>NC_000007.14:12740242-15240242 GCF_000001405.40 Homo sapiens
GGCCAGGCTGGCCTTGAACTCCTGACCTCGTGATCCTCCCGCCTCGGCCTCCCAAAGTGCTGGGATTACAGGTGTGAGCCACAGCGCCCGGCCCTTACTGTTGAAGTAAAATATATAGAGGGGATAAAGGTGCTTCTCACAGAAACTGGCACATGTTAAGTCCTCTATGCATGTCAGTTATTCCTACCATTGCCCCATCCTATCAATAACCTTTACACACATTGCATTTTTAAAAAGATCTGGGCATGTGATAAAATACAATGAATCAGGAGTCTGGAGAACTACCCAGTAGGCCAGGCTCCGCCACTTACTAGCTCTACTAAGAGATTAAAACCATAGTAACCTCTCTGATCCTTAGAATCTTCATAGATAAAATAGGGAGAATGAGGTGGATAGGGAGTGTGGAAAATAACTGTATCATTTAAAAATTTCCTAGGTCCCACCACATTCTATAAGTTCTGTGATGTTATGTGTATGGAAAGCTGTTTTCCAGTTTCAAAGAAATTGGGGTTTTTTTGGGCAGACTTCATGTATTTCAAAATGAACATTTCTCAAAGCAGTTTGTATTTCCTTATCATTTGTGAGGCGGCTGAGATGAGAGTGTGGGATCGGAGCCACTGGGGAAAGAAACTGATGTGTTTTTGTTTTTGTTTTTGTTTTTTTGTTTAGACAGAGTCTTGCTCTGTCACCCAGGCTGGAGTGCAGTGGCTCAATCTCGGCTCACTGCAACATCTGCCTCCCAGGTTCAAGCAATTCTCCTGCCTCAGCCTCCGGAGTAGCTGGGATTACAGGCGCCCACCACCACGCCTGGCTAATTTTTGTATTTTTAGTAGAGACGCGGTTTCACCATATTGGCCAGGCTGGTCTCGAACTGCTGACCTCGTGATCCGCCTGTCTCGGCCTTCCAAAGTGCTGGGATTACAGGTGTGAGCCATGGCGCCCTGCTGAAACTGATGTTTTGAGTGAATTAGCTGGACATATTTCAGGCTCCAATCCTAGTTTATCTAATAAATCAATTGTAAACAAGTATTGAAGACAAGTGTGATTTATCGGCCTCATGGGGATTAATTTGGGAAAAGATGGCCAAATGTGATCCCAGTATATGAAACTAATCATTTTGGTAATTGCTTCTGTGTTAACATCAGTAAAATTCATATTAGTCTTGTTTACATGATGTTAACTAAGTCTGTCAGGGTATTTTCCACAATTGAATTCACTCTGAGATTCTCTTAAAACTATTTGTGGTACACAGAATAGTGCTTCCTCCCCTCAAAAGGTGTTCATGTCCTAATTCAAGACATCTGTGCATATATTACCTTGCAAGACAAAAGGAACATTGCAAATGTTACTACAGTAAGGATTCTAAAATAGAAGGATTTTCTGGGTGGACCTGATGCAATCACAGTGTCCTTATAAAAGGGAGGTGGGAGGTGAGACAGGACAGAAGATGCTTTACATATGGAGGAAGGGGTCACAAGCAAAATAATGTAGGTGCCCTCTGGAAGGTGGAAATGACAAGGAAACAGATTGTCTCCAAGAGCTGCCAGAAGGAACACAGACCTATGGACCTACTTTATACTTCTGGCTTCTCAGAATGTAAAATAATAGATCTTTGTTTTTTTAAGCCACTAAGTTTGTGGTAATTCCTTATACCACTAAGTTTGTGGTAATTCCTTATAAGATGTGGTTATTCCTTATACATTTGCCTTGTAAAAATGACTATATGATAGAATTTTCATGAGAAAATATTTATGTCAAGTTCAAGATTGTTAGGTCCAGTTAATACTTTTAATTTAAAATTTTCAAAAATGTTATTCATCTGAAGTTCTAACACATGAGACAAGTTACTTGTAGCTCTATTAACTATAGGAAAATCACCTTGAGTAACTTGTCATTGTGAATCATCTAATTAGGTAATGTTTTGTGTTGGGAAGAGCACATAACCTGACATCTACTCTCTTAACATTTTTTAAGTGTACAGTACAGTATTGTTAACTGTGAGCACAATGTTGTACAAATGGTCTGTAGAATTTATTCATCCTGCATAACTGAAACTTTATACCCACTGAATTAGCAACTTCCCATTTTACCCTCCTCCCAGCCTCTGGTAACCACCATTTTATCTTCTGTGTCTATGAGTCTGTTTACTTTCAATACCTCATGTAGATGGAATCCTGCAGTAGTTCTCCTTCTGCGATTGGCTTATTGCACTTAGTATAAAGGCATCAAGGTTTATCCATGTTGTCACATTTGACAGGATTTCCTTCTTCTTTTATAGCAGGATAACTCATTTACTCTTTTGAGAGGTGATTTTTATTGGATAGAGATTCCAGATATTATGTATGAAATTACTGAAATAGCTGACTTACACATAGGATTCCTCTCTGTGATGGTTTTAACATATGACCATAAATTCAAAAGGCAGAACCTAATAGTTCTGCTGAGTATGGGTTGGACTAACTAACTTGCTTCTCACGAAGAGAATAAGACAGAAATGATGGTATATGGTGTTCAGAGCTAGAGTCATAACATATATTATCTACCCTTTTTATAATCTCACTCTGGGAGAAATTAGCTTCCATGTCTTGAGGACAATTAAGCAGCCCTATGGAAAGGTTCATATGGTGAGGAGCTCAGGTCTTCTTCCAATAGCCTTATGAGTGACCCATCTTGGAAATAGATCCTTCAGCCTCATTGGAGTCTTGAGATGAAGCCTTGGGCCATTGCTTCACTGTAACCTTGTAAGAGACCCTGAGCCAGAACCACTCAGAAATAGGCATGCCTCTTTTTTTTTTTTTTTTTTTTTTTTTGAGATGGAGTTTCACTCTTATTGCCCAGGCTGGAGTGCAATGGCACGATCTCGGCTCACCGCAACCTCTGCCTCCCGGGTTCAAGTGATGCTCCTGCCTTAGCCTCCCGAGTAGCTGGGATTACAGGTGTGCACCACCATGCCCGGCTACTTTTGTATTTTTAGTAGAGATGTGGTTTCTCCATGTTGGTCAGGCTGTTCTCGAACTCCCGAACTCAGGTGATCCACCCGCCTTGGCCTCCCAAAGTGCTGGGATTACAGGCGTGAGCCGTGGTGCCCAGCCAGGCATGCCTCATTTTATTGTGCTTTGCTTTGTTGGGCTTTGCAGATCTTGTGTTTTATGTAAGTTAAAAGGTTCGTGGCAATTCTGTTTCCAGCAAATTGATCAGTGCCATTTTTCCAATAGCATGTGCTTATTTCAGGTCTGTGTCACATTTTGGTAATGTCCGTAATATCTCAAACATTTTCATCATTATTATATATGTTATGGTGATCTGTTTTCAGTGATCTTTGATGTTACTATTGTAATTGTTTTGGGGTGCCACACACCATGGTCATATAAGATAGCAAACTTAATTAGTAGGTGTTGTGCGTGTTCTGATTGCTCCACCAACCAGCCATTCCCCCATGTCTTCCTCTCCTCTCTACCCCTGAGATACAACAATATTGAAATTAGGCCAATTAATAACACTACAATGGCCTCCCAGTGTTCAAGTGAAAGGAAGAGTTGCATGTCTTTCACCTTAAATCAGAAGCTAGAAATGATTAAGCTAATGATGGAGAAAGTATGTTGAAAGCCAAGATAGGCCAAAAGCAATGTCTTTTACTCCAAACAGCCAAGTTGTGAATGCAAAGGAAAAGTTCTTGAAGGAAATGAAAAGTGCTACTCTAGTGAACACACAAATGATAAGAAAGTGAAATAGCCTTATTGTACGTTTGGAGAAAGTTTTAGTGGTCTATGTAGAAGATTAAACCAGCGTGGCATTCCCTTAAGCCAAAACCTATTCTGGAAGAAGGCCTTAACTCTATTTAATTCTGTAAAGGCTAAGAGAGGTGAGGGAGCCACGGAAGAAAAATTAGAAGCTACCAGGCGTTGGTTAATGTGGTTTAAGGAAAGAAGTCATAACATAAAAGGGCAAGGTGTTGATGTAAAAGTTGGAGCAAGTGTTGATGTAAAAGTTGGAGCAAGGTTTCCGTATCTAAGATAATTGATGAAGGTGACTACACTAAACAACAGATATTCAATGTAGCCCAAACAGCCTTCTTTGGAAAAAGATGTCATCTAGGCCTTCCGTAGCTAGAGAGAAGACAACTCCTGGCTTTAAAGCTTCAAAGGACAGGCTGACTCTCTTGTTGGGGGCTAACATAGCTTGAAACTTTAAGTTGAAGCCATTCTGAAAATCATTTGCCATTCTGAAAATCCTAGGGCCCTTAGGATTTATGCTAAATCTACTCTGCTTGTGCTCTAGAAATTGAAGAACAGAGCCTGGACGACAGCACATCTGTTTACAGCACGGTTTAAATAACATTTTAAGCTCATTATTGGTATCTACTGCTCAGAAAAAAAATTCCTTTCAAAATATTACTGCTTATTGACAATAGACCTTGTCATATAGGAGCTGTGATGGAGTTGTACAAAAAGATTAATGTTTTTATACCTGCTAACACAACATCCATTCTGCGCCCATGAATCAAGGAATAATTTCAATTTTCAGGTCTTATTTAAGAAATATATTTTGTAAGGCTATAGCTACATAGATAGTGATGGATCTGGGCAAAGTACATTGAAAACCTTCTGGAAAGAATTCACTATTCTAGATGCCATTAAGAACATTCTTGATTCAAGGGGGGAGATCCAAATAGCAATATTAACAGGATTTTGGAAGAAGTTGATTCCAATCCTCAAGGATGATTTGGAGGGGCTCATGACCTCGGGGAGGAAGTCATAGCAAATGTGGTGGAAATAGCAAGAGAACTAGAATTAGAAGTGGAGTTTGAAGATGTGACTGAATTGCTGAAATCTCATGATAAAAAAATGAACAGATAGCTAAGCACTGTGGCTCACACCTGTAATCCCAGCACTTCAGGAGGCCGAGGCAGGTGGATCACTTGAGGTCAGGAGTTTGAGACCAGCCTGGCCAACGTAGCGAAACCCCGTCTCTACTAAAAATACAAAAATTAGCCAGGCGTGGTGGTGCATGCCTGTAGTCCCAGCTACTCAGGAGGCTGAGGCAGGAGAATTGCTTGAACCCAGGAGGCGGAGGTTGCAATGAGCCAAGATCGCGCGACTGCCCTCCAGTCTGGGTGACAGAGCAAGACCCTGTCTAAAAGAAAGACAGAAAAAAAAAAAAAAAGGATAGATAAGGAGTTACTTCTTCTGCATAAGCAAATAAAGCGGTTTTTCTTCAGATAGAATCTACTCCTGGTGACAGTGCTGTGAACATTGTTGAAATGACAATGACAACAAAGGATTTAGAATATTACCAAAACCGAATTAACAAAGCACTTGCAGGGTTTGAGAGGATTGATTCCAATTTTGAAAAAGTTCCATTGTGAATAAAATGCTATCAAAAAGTATCACATGCTATAGAGAAATCTTTCATGAAAGGAAGGGTCAATTGATGGGACAAACTTCATTGTGGCCTTATTTTCAGAATTGGCCACAGCCACCCCAGCCTTCAGCAACCACTACCCTGATCAGTCAGCAGCCACCAACATCAAAGCAGGATCCTCCACCAGCAAAATGATTATGACTTGCCTAAGGATTTAAATGATTGTTAGCATTTTTATGCAATAAAGTATTTATAAATTAAAGTAGTACATTTTTTAGACATAATACTACTGCACACTTAGACTACAGTATAGTGTAAATGTAACATTTATATACACTGGGTAACAAAAAAATTGTGTGTCTTGCTTTATTGTGATATTTGCTTTATTGTGGTGGTCTGGAACTGAACCCTCAATGTCTCGGAAGTATGTCTCTATGACACTTCTGGATTTCTGACCTGGAGAAAATGGGTGAAGTAATAGGAGTTTATTGTTTAAGCTGTTAGGATTTGGCATAATTTGTTACGCACTAACAGAAAATGAAGACACTCTTTCATGATATCTTTCCTAAACTAAACAATGTTGTAATACTATGTAAATAAAAAGCTGCCATAATGTTATTGAGAACGTCTACTTTTTTATTCTTTAGCAACAGGGAGAATCAAAATGATCTAGACTGGATTATGCTTACTATTTAAAGAAGTGGAAAAGTGAGAAATCCACATACTTTGAAAATTCCTTTACAGAGACAAATTAAATTATTCACAGGAAAGTGACTAATAGGGGATGAAAGGCTTAATAACAAAGCCTTTTCTTCTGCCCTTTTATTCCCAGACTGTCCTACTAATTAATATCATTTAGCTTTCACAGTTCACAATCAGGTCATATAATTAGAGAAGGATTAAACTCTTCTGTCTTGGAGAGATGGTTAATTTAAACTGTTTAGAAACCATTTAAAGAAACCCACTGAAAGACTTTGAGGAATGGCATCCAGAAATCATGTAGAAAAACTGTAAATGTTACCAAAAGCTAGAATAATAACTCTACACAAGTACTAGTGCCAAAATGTCTCAAAATTAAAGTATGACAGAAAATATATATATATTTTTTTCTTTGAGATGTAGTCTTGCTCTGTCGCCCAGTCTGGAGTGCAGTGGTACAATCTCGGCTCACTGCAACCTCCGCCTCCCAAGTTCAAATTATTCTCCTGCCTCAGCCTCCTGAGTAGCTGGGATTACAGGCATGTGCCACCACGCCTGGCTAATTTTTGTATTTTTAGTAAAGACAGGGTTTCATCCTGTTGGTCTGGCTGGTCTTGAACTGACCTTGTGATCCACCCACCTTGGCCTCCCAAAGTGCCGGGATTACGGGTGTGAGCCACCACGCCCAATCAGAAAAATTTTTTTTCATGAGTTTATCTGAGTCTATAATGCTTCCTTTCATAGATGCCAATGTGTGAATGTTTTATCATTTATTGACATGACATCATTATTTCACACAGTGTAATTACAATTAACATGGCTGAATTATTTGATTTTAGCTTAGATTGTCACATTCTTTTTGCGTTAATATTTGAGACTCTAGAGGTATACTATGTTAAGTGAATCCTTCAACACTTCCCTCTTTGCAAGTTAGAGTGACCTGAAATTTGTACTTTGAAAGAAACATTCCCAGCATAGAAAAAGCAGGAGAAACAAAGAAATCGATGGAGACACTTTGAATGCCAGGTCACACAGAATCACTGCATCCATTTATTAAGAAACCCTAGAGTGCAGCTCTTTCCTCCAATTCATTCATATTGTAGCAGGGGCCTTGGGTCAAAGCTTGTTAACCTGTTCCCCTTATTCAAAACCACCTGATGTTCCATCTTCTCTCTTAGTGTATTCCAAGAATGGAAGAAAATAAACCTAATTTTGTAAATAGATTGACTGCTACTTATCAATCTTTTTTTATATTTAACTTTGTTTAATTAAAGAAAAAAACGGGAACAGTAAATGTCCATTATTTTTCCTTGGAAATAAAATGGAAAGAAACACAAGCATACTAATCTTTGCTGGAATTTATACAATGATCATATTCAATTGAAGAGCTAAATGTGTATTCTCTTTACCGGAAATGGGTCCTGATCCAGACCCCAAGAGAGGGTCCTTGGATATTGCGCAAGAAAGAATTTGATGCGAATCCATAGAGTAAAGTGAAAGCAAGTTTATTAGGAAAGTAAAGAAATAAAGAATGGCTACTCCCTAGGCAGAGCAGCCCCGAGGATTGCTGGTTGGCTGTTTTTATGGTTATTTCTTGTTAATATACTAAACAAGGGGTGGATTATTCATGAGTTTTCCCGGAAAGACGTGGGCAATTCCCAGAACTAAGAGTTCCTCCCCTTTTCAGACCATATTGGGTAACTTCCTGACGTGGCCGTGGGATTTGTAAACTGTCATGGCGCTGGTGGGAGTGTCTTTTGGCATGAAAATGCATTATATTTAGTGTATAATGAGCAGTGAGGATGACCAGCAATCACTTTGATCGCCATCTTGGTTTTGGTGGGTTTTGGCTCCCTTCTTTACAGCATCATTTCATCAGCAAGGTCTTTTGACCTGTACCTTGTGCCAACTTCCTATTTCTTCCTGTGACTAAGAATGACAAACCTCCTAGGGATGCAGTACAGTAGGTCTCAGGCTTATTTTACCCAGCTCCTATTCAGGATAGAGTCACTCTGGTTCAAACTCCTTCGACATTCTCACAAAGTTTACATGTACTTACTTGGGAACTTTACTGCTAATTCTTTGACTTTCTCTGTTTTTTGTTAAAAAAAAAAAAAGTTTCCCCTTACATTTGATCCACCTACCACCATTGCTTCCTATCTAGAGAACACATACCCAAAATATATTTGAGGAAAAAAATAAATGGGCAGGGTGACGTGGGGTCTCAGAGTTTCAAGATGTTAGAAATATCCGATGGAGGCCGGGCATTGTGGCTCACGCCTGTAATCCCATCACTCTGGGAGGCCGAGGCGGGCGGATCAGCCGAGGTCGGAAATTTGAGACCAGCCTGACCAACATGGAGAAAGCCCGTCTCTACTAAAACTACAAAATTAGCCAGGCATGGTGGCACATGCCTGTAATCCCAGCTACGCGGGAGGCTGAGGCAAGAGAATTGGTTGAACTTGGGAGGTGGAGGTTGCAGTGAGCCAAGATTGTGCCGTTGCACTCCAGCCTGGGCAACAAGAGCAAAACTGTCTCAAAAAAAAAAAAAAAAAAAAAAAAAAGAGAGAGAGAGAGAGAAAAAAAAAGAAATATCCTATGGAATAGCAGGATAAAAAACATTTTAATTAAAAGAAATAAAAGAACCAAAATCAATCAATGGATTCTTTTCTTTTTTTACTGATCTGACCAAATCAATCAGAATGATTGAATCAGGCTCTGTTGCCAATATTTATATTCTAGAAAAAAAAGCTAATATTTCATTTTATATGCTATTAGAATTTGATATGATTGTTCCAGAGAACACAGCCTTAGTGTTAAACAGTTTGTATTAAACAAATAATTTGAATAATTTGAACAGGGTTCACTACTAATATCCTTTACCTACCCCCCAACTCTCAGCCCTCACCTCCTATGGATGGCATTAATGGTTTTTTCATTGTTTCTCTGAGGCTTTGAAGTAAGCATATTTGTAAGACAAAGGTTAGCAAGACTAGCCCAATAGCTGCTACGGTGGGATGAATGCAAAAAGAGCTGACAGAAGAAATGAAGGACAATTCTGAGCTATTTTGGCAAACTTCACTGGAGACAGGACACCTATGCAAGTTGAAGGGAAAAATGATAACCAACTAACCGTCGTTAAGGAGAAGATATGCTCATTTTGATCAAACGTATCAATAACCAATAGGATAAACAGAGTATGGTCCTAATATTAACCTTTTAATTTGCAGTTCCATTGAAAATCGAGCACTATATTTTGTTTATTTATTTATTTTTGTTTTTCAACACACTGTTGCTAGCTTGAAGGGCACTTTATTTTATGTAAAGATGTTTGCTTATTTTATAGTTGGCCTTTTCAGCTGACTTGGCCAATAAAACTTGTTACTCCTTCAGCTACATAGCACAAGTGAGTTCTCTGGGAAGCAGATGTTTATTAGGAAGTGCCTTGGGATCTAAATCTGTGGGAGAAGAAGAAAACAGGACTGGGGTAGAGGGAGAACTGCTATGCAGACCTGAACAAATGCCTTGGTTGACCCCACAGGAGCTATGAAATGAACAGAGTCTTTCAGTGTTGCTGTGGCTTGGAGTGAAATAGTCTAGTCTCTTTCCTCCCATGTCAGTGGTTAGTCTGGGACAGCGTAGGAAAGGCAAGACCTTAAGCAAGGTGCATGGTGACTCTCTGCAACAGAGGCAATCCCCCCGCAAAGGGGCTGATAGTTAATGGTGTCTGATGACAGCATTTTCAGCAACTGGATAACAAGCCTTTACTTGAAGTAACACCTGAGTGGCCAATCTATATCACATATCTATGTGCCCACTATACCAGTTTAATGACTTTCAAAGATTTTTCACTATGGTTCATGTGTTAGTCTGTTTGTGCTGCTGTAACAAAATACCTGAAACTGAGTAATTTATAAAGAACAGAATTTATTCCCATAGTTCTGGAGGCTGGAAAGTTCAAGATCAAGGTGCTGGTAGTTTTGGTGTCTTATGAGGGCCTGTTCCATTGATGGCAGCTTCTCTCATCTGCATCCTCACATGACAGAATTCAGATGAGCAAAAAGGGGCAAGCACTGTGTGAATCCTCCTTTATAATGCATTCATTCAGTTCCCAAGGGTGGAGCCCTCATGACCTAATCGTCTCCTGCAGGTGCCACTTTCTAATACTGTCGCCTTGGTGATTACGTTTTAATGTGGATTTTGGAAGGGACACAAACATTCAAATCATAATTGTCCACAATAAGAAATACCCCTTATATCACCACATGGGAGTGTATGCTTGCTCTCTCTCTCACACACACACTCACACACATACATTCTCTCTCTCTTACATAAATAAAACAAAAGTTTAATTATATATATATGTATGTATGTGTGTGTGTGTGTGTGTGTATATATATATATATATATATATATATAAATTTTTTTTTTTTTTTTTTTTTGAGACAGAGTCTTGCTCTGTCGCCCAGGCTGGAGTGCAGTGGCATAATCTTGGCTCACTGCAAGCTCCGCCTCCCAGGTTCAGGCCATTCTCATTCCTCAGCCTCCTGAGTAGCTGGGACTACAGGCACATGCCACCATGCCCGGCTAATTTTTTGTATTTTTAGTAGAGATGGGGTTTCACCGTATTAGCCAGGATGGTCTCAATCTCCTGACCTCATGATCCACCAGCCTTGGCCTCCCAAAATGCTGAGATTACAGGCGTGAGCCACCAAGCCTGACCCAAAATAATATTTTTTTATTTGTTCCTTTTGCATGTGATGTATTGTGATATTTTCAATTTCATTTTGTTTTGTTCCATTTCATTCCATATCATTCTGTTTTTCTTTACTTTTAAAAATGCTGTTTATAACACACTAATCTGATTTCTAAGATACCACTATTAGACTTCAACTTGCAAATCTGAAAAATGTGATACTAGATAGACTGTGGATAGACAAGTACTCCCATATGCATGGAATAGGCTAGTGTTTCATTATATGGTTGGATTACTTTCATTTCCAGGAAACCAGAAAAGAGCCACAGTAGGGTTTTAAAGATCTGTGGGCCCCAAAGAGATGCTATGGCTCATAACAAATTTCTAATCTTGAATGCCTTGTTCCAGGTGGGATGTCATTTGTGATTACTTGTTCTGACAACATGAGCTCCAGGCATGATTTTTAAAGAAGAAAGATGTAAACAGTAACGTCAGTGAGAATCATGATTTCCAATTACTTATAGAGTTTTAAGAGGAGGTCAGGTAAAGACATACTAGTTTTTTCAGACAGAGGATTCCTGTGATCTGTTGTTTATTGTAGCTTTCACATGAGAGGAATTGCTGGAAGAAACATTTGGTATCATGGAAGAAACATTTGGTATCATGCTTCAGAATGTGAGTTTTGAGATGCCTGCAATAAAATATAGGGTTAAATGCCTGAATGAGATAGTATAGTCATAAAGTTAAGAAAAAAGTTAATTTTAAGGCAAAGATATGAAAAACATCATGAACGTAGCAATATGGAATTTAGGAAGATGATAAATAAATAACGTCTATCTACTGTGCCCAAAACACCACCACCACCAACAACAAACTAAAAATGCATTCTTTATGCTTGAAACTAGAGAACTGAGTTCAGGGTCCTTATTTGTACAAGATTTACACTCAAACACAATAGCAATTTAGTCACAGGTATATAAGCAGAATAAATACGGTAGTGTGGGAGCAGTATAAACACACAGACATAATGAGAAAGAAAACAACATATATCTACTATTTTCCATGTTCTATGCTAGAAAATCTACAATTTTTTTCTCATATTTAATCCTTGCAGCAACCTTCCAGGTGGACTTGATAATTACCATTTTTATAAATAAAAACTTGAGGCTAAGATGTAAGTAACTTAGCAAGATTAGTGGAATCAGGATCAGAATTCAGATCTCTGACTCTACCCTTTTTCACTACTTTGAAGTCATATGTATGTTTAAATTTCTATCTTTTAAAAATCTGCAGAATAAATACACATTAAAACTAGTTATGTATATACTGATATGTCAAAATAGAAGTTGAAAAGCCGGTTAATCAATTTACTACCACATTTCTATATTTTGTATTTTTGCTGTTTGTGAGATGGGAGTATTATATGTTTTTTAAAAAACATTTATTTCTGTTATAGGAATTTGATAATTTCTTCTCACATTATTGTATCTATATTATATTTCAGTCAGCCGTTAAGAAATTGAGGGCTGCTCTGCCTATAGAGTAGCCATTCTTTATTCCTTTACTTTCTTAATAAACTTGCTTTCACTTAAAAAAAAAAAAAAGAAATTTAGAAGTCAGATTTTATCAATTCAAACAAAGTAATAAGTATGCATATATACTGAAGAAAAGTTGAAATGAAAGTCAACCAAGATCTGGAAACTGGTGGAAATAGTCATTTATAGATATATTTCATATCAATTATAAATAACTATTATAATGATTATAGTGTAATATCACTATTACAATGTGATTTTTAAGCATTATCATGTATAAGAAGCGTAGTCTTATTTTTAAAGGGAATAGCAGACTCTCTTTGATTTGTCAGGATTTATCCACACATGAGCATATGTTCACTTCAGATGTCACTGCTGTATTAACAACAATAGTTCTACAAAAAGGGGCAAGAAGCTTATAAAGGACAGACTTTAAAAAGTCATTATTAGGTCAGTTACCTCAAAATAGTACAAGAAATTAAGTGATTGACCTCATTAAATAGCTCACCTCACATCATTTTATTCTGCAGAAATTAGCTCTGAGAAGTGTTATAGGACACATTTGACTTCGACATTAGAGATTAAAAACGAACTAGAAAATGTTTCCAGAAGCTGATGAAGACATTAGGAAGAGTAAAACATAATCACGTTCTCTTTGTTGACAGTATTGGTACAAATGAAATGTCAGAGTTTAAATTTTTTGTACTATGGCTTTTACATCTCTCTGATCTTGCTTATGCAATGGTTTTTAGCCCTCTCTGAACTTGGTCAAGTCATAAAATTTCTGGGTCTCACTTTTCCTTGCCTATAAAATAGGGAAGCATTTGAAATGTACATTCTATTGTATATTATTGTTTTTCTGAGATGTTTTGATTATTCATCAGAAGCATAATTATAAGAGACTATAAGATGATTTTCAGAGCTTTGTACTGAAGGAACAGGAGGAGGCAGTTTTATAGTTTAGGTCCTGATGGGGTTTTTCTATGTGATATTGAACAAGTCACTGAACCCCTTCGTGACCCAATATCTAAACAATACAATGGAGATTCTAATTTGTACTCCTCATTTCTTACTGATGTCTATTGAGGATAGAGAGCCTGGAAGTACTTGAGGGATGGAACAAATCACAAAGTTAAGGTATTATTATCTTAAGAATCTGCTACTTCAATTGAAAAGGAGAATAAGTTGTTCTAGGGGTGAGTCAATGAATTATTAACATCACATGTGAACACAATTTTAACTCCTGATTTACCTAAAACGTTTGTTAAACAATGATACTTGGAGTATTTATTTTACTGTCTTTTGAGATGAGTGTTCGATGATGCTTGATGGCTTGGAAATAAAATCTTCTTACATCTTTTGGAGGAAACATATATTAGGTATTTTGGGATATATGTATTCCAAAATAATTATGGAAAATAAAGACTACTTTTACTTTTGATATCAACTTAAAATGGTATTTATGATGATCATCTTCTATTTTCTAGGTACGTATTATTATACAGAAGTTATTGAAGTGTCTAACAGGCTCTTTATGAAAACATACTCAGAATATTCACATGTGGTCTTCACACATTTGTAAGTTTCAGCAAAGATGAAATATGTCAAATTTTAAATTTGATTGTATTTTCTATTGTAGTTGAAGTGTTGAGAGTAACTGAGCTGCCAGTGATAACGTACAGAGAAAGAAAAGCCCAGGGCCTGGGCCTGGGCATGAGTATAGACTGTATTTAAGCAACTGTAGCTAAGAATAAAGTTCATAAAGGAAGTAGAAGAGAGTATTCAGAGAGGAAGGAGGAAATACAAAACAGGGCTGCACAGTTCTGGAAGCTAAGAGAAGGGAGACTTTCTACAGCTAGGGCTTGGTTGACGTAGGACAGAGGAAATTTGAAATGGCCAGGACCCAGGATCCACACATAGTCACATGATGAATCACCGAAGGTTTGAAGGAAAATTAATGTCATTTAGCATGGAGGCCTGGTGACAGGGGCTGGCAGTAGGGATCAGGGACCCAGCTGTGAACAGTGCTCCTCAAACACCTGGTTCCATATACCTGGAGGCCTTGGTGAAGATTAATAGGATTCAGTATAGGAGAACTGGACAGGAAGCCAAAGGACATACTGAGATGTTTTTGGGACAAGACAGAAACCCAAAAACTTGGTGAAGAGTGTGAGATTGAGGTTCAGTGAAAGAAATACAACTGGTTTGTTTCTAGAAAGAGTGAATATTATCATAATAGTGGTAATAGCAAAAGAGATTTTAGGTACACCTACGGAGCTCTGTGGAGATTCTTTTTATTTCACGTTTAGAGGCTTAACTGATCCCTGAGGCTTGGATGACATTTAAACTAACAACTAGGAGTTAAGTGCTTAGCACATAGTAGATGCTCAATAAATATTTTTTGAATGAATGAATTATATGATCTTATTTCTGGAGAATGGAAGTCTTCTGCTGTTTTCCAAATAATTCCAAAGGTATTAATTTACAACAGTGTTTTCTAAATGTTTCTATGAAAACTAATTTATCAAGGTGTTCATAAGTTTTAACATCAAATAATATTTTGACCAAGTGAGTCAAGGAACTGCTGGGTTAAATAAAGTTCATTGGCCGGGTGTGGTGCCTCACGCCTGTAATCCCAGCACTTTGGGAGGCCAAGGCGGGTGGATCACAAGGTCAGGAGATTGAGACCATCCTGGCTAACACGGTGAAACCCCGTCTCTACTAAAAATACAAAAAATTAGCCGGGCGTGGTGGCAGGCGCCTGTGGTCCCAGCTACTGGGGAGGCTGAGGCAGGAGGATGGCGTGAACCCGATAGGCGGAGGTTGCAGTGAGCCGAGATAGAACCACTGCACTCCAGCCTGGGTGACAGAGCGAGACTCTGTCTCGAAAAAAAAAAAAAAAATAAATAAATAAATGAAGTTCATTACATTTCTATATTGCAAGACTTCACAGCAACTTTATATTAATATGTATATGACTCTCTTAAAGATAGGTAGTATGTGGGCTTTTCCAAATGTATTTGATTACAGAACTCTCTTTTCAACTGCCACCTTTCTTTCCTGAAGTGTCCTTTGAATTAGTGTTATAAAGAACATGCATTAGGACATATTAGAATACAGAGTCACATAATCAAAAAATTAATAGAAGGACAAAATAAGAGATGGGTTTTGAAAGTATTGAGAAAAAAGGTGTCCAAGTACCTTTTTGTGGAATTTCTAGGATTTCAAAAAGCAAAATTTAAAAGAATTGGAGAATCTTCATTGTATTCCTAATGTTCATCCCTAGGGATAAGAGGCCAAGAATCAAGAATTCTTGTTTACTTCTGGTCCACAGTTGGATGTTGGGCTGGATAAATTTGAAGAATATGGGACATTTTCAGAAAATATGTATAGGATGAAGAAGATTATGAGTCAAAGGCAGTCAGTCATTGCAGTGTCTATACATTATTAAAGCTCTATGTAATTTATTCTACTTGAATTGCTTTGGGGAAAAAGAGCTCTTGTCTGTGCTTATGGGGAGTGGGTGGGTGGGAGGTATGGGAGGAGAGATCTTGTTCCTCTGAAACTATAAGATAGTATCCATTACTGTGTCTGGCTCCCTCCCACTTAAAAGCAGAGTATGTGCCTCTATTCACTTTTATATAGACAGCGTCTCTTACCATACGTGGCATATACTAGGTGCTTAGTAAAGGTTTGAGCTGAATTGAACTAAGAGGATCTGAAGAAAAGAGGCAGAGTTTGGGCCAGGCGCAGTGGCTCACGCCTCTAATCCCAGCACTTTGGGAGGCCGAGGCGGGTGGGTTACTGGAGGTCAGGAGTTTGAGATCAGCCTGGGCAACATGGTGAAACCCCGTCTCTACTAAAAATACAAAATTAGCCGGGAGTGGTGACACATGCCTGTAATCCCAGCTACTCAGGAGGCTGAGGCAGGAGAATCGCTTGAACCTGGGAGGCGGAGGATGCGGTGAGCCGAGATCGCACCATTGCACTCCAGCCTGAACAAGAGTAAATCAAAAAAAAAAAAAAAAGAGGCAGAGCTTGTATTCTTACAGTGCCCATTTTTCCTCAAATGGCAAGGTCATGGCACCCCTCCACTCCCATTGTTTGGGTAATCTGGTTATTAGGAGCACCCTTTCTTTAGGAAGATGTTTTGTGGACATTGCCGCATGGTGTTTTCAAGGTGTTTTGCACCATGTTTCACTGGAGTGGATCCGAAAATATATTCTAAAAACAAAGCCCATAAGCTGTTCTTTATTGTTTACAGTGGCATATAACAGAGGCCCCTCTAAGGTTACAAAGCCTATAGTTCTGGGAAAGGAGAAGGAAACTGGCCAAACAACTAAGCTAGAAGTTACGATAGTCTTTATTTCCAAAGAACTAGGTGGGGTAGGGATAGTATCAGAGTGATTGATATTTCATCCCTTTCTCCATCTTTTCGTGAAGAAGGAAGTTTGACTCATTTTAAACCAGACCTCAGAATAATGTCATCTTAACAGTCACTAACAAACTTCTTAAAAAATGAGATTCCTGGGCTGGGCGTGGTGGCTCAACACATGTAACCTTAGCATTTTGGGAGCCTGAGGTGGGAGGACTGCTTGACCACAGGAGTTAAAGACCAGTCTGGGCAACATAGCAAGACCCCATCTCTATTATTAAAGTAAATTTTAAAAATGAGACTTCCGGAAAAATATGTTCAACATTATTTGATAATATAAATCTTTTAGTGGACTTCAAATCAAGTTAAAATAATATTTAATAAAACTATTATTATCAAATATTAGAAGGAGAGTTTTTTAGTTTAACAAACATCTACGTTAACAGAATTATGACTGTCACTATGGCACAAAAATAAATGCCTTATATCTTCAAAATTGTTTATAGTTGAGTTAGAGAGACAGACATGTACCAAGATAATAAAGTGAATGAGAGGAGGCAGTGGTAAGTTAGTGGTAAGTAGTGGTAAGTTAGTGGTAAGTTATTGGTAAGTAGAAGATTTGAATTCAGGCTGGGTGTGCAGCACCCTTAGCCTCCAGATGTACACACTAGTTTAGTGACATCAACGTGCTGAGATCCCAGCCCAGACATTTGGTTGGCTTTGAGAGTCCTTACCAGGAATGTATCTATGTTTCAGACGGGCAAATTCACAAATATTTGAATGAGTCATTATGATAGAAAAGCCAGTTCCAAAGGATTTCTTAAGAGAGAATCCCTCAGTGCTTATGAAAAAAATAATTCAGAGCAATCTAGACGCCACAAAAATTCTAGTATCTCCTGACAAATATATTCTAGCTCTCTCTGATTCTTAAATTCAGAATTTAGAATAAAATTGAGATAGCTACTTCACAAATCATATTGCATAGGAAAGAGACCATAAACACGGACCCTGGACCAACACTTAGGTCTAATATTTAGTTCCTGATTGACTTTGGGAGAAATATCTTATTTCTTCTATGCCTCTGTCATCTGAAAACTAGGAGTACAGCATCTAATGCAAGGGCTCACGTGAGAACAAAAGATATAATGTATGTAAGGTTAGATTCCTTCCTTACATTCTCTCATAGAATCATTTGCCTCTTTTTATAGCACATTTTACAGTTTGAAATTCAATAATTATAAAATTAACCCTTTACTGTTTGTCTCCTCTGCCTTCTGCAGGGAGATATGCTTCCTGAGAGAAAGGACCACGCTTCTCCTGTTTACCATGCTGTCTCCCACTCTAGCACATCCTTCAGCGATGCTGACCGGTGGAAACCAGAGCAGTACCTCGTGTATACTACGCTATCGTAAGCTATTATAAGCATTGTTCTTTTTCTTCTCCCACCCAGAAACCTGAAGGTTTTCTTTTCCTTACTCTGTTCCTCTGTGAGTTTTGAGAATTTCTGTACCTCTCTTATGATACACGATATTACTGGCATAGTGCGTTCATAACACTTCCTAGATGCTACTCATATGTGGCATGAGCCTTCTTAATCAACACTAAACTCCTTCTAAACTAAAAAGCATAATCCCTGTTACTTATATCTGTATTTAAAGTGGAGTTTTCCCTGAGTTGTTTCTTTTTCTTTTTTTTTTTTTTGAGACGGAGTCTCGCATTGTTGCCCAGGCTGGAGTGCAGTGGCGCGATTTCGGCTCACTGCAAGCCTAGCGGGTTCACGCCATTCTCCTGCCTCAGCCTCCCAAGTAGCTGGGACTGCAGGCGTGTGCCATCATGCCTGGTAAATTTTTTTGTATCTTTAGTAGAGAGCGGGTCTTACCGTGTTAGCCAGGATGGTCTCGATCCCCTGACCTTGTGATCCACCTGCCTCGGCCTCCCAAAGTGCTGGGATTACAGGCGTGAGCCACCGCGCCCGGCTCCTGAGTTGTTTCTTGTAGATGAAACAGTAATTTCTTGGTCTGCTTATATTATTTTGCAAACTTGTCTTTTACTTTCACCTAAATTGTTAGGATAAAGTAAAGATTTAGACTGATTATTGGTACAGTTGCATCTCACTACTATTGTACTGTTCACTATTTCACATATACAATAAGAAACTATATATCCCTATATTATATTTGCCTAAAGGCAGAAGGAAGATTAAAGGTACCATCTAACTCAGTGTTTGCTCATTATGCTCATTTTCATGTTGACAAACTTCTTTATGAATATAACAATTATTCCTTGATTTCTGCAACTCATGGCAGCACTAAAATAGATTACAGCTCCAGGTTTATGTTCTGCTTACATTCAGGACAAGGGCTCTGAACAATTGCACATTTCCAGGAGAGGAGTTTCCATGGAAACTTGGACAAAGGCAAAACAAAATAATTCTTCAAGGCCTATGAGAAAAAAATTTCACCTTGCTTTTTATTTGCAGTTCTGTGTCCCCTGAGCAGTTCAGCCAGCTTGCAGCTGCCCTTGCTCTCTAGGAATCCCCGTTTGAAAATTATATATAGCATTATGCATCTCTGAAATCTGCAAAATAGGATTTGATGAGTGTAAATGAAGAGTTATTTCTCTGGAAGGCTCAAACCCAGAGGTTTATTACAATACAATTTTTAAAAGTTAAAGCATACATTTAAGTAGCCACTGAATTTATGAATATGGAGGTGTTTTTCAAATTATAAAATCCTTAAAATAGGCCTCAAGAAGAGAGTTTTAGGATAAATAAATGGAATCAGTGATTAGAGACAATTAGGCATTTCAAGGCAATTTGCTAGCTGAAAATAAAGACCAGGTCAAATGATTTTCGGTAAATGTATGGATCATATATCTTGGGTAAAAGGAAGTCAGGGGGTTCATATAAAGTCCTTCGGAGAATGATGTGTCTCCTGTTGGTTTGCAAAATCCTGTACAGCACGCTGTCTTATTTATTCTTGTATCTTCTATGGCACTAAGCACAGTATTTTTAAGGCACTTTGGGGGCTGGATGGGTGTAGTGAAGAGCATTCACCATCTCCCTCAAGAGTCCAGCATCACAGTCAGAAACAGAGTACTCTCTGCTTCCTAGGCAAAACTATTGACACTATTTAATAACTTCATCATACAGTTCATATTTTATCGAGGAACCTGCCCCGATAGTCACATAGGTTCTTTTCTATTTTCCCTAAGCATCGGCCGGTTTGAGAAATAAAGGGACAGAGTACAAAAGAGAGAAATTTTAAGGCTGGGCATCCGGGGGAGACATCACATGTCAGTAGGTTCCGTGATGCCCCACAAGCCACAAAACCAGCAAGTTTTTATTGGGACTTTCAAAAGGGGAGGGAGTGTACAAATAGGGTGTGGGTCACAAAGATCCGTACTTCACAAGGTAATAGAATATCACAAGGCAAATGGAGGCAGGGCGAGATCACAGGACCACAGGACCGGGGCAAAATTAAAATTGCTAATGAAGTTTCGGGCACCATTGTCATTGATAACATCTTATTAGGAGACAGGGTTTTGAGAGCAACAGGTCTGACCAAAATTTATTAGGCAGGAATTTCCTCTTCCTAATAAGCCTGGGAGTGCTGTGGGAGACTGGGGTTTATTTCACCCCTACAGTCTCTACCATAGAAGACGGCCACACCCAAGGGGGCCATTTATAGACCCACCCTCAGGGGCATATTCTCTTTCTCAGGGATGTTCCTTGCTGAGAAAAAGAATTCAGTGATATTTCTCCCATTTGCCTTTGAAAGAAGAGAAATATGGCTCTGTTCTGCCCGGCTCACCGGTGGTCAGAGTTTAAGGTTATCTCTCTTATTCCCTGAACAATTGCTGTTATCCTGTTCTTTTTTTCAAGGTGCCCAGATTTCATATTGTTCAAACACACATGCTCTACAATTTGTGCAGTTAACGCAATTATCACAGGGTCCTGAGGCGACATACATCCTCCTCAGCTGACAAGATTAAGAGATTAAAGACAGGCATAGGAAATCACAAGGGTATTGATTGGGGAAGTGATAAGTGTCCATGAAATCTTCACAATTTATGTTTAGAGACTGCAGTAAAGACAGGCATAAGAAATTATAAAAATATTAATTTGGAAAACAAATAAATGTCCATGAAATCTTCATAATCCACGTTCTTCTGCCATGGCTTCAGCCAGTCCCTCTGTTTGGGGTCCCTGACATCCCGCAATAATATTTCACTTTCTTTTCGTTATTGAGCTTAATTGTAATCATATTCAGAAACATATCCACTCTTCGATGCATTCTTTCAACAATAACTTCTGAATAATATACCAAGTACTATGCCAGGAATGTGCCCTCAAGGAGTCCATAAAGGGCTGCTGACTTTAAAAAAAGATGATACAAAACTAAAGAAAAACACAGACAACAAAATGTGGTTACTGTACTCTGTAATATCTCATAATGTTGAGGACTGTCATGGGTTTTATGGGTGTCCAGAGCAGGGGCATGTGACTCAGCTCAGTGGTGCCTGTCATATGGGGGTTAGATCAGGTAAGGCCTTCACAGAGAAATGTTTGTTCTCAGCGTTTTTGTTGTTGTTGTTGTTGTTGTTTGTTTGTGACATGGAGTCTCGCTCTGTCACCCAGGCTGGAGTGCAGTGGCGTGATCTCGGTTCACTGCAACGTCTGCCTCCCAGGTTCAAGTGATTCTCCTGCCTCAGCCGCCCGAGTAGCTGCGACTACAGGCACATGCCACCACACCCAGCTAATTTTTTGTATTTTTATTAGAGACAGGGTTTCACCTTGTTAGCCAGGTTGGTCTCGACCTCCTGACCTCATGATTCACCTGGCTCGGCCTCCCAAAGTGCTAGGATTACAGGTGTGAGCCACCGCACCCGGCCTGTTCTCAGTCTTGAAGGATGATTAGATGTGAATAAGGCATTCAAGCAGGGAAACACATTCAGAGAGAGGAAACATATGTAAAAACACAGGAACATGGAAGAATGCCAATGTTTCAGGCACTGAACATTGGGTTTAATGTAAGGAGTAATGGGCATGAGCTTGAAGAAGGCAGAAGCCAGGTCCTCAAATGCCTTTATGTGAAGTTAACAAGTGGGAATTTTATGCTAAAGATAGGGAACCCAGTGAGTTATCTCAGTGAAAGAAGGGCTAAATCTGTACCATTGTCCTAATTTAAGTGTTAGGGGCAGAGGAAGTCCGTAATAGAAGGGAGACCAGTTACGGGGCAAAGAGGCAATATTGACTCCCTATAGTGAGGGTCAAAACTACAGTGGTATAGACAACATGGAAGGGATAAGGAGATCTGGAAGATAGATGAGCTTGGTAACCAATTGTTTCGGCAGGGTATAAAAAAGAGGAAGGACTGGAGTGGATTTCAAATTTCTAATGCAAGTGCTGGGAAAGTGGTAATACTGTTAAGTGAAATTAGTACAAGAAGCGAAAACAAAAAACAAACAAAAAACTCCATAAAGATTATAAAGATTTAGGGTATGGCTTTAGCCTGACTGCTCACCTGACCTCAAACAAGATTCTTAACCACTTTGAGCCTCATTCCTTTGAGATGATCATGTGGGATTGTTTGGAGGATTAAATGAGATAATGTTTACAAAACATTCACACATTTGCTCAATCTATATTTTCTGAGCATTTATTGTGTACCAGGGTAAGGGGTTCAGAGTTCAGAGGTGTTTAAGACAAAGTTTCTGCTCTTATAATATATCTGTTGTATGTATGGGAAGATAGACATAAATAAGTTAACAAATAAATGAGTAAACTTCGAAACCCCCTCTCTACTAAAAATACAAAAATTATCCGGGTGCAGTGGTGGGCACCTGTAATCCCAGCTACTCCGGAGGCTGAGACAAAAGAATCGCTTGAATCCGGGAGGCGGAGGTTGCAGTGAGCCGAGATCATGCCACTGCACTCCAGCCTGGGCGACAGAGCCAGACTCCTTCTAAAAATAAATATATAGGTAAACTAATTATAGATTTGGAAGCGTGCTTTGAAAGAAATAAAAATGTTGATGTGACAGTTACAGACAGGGTTGAGAGTTCTACTTTTTGATAAGTTGTTAAGAAAGGCTAAAACTTGCAGGGAGTTATTCAGTCAGAGACAGCTAATCATAGTTGAGGAACAGCATCCGAGGCTGAGAAAACCACAAAGACTCTGAATTGGGAAAGAATTTGGAAGGACAGTACACACCTAGCAAATCCCTAAATATAATAAACACACAATAAATAATAGATATTATGTTTAGAAACAAGAAGACATGTATTGATTATATGCCATGGAAAACTATCTGAACAAAATACCTAATTCATTTATTGCATACATAATATAGTCAGAACAATATTTAAAATTGACACATTTGCAAATGTATCTTTATATTTAAGAACGTGAATACAATTGTAAATGGAGTGAAGGGTTGGGAAGGAGTTCTCTAAAGTAATATTGAGGTTTATGGACTAGGAATTCTTGTAGGGAATTGTGTGATTAATATGCTTCCCCATGGTATTGGAAATATATTTTTCTTTATTTTCCAATTAGTTTTTTATTTGTTTGAGTCAGACTCAACCTTAACATCAGTGGATCCTCCAAAGATGGGAGACTACCTTTTTGAAGACTGCAATCCACACAACTCTATATAGAAAACTCTATGTTAACTTTCATGCTTTTAGTAGAAATCTCTATTATTAGTCACTGCTGCATTTTTTTCTGTGCAGTGATAGAAGATATATCATCTATTTTTTTTTTTTTTTGAGATGGAGTCTCGCTCTGTTGCCCAGGCTGGAGTGCAATGGCGCGATCTTGGCTCACTGCAACCTCTGCCTCCTGGGTTCAAGTGATTCTCCTGCCTCAGCCTCCTGAGTAGCTGGGATTACAGGCATGCACCACCACGCCCAGCTAATTTTTTTTGTATTTTTAGTAGAGACAGGGTTTCACCATGTTGTTCAAGCTGGTTTCGAACTCCTGACCTTGTGATCCTCCTGTCTCAGCCTCCCAAAGTGCAGGGATTACAAGTGTGAGCCACTGTGTCCGGCCAATATATCATCTAAATGATAAAAAAATCACTCAATATAGATTGTGTTACATTTTTTAAAAATTGCAAATGTCATATGTTATACAGGGAAATTATTAAGTAACTATCCCGTCCTAGTGTTCAAGTGTTATGTCTGAGAGTTTGCTGTTTTACATGCAAAGGAAAGATTATAAACAACTTCTGTACCACATCAACGAAGTCATTCAAATTTGATATTAATCCTAGTTAAGCAATTTGCCTGGCATTCATTTGATTTGTCTTCTTAAACTAGAATGCATAGTAAAAATGGGTTGCAAATATTTGGTAGTTATAAATTTAGGATTGAAAATATAGAAACATTAAACTTAGACTGATGTGTTAAAGCATGTTGATAATATCAATTAAAAATTTAAATGTCAAAGGAATTAACCAAAAAAGAAATAGCTTAGCAGACGTTAAAACCACAAAACAGGAATAGGACTATTCTAGAATTCAATGAATGACAGCCTCCACGTCTGTTCAGAGTGAATTCTAACAAATAGCTAATGAATATAAACAGTCTATTTAAGTGCTGCTGGAAAATTCCCCTTCAACCAGCAGCTGACATGACTGTTGTCATTCAAAGGGCATAAGCAAATGTCAAATAATTGAATCATTGAGAAACTGAGATGACAATGGCCTACATTCTCCTTAATGCTTTTTGAAAATTCTTCCCTGGGCTATTCAATAGATGATGTTTAATAACGGTATTAAGCTAAAGAAAAACCACGGGAAGTCAAAGTTTAAATAGGGCTTAACTCTTTAATTGGAGATTCCTCAGGGAAATTGGCTGTGGCTCTTGCATACCAGGTTGAGTGTGTTTCTGTAAAATTGCACTGATAGGATCCTGAATCACCATGTTTTATAGATAAGAGAAATACAAACTTCACATGAAACAATGTGGTGCTCCAATCCAGTATGAAGATTGTCATATCCTAGCACAGGCAGCGCCTTCCAATTCTTTTCCTGCCTTCCTATAACTGAGTATGTGTGTCCTTAACATTTTTAAAGGAACTGTAGGCCAGCAAGGTGCTCTTTGCTAGAATTAAGGTCCATGTTCTCCTTGTACCCCCATTTCCTGTTTCTTCATTTGCCGTTGGCTTTTATCTGGTTTTCATTAACTCAGGGACTTACATATCCATTCATTAGTTGGCATCTTCTAGCCTGACACCGTGACTGATCTTGGATTTGCTTCTTGATTCTTCCTTTGTCTCTTGGATCCAATATAACTATGTGTCTTTGGAACTAACTCCACACATTTTTCTGTTTTTAGTCTTGCTACATCCTGCTCTAAGGCGAGTGGGTTATAGGTATATCCAGCAATACCATTCTAGAAAAGACAATCTTTAATAATAGAGGCTCTAATGCCAAATCCCATGCATCTTTTAGTAACGAACAGAAATAACTTCTACATCCTTCAAGTTTAAAAATATTCATAGCAGATTCTCAGAATTTTAATGGTTACTCAGATTTGAGCTCTGTGGCATAAATTGTCCAGCTAGTCTGTAGGAGCAAGGCAGGTTATTGCATCTGGAACTATAGCAAGACAACAAAATCGATTATTCTAGATGTAATCTGAATACTTCTATAATGTTCATTAAAGATGTACTTTAATTATGAATACAAAAGTTAACATTAATTTGCAAACATTGCAATAAGTTACATACAGTTGATGTGTTAATACAAACTACTAAAACAAGTTATTGAAAAATTCTCTGGGAATTCATGAAATGATCTTTGTTCTAGATCAAAATATACTTGTTTATCCTAGATGCATGAAATGTGGTGATGATGGGATAAATCTGATTCCAAAGCCCACACATTAAAACTAGCCTCCCTGTTTTAGTCATATATCAAATATGTCCAGTAGTGGATACTTTTGAGGCTCCCCCCAGAGGCTCTGGATCTCCTTTACTGGGTATAAACACCCGTTGCTCAGCTCCTTTACTCATAGTTTTGCCACTAACAGCTGTTACCAGCAGCCCTCTTCCAAGACTATCTTTGGGCTACAAATTGCTTTACCCAGCAGCTGGGAGGCAGGGTTGCTGGAAGTGCCTGGGAGGCTACCCTTCTCAGGTAAAAGGAGAGATTAATTCTGCAGATGAGTACCATAGACACAACATTAACATGAGTCTAAGAAGCACATCTCTCACATTTTTACATGTTTTAACTGGGATGCAACTTATAATCGACTTGTTCTACTTCAAGTGGTAGTTTACTTTGTACACACAATAAGGATATGTCTGATGTTTGATGGTGAGTTAGAGTCAATGAAATTAGGGACTAGAAAAGAGTGAACAAAAACTGTTTGAAAATAATCATGAAGAGGTTTAGGAAAAAACTAACATTTAAACTGGTAATATGTGGAAGTGTCAGGCAACCCATCCTATCGTTTTGCAAGTATGCTATCTGGAAATTAAGGCCAATCGTAGTTTAGGTAAAAGTTAAAGGAAGAGAGCAACATTTAACAGGGATCCTACTGTGTGTCCAGCACTGAAGTAGGTTCTCTGCCTCCAGCAACTTTTTCATTTCATAATAAATTTTTGGGCCAGGAGGTGACATAATCACAAGGAAATTTTTTGAAGAAGATCCAGGCCCAAATCAGATGCTTGAGAATCACTGCACTGATTGGCATCAAGATGGTTTTACAACCATCTGCTTTTGATGACTTCTATTTTCCCAGCAGCCAAACCCCTATTCTAGGCAGGAAAATCATTAGCTATAGAGGAGGCAGATCTGGGTTCTCATCCTCATTCAGTCATTGGGAAACCAGTGGTCACCAAGAATTGGACTCTACAAATTTGGCTTCTTATATACATCCTTTCCAGGACCAGGAATGGCCTGAAGTGGGAGAGAACCTGCAGTTTGGAAGTAGAGAGATGCAATAATAGGTAGTCAGGCAGAACATCTTTGGGGTCTTTAATCTGTTCATCACAATATAAAGTGCTGTCTTCATTAAATCTAGTATTTGAGAGATTTTTTCTATCAAATAATGTTTAATCATAACAGTCCATTTCATTCATCTATAACTGTCAAATGGAGCTACTGGGCAGCAAAAAATAGCTAAGAGTACCACTTTGAAGGCCGGGCACGGTGGCTCAAGCCTGTAATCCCAGCACTTTGGGAGGCCGAGACAGGCGGATCACGAGGTCAGGAGATAGAGACCATCCTGGCTAATACAGTGAAACCCCGTCTCTACTAAAAATACAAAAAATTAGCCGGGTGCGGTGGCGGGCGCCTGTAGTCCCAGCTACTCGGGAGGCTGAGGCAGGAGAATGGCGTGAACCCGGGAGGCGGAGCTTGTAGTGAGCTGAGATCGCGCCACTGCACTCCAGCCTGGGCGACAGAGTAAGACTCCGTCTCAAAAAAAAAAAAAAAAAAAAGAAAAGAAATAAAATGCATAGCAATATAAAAAGAAAAAGGAACTAAAATTCTATCTGTAGATCCCAAGTTAAGAACCCCTGGGAAGAAGCTTGCTTCAAGTTGAGTGAAAAAGCCAGGAAGAAGTAGCCAGATGATGATGGTAAGAAGGTAGAAAAGAGTATTCCAGGAAAGAGAAATATTACGTGGAAAGAGTAAGAGGTAAGAGTAAGAGTAAGAGGCCAAGGCACAGGCAAAGAGTTTGCTTTTTCAGCTCAAAATTTAAGGGTACTGTAGGTCCAGCTAAAAACAAAGAGACTTGCTCTTTTTAATCATCTGTGCAGCTATAATAAGGGCACATGTATGATGCGTCCTTTAGTCTATTTAGTCTATTATACTTTGTTATATAAACAGAATATATAAAAATCTTTCTATAAATTGTTCTCTATGATTATGTACTAGTGAGAAAATAAACATGTTGTTTTAGTATATCAAGCTGCAAATATTACTATGCTAACTTTCAAAATGAATGATTTAAAATAGACTATACTGATCTGAATCACTTTTTATGTACAATATTAAATCAGGAATCAAATCACAGCTGGGGACCTAAATGTATATTTATAAGAGATATTCTTCTCTGCTCCTGGGATTTTCATTCTGAAATACCTTTAGTAGAAAAGCAAAGCACATAATAGTAGTTGAACTTTTCTGTAATGTGTTTCTGGAGATTAGGTCATTATGCGGGTTTTAAAAGACATGTTACAAGCATCAGATATTGTGTTTCCATTACATGGGGACTCAATAAGTACTTAAATGAAACCAAAAATACTTTTCATCGACTAACGAAAAGAAGAGCAATGCAATAAAAATATGCTAGCTAAAGACAGTTTAGTTGTGTGTGAAATCATGGATTCACCCAGTCCTTAAAATCAGAAAAAAAAAATGAAATGTTTTAATTGTGAGCCTTCTGCTTAATAGCTTCTGTGGCTGAAAAAAATCCCTGAGACTCAAGTTTCCTTATGGGTAAAACAGGGATACTAATACTTACACTTTGGTATTAACTAAAGAGAGCACTAAAGACAAAGCTCTTAGTACAGTATAGCAGTACACTGTAGTTTCCTCTTCTTTCACCTGGACTCTCCTGACATCTCTCTGATCACCCCACTTACATATACAGATAGCTCAGGAATTGACAGAAAGGAGTAGAAGAAGTTGGGTAGTACAGCAGGTTTGAGCAGAAAACAGACTAGAGTTTCTATGTAAAATTTTTAGGCTATTGATTTGAAAATCAGACTTCCCCAGATAGTTTCCAGATACTAGAGTTAGCTATGAATGAATTTTAATCATTTAGAGACCCCTTATGTGATAGCAGTTTTTATAAAACTATGCTGAAGGAACAGTAAGGGTAGATAAATTAAAACAAGTTTCAATGGCACATGCCTGTAGTCCCACTTACTCAAGAGGCTGAGGCAGGAGGATCACTTGAGCCCGTGAATTAGCGGCTGCAGTGACTGTAATGGAGCCACTGCACTCTAGCCTAGACAACAGAGTGAGACCCCTTCTCTAAAAAAAAAAAAAAAAAACCTCAAAAGAAGAATATGTTCTGAGATATATTTTCTGAGATGGAACAACATAATTTAAAAGGGGTTATATATACATAGGAATTTTTCTTCTGATATATTTTAAACTCTCAACATTTGATTGAGTTTGACAAACTATATTGGGAACCTATTAGGTGTCAGGCTCCACACACAGTACTTCAGATCCCAAGGCAGATAAGATGTGCTTGCTGGTCTCAAATAAGTCTCCGTGGAATTTAGAATATTTGTGGGTAGGAGGTAGTGGGATGGGTGAAAGCCTAGGGGAGGGGCACCCACTATGCACCAAAATAGCTAAATATTCAATGACATTAATGCAATTATAATATAATTCCAGTATAGGGTCACAAGCAGATAAGTGAGCTATTTAATTCTACCTGGGGCAGAAGAAGCCTCTAGGGAGGTGACAGGTTCTGGGATTCTAAAGAAAATGTATATATAGACCCAGGTAGGAAACATATAGTGGTTGAGGACTAAACCCAATCTGAGGAAAGATGAAGAGATTTTCTGCAAAAAGCAAAACAGACTGCTGAATTATGACAGAAATTGAGAGACCACATTCTAGCATAATGGTTTTATTTTTTTTCCTCTCATCATATTTTTACACACATACTCACTCATACATATTCTTCAGGAGTTTGAAAATTGTTTCTCAGTCTTGCTTTTCACATTAGGAAAAAATGTAGAGTAACTGGATCCAAATGTTCTGTCATTCTGTTACACAGAAAGAAGGAATTCACTTTACAAGAAAACAATTTGATGCTTTGTTTACATTTATGTGAATATTCACCTTCAAGTGGGCCTCACTTACACAGGCAGGGAGGTTCTGCAAGATAATTGGTAATAGGCGCCCTAATATTTATATTTAGTAGGTATTCTGTGGATGGTGCTCCTTCTCATCTATCTCTGGGGCATCTGCTTTCTAGAATTCTTTATGGTGTCCTTGTTAATCCATCCTGAATTCAAATGAACCAAGCAAAACACAACATTTAAAGTGAACAAATGTGTTTAATTGCTTCATTCTGAGAAACAAGGGAACCAAGAAAGGCCAAATCAATTGTGTTACACTAAACCAACAAAGACTTCTTTGCAAGAAACCCTTGTTGTTATATCAATATTTATTGCTTACTTTTCATTAGAAGCTACGCGCAAAGTTGCAGCCCTCTCCAGAGTGAGAAATGTTGAGACACCTACAAAGCAAATTGCCTTGCTTTTGGCTTGTCTGTCGGTTGTTATTTTTTAAACCATCTATCCATGCCCCTTCCCATCACCATGCCTAACATAGCACTTCTTGTGAAGATCTCTTGGTGGTTAAACAATTCACAATTATTAAATGTGACTTTCTAGAAGTTGCAGTCACCTGGATAAACGGGCTTTTGCTGCTGGAGGTTGGTAGGGTAAGGAGGGTGGTGAGTGTTTGAACAGAGTATTGTGGAATAAATAGTTGAGCCTGCTGTGGCATTCTGCCACAGGTCCTCCCAGATCCCGTCTTCTTTTGCTGGAATTCCCTGGCTCCCCTCCAGTTCACCCAACTTATCAAACAGATTGTTTGGCAAAGGATAGAAAGAGGTAGAAAATAAAGTGAAATTGAAGATTTGGGCAGACACACTCCTGTTTCTATGTAGAATCTCCTAGGCTGTTGATTTGAAGGTCTTAGTACTCCAGGTACTTTACATATCTTTGGGTTAAATATGTATACGTTGTCATTTTAATTGCCAAAGTTACTTGAACTTCTACATAACACAGCCACATTTTAAGGGACTTTAAAAAAGAACATGTCAGTTTTGCTCCTAATGGATAAGTGCATACCACAAGTGCAACACCACCTGATGGCTTCTCTTTCTTTTTTTAAGTGAAGTAGGACTTGGCTAGATAGTAACTGATTCTAGTCCATGAGACATGCATCCATCCCCATTAACCTGTAATCTATGATTGCAGTTTCTCTATTTAGTTTGACAAATGAATCTTCCAAACAATGACCAGCTCTTTTGGGGAATGTGAAGCTAATGATGCTCCTTCTTTTACAGAACTAGTTTGACATTCCAATTGTGCTTTAAAAGAAACATACGTTTTTAAGCTTTTTACTGCATAGAATTAGCATTCTTTTTAACTTTTTGACTATTCATGGACATAATGAACAAGCTGTTCTATTTGTTGACTGTGGATATCCTGTAGCTTCTAGGCTGCACATTTCGATATGCAATAGAGTTGTAATAAAATATGAGCAAGGCAATAAAACAGGAAATATTGTAATATATTTTTGCAATGAAGGCTTTGAATGCAGAAAGTTCGCAGATCTCTTCATTACAGTTCCAGTGGATAGTTTATTTCTCAGCTTTCATTAAAAGAAAAAAAAGTTGTGGATGTGTGATTCTGCTGAATAAAGCTGGATATAAATGAAGTATCTGCAACACAATCGTAGGAAACATATTTTTTGTTTTGCTAGTACTTGCTTATGTTACTCATATGAATAATATGATTGATTTTTACTTTATCTCCAACTGGCAGTATAGTCATAAATCTATCTGTGAGTTACCAAGTGCAGGATAAAATGTTATTTTTCCTCAGTGTGGTCTCATTTGATTACAATTGCAGCCTTGCCTGGCTGCATTCCATCCATAATTAATCGTCTCTTTGGTTTCCAGTTGCAGCGAGGCCAGGGCTGTAACCGTTCACATCTTTAGACGATGGTCTACTACGCCAGCTGGCAAGTGAATGGAGACCTTTCACACTGAGTCTAATGGACGCAGAAGGCTGAGGCTTTGTCAGGGCAGCTCTTTAAATGACATCGTGGCAGTAAAGGTCCAACTTGCTGTGGCTGACAGTCTCTTTGGCACCTCACCCTTCTGAGTAAACACCATATGCAGAGAGGTTTCATTTTGCCAATTTATTTTAGTGCCTTTCATTCCATGATAGAAAGTATTCTCAGTGGTGATAGGAAAATGAATTCCTTTAAGGCTTTACCTCAGGGGCCGGATCACTCTCTCTTTCCTGTGTATTGTGTTATAAAATCCCATTAGCATTAGTGACTGTCATTTTGTCATAATATAGATATTTGTTTCCTATCATATTATTTATTACTTGGGCATATGGTTGCACATTACTCCCAGGGAAAGAATGTGAAATATAGCAGGCAAAAAAGTTAGATTAAGTATCCACCCACGTCTAACACTGAGATTTATTTTTGAGCAAGAGGGCATGTTACTACTCAATTATTGGTACAAAGACATATTAGATGTAATTTTAAATAGATGTATTTAGTACTTATTTTGCTCTCTGTAGTGCTACTTTAAAAACAGCAAACTACATGGGTTCGTATCATTTGGTATAAATTATGATAGAATCTTATAAAGTGTCAGAACTCCAGTCCATTTGTGATTGTTCAAAAAATATTTAAGCCAGATTCTCAAACTCAAATATCTTTGGGAGCCATGCAGGTTACTCTGAGGGAAGTGGGTCAAGTACAATGATTTCGAGAGACCAAGGATAACATTAAGGAAGCAGTCATAAAAAGGGCAGCTCTAGCAGATTATTGGCATGTGGGGAAAATGAAGAAGCTAAGGAAAGTGGGTCTGTTACAGGAAAGGGGTCCCCAGTCCAGATCCCAGGAGAGGGTTCTTGGTCACGCACAAGAAAGAATTCAGGGCAAGTCCATGGAGTAAAGTGAAAGCAAGTTTATTAAGAAAGTAGAGGAATAAGAGAATGGCTACTCCATTGACAGAACAGCCCCGAAAACCGCTGGTTGCCCATTTTTATGGTTATTTCTTGATTATTTGCTAAACAAGGGGTGGATTATTCATGCCTCCCCTTTTTAGACCATATAGGGTAACTTCCTGATGTTGCCACGGCATTGGTAAACTGTCATGGCGCTGGTGGCAGTGTAGCAGTGAGGGCGACCAGAGGTCACTCTTGTCACCATCTTGGTTTTAGTGGGTTTTAGCTAGCTTCTTTACTGGAACTGGTTTTATCAGCAAGGTCTTTATGACCTGTATCTTGTGCTGACCTCATATCTCATCCTGTGACTTAGAATACCTTAACTGTCTGCGAATGCAGCCCTGTTGGTCTCAGCCTCATTTTACCCAGCTCCTGTTCAAGATGGAATTGCTCTGGTTTACACACCCCTGACAGGTTTAGCAATGGCACCAGAAATGATCCTTCTTTTGTCAAAATAAGCCAGATATCTAGATTTTTATCTGACACCCCTTGTTTTTAAATGTTAAAAACTGCAAAATGTTCAATTAAAAAAACATTTTTAAAAAGTTGCTATGTTTAAAGAGGGCTGGACCTGCAAGCTGACTTTGCATTGTACCAAAAGTCTTAGAATAAGACATTAAAAATGAGCTTCCCATTCCCCTTGAGAACTATGACAAGACAAGGATGCCTGCTCTTGTCATTCTTATTTAACATAGTTCTGAAAGTGCTAGACAGAGCAATCAGGCAAGAGAAAGAAATAAAAGGCATTCAAACAGGAAAATAAGTCAAAATATCTCTCTTCATTGACAATATAATTTTATACGTGGAAAACCCTAGATTCTACCAAAAAGCTCTTTGAATTGATAAACAACTTCAGTCAAGTTTCAGGATACAAAATAAATCTAGAAAAATCAGTCGCATTTCTATATACCAATAACGTTCAAGCTGAGAGCCAAATCAAGAATGTATTCTCATTTACGATAGACACTCAAATACACACGCAGACACACACACACACACACACACACACAGATACCTAAGAATACATCTAACCAAGGAGGTGAAAGATCTCTCCTCAAGGAGAAATACAAAACACTGCTGAAGAAATCAGAGATGACATAAACAAATGGAAAACATCCTATGTTTATGGTTTGGAAGAATCAATATCGCTAAAATGGTCACACTGCCCAAAGGAATTTATCAATTCGATGATATTCCTATCAAACTACTAATGTCATTTTTTTTACAGAATTAGAATAAAACCATTCTAAAACTTGTATGGAACCAAAAAAGAGCCCAAGTAGCATCCTAAACATAAAGGACAGAGCCAGAGGCATCACATTACCTGACTTCAAACTATACTATAAGGCTACAGTAACCCAAACAGCATGGTACTGATACAAAAACAGATGCATAGACCAATGGGACAGAATAGAGAACCCAGAAATAAAGCTGCACACCTTCAGCTACCTGATCTTCAACAAAATCAACAAAAATAAGCAATGAGAAAAAGACTTCTTATTCAATAAGTGGTGCTGGGATAGCTGGCTAGCCATATGCAGAAGAATGAAACTGGACTCCTTCCTTACACCATATACAAAAAGTAACTCAAAATGGATTAAATATTTAAATGTAAGACCTCAAACTATAATAATCCTAGAAGAAAACCTTGGAAACACCATTCTGGACATTGGTTTTGGCAATAATTTATGACTAAGTCTTCAAAAGCAACTGCAACAAAAACAAAAATTGACAAGAAGGACCTAATTAAACTCAAGAGCTTCTGCTCAGCAAGAGAAACTATTATATCAACAGAGTAAACAGACAACCTAGAGAATAAGAGAAAGTACTCACAAACTATACATCTGACAAAAGTCTAATATCCAGAATCTTTAAGGAACTTAAGCAACTGAACAAGCAAAAAACAAATGACCCTATTAAAAAGTGGGCAACAGACATGAACAGATATTTCTCAAAAGGACACACAAGCAGTCAACAAACATATGAAAAATTGCTCCACATCATTAATCACCAGAGAAATGCAAATCAAAACCACGACGAGATACCATCTCACACTAGTCGGAATGACTATTATTAAAAAGTCAAAAAATAACAGATGTTCGTGAGGCTATTGAGAGAAGGGAACACTTATGCATATTTGGTGGCAATGTAAATTAATTCAACTTCTATGGAAAGCGGTTTGGAGATTTCTCAATGAATTTAAAGCAGAACTACCATTTGACGCAGTAATCTCATTACTGGGTATATATCCAAAAGAAAAAAAAATTATTCTACCAAAAAAAAAAAAAAAACCCACTTACACTCATATGTTCATTGCAACACTACTCACAATAGCAAATACATGGGATCAACCTAGGTGCCTATCAATATAGTGGATCAGATAAAGAAAATGTGACACATATACACCATGCAATATTTTGCAGCCATAAAATAGAATGAAATCATGTCCTTTGCAGCAAGCAATATGGATGCAGCTGGAGGCCATTATCCTAAGTGAATTAATGCAGGAATGGAAAACCAAATATTTATATTCTCACTTATAAGTGAGAGATGAACATTGGGTATTCATGGACATAAAAATGACAACTATAGACACTGGACACTAAAAGAGAGGAGGGTGGGACCAGGGTAAGTGTTGAAAAACTAACTGTTGTTTTCTATGCTCACAATCTGGGAGACGGGATCATTCATATTCCAAACCTCAGCATCACACAATATACTCATGTAATGGACCTGCACATGTACCCCCTTAATCTAAAACAAAAGTTGAAATTACATTAAAAAAGAAAACACATACACAAAAAATAAAATGTACTTCTTCCTTTAATAAATTTATCAAGAGTATTTCACCTTGATGTAGAAATGTAAAAATAAAACTGATAAAAATAATACCAATCCAATTAAGCAAATCAGTGTGTCCATGTCTATAAAATCCTCCCTACACAACTGTCATCAGAGAGTATATGTTTTATCAGTTACAGCGAAAGTATGATAGGTGAGTCTGGAGGGCAGATCAATTGCATTGCTTTGATAAGCTGTATCGTTTTCTTGAACGTCCTTCCCACCCACTTTGCAGCCACTGCCATCTACCGTAAAATAATCAAAAATGAAATTTCCTTGTTGTATTGTCTAAGTTTATGCTTCCACATACCCTGCTTTTTATTTTATGATACTAAAAATAGAATTTGAAGATCAGCAGAAAACATGATGTTATTAATTCAACAATGTATTTTGCAATGTAATCACTGTAAAACTTAGATTTGGAATCTAACATATATACTGGTTTAACCCATGATTATGGGGAAAGTTCTAAGCAAATTTTGAGGGAGAGATAATGTAGAAAGATGGTGTATGAAAATTCAAGGAATATGAGACTTTAGAGCTTTTATTTATTTATTTTTAAAAAGAGATATAGCAAATGAAGACATAAGTTCAGAAGTTAATATTCTAGGCAGAAAAAAGAAGGAAATAAAGAAAATAAATATAGTAAAAACTTGACAATCTTGGGTGAACACAAAATAAAATATGTCTTTATTTTTTTAAACCAAATTAAATTCGATGCTAAGCTCTTGTTCATCAGGGCTGCAGGGAAGTTACTGGGGCTGCTGTTTTCCCTGGGCTTTAGCAAAGATCCAGGGGTCTAACATACAGTGAGGAACTCATTGATGTTCTTCTGGTTTTCAGCACCAGATGATGTTCTTCTGGTCTCAGCTTTCTCTGAGATACTTTGATTCCAGCCCCTCATGAACCCTTGAAAACAGCCAACTCCATGGCATCCTGTTCATTCCTGTACACAAAAATGTTGCTCCAGGGCTGGGAGGCCTAGGGCTGTGGTCCAGCTTTCCCAGGTTACCATGCAGCCATTGCCTCTGAATTCCTCTCTCCCAGCACAATATCATCAATGAGCCAAGGTTTATTTTAAAAGAAGGTATACTGTCTTCATCCACTGAGATTATATTCTTGCCCAGTTATCTTCTTGGAAGAGGCACAGGAAAAAAATATCTAGAGTGAAATGCAAATCTTAACAATAAAAATGAAGCAAAAATAAAAATAAATATCCTAATAAAGCTTATTGGCTCATAGAATTTTGAAATATCTCAGTAGAAACAAAACAGAACTATCTAGGAGCAGAAGAAAGGAAGCAATGGTGGGATGGGGAAGAAGCAACAAAGAAGAGAAAGTATATGTCATTATGGAAAATAATGGAGGGAAGGATATAGATAGGGAAAAGATAGGGAAGTTTTAACTGAATTTTATAAAGAAACATAAAGTTTTATCTTACCTACCTTAATGTAATTTGTTTTCCCCACAGCAATTATAGTACAGAAAAATGATAATTCCAAAATATTTAAGTAATTATAAATTTCTAATCTTACAGAGCTCTTTTAAAATTACTTTCATTTGCACATCACAATACAGTTTAGAGTAGATATATTAGCCAGAAAACAATTTCTCCATTCAAGAATTTGATGCATCTATAAGTTTTTTTTATTATTAGAAGTATTACCTTACTATTGCAAATGTTGATATCATAGTAGACAGGCAAACAAGTGATCTTAATGCTGGTCTAAAAGAGAAACTAAAATATATTTTTAAAAGGTATTAAAAATATCTAAAAGACATTATCATGGAGGCCACATGTATATATTTAGAGGATGAATATGAGGCATAATATTTTGGTCTATAGTTTGGGTTTTAGTTTCCATTATATAGGGACTAAAAGTAATGTATTATGAAAGATTGGAAAGAAATGAAAAATAGATGCCCTTGAAAACTGTTAGATGACTCAGCAAGACGCCTCAGTGATGATGGAAGATGCACATGAATGATGTAGAAGAGAAACATGAAGAATTGAGCACAATTGCTTCATGAAATCTAAGAGTACGAAAAAGCAATATTTCAAACTCTTTTCTTTTAAAAACATAGGTTTTCATTTGTTTGTTTGTTTTGTTTGTTTGTTTTTGAGACAGAATCTTACTTTGTTGCCCAGGCTGGAGTGCAGTGGCCTGATCTCGGCTCATTGCAACCTCCACTTCCTGGCTTCAAGCCATTCTCCTGCCTCAGCCTTCTGAGTAGCTGGGACTACAGGCATCTACCACCATGCTCGGCTAATTTTTGTATTTTTAGTAGAGATGGGGTTTCACCATGTTGGCTAGACTGGTCTAGAACTCCTGACCTCAAGTGATCTGCCCGCCTTGACCTCCCAAAGTGCTGGGATTACAGGTCGTGAGCCACTATGCCCAGCCTAAAAATGTAATTTTAAATATATGTGTGTAACTAAATTGATATATTAAGTATTATAAGTAGGGTTTTGACTCTTCTAAAATTTTATTTACTTTTTAAGCTTATTTTGGAGCAAAATTAAATAAGATTTTTTGGGTATGGGTTTTCTTGCATTCACACATCTAAACTAATTGGAATTAGAAGTTCATGTGCACCTGAAAACCTGAATACAGTGGAACCTCAGAGAATTCAAAATTTAAAGCAGGAGTTCTTAAATGAGAAAGTATTAGGGAATCTGTTAATTCCCTGTAACATATGTGAAACATGACTTGAACACCTATGCATATGTGCATGTTTTCTGGTGTGAAGAGACTACATAGCTCTTTCTCAAAAGTATCTCAACCCTTAAGTTAATCAAGAGACAGTGCTCCAAACATTGTAAGTTGAGGGGTATGGTCGCCAGACTTCCTGCAGGGGCAAGAGAAAAGTGGGGATAGAATGTGCTTGAATGCTAATGTGGCCACAGATTGTATCTCCACCAAAAGCAAAGAGTCTAAAGAAATATTCAAAGAGCTAATCTGGAAAGATATTGAAATACATATTGGAGAAAATCAGTGAGAACTAGTTACAAAAATTTCTAAGAAATGGTGGCTGTTGCAATGAGGTAAGTAGCTGCATTCCTGGTGTTTTGTTCAGAACAGAGCACTTGCTATAAGAACCATGAAGAATCCTCGAAATAAGAAACAGTAAGCTTTTCTAGGTTGTGGTTGTGTGTAAGGGTGTCAAGCAAGTGACTGGAAGTTCAACCAGGACTGCAGCCCCAGAAGAGGCCTTGCCTTTCATCAGAGACGGATGCCAATTAGGTAGACTAGGTGTAGGTGCCATGGACACATTCCAGGCTCAGATTGGTACATCCTGCTTGTCTGAATTGTAATTAACTCAAGAACTAGGCAAGATAAAGCTTGTAGCTAAACAAGACTGAAGAAAGGCATGGAACTGGTTAATGTATGGTTCTGTAGACCAAAGCCTTGAACTCCAATCAATTAGCTGATGACATGATGACTCTAGGTTATACTTGTTTATAAGAAGCAGAGATTTTCTTATTGCCCTAATTATACTTCATTTTGCTTGTTGATGTCTTGGCCTTGCTGTTTACTTGTGATGAATAGATAAAATAAATAAACCTGGGTATCATTGACATGTACTTTTTTATTACTTAAGAAGATAATTTCAGACCACTAGAATAAATGATGAATCCAAATGCCAGTGCATCTTTAGGCTATCATTATATTCTATATTGTGTAACTATCCACTTTCTTTTACAGGAAAAAGCAAATATTACAAATTAATATAGATAACAAGCAACTAATTCCATCATCAAATCCTTATAATCACTGAATATTTGGGTTTGAAAGTAAATATAAAAAGATAAGCTTTACTGAGATACAATGATGCAAAAGTATTACTATAGTTAATGGGAAAAAAATATTGAATTATTTGACTATCCTACTGGAAATTTCCCTTGAGAAATGGCTTAATGGTCATAAAATTACTTCTGTTAGGCCGTAAATATTTCATTTTCCTAATTAAAAATGCATGTATGAACTAGAGAGTATCACAATTTATAGCTATATCTGGCCACCAGTTTCTCAGAAATGTATTTAACATAGTCATTTTTCATGCCTTATTTTTTCCCCCTGTACTTTGAGATTAAATCTCCAAAAATTCTCTGAGAGTCATGTTAATACTGGCTTTCATTTTTGAGTGAAGAAAAGGAGGAAGCCAACATTGTTTCTTATAAATTTGATTTAAATAGTTAAGCAGCCAGTTAAGAGATTCCAGATTCACTGGGATCTCATCTATGATGTGTATTTTATTTACAGGGTAGGAAATTTCATTTTCCTATGCTTAACGTCTGAAATACTATTATTACATGAAGGTATGCTATATTTCATAAATGGTTTCTGTTTTCTAATGCTGCATGAGATTTCTATTTTTTTTTCTTATCTCTTTTTGAGTTGAGGATACTGAACAAAAAATCTACGCTGGGTTCTGTTTAAATTATTAGATCACTGAAATTCTCAGAAACATTAACCTGAAATACAGTAATTCAAATAAACATTAGATACTAAAGGAGAACGTTTCTTTAAAGCATAATGTGGTAAGTGGCAACCACAAATGGTTTAGAGTGTAAGCATGCATACTTTTACCGGGGTGTGTATGAATTCTGAGCTTGTCTCTAATTTATTAATAAGAAAACACTTTACATGGGTGGGTGTGCACAAAGGAAATGACGTAGAAGGAGGAATGACAAGATGTTGCTTCAGGATATCTGCTAGTAATATAGTGTCAAGAATGGCTTGATGATAAAAATAAAATGGCTTGAGGAAAACAATCCTTGTTTTCCCTGTATCATTAAAGTCATGAATCACTGGGCTCATTAGAGCAAAGAAGCTATTGTAAGAATCTAGAAGGAAAAGAGTTGGAGGAGTTTAAAAGAAAAGCAAAAGAAACAAGAGGAAAAAAAGGCAATGGAAGGTTTCGGGAGGGAGAAGAGTAGTAAATTGCCTCTAGTTCTGGTTCCTGGAAGAGAAGCAGGACCCATAGTGGCAGGCACTTTTGAAGAGTAGCCCAGACTCTTTAAGAAGTAAATTTCACAATGGACAGTGAGAGGCAGGATACTGTTTTAGGCTGGGGGTATTTGAAGATTCATAATGGCCATTCGCATTACATAAAATTTGATTAAGATATTTTTGTGATAATTAGGAAAATGTAATAATGGCTTAGAATGTTGGATAATGTATTTGGGTTGATGATGATGTCTTAGGATTGGTGCTGGTGTTGTAGTTATATAGGAAAATAATCTTCATTTTGGGAGGATTCATTCTGAAGTATTTAGTGGTGAAATGTCAAGATACATATTGACTACTTTTAAATGCTTTGACAAAAGAGAAGTATGTGCTATGTACAGAGGAGATGGAGCAGTTGTGACAATTTTTACATCTTTGAATGTAATAGAAAGACATATGATTGTTATGCTCTTCTGCTTTTGCTGAGTTTGAACATTTTGGAATAAACTAAAAATAAATAAATAACACCGTATCCCATGAACAACAAACAAAAGGTGCTGGAGAAGATAGTATAGTGAGATCACATATTTATTGTTGCTTCCTTTTGTGACCGCATTGAAATAAAAATGAAATGAATGTAAGGAAAATGTCTGCATATTACTAACTTCTAGAATCAGAAAGTGCATGGAAAAGGGGTGCTTAATGATGTGTAGAGGAGGAAGTCACACCTAGAATGTGCATGAAGGGGAGACCTACTCTGTCTGGAGATCCTCTGGACTCAATTACCATGGAGGGTAGAAATAGGAGGAGAGACTTTAAATCTTTCCACTTTTCATGTAAGAATTACCCCAAACTCAGCACTTACTGACAAGCAGAACTATTAGGGAACTACTCTGAAAAGAAATAAAAATAATAAGTATGATTAGTTAATGCTGGTACTTCAAAATGGAGCCCTAATTATTCTGGCATTCGAGATTCTCTAGCATAAGAGCTCTCTCCCTCCCCGTTATCCATAAAGCAAATGCACCAATTAATTCCTGCTTACATATTCAGAACTCTCCATCAATAATCTAGTGTTACAGTAACTACAAACAGAAAATCAAGAATCACTATATATTTGATGAGTGCTTGCAAAATGAAAAAGTACAAAAATAAACACATTTTAAAGATTACTTTGGAGGACAAAGAAAATTCATAAAACAAAAGAAGATTAAAAATAAATAAGGAAACAAACAACAAATCCCAAATATTTAATATTTACTCTTAGAGAGATTCAAGGAGAATTATATTCTTAAAATAAGAACAAAATGGAATGAAAAGAAAGAGTCAGAAATACAAGAGCCCTTAAACATTAAAACATGAGTATTATATTAATATATTAACGTTAATGTTGAAAGATAAAGTCAATGGAATTATCGAGGAAGTCACCCTAAGAAGTCCAGCATGTTAGTGACTGGTATTCTAGAAAGAGAAAATGATGAGAGAATACTATCAAAGAGATATTAATATTACTACTAATGGTAATAATATTACTGATAATACTCACATTGCAACTGATAATACTAATATTACAACCAATAATGCAAATTGTGCATCCCAAATACAAAAAATCTGAAATCTGAAGTGCTCCCAAATCCAAAACTTTTTGACCACTGACATCATGCTCAAAGAAAATGCTCACTGGAGCATTTCAGATTTCGGATTTTTGAATTTGGGATGCTCAACCAGTATAATGCAAATATTCTCAGATTCAAAAAAGATCCCAAATCAAAAACAGTCTGGTCATCAGCATTTTGGATAACGAATACTCAACCTGTAATAACAATAATAATATGTTGCCCTACTGGTTAACAAATATATTAACTAATTTAATTCTCTCATCAGAAAAGTTTTAAACAATTACCTGTGGCTTGAAGGCAGTACAGTGGTAGTATGATGCCAGAGTGTATGCCCTTAACCATTACTGAAAAACATTAGTCATTAAGTTGACAGGACCATTAAGTGCTTAGGCCAGTAATTTTAAGCAGTCCAAGAGGACAAAAAAAATGGTAAAATTTCATAACATCAAGGAAAAATGACAAACCTGTAAGTTTCCAAAGATGGAGAAGAAAAATCAACAACAGCTAGTCAGCTAAAATGGAAAAAGTAATCAGAAAGGTATTATATTTCTTAGTACTTAACCCTAATGTTGGAAGACAACATTCAAAGTTCTGAGAAAAAAAGTACTTCTGGACTTAGAATTTTATACTTAGTCAAAATTTTACATATGAGTAAGAGAAAATAAATAGATTTTTAGACATTCAAGGACTGTAGTATTTACCCTTTCTTAGGAAGTTTCATTAGAATGTATTCCAGCAATATAAAAAAAGATATATCTGACAAAGGACAGCAATATGAGGGAATGATATATCTTCAAATATTTAAAAGAATTCTGAAGAATTCTTACAACTCAATAATAAGATAATCAACCCAATTAAAAATGAGCAAAAGAATTTTAAACAGGTACTTCACAAAAGGAGATCTACAAATGACCAATGAGCATATAAAAGCATATAAACATCATTCATTATTAGGGAAATATAAAATAAAAATGGCTGTGACTTACCATTACATACCCAATAGAATGGCTGCAATTAAAATAGTGACAATATCAAGTTTTGGCAAGGTGGTAGAGCAATTAGAACTCTCATATTTGCTAGCTGGGTTGTAAAATGGTACAACTACTTTGGAAAACAGTTTTGGCAGCTTTGTATTAAAAAAAATGCAGTCCCACAAGTCTACTTTAGCTTTTTAACCAAGATAAACGCAAACCTATGTCATTACAAAGAATTATACATGACTGTTCATTGAGCATTATTATAACAGTCCTAAAGTAGAAACATTAACAGGTGAAATTGATAAACAAATTGTGATACAGCCATATAACTGGACAAACTACTGATACAGGAACAACACAGTTAGATCTCAAAGATAGTATACTAAGTGGAAAAGGACAGACACACAAGAATATGCATGGTATAATTGCATTTATATGAAATTATAGAAAAGGAACCTCTAATCTGTAGTAAAAGGAAGTAATTCTATCTTGCAGGAGGTGCAAGGGATTGAAATCGAGTGTGCATAAGGGAATTTTTCTGTGTGATGTTGTGGGTGGTGGACATTTGCCAGCTTTATATATTTGCCAAAACTTGTTGAACTGTGCTAAAGTGGATACATTGTTGTATGTAAATTATATTTCAATAGAGTTGATTTTAAAAAAGAGGAAAGCATGAGATTCAGGAAGGAATATATTCCTTCAAATATTAGTTAAGGGAAGTCCCAGAATGGCAATTGTATAGACTTGGAAAACAGTCAAAATTGGAGCAGAGAGATGGAGGGTTCTTCAGGAATTTGTCTAGAAAAAAGTGTAATAACTAGAAAAGAAATATGACTAAGTACTTGAAAAATTTTTTATTTATTTGATTTTTTTGTTTTAAGTTCTGGGGTATATGTGCAGGATGTGCAGGTTTGTGCAAAAATTTAATAATGTGCAGAATGCAGTTAGTGGGCTGTAAAAAAAAAAAGAAAGAAAAAACTCATCCAACTGAATTTAATGTTAAGTACATTCTCCACTGAATGGCTCAACTATGTAAACATTGTATGATGATGTTAATACTGCATATTCAACTTTAGAGGATCATTTTTAAAAATCTTGACAATGCCAAAACAAATGCAAAGCTGACATAGGTTGAGAGGTAGAAACAGTTGAGTAGAAATGAAACCAAGAGGTAAAGACTATTGTTGATAAACAAGAAATGAAGGTTCAAGTATGTTTTTTGAAGCTGTTGAGGTTACCAGTAGAAGGAATGAGAATAATGTTCACTATTTGGGGTGGAAAGGAAAGGGGCAGCGGGAGATATTTAAATAAAATAATCCCTAGCTATTATAACAATCAATAGAAAATGTCTACGTTTTTTAAATCAAGAAATAGCAGAGTAAGTGAACTGGGTTGAATAGTGTCCTCCAAAATTTATGTGTACCCAGAACCTCGGAGTGACTTTATTTGGGTCTTTATCTGCAGAGTCTTTGCCAATGTAAGTAAGTTAAAATGAGGGCCGGGCGCGCTGGCTCACGCCTGTAATCCCAGCACTTTGGGGGGCCGAGGCGGGCGGATCACGAGGTCAGGAGATTGAGACCATTCTGGCTAACATGGTGAAACCCCGTCTCTACTAAAAATACAAAAAATTAGTGGGGCGTGGTGGCGTGCGCCTGTAGTCCCAGCTACTCCAGAGGCTGAGGCAGGAGAATGGCGTGAACCCGAGAGGCGGAGCTTGCAGTGAGCTGAGATCATGCCGCTGCACTCCAGCCTGGGCGACGGTGGGAGATTCCGTCTTAAAAAAAAAAAAAAAAATCATGTTGGACTAGGGTGGGCCTTACATCCAGTGAATGATTTCCCCACAAGAAGACCCTGTGAAAACACAGACACACAGAAGACACACACAGAGGAAAGTCAGTCTGTAAAGATGGAGGCAGAAATTGGAGTGATGGAATTGGAGGGTAGGGAGAGGCAAACAAGGATATTTTTCCTTAGAGCCTTCAGTGGGGAGCATGACCTTGCCAAAACTTGATTTTTGGATTTACAGCTTCCAAAACTGTGAAAGAATGAATTTCTGTTATTTTAAACCTCCTGGTTTATGTAATTTGTCATAGCAGCCCTAGACAACTAATATAGTAATCATAAATATGTTTTTTAAATAGATATGAGAGTAACCACAAGAAGAAACAAAACCAGTTAAAAGTCACTGCTACTGGGAAGAGCATTTGTAAGGAGGGAGTGATAGAACAGATTTCTCTTATTTTTCTTCATCAAATTATCTGCACTTGAAATTGAATACTTCAATGTATTACTGAATTAGAAATTTTTTTAAAAGTAGCTAAATTAAAAAGTTTCCAGGTCAAACATAAGTGTGTGGATAATTAGGTAGGGAGTTTAGATGACTGAAAATAGGTCAAATTCAATGTGAACACAAAGATTTGAACTTCATATAGGACTACGTATCCCAAAGGGCACAATTGTGTGAGGTGATAGGTCTAGTAAAAGACTCAATAACTAAGTTGAATTGCTCTAAAGACTCGTTTTGTAATAATAAAAAGAACTGACCTTGATTTATGTTACTAAGCGTATAATGTGGTAATGTCTCCTCTCTAAGAAACAAATGAAAGGCCAAAGTTCTGAGATCTCCCTCCCTTATGATTCAGCTCTTTTACAGAGGAAATAAAAAGAATTGAAAGTAGGAGGAGAGTGCCTAGTGTTTAAGCACATGGAGGAATCAGCCTAAGTAATGTTCTTTTTGCCTTTGCTGGCTCCAAAAGAGTCTGTAGAGATTGTAGATGTCTCCTGTCTAGGAGTTTCCTCACCTTGATTTTGCTCCACCTCAGAACGTTTCCAATAATCGCAAACCCAAGTCAGTTTCAAATGGCTTTACATGAATCAGAAAGTGAATGACTGATATATACATGTGAGGTAGATACATGTATAAAAATTAGTAGCTGATGGGTGACAGAATCACTGACTAAGCCTGATTACCACCAGAGATTCTGATTCAATAGGTATGAGATGGAGGCAGAGAAGCTGTATTTTTTTTTAAATGTCATAAGCCATATACAAGTAACCAAAGAACAGATTTTAACTGTCGTTTTGTTTTTTTTTTGTTTGTTTGTTTGTTTTTTGAGACAGAGTCTCTCTCTATTGCCCAGGCTGGACTACAATGGTGCAATCTCAGCTCACTGCAACCTCCGCCTCCCCCGTTCAAGTGATTCTCCTGCCTCAGCCTCCCAAGTAGCTGGGATTACAGGTGCCTGCCACCATGTCCAGCTAATTTTTTCTATTTTTAGTAGAGACGGGGTTTCGCCATGTTGGCCAGGCTGGTATTGAACTCCTGACCTCAGGTGATCTGCCTGCCTTAGCCTCCCAAAGTGCTGGGATTACAGGTATGAGCCACCACGCCCGAACTTTAATTCAGTCTTTATCAGTCCTGCAACTCCAGGCAAGAGCTCTGCTTCAGTTCTCTCACTTTTGGAAAATCAGCCAATCCCTAAACTGCTCGCTTCCCCCAAGTGTGACATATTAATAAATTGGCTTTTGGCTTTGCTCAGAGGGACTGTGTTCTCCAAGCACGGTTTTCCCTTAGCAAGTAAGAAATTCAACTTTGTAATAGATACTATGAGAGGTGTAGTCACTTCCCCTGACAATCGTCAAATGATTCTGACCTCTGCCTTCATGTTTTTTCCAGAGTTGAAATGTAGTGCAGAATCACCTAGACAAATGGTCTCCAAGCCAAGCCCGTTTTCCTTTCCTGATTTTGATTCAATGGACTCACTTTACACTCCCATGTGGTAGCTGCCCAGGGTTGGTCTCAGCACCTATCTCTTTACATGGCAAACCTTGTGTTGGTACATGGAGAAATGAGAGAAATAAGGACAATATTCATAAATCAGGTCAAGTTTATTGAAGTAAATAAAAATGATCCCCAGAGTGTGTAATATAAGGGGTTATTTTCTGGAAAAATTCTATGAAACCATCACATTTACAAGGTATTGAAAGTTAAGCATTGAATACAAAATTCAAGGGATTTGTTGAAAGAAAATATTTTTTCTTAAAGCATAACTTAAAACCGTGCATTGTTTTGTAAGTAGAAAATGTCCTTAAAAGCATTTAGAGAAATTGGACTTTATCAAAATTAAAAACTTTTGCTCAGTGAAAGATCCTGTTAAAAGAATGAAAAGGCAAGCAACAGACTGGGAGAAAAAATATATTTGACAAAAGTCTTGTATCTAGAATATGTAATTTTGAAATGACTTTCAAAATTCAACATTAATTCAAAAAAACTCATTTAGAAAATGGGCAAAAGATAGGAATAAATGTTTCACCAAAAAGGATATACAGATGGCAAATAAGCACATGAAAAGATGTTCATCACTAGCCATTAGAAAAATGCACGTTAAAACCACAGTGAGATATCACCACACACCTATCGGAATGGTTAAAATCAAACAGTGGCCCACCAAATGCTGGTGAGATTGCAGAGTACCAGGATCATTCACGCATCACTGGCAGGACAGTACCAATGACATAGGCGTTCTGGAAAATAGTTTAGTAGTTTCTTTTAAAGCTGAAAGTGGATGTGCCATAGAGCCCAGCCATTTTCCTCATGGGTATATATCCTAGAGAAATGAAAACTTATTTTCACATAGAAACTGATACGTGAATGTTCAGCTTTATTTGTAATAGCCTAATACTGGAAACTACCCGAATGTTCTTCAATAGGTTAATGGTTATAGAAACTGTGGTACATCCGTATTATGGAATACTAATCAGCAATAAAAAGAAATGGTCTGTTGATACATATAATAATCTCTATGAACTTCTAGAAAATTATGCTGAATGAGAAAAGCCAATCTGAAAAAGTTACGTACTACATGGTTTACTCATATAATAATTGCTAAATGACATAATTACAGCTCTGTGCCCCAAAACAATGATTCGATCAGTGATGGACTGCATATATGATGGTGGTCCCATAAGATTATAATGGACTTGAAAAATTCCTGTCACCTACTGTCATCATAGCCATGGTATTGTCATAGTGCAATGCCTTTACTCACCTGTTTTTTGGTGATGGGGGTGTAAACAAACCTACTGCTCTGCCAATCCTATGAAAGTCTAGCACATACAATTACGTACAGTATATAATACTTGATAATGATAATAAAGAACTATGTTACTGCTTTCTGTATTTGCTACAGTATATTTTTGTGGTTATTTTAGAGTGTACTCCTTGTACCTATTTAAAAAAAGGTAACTGTAAAACTGCCTGAGGCAAGGCCTTCAGAAGTTATTCCAGAAGGTCTTGTTATCATAGGAGATGACAGCTCCATGCACGCTATCGTGTATTGTGTATTGGACAGTATGTTCTAGTCTTTCACATTCACTCACCACTCACTCATGACTTACCTAAGGCAACTTCCAGTCCTGCAAGTTCCATTTGTGGTAATTGACCTCTACAGGTGTACAATTTTTTATCTTTTATATCATATTTTCACTGTACCTTTTCTATGTTTAAATATATTTAGATGCACAAATACTTACCATTGTGTTACAACTGCCTACAGTATTCGGCACAGTAACATACTACACAGGTTTGTATCCTGGAAGTAATAGGCTGTACATATATAGCCTAGATGTGTAGAAAACTATAGCATCTAGGATTGTGTATGCACACTCTATGATGTTCACGCAATGACAAAATCTCCAAATGACACATTTCTCAGAACATATTCTCGTTTTAAGTGACATATGACTGTGTATAAAGAGAGAGAACAGATTAGTAGTTGCCAGGGTTTAAGGATGAGGGTGGTGGGTGTGGCTATAAAGGGTAACACAGGGGCGTTTTGTGGTGAAGGAACTGCTTTCTATCTTGACTGTAGTGATGGATGCATGAATCTACACACATGCTAAAAGTGCATAGAACCAAATACATACACACACAAGTGCATGTATAACTGGCAAAATCTGAATAAGCTCTATGGTTTGTACCAATGCGAATTTATAATAATATTGTACTATAGTTATGTAACATGTTAACACTGGGGTAAGGTTTATGCACCCGAAGGGCACACATGATCTTTCTGTCCATTTCTTTGCAACTTCCTGTGAATCGATAATTATTTTATTTTATTTTATTTTATTTAGACGGAGGAGTCTCGCTTTGTCGCCCAGGGTGGAGTGCAGTGGCATGATCTGAACTCACTGCAACCTCTGCCTCCTGGGTTCAAGTGATTCTTCTGCCTCAGCCTCCCAAGTAGCTGGGATTACAGGTGTGTGCCACCAGGCCCAGCTAAGTTTTTTTGTATTTTTAGTAGAGATGGGGTTTCACCATGTTGGCCAGACTGGTCTTGAACTCCTGACCTCAGGTGATCAGGTGGCCTTCCAAAGTGCTGGGATTACAGGCGTGAGCCACCCTGCCCGGTGTATAATCATTTTAAAATAAGAAGCTAAACATTAATGATGTAGCTCGTTTCAAAGTCTGAGAAGTCATTTATAATTATTGGAAATTAATTAATCCATGTTTAAAATGTATTGCTTTGGGCAGGTTATGATTCAGTAGCTTAAAAAAATAATCCATTACCTCTCAAAAAATACCACTCCGAAAAACTGAAAGATAGACATCAGCTGGTAGAGATCTTATAACATAGATCAAATATATTAGAAAATAAATTTTAAAAAAAATAAACAGTTCAAGGTAATAGTATAAAATAAAATATTATTATTTTTGTCTATCCAAAACTTAAAAGAAAATATTTTGATTTAGACATCTTGGTTGCCAAATATCTTCTCAGAAACCACTATCTGTTATTGTAGATTGTATCTTTGCAAATTCAAAATTTTACTTTAAGGCAGAGTCTCCCTCTGTCACCCAGGCTGGTGTGCAGTGGCACAATCTCGGCTCACTGCAACCTCTGCCTCCCAGGTTCAAGCGATTCTCCTGCCTCAGCCTCCCGAGTAGTTGGGACTACAGGCGCGTGCCACCACGCATGGCTAATTTTTTGTATCTTTAGTAGAGACAGGGTTTCACCATGTTAGCCAGGATGGTCTCTATGTCCTGACCTCATGATCTGCCCGCCTTGGCCTCCCAAAGTGCTGGGATTACAGGCGTGAGCCACCACACCCGGCCCAAAAATTTTAAATATTTTATTTTTTGTTTGATTTTTATTCCAATTTAGTTTTTTAAAAACATAGTTTAAAAAATAATTTTTATTAAAATTCAAAAATCAGGAAACTGCTGCTCTATCTAGTGCACGTAAAATATAATTTTTTTTTTTTTTTTTGAGACGGAGTCTTGCTCTGTCGCCCAGGCTGGAGTGCAGTGGTGCGATCTCGGCTCACTGCAAGCTCTGCCTCCTGGGTTCATGCCATTCTACTGCTTCAGCCTTCCGCGTAGCTGGGATTACAGGCGCCTGCCACCATGCCTGGCTAATTTTATATATATATATATATATATATATATATATATATATATATATATATATATATATATATTTTTAGTACAGACGGGGTTTCACCATGTTAGCCAAGATGGTCTCAATCTCCTGACCTCGTGATCCACCCGGATCAGCCTCCCAAAGTGCTGGGATTACAGGCGTGAGCCACCACGCCCAGCCAAAATATAATTTTTTTTTTTTTTGAGATGAAGTCTTGCTCTTGTTGCCCACGGTGGAGTGCAATGGCGCGATCTCAGCTCACTGCAACCTCCGCCTCCCCGGTTCAAGCGATTCTCCTGCCTCAGTCTCCCGAGTAGCTGGGATTACAGATGCCTGCCACTGTGGCCCGCTAATTTTTGTATTTTTAGTAGAGATGGTGTTCACCATGTTGGCCAGGATGGTCTCGAACTCCTGACCTCAGGGGATCTGCTCACCTTGGCCTCCCAAAGTGCTGGGATTACAGGCGTGAGCCACCGTGCCCAGCCTATAATTTTTTATTAAAATACTTGATTAATAATGTGAGAAATACATTTGCTATAATGAACAGGGTACAGCTGGGTTTAAATTTTATTTTTATGTACATGGAATTCTGTTGAAAGGAGAAATAAAAATGTCGGTTCTTATCACACAGACAGCATGAAGAAATGATACACATTTTTCTACTTCTCTTTGTGTTTTTGGTTAGAATTTCTAAACGCTTGTCTTTTCTTGGGCCAAATCAGAATTGCCTCGAAAAATTCCGTGCTGACAGATTTTCCAGCAGTGGCTTGAGTTTCAGTGTGGCAAGTGGAGTTGATTTCTGTTCTACAATTAAAATGTCACAGTTAAGAAAATTGATTAAAAAGGGAACACAAGGCCGGGCGCGGTGGCTCATGCCTGTAATCCCAGCACTTTGGGAGGGGGCGGATCACGAGGTCAGGAGATCAAGACCATCCTGGCTAACACGGTGAAACCCCATCTCTACTAAAAACACAGAAAATTAACGGGGTATGGTGGCGGGCGCCTGTAGTCCCAGCTACCCGGGAGGCTGAGGCAGGAGAATCGCTTGAACCCAGGAGGCGGAGGTTGCAGTGAGCTGAGATCACGCCACTGAACTCCAGCCTCGGTGACAGAGCGAGACTCTGTCTCAACAACAACAAAAAATATAGGAACACAAGCATGTCCTAAGGAATTCTTTGAGCCTAGTTGTTGTTTCTTATGTTTTAGTTTTCAAAATGAAACCAGATTAATGTATAAATTTGAAATTAGTTTTCCTATCTATGATATATTTTGTAATTATGAAAATTTTAGGGTGCCATACATTTATTTTAAACTGTTTATTTTCCAGCAGAATTTTTGGGTCCCAGTGTTTTGTAGACTTTATTTAGGATGCTCATCGTCCTCACGTCTCCTATCTGAAAGCACCAGCAATCATCTTAGTGTCAGCTTCTAGTTAAAATTTCCCCATAATCCACTCACCAGAATTTGTTGCATGACTTCTAGTCCTTCTCGGAGAATGCTGAATACCAAAAGCCATAAAGCTCACTGGTAAAACCATGCCTTTTTCTGTTTCTCTTCTTTAAAGAACTTTCTCCTCTGGTTGTTCTGTGTGCGCAAAACTTGTGTATCAGGTCTTATTCTCACTCAACCAGTATTTTTAAATATGCCTCAGTCATCTCGAACATAGTAATATAATGTACTAAAATTACTAAATTTATCGCTTAGGTTAATATTCCAGGCAACATGCAAATTGATATATTCACATGTACCTCAGGCCTGGAAAACAAGTTCCAGCTTAAACCTTAAAAAGAAATCTCATAAATTTTAATTGTACTTTCTATTAACATGTAATTAGCGTTCTTGATATTTCTGGAGCTGAAGGGGTATATGATTATGGATTTGCTATAGGGAGACTTGTGTGTTTTCACACAGATAAGCCATATGGCCAAGAAGCCATCGTGTACTGTTTACTGTATGTTAGAATCAGATGAATTTAATTGAAAAGCACAGTTATCTAGGAGCTTTGACAATTACTTGGAATTTATTTAGTGGCTCAACTCTGGCCTTCATAGATGTTACATAGCTATGGTAAATGTTTGCAATAAACTCAGCAGCATATATTTCTGGGTGATGAGGACAGCCCATTAGTGGAAGACTCAGGATCATTTTCTATGACAACTCTAGAAACTTAATCAGTTTCAGCCAATGCTTCCTTAAGAATGTGCTTATACCTCCTTGGCGTGGGAGATGCCTTTAGGTGTTGCATTCATAAATTTTTTAATAGTTATATATTTATGTTAATGTTTATTACAATTAACATAATTGTAAGCCCACGATTTCACATATATTATTTCTTAAGGTAAACAAAGAAAAAACTGTAAATTTACTTAAATAAAATATTACATAAATAAAACTACATAATATGGGCCGGGCGCGGTGGCTCACGCCTGTAATCCCAGCACTTTGGGAGGCCAAGATGGGTGGATCACGAGGTCAGGAGATCGAGACCATCCTGGCTAACACGGTGAAACCCCATCTCTACTAAAAAAACAAAAAAATTAGCCAGGTGTGGTGGTGGCAGGTGCCTATAGTCCCAGCTACGCAGGAGGCTGAGGCAGGAGAATGGCGTGAACCCAGGAGGCAGAGCTTGCAGTGAGCCGAGATCGCGCCACTGCACTTCAGCCTGGGCGACTGAGCGAGACTCTGTCTCAAAAAAAAAAACAAAAAAAAACAAAAAACTACATAATATGTTAACATTATATGAAAATGGCAAAAAATTTTGAACAACTTTTTTGAGGGAATGAATTTTGTGAAATGATGTTTAAGATGTGGAGAAGAGTGTTAACACTAGAAGGAGGCAGAAGAAAACAGAAAATATAGTAACGCTTATTACTATAGGTACCATTTTATTGATGGTTATCTCATTTAAACAACTTCAAACATATGAGGTAGGTATTATTATCATAATTTGCAGGTTATAAACTCTTAAGTAAGTAGTGGAGTCAGAATTCAAACACAAGTCTCTCTGCTTCCAAAGCCCATACATTTTTCTCCTCAAAGAAAGAGAAAATAGAGAATCAGGCCAAATAGACATTTAGGAAGCTGTGTTTGATTTCTGGGTCTGGTACTGACTGAATAGCTTATTAACAAATTGTTGCCTCCTATTTTTCATCTTTAATGGGCACAAGGACTGACCACTTGTAGTTTGCTTTGCAAATGCCAGAAGCCAATACCTGTAATATATACAGAGGTTTTCAAGTGAAAGATAAAGGCCGATTACTATATTATTATTTAAAAAATTTTAATTTAGCTCAGTAGTTCATCAGATCAAAGTATATTTAATAAAATATACAGGTGTTTCGGTGAAACCCCGTCTCTACTAAAAATACAAAAAAAATTAGCCAGGTGTGGCGGCAGGCGCCTGTAGTCCCAGCTACTCGGGAGGCTGAGGCAGAAGAATGGTGTGAACCTGGGAGGCAGAGCTTGCAGTTAGCCGAGATCGCGCCACTGCACTCCAGCCTGGGCGACAGAGAGACTTCGTCTCAAGAAAAAAAAAAAAAAAGGTGTTTTATAAAAATAAACAGATGTTTATGGGCGGTGTCATTCTAACTTTATTTTGTTGTTTTGATCAACAGTACGGTTCTTTGAACTTAATTGTAAGATTTATGTTGGGGAAAACTCAATAGCAACTAATCACAAAAACCTGGCAATAAACAGAAATGTGGATAAGGAGGAAAAGCAGTATCAATTTTAAAAATAACTCTTAATAAAGTCTAGTTCAAAACTCCTCTTCATTACTTCTCTCAGAAAAGAGCCATACATTTTCAGTACAATTGAGAGTCTTGATTTTTCAATATATTCATTATATTAGTCTGTTCTCAGTCTGTAATAAAGACATATTTGAGACTGGGTAACTTAATTGACTCACAGTTCAGCCTGGCTGGGTAGGCCTCAGGAAACTTACAATCATGGCAGAAAGGGGAAGCAAATATGTCCTTCTTCACATGGCGGCAGGAAGGAGAAGTGCAGAGCGAAGAGGAAGAAAGACCCTTATAAAACCATCAGATCTGGTGAGAACTCAATCACTGTCATGAGAACAGCATGAGGATAACTGTACCCATGATTCAATTACCTCCCACCAGGTCCCTTGCAGGACACATGGGGATTATGGAATTACAATTCAAGATGAGATTTGTGTGGGGACACAGGCAAACCATATCACTCATTATAAACATGCCAGTGAAATTGAGGTGTTCTTCCTCTTCTCCCTCAGGCCTCCAACAAGAACCATTCCACACATCCCCAAACACTTTCACATGCACCACACATACACATACCACAAATGCATAAAGAACATGTGCTCCTCACACACACCACACCTATACAACTCACACACACAAACCCCACACATACAACTCACACACACAAGCCCCACACATACAACTCACACATGCAGCAAACACACACACACATACACACACCACTGTACTGACACCAACACCATTTGTGCCACACAAATGTACACACCACTCCATACATACCACATCACACACCAAAGGCACTATACACATACACACACTACTCCACACACCACACCTTGAACAGGTACCACGCGTATACCACAGGCACCACACAAATGCACACACCACTCCCAATACACTCCCACACACACCACCACCATCCATATGTACAACCCCACACAGTCACGCCTTAGAAACCAGGAAATGAGAGAAATAAGATTGCTTATTGACATTTAAAATTTTAAACCTATGTTTAATAAATCAAAGTTGAAGTACACTAAATTGCCTTAAAGCTCTGTTTTCAAAATGCAGGAGAGTTTATGAGTAACCTGGGATGCTTACTAAAAATACAATAATGGCCCTGCCCCAAATTTGAAGTAGAATCCCCAGGGAAGAACTTGAAATCTGTGTGTTTAATGCACCTCTTAGGTAAACCTTTTTGAGAAAAGATGATTCCCTAGTAAGACTTGTTTGTCACATGAGCGGGGCAGGGATGGATTTTCCTGAAACTGATGACACTTCAGGCCCCCCAAGTCCTAGGCTCCTCATATTCAAAACATCTGTGAATAATATCTACATCATACGTTTGAAGAAGGTGTTCTCTCGGGTAGTAGGAGGGGACAGCAGCCTCTGTCCCAAACTTGGGGTAAGGGATCCCTTCTAAACGGAGTGAGGTCAGTCCTGGGGCTGAGGGCAGGGCTCCTGCTACCAGGGCTACCTCCACTTTCACCTCCATCAGCAGAAACCTGACCCTGGTCACGTGGAAATATGCTGTTGCTATTTGACCCCTAGGAAATTATCTGGACCAGAGACTGAAACACAGCTTGGAGGCTGCTAGGACCACTGCCTCCCTGCAGGACTGCTGTTCTTACTGGAGCAACTGCAGTAGCAGAGGGCCTTGCAGGTGACATCAGAGATATGGGCTTCTCCATGGGACCCTTGCCCTGCTATTTGTCCCCTAGTGCCTGAGGAAGAAACAAGGGAGGAAGAAACAGATGTGGCATTACAAAACAACTTGAGAAGCTAAACTTCTCTAAACCTCTATAAAAAAAGACAAAAGACTGAAATATCTTTCCATTCTCTCTATAGAAAAAATTGTAATTGTATGAATAAGGGATCAAAAAATGTAGTAAAAATATTACATAGTGCATTAAGCAGTTAATATTAATATTCATGCAAATATATGATTTCTCTTTATTTTGTGTTGCTTTTCGTATTAGTCTTCTACATTTGTAAATGTTAGTGATTTGTCATTCTAAATTAATGACCACTTTTATACCAAATTTTGTATTCATGTTTTTCAGAGAGATCCAAGTTATATAAACTTCAGTGCCAACCAAACCTGGATCTATCAATGGAATTATAGAAAATAAACAATCACACCAACATTGCCAAATTTTATTAATGAACTCATTATCTCAGGGAGATGCTGCTTTGCCCAGCTATGCCAGTTTCCTGCTTACTTCTCAGAGATACCAATTGTGTAGATTGAAACCTGTGTCTGTCAGTCAGAATCAGATTCCACTAAATATCTAAATCATATCCCACGATCATCAGCCACTTCCTGATGACTTGGCCTTCCATATAGATTTTTAAGAAGAGAGGATGTGCTGATCAGTTCTAGTTTCATTGGCTGACGTGTGCTGGCACATTAAGAACCTGGTTTATTTATCAGTCCCTTGTGATCTGTTAGTGTGAATCTATGCTTTGGAAAGTAAGTCACTCTGGGACAGGAAATCAAACTTTTAAACTAGAAAAACTACTGAGAGGCAGATGCTGGACCTTGCTGTATGCACCAGGGCAAACATTTCCTATGGAGAAGCGTTCATTATACCAACTGCTAAAGTCTCACATCTGAGTACCTCTCAGGGCATTGCTCTCTGCTAATGAAAGCTGCCTCATCCAAGTTTACAAATGCTCACTAGGGGTAGATAACATCCAACGACTGCTGAATGTGGGAGATTAGTGGAGGCTTGGCCTTTCTTGTCTAATCCAAAATAACTCTGAAGACCCATTCTTGCTTCATAGCTCCCTGTGAGATCTTGTGAGGCTTGTTGCTACTGCATTGAAATTCTATCCAATCCTGCCTCTCTCACTCCCTTATAGGTGTTTGTCCTAAGATCATTTCCCAATAAGATTACTGCAAGCAAATTTCTGTTTCTTAATCTTTTTCTTGAGAACCTTGACTAAAACTGTAATATACATTCATTATTTTTTACTTTGAAATGTGACTTGTCATTTAAATTAATGTTTGAGCTTCTGATTTCCATCTTGTCTTTATTAGTGATACCAACAAAATAATATGTCCCATTCATGCAGCCATAAAACTGCTAATCTGAAATCTAGTTACACAGTCCCTTAGGTTTAAAGTGTATGGTTAAAGGCACAAATGCATGAATGACTAGTAGAATCATCAATGACTAGTAGAATCATCAATGCCTGGTAGAATCATCAATGCCTGTTAACATATTGCAAGTGACATATTACCAAGTTTCTTGACTGACTGGTCTAAATAGTTTCTCTTATAGTTTATTTAGAAATTCTAGTTTAGACATTGAGATATTACATAAAATTTAACTCAAGGAAGGCCATTTTATATATATATATATATATATATATATTTTTTTTTTTTTTTTTTTTTTTTTTTTTTTTTGAGATGTAGTCTCACTCTGTCACTCAGGTTGGAGTGCAGTAGTGTGATCTTGGCTCACTGAAACCTCTGCTGCCCGGGTTCAAGCGATTCTCGTGCCCCAACCTCCCAGGTAGCTGGGACTACAGATGCGCACCACCATGCTTGGCTAATTTTTTTGTATATTTAGTAGAGACGGGGTTTCGCCGTGTTGGCCAGGCTGGTCTGGAACTCCTAACCTCAAATGATCCACCATCCTCGGCCTCTGAAAGTGCTAGGATTACAGGCATGAGCCACCGCGCCTGGCCAGGCTGTTGTATTTCAGTGTTCCTTTCAACCAAAAGCAGCAAGTACCTCTTGTGAAAACAAACATAGTGATGGCTTACAGTGGTGATGGCTTTTGGGGTTGTCAGATGTCCAATATATTTAGGAGGATTTATATGACTCAAAAAATCTAAAACTACTTCTACATTTGAATGAAAGAAATGAGAGAAATAATATTTCTGTGGTTTTGTAGATTAAAATCCAGGTTGTTTCTGCTTCATAAGCTAAGAAAACCTGTGAAAAGAAAACATTAAGTTATCTTCATCCAGGGCATAGATCACGCAGTTGCTAGCCAATTCCCTCTTACCTCTCTTATGTCAAAGTGATTTGTGGATTTTTTTCCAAAGACTCTGTTGTTAATCAAAGTGAGAATAATGCCATTTCTCCTTAGGCAAATTGTGTGTATTGCCAAACCTACTACTGCTTATTTTAATTTGTGGAAATCATAACTGACCCATTGTGTATGTGCCAGTTGAGAAATATGCTACATCTGACCTATTTATGGGACTGATTAGAGGCCAGAAAAAAGGCTCATGAAATTCCACTCTGAGGGCAAAATTTCTCTCAAAAAATTTTTTGAAACTCATCTCTATATTTAAATATGAGGGCCAGTTAGACATTGGCTGGAACAAAATTTTTCTTATCTTGAAAGTGTATTTTTAAGGAAGCAGTAGTAGATATTTTCAGTATGCTTTGTTTTGTGAAAAACTGGAATTATCAACTGTATAGAAGTAGAATTACTCTGGAATATTTAAATGGACAAGAAAAATTTCAAACAATATAAAATATATCAATCTTATTAAAGACAGCATATCCTGATGGGAGATAGAATTATAATTTGACTAAGAGATTACAAGGTAGTGAAACAATTTCAGTTTTCTTTAATTGTGGGAGACATGAAAATATCTTGTTATTCAAAGAAATGCTATGACATAATTAAAATACACATTATTATATACGTTAATGCACCAAAGCATTAAAATGTCAAAGTAATAGTCACACACACATAAGATTGTATATATCCCATTCTCCAAGATGTGTGGTACACTTCAAGGATAGGCTCCAGTCCATCAAAAATAGTGTGGCAAATCTGAAAATTATGTCATCTGAGATAAGCTTTCTTGAGGAAATTCATTCTTCAATGTCCCTTGATTCTAACTTAATGCTGGCACCTCATGTTATTGTCCTCAGTTTACTCATGGCTCTGCTTCCAATTTGAGGATTAGCTCTCTGGGTTCTTTTGGCAGTTCTTCTTGGACTGGTAGCATAACCATGCCTCCTTTGGGCTTCTCCCCAGGGATTTAGGCTTCTATTTCCTCCCTGCTCTATCTCTATACACCTGCACATACGTATCTGTGTGCTGGCCTTCATGGCAGCTTTAGTCGAGTAAGGTCCAGACTTACCCCATTTTTGTTTTAAACTCAGAGGGATGAACCAGAAAAATCATACTCCTTTCTCAATCCTGGGTCTACTTCCACTACTTATCTTCATTTCTCTTGTTTGGCTGTCTAAATGCATGTTTCTAAGGAGACATGGGGGAGGTGTGGAGAATATATTTGTATATTTATGTGTTTTGGAGGACCAATTATATAATTCAGTCATTTCAAAGAGAGATGTTATTCTGCCAGTTACCAGTTAGTTCCTACCCAACTTTTAAAACCCACTTAGGTCTTCTTAAACTGTTCAAATGTAAATAGTAGAGCATTAGGATCAGGAAAAGTATAGAAATATATCCAAGCAGAGGAGTTTGCTCGTTTTCAGAAGAATAAAATATGATTATCATTGTTGTACATATATATCTTGTTGGACACACTTTTTTTAATACCTATTTCATACATCAGAGGAAATGATATTTGATTTGCAAAAAAACACACCCATATGTCAATGAAAATGAAAATTCAGAGTCACAAATTTGGTCAAAGAGATACAGTAGTCAGTGCTTTTAAAGATTTTAAAAGTGGTCTTCAAGCAAAATCTGACACAAAAACTAAAAATGTGGAGCTGCTTTGATGGTGATCATGGTTGCGGGGTGGCAGGGGGATTGAGAGAAGACCTAATTGCCACCTCCAGTAATGGCAGCTAAGTCACCCCTTCAGAGAGCTGAATCCTCTTCAGATTGTCACTTGAAAACTGTATTAATCCAACCTTTTCATTTAACAGAAAAGGAATCTGAGGCATAGGGTTTAAGTGACATCACCAGAAATTCCCAGGTAATTTGTGGCAGAGACTTCTTAAATCCTACATTCCTCATTAACAGACTAGGAGTTCTTGCATCAAGACACATCAATATATGTACATATTGATCATAATATAAATATTGCATATTATTATGTACTATGATTTGTATGAATTTTATGGAGAAACAGTGTTTTCAAACTGTCTCTCAGTTTCCAAACAATTTGCAAACTGTTGATTTCTGAACCATATGAGTAATTTAAAGTAGCCTAGCCCATCCAGATATTTGATCAAAAATACTCCAGGATCTAGAGTCTCATTTACTGTAGTTCTGAATTAAATCATTCCATGGATGGTAAAGAAAATATAAATAGCTCCAAAGATCTTCTACATTTCTTCAAAGCTTAAGTTGGCTGCTGCTTGGCAATTTTAAGCTGATAAAGAATAAAGGCCACCCTATTTTAAGCTTTTTATCCAGTTAGCTGTTTGAAATGATTTCACAGTTCAGGCAGGGAGGCGAGCTGGGTAAACGTATCGTTCACAAATAAGTTCTGTAGAATCCAGTGTGGAAATGGAAGAAGGTAGAAGAATGTTTGGCCTTATGACAACTGTGGAATTTGAGTCAAAAATAAAAGTATGCTGGTAATTCCCCATTGCTCAGGGAGTGCCTGCCCAACCCTGGAAGTTATTTCTTTGTGTTCTGTTTTTAGAGGTTTCTAGCTCTGTTCTAAAAAAGAAAATATTGAATGCCATAGTAGGGCACTGAGTCCATCTTGAAGAAGAAGAAGAGCATAACTCTGTAATCTTTCTTGCTAGTCACTTCCAGTTGCTTTTTTTTGCCTCTGGGAAAAAAATGACAGATGCATGGATTTTCTTGCTTGTGGAATGGTTTCTTGCTTGCAGACTCCTTAAAGCAGAGAGGACACATTCATATTTGGGTTCCACGTTGTTGGTTCTCTGTGCAAATTAATTCTCAAGTCTAATAGCATATTCCCTTTATGATTTCTATGAAATCGTTATCCCTGCCTTGATTCACTGACTCATTTTATGCTATCAAGATGTAAACTCTTTGAGAAGAACATCCTCCTATCTGAGTATGCAGGTTTAATTTTACTGTCACAGCACACGTGTACAAAGTCAGATACAACCGGGAGAGTCATCGGCCCTCAAGATAGTCATTAGTCCATTGCAGGTAAGAGTAGGGCAAGATGGGAGGCAGTTGAAATTATTATTAGGGGTGAGGTATTGCATCACTGCAGACATTATAAAATGCTTCCTATGTGGAAGGGTGTAAACCTAAGGTGCAAAGTCCATGGACACTGAAAAGTGGCTGGGCTGGTTTAACAAGATGGGGCAGTGGGAGGAATGCACAGATTGTATTTAATCTCTCCTTTTATTTCCATTTCTCCCTAGATATCAACTCTTTCCTAACTATCCCAGTCCTTTCACCTTTAGGAATTTCCCTTTTATATTCTACCTGATAGACATTGGACTCCGGACGACCAATTCTCCCCTTTTATATCTTTAGTTAACTCTTACCTGCCCTGTCCTCTGCCAGGAAAGTATTAAACTATTTTGGGTTAAAGTGCTCAAGTGCAGCAGTGCTGAAGTATAAGCTGAATAGGCTTTAGAATCAGGCAGGCCTGGGTTCTATGATTTCCCTTGTATTTCCTATGTGGCTTTAGGCAAGTTATTTGAACTATCTGAGTTTCAAATTATCAGTAAAACATGGATAATAATGTATAGCTAATAGAGTCATTTTGAAGATTAAGTGAGATAAGATATGTAAAGGAGCTAGTATTCAAAAACTTAGTTTCTTTTTTTCCTTTCCATTTTACTACCAATACTATCCAAAATTTATAGATTATCAGAAGTTTTAAATATCTGAAGTATCTAATGGTGGAAATTTTGAACATGAAAGACATCAATGAAGTGATTTCCAAGGAAAATTCCTTTCTGAGAGCTTTTCAATGATGTATTTGAGTCTGTTTGTGTGTTAAGGAGTATGTGTAGGCACAGAGAGTATGTTGACTATCTTCTGATTAAGACTTCATTTTTCCATGCTTGCCTTTGCCCCAGGATGATGACTCATTTATAATCTTTATCACCTGGCTCCTGCACCCTCTGGCTTTTAATTAGGCTGAGCCTTTAGAGAACCACTGCGAAAGATCTAGATGTTTTTATTTCCCTTGATAGCTTATGGGAAGTTTGCCTAAGGTGGCACTGCTGCTTGAGGCAATCAAGGTTCCCATGTCCTCCTGCTTCCTGGTGTGCTGGAAAACAGAGGAAGGAAAGAGACTCTGCCAGATCCCCTAGGGCTGCTGTGCTCTCCTTGGAAGGTCGCTTACCCTTTCAAGGTGAACTTCTCCACATGGCTCTCTCCCAGTTTCAATAACTTCTTCCCTGTGTCCTTTTGGACTTAGGGGTGTTAACTCCTTACCAACTTAGCATTCTTACACTACCCATTGTGATTCTCCTACACCCACACCTCTGTAAATAGTCTTTTTGTAAATACATCCTACTCAAGTTATCCTGATTTGAGTGTGCTATCTGTTCTGTATTGGAATCCTGATTTATACACAACATAAACAGAGTGGAATCAAAGAAGAGGACTCATTCCTGTAATGCAAGTTAACAAGGTTAGTAAGTCAGGCTTCCAAAATTTATTATGTTTTCTAGGACATGTTTTGATTTGAGGTGTGTCTGAATAACAATCATCATTGTTTAAACCTCCTGTATGATCTTGCTGAATGCTTAATGAATGTTACTTGGAAGGCAGGATCCAAAATCATGGGAGAAAGATGAGAAAATAGCCACAGGAGGAAAACAGATGTATGGAGTGCACTTTCATGAAGATATTCAAATACAGTTGTTGAAATAAATTTGCATTTTTTTAAACAATTGTGCTCTTAATTATGATGAATTTCTCTTCAATTTTTCTGACCTCAGTGCTTTATCTGGGTTATAGAGTTTCCTTAAACCCCTTAGTCTGCATACTGGAAAAGTCGCACTTCAGACTACTGGAAACTAAACAAATAGTAGGAAGACATCATCTGCTAATTCTATGAGTCCTCTTCTTCCTGTTGCATCTGGCTCTTTTAGATTTGGTTTTGAAGAGACTTGATGAGGCAAGATTAGACAGAAGAAGAAATTTCATGAACATTTAGGAGCCCAGAATGATGGTGGCATTGATGTAAGGCCATACCAGGTGTGGTCTCTTTTTGGCCCAATCTTAAAAACCCAGCCTTCAGACAGAACTTATTTTTTTTAATATATATGAAAATGGAGTCCAAACAAGAAACTTTTATTAGGCTAAAGAAGAATTCTTATTTTTTAACTCTCTTGGCATTTTTATTTAACAAAAGACTAAAGAATGTGGCAAAGCAACATTGAAAATACCAATTTTTCCTCTTCCCAAGGCTTGTAAACTTTAATTTGAACTTTAAATACCTTTTCTACTTCATATTACTCATTTGACAGCAATTGTTTTAAGATACGGATTCGTCTTTCCTGGCCATCTTCTATTTGTTTAACATAATAATATACTTAAACCATGCATGTTTCACAGAGAATTGGCAAGATTTTAGATATCTGCCGTTTGATTGGTGCTGCATTAACCTAGAGTATAACAAGCCCGGTGATGGATGTACAAGTGTCTACACTCATTAAACTTTGTATTTGCAGAGCAAATAAGTGCAGTTATGACACATATGTGAACACAGACGGACAGAATTCGCTTTTTTACTGTGTGGCCAGTAATACAAAATAATTCAAAGAGAAAAGATTCGTTTCTACATGGCTCCTCAGAAATGTTTGTTTTATATTATAACATAATATGTGTTAAAACAGGATGATCTCAGCCACTGTTTTTTTTTAACTGAGTATTTATTTCCCAAAACTATTTGCTTACCTTCTCACAAAATAATTCTCAATCTTACATTTACTGGGGAAGAGCTAATTATTTCCTTTACTTGATTTAAGAAAAATCTTTTATGTAGACATATTATATCCTGATGTTTAAAAAATCCATTAACAAGGTCTTTAACAAGAACCTATATATTTTGGACTTCAGGTGGACATTTTGTAGTACACAGAAATTTGACTTAAATATTTGGTGTTAATCTGGGTTGTACTAGGAACAAAGTGATCCATGGGAAGGGGTATATCAGTTTTTGTTGTTGTTGTTGTTGTTGTTGTTTTAAACTTAAGCTCGTACTTTATAACAAGAGGATTTTCTGTCAGTTTAGTTTTGTTTTTTAAGACAGGGTCACTCTGTCACCCGGGAGTGCAGTGGCGTGATCATGGCTCATTGCAGTGACCTAGAAGCGATCCTCCCACCTCAGCCTCCTGAGTAGCTGGGACAGCAGGCATGCACCACCACACCTGGCTGATTTTTGTACTTTTTGTAGAGATGGGATTTTGCCTTGTTGCCTAGGCTGTTCTCAAACTCCTGAGCTCAAGCGATCCTCCCACCTAGGCCTCCCAAAGTGCTGGGATTGCAGGTGTGAGCCACTGTGCCTGGCCAAGAGTATTTTAAAAATCTTAATAATGATAACAAAGGAGGTGATACATTTCCTTGATAGTAATTCTTTTACGGATAAATGTTAACTGTAGAGTTCTTTATGGATCAATATTGGGATGACTCAGTTATCAATTTCTTTAACAACATATGCAATGGGAGCCCATTGTGGGGGCAAGTGAGAGATAAGACAATAAATCAGATAGCATGTGCTGTGTGAGTAGGCACAAAAGAAGATGGGATATGAGCATTTCTAAGTTAAACCTGCTGAAGAGCACAACTGCTCACAACTTAATAATTTAGGAATGGAACCATCAGAAAGTGAAGAGGCACGTAAAAGGAACAGAAGCACAGGCATCAGTACAGTACTGTTTGACAAAACATATCACAATTAATTGTCATGATGTTTGAAAAGCCTACTATTATTAATTCTGAAAATTAATAATGTACATATTAAACTATCTGAGGGTTGTAAAAAGGTATACCATGAAAATAAATTCTCTTGCTACCCCAATCCTGTATTCCCGTTTACTTTCTCAAAGATAACCATGGTTACAGTTTTTTTTTTCTTTCTTATGTTAAACATAATTTTTTCATTAGAATACCTTCCTCTGAGATATTTTTTGGTTGTATACTGAGCAGGGGGTCTAACTCTCAGGAGATCCCTCCTCATCAAAAGTTAGTGCTTGGTCACTCTAGAAACTCTAGGGAGGCAAGGTAAGATACCTTGTGTGAGAAGTCTCTAGAAGATAATGCTTCTAATGGTTCCGTTTCAAATCAAATGACCTTGGAAAAAGCTCTGAGGATCTTTTTCTTTCTGGAAAGGGACTAGGCTTTGAACTTGGATTTAGGACCAGTACTAACCTATAATCTTAATTTGGATCTCAAGGATTTATTGTGGTTTACATGCATAGTTCTGAATGCAGTTTAACTCTCAAGGCACATGTGGTTACAGGATAAGTACAGACAGAAGAGCATTATATCTCTGTCTGGCTTATTTTCCAGCTAAATTTGAATGACAACAGTCAGCACAAGTCTTGACTTGTTCTGCATTAGTTATTCTGTACAATGTATTCTCTTTGAGTAATAACTTCTTAAATAGTCAGAAATCTAGCATGATGTTTTTGATCAGTGTCCTTCAATTAGCTACTGTATGGCATGCTTAGTTGCATCATCCTTTCAGTCTGACCTTTGAGGTGATAGAAACTGACAGTAAAAGATCAGATCTGTTTCCTGCTCACAAACACCTTTAAATCTCCTTAGGTAAAAGCTGATCGGTTATTAGAAATTATAACAGATAACAAATTGTGAGTTACTAGTAACTGGCTTTCAGTTACAATTCCTGTGGTGTGGGGTGAGAAGGAAACTTCCTTTTCACTGTACACATTTGGACAACGAAATTGTCGAATTGCGGAATTGGACTTTGCAAATGTGTATGGTGAGTAGGAGTGAGTGACTTCCTTTTCATTGTACACATTTGCAAATTCCAATTCTGCAGTTCCACAATTTCATCGTGCAAATGTGTACAATGAAAAGGAAGTCTCCTACTCACTCTACACCACTAGCCTTCCGGCTCCTCCCAGGCCCAGCAACAACCACTGCTAATGGTTTCTTGTGCATTTTCCCAGAATTTTCTGTTTATGTAAAATATATGGATGACGTAATTCTACAAATATATAAGATAATTTCACGTAAACAGAAATGTATGTAACATGTATTATATACAGTGTCCTGTATCTTGCCATTTTTACTTAACATTTTATTTTGGAGATTTTTTTTGTCCATGTCACACTTGGATCTATTTCATTCTTTTTAGCAGTGGTATAATACTAATGTATTTACTTAACCAGTTTTTTAGCTATGGACATCCATATTTTATCTTAATATTTGATTTACAGATTCTGAAGAATACCTGCACTTCCATTTTTGCTTACATATTTATTTTCTCTGTGAAATTGCTGAAAGAGACGTGTGCAGTTAGAATTTTGACAGTCAATGTAGATATTGCCAAATTACCCTCCAAAGAAGCCTGCACCATTTTTACTCAAATCAGCAGTTATGATAAGGCCTATTTTTCCAGATTTATGCCAATATCATGTATTATCAATATTTTTCATCATTGTCATAGTAAAAGATAAAAAGTGTACTTCATTTCTGTTTTACAATCAAATATATATGGTCAATTTGTCTTTTTTCTGTTTGAGTTATTGTTGTTACTTTCCTATTTTTCTAGTGGGTTGATGGACTGTTGTATATTAAGAAAATTGAAACATATTTAAATGTGTTTTAAATAAACTCTCACAGTGTTTTTTTTTTTTTGCCCTTCTAATTAATTTTTTTGCCATGTAAAAATTTGTAATGTTTATGAAAGTAAGTCACTTAATGATTTCTTTTATAAATTCCTGGACTTTATGCCTTGTTTAGAAAGGTCTTTCCCATTCCAAGATCGTTTCCCCCAATTGCCCCATTGTTTTCATAGCATAGTTTTGGTTTCATATTTTATTTTAAAATATTTCATATTTTGGGAATTTATTTTTATGGAAAGGATTTAGTTTTTTTTCACCCACACATGACTCACTATTTTCAGTCTCACTATTGATGTACCTCACCTTTTCCAGCTGATTTGGAAAGTGACATTTATCATATGCTAAATTTTCATAAACATTTGGCTCTATTTGGGGATTGTACCCCTATGATCTCTTTGTTCTTGAAGAACTGCCATATTTTAATGCATGTTTTAACAACCAAAAGAACTAGTTCTCCATCACTACTCTTCTTTCTTTTATGTCTATTCTAGCATGCTTAGATTTTTTTTTTTTTTTTTTAAGACGGGGTCTCACTATGTTGCCTAGGCTGGAGTGTAGTGGTGCCATCTCAGCTCACTTCAGCCTTGACCTTCCTCCCACCTCCACCTCCCACAGGCTTGCACCACCTCACCTGGCTAATATTTTTGTATTTTTAGTAGACATGGGGTTTCGCTATGTTCCCCAGGCTGGTCTTGAACTCCTGAGCCCAAGTGATCCACCTGCCTTGCCCTTCCAAAGTGCTGGGATTACAGGTGTGAGCCACCACACCTAGCCATATTTTTGTCTCTTTATTTTCTATTTTCCCCATATAATTCTAATGAGGTTCCAAAATATAAAATTTCACTTATACTTTTGTTAGCAATCACATTGAATTTATGAAATAATTCATAAATAATTAATTCAGGGTGATCTACAGTCATTACAATATAGTGTCTTTAAATCCAAGAACAAGAAATATTTCTTATTTTTTTCTTATTAGGTAGGATTTTCAGGTTTTCTTTACCTAGGTTTTGTTTCAGAACATTTATTTGTTTATTTCTATTATTTTATACTTGTGTAGCTTTTGCAAAGGGTAACATTTCTTCTTTTGCATTACACTTTTAAAAAATATGTGTAGGAAAGCTATTGATTTTTCTGAAATAATTTTTGAAGTAGCCCCATTCATAAGTTCTCTTATGGCTTCTAATAATGTTTCTGTTGATTATTTTGTGTTTTTCAGGTAAATAGATTTGTTTTAGGTAATATGCATGATGCAAAAACTTTTGGGAAGTGACTTTGTTCTACAATTAATTGTAGTCATGACCAAGATTCCCATGGTCCTAATCTCTGTGTTGTTGTGTTGTTTTTGAGACAGGGTCTTGCTCTGTCACCGAGGCTGGAGTGCAGTGGCATGATCATGGCTCACTGAAGCTTTGAACTCCTGGGCTCAAGCCATCCCCCCACCTCAGCCTGCCTAATAGCTGGGACTATAGGTGTGTATCACCACACCTGGCTATTTTCTTTTTTTTTGAGACGGAGTTTCGCTCTTGTTGCCCAGGCTGGAGTGCAATGGTACGATCACGGCTCACCACAACCTCCACCTCCTAGGTTCAAGCAATTCTCTTGCCTCAGCCTCCTGAGTGGCTGGGATTACAGGCATGTGCCATCACACCCAGCTAATTTTGTATTTTTAGTAGAGACGGCGTTTCTCCATGTTGGTCAGGCTGGTCTTGAACTCCTGACCTCAGGTGATGCGCCCACCTCGGCCTCCCAAAGTGCTGGGATTACAGGGTTGAGCCACCACACCCGGCCCACACCTGGCTATTATTTTTATAATTTTCTAGAAATGAGGTCTCATATGTTGCTGAGGGTGGTCTTGAACTCCTGGGCCTAGGTGATCCTCCTGCCTCCAGCTCCCAAGGTATTTGTTGCACTGCCTCCATCCAGGGAAAAATTTTTATCAGGCATCTATATCCCAACCCATTGATGGTGATGGGAATGGAACGGCTCTGCCTAGAGACAAAGTTAAAATTCTTGTGCTACAGGTACTGTACAATTGGCCTCTAATAGTCAAAACAACCCCATGTGTATGTGCATGCAAGTACATATAGATAGATACATGTGTCTATATACCTATGCATATACACATGTATAAACTTTTACATGTGTATACATAGCACTTTTAAATTTAAATTTAAATTTTGAACAGATAATATATCCATATGGTTAAAAAAATTTTAAAGTACAAAAGATATACAAAATAAAAGTACAAAAAATCTCCTTTCCATCCCCGTTTCCAGATCCCAAATTTCTCTCATGGGAGTCAACCTATTTTATCGTTGTTATTTACCCTTAATTCTATGCACATACGGGCAAATACACACATTTTTTATTTTTCACACAAATGATGGTTTTCTCTACACACTATTTCTATACTTTATTTAGGGATAGAGGTCCATGAATAGGAAAGATAAAGATATAATACCAAAAACGTTTGCGATTCTTTTCCTGATGAACAAATCTGTTTTCTTCAGGTTTTATTCACTGTTACCCTCTGACCAGAGATGTCAGACAGAAATCCTAGGAGTTGGGACTGAAAGGCAAAGCAAAGGGATAGAGTCGCTTTGCTCCATCTGCCTGACTGACTTGGTTATCTAGCTAATCTGGTCCCTGTTCCCCTCTTCCCTTTGGATTTCTTCTATGGGGCTCCTCATTTCCCCATCGAGTCAAAACAATGATCCATCAGTCATGCACAGACATGTCTGGATCCAGCTGTGGGCTTTGCCATGTGTCTGTGCCAACTGGCATAAACGAGATGACCAGGACATGTTTATGAATGAATGTATGCATGCATTTTAAAAGAGCTCCCTGCTGATTCAGTCCCAAATCGCTGCAGGATGCAACTACAGGAATTCAAAAAGACCACCCCACTATCTTAAACCAGAATACCTCTGTCGTATGGAGCACCAGTTTTCTTTTAATTCCCTCCAACAATTATCTTGGTACATAATTTAGAAATAAACAGTCTTGTTTTAAAGTTTTATTTTATCTTTCATTGACGCATAATAATTATACACATTTGTGGGGCACAGTGTGATGTTTCAATACATGCATACAATGTATGATGATCAAATTAGGGTAATCAGCATATCCATCACCTCAAGCATGTATCATTCCCTTGTAGTAAAAACATTCAAAATCCTCTCTTCTAGCTATTTTGAAATATAAAATATATTATTGTTAACTATAGTCACCCTATTGTGTAACGGAACATTAGAATTTATTGTCTTTTTTTTTTAATCGCATAGCAAAGGAGTTTAGTTCTACTTCATAGTTGAAAAACAGAATAATTTGTGTATGATGGAGTAACAACGTTTTAGGGAGACATAAATAATTTAATTGAATTCCAGTGTGCAACATTATATGATTGAGAATACAGCGTTGGAATGCAACCTTTAAAGGCAAGGCATGATGGTGTACTTTTTTCTGCATTAAAAAAAGCACGCCTTTTAAAAAATAGCAGTTTATTAGGACATAATTTACATGCATATATTTTACAATTTAAAACATGCAATTCAATGGTTTTTAGTATACATATAGAATTGTGCAACCATCATCATAATCAAATCTTAGAAGGTTTTCATTGTCTTAAAAGAAAGCTTATACATTTTAGTAGCCACTTCTTACCAGATCCCCTACCACCCTTTCTACCCTGCTGCCTAGCCCTAGACAACCACTAATGTATTCTGTCTTTGTAGGACTGTCAGTTCTGGACATTCATATACATGGAATCATGTGACAACATATGGTCATTTGTAACTTTTATTTAGCATCTTTTTGACTTTGGTATATATTGCAGCATGTATTAATACTTGATTCTTTTTTGTTAAATAATATTTTATTTATTGTCAAATACTGTTAAATAATATTTTTATTTTTTGTTAAATAATATTTTATTTTGTGGATATGGATATACAATGCCACATTTGGCCATTCACCAGTTTTTGGACACTTGGACTGTTTCAACTTTTGACTATTAAGAATAATATTGCAGTAAACACTGGTGTATAAGTCTTTGTGTAAACATGTTTTCAAATTTTTTATTTTTTTTTGAGACAGAGTCTTGCTCTGTTGCCCAGGCTGGGGTGCAGTGGCATAATCTTGGCTCACTGCAGCCTCAACCTCCAGGGTTAAACCAATCCTCCCACCTCACCCTCCCAAGTAGCTGGGATTACAGATGTGCACCACCACACCTGGCTAATTTTTGTATTTTTAATAGAGACAGGGTTTCACCATGTTGGCCAGGCTGGTCTCGAACTCCCGACCTCAAGCAATCTGCCCACCTCGGCCTCCCAAAGTGTTGGGATTACAGGTGTGAGCCATCGTGCCCGCCCTTCAAAATTTTATTCAGCATGTTATCTAGGAGTTAAATTGCTGGGTCATGTAGTAACTCCATTTTTTAACATTTTTAGGAACTGACATACTGTTTTCCAAAGTGACTATCATTTTACAATCCCACCAGCAATGTGTGGGAGTTCCAACTTCTCCACATCTTCATGAAAAATTTACTGACTGTTTTTAAAATTATAAGCATTCTACTGGTTGTGGAGTGGTATCTTGTTTTGACTCACATTTCCCTAGAGATAATTCATGTTGAACATCTTTTTGTGTCCTTAGCCTTTTGAATATGTTTTTAAGAAATGCCTACTAAAATTATTTGTGAATTTTAATTGGGATGTTTGTCTTTTTATTACTAAGTTGTAAAAGGTCTTTATTTTTCTGGATACTAGGCCCTCATCAGATACATGATTTACAAACGTTTTCTCCCTTCTTTCCCTTTCTTCAGATATCATATGCAGCAAAAACATTTTTAAATTTGATGATGTCTAGTTTATCTATTTTTTTCCTTCTGTCACTTGTGCTTTTGATGTTGTTTGTAGTTTTATCTCTATGATTCCTTTTGAATTATTTTTTCTGAATGATGTGAAGTGTCCAATTTTTTTCGTTTGCATGTATGTATCTACACAATTTTAACACATGCAAATGAATATTCAACAAGTAAGTAATTGCCTTCTTTCTTTTTCCCTATAGCTTATTGGGGTACAGGTGGTGTTTGTTTCCATGAGTAAGTTCTTTAGTGGTGATTTGTGAGATTGTGGTGCACCCATCAACTGAGCAGTATACACTGCACCCTATTTGTAGTCTTTTATCCCTTGCCCCCCTCAACCTTCCCCCCAAGTCCTCAAAGTCCATTGTACCACTCTTATGCCTTTGTGTCCTCATAGCTTAGCTCCCACATATCAGTGAGAACATACAATGTTTGGTTTTCCATTCCTGAGTTACTTCACTTGGAATAACGGTCTCCAATTTCACCCAGGTCGATGCGAATGCTGTTAATTTATTCCTTTTCATGACTGAGTAGTATTCCATCATATATATACCACAGTTTCTTTATCCACCCATTGATTGATGGACGTTTGGGTTGGTTCCACAATTTTGCAAGTAATTGCCTTATCTTGAGATCATTTGAGGCCTTTAATTCTCTCTATAGGACTGTAGTTAGTTTGACATGGGATGGGTCAATAAAAGCTCTAAAAAAATTAGTATTTAGGCTTTATTGCCATTTTACATAATGTATTAAATTCATCCATTTAAAAAATCATTCTGAGAACAAGTTGTGGCATGTTTATTATGTAAAGTTGTAAAAAATGTAATGTCACAAACGGACTGAGAGTGCAGCAGACAGAAAAGCCTTTTCTTTCTCAGTCGTTTCTTTGGTTTAACACATAAAATAACTCATTTGGCTATTCCTATCTAGAGCTCAGAATTCAAAAAAGTTTATCTGCCTAAATGGCAATAAGAAACTTTTACGATGAACACTAGTCAGAGAGAAAATAAGTGTTATCATAACAGCATTGAGAAGATATGTTTGCTTAGTTGTTCTCATTTTTTTCTTCTGGTGTTATGATTTAAAGTCTTAAATTCAGGTAAAAAGAAGTAAGCCTTCTTAATATGGAGTTTGAAAATGGCTCAGTTTTGTGCTCACAGAAAGGACAATGAATCTTCTTATGGGACATACATATGTATTAAATGAATTTTAATATTTTTTCTTTCCATATTGAATAAAATTGATAGTGGAAATGGATTAAACTTAAGGTCCCAAATTTTGGCAAAGGAGGATGGTGACATTTACATGGTGCAAAGTTAACTACTGAATGAAACATTAAACACAGCTTAATGTATACAAGTTAAAGGTGGTTAATACAAATCATCAATGGCCAAACCATTGAAAATGACTTCAACAAACCATTTTTGGTAAAGCAATTCCATGTAAATGACTTTACATTTTAATACATTACATTTTGCCCTCACAGTCAATAGAATTTCTTTGAGTATTATGTATTCAAGTCCAATTATCTGCATGGAGTCCAGATGGCTATCCAGAGAACACAAAAGACATTGGGCCAACTTCAATGATCCATCATGGATCAACTTAGGCTTCTCTTGTCTACCATCCAGTCTTAAATAGATATTCTCTCAGTTATTGATGGCAACTACCCCAAAAGGTTTTGGTCCAGTACTTCAATAAACGTGAACAAAACACATCTATCTACCTATCATCTATCTAATCACCTAATTTTTTTATTTTATTTTTTTTTGGTAATGAGTCATGAAGTTTTCATCCTGCATTTACATCCATTATAACTATTGGGAGTGATTTTGCTATGATTTGCTTTCCTCAGCTGTCATGGAGGCAGGACAAGGTGGAGTTGGCAATTATGCTCAAAATACTAGGGGATAGGATGAAATTATGGCAGTGAGTGTGGACTTTAGCATGCTTGCTCTACTTTCTTTCAACATGGGGATTATTTTTAGATATTAAGCGCCCTTTTGCATGATGTTAACTTGTTCATTTAGGAGAAAAAGTATCAGGAAACTCCAGGGGTGGAATTAATCTTGATGAATCAGCGCTACTTATGAGAAGTAGTGAAGCTAAAAACCAGCAAAAAAATAGTTTAGCAAAATGACTTTTGAAATGATTAAAATTAATTATTATAGCCTCTGGCAAGAGTTTAGCTTGAAACCAAGGAGGCTTTCATGTTCTGTCCTTCAGTTCAATTCAGCTTACCAAGTATTTAAATCCAAATTCCCCATTCGATCCTACCTTTCCTTCTCTAGTACTGTCCTATTTTTCCTAGGTTAGCTGCCTGATGCTACCTGGGGACCATTCTCTCCCTGTTCAGCACTGCATGATGTTCTCTAAAAGTCTAAGAACCATTTCAGTGCTACTGCATGTGCTAACCCGTCTTACTTTGGTTGATCTCCAGTTGCTTACACTGATTTTCTTGGTCATGAACTGAATCTCGGGAAAGGTAACTCACAGCCAGGAAAGAGGGCAGGGTGGTGCCATGACAAGCCCTTGGAAGAATTATTTTAGGACAGGTAAGCCAACCTCTTTGCCAATGAGTAATGCCTGCTATATTTAGAGTTAAGTAACACACATCCTTGCTCAGAAATACTTTCTGAGAGCTCCAGTAAAGGGCTTTTAAATAAAATTCCTGAGAAACTTTTACTTTCATTTAAATAAGCCTTTATAAGAGCAGAAGTATTAAGGTTCATGTAAGAACAATACTGCTGCTTCTCGTTGAGAATCTATGACAGACAACGCCTATGCTACCTCTTATTTCCATGCTATTTTCTAATTCTAGGCAACTTTGCAAATCACTGTATTTTCTCCTAAAACACGCCTATATTTACCAATTATGTTAGTGATTAAAGTCTTAGAGGATAGAGTTTTTGAGGGCAGGACAGACTTACCATTGTAGATGTTGGACCAAGGTGTTCTAAAAGGTAATGGTATTTCTAGGTATATACTGGACTAGTTAATAATAGAGTCATCAAACTATAGAACTGGAAGGGAACTGATACATTTAGCTTCCTTATTTTCCAGATACAAAAAATAAGCCCAAGATTTGACCAAGTAACAGAGTAAAGCAAAATGTCAAACTTAGGCTTGTTGACTTGCAGCCCAAGCAAAATGGAAATGGAATGGTAGGTTCTGGGTTTCCCTTTTTCCTCCACATTTTGTGCTGACTCATACACCCACATTTTCTTAGAGAAACCTGTTCCCCCCTCTAGGCTAAGGAGAAGGTGCATGGTGATTGGGAGGGCTGTAAAATTAAGCTCATGGTTTTTCCCTAAGAAGATTTGGGGGAATCTACAGTGGTTGCATGTGAGAAGAGGATTGTTCAGTATAGCAAAATCTAGTGTTCATGGCTTAGATTCCTTTTTAAAAAATACAGTACTAGGGAAAACCTTAGCCATAATTAATTTCACAAGAGGTTTTTTTTTTTTTTTCCTGTTGCCTTTTTTGTTTTGTTTTAAGGCTAATACTGGTTTCACTTAGTATCTCCTATCACTCTAGTAACTAGCCTTTTGTTATAAGGCTAATTCTGGAGTCTTTACAAATCTAATATTTCTCTTAAGAAATTAGGAAATACTGTTATAGTAGAAACATTCTCTTAAATACTCAAGTAGAAAACAATATTTTATTAATTTGGAAAAATGTACACTACTCATGTGACGGGTACAGCAAAATCCTAGACTTCATCACTATACAATTCATCCGTGAAAACAAAAGCCATATGTACCCCTAAAGCTATTGAAATAACAGCATAAAAAAGAAAGTATTTGTGCCTAATTACATATGGAATATATCAACATAGGATCATTTAATCATTGCAAATGAAGCTAAAATTCACTGTGACCACATCCATAATCACTTCTCAGAAACGACAGCTATTATCAGTTTGGTGAGAATTCTTCCAGCACTTTTTGTAGGGTATATACATGCATATTTATATCTGTAAAATACATCAATTTTTTTCTTTGCTTATGTTTTACAATTAAGTTGTAGCACACCGTACATAGTTTTAGGCAGTTTGCTTTTTTCTTTTTTCTTCCAACATATTTCTTAGAGTTTTGTTGTTGTTGTTGTTGGTAATATAGTAGATATACCATGGTTTATTTAGCAATTCCTCTATTTATGAACACTTAGGTTATTTCCAACTCTTAACCATTATTAATATTGTTGCAGTTTACATCCCTATACAGGCCTCTTTGTTTTTATGTGCCAGTGTTACTCTGGGTATATACAGGAAGTTGTCAAGTCATAAACTGAGCACACTTTCTTAGTTTTACAGATACTAAAGATTTTTCCTCCTAGGTGGCTGTATCACAGAGTACATGTGTAAGAATGTCAGTTTTCCCTCATTCTGGGCCATTCTTAGTATTTAAAAAAATTTGTGTTAACAAATTTGTATTGCTTCTGATATAAACAAAATATTTTTACTATCTTACTATTATGCATAAAGTTTACTTCAGGTTTTAATAGAATAGGATATTCCCTATCACTTTTGGTTTGCTGAGACCTTTTTTATTTGAACGAATAGACTTTGAAACTGACTGAATTGTTTTTTTCTGCATCAACTTTGATGGTAAAAATAAATTCTCCTTAAATTTTTAATGTAACACATTATGGCAATAAATTTTCTTATGTGAAATCCTCTTTGCATTTCTTGAACAAACTATAAAGAGTCATAATATATTAATTTGCTATATATTGATATATTCAGTTTTATATACATTTTATTCAAGATTTTTGAATCTGTGTTCATAACATTCTTTATTTTATTTTACTTTACTTTAAGTTCTGGGGTACATGTGCTGAACGTGCAGGTTTGTTACATAGGTATACATGTGCCATGGTGGTTTGCTGTACTCATCAACCCATCATCTAGGTTTTAAGCCCTGCCTGGATTAGGTATTTGTCCTAATGCTCTCCCTCCCCTTGTCCCCCACCCCCTGACAGGCTTCAGTGTGTGATGTCCCCCTCCCTATGTCAATGTATTCTCACTGTTCAACTCCCACTTATGAGTGAGAACATGCGATGTTTGGTTTTCCATAACATTCTTTTCTTGTGTACTGATTATTCCTTGTCTGATTTTTATTTCAGTGTTAGGAAAGACTTCTGCAATGAAATATTGGGTAGCCTTTTCTTTTTATTCTGTAATTTAAAACAATTCCATAATAAAGGATTAATTTGTTTCTTGTAAATTTGGTGAAATTTGAGTAAAACTATGTGGGCATGGTGCTTATAAATCAATATTGCCTACTGAGTCAACTTCCGAAATAGCATAAGACCAATCTGTTTTTCTATTTTTTAAATCAATTTTGTTAATTTAATATTTTCTTAACTAAATTTTAATTTTATCTTATTTCCTTGGCATGAGGTTGTTTATAGCATTCTCGTATGATTTTATGGTGTTACTGCTTTCTCTGTATCTTCAAATGTTATATTTAATATATTTGTGTCCTGTCTGCTAACCTTGTCAGATCTGCCTATTTTGTTCTTCTTTTGAAAATAACAAAATTTATTTTTGTATATTCTTTTTACTGTTTTTGTTTCTTTTTATGTTTTAATAACTTTTCCAAAATCTATTAGTTGCATTTTATTAGGCACACATTTTCCACTCTCTCAGTTTGTTGTCTTTCTCATAGTGTTGGCTTTCCCTGCATGATTGGAAATTATTGGTTGGGGAGTTATCTTCTTCCCTATGATTCACTGTTAGACTGTCTAGTTGTCCCAGCACTATGTAGAGCAGGTACAATTTCCAAGTAGAGGTTGAGACTGAAAACCTGATCTACAATACATAAATTATTACTATTTGTTTTGCAATGCCACCATGGTGACATTTACTTATGTAAATTAGGGAGGTGTGACTCCATTGTAACTTTCTTGCTGTGACATGAAAACTAAATTTACAGAACAGAGACCACTGGTGGTGGAGAGAGTGGGATGGGACAGGGGAAGAGGGAATGGTAGTTTGTGAGAGTCTATAGACTGTTTCTTATAGTCTGTCTGTATCCAAGGCTGATGTGGTCTGTTGCATAAGGAATTACCAAATGTCATTTAGAGGTGAGACTTGAGACTAAGGTGGCTAAACGATCAGGGCAGTAACAATTAAGGAGAAAAAATTTAATTTAAGGAATGATAATAACTGGTGTTAATTTATGGAGTAAACTCTCAGGCAGTCCTGTATCAATGTAAATTGATAAAATCTTTAGGGACAATTTGGTGATTATGTATCAAATCCTTAAATATGTGAAAAGGTCAGGCAATTTATTTTAAGGAAATAACCAGATAAGTGCTCAAAGACGAGTGTCTGAAAATGCTTACGAAAGCTTTAGAACATTAATACAATTTTACTAAATAAAACATTCAATGGCTTATTTTGGTGTATAAATATGTCATTAAATGTTCCACCTTTGTAAATTCACAATTTTGAATTACCATATTACACACTCTGAAAAGCCTTGAAATTAAGACATTTTCACAATTCTTTTAACTTTTTTTGGTGCAGATCACTTGCCTTCTTCCCTCCCCATAATTTGGAACTCCTTGAAAGAATTTTCAGAAGTTTGAAAACAGAGTGTCAAATAATTAGTTTTAGATTCATTCAGTAAAACAATAATCAGTAATTAAGACATATTAACATAGAAAGTATTAGTAATATATTATTAACTACATATATTATGTGTTGTATATTACATATGTATACATATAATATAGTATAAAGCATATGTAGAATGATATCATTTTATAAACTGTATCTCCAAGTGACAAATTCATAAGAACAATCTGGAAGGATATATATTAAAAGGTTAATATGGTAAAGGAATTATGGGTGATTTTATTTTCTTTATTTTTACATTTATAATCTTAATATGTCAGTTGTCCAATGTGCCTGGGCAAACTAATGCAAAATATTAGTTTGTAGTCAGAAGATAACATTTTCACTGAAAGAACTGGAAGTATTGGAAGTATTTTCTTCATGGGCCCCAAATTTCATTATAATGAGAATTTTAAAATATTTTGAATGACAGTAGCATTACTGAAATAAGTGTATAACATATTAAAGTAGATATACTATACTTAAGATAGACTATACTCATGTATATGTAAAATGTTGATTTAAAAAAATCTAAACAAGCGCTATATTAATGTTTTGCTCCAAGCATACTTGAATTACTAACTAATCCCACATTCAAAACTAATGGCAAAAAGAAATTTACAGTATTCAAAAATATACATTACTTTACTTTGGCTGTGGATGAAAAGAAAAAAAAATTCTTCATGCTTAAATAGGTTAAATTGTTCCATTAAAGCAATTAAAATGCCATCATTAGCATTAGTTGTTTCTTTGCGTAGTTGACAAGCCTGGGTGAATTTGGTTTTGTTCAAAGTGCACAGCCACTAGCTCTGAGTGCAATGGAGTATTTTGCAGGCTTCCGCACAATCTTATTCTTTGATTCTATCTTTCTGTTCCATATCCTTCTCTTCCTTTTGTATTCCACAAAGATTATTCCACAAAGGAGTCCTTTGAAGTCAAAGGCAAAATAAGAATTTGGTATACTTTATTTCTCCACATCTGAGTTTTGTTTTCAAGACCTTTTTTCTCTGTCTAGATGAGTTTTGCTAGCAACTGAATGTTTTTTCAAGGCTCAGGTAGATATGTACTCCAGCAAATGGCTATAGGAAAGTAAACTGAAGATGATTCCTAAGCGATTTTCTGTAATGGAAGAATAAAGGGAGGGACAGTCATACATATGGTATTTTCATACACATATGGTATAGTTTTCAAATACGTTTTCTGTAAAATTAACAGAGGAAAGTTACTCAAATTATCATAAACATGTTTGCTGAAAAAAACTTATAGGCCAAGAGAAGGAAATATCCCTAAGGCCATTGACTTTTCGGTAAGATTTTCTTTTGTGCTAAAAATAGAAACTCCTCTTTTTCTTAGCAGATATGAGGCTTAGTAAACTCTTTTACCTTTGTTGAGCACTTATCATTTTGTCTTTCTTCCCAGGTAATTTCATTTTAGTCTATAGAAAGTCATCAAGTGCCTATTAAAAACTATTTTATTATTTGTCTATGTGTAAAATATAGAAGGTTGAGAAATCCTTAATTTTAATATGAAAGACTGTCTGAAATTAATACACATGACAAATAAAGATATATTGGTTATAATTAAGTGAATTGAAATCCCACTTATTTTGTTCTAAGGGTTCTTTTTTTTTCCATATTTTCCTTCTCTCCCTACATTAGGATAAAAAATGCTTTCTTTCAACATTTCTTTGAACATTTTCATTCATGTCCTTAAAGACATTCCTAATGTCTGGTCTAGGTGTATTGCTCTCCCGAACTCTTTGGCCTATTTGAACACTGTGTGTTGGAACAAAAATGCCATTTTGTGTGAGTTTTTTTTTTTTTAAACGATGATGCAGATGGTTTGAGTCGGCAAACACCCATCCATCAAACACCCGAGATTTTCACAAATTGTGTCAAAGCATCCAGCATTGATTTAATCCCCGAACAATTGTTCATTTGCCCCAAGCAGAGTATAGAATAAAAGTATTTATGCAAAATATACAAAACTTGGTATTTGAAATATTTTTTATTTTGCCAAGTATAAGACGGAAAAATTCTCCAGGGGATACACAGTAACTTTCTGGAGACTTGTAAGGTTTCCTTTTGAGTAAGTTTAGATCATTTGTCGTAGTGACACCATTCCTACATAAGAATTCACAGGTAGCTTATATACTCAAACTATACACAATACTCAAAAAATCAAAGGATTCTACATGAGTAAGTTATCAATCGGTACATTCATTACATCATATTAATGTGACATAAATGTTGTTATTGTTGAATATTTATAACTTTCCTGGTTATTTTCTAGAGAATAATTATAAGTAGTTCGTGATTAGCTGTTGTCTATTAGAGGCTACCTTCAAAGTTTATGTAAACTAAAAATAAAATTTAAAGCGCCCCCCTGCAATTATCTGAATGGACCTTTCCTCTCAGCCAGAGTTAACTCCAAAGTTATCCTGAAAAACTGGTTCAGGCCCTGGTTGGGAGTGGGGGTCTGAACATGCCTCATTATGCCCTCTTCCCTTTTGGAATTCAGAAAAAGCCAGCCAGCATTGAACATCAACACAGACCTTAAATCTGATAAGAAACTTTCATAATCTCTTCTCTCTGAAGCCTGCTACCTGGAGGTTTCATCTGCATGATAAAACTGTGGTTTCCACAGCTCCTTATTGTAACTCAAACATTCCATTCTATTGATAATAACTCTTTCAACCAATTGCCAATCAGAAAAATTTAAATCCCTGGAAGTCCCAGTCACCGCCAACTTCCTGCCGCCCTGCCCCACTTCCAATTGTCCTGCTTTTCTAGACCAAACCAATATATATCTTAAATGTATTTGATTGATGTCTCATGTCTCCCTAAAGTGTATAAAACTAGGCTGTGCCCTGACCACCTTGGGCACATGTTCTCAGGGTCTCCTGATGAGGCCTGTGTCATGGGCCATTGGTCACTCATAGTTGGCTCGGAATAAATCTCTTCAAATATTTTACAGAGTTTGACTTTCTTCAATGATAGTTAACAAAGTCTTGGGTAGATCTAACTGTGGCTCTCTAATAAACAAATTCTTACATCCTAAGATTTTTTTTTCTTTGTACTTCATAACAGCTTTGTCCTAGATCCAAGGATGATTTTAACGTAAATGTAACAGACAGAATATTTCTAATGGTATTTGCATGTAGTGTTTAAATGACCCTATATTGATTAATTCAATGAATAAATAAGTAGACATAAAAGGCAATAGCTAGGGAAGTTAAAAAAAAAAAAAACTAGTTCAAAAAAAATCCCTCTAATATATAAGAAATAATTCCAAGGAAATTTGCCTTCAACTAGATTATTTAAAATGCACATAAATTTTGCATTTTTATTACAAAGGTATTCCTAAAGTTTAATCCCCAAATTCAGAAAGCAGCATCCAAGTTCACATTCAATAAAACCTCCAGAGCAGAAGATTAAAAGCACTAATAGAGGACACTTTCACTACAGGGCTAGTACAATCACAAGATAGACTTCAGGACCCAAAGAGCCAGTGGCAGATGTCATGTTAATATTTGACCATCATCAAAGCCCGCATTGTTGTTCTCTCATCTTGGTATTCACATGGCTACATCAGTAGCACGATGTGTTTTTGAGTGCTTTTTTTTTCAGCAACATCTGTGGTGAAGGAAAATGCTATGTCTCCAAATTTGTCTTTGGGATATTGTTGCAGTATTAAATGCAGCAGGGTGTTGTTTTATAATATCAGGAAATGCACTAAGACCTTTTAAAAGAAAAATTAGCATGCCTCAATCAAGGGATGTGACTCCTTCTGTGAAAGTGTTTTATGCTATGTTTTTCTTTCAGTGATGTTATATCTCAGAAGTATTTCCATATTTAAAATATTTTCATGTATCTTTTCTCACTTAAAATATACATGAGAAATAGGTCACATTTTAAAATATGGCAGAAATGCAAAGCCTGTATTTCAAAGCTGAATGAAAGAGTAGAAAAAATATGCATTTATTTTGGTGCCAATATTAAAAATATGGCTATTCATATGCATGAACATTAGCTTTCTTTACATGGTCTTTACATCGAGTAGTTTCCAAAAATACTAGGTGCAAAGAAGGCTAAAAATTGAAATTATGAGTTATCTAATTACTGAAGGCAAAAGCCTTACAGTCGTACTTAAAATGGTTCTGAATTAATATAAACAAAATTTCTTGATGAAGGTAATGTTACTAGTGACCTTGCAGAAATGAAAACAATAATCAGAAACTACTATGAAAACTTCTATGCACACAAATTAAAATACCTAGAAGAGATGGATAAAATCTTAGACACATACACCATTCCAGGACTAAGCCAGGAAGAAATTGATTCCCTGAACAGATCAATAACGAGTTCCAAAACTGAATCAGTAATAAATAACCTAACAATCAAAAAAAACCTGGGACCTGATGGATTCACAGCTGAATTCCACCAGATGTACAAAGAGGCACTGGTACGATTCCTACAAAAACTAGTCAAAAAATTGAGGAGGGACTCCTCCCCAAGTCATTCTATGAGATCAGCATCATCAAAACCTGCCAGAAACAAAATTTTAAAAAAGGAGATTTCAGGCCAATTCCTTAATGAACATCGAAGCAAAAATCCTCAACAAAATATGGAAAACCAAACCCAGCAGTACCTCAAAAAGCTAATCCGTCATGATCAAGTATGCTTCATCCCTGGGATGCAAGGTCAGTTCAACATATGAACATCAATAAATGTGATTCATCACATAAACAGAACTAAAGACAAAAACCACATGACTATCTCAATAGATGCAGAAAAGGTTTTTGACAAAATTCAACACCCTTCATGTTAAAAATTCTCAGTAAACTAGGTATTGAAGGAACATACCTCAAAATAATGAGCCATCTATGACAAATCCACAGCCTATATTATACAGAATGGGCAAAAGCTGAAAGCATTCTTCTTGAAAACGTACACAAGACAAGGATGCTCCCTCTCACCAACTTCTATTCAACAAAGTATTGGAAGTCCTAGCCAGAGCAATCAGGTAAAATAAAAAATTAAAGGGCATTCAAATAGTAAGAGAGGAAGTCAAATGATCTCTGCCTGCAGATGACATAATTCTATATCTGGAATACCCCATAGTGTCGGCCCAAAAGCTCCTCCAGCTGATAAATAACTTCAGCCAAGTTGCAGGATACACAATCAATTTACAAAAATTACTAGCATTCCTGTACACTACCAACAGACAAACCAAGAGCCATATCAGAAAGGCAATCTCATTCACGGTTGCCACAAAAAGAATAAAATACCTAGGAATACAGCTAACTATGGAAATGAAATATTTCTGCAATGAGAGTTACAAAACGTTGCTCAAAAAGAAATCAGAGAAGTCACAAACAAATGGAAAAACATCTCATGCTCATGGACAGGAAGAATCAATATCATTAAAAGAGGTATACTGCCCAAAGCAACTTACAGAATCAATGCTATTCTTATCAAACTACCAATGACATTCTTCACAGAACTAGAAAAAAAAACTATACTAATATTTATATGGAACTAAAAAAGAGCCTGAATAGCCAAGGCCATCTTAAACAAAAAGAGCAAAAAGGCATCACATTACCTGACTTCTAACTATACTACAAGTCTACAGTAACTAAAACAGCATGGTACTGGTACAAAAACAGGCACGTGGACTGATGGAACAGAATAGAGAGCCCAGAAATAAGGCTACATATCTACAACCATCTGATCTTTGACAAAACTGACAAAAACAATCAATAGGGAAAAGATTCTGTATTCAATAAATGGTGCTGGGTTAACTGGCTAGCCATATGCAGCAGATTGAAGCTGGACCCCTACCTTACTCCATACACAAAAATTGACTGAAGACGGACTAAAGATTTAAATATAAAACCCCAAATTATAAAAATTCTGGGAGACTACCTAGGCAATACCATCCTGGACATAGGAACGGGCAAAGATTTCATGACAATGACCCCAAGAGCAATTGCAACAAAAGCAAAAATTGACAAATGTTATCTAATTAAACAAGAGCTTCTGCACAGCAAAAGAAACTATCAACAGAGTAAGCAAACAACCTACAGAATGGGAGTAAATATTTGCAAACTATGCATCTGACATAGGTCTAATATCCAGCATCTATAAGGAACTTAAATTTACAAGAGTAAAACAAACAAACAAACAAAAAAACTCAATTAAAAAGTGAGCAAATAACATGAACAGAAATTTCTCAAAAGAAGACATACATGTGGCAAACAAACATGAAAAAAAGCTCATTTTTCTCAATGATCATTGATCATTAGAGAAATGCAAATCAAAACTACAATGAGATACTATCTCACACCAGTCAGAATGGATGGCTACTATTAAAAAGTCAAAAACTAGCAGATGCTGATGAGGTTGCAGAGAAAAGGGGACACTTATGCACTGTTGTTGGCAGTGTGAATTAGTTTAACCATCTTGGAAAGCAATATGGTGATTCCTCAAAGAGCTAAAAGCAGAACTACCATTCAACCCAGCAATCCCATTACTGGGTATATACCCAGAGGAATATAAATTATTCTGCCATAAAGGCACATGCACGTGAATGTTCATTGCAGCACTATTCTCAATAGTAAAGACATGGAATCAACCTCAATGCCCATCAATGACAGATTAGATGAAGAAAATGTACATATACACCATGGAATACTATGCAGCCAAAAAAAAAGAACAGATCATGTATTCTGTGGGAACATGGATGGAGCTGGAGGCTATTATCCTTAGCAAACTAACACAGGAACAGAAAACCAAATGCCTAATGTTCTCACTTATAAGTAGGAGCTAAATGATAAGAACTTACGAACACAAAGAAGGAAACAGCAGACATTGAGTCTACTAGAGGAGGGAGGGTGGAGGGAGGGAGAGGAGCAGAAAAGATAACTATTGGGATAACTATTAATACTTGTGTGATAAAATAATATGTACAACAAACCCCAATAACACGAGTTTACTTATGTAACAAATCTTCACATGTACCCCCAAATCTAAAATAAAAAAATAACTACAAAGTTTCTTAATTGCAGAAAAAGTTCAACCACAATCTCTGGAAATATTCTCTTTCCTTTTCAAGGTAGCTATTATCTCAAACTTACTTTGTTTCCTTCTATACCTTTTTAGTCTCTGTGTGGTGCTTATTTATGAAATCTCAAAAGCTCTGCAAAAGAGGTCAGCTTGTGATAATTTTTCATTAGGTTAGGTTACTTGTATTTAAATTTTACCTGAAAAGTAGTCTTCTCTGAAACAATAAAGTAAATCTGTTTCAGCATATTAGGCCTTTGACGTAAAAAACTATTTTCTTCAGAAGAAAGAAAAGCCTGATAATTGCAATCACAACAATTTTCTTCTTCCTTAAACAAAACAAAAAAATAGAATGACATTCTATAAATTGTATTGGTTGGTGCAAAAGTAATTGCAGCTTTTGCCATTAAAAGTAATGTAAATTACTTAATTTACATTAAATTAAAGTAATAGACTCTATTTCTAGTGTAAAACTTCTATAAACTTACCATTTAAAAAATTTGAATGCCCCCTCTTCTCACAAAAGATTTGCAGTACAAAGAGGGAATCTGCCATCAAGTGGATCTTAAAAATGCATGTAAAATTTTAAATTCCTATTATCAAGTTATTCCCAAAGTCTGATCTCCAAATTCAGAAAACTCTCAGTTTTGGTTCCAAGTTCACATTTGATATGGTTTGAATTTGTGTCCCTGCCCAAGTCTCATGTCAAATTGTAATCTAATGTTGAGGTTGGGGCCTGGTGGGAGATGATTGCATCATGGTGACAGATTTCCCCCTTTGGGCCTGTTCTCGTGATAGAGTTGTCATGAGATCTGGTTGTCTAAAAGTGTTTGGCACCTTCCCCCTCATCCTCTTCCTCCTGTTCTGTCCATGTAAGATATACCTGTTTCCCCTTTGCTTTCCACTATGATAGTCAGTTTCCTGAGGCCTCCCCAGCCATGCTTCCTGTACAGCCTGTGAAACTATAAGCCAGTTAAATCTCTTTTCTTTATAAATTATCCAGTCTCAGGCATTTCTTTATAGTGGTCCAAGAACAGACTACTACAACATTCAATAAAATCTCCAGCACTGAAGATTAAAAGCATTAATGGAGGACACTTTCAGTACAGGGCCAGTGCAATCACTAGATAGGCTCCAGGACTCAAAGAGTCACTTTGTTATTTGCTTCTGTAATATTGTATAAAATTTTATAAAGTCATTCAGGAGAGAGGCTTTAAAATCATAATGTTTCCTAGAACGCATACTAACGCATGAGCACACTTGATCCTTAGTGATAAATATCTAGGAAAAAAAATTGCTTAAACACTTCTGTAATAAGTCATTTAGGAAGAATTTTGCAACAAAAAAAATTCCGTTTTCCCTGTATCCCCTGTTTTCCAGTATCCCCACTTTTTGCACATCTTCCAGAGGGAGATATCATTAGGTAGTGTTGACAATAAGGTCCAGATACTAAGTCTGATGGAGAGATACAGCAGAGAAGTCAATCATTCAAATGTGGTATTTTAGAAAGCAAAATAAAAACATAGAAATGTTTTATAAGAATATAAAGTGTAGATCTAATATAAATATATAAAGATACAGACACAGTATTGGTCATAAAAATACCATAGAATAGATACTAATGAAATATGCCTTATTCCATACAGAAAAATGTTTTGACACAATAGTTCAAGCTTGAATGGTGTAGCCAATTGGATAATGTGCATAGCCACTGAGAATAATAGAGTTTGGTTGCTTAGCCATTATGATAATATCTTATGTTTAAGTAGTGATTTTGTGGTTTTTCGGTTCTTTCATTTATTTTCTCAATAACATTATAAAATAGTTTTTATTTTCCTTTTGTAAATAGGAAAACAGACTCAGGGAGGTTACGTGTATTCTGTGAGGTTACTCACCAAGTAAATGTCAAGGACGTGCATGAACCCCAGGTTTGTCTATATACGAAACCTTTGCTGTTTCCTCTAAGTGATGCTACCTCAATCTTACAGTAAAATATTAACAGTCACTATTTATGTTTTGGTGATTAAATTATTGGCAGGGATTTGGATTCCTGGGAGGTGTATTTTCAGCCTTGTTATCTTTCTTTTCTCAGCCACAGTCATGTTTAGTTTTGTTTGCTCTTGTAATACTCCATATGTGGCAGTGGTGAATTTTAGTCATGGCTTTACTGCATGCCAGAGTGGAAGGTGGACTAGGAAGTTCATTCAAGGTTTCAGTTCCTGGGTTTAGATAGAGAGGGAAAAATGATCCATGTGACATAGAACTTCAAATCTGTGCTACCATAGCTTATAGTGACTCAGAATCCTAGCCCACTCCCAACCCTTATTCTATGGCTTGGAGGCATTCTATCAGCATTGCTTTTCAATAGTCACTGGGAAAGAATACAACTGGTTCTGCAAGTGGAAGGCTGAGGGTTGAAAGATGAAGACCCTTTATGTGAGAGGCAGCCTAATGCAGCAGTAGGAACTAACTTTGACTCTGGGTTTTACTTCTGGCTCTGCTGCTTTCTAGCTCTGTGACCTTGAAGTTACTTAATGCCTTAGTTTCTCCATCTATAAAATGGGGACGATAATAATAATACCTTCTCAGGCCATTGTCATGAATAGCTGAGCTATTATCTGTAGAGTGCTTACAATGGTGCCTGACACAGCAAGTGCTTCGTAAGTGTTGGTTATCATTTGACATGGAAGAATTTTTTCTGCACTTAACAACAACGTCTGACTCACACTTGTAATACCAGAACTTTGGGGAGCCAAGGTGGGTGGATCACTTGAGGCCAGGAGTTGAAGAACAGCCTGGCAAACATGGTGAAACACTGTCTATTCTAAAAATACAAAAATTAGCCGGATGTGTTGATGCTCACCTGTAATCCCAGCTACTTAGGAGGCTGAGGCGGGAGAATCTCAGAGGTTGCAGTGAGCTGAGATTGCGCCACGGCACTCCAGCCTGGGTGACAGAGCAAGCCTCCATCTCAGAAAAGAAAAATAAAAAATAAAGAAACCACAATGTCATAGCATATCTTTATGATGCCTGAAGACACAATGCTCAAAGGTATAATGAGAGCACACTTATGTTAAATATACTAGATTATTGCCCAGTGGAATAGGATTGTCATGTGTAAATCAGAGCTAAGTGTATGCATACAATCAGTGAGTATACCTAAGGCATATAATTTGCAGGGGCTGAAATAGTGCAGAGGAAGAGTTAGATGAATAGTATACATAATAAGTAGGTTATTAAAAGAAAACCTTTCCAGTTCAATACATCAATCAGCAGGTATTCATTTGTTTTAAGATTTAAATGAAATAATCTATGTGAAGGGGCTGGATCTGTATATAATATAGTTTAGCTCTTTTAAGTGAATTGCTTAATCTCGCATTTGGAGAGTAGGCTCACATAGTTTGTCTTAAAAGTTTATATAGTCACACTGAGCTAAATTATATTTTTTAATTTGTCTTTTAAAAATAAAAAATTAAAAAATTGTTATAAAAGGAATATATAGAAATTTGAAAAATAGAAAAGATTAAAAAGAACTTATCAAAAGCTTTACCTTCTATAGGCAATTACTGTTAATATTTTGATGCCTTTTCTACTTCCATCAAGAGGCTGAGGAGTCTCAAATCTGTGTCTCAGGCTAATACATCGATACAGAGTTTCTGTGTCATATTTCTTGCATCCTGGACTTTTCCATCTGCATGTCTCACAAACACCTCAACCCCTGCTTGCCCAGGACTGAAATCCATGCCATTTCTCCCAAATTGTTCTTCCTTCTTCCACGCCTAATGCTATTTTTCTGCTGTTTCCAAGATAGAAACTTTAGCATCATCCTAGATTTCTTTTTCACTCTTAAGCTACCCCATCACACATTCAATTGTTATAATATATTAGGTCTTGCCAATATCTCTGTAATCTATCTCATAGCTAGTCTGTCATTTCTGCTTCCAATATTTCTTGGTGGGGTTTTCCAGTAATCTTTTACCTAATTTCCCTTCCAATTAATGTACATTGTAACTACTTTAACTGTCTCCATGGGGTTAAGGTTCGCATTTTTTTTTTATGTTTGTAACTGTAATGCATCCCAGTGCCTGACCCATAGTATTATAGATACTAAATGTGCACACACATGCACACACACACACACACTTTGTTTTTAGTTAATAAAATAATGAAATTCCACTCACCATCACCAGCATTACTCTTCAAAATGTGAAACTGATTACATTGCTTCTTGGTTAAAATATTTTGCTGTCTTCCCGTTTGCATTACCAAAGATTTTCCAGAAAAACAGTGACGTGTAATTAGCCACCTGTGTTAGGCTGTTCTTGTGTTGCTATAAAGGAATACCTGAAGCTTGGTAACTTATAAAGAAAAGACGTTTAATTGGCTCACAGCTCTGCAGGCTTTGTAGGAAGCCTATAGGCTGTGCTGGGACCTGCTTGGCTTCTGGGGAGGCCTCAGGAAACTAATCATGGCAGAAGGCGAAGGAGGAGCTGATGTATCACAAGGTGAGACTGGGATCAAGAGGGGAGAGGGAGGGTGGCACACTTTTAAGCCATCATATCTCACAAGAAGTCACTCACTATTACAAGGCCAACACCAATCCTTGAGGGATTCATTCCCATGACCCAGACATCTCCCACCAGGCCCCACCTGCAACATTAGGGATTACATTTCAACATGAGATTTGAGTGGGGAGACATATCTAAACCATATCACCATCATGCAATTGCTCAGAGGATAATTTCAAACTCTTGGCATGGAATCTAAGGCCCTTCATGATTTGGTCTCTGTCAACTGAAGCCCCTGCCATTCTAAACTACTCACAGTTCCACTCGTGAGCCATGCGTCAGTACCCCTCTTAGTCGTAACACCTGATGTTTTCTCCACACCAAAAACTCCTGTCACCGTGACATATCTCTTAATCCTTTAAAACTTATTTCTTAATGCCAATGATTTAAAATTCTGCCTCCACGTGGAAGATTTTAGCCTCTACTTGTTTGTTTCTTTACTTTTCCATGTTCACATACCTAATAGAGAATTCGCAACACTATTGCAATGATGGCTCCATGGCTTTCTCTGGGACTTTCTTGAGAGCAGGTCTGTATCTTAGTCATCTTTTTATTTGCATCTCTAGTAAGAAGATAAGTCTTTAACAGGTACCTAGTTAATATTGTTGAATTTATTTGGGGGAAAATAAATGGATTGGTGATTTGTAAAGGTAGCACAAAAAAATTTTCTTAATTTTATTATTCTGCTTTTCTAAATTTTTTTTTTTTTTTTTGTGGTGGGGAGGGGTGGGGGAGTGGAACCCAGAACAAAATTTGAGTTTTTGACACTACAAAGAACCAACCATCTATCCCAAACTTCACAGAGTTTGAATTCCCAGTTTTGGAGTCTATCCTTTCAATCTCCAGAAACCTCTATTATTTCACAGAAATCATCTCTAAGGGTTAACATATTAGCATTGGTTAATCTATCACAAGAACAAAATCTCAAGGCAGTGAGGAGAACCTTAGGAAAAAAGAGAGTCATGAATAATAATAAAACTGTCAATTTCCCAAGTTGTTTTGGCCCGTGCACTAGCAACGTGATTTTTAAAAGTTTTCCATACACACATAAAGTAAAGAAAGTATTACTGTATGAAAGAACCATAGACTCAACTACCCAAGACAGTGATAAACAACATCTGAATGAGGTGAGGAATGCACAAGAGAAATTCTCCAAATATGGAAAGTACACAAATATACTAGTCAGCATTTATTTATCAAAACACGTATACTGGAAATTGAAGACATCAAGTCAAATATATTTAAAATATAGTGCAAATGGACTTAGTACATTGAAAAAATTAATCCTTTCACATTTTATTCTTAAAATTTTGTGTGCTTTTTCAATTCTTTTTGTTTTGTACTTCAGCTAATGTTTAATTGGTGCTAGCTTTCTGGTCTCTCTAAAAAAGTATAACTATAAAAATAATGTTTAAAGTTCCATCTCATTCAGACATTAAAAACGTATGTAAGTTATTCAGAGTTTATCCTTGGGTGGATGGTGAAAATATTTCTATGGATATTATGGCTTTCTAAATGAAGATTCTCTACATCCCTCATATCATAAAACAGGCTGCAAAGCCATGATAAGAAATAGGTTTCTTTTGGCAACTGAAGCCAGGAGCTGGAAAATAATTCTTGCATTATATTCTGGGCTGCTATGTCACACATTCAGACATCTCTCAGATGTCTACAATGCAAATTAATTAATTTTAAAAGGAGGAGATGACCCTGTTTCTTTTGCAAAGGATAAGCTTTAGGATGCATGAGAAAATTGAACAGAATTTTTCTCTTTGAAATCACTGACTCCTTTGAAGGTGATCTTTGGTGAATCATCTTAAGTCATATACTTTCATCCTAAGTCATGTACTTTCCTAAGAGAGTTTTTTGTTGTTATTGCTGAAGTATTCTCATTCCTCACACTTGGGAGGCAGCATAGGTTTGAAGGGGTAGCCAGTGTGATCCTAGATAGAGGACCTGGAGTAAGACTACTGGGTTCAGATTCATGGCAAGTTATCTAACCTCTCTGAGATTTTGTTTCCACAACTTTAAAATCCCAGTGTTTAATATTACCTGCCCAAATGCATTGTTGTGAAATTTGAATGGCATAATCCATGTAACCTGGCACTGAGAAGGCATTGAACAAATGCTGTCTATAACAATAGATGAATTTATTTCCTTCTTGGTTTTTCGATTTCTTTTGTTGTTATTAACAAGAATTTTGAGAAAAAAACACCAGAGCCTGATTTTTAAAAGTTGGTAATTTTGGCAGTACTTATGTGTTATGACTTTTATTACAAATATTAAAATCTTGATAAAGTTTGTTGTATTAGTAACTTTTAGTTTACTTGTATTTTGGCATTTTCCCACTATCTTCCTCTTCTCTCCCTCCTTCATCTTCTATTCATTTTCTTTTTTTGGGAACTATTAATATAAGGAGAAGTTTGAGGATGGGGGTGACTCTCTTCAGTAACTCTCCAATTTCCAATGTCTGTCTTTTCTATTGGTTATATTTTGTGCCAGGTTCACACATGTACAGTAAATTGACAATAAGGCTGTGCCATCTGATGTTGTGCTTTAGATAGTGTGTTGATCAGTAGATGGTCTGGCAGCCATAGCTATGTAAACACATGCTCGTCAACAACCAGGGCTGCATGAGAGGAAACAGTCGCTGGCTTGTGCAGTGGCATCCACGAGCAGCCCTCTTGTGCCATGCAAGGTGGCAGTGTGAAGCCCAACCTAATTGCTTCTCTTTTTTTCTCCCCCTGGAAATGTCACATCCCATAGCCTTTGTCCTGGTGTGATTACTACTTTGATCAGTCATTTTTTACATAGTGTGTTACTCTCTCAGAACCAGCTAATTCAGGGATATTTGTAATGCATTAATTAATTAACTAATTATCCTAAAGTATTAAAGTAACAATTTTCAGCAAATTATGGATTTGTGAACAAATAAACCTGAGAGGATTGTATTAGTTCATTCTTATAATGCTATAAAGAATTACCTGACACTGGTAATTTATAAAGAAAAGAGGTTTAATGGGCTTATGGTTCCACAGGCTGTAAAAGAAGCATGGATGGGGAGGCCTCAGGAAACTTACATTATGGTAGAGGGCAAAAGCGAAGCAAGCACATCTTCACATGGTGGCAGGAAAAAGAGAGAGAGCAAAGGCGGAAGGGCTGTGCATATTCAAACAATCAGATCTCATGAGAACTCACTATCACGAGAATAGCAAGGGAGACATTTGCCCCTATTATCCAATCACCTCCCACCAGGTCCCTTTCCCAACATTGGGAATTACAATTCAGCATGAGATTTTGATGCGGATGCAGAGCCGAACCAAATCATTCTGCCCCTGGCACCTCCAAAACCTCATGTCCTTCTCATATTTTGAAACACAATCATGCCTACCTAACAGTACCCCGAAGTCTTACCATATTCCAGCATTAACTCAAAGGCCCAAGTCCAAAGTCTCATCAGAGACAAGGCAAGTCCTTTCCACCTATGAACCTGTAAAATCAAGAAAAATTTAGTTACTTCAAAGATACAATGTGAGCACAGGCATTGGGTAAATGCTCCTGTTCCAAAAGGGAGAAACTGGCCAAATCATAGGGACTACAGGCCCCATGCAAGTCCGAAACTCATGGGGGCAGTCATTAAATATCAAAGCTCCAAAATAATCTCCTTCGACTCTATGTCTCACATCCAGGTCACACTGATGCAATGGGTGGGCTTCCAAGGTCTTGGGCAGCTATGCCCCTGTGGCTGTGTAGGGTATAGCTCCCATGGCTGCTTTCATGGGCTGGCGTTGAGTGCCTGTGGCTTTTTCAGGCACATGGTGCAAGCCGTCAGTGTATCTAACATCTTGGCATCTGGAGGATGGTGGCCCTCTTCTCACAACTCCACTAGGCAGTGCCCAGTGGGGATTCTGTATGGGGGCTTCAAGCCCACATTTCCCCTATGCACTGCCCTAGAAGAGGTTCTCCATGAGGGCTCTGCCCCTGCAGCAGGCTTCTGCCTGGACATCCAAGCATTTCCATATGTCTTTGAAATCTAGACAGAGAAACCCAAGCTTAAACTCTTGTCTTCTGCATGCATACCCACAGACCCAACACCACATGGAAGCTGCCAAGGCTTGGGGCTTGCACTGTCTGAAGCAATGGCCTGAGCTTTACTTTGGCCCCTTTTAGCCATGGTTGAAGCTGGAGCAAATGCAGTGCAGGGCACCATGTTCCAAGGCTGCACAGAACAGTAGGGCCCTGGGCCTGACATACAAAACCATTCCATCTTCCTAGGCCTCTAGGTCTGTGATGGAAGGAGCTGCCATGAAATTATCTGAAATGTCTTCAAGGCATCTTTCTCTATTGTCTTGGCTATTAACATTCAGTTCCTCTTGACTTATGCAAACTTCTGCAGCCATGTTGCATTTCTTCTCAGAATTTTTTTTTCTACCACATGGGTGGGCTGCAAAGTTTTCAAACTTTTATATGCTTTTTCTCTTTTAAATAAAAGTTCCAATATCAGACTATCTCTTTATCAAACTCATATGAAGTTAGGCTGTTAGAAGTGGCCAGGCTACCATTTTGAATACTTTGCTGCTTAGAAATTTCATCTGCCAGATACCTTAAATCATCACTTTCAAGTTCAAAGTTTCACCTATCTCTAGGGCAGAAGCAAAATGCCACCAGTCTCTTTGCTAAAGCATAGCAAGAGTGACCTTTACTCCAGTTCCCAATAAGTTCCTCATCTCCATCTGAGACCTCCTCATCCTGGACTTCATTATCCATATCGCTATCAGCATTGTGGTTAAAACCATTCAACAAGTCTCTGGGAAGTTCCAAACTTTCCCTCATCTTCCTATCCTCTTCTGATCCCTGCAAACTGTTTCAAACTTTGCCCATTACCCAGTTCCAAAGTTACTTCCACATTTCCAGGTATCTTTAAAGCAATACCCCACTCCTGGTACCAATTTTCTGCACTAATCTGTTCTCACACTGCTATAGAGAACTACCTGAGACTGGGTTATTTATTTTTAAAAAAGACATTTAATTGAGTCAGTTCTGCAGGCTGTACAGGAAGCATTGCTGGGGAGGTCTCAGGAAACTTACAATCATGGCAAAAGGGCAAAGAAGAAGCAAGCATGTCTTCACATGGTGGCAGGAGATAGAGAGCGAAGCAGGTAGTGGTATACTTTCAAAGAACCAGGTCTCCTGAGAACTCACTATCATGAGAACAGCAAGGGAGAAATCTGCTCCCATGATCCAATCACCTCCTTTCAGGTCTCTTTCCCAACATTGGAGATTACAATTCAACATGAGATTTGGATGGGGACACAGAGCCAAACCATACGAAGGATTATTCAAAATTATTCACCTTCCAAAATGTATAATATGGCATACTTAAATTATAATTCTGGTTTGGGTAACAACATACAACAATGATGATAAAGAAGTTAATTTATAAAGAAGAAATGATCTAGGTCAGAACAGCTCATCTTTTATTCACAGATATGTTTGTAGAGGCAATAAGAATTTGAAGTCCCATTAAAATATGGGTAAAAAAAAGTTTGCTTCTTTGTTTATGTATAAACTGGTAATATGAGGTTTGCCTCACATACTGGATTTAGGAGTCTCAGAAATCTCTAAGATCAGACATATAAATTTCATTTGTAAGGTGTAGTGTGTTAAATTTTATTTCTAGTAACTAATATCTATTTACTTTCTATAGGTATGTTTAATTTAGTTGTAATCAAAGAGCCAAACAATTTTTGAATTATCAAATATTTATTTATTTATTTATTTGCAATTTGCAGATTACCTTGACTAATTATTTTTCTGTGAACTTCATTGTGTCTAAGCTTATTCCTTCAGCCATTATTTGGTAAGAACTTCCACTGAGTTAAATTGAGGAACAAAAGCGGACACCAGTTTGTTTTTTCCTGACTACTGTATGACCTATTTTCTTTTGGAAAATGAAAAGCTTGTTTTATATATTTATATATTCATTTAGTCCTCCTGTAACCCATTTTTCAAAGCAACTCTGTGATTCTATATAGAGTTCCCCTCTTAGCATCCTCCTCTTACGACATAGGAGAAGGCATGCAACCAAGCAAAATAATCAAATGACTTTAGTGACTTTTTAAAGTTAGAGTTATGGGAGAAAGTCTCCTTTTATCTTGGGTCATGAACCTAAGAGGGGAGAACCTGGAACGTGCTAAGGCAATTATTCTAGCTGTATGAAGAAGGTTTCCAGGTTTCCTTAAGAAAGTAAAAATGTAAGATGTTAATGTGACTTTGATGTTTCAGATAGGCAATGCAATGTTTTTCTTGTGGTTGTTGGTGCCATTTTAATCACCACCCATGGAAAGGAAAAACTGTGATGTCCTCTGAATTCTGCTGCTAAGAATATCAACAAAGACAGCCATTCTCAAATTTTAAAGTGCCTTGTTCATTTATGAAATTGGAGAAATAGGAGAATTCAATATAGATTTATACTTCTGATGATTACCTATGTACTTGTGATAGTGTGTATATACAGATAATGCTTATATAATACCGAGTGTATAATACTTAAGCATATAATATGTAGTCTATATCGACCATATGTTTCATATAAATCTAATATTTAAAATACTTACATGGTGCCTATGTGACAGTCACTGCTCTAAACACTGTGCACACTTTGCAACATACACAATCACTCAAAGTGGGTCATACTACTAAGTAAAAACCTAATCTATAAAACTTCTAGACAAAAATAAATGGAAATAACAACTCTGTAAATTTCAGTTAGGCAAATATTTCTCAGATAAAATGCCAAAGTACTCTGCCAGACAAAGTAGATTTTTAAAATTAAAAATTTCTGCTCTGTGAAAGACACTGTTGAGAGATTAAAAGCTAAAACCTTAGAAATTGGAAAAAAAATTGTAAATCGCACATCTGATAAAACATTTATGTACAAATAATAAATATAAAAACTCGACACTCATAGGAAAACAAACAACAAAAAAGTTAAAAATTGGATAAAAGATTAGAACAAACACTTCAGCAAAGTAGACTTACAGATAGCAAAGAAGCATATGAAAATATTCTCAATGTTATTCCACATTAGGCAAATTCAAAGTACATAGATATGTTACTACCTATCCATTAGAATGGCTTTTAAATGAAGTAGCAACTCTAAGTAAGTACTGGTGAGGTTGCAGAATAACTAGGACTTTCATACATTGATGATAGAAATGCACAATGGCACAGCCACTTTGGGGAACAATTTGGCAGTTTCTTATAAAGATAGAAGAAACATTTACTTTTCCTGTGATCTAGAAATCCAACTTGGCACGACTCAAGTGAAATCAAAACCTGTGTTCACACAAAAACCTTGTAGACATGTTTATAGTAGCTTTATTTGCAGTCACCAAGACTAAGAACAATGCTAATGTCCTTTCACTGATGAAGACAGAAACAAATTATGGTGCACCCATACAATGGAATACTGCTCAGCAAAAAAAGGATGAAATACACACGCAACAAAATAGAAAACTCAAAATGCATTATACTATGTAAAAGAAGTCAGATTAAAAAGGCTGTGTATGGTTTGACTCCATTTATATGATATTCTTGTAGTAGACTTACCACTGGAACAGAGACCAGAGTTGTGAATGCCAAGGCTGGAAGTGGGTTGACTTTTAAAGGGAAATAAGCTACTTTGTGTTGGGGAAGAGATGAAATAACTGGTCTATACCTTGATCGTGACAGTGGGTATATGACTATACTTTTGTTCATACTCACAGAACTGGACACGGAAAGGATATAAATGTTATTGTAAGAAAATTAAAAATTAATTTTTTTAAAAAAGGTTAGGATGTGGGCCTCACCAAAGATTCATAGTCATAAAACGAAAATCTCATGTTGTTAAGCATCTTGACCCTTAAGGAATGAGAGGTGGGTAGCTTTTGGGAGTGCTGCTAATATTATTTCTGTTTGCCATAGTACTGTTGGAGAGATCACTTAGTGCCTATTTAGTGACTACATACTTATGATCTATTAACTTTTGTGTATGCATGCTTTATTTGATATTAACAGTGTATAAAAACAAAAAATTAAATCCTGAAAGCAATAAAAATTCTAAGCCTCAAATTATGAAGTATACATCCCAAATTTCTTAAAATATAGACTACATTAACAGTCCAAGAGAAAACACATCTGTGATTAGATTTTGAGCAACACACAGAGTTCTGCCAAAATGGCAACAACAGAAGTATGAACTTACTTTACTCACCTGAAATAAATGACAAAATAAAGGAATATGTTTGCATTTCTGAATTCCCAAGGACTTTACAATATGATGAGGGATAGAAAAAGGAGAAAATGAGAAAACATGCCATAGTTATAAGGAAGTAATTTTTGTTGTGTGGATGTGTTAGAGGGGCTTAAGGGGTTTTTCTGAAGGGAGTATGTGGGCTCCTGGAGTATCTAAACAGTGCTACACAGTGGCAAAACTGTCATAGTGGGGAGTTCTGCTCTTCTGCTTATCTCCTGTGATAAGAAAAGCAGATATCTTGTTCATCACGTACTATTGATTCCCTCAGCCTTCTGCTTCAGAAAGTGACTAGTGCTCCAAATAAGGCTGGAAGAGGTATAAATACCAGAAAGCACAGCCTCACCTCTCCTTCTTTTCTGTCTTCAGCTGCTAGTAAAGTTTGGGTAGGGTGCATGCATGGTTTTGGTGTATGCGTGATGGCAGGTGAAGGGAGGGGAATTCCTATTCTCATTATCTTTCTTACCAAGGGGTTGTCTTTATTTCCCAAATCCTTTCTTTCCTCTAGGGCTTATGATTCTCCAAATAAAAGGCAAGAATATTTTGCACACTTTTGGTTTATCTTCCTGTCATATTACCTTCCTAAGGCATTATACTAAGTGCATAAATAAAGAAAATAGTAGGGAAGTTACAGGTTGAAGAAAATGAAGATTAATATCTCAAAATATTATATACTCATAATTATAACCTACAAATAAATGTGCAGAAATGTAGCAAACCTACAAATAAATGTGCACATGGATGGCAAAATTAACTAATATATGAATAAGAAAGTAAATAAATATAATAATAATAAATAAAATATTAAATAATAATAAGTATAAAAGTATGCTTTTTCTAAGCTATGAAGGCATGAGAAAAATGTCAAAACTTGTAAGTTAATTTAAAAATGTTGTGTTCTCACAGTGAGGAAGACTTGACCAAATGCTGTCAGATTAACGTGAAAGACTAAATGTCCAAGAAAAATTAGAAAAGAGAAGTTTATATAGGAAGGAAGGGGGCTCACTCTCTATAATTTTTTAGAATTCTAATGATCACTGTAATAAAGTAGTAAAAATAGAGCTGAATATGTATCAGAACCTAATGACTGTTGAAAGTGACATGAATTAACTTAAAAATCCTACTAGGAAACTGGCAGGTGATGGAGAAAAAATAATGCAGTGTATTAGTCTATTCTCACACTCCTATAAAGAAATACCTGAGGTTGCTTCCAAGATGGCCGAATTGATGCAGAAGACAGGTGATTTCTGCATTTCCAACTGAGGTACCTGGTTCATCTCACTGGGACTTTTTGGACTGTGGGTGTAGCCCACAGAGAGTGAGCCGAGGCAGGGCGGGGCATCGCCTCATAAGGGAAGTGCAAGGGTTTGGGAGATTTCCCTTTCCTAGCCAAGGGAAGTCATGAGTGACTGTACCTGGAGGAGTGGTAAACTCCTGCCCAAATACTGTGCTTTTCCCACAGTCTTCGCAACTGGCAGACTAGGAGATCCCTTCCTGTGCCTGGCTTAGCAGGTCCCACGCCCACAGAGCCTTGCTTGCTGCCAGCCCATCAGTCTGAGATTGACCTGAGACGTGGGAGCTTGGCAGGGGGAGGGGCATCTGCCATTGCTGAGGCTTGAGTAGGCGGTTCTATGCTCACAGTGTAAACAAAACAGCAGGGAAGCTCTAACAGGGCAGAGCCCAGCGCAGCTAAGCAAAGCCTACTGCCTCTCTAGATTCCACCTCTGGCGGCAGGGCATATCTGAACAAAAGGCAGCAGACAGCTTCTCGAGACTTAAAAGTCCCTGCCTGACAGCTCTGAAGAGAGCAGTGGTTCTCCCAGCATGGCGTTCGAGCTCCTATAATAGACAGACTGCCTCCTCAAGTGGGTCCCTGACCCCCATGTAGAATGACTGGGAGACACCTCCCAGTAGGGTCTGACGTCTGTCCTCATACAGGCAGGTGCCCCTCTGGGACGAAGCTTCCAGAGGAAGGATCAGGCAGCAATATTTGCTGCTCTGCAGCCTCTGCTGGTGATACCCAGGCAAGCAGGGTCTGGAGTGGACCTCCAGCAAACTCCAACAGTCCTGCAGCTTGGGGGCCTGTCTGTTAGAAGGAAAACTAACAAAAAGAAAGGAATAGCATCAACACCAACAAAAATGACATCCACACCAAAACGCCATCCTTAGGTCACCAACATCAAAGACCAAAGGTAGATAAAACCACAAAGATGGGGAGAAACGAGAGCAGAAAAGCTGAACATTCCAACAACCAGAACGCTTCTTCTACTCCGAAGGAACACAACTCCTTGCCAGCAAGGGAACAAAACTGGATGGAAAATGAGTTTGATGAGTTGACAGAAGTAGGATTCAGAAGGTTGGTAATAACAAACTTCTCCGAGCTAAAGGAGCATGTTCTAACCCATCACAAGGAAGCTAAAAGCCTTGCAAAAAGGTTAGATGAATGGCTAACTAGAATAACCAGTGTAGAGAAGAGCTTAAATGACATGATGGAGCGGAAAACCACAGTATGAGAACTTCAAGAAGCATACACAAGCTTCAGTAGCCAACTCAGTCAAGCGGAAGAAAGGATATCAGTGATTGAAGATCAAATTAATGAAATAAAGCAAGAACACAAGATCAAAGGAAAAAGAATAAAAAGAAATAAACAAAGCCTCCAATAAATATGGAACTATGTGAAAAGACCAAATCTACATTTGATTGGTGTACCTGAAAGTGACAGGGAGAATGGAACCAACTTAGAAAACACTCTTCAGGATATTATCCAGGAGAACTTCCCCAACCTAACAAGGCAGGCCAACATTCAAATTCAGGAAATGCAGAGAACACCGCAAAGATACTCCTTGAAAAGAGCAACCCCAAGACACATAATTGTCAGATTCACCAAGGTTGAAATGAAGGAAAAATTGTTAAGGAAAGCCATAGACAAAGCTCAGGTTACCCACAAAGGGAAGCACATCAGACTAACAGCAGATCTCTCTGCAGAAACCCTATAAGCCAGAAGAGAGTGGTGGCCAATATTCAACCTTCTTAAAGAAAAGAATTTTCAACCCAGAATCTCATATCTGGCCAAACTACGCTTAACACATGAAGGAGAAATAAAATCCTTTACAGACAAGCAAATGCTGAGAGATTTGTCACCAACAGGCCTGCCTTACAAGAGCTCCTGAAGGAAGCACTAAACATGGATAGGAACAACCAGTACCAGCCACTGCAAAAACATGCCAAATTGTAAAGACCATCGACACTATGAAGAAACTGCATCAATTAATGGGTGAAATAACCAGCTAGCATCATAATGACAGGATCAAATTCACACATAACACTATTAGCCTTAAATGTAAATGGGCTAAATGCCCCAATTAAAAGACACAGACTGGCAAATTGGATAAAGAGTCAAGACCCATCAGTGTGCTGTATTCAGGAGACCCATCTCACATATGAGACACACATAGGCTCAAAATAAAGGGATGGAGGAAGACCTACCAAGCAAATGGAAAGCAAACATAAATAAATAAATAAAAAATAAAAATGCAGGGGTTGCAATTCTGGTCTCTGATAAAACAGACTTTAAACCAACAAATATCAGAAGAGACAAAGAAGGCCATTACATAATGGTAAAGGGATCAATTCATCAAGAAGAGCTAAGTATCCTAAATGTATTTGCACCCAATACAGGAGCACCCAGATTTGTAAAGCAAGTTCTTAGAGACCTACAAAAAGACTTATACTCCCAAACAATAATAATGGGAGACTTTAACGCCCCACTGTCAATATTAGACAGATCAATGAGACAGAAAATTAACAAGGTTATCCGGGACTTGAACTCAGCTCTGAACCAAGTGGACCTAATAGACATCTACAGAACTCGCCACCCCAAATCAACAGAATACACATTCTTCTCAACATCACGTTGCACTTATTCTAAAAGTGACCACATAATTGGAAGTAAAACACTCCTCAGCAAATGTGAAAGAACGGAAATCAAAACAAACTGTCTCTCAGACTACAGTGCAATCAAATTTGAACTCAGGATTAAGAATTTCACTCAAAACCGCACAACTCCATGGACTGAACAACCTACTCCTGAGTGACTACTGGGTAAATAGCAAAATGAAGGCAGAAGTAAAGATGTTCTTTGAGACAAATAAGAACAAAGACACAACGTACCAGAATCTCTGGGACACATTTAAAGCAGTATGTAGAGGGAAATTTATAGCACTAAATGCCCACAAGAGAAAGCAGGAAAAATCTAAAATCGACACCCTAACATCACAATTAAAAGAACTAGAGAAGCAAGAGCAAACAAATTCAAAAGCTAGCAGAAGAAGGCAAGAAATAACTAAGATCAGAGCAGAACTGAAAGAGATAGAGACACAAAAAACCCTTCAAAAAAGCAATTTATCCAGAAGCTGGTTTTCTGAAAAGATCAACAAAATAGATTGTTCGCTAGCAAGACTAATAAAGAAGAAAAGAGAGAAGAATCAAATAGACGCAATAAAAAATGATAAAGGAGATATCACCACTGATCCCACAGAAATACAAACTACCATCAGAGAATACTATAAACACCTCTATGCAAATAAACCAGAAAATCTAGAAGAAATGGATAAATTCCTGGAAATATACACCCTCCCAAGAGTAAACCAGGAAGAAGTGGAATCTCTGAACAGACCAATCACAGTTTCTGAAATTGAGGCAATAATTAATAGCCTACCAACCAAAAAAATCCAGGACCAAACGGATTCACAGCCGAATTCTATCAGAGGTACAGAGGAGCTGGTACCATTCCTTCTGAAACTATTCCAATCAATAGAAAAAGAGGGAATCCTCCCTAACTCATTTTATGAGGCCAGCATTATCCTAATACCAATGTCTGGTAGAGACACAACAAAAAAAGAGAATTGTAGGCCAATATCCCTGATGAACATCAATGTGAAAATCCTCAATAAAATGCTGGCAAACCGAATCCAGCAGCACATCAAAACATCCATCACGATCAAGTTGGCTTCATCCCTGGGATGCAAGGCTGGTTCAACATATGCAAATCAATAAATGTAATTCATTACATAAACAGAACCAATGACAAAAACCACATGATTATCTCAATAGTTGCAGAAAATGTCTTCGACAAAATTCAACAGCCTTTCACGCTAAAAACTCTCAATAAACTAGATATTGATAGAACGTATCTCAACATAATAAGAGCTGTTTATGGCAAACCCACAGCCAATATCATACTGAATGGGCAAAAACTGAAAGCATTCCGTTTGAAAACCGGCACAAGACAAAGATCCCGTCTCTCAACATTCCTATTCAACATAGTATTGGAAGTTCTGCTCAGGGAAATCAGGCAAGAGAAAGCAATAAAGAGTATTCAAATAGGAAGAGAGGAAGTCAAATTCTCTTGGTTGCAGATGACATGATTGTATATTTAGAAAACCCCACCGTTTCAGCCCAAAATCTCCTTAAGCTGATAAGCAACTTCAGCAAAGTCTCAGGATACAAAATCAATGTGCAAAAATCACAGGCATTCCTATATACCAATAACAGACAAACAGAGAGCCAAATCATGAGTGAACTCCCGTTCACAATTGCTAAGAGAATAAAATACCTAGGAATCCAACTTACAAGGGATGTGAAGGACCTCTTCAAGGAGAACTACAAACCACTGCTCAAGGAAATAAGAAAGGACACAAACAAATGGAAAAACTTTCCATGCTCATGGATAGGAAGAATCAATATCATGAAAATGACCTTACTGCCCAAATTAATTTATAGATTCAATGCAATCCCCATCAAGCTACCACTGACTTTCTTCACAGAATTTGAAAAAGCTCCTTTAAACTTCATATGGAACCAAAAAAGAGCCCGCATAACCAAGACAATCCTGGGCAAGAAGAACAAAGCTGGAGGCATCACACTTCCTGACTTCAAACTTTACGACAAGGCTGCAGTAACCAAAACAGCATGGTACTGGTACCAAAACAGATACATAGACCAACGGGACCGAACGGAGGCCTCAGAAATAACACCACACATCTACCACCATCTGATCTTTGATAAACCTGACAAAAACAAGCAATGGGGTAAGGACTCCCTATTTAATAAATGGTGTTGGGAAAACTGTCTAGCCATATACAGAAAACTGAAACTGGACCCCTCCCCTACACCTTGTACAAAAATCAACTCAAGATGGATCAAAGAATTAAACATAAGACCTAGGACCATAAGAATCCTAGAAGAAAACCTGGGCAATACCATTCAGGACAGAGGCATGGGCAAAGACTTCATGTCTAAAACACCAAAAGCAATGGCAACAAAAGCCAAAATTGACAAATGGGATCTAATTAAACTAACATCCCATTCTTATATACCAATGTAGGAATCAAGAGCTTCTGCATTGCAAAAGAAACTACCATCAGAGTGAACAGGCAACCTACAGAATGGGAGAAAATTTTTGCAGTCTACCCATCTGACAAAGGGCTAATATCCAGAATCTACAAAGAACTTAAACAAATTTACAAGAAAAAAGCAAACAACCCCACCAAAAAATGGGCAAAGGATATGAACAGACACTTCTCAAAAGAAAACATTTGTGCAGCCAACAGACACATTAAAAATGCTCATCACCACTGGTCATTAGAGAAATGCAAATCAAAACCACAATAAGATACCATCTCATGCCAGTTAGAATGGCTATCATTAAAAAGTCAGGAAACAACAGATGCTGGAAAGGATATGGAGAAATAGGAACACTTTTACACTGTTGGGAGTGTAAAATTAGTTCAACCATTGTGGAAGACAGTGTGGCGATTCCTCAAGGATCTAGAACTAGAAATACCATTTCACCTGGCAATCCCATTACTGGGTTTATAGTCAAATGATTATAAATCATTCTATGATAAAGAGACATGTACATGTACATTTATTGTGGCATTGTTCACAATAGCAAAGACTTGGAACCAACCCAAATGTCCACCAATGGTAGATTGGATTAAGAAAATGTGGCACATATACACCATGGAATACTATGCAGCCATAAAAAAAGATGAGTTCATGTCCTTTGCAGGGACATGGATGAAGCTGGAAACCATCATTCTCAGCAAACTATCCCAAGATCAGAAAACCAAACACCACATGTTTTCACTCATAAGAGGGAGTTGAACAATGAGAACACATGGACACAGGGAGGGGAACATCACACACCAGGGCCTCTGGGGGTTGAGGGACTAGGGGAAGGATAACATTAGGAGAAATACCTAATGACGGGTTGATGGGTGCCACAAACCACCATGGCACATGTATACCTATGTAACAAAACCGCATGTTATGCACATGTCACCCAGAAATTGAAGTATAATTAAAAAAAAAGAAATATCTGAGACTGGGTAATTTATAAAGAAAAGATATTTAATTGGTTCATGGTTCTACAAGCTGTACAGGAAGCATGTCAGTGCCTTCCTTCTTCTGGGGATGCTTCAGGCAAAGTGGGAGCAAGCATCTTACATGGCAGGAGTAGGAAAGAGAGATAGGGAGGAGGCACTACACACTTTAAAACAACAAGATCTCCTAAAGACTCACTCACTATACAGTACCAAGGGGGGATGGTGCTAAACTATTCATGAGAACTTCACCCCCATGATCCAATCACCTCCCACCAGGCCCCACCCCCTACACTGTGTATTACAATTAGACATGAGATTTGAGCAGGGACAGAAATACAAACTATATCATTCTGCCCCTGACCCTTCCCAAATCTCATGTCCTTTTCACATTGCAAAATACCACCATGCTTTCCCAACAGTCCCCCAAAGTCTTAACTTATTTCAGCATAAACTCAGAAGACCAAAGTCACATCTGAGAGAAGGCTAGTCCTTTTCACCTATGAGTCTGTAAAATAAAAACAAGTTAGTTGCTTGCAAGATACAATGAGAGTAAAGGCATAAGGCAAATACTCCCATTCCAAGAGGGAGAAATTGCCCAAAAGAAAGGAGCTAAGGGCCCCATTTGAGGACAAGGAGTCTTTCCAGGGCACACTGGCGCAAGAGGTAGGCTTCTGAACCCTTAGGTGGTTCCGCCGCTGTGGCTTTGCAGGGTTCAGCCCCACAAATGATCTCATGGGCTGGCATTGAGTTATCTGTGGCCTTACCAGGTGCAGGGTGCAAACTGTCAGTGGCCCTACCTTTCTTGGGTCTGGAAGATGGTGGCCCTCTTCTCACAGCTCCATGATGCAGAGCCTCAGTCTGGACTCTGTGTGGGGGCTCCAAGCTCACATTTTCCATGTGCACTGCCCTAGTAGAGGTTCTCCATGAGAGCTCTGCCCCTGCAGCAGGCTTCTGCCTGGACATCCAGGCTTTTACATACATCCTCTAAAATCTAGGTGGAAGCCCCCAAGCCTCAACCCTTGCATTCTGTGCACCTGCAGGCCTAACACCATGTGGCATCTGCCAATGTTTACTGCTTGCACCCTTTGAATTAGTGACTGGAGCTGAACTTGGACCCCTTTGAGCCATGGCTGGAGCTGGAGTGGCTGGTATACAGGGAGCAGTGTTCCAGGGACCCACAGGGTAGCAGGGACCTAGGCCTGGCCCATTAAACCATTTTATCCTCCTAGGCTTCTGGGCCTATGATGAGAGGGGCTGCTGCAAAGGTCTCTGAAATGCCTTTGAGGCCTTTTCCCTATTGTTTTGTCTATCAATCCTTGGCTCCTCTTTACTAAAGCAAATTTCTGCAGCCTGATTTAATTGTTCCCCTGAAAATGGGCTTTTCTTTTCTACCACATTGCTAGGCTGCAAATTTTCCAATCTTTTATGTTCTGCTTCTCTTTTAAATATAAGTTTCAGTTTTAGGTCTTTTCCTTGCTCACACATATGAGCTTAGGCTGTTAGAAGCAGCCAGGTCAATTCTTGAATGCTTTGCTGTTTAGAAATTTCATCTGCTAGATACCCTAAATCATCACTCTCAAGTTCAAAGTTCCACACATCCCTAGAGCAGGGGCACAATACTGCCATTCTCTTTACTAAAGCATAGCAAAAGTGAGCTTTGTTCAGGAGTTCGAGACCAGCCTGGCCAACATAGTGAAACACCATCTCTACTAAAAATACAAAAAATTAGCCAGGTGCTGTGGTGTGTGCCTGTAATCTCAGCTACTTAGGAGGCTGAGGCAGCAGAATTGCATGAACCCAGGAGGCGGAGGTTGCAGTGAGCTGAGATCATGCCATTGCACTCCAGCCCAGGTGACAGTGTGAGACTTCATCTCAAAAAAAAAAAAAAAAAAAGTTGGCCTTTGCTTTAGTTCCCAATAAGTTCCTCATTTCCATCTGAGACCTCCTCAACCTGGACTTCATTGTCCATGTTACTATCAGTATTTTGCTCACAGCAATTTAATAAGTATCTAGGAAGTTCCAACTTTTCCCTTATCTTCCTTTCTTTTTCTGAGCCCTCTGTACTTTTCTACCTCTGGCTGTTACTCAATTGCAAAGCTGCTTCCACATTTTCAGGTATCTTTATAGCAGTGCCCTATTCCTAGTACCAATTTTCTGTATTAGCCCATTCTTGCACTGCTATAAAGAAATACCTGAGACTGGGTAATTTATAAAGAAAAGAAGTTTAATTGGCTCATGATTCTGCAGACTGTAGAGTAAACATGGCAGCATCTGCTTCTGAGGAAGCCTCAGGGAGCTTTCATTCATGGTGGAAGCTGCTGTGGGAGCAGGCATCTTACCAGGCAGGAGAAGGACCAAGAGAGAGAGAGGAGAGGTGCCATACATTTCTAAACAACAACATCTCAGGAGAACTCACTTATTGTACAGTACCAAGGAGGCATAGAGCTAAACCATTCATGAGAACTCACTCATTATACAGTACCAAGGAGGCATAGAGCTAAACCATTCATGAGAACTCTGCCCTCATGATCAAATCACCGGCCACCAGGCCCCACCTCCAACACTGGGGATTGCAATTCAACATGAGATTTGGGTGGGGACACAGATCCAAACCATATCTTCAGGACTTCCAATTGTTTTCTCATGTAAAACAGAGTGGAATTGAACTTTTAAATAGATGAATTTGAAGCCATAAAAATACCAAAGAAGAGAAGAAAATTTTAAAAATTCTTAAATAAAGGAGATTGTTTCCAAGTCAAAAACAAAACCCAGATACTGTAGAAGGACTTTTTATTTTGGCTGTATAAAACTGAGAAACATTTAAAGTAGTATTACATTGGTAAAAAAGAAAAAAAAATAATCAAATGCTTGTTAAGTATCAACTCTCTAAAGTTAATCTATGAATTTAGGGCTAAACTAACTGAAATACAAATAAGTTAGCAAGAAATATGGTTGTTGTTGATTTGGTTTTTTGTTTGCTTTAAACAAATCAATATTTATTGAAATAAATATTAGATAATTTGTACAGATTTCTTTTCACACCCCATAGCATAGAGAAATGGTTTTTTAATGTTTCAAATGTCTCCACCTGATCACGTCAAACTTCAATTATGTTTTAAGTAACAGTGAACCAATTAATTAAATTAAAATGCAATTCTTATACAATCCAATTCTAGAGGGTCCAATGAACTGGGAACAATATATTCTTAAGAATTATATTAAAGCCATCTATATTCTGGAAGCACTATCTTAGAATAATTATGTAAAACTTCTATGAGAGTAAATGTAACATCAATTAAGTAACAAAGTAAATTAAAAAGGCATCACTCAGAATTTTAATTTAAAGGGAGAAAATACATCAGGCATCTTTCTCTGTCTGTGGGTGTTCTGAAGTTGGATGCTCTAAATCGGAATTAAACCTGCACATCTTCTTGCATCCCTGAGCCCTCACAGATCACCCCTCTGCTCCACTGGGGACTGGAGGGTGCCCGGGGTACTCTGACCCTCATAGGCTGACACTGTGGGCCATATGTAGGATAGCAGGCCTTGGAAAAGGCTGGATCTCAAATTCTAATTCAACAAATCTTTGCTTGAACATTTTCTTTCCTTAGATTCTTAAACTTTCTGTTGATCAACAGGCCTGTCAACCAATTTTCTTGAGTTAGTTTCTCATGGGAGCTGACCTGTCTTTTGTTGAATAAAATGGTGCTTTCCATTTTCTTTCTCCTGGTCTTTGTTTTTTTCCTGTAACAGTCAAGCTTTTGCTGTATAAGGCTGATGCATTCATATACAATAGGACATTTCTCTTTTTTCTAAGCAGTCAATTCTCTTCTCCCACTGATTTTTTGCAAAGTTGCGTTTCACATTCTGTATGTAGTTTAGGCAGGGTCTGAAGTACCACATGCAGGTTTTGATTCTAACTTCCAAGCTGCATTTTCACCACTGCTTGGTTAGAGACTTTTGATTTAAACTACAGATCTTTTATGCTTTTTTTTTTTTTTTTTTTTTGCATAGCTTGTAAAATACTTTTTTTTCTTTTCTCTTTTTAGTTCTTTTAAATCAACATTTAAGTTAACATTATCAATGAAGTTTCATCAAGCTGATACCCGACTTATCCTCTTAGTCTCCGTTTATCGATTCATCCTCTCTTTCTAATTCCTTGTGGCTGTTAGCATGTAATATATACATAAAGCAGATAAATGTATCATCTTCAGCACAGATTCAGTCAGAGATTTTAATTGGCTGTCTTTCTCATTTACATCTGGTTTCCTTGTGTTTTGAAGTTTTCAAGCATTTCTTTCTGTTCTTTTAGCACTCATACTCTTTCTGTTTACCAAACGTCTTCTTGGGTGAGTAGTTTTCAGCTTTCTTGAAGGTAAACAGTTTCTTCAAAACCATTAACTGTTTCCCTATGATGTTGTAGTGTATTCTTCTGAGATGCTTTTGAAATAATCTTGGCCCCAATCACATGGAACCAGAGAACTTCTGATGCCTCTTTGAGTGATTGTGTCTGTTATTTAAGACTGTCCATCACCACCCAATGGAATAAAATTTAGGAGACTTTTCTGGTTTTGGTCAAGAAGGTCTACTGTATCTCCTTGTGAAAATGTGGACTTACTCATATCTTTACAAAGTTTTCCCAAACACAGATTTTGTGACTTCAGAAGGCTGGCCTCCACTGCAGGTGACTCAAGAACTTGAAAGGCTATGTAATGAGTCTGTTCTTCTCACTAATTTTATGACACTTTTCAACTCAGACAGAAAATCTTTTGGCTAGCTCATTTCCATTATTTTATTGTACAGCCCATCAAAGCAGCATTTTCTTGGAAAGGGACACTGAAACAGACTTGAGCCTTGTGTCCATAATTCAGACAACACCGTTACAGCACTGCATAGCTGCCACAGGACTAGCTGGAAGGACACTTTTTGTGGCCACCAGCAAGCCCTCTGTCTTAGTCAGTTCAGGCCACTATAACAGAATACCAAAGACTGAGTACCTTAAACAACAAACATTTATTTCTCACAGTTCTGGAAGCTGGGGAGTCCAAGATCTAGGTGCTGGTCTCGAAGGCTCATTTCCTTGTTTGCAAATGGCTGCCTCCTCAGATGGCATAGAGCAAAGAGAAATAGCTCTCTGGTCTCTTTATCCCCTTCTAAGGGCACTTATCTCATTCCTGAGGGCTCTACCCTCATGACCTAATTGAACTTCCAAATACCATCACATTGGGGAATTTAGGCTTTAATACATATATGGTTGGGTTTGGGGTGAGGAACAGAAATATTCAGATCATGGCACTCTTTCTGGCTTCAGTGGGCACTGCAGCTCTGCTTCTGGCCAGCTGCCTGTGGGCTACAACTGCCTACCCAGACCTTGTCCTTGACAACTAGGGCAGACCCTCAGAGGGGTTTCAGCAGGGTCCACACTTAACAAACAAAAATAAAAAGTGCTCTCTAACTTTGCTCTAAATTTGCACATGCAGAAAGGGTTCTTATTTGTGTAGTACATTGGGGGAAAGGGAAAAAGCCTATTATACCCAGAACGGACCAGCCTGTGAGCTGTAAGCAATTTAGGCCTACTCGTCTTCACAGGAAACCTCAGGGATTCAAGCAGTAACATGCCCTCACCAAACCTATAGAACAGAGTGGATAAACCTGGCTTTCTAGTTCTGCTTCTGCCTCTTCAATAGCTTCATGACATGGGTCAAAACAGCTTCAATAGCTTCAAAATAGGTTCAGTAGCTTCAAAAATATAATCAATATTTGAGGAAAGCAATATACAACATAAATCAACTTCCTATAGAACATCGTATTTAAGCCTTACTATCTTATGAGGTTAACCCTCCTAGGAGGTTGCTAAATCTAACTGATAACCTTTAGGTTAAATGGCTTGTGTAAGGGCACAGTTTATTAAGTTTGGGGATTGTATTCTGAATCAAAATCATCTGAGTCCAATACAGATTTCCTTGTAAATAATATATTCCTTAATGTGGATACCTCCCTGCTTTCTGCCTCCTGCTTTTAATTGTGATAAAAATATGTAACATTAAATTTACAATCTTAACCATTTTTAAGTGTACAGTTTATCAATATTATGTTCACATTGTTGTGCAAAAGATGTCTAGAACTCTCTGATATTGCAAAACTAAAACTCTACACCATTATACACCAACTCCGCCTCTCCATTCTCCCCCAGCCTTTGGCAACGACTTTTCTCTTATGTTTCTATGATTTTGACTACTTTAGATGTTTCATATGAATGGAATCTCATGCACTCAATCATACAGTATTTGTCCCTTTGGGACTGGCATATTTGCTTATCATAATCTCCTTAAGGTTCAAATATGTTGTAATTCATATTACATAACATTTCACTGTATGTATACACCACATTTTCTTTAGCCATTCATCTTTCGGTAGACCTTTGGGTTGCTTCCTTTTCTTGGCTATTATGAATAATGTGGCAATAAAAATGGGTGTGCAAATATTTATTGGATTCTAATTTGAGTTCTTTTGGATATGCACCCAGTAGTGGGATTGCTGGGTCATATGGTAATTCTATTTTCAATTTTTTGAGGACGCTTCATATTGTTTTCCTCCGCCCTTTAAAATAGGATGTAATAAACAATTTATAAGGACCATCCAATAAAAAAATTATCAGTCCCTTTATGATTCCTTTTTGCCTTTTTTTATTATAATGGCAAAGTGATCATTTTAATAACATGTATCATTTTTTCTTACCTAGGGTAAGAATGTATCATTTATTACTTACCTAGGGTTAATGGAAGAACTTAAGTTTTAATGTTTATTATCCATTCCGTTACTGCTTTCAGCTCAACAGGAATATGGAGAAACACTTATTAAATATTAACTGACAAACTGCTTTTCTTTCTTTTCAAAACTTAGTCCTCAGAATTATGCTGAAGAGATGCTTTGTAGAAGGAATTGGAATAATTTTAATAAATAATTAAATATCTTGAAACAAATAATTTTTATTTTCCTTGGGTATAAATATTTATTTTGCTTGGTTATAAATCATATAATATTTTAAAGAAAAATATTTTTATTTCATATTTTTATTTCTCTTGTTTGCATTTCTAAATCTGATAGAAGTTATTAAGGCAGATAAATTATTACTGTTGAACATGTTGTTACTATGGTTTCAGATCTACCATTTTTTATTAATTGATCCCCAATTTGAGGATAAGCCTATTTTTTTTTTTTCAGTTGCAAGATTTAATAGAGTGAAAACAGAGTTCCCATACAAGAGGAGGGGACCCAAAGGGGGTTGCCCCTCCCTGCTTGAATGCCTGGGGTTTGTATCCCAATCATTGTCCCTCCCACTGTGCTCTCAGATGATAGATGATTTGAGTATTTCTTTACCTCCTGTTTTAGCCTAATTGGTATTTTAGTGAGCCCTCTTTACTACCTGATTGGTTGGGTGTGAGCTGAGTTACAAGCCTCGTGTTTAAAGGTGGGTGCAGTCACCTTCCCCAGCTAGGCTTAGGAATTCTTAGTCAGCCTAGGAAATCCAGCTAGTCCTGCCTCTCAGTTCCCCCTCTCAACAGGAAAACCCAAGTGCTGTTGGGGAGGTTGGCCGACGACTGCTGTAACTGCTTCCTGCAGAATTGGGGCATAGTAGGGGTTGTGCAGTTGAGATTTCCTTGGGAGGGGTGCCTTCAATGTCATTAACATCGGAGCATGGGCTAGCAGGCCGGTCCAGGGGTCTGCGGTAGATCTTAGTCATGGACTGCATCTGGGGCTCTATTTGAAGAACAATTTGTAGTTTTACAGCTTCGATCTGGAAGAGACAAACTTAACAAGGAGGTTAAAGATACAGGGATTGAAATGTCTGGCCTAAAGTGCAGGGGATTATTTCTTTGGCACACTTCACGGGCCCTGACTATCTACTTCATAGTTTTGAAAAGGCCTGGTCCAGTTAATAATGATTTGGCAGGATGAGCCTATTTTTCTTTAATAATTTATCTCTATTTAAACTACCAGACATATAAAAAGTCACAGCATGTAAATACAGCCTACTACAGACACCAAAGTCACATATTTTAGCCAAATAATCCTTGATTTTTTTCCTCTCTCTTTATTGATCTAAAAAATGAAATCAGTGATAAGCCCCAAATAACAAAATCTTATAGGGATTATAGTTATAATCTCTATATATTAGTGTTATATATAGTGATACTATAACACCTCTCTATATACAGAGGTGTTATAGTATCCCCCAACACCTCTGTATTTCTTTTTCTTTTTTTTTTTAATGAAGGATATTTGTTTAAAAAGATAAGAATAAGCACTAAGAAAATAGAAATCTGGCTAGGTGCAGTGGCTCACGCCTGTAATCCCAACACTTTGGGAGGCCAAGGCAGGCAGATCACCTGAGGTCAGGAGTTTGAAACTAGCCTGGCCAACATGGTGAAACCCCGTCTCTACTAAAAATACAAAAATTAGCCAGGCGTGGTGGCACATGCTTGTAGTTCCAGCTACTCAGGAGGCTGAGGCAGCGGAATCACTTGAACCCGGGAGGTGGAGGTTGCAGTGAGCCAAGATCATGCCATTGCACGCCAGCCTGGGTGACAGAGCGAGACTCCATCTCAAAAAAAAAAAAAAAAAAGAAGGAAAATAGAAATCTATTGCTTCCATACTGTGAGGTGGGGGCGGGGGGGGGCGATCTGTTAAGAAGCTAAAGAAGAAAAATATGTGGATTTCCCAGATATTTTCCATAACCCCCATTAAACACATGCAAAATTCTGCGCATGTGTAGGAGAGGGGGCAAATGTGTGTATTTTAGGAAGAAGAGGCTCCATAGTTTATGTGAAATTCTCAAAGGCTTTTTTAACCCCTCAAAAATTTAAGAATCACCAAACTATAGATAGCTGTGCAAATTATTGTTTGATTATCAAATGCTAAACAACATTTAATTATTTTAAATTATCCCCTTCAAAATGATTAATTAGGGAATAATGATTTAGTTTTTCTTCATGTTATTTATTATTAGTTTTTACTTGTGGTCAGTTGAGGCACCAAGAGATGCAAGGCAGTGGGAGGTGGGAGGGGAAGTTAGAGGGGTATCCATTAGCTTCTCATAAGTCATGCCAAATAAATAAGTGAAATAAAATGCATTTGTTTGATATGAAAATTCAGCTTGAAGACAAGTCTGCTTATCTTTCCTTTCTACTAGAACATTCTCCTACGCCCATCTATCTAGGAATTTCTGGAGCTGCCAAAGTAGTAATTAGTGCTAGCAATATTTAAATTTACTTGAATTGCTCCCTAAAACCATAATTGCTTGTTTTTGCCTGTATCTGTCTTTTCACGAACATTTTGAGTTTAGCTCTGTCTTACATTCCCATCCCTAAAGATCATCAGGACTTTTGTTTTCGTGACAATGCTGGGACCAGATTGGCCTTCATCATCTCATAACACCCTTATTTCCTATGGAAAAGTAAAATTGAATTATTCCAGATATGATGACTTTAGGATATCCTTTTCCCTCTTGTACATCCTTCATTGTATTTGTGTTTTCCCTTTGGTCTCCAACGTCCCCACCACCCCCAATCCCTCCACGACTTTTAAGCCCTTGGAAGCCAACTTGATTAGTCAGGTTCTCTAGGGAAATGGAACCAATAGGATATGTTTATTTATTATGTATTATAAGGAATTGGCTCCTGTGATTATGGAGACTGGCAAGTTCAAAATCTGCAGAGCTGATGTTTCTGTTTGAAGGCCCCCAGGCAGGAGAACTCTTTATTACTCTGGGGGTAGGCCAGTTTTTTGTTCTATTCAGGCCTTCACCTAATTGGTAAAGCAAAGTATTCCTAAACGTAGATAACTTCTGGACCACTCACCTTATGGAGAGCAATTTGCTTTACTCTGTCTACCAATTTAAATGTTAATCTCATCAAATAACACCTACACAGAAACACACAGAGAATGTTTGCACAAATATCTGGGCACCCCATGGCCCCGTCAGGTTGGCAAATAAAATAATTCATCACCCAACACTTTCTTTTTGTTTTTTGAGACAGAGTCTTGCTCTGTCACCCAGGCTGGAGTGCAATGAGGTGTTCTTGGTTCACTGCAACCTCCAGCTCCTGGGTTCAAGTGATTCTTGTGCCTCAGCCTCCCAAGTAGCTGAAATCACAGTTGTGCACCACCACACCCAGCTGATTTTTTGAATTTTTAGTAGGGACAGGGTTGTGCTATGTTGGCCAGGCTGGTCTTGAACTCCTCAAGTGATCTGCCCGCCTCAGTTTCCCAAAGTGTTGGGATTACAGGTGTGAGTCACTACACCTGGCCCACACAACACTTTCAAAAAATCTGTTTTATTTCCCTTTATAGGCTTTCTTGTCCCAGATCTATCATTAGAAGAATACTTATTACTGAATGTTTATTAAATAAACACAAAAGAGTTGGGCTAAACCCTGAAACTAGAGCATTTTCCCTGCATTTCAGAGTATGTCTTCTACTTTTTCAGTATAAAAACCAAAAGAAGGAGGAAGTGGAGGGCAGGGGTTTTGGTGCAGGGGAGAGGCAGGCCATGAGCTTTACAGAGTCACACACTGAAAGTGAGCAGCACCTAGTATCAGTGGAGATTCTTTTTATTTTATTTTATAGATAGTCTTGCTCTGTGGCCTAGGCTGGAGTGCAGTGGCATGCAGCCTTGACCTCCTGGGCTCAAGTGATCCTCCTGTCTCAGGCTCCTGAGCAGCTAGGACTATAGGCACATATCACCACATGTGGTTTTTTTTTTTTTTTTTAATTTTTTGCAGAGATGGGGTCTGCTATATTGCCTAGGCTGATCTCAAACTCCTGGCCTCAAGCAATCCTCCCACCATGACCTCTAAAAGTGCTGGGATTACAGGTGTAAGCCACTGTACTTGGCCCAGCAGAGATTCTTGAAACTTACTCTCTCATGGTGGTTGCACCTCCAAAAAAGACACTACCTAAGTTACCTACTCTCCCATGGAGCGGGGTTTCTGGCTCAGTAATGCTCTCTCTTCTCTTATAAGCTCCCCTCAGGAAATGTCATGTCAGAATAAAAAGTACAGATTTTTACATTCAGTTTTGTAAGAATCCCTTTTCCTTCCTTTGCCTGATTAATTTCTCTTTTCATTCAATTGAAAAAATTTCTCAAGACAGGATTAGAGTTTTTCTTTCTTTCTTTTTTTTTTTTTGAGATGGAGTCTCTCTCTCTTGCCGCCCAGGCTGGAGTGCAGTGGCACGATCTCAATGCACTGCAACCTCCCCCTCCCGGGTTCGAGTGATTCTCTGCTTCAGCCTCCAGAGTAGCTGGGATTACAGGTGACTGCCACCATGGCCGGCTAAGTTTTGTATTTTTAGTAGAGATGGGGTTTCACCATGGTGGCCAGGCTGGTCTCGAACTCCTGACCTCAGGTGATCCACCCACCTTGGCCTCCCAAAGTGCTGGGATTACAGGCATGAGCCACCATGCCTGGCCTCCCTTCTCCTTTCTTTAGATGAATTATTTTTACAGTACTAGTTGTTCTACTTAGTCAGTCTTCTATGTTTCTTTAATTTTTTTTTTTTTTTTTTTTGAGACGGAGTCTCGCTCTGTTGCCCAGGCCGGACTGCGGACTGCAGTGGCGCAATCTCGGCTCACTGCAAGCTCCGCTTCCCGGGTTCACGCCATTCTCCTGCCTCAGCCTCCCGAGTAGCTGGGACTACAGGCGCCCGCCACCACGCCCGGCTAATTTTTTGTATTTTTAGTAGAGACGGGGTTTCACCTTGTTAGCCAGGATGGTCTCGATCTCCTGACCTCATGATCCACCCGCCTCGGCCTCCCAAAGTGTTTAATTTTTATTTTATTAATAACAGAAGAGTAGGATTGCCTTTATTTTTAGTACTTCTTTCTAAGGGAGGTGGATGTTTATAGTAGTTTGGAATAAGTGAAAGTATTGAGTATAGTTGTGGCTGGTGCTAGGGCCCACCCAGTTACAGGGCAGCTGTACAGTTTTCAGAGAAGGGAGATGGTAGACAGGATGAACATCCTCCCCCTCACCCCAAAGTATCTGCCTAAGGGAATTAGTAAAATTCCCAAAAACACGTCCTTTTTGCAGTGACTTGAAAATTCAGATCCTTGAGGTCATGAAATTCTGGCACACACATTACTGTACTTTTCTGAATGACTGCTGTCTTTATAAAACTCCACTTTTCAGGAGAGTTTTGGAGTACAAGTCATTTTAACTAGAATTTGCTGTAGAATTCCATAATGGCAAGGCCACTCCTCAATTAAATCTATTTATTGACTCAGGTCATACCTCATTCACCTTAGTAGTAAATAAAGTGAATGCTATTTATTGATTGATTTATTTATTTATTAGAGACATGGTTTTTCTCTTCACCCAGGCTGGAATGCAGGGGCATGATCATGGCTCACTGTGGCCCTGACCTCCTGGGCTCAATTGATTCTCCCACCTTGGCCTCTGGAGTAGCTGGGACTACAGGTGCACGCCACCGTGCCTGGCTAATTTTTAAATATTTTTGAAGAGATGAAGTCTCCCTATTTTGTCCAGGCTCGTCTTGAACTCCTGGATCAAACAATCCTCCCCCACCTTGGCCTCCCAAAGTACTGGGATTACATGCATGAGCCAATGCACCCGGCCCCAAATTTATTTATTTATTTATTTATTTATTTATTTATTTATTTATTTGGAGATGGAGTCTCACTCTGTTGCCCAGGCTGGGGTGCAGTGGTGTGATCTTGGCTTACCGCAACCTCTGCCTCCCAGGTTCAAGCAATTCTCCTGCCTCAGCTGGGACCACAGACACGCGCTACATGCCCGGCTAATTTTTGTATTTTTAGTACAGATGGGGTTTCGCTATGTTGGCCAGGCTGTTTTCAAACTCCTGACCCTTGATCTGCCTGCCTTGGCTTCCCAAAGGGCTGGGGTTACAGGAGTGAGCCACCGCACCTGACCCCAGATTTATTTTTGAAGAATTCTTTCATCAATGAGAAACACTGCAACTCATTTTTATAAGTTATTATATTAAGTAAACAGAAGGACATTCACAAGAGCTAAATATACTGTCTTACTGCCCAAACACAATTATAGAGTAGCTTCTTTTCTGCAAACACAATAATTAATTCAAATTAAGCTCTTGGCGAGTCTTTCCAACTTGACTCTATCACATGAAATGTTATTTTCATATATTCTAAAGAGGCTCAGATAAGAAAAGAAAGATGAATTATATTTTAGAATGTACTACTTTAAAGCTCTAAGCCCCTACTGTTAGCAGTTCTGTGCACAATTCTTAAATATATAAATCAGTTAATTTTTATAAATGTAGACTCCTATGTAACCACCATACAGATCTGTATCTGTTGATCAATATCAATATGGAATATCTCCAGCACTTTAGGAGGCTGTATCAATCGTTAGTTACTCCTACTAGCCGTATATAAAAGTTCCAGTGGCTCTATATGCTCACAATTGCTTTGTATTGTTATTTTTATTAAACATTCCATTGTGTATTGATAACTAATTATAGTTTTAATTTCCATTTCTCTGATGATTAATCTGTTAAGTACTTATTATATGGTTATTGGCCATAATACCAGTTATCTTTTATAGACATCAGTACTCAAACATTTCTTTTGGCCTTTAGTTTCTTACTATCTCTTAAGATTGTTGCCATTTATTTACTATTCTTAGGCTAAACCTAGTTTTGCTAAATGTAGAAATCACTTCAAGATTCATCCTCTAATATCCCAGAGTGTAGGAGTTGAAGTTTCAGAATGGAAAATCTTGTCTTTACGCTTGTGGTCTTTTAATAGGTTTTTTCTTTTTTGAATAGGAGGCTTAGATATAATTAAACTGCCTATCTTTTGATGCTAATGACAAGCACACACAAAGAAACAATTTACGTTGTTTTGTTTTCTCAATATCAAATTGAGAATTCTGTCAATTAAAAAATTTGTGTATATATATCAATTTAATACATATACATATATATAGTGTGTATATATACATATATATATATATATATATATATGTCCATTTAAGCTTTATAAATTTGTCAATTTATAAAGCCTGAAATAGGACAAGTTTTCCTTGCAGTGGTCTTGGTTTTCAGTCACCACACCTTGGAGAATGGAATTTAAAATGTCAGAGAACAGGGGTTGGTATTAGAGATGTCACATTACTTTTCACTATCATGGTTAAATGCACATTATTAAGATTAGAATGTGTTGCTTTCTGACATAAAGAGTTCCCATAACTAAATGTATTGAAGCAGAAACTAATGGCCATTTGCCAGATAACAAGAATGAATTTTTGCATTTAGTTGTAAGAGACGTTTTATTCTAAGTTTCCTTTTAAACTATAAGGTAATTTAAGCTCACTATACGGGAATTCTTCTTTATGACACAAGAATATCAATTACATGCCTCTTAAAGATACCTTCATGACCATTAGCTCACTTGATCTTAACAAGTCTGAAAAATAGGCTGTTAACATTTTTATTCCAATTTTATGGATGAAGAAAATAGAGCCCTAAAATTGTTCCATCTGGCTCGCCTATAAAGTGGCAGAGCCTGGAATAGGACATCGTTTCCCTGGCACTGGTCTTGGTTTTCAGTCACCACATCTTGGGGCTGGAATTTAAAACCCCAGAGAACAGGGATAGCTTGTTCACAGGTGCGAGAGCTTGCTCACATGCTCTTTGTCATATATGTATATGAAAAACACACACATATATATATATGCATATATTCATTTGGAGGATTTATATGAGATGAAATATATAGTATGAGATGTGATCATGTGCAGAATATGATGTAAGGTGAAAATTACAAAGTGGTAGCTCCAATAAGGTTTGAGTTTACATGAGTGTCTCGGGGTTTGAGAGATCCAACTGATGAAGAAATACATACTGTTAAGAGAGAATCAGTGCAAAAGTTGATATTGTTAGGTGAATGACAAATTGTGAGCATCCCATTTGTCATGTATTGTGGCGGAGAGTGAGACAGAAGGAGAAGTTTGACTATGTACTTGTAAAATTCTTGGTACACACATTCTACATGCCATTTTCCAAAGTTTAGGGAGAATATAAACATTAGCAACAAGTCTTTAAAAGCATAAGAAGAAATAAGGGAAAAGGGAAAAGAATATAACAATTTATTATTTAGCCATAATATTGTATTTATATAGACTTTTAAATTAGTTATTTGGAATAAAAGATTCCCAAATTTTAAGTATCAGCTTGGTAATGTGGGGAAATGTATCGGGCATTATGTTCGATTGTAAATATCAATTTTCTTCAAGAAACTCTTTGTGCTGTCTATCTGTATTGAAAACCAGATGGAAAATCCTGTCCATTTTTTATTATTTCCAGTGTGGCTGGTGTTTTATCAGTTGCCAAGTCATGGTCACCTGTGGCTCTGTCTTGGCAGCTATGTGTTTAACAGGCCAGACATTATGTTCACAGGAAGGGCCTCCTGAAGCATAACTAAAAAGCAAATAACTCACATGACCCAGGTTCTGATAATAAGGATTTGCTGAATACATAATTTGACGTGTTTTGCTTTGAGCAGACACACTATCCAGTGCTTTTGTTGGCATCACTGCCAAAGACTTTTGCACACAAACAATTAGTTGCAAGTCGTTTGATTTTCCACACAGGAAACCCAGCACAGAACAGCCAGTCCGCTAAAGATATATCTTCTCTTTTCCTATTGTTTTCATTCTGTTAAACTCCAGCCATTAACACATTAATGGACCCATAACTGGGGCAGAGGACTCCTCAGGGTGTAACACTCATAGTCCCAAGGCTCTCTCTAAATTTAGTTGAAAGACTTTTCATAATCATCAGAGAGTGGAAGCAGTAAATAGATAAGGTGCATAATTGGCTTGCTCTTCTAGAAGATTCTAAATGATGGTCCATTTTCATATATTCTTGGTAGTCTGAAATATGTCTTTCTCCTTTACAATGGTTTCTTCCATATTTCGCATTCTTATGCTGAATGTGGACTGAGTGCTAACACAGATTCTAATTAGCCATTTAATTACAGGCAAGACTATTAAGCTGTTGGGCTTCAATCAGCCTCACCTGTAAAATGAATGGGTTGGAGAATTGAAATCCTTTTCAGTGGTTCTTAATCTGGTCTTCACACAGATATTGACCTAGAGAATTTAAGAACATGCTGATGCCCATGCCCTACTTCTAGAGATTCTGATTTAACGTTCCAGTTTGGTGTATAATCTGGGTAGTACACTACAATATAAGACTTCTCTGCACAGTAGAATCACCTAGGGAGTTTTAAAAAACCAATGCCTGATCTGTAGTTTTCCCTAAAGGTTCTCAGGTGATGGATTACAAAGTGCTACCTAGCTTGAGAGTCACTGCTCCCAAATAACATAACCTGTCATTTTACAAAAAAATATAAAGGAGATATGTATTGGTACTACACAGTATATGCATATCAGATAGCTCGTACCATTTAGGCTGATTACGTTTTGCAGCCCTGCATACTCTGAGCAAACATAGTCGTTAATCCATTTCCTCAGAAAACATTTATTGACTACTCACTATATGCTACATTCGTTGCTAAGTATTTATTACTATTATTTGTAGAGATGGGGTCTTGCTGTGTTGTCCAGGCTGGCCTTGAAGTCCTGGCTTCAAGTGATCCTCTTGCTTCTGCTTCCAAAAGTGCTGGGATTATAGGGGTGAGCAATCACACCCAGCCTTTACCAAGGACTCATAATCATGTTTACAATGTTGCCATGTTCACTAAAGTTTGCTTGAAATGATAAAATAGAAAAATGGGTGTACCTCATATTATGGTCTAAAACTAAAAGTCCATTTCCAGACTAAAAGTTAATGATTATACCTGATTTAAAAATTAACATGGAGCTGGGCATGGTGGCTCACGCCTGTAATCCCAGCACTTTGGGAGGACGAGGTGGGTGGATCACCTGAGGTCAGGAGTTCGAGACCAGCCTGGCCAACCTGGTGAAACCCCGTCTCTACTAAAAACACAAAAACTAGCTGGGTGTGGTGGTGGGTGATTGTAATCCCAGCTACTCAGGAGGCTGAGGCAGGAGAATCACTTGAACCCGGGAGGTGGAGGTTGCAGTGAGCCAAGATTGCACCACTGCACTCCAGCCTGGGCAACAGAGCGAGACTCTGTCTCAAAAAGAAAATAAATAAAAAATAAATAAAAATTAACATGTAGGGTAGGGGCACAGCAAGATGGCTGTATAGAAGTCTCCACTAATTGTCCTGCCTGCAGGAACACCAAATTTAGCAACCAACTACACACAAACAAAGCATCTTCATAAGAATCAAAAATCAGGTACCAGCTTGGCCATGGAGGGTGGAGTACCAAGTGGGCTCTTGGTGTTACTAGATCCTTGGAATGTTGCTTTTCCAGCCAGAAACTTCTGTGACCAGTGGTGCCTTTGCCCGAGTTCTGCTCGGCCCGCTGGGCCCACTCACTCTGGCAGGCTATGCTCAGCTTGCATTACTGGTCACAACTCTGAAGAAATTGGACTGGAGTGATGAGAGGTGTGTAAGCAAGTGAGCGTGAGGGTCCGACCACTGCACACAGTCAGGCATGCTGGCTGCTGTAGTGGGGTGGGCGGTTCCAGGTGCTGGTATAGGTGCTGGCTTACTATGAGGCTGCAGCTGGACCAGGCACACTGCAAGCAACTTCCATGGCTAGAACCAGGGAATGTGGTGGTGCCTGGAAGCTTGGAGACTCCAGGAATTGCAGGGCCCGAAAGAGGGACTCACAGCCCTGGCTTGAGAAGCTCCCAAGTCTGGGATCCCCAAAGGGCCTCAGCTCTATCTTCCTTCTCTCTTCTCTCCTTCTCTCTTCTCTTCTTTTTGTTGCCCGCAATGTGGCAAGCAAGGGGTGTGTTTAGCCTTGTGTTATAGCTGTTTTAGCACTGCCATTCAGCAGATCCTGAATTCTTGCCCTGAGTTCAGGAAGAATGAGGTATGCAGACAAGTGGAGAGTAAGCAAGACAAAGAGGAAGCTTTATTGAGTGATAGAACAGTTCGGAGGAGACCTGCAGTGGGCACCTCCTCTCTGTAGGCAGGTCGTCCTGTCGAGTGTTCAGCTCTCAGCAGAGAGGGAAGTTCCTCTATGCTGCTGGTTATCCTGTCTTCTCCTCAGCTCTCAGCACAGAGGAGACTCTGGGGTGGGCAGCTCCTCTCTGCAGCTGGTTGTCCCATCATCTCCCCATAGTCTCTCTGTCCTGTGCTTGAGTCTGGCGGAGTCTGGGGTTTTTATGGGCCTCAGAGGGGAAGAAGTACATGCTGATTAGTCCATGGGTGGCATGGGCAGACCGAGGGAAAAGCACCACAAGTTTCCACTCCGGTCTGTGGGACTGGTGGCCTGACCCCCAGGCTTCAGGTTCTCCCTGGTTTGAAGGTTGGGCTTCACTGAGGACCAGCCCCCTTCGGCCTAGGAGCCTGTCTGCTTCCTGCTGCTTGTTAATGGCACCCAGACTGTTCATGCCAAGGCATGCCTGCAGGCCAGTACCAGGCTGTCCTCAGTCCCTCCTTGGCCTGCCTCCCCTGCTTGTTGGCACCCAAAGTCTGTAGGGAGGCTGACATCAGGGAGAAGCCAGGCAGTGGAAGCAGGCACTTTCAAGTCTGTGGTAGGGCAGGGGACCATCCCAGGTGCCTGAGAGTGCAGAAATGCCTGAGTTCACAGCTGCAGAAGGGAGGCTGCAGATGCACCTGGGAGCTCCCACCCCACCTGCAGGAGCGGGGCTCCCACTCGTCCCTGGCTCCCATTGGCTCTGTACAGCATGCAGCCCTGGCTGTACCTCCTTGCAGCCCGGGGTGGGGGCTCCAGGTCCTAGCTGGGCCCCTCTCTGCCTGCTCCTTTATGCCCACCTGCACTGCTCTTCCTACATTGGGTGGCTTAGTTTGGACCCATTGCAGTGGCCCCTAGAGGGCTGGGCTCCCGGGGGGCTCCCAGGGGCAGCCCTGGGGATTGTCTGCCTCCACCCTGTGCCCTCCGCGCAGTGGTGGAGGGTGAGAGTGGTGACACAGGTCCAGGGTCTGAAGTGGCGGAGGCTTCACGCCTGGGAGTGGATCCCCGCCACGTGAGGGTGGGGGTGGTGCAGTTGGCTGCCTTAGGAATGCTGGGCACAGGGGCCACAGGGCACAGGGGTCCCACTGCCACTACTGCCACTCCCACAGCCACTTCTGCCACTGCTCCTGGTGCAATGGCAGCGGGCACTCTGGATGGCTCACTGCTACCATTATTGGGGTCCTCAATTTCAGGCCTTGGCTCTTGGATGGCATTTCTGGACCTGTGCTGGGCCAGTGGGAAGCCACTGCTCTGAAGGCTGAGTTCCAAGCCTGGCAAGCATCACCACAAGTTGACTAAAGAGCCCTTTAGCCTTAAGTGAACATCAGCAGTAGCCTGGCAGTACCTGCTGTGAGTCTGTGGTGGGAGATGCTTCTCTGCCTGTGGAAAGGGGAGGGAAGAGTGGGAAGGACTTTGTCTTGTGGTTTGAGTGCCAGCTTAGCAGTAGAATACAACATCAGATAGATTTCCAAGGTTTTTGCCTCCAGTCCCTGGCTCCCAGACAGCATTCTGGACCCATGTGGGGTCTGGAGGAACACAATACCCTGACATGAAGGACACAAGTCTGTCTGGCTTTACCTCTTTCTGATTGTAGAGCCCTAGAGCCTTGAGTGAACGTAGACAGTAGTCAAATAGTGGTTACAGTGGGCCCTGGGTGAGAACCAGTGCTGTGCTGGCCTCAGGTCTAAAACAGCACAGTCCCAGTGGTGGTGGCCACAGGAGTGCTCATGGCACCCTACCCCTAGCTCAGGTGGCTCAGCACAGAGAGAGTGAGACTCCATTTGTTTGGGAGAAAGTAAGAGAAGAGAACAAGAGTCTCTACAGAAGTTGTAGTTGTAATCCAGAAAATTCTTGTCCAAGACTACTAAGGCGGTACCTCCATGGGTCTGCAGGAACCACAGGATTACTGGGCTTAGGATGCCTGCGAATGCAGACACAGCTTATATTACAACATCCAAGTCCTTTCAAATACCTGGAAAGCCTTCCCAAGCAAGGCAGGTACAAACAAGCCCAGACTGCAAAGACTGCAATAAATGCCTAATTCTACAATGCCTAGACACCAGTGAATATCTACAAGCATCAAGACCATGCAGGAAAACATGACCTTACCCCTGAACTAAATACACCAGGGACCAATTCTGGAGAAACAAAGATATGTGACTTTTCAGAGAGATAATTCAAAATAGCTGTTTTGAAGAAACTCAAAGAAGTTCGAGTGGGTAAATAGTAATAGAATGAAGACAGAGGAATTTTGACAGGTGATCTTGAATAATAAGATTATCCTTAATAGATTTCTTCGTTAATCACAAGGGAAAAACTCTTAAAATTCATTAGAAACTTCTAAAGGGGGAGGAATTGAACGTTGTTTTAGACAGCTTTAATTAGATTAGGTGTCTTTGGAATAGCCCTATTGAAAATAATTATGGATGACTTCGCATCAAAGCTAAGTCTTTAAGAACAAAAGATTTCTGGGAAGCAAAATAGTTTAAGGGATTAGTGATTTGGTTTATAAGAGCTACTTGGACTTAATGAGTTCATATTTTTTTGGTGGTGTTAGTCGGGTCAGTGGGTTTCATTCCTGAGAAAAATCTGCTGTGAGGCAACAGAGCGATGACAATGAGGGCTTAAATAACACATGAGCTTGTAAAGACTTTAAATGTCACCCAGTACAATGTGTTGAAACACGATAACTGGAAGATTCCAAAGGCTAAGACTTTACATAAAGCTTTTAATGTCAGGAAGTAATATATTATAAAATGTCATTATTTCATTTTACAAATGAGACAAATGCAGAGTAATTTTAATAAAATATTCTTCTCTTCAAAATAACATACATTTCAATATCGTTCATATCCACTAAAAGAGGTTCAATTTCACTTAATACCCCAATGGGTCTTTAAAAATAACATATACTAATTCTCTCTTTATTTTTTTAATCATGTTCCTAGCTAATAATATTAATAGGAAATAACTTATTCTGTAGTAGGAAACTTGTGCCACATGTGAATAAAAGTTTCAGAACTTTAAAAAACTTTTTAAAAATAGAGAATATTCTGTGAATATATAATGATTGAAGGTATTATAGGGGTAGAGGTATATTTCTGTAGCCAGTAGGGGGGTGGAGGGGGGTGTAACATACACAGTGCATTAATAAAAGAATTTTTTCACCGTGTAATAACACATATAGAAAAACTTTTAAAAATTCATTATATTAACTTGTTAAAATTCATTATTTTAAGTTGTTAAAGTTTCATTTATACATTTGCAATATGAACATAATGCAAAGTAATGAAATATTCTGTATAAACACTTTATAGAATTGTTTCCTATTGCATAGGTACTGTTCAAAGAGCGTAAGTGTACCATTTAAATCTTTACAGGGCTGTTTATACTATATTAATATACATAGAATTGCCTGGTGACAAACTCAACACTTATGATAGTATTGTAGTACTTATAGCTTCTTTCAGAAATAATGCTAACTCCTCAATCCACAGAGCTCTTCTAGGGTTTACTGTTTTGAATTACTTCAGAGAAATGTCTTCCAAATTGATAAATATTTTAATATTCACAGATTCGATTGGTCTTCTGGGCTTTCACTGATACAGATCTCACAACTGGAATTACTCTGGCCCAAACTCACCTTAGTCTAGCTCCACTGCAGAAACTTCTTATGGAAAACATGAATGAAGACTGTTAGGTAGAAAGTGTAGCAATTAAAATGTGTTTATTTATTTTATAATGTTTTTTATTAATATCTTTAGAGAGGTAGTCGAGGCATAGGACAATCTCATCTGAAAAATGAAATAATAAGGTGATCTAGCAGGTCTTGTTGGCATGTTAGCTCCAAGTCTGCTTTCAGGGAATCTCCAGTACTATGATCTTCTCAACCTCCTCATTCCCTTAAGATTTGATAGTGACATCCTGGACAAGATATCTCTCCATACATTGCTTCAGTTCGGTGGTGATAAAGGGCAGCCATTATCTGAAAGAAAAGTGTCTGGAGATATGGACATTCAAATACCTATTACAAAATTTTGTTACAATAGATGTGTGAGATGAAGCAAAGTTCACAGAAGCCATTTTGAGATGGTCTTATTATGATAAGAACGTTTTTTCCTTAGAGCATTGTACAAAATCAGTATGGGCTTTTGACCAAAATACTCTTGCCCAGTGGATGTTATAGTCCATTATTATGGCCTTAATAATAATGAGTCATTATATATAGATACTTTCTAGTCTCCTTTTGTAAAGAATCGTTCACTATGCTGATTAAAAATGACCAAGAAAATGATACCAGTAACTTCTTATTATAAAAAAGACTTTATCCCTTTTGGATACAGTAACATTTTGTTAGTAGACTGACTTCTTAGGTCAAATGTCTCATTGCCTACTCACTCTACAAACATATTAAGACTCTGTCCACATATATCCTACACTTTTACTTATAATACCATCAATTGAAATAAGTGCTTCAATAATCTGTTGAGACAATATTTCCATTGTAATGGCATAGTGAAATCTAGCATCCGCATGGGCAGATTATGGTTGAAGCAAAACAACAATATTAACATTCCTAGAGGAGGATTGGAAGGGGGGCTGGAAAGGTGAGCTGATTCAATGTCCTCTTTTATGCTCCATAGAAGGTATTAGACTGGGATGGTGATATAGGGTACGTAATGGAGACCAATGGGAAATGATGCTTTGCCTCCTCACACAACAAAGAAGAAAAGTGAACCCAAATAATAAAAATTCAGTTTCAAAACCATGTGCCATTTATTGCTACTAATAGGGTTTTTAGACCATTTATCTTCTTACATTTTGATATTCTTGAGAGCAGACAGAAGTCTTGAAGCCCATAAACTGATATTTGATGAAACCAATTCACTGAACTCGAGAACTAGTAGAAAAACATACAGACGGAAAAATTACTTAAGGTAGCTCAAAAAGTATTATTTTTGAAGCTGATGGTGGAACAAAATAGAATTTCTCCCTAGACTGTTGATTCTGCTTATAGAATTTAACCAGAGAATAGTGACTAATAGTTCTGGTGCTAACTTTCAGTAATTTGAGAGATTCCTAAGAGGCAACTTTGTAGAGCATCTTTGTACCTAGATTCAGGGTTTTAAACCTCGATTTGAAAGTGATTAGTTATGAGATTCAATGCAAAATTCTAATCTCTCAGGAAGTTGTAGCAGTAAATATTATTATGATACATTTGGATTCCAAAAAAATATAAAGACATAATATGTAACTGGTCATGTTTTATCTACATAGAATTTATTCCATGAAGATGATCTTCTGATATCCAGCTCTTTAACATGCATCCAATTGTGGAATGGAGGCTATGCCACTTCTGGAGATGAAGCTGTACTCCTCTGTTGTTTACCAGCTCTAGTACTGCAAAAAATTATTTAACTAACATTATGTCCTTTAGTCCAAGTGCTGAACTTCTTTTTGGTGAATATTCCATTCTAGTTACTAGATAATATTGCGTTGATATCTGCAGAGTGCACAAAACACTGGCCAAAAATTTTCCAATGAAACAACAAAATGGGATCATTCCATCTGGGTATCAGGGCCTCTTGAAGGTTGTTAGAGATCTAGGTCTCTTTCATATTCTAAGACTATCAGCTATGACAAAACAAGGTTATAAAAATTGTGAGTTATTTTAAATATTATAAATTTGTCAAGATATAAAAGGGTGTAGAAAAATAACTTTAACTTAATTTCTATTTTGAGATCTTGTGTATTTTCGATGGCAGAAAACATGGTCTTAATCATTTTTTTATGTTTCAATTATTTCATACACTTGGATGTGCAAAATACAACTTTTACTTTCCTATAGCTCAAATGAAGTCCTATTGCAAGGCTCTATTGTACATTTTGGCAGAAAATTTAGTCACTTCCCATACATGTTATAGTGGTATCTCACGCCTTGCTTTGGGGAGAGGCATCCGTTCTTTGGTTCCCAGCCTCTGTCAATATGGGCAGAAGAGATATGTTCAGTTTTCTGTCTTGTTCTTTGGTGTCAGCCACCTTCAAGTTGGCATCTGCTCAGATGTACTTATTTTTACCTGGGCTTCAGACTACAATCAATTCTATTTTTTTTAAACATTTTTTCTGAATTATGATCATGAGATTTCTTGGAATCCATTGACCTTGTCTTCTCCATGGCAACACATGAAAGGTTCAGCTAATTACCCTTCTATTTGAGGCCACAGAAGATTCTGGGCTGCCTTGGGCCATCCTTGACCATATTTCTTTTCACCAATTTCTACACTACCACTTTTACTCCATTATGGTATTTGAAACATTTCTTAAGATATCACTTCCCAGGTTTCCAGAAATCAACCTAGATGCTCTGCAACAGTGGATTAAAGAAAATGTGGTACGTATACACCATGGAATACTACACAGTCATAAAAAGAATGAAGTCATGTTCTTTGCTGCAACATGGATATAATTAACAAAATATTTTCTTCTTATCGCCAATAACTGGACTTATTCTCCATGTTAATTTTATTAATAAACTACCATTAAAACATTAAAATTTTATTCTTAATATATACTATATAAATATATAATATAATATTAATTATATTATTATGATTAATATATTAATAATTAATATGTATCTTTTCATATTAATAATATATATTATTTCAAAACTTGTTTCCTGAATTAATTATTTTAAAACAGCACTCCATTGGACAGTAAGCACCTTATGGACAGAGACTATGTTATTTATTTTTATTTCCCCTTCACTTCTTACAGCACCTAATGTGTAATAACAAACAGCACTTAAATGTTTGCTGGAAAAACAAGTAATAGAAATGTAAGAGAAACAGATAGGAAGGCATGTAGTGTATACCTCAAAGGGTGTATACTACACTAAGGAAAATGGTTGATGATGTGATAAGCAAACTTGTCTGAAAGTGACCTGGGAGCTCATTCTGTGGTTTGTAAAACCATGTTCTAGTGTTTCATATATTTAGTTGTTTCTAATCTGCTATTATAAATAGCGTGTAAAAAAAAATCCTGATAATTAAATATTTGTGCATTCTTCTAATTAGTTCTTTGAGATAAATTTCTAGATTTGGAACTACTAGGTCGAAGTATGAACAACTTTATGCTCTTTGCACATTACGCTGCTCCAGAAATTTTATACATATTTAAACTTCCACAGGTTACAGTTATGTTAACAGTTAAGGTTAAGTGACCCTGTATGTTGGCATTCTGCTTGACAGAGGAAGAGCTGCTTGCCTTAGAATTCAGTGGAATAATTTGTAAGATAATCATTCATACAGTATTGATGATTATGATTCTTACATTAACCTAGAACTGGAAGGGCCAGGGGCAGTGGCTCATACCTGTAATCCCAACACTTTGAGAGGCCGAGGTGGGCAGATTACTTGAGGTCAGGAATTCTAGACCAGCCTGGCCAACATGGTGAAATCCTGTCTCTACTAAAATACAAAAATTAGTGGGGCGTGGTGGCATATGCCTGTAATCCCAGCTACTTGGGAGGCTGAGGCAGAAGAGTTGCTTGAACCCGAGAGGTGCAGGTTGCAGTGAGCTGACATCACACCACTGCACTCCAGCCTGGGTGACAGAGTGAGACTGTCTCAAAAAATAAATAAGTAAATAAATAAATAACCTAGACCTGGCAAACTGTTTTGGGAAGGCCTATTTACTATGTAAAGAGAGAGAGATTTGTTTCTGTCTCTGTATTTCCTAAGAAAATACAAAATATTATTAATGCTATTTAGGTGAAACATACATGAATCATATATACATATATAACTCACAAACGTATATAACTTCAATCCATACTTTCAGCTTCCTGACATTATCTAGAAACTTACATTTATAATCACGAAGAAGTTCTGACGATTGCAGGAATAGTTCTCTTCTGTGCTTCTGCTCAGATCATTTATAACTCCTTGAATGCTCTTACCTGAGTTAATTCAAATCCATTTCCATGGTAAAGCCTTCCAAGACACTCTCCTCCAACTCTTCAGACTCAGCTATTCCCTGCTCTCTTCTACTTCCCATAGTAACTGTCTTATACCTAATTGAATATTGATTTTCAAAGTGTCTCCACAGCTAGATTGTGATTTACCAAGGAAAATAGACGATAAATTATCAATCTTTATATTTATTAACACTGTCTAGCCCAGAGTTTTGCACATTGTAAATGTTCAATAAGTGTTAACTGAATTGAAATGACATGTAATGAGGAGATAATAGTATCTGTGAGGCCAAATCCATCCCTTTAGGTTTCTATCTGTCATGCCACAGGACTTGGAAAATAATTTCATACTGTAACATGTATGGGCTAAGAAACAGGCTTTACAGGGGACAGGGAAATTTTACACAGAGGAAGGAAAGCATGAGTTGGTGTGAATTTCCCTGATTTTCCCATCATGCTGTTGAAAGGCATGCAGAGGGTGGGGCTGAGCTGTGGCCGCAGCTGTGTGGGTGTCTATGCCAGTGGGCAGACGTCGCCCTCACTTCAGTTGCTCTCACTTTTTACAGTGCAGCCCTGAGAACCACCTCATCTCTGGGAGGATACATGGGTGGCTCAGCAGCAGGAGGTCTGGATTTGGGGTACCAGCTGCCAACAAGTTATCTGGGAATGCCAACTTTATAGCACCAGGAGACTTTGGGCCAGTAGGATGTTATGGTTCCCCATGCTGGAAGAAGAAAGACACTGGTCCTTTGGGAAAGTGAGTTTAGTTGCAGTCTTCCACCTGGGGTATGGAGAGAAGTACCTCTTTCCCTTTTCCACCATCCAAAAAGGTTCCTGGTACAGGTCACACAGAACGGGCTCCCAGGTCACTTTCAGACAAGTCTGTTTATTGCACCATCAACCGTTTTCCTTAGTGTGGTATACACCCTTCGAGGTATGCACTAAATTGCCTTCCTATCTGTTTCCCTTACATTTCCGTGACTTGTTTCTCCAGCAAACATTTAAGTGCTATTCGCGATTACATGTTAGGTACTGTGAGAAGTGAAGGGCAAATAAAAATAAATAACAGTTTCTGTCCATAAAATGCTTACTGTCCAATGGAGCTCTGTTTTAAAATAATTAATTCAGGAAGCAAGTTTTGAAATTACATATATATACATATATATGTATATATAAGGGTTAAACTTTAATTTTAATTGTAGTTTATTAATAAAATTAACATGGAGAATAAGTCTAGTTATTGGCAATAACATGGAAATACTCTAAGTGTTAATTGTGCAAAACATCAATCTCTATGAATATAATCCATCTTTATTGACGTTTTTCTTAAATTCGTCTTCCATTTTCACATTGAACTCATGCCCTCTACCTGGGGAGCGTCTATATAGAGAGAGAGCTTCTATATAGAGAATTATATGGATATATAGTCATTTCTGAAACAAACACTAAAATCTTAAAGCATGTTTACTCATAATCATGTAATAGTTTCCCTGGATTAAAATGAATAAGATGCATAAAGACAAACTATTTATAGCAATAAAACTTGATACACTAAGATAAATTCCAGTGATGAGCTTTTACCATAACATGGATGAAATGCATCCATAGTCCTGATGCTGCAGTTCTGCTGAGCCCCTCTCTAGTGCCCATCTCAGCTGCTCAACTCTTTTTCCAAAACTGTGGCAGATTGAGGTAAAGGGCTCCACATCTTCAACCCTTGGAGCTAACCTTATTCAAGAGCTAAACTTACCCCGATGTACTCTGGGTAGCACAAATTAACCCTTTCCTCTGGGATGCAACAGATCATTCCTAAGATGGATTTGCTAAAGAACATGAAAAAAAATTGCTAAGATACAGTTTAAGGAAAAACAGCAATAATCAACACGTGAATTCTTATGATTAGGATACAGAGGGTAGGTTTACAACCACACTCAGCAGATTTAGTACTTTATTATTTGTGTAAAACACTCAGCTTTTATGACCTCGTACTTTCCACCTTCTCTCTCAGGAGTAAAAGGATGTCCTATTTTGAGACTGGCCCTAGTACTGCCACCCAACTTCCTTGTATTTTCAGATAACTTTGAAATATGTAGTCTACTGTTCTCGTAAAGCTCCATAGTGTGTGTGAAAGAATCTGGCATAATAGGGGACAATGCAGAGCTGGTATCTTTGATACATTCTAATTCCTTTTACCCAGTAGTATTTCTGTAAATCTTAGAGGATGAAGAAAATATTGTTTCGATAGTAGGAAAGTTTGTAGTTGAAGCTTTTATCCAAAGACATTAAACTTCTTTGTAACATACATCCTGATTAATCTTTATAGAGTTATTAACATTTTAAAGGAGCGATAAATATTAAATTATAAATCAAATTTACATTTCTCTTCAGGCAGTTTTTTCAAGACTCACTGGTTTGTACTTAGATTAAATCAATATAATAAAAGATAAAGAAAAGTCACTGATTGGCCGGGCGTGGTGGCTGACGCCTGTAATCCCAGCACGTTGGGAGGCCGAGGAGGGCGGATCACGAGGTCAGGAGATCGAGAACATCCTGGCTAACACGGTGAAACCTCGTCTCTACTAAAAATACAAAAAATTAGCTGGCCGTGGTGGCGGTTGCCTATAGTCCCAGCTACTCGGGAGGCGGAGGCAGGAGAATGGCATGAACCCGGGAGGCAGAGCTTGCTGTGAGCTAAGATTGCTCCACTGCACTCCAGCCTGGGGGACAGAGTGAAACTCCGTCTCAAAAAAAAAAAAAAAAGAAAAGAAAAGAAAAGTACATTGATTAATCCAATTCAGTCTGTTTTCACAGACAAAGCATAAATTGGGTAGAGAAGGGACAATTTGTTTACAGACGGTTCATTCGTATCTAGCCCTGGCATCAGCTGGGCACCGTCTGCCAGCGGCATTAGGGATTTTGGACGGTAGTGAAAGTCATGCTATGTCACTGGGCACCTGAGCCCACTATTTCTTAGCCACAGTGATCCTCCCAGCTTCTACAAATCTGGGGCTGCAAATACAAATGTGTTTACCCAGAGCACAGTATTTGGAGCTAGACTAACATGGGTTGTTAGTTACCTGAGTGACCTTAGACACGTTGTTTACCTATTTGGGCCTCAATTATTTCAGGTATAAAAGGAGGGTAATGGTAACATCTACACAAGGGAGTCTTTGTTGGGCTAATGCCAATTTAGCACTTCACACAGTTCTTACTTATAGTGTTCAATAAATAGAAGCTTTTATACTATGTTATATTTAACAATTCTAGTAAAGGTATGTAAGAGTGTGAGATGCAAATGAGGGGAATGAAAAACTTCCTGGGAGTTTGGAAAAGATCACAAAGAGTAAGGGCAACTGAGATGATTCATAAATGTTGGTAAAACCCAGAACTCTGCTCTTAAAGAGCAATCCAGCAGACCAATATGAAAATATTAAAATAAAAAGTAGGATACAATTTCACTATCTGAATTCATAGAAGTAAATCACTAAGTTCAGGACAATGACTTCACATATTTCTTATTCATCAACACGTATTGGTTCCATTCTTATTTATTTATTTTTTCTTTCTTCTCCAGCTAGGATGTTTGTGGGAGGTGGGGCTGGGGGCAGGTCAAAGGGAGCAGTCTTTGGAGCAACAGGATTTCAGTATGCACAGATGGAGGAAGAGCAGTCCAAATGATGGAAAAATACTATTTAAAGGAATAGAGATGAGATGCATGTTTAAGATATAAAGCATTGCAGTTTGACTAGACTGAAAAGTACTCAAGATTTAAAAAATTAGAATGTAAGACAAAAATAGTAGGATGTAGCCAGATAATGTAGACTTGTAATGCTAATTTAGATAGTGATTATAAAAAAAGAGTGAAAGGATACAGGAAGTCCTATATCACATAAAGAATGTGTCACACATTTATATTGGGCAGTGAAGATGTGGAAATTGATGAACTACATATAATTTAGTAACCGGAATTATGGTAATATCAACCTCAAGAGAAAAATGTGTGCAATTTTAAATAGTATACCATCTATGATAGAATTGCCCCTTTACTAATCATTTTACCCTTTTAATCATTTTTAGTAATTCTTCACTATTTGGTAGAATATAGGAAATAATATCCTGTATATAAAATAATCATTTAGAGACAAAAATGCTTTAAAAAAGCTACAAATTACATAATGCTGATGACTAACTTGAAAAATGAATTTATTACACAAAAATATATTTATATAAACATTAATACTAAAAGGTTCTTTTTTTTAGAAAATTATGCAAGGTGACCCTCAGGAGACAGAAATTGAAATGAGTTTCATTCCACACATATAATTTTAAATGGTAACTACATCAGTAGTTGTTTTCTAGTTTTATATTGAAGACAATTTTTTATGTTATTAATATTTAACATATTTTATCAACATTCAAATATATATTAAAGCCCTTTAACAGAGAAACATTGTAGAAACAGGTGTATTTTAATTATAGGGACTACATTTTTATTTAAGGACATGGATCTTTTCTGTTTTTCAATATTTATGCTTTAAGGTTTACTAAAATGTATTTTAATGCCACAGTAACGTTTATGGTATTAATAACCTGAATCTCTTAAAGGGAGGCAAAAAAACCCCTCAACATAATAGACTTGAATTTAGGGTAAACTCTCTATTAGTATGAGTAGTAGCTCTTTGGGCAGCATGGTGGAGTAGAGACACCCTTGGAATTCAATAAGTATTCTGTATTCTTTGTTTGAGAATCCCACCTCTTTGTCCAAGTAAGCAGACATGGAGATTGACTAACACCACAACAATGAACAATCCATTGTAGTTTATGACTATACAAGCCTCCAGAATACAATAAGCTTAGGCCCCAGGTACCCAATTTTACACTTAAGAAGAAGTGATTTAGGATGTGAGGGCAATCTGGCTGCGACATCTGTCGCCCCACTGATTACCAGGGTTGATTCGGCTGATCTGGCTGGCTAGGCGGGTGTCCTCTTCCTCCCTCAGCCCTCCATGTGTGTACCTCCTGAAGCGGACTGGTCTTCAGTCAAGGGTAGACGAGTAGCTGTGCTCCCCTGCTAGAACCTCCAAACAAGCTCTCAAGAAGGAGTGATTTAGACTCATCAATTTATAAAATACTTTGCTGTACAAGTTGGGTAAGCTGAGTGAGATCATCTATGATCTATCATTAATCATTGTTAACACCAGTTTTCAAGCTCTCTAGTCAAATTACATTTTGTTTTCATGCTAGGAGTAAATTATTTCAGCATTTTTCTAATGTTAAACAATTATCTATTTACATGAGATTTAAAAAATAATCATTTGCATCCTTTTGGTAAATTATAAGCTAAATTAACTATGTCATACATGTAGAAAGAGACAGTATGGCAAGATTCATGAGCAAACAACATAACTCCTTTGAGAAAATGGAGAATGGCATATTTAGAATCAGTGTTTACCCAGCAATACTGCTTGAATTGTTAAGGATAATCTATCGATATTGCGTGACACTTACATGTTGTAACAATTATTAAAATGAGACAATTGTGTTAGGGAAAGTAATGAATGTAAAGTGGAATAACTGCACTCTGCAGGAGTTAAATGTATTAAGATTGTGCAAGGAACACTTAAATGACAAATTGACATACAGATGAACAGTATAATTTGAGGATGATCTTTGGGATCTGAATATTGCTGTAAAATATACATTTAAAATCCTCAAACTTCTGAAAAGTATAAATCTGAGCATTTTTTATACAAAACTAATGTCATAATGTGGACTGTAATTTTTGTTTGTTGTGAGTGCACAATTTCACCTTCAGCAACTGTCTTTAATATATTTGCTCTGAATTTGATTAAAAATACCTTTGTAAACAAAATCTGTAGATCGTTACTAGCATATCAACTCCCCCTCTGGATTCTCTATGTTGTCATGCTGGTCTCAAACTCCCAACCTCAGGTGATCTGTCCACCTCGGCCTCCCAAAGCGCTGAGATTACAGGCGTGAGCCACCGCACCTGGCCTGTCTGCTAATTTAATATCCATTTCATTTTGTATTAGTTTCATTGTTTTATCTATCTCCATGTTCCTTCTTTGGAAATCTGGTAAATTTTTAAATTGAATGCCAGACATTATGAATTTTATATTTTGCATGCTCAATTTTTTTATTTCTAGAAATACTTTTGAGCTTTGTTCTGAGATACAGTCAAATTATTTAAAAATGAGTTGACGCTTTGGAGTCTAAGCTAAAGATATTTGTTTATTTTAATATCTTGCCTCTCTATATTAGCTTATTTTTATATTAAACATAAATTTTAAATAATCATAAGACATTTTGGTTTCAAAGTGGACTATTAAAATATCTAACAGCTACTAAAATTCTTTAATTAGTGTTTAATTGAAGAAAATTGAATAGCTTCCTTATTTATTGTAAACTTATTGTTTGGTAAGAATACTTTTCCAATCTATCTTACAATGTTATGTATATTTTTTAAAATTTCAGATATCTTGGGCCAGGCACGGTGGCTCACGCCTGTAATCCCAGCACTTTGGGAGGCTGAGGCGGGTGGTTCACCTGCAGTTCCAGATCAGACTGACCAACATGGAGAAACCCAGTTCTTTACTAAAAATACAAAATTAGCCGGGCGTAGTGGCACGTGCCTGTAATCCCAGTACTCGGGAGGCTGAGGCAGGAGAATCGTTTGAACCCGGGAGGCACAGGTTGTGGTGAGCTGAGAGAGCGCCATTGCACTCCAGCCTGGGCGATAAGAGCGAAACCATCTCAAAACAAAAACAAAAACAAAAACAAAACAAAACAACAACAAAAAATTTCAGATATCTCATGGATTTCCTTTAAGAGACATCCAAAAAGTTTCAAATGAATGAAAATTGTTTGTTTTACATACCAAGTCCAAAAGTTTGTTTTTAAAATTTCTCATTTTTTAGAGCCAGAGTCAAAATTACTGTAACATTATTTGTATAAAGCAAAATTATATATATGTGATTAAAATTGCTAACAAGATAAAAAAGATAATACAGCTATATTACTATGAGAAAGATATTTATCTGATGAACTTATTTATGAGAAAGCAATCAGGATATCTTATTTCATTTGATATCATTGAACTGGCATTTTCCCCCAAGTAACCAATGACTTTAGCCTGGTATTATAAATTTTGGAACTCATTATCATTATATACTATAAATAATATATAATTTATACATTTAAATGAGGGTCAGTCTTTAAAGACTGTGACCCTTATTTAAATGAATAAATTATATGCTATTACCAACACTTTTGAAAGCATCCTCTAGTGCTTTTCTGTATAACAAAACTTTCCTTTAAACCACAATAACAAATAAAACAGTAATCCATTTTTAGTTTCAATAAATGTTAATTCATTTTACTGAGGAAAATGTTAAAAATTTAAAAATAAAAATCCATTTAAGAAATACCTCAGTCTAGGAAGTATGAGAACTATTTATAACCTTATCTCAGAAGGATAAGATATATGGTTATGTTTTATGCTGATGGTTATTCCATGAGTTGAATATATGACCAGTTTTACCTGAGTCATGCTTGGCAGTTAATTACACATTGTTAAAGTTCTGGTGTGTCTGATTAAAAAAGAATTTTTTTAAGATGCAAGCTTAGTCTTGAATTAAAAAGAAAAAATCTGTTGCAGATAGTCATTACAATACATGGTATGTTTATAAGACTTTCATATGTAGGTGGAGAAATGAAAAATTATTTACATTGTATTCCAAAATAAGTAGCTTGATAGTACAAACTAATGGATGAGGGCCACCGGTGTGGTAACGTTTTCTGATATATATTAACTATAAATAACTTTTTTATTACAGTTCAAAAACAAATATAAATATCAATGTTTTTAAAGATAATTCAAATCAAATGTTAGTAGAAACTCTAAAGCACCCTAATGGAACCCTTGGAATCTGAAGAACACAGTTTTAAACCTATGGAAATGAAAGATTTCTAAAGCCTGGCATGGGGCTACTTTTCCTAAATCTCTACGTTTTGTAGGAAGTGAGTGGAAGGGGAGGTGTTCTGCTTAGAATTTTAGGTGTTATTTTTCCTTAAGGTACAAAAGCAAACATGGAAAATGTATAATAGTGTTTAACCATATTCTACATTAATCAGTTAAAGATTATAAATCAAATTTTATTGGACCTGATAATATTTTTTCTGTATCTATATTTTTTCAAGTATAATGTTAAGACTTTCCATGTAGGTCTTCATTATTGGGCCATTAATAGTTTAAGTTTTTAAAAGCCATTATTCTACTGAGAAAGCACCCGTACTTTAGTCAAATTTAATTATTATAACAACCTATGATATCATACCATTGACGCATAAAAGCAGGTGTTTGCTGGCATCTGAAATCATGCTCAGGGCAAATTTATTTGAGGGTTAACTGTATTTCTTTCTAATGTTGGTATTGAAATTTCCCATGTTTAATGGAAGATTCCATATAGGAAGGGGTTCTTAATTAAACTTGTATTAATAAATGGAGAGCTGTGGAAAGAAAATTAATATATTTATGTATGAACACTTATTTAATGGTATTATTATTATCATTATTATTATTTTTCTGAGACATGGTCTTGCTGTCACACAGGCTGGAGTGCAGTGGCACAATCACCACTCACTGCAGCCTCATCCTCCTGGGCTCAAGCAATCCTCTCTCCTTAGCTTCCTGAGTAGCTGAGACTATAGGTGCGTGCCACCATGCCAAGCTAATTTTTGTACTTTTGTGGAGATGGGGTTTTACCATCTTGCCCAGGCCGATCTCACACTTCTAGCCTCAAGCAATCCACCTGCCTTGGCCTCCCAAAGTGCTAGGATTACAGGTGTGAACCACTGCACCTGGCCTGGTATTCTTTAAATAGAAAGTATGTGTACTATTTTCAAGAGTCTACCCCATCTATTATATTTGCAGAATGAGAGTTTTTTTTTTTTAATGTGCTCTCTGGAGGCAGCCCATGTTATAGTGTGTTTTTCTGCGGCTCCAGTCCCGCTGGAGCCTTTATAGCCCACCACCAACCACCTGGGGTTTGGCGTGTGTACTTCATTCTTTCTATGATACCATTACTGAAAGCACCAGTTCTCTTTACTGTCCTATTATTTAATTTCCCATAAACGAATTAACCCAATACCATACCACATTGTAGAGTTTTTCTGAAGGCTTCGAGTAATGCAAAGAGAGTTTGTCATTTTATGGATCACAAACAACTGCAATAAATAGAAATTTGTAGCCATCAAAAACTAAAGGTATTTATACTTCAATCTTACAATTCCACTTTGGGGAGGTTATTCTACAGCAATACTTGCACATATGTAACTTGTACAAAGTTATTCATTACAGCATTATTCAGAGTTGCCAAAGACTCAGCACAAGCCACATTTTATCGATCAAAAACTTGTTAAATAAGTCATGTTGCATCTATAAAGTGGAATAGTATGCAGCTATAAAGAGAGATAACTCATTATCTACCCATATGAAAAGTTCCACAAAGCATAGTTGAAGTGAAAAAAATTGATTCAATATAGTTTTATCAACATGCTACTTTTTGTACAAAACGGGAAAATGACAATATTTACACTTATTTAAAGCACCTCTAGAAGGAATCATAAAAACTTAGAATATGGATTACACATAGGGAGAGTGTATTAATAGCTACCAACCAAACAGCTAAGATATTATATAGTTGTTTTAGATTGTTCTGGTTTTCAAATATATAAATGGATTACTTATTTAACAATTAAAAACTCATGTTAAACATCACTATTAAAAATTCTCTGAGAATTTCTCTCTTCAGCCATGTTTTCCACCATTTCCCCTTCATCTCTCCTGCCCTAATTCTCCAGTTGCTACATCTCTTCACATCTCCTAACATCTTATAAGTACTTCACTCTTTCTTTTTCAGATTACTTTTACGAATTTAAAATTCTATTTTTGTTATTTTACGACAATATTATATCCTTTTACCTCATCCTCATATATCTAGAATATTCTAATGGTTAAGTCCTTTCTCTTTCCCAAGTTAAAGATCCATGGGAATGTTTGGCAGGTGAAAGAATTCTGTCAAAGTTCTGTCTTTTCTGCAGGTGAAAGAGTTCAATGACCTGGTCTTCAGAGGCAGGGAGTTCAAATATTGCTATACTGGCATTATTTTCCTCCTATTTACCATAGAAAGTAAAATTAATTCAAATAAATGCAAAAAAAGTTCCTTATCTTTTGACTGTGAGATCTAATTTCCATTGTTTTTATTAATCTTTTCAGTAAACATATATTATTCTCTAAGTATATACCAGGTGCCAGTAAAAGACTTTTGGTAAAAAAGTTCATTCCTCCATTGGCTTCCTTTTTTAGTTGATTATTAATCGTTTATCAACTTGTTGGCTTAGAGCTAACCTTATTATAAAATAGAGAATGTGATTTCCAGGTATTACAGAAAGAAGAGGGAGAAGCAAGCATTGTTTGGGAAGGAGGTTGAGGAAGGCTTGCCTCATGGTTGAACACAGATTTTTAAAAAAACATATTAACTTCATGCTTGGTGACGGAAGTGTTGCTGAAACACTAGGGGTTTGGTCTAGATCCTGCTGCTTGCCCCACAGAAAGCCAATCACTGAGACAAGTACTGACAAGAAAGAAGGTTTTAATCAGATGCTGCAGCTGAGGAGATGGGAGCTCAGTCCCAAATCCATCTCCTTGACTGACTACAACTACAGGTTTATGTAGCAGGGAAAAAATGTAACAATATATAAGAAAACAAGAACTAGGGAGGGGCAACGAAGTACCTGGTGCAGTGATGTAGTGAGTTTCAGTTCTCTGATACCTTTCTGAGAGGGCTGAAGATCCTTTCCTGAGGAAGGAACTCAGATAAAACAAATACAAGTTTCAAGCTTTAACAGCAGAAGGGTCAATATCTATGTTAATTCAAAAACAACTGTCTGTTGGGACTATTGGGTGGTTTCAGAAGGAATATTAAGTGATTTATACATTGTCTCAATTACTCATATAGCAATTCTAAACCAATTATTATCATCCTTTCACTTTGAAGAAACTGGGGGTCAGAGGGGCTGTGCTTTTTACCAAGGTCACACAGCTCAGTGGCAGAGGTGAGTTTCAGACCTATCCTCATACTTGAGCACACTCTTGTCCAGAGACACTGAGATGCAAGTGTCACTGCCATAGCTTCAAGAAGACAGAAATACATTTTCAAAAGTAATTTAAATGAAGAACATGTATTCAAACAAAAAGGGAAAAAATAACATTATCCCTCCGAGAGTGAGACTGTTTCCTGTAACCTCTCTAAAACTGCAATCTTCATAGAACTCACCTACTCCCTCTCAGCATTTTTTTTCTTTCCTGGCTCATATTAAATATTTTCTTCTATCCTTTCTTTCACACAAGCATGTAAAATAAAAAACATAAACTGCTACCCCTAAAGGGAATTTTGACATTGGTCAATAGGTGAGGAGGGACAATTTTGGACTCTTTGCAGTCCTGGGATATTTTCTGGACCTTTAAATAACTGTACTCTCAAAAGCAACATAAAAGCAAATACGTTTTTTACATTCATGATTATTAAGCATAATTGATGAACTGGAACCAAGCTTGAAATTCTAAATATCAGAACTCGATTCATTGGAAGGTTGTCACAAAACAGCTCGTTCTGCTTTCTTTCTTTTTCTTTCTTACCTTTTTTTTTTTTTTTTTTTTTTTTCCATACTAAAGCATCAGTATTTTGCCCAGGCTGGCCTTGAACTGCCGGTCTCAAGCGATCCTCCTACGTCAGCTTTTCAAGTGCTAGCAGCCATGGGAAACTGGAGGAAGCATAGGCAAAATATATGGATGGGTAATAGATGGAGAAAGGAGGAAGGAAGGTAGGAAGGAGGGACTGTGAACCTGGAGGAGGGCATTCTATCCAGCTAGCACTATTAAGTAAAGGTTACTTTTTTTTCCTCTTCTTGGTGAAACAGAGTCAGTGTTTCTGGTTTGGGTTTTGTTTTCTTTTTTTCCCCTGAGCCAGCCAGTCTCTGACATTTCCTAAAGGATAATGAAGTGTTAAATATGTTAACTTCAAGTTCTTTTTTCCAAAGTAAAATAAGGCACAGAATCTACAGCTTTTGAAAAAAAAAATTTAGTCCTGACCTTAACTTTAGAAGCCATTAATTTATATGATAAATCTGGCAAGAAACAAGTAGCACCAAGGAAAATTGTTAGAAAAAAATTGATTTTACCTATTATTTCAAGAAGCACAGGTTTGTATGCATGAATCAAATGTTACTAAATAAAAAATGTTCTCTATTACAAGAAGTGCTTTGGCATTAGATGTTTGTCCATTTTTAGTTATTGTATGGCTAATGTCTCACTTTTACATCATAGATATAGAGTCCAAGGAATGTAGTTATTAATATACGTGAGTGGGCTAGGATCTTAGATCATGCCAGAATGTGTGCTGGACTAAACTTAAGACTTAGAGTAATGTAAAAAAAGTGAGATTACAATGAGTAGGATTTTTAAATGCCTTGGAAATTTGATAGTCATGTACCACTTCATCTCTTTCTACTCATGTCTGGCATTTTAATGTGAGTAATTATTAACAAATCAGTTTTCTGTAAGTAGAACTTTTATGTTTATTTCAGATTAACTGTACTTATTCCATTGCAAAGGCTCAGTTATAGTCTATTCTCTAATACAGATTTTAAAATGTATTTACTGCTTCTTTGTTTCTTCCTCAGAAACAAGGATGATATAGTACACAGAAATTACTCAACAAACATTTGTTCAATTAGTTTATCATTGACACCATAGAATAACTGAATTGCGTCAGCATTTCTGTAGTGATATATCTTCATTTCCCTCTAATTATATTTTTCTTGTGTATTTTGATCCTGATTTTGGAAGTTAGGTGTCCTTCAGAAAAACACAACACAGAATTTCTAAACAGGAGCAATGTCGAAGGTGTCTTGATCCTTTCATTTTGCACAATAATTGTATTGTGCACAAAAATAATTTTTAATTTTTTTGTTTTCTAGTAATGCCCTCAAGTTTATTCTAATGTCTACCAATAATACAAGTGTGTGATAATGGCTGCATTTTTGCCAATATACATATACAGAACAAAACGGTTTCTGTAAATTCTTTAACAAAGCTGTGGTCCTAGTATAAGCATGCTTTCCTGGGTGATGAGATCCAAAGCCAACTGACTGCCCCTTGGAGGGCAGCTAAAGATTCCATGCTATGCTTCAAATGAATTTTCTTGTTCCGAGTCATACTATTACTTATTTCAATCATTTTCTTCCTGTTTCTACTAACTGTATAACCACTGTTATTCCTATCACCACACAACTAAGAATTCACACAAAGAGGATTCTTTTTCCTTTTTTGAGTTTAGTGTTAAGTTGACTCAGTCACTTCAATAATTACTGCTGTTAGAAAGTGATATTGATACTTGGATCTTCCACTTAGCAGTTAAGAGATGATAGCACCTTTATTGAGGAAGAGTAAACTCTGGCTGAGAAACTGTGGGCATGGAGAAATCATGAAAGAATTACTTCAGCGTCACCAACTTTTGGCAAATTACCCTGCAGATATGGAGTTAAAATCAGTGGTCTTACTGTTTTGAGGGCAGGGTGGCCTCATAGCAATTGCTGGTTAGGAAGCACCTAGAAAGAGTGATTCAGAGAATAGGTTTAGAAACCAATAAGCCTGCATTTGAAGCCAAGCCCCGCAACTTATTAGCTATATGTAAAAAGGAGTTAACAAAATAAGTACACAAAAAGATGCTGGACATCATTAGTCATCAGGGAAAGGCAAATCAAAACTACAATGACATACAATTTCATACCCACTAGGATGGCTGGAATAAAAAAGTCGTATAACAATAAATGTTAACAAAGATTTGGAGAGATTGTAGCACTTGTATGCTGCTCGTGGAAATATAAAATGGTACAATTATTTTGGAAAACAATCTGGAAGTTTCTCAAATGATTTTAAATGCAGAGTTACCATATGACCTAGCAATTCCTCTTCTAGATATATACTCTAGATAAATGACAACATAGGCACACAGAAACTTGTGTGTGAATGTTTATAGCAGCATTCTTCATAATAGCCAAAAGGTGGAAACCACTCAAATATCCATCAGTGGACAAATGCATACACAAAATATGCTATTTTCATACAATTAAATATTATTTGTCCATAAAAAGGAATGAAGTGCCTGTATACGCCACAATATGGATGAACCTTGGAAACATTATGCCAAGTGAAAGAAACCAGTCACAAAAGACCATGTTCTATATGATTCCATTCACATGAAAGCCTACAACAGGGAAATCTATAGGGACTAAAAGTAGATTAGTGGGGAAGGGAGAAGAGAGGATGGGTATAATTGTTAAATGATACAGGGTTTCCTTTTGAGGTGATGAAAATGTTTTAAAATTGACTGCGGTGATGATTGCACATACATTGAATATACTAAAAGTCACTGAATTGTAAACTTTGAGTGAATTGTACAGTATATGAATTATCTCACCAAAGCTGCTAAAAAATGAAATTAACATCTACCTTATACTATACTGTTGTTTGAGAGCTAAAGGAAATACTGCATGGAAATATTTAGCACTATGCCTCGTAATGACACATAATAAAAATTGTCATTGCTATTATGACCTTTTATTCTTCTATGTCTGGATTCTCTCTTCTTCTATCTCTTCTACTCCTATATTTTTCTTCACATTGTCTTATCCTGTGACACTTGTAGTCAGGATTTGCCCCTGTTGGAACTTGTCAGCAAAAGAAATGATTGTTCATGACCCTTATGATCATACTTTTACCCCAAGCACAAAATATATCTGTTTAAATTTAAATAAGACTAATAATTAGCCATATGTGGCTTCCATTGATTAAAAAGAGAAGGGAAGTTGTTTTCTAGTATATCTCTGCTTTGAATGGAATGAAGACAATTATCTGGATTTGCATTTTATTCAGTTGTAGTACATTTTTCAGTATAATTTTTACTAAGGAAAATCTTCCAAAATTGTATGTGCCATTTTCTAATCTTTCCACTGTTCCTTTACATAGTAGTTATATAGTTAATTTTAATAAAAGCTATGTTGCAATTTTATAATGGCATAGCCATGCATACTCTATCTGAAAATTTTTAAAGGGAAGTAAAAATAAAATCATGACAATAGGTTCAAACATATGTATGCACATGTAGATAGTTATTTGTTATTTAAATTAATTTATGGGTTTACATTATTCAACTGATATGAAGGTTTTAAGTATCATTTAAAAAATAAGAATGATCCATAATTGCCAGTTACTAAAAGTAAATTCCAGAATTAATTTTTTTTAATTGACCATCCCCAACTATTTAAACCTTATTAAATAGTTTGGGGAAAAACTCTGTAGTTCTGTATCAATCATTTTGTTTTTATCATGCTTAAATATCAAATATGATTTAATTACATTTTTTATTTGTATACCTTGTCTATAGTACAAACTATAACATTAGCACTTTTTTATGTTATTCAAATAGTAGATTGAAAGTTTGTAGAAGAGTATTTATTTTAGTGGTACTAACTTATTTTAGAAGAAATAACACAATATGAAAATAAGGATTGTGTATTTTTCAGCAAGTTTATTCAATGCAGGCAATCAATCTACATCATTTTAAAACAGCGTACGCAACATGCAGCCTGCCATTTCCTGCCTTCACAGACAAAATCGCTCAGCCTCCAGGGTACTCTTTATGTCTGAGACTAGCTGCAGCCCCAAGTAATCTTCAACATGGCCTTCTGGACAACCACTACCCATCAGGTAGGGTTGTCAAAGGAGGTGAAACTCATGTGTCATTCTGGATGTTAGATGAGAATGAGTCTTAGGATTTTCATTTTTTTCTTTTCCTACTTGAATGACAGGGATGATTTATCTTACATCAAAACAGGAATGAGGTAACTACTTTTTCATTTCTGATAAACTTGACCTAATAAAACCAAAGAATTCACCCACACTGCAGTGATCTCCAGGGATTTGTCAACTATATTATCAAGGAGGAAGTAATCTTCCAATACATACATTTGGACTATAAGTTTCAGATGAAGAGAACTAAGTCATTACCCTTCTAGAACTTAAAGCTACTCTACAGTACCTTATTTTCAGGCCGTTTACTATAAAATAAAATAACACAGTCAGTGAAATCTCTGTTCTTTGGAGCACCGTAGACAACCATGAATATAGCAGAGAATTCTCTATTTAGGCATCCTAATACAAGAATATTGACTCACTTTCCTGAGTGATCGGGTACTTTTATACTATTATATTAATGAGTACACAGCCATGCCTCTCCCTCCCCAGTTTGAGTGTCATGTAGAATATTAACAATTTTCAGAAGTTGTTACAATTTTCAGACATTGTGTTATTTTTATTTTTTACTTTTTTTTTTAGTCAGGGTCTCACTTGGTCACCCAGGCTGGAGTGCATTGGTGCAATCTCAGCTCACTGCAGCTTCAACCTCCTGGCCCCCAGAGATCCTACCACCTCAGCCTCCCTAGTAGCCAGGACCACAGATAGGCACCACCACGTCCAGCTACCTTTTCTTTTCTTTTCTTGCACCTCAGCCTCCCTAGTAGCCAGGACCACAGATGGGCACCACCACATCCAGCCACCTTTTCTTTTCTTTTCTTTTTTCCTTTCCTTTCCTTTCCTTTCCTTTCCTTTCCTTTCCTTTCCTTTTCCTTTTCCTTTCCTTTCCTTTCCTTTCCTTTCCTTTCCTTTCCTTTCCTTTCCTTTCTTTCCTTTCCTTTCCTTTCTTTCTTTCTTTTTCTTTCTCTTTTCCTTCTTTCCTCCCTTCCTTCCTTTTTTTTTTTTCTTTTTTTGCAGAGACGGGGTTCTCCCTATGTTGCTCAGGGTGATCTCAAACTCTTGGGCTCAAGCAATCCTCCTGTCTTGGCCTCCAAAATTGCAGGGATTACAGGTGTCAGCCACCTCATCTGGCCAAAAGTTGTGGTTTTTTTTTTAAACCACAATTTAGCTTCTGTTTTTTTCTGTTGCCGTGGTATTTTGTTTCCATTCCAGTGGAGTCATAATGTTTTGGAATGATGAAGAAAATTCTGTGTTGTGTTTGAATGGAGAGGGACCTTTCTATTTGAAGGGCATGTAGCCATGTACTTCTGAAATAGGAGAACTAGTCACAGCGGTACTTATGTAAAATTGTCAGTGAGGATATGATTTACTTAATACACATTACAGAGGGAATAGTTAATTTACTTTAGAACAGAATATCTTACTCTTAAAAATTAGCTTACCCCCGGAAATCTTTTGAGCAATTAAATTAGGAAACCCAACATAGATCTTAAAAGAAAAATGCTGTGATTTGTCAAAAGTTTGAATTTTATATATTTACCCAAATGGCCTTTGAACAGACTACTGTGCTATTTGTAGAATTTGTGAAGGAGATTACAAGGATTTCTAAATGATACTGTTTGTAGAAATGAAATGTCATGCAGAGCTGTTTCCTAGTACATTAAATTGAACAAAAGCACAATTGCAATTTTCCAAATGATATTACTTAGTGATTTACTAGCTCTAGTCTTTGAATCCAATGTGAATGTCCTGTGGCAAATTGCTGGCTGCTAGTCTTTTTGGATAGGACATTTAATTATATGGTTCACAACTTTTAAGTTCTACTCTCCATAACCACCTCAATGAATATTTCCTCCAGTATGTTTTACATGTGGAAAATGTGAAGAAATTCTATTTTTATCTTTCATGGTGTTTAGATTCTTTTGACTTAAGAAATGACTATATCCAAATGGAATTTGAGATATTACTACTTTATTAAAAGGGGGGGCCGGGCGCAGTGGCTCAATCCTGTAATCTCAGCACTTTGAGAGGCCAAGGAGGGTGGATCACCTGAGGTCGGGAGTTCGAGACCAGCCTGACCAACATGGAGAAACCCCATCTCTACTAAAAATGCAAAATTAGCCAGGCGTGGTGATGCATGCCTGTAATACCTGAACCTGGGAGGCGGAGATTTCGGTGAACCCATATTGCACCATTGCACTCCAGCCTGGGCGTCAAGAGCGAAACTCCATCTCAAAAAAAAAAAAAAAAAAAGATAAATTTATTTTTTTTAAGTTTTGGCAAATTTATTTGGGCCTTTCACATTTGTACCAATTGGTACTTCACTACCCAGGGGCTACATGGATCAGAAGAAAGAATAAAGTGATGTAGAAGTTACTGAGGGTTTATGGAAGGCAAAAATTGCTTATTTATTTATTTGATTCCTACAGAGGGCCCAATGCTGTGACTATAGAAGATTCAATGATAGTAACTTGAAACTTGCTTTTAACAAGCTGTTACTTTCCTGTCTCTACCTACTTAACATGTTGCTGATGGGTATTATAAAATATTGTTCTAGCTCCCAAGGCATTTTTAAAGCCCGGGATGACATGATATGTAAAAATCTTTTAGAATATAATAAGCTACTCTCTTATGCTAGACAAGCAAAAGTTAGGTGTCATTTTCATTGCATGTCTTTTTAGGTAAGAGTCATAATCTGACTGAAAGAATAAAAAGTTTCAGTTATTCACTTATGTCATTATCTCTTTCAAGAGATTCAAAGAGAAATGTATTTTTAAGAACATGGAGACTTAATGAATCATTTTTGTTTGCTTTTCAAAAGTCATTAATATTGAAGCTTTACTTGGATATTTTGTTAATTTGGTTGTCAATATATTTTTTTTTAAGGCAACACTTTTGAATTGTATTATTTCTAATTTTCTGATTTGACATATTCAAAACAAAGCATCAATTTTTGATGGTATGAATCATTAAACCCATTCTTGATTTAAAAAAAATCAAAAGAACACTTGCCTCAATCAATATTTGTAAAAAAAATCATATGTTGGCCTAAGTTATTAGAGCCATGTAGCATGCGGACAAATTCCTAGTGAGTCAGTCCTCTTATGAAAATCTTGATAATTTCCTTATGATCTTAATCGCAACCAGGGTTGCAGAGCCTTTTCTATCCTTAAAACAGATCCACATTGAGATTCTATTTTCATTACCTAAACCTATTCATTTTGTTTTCCATTGGGCAGTGGAGAGGCAAGAGTTACAGAGACAGTAAAAACATTTCTGTCTTTCACCTCTTTACTCCATTATTATCCTATTGTTGTTATTATTATTCTCTCATGTACTCTGAGAAAATTCTGAAAATTAATAGCTTACCCTGGTATATTTTGAAGAGCAGGGGTGAGCATGAGAGAGTTACTTGGTAACGAGGAGAGAATAATCTGCTTTGAATTTTCTAATGTTTGAAGTATTAGGACCATTGAAGGGGAACTCAGTGTATAGCCCTAGGTTCTAAATCAAACCAGGGAAGTTTTCATATCTTAAAATTTTAGGAAAGAGAAAAAATTTAGAAAAATGGGTCAGTTAAGTAGGGAAAATACATAATTTTCATTTCATAGACACAGGAAACACTATAAAATAATGTCTAATATTCCATCATAATTCTGAATTAACTTTCTGTTAATTAACTGAATTAACATTCTGTAAGCATAATTGTTTAGCTTTTATTTGCTCGTTTGCTTGTTTTAAAAAAATTACTACTTCTATGGTCTGAATTTATATGTGCCATGAAAATTCATATGTTGAAATCCTAACCCCCAAGGTTGATAGTAGGAGAAGGTGGAGTCTCTGGGAGGTAATTAGGTCATGAGGGCAGAGCCCTCATGAATGGGATTAGTGCCCTTACAATGTAGGCCCAAGGGAGAGTTTGTTTACCCCTACTACCACATGAGGGTACAGCTGGAAGGTGCTGTCTGTGAACCAGAGAGCAAGCCCTCATCAGAACCAGATTTCCTGACACCTTGATTGTGGACTTCTCAGTCTCTGGAACTGTGAAAAATAAGTTTCTATTATTTTTAGGTTATCTAGTTTATGGTATTTTGTTATAGCAGCCCAGACAGACTGAGACAACTACCTAAATGTTATTTTTTTCAATTTGATTTTTAAAAGCTTATTGTATCAGTTTACATTTCTAGGGTATTTGCATAAATAACGTCACAGATCATTTATTTTCATCAAGATTTATGAATGATTATAACTGTTTTGCACGGACTAGTAAAAGTATACTTCTGTGGCAAGAAAAAAGAGACTTACAATTCTCCTATGAAGGTTAACTGCAAAAGTGATGGCTTTCATATTCTTATTCCAACATAAGAACCACTTTTTAAAAGTAATTAAATCTAAAATGTATTATCTTTAAAGGTGTATGGAGAAAGATGATATGATATAAGTGAAAATCATATTTATAAGTAAAGTTTTACAACTAAGCTTTTAAAGTCATAATGGACACAAATTATTTCCAGTGAAATTCAGTGTAAATGAAATTTATGTTTCCCCAGGCTTTAAGCCAGGGAATGAATCTCCACAGTCACTAATATCTTACCTGTTTCTGGTCTCTGAGCAGTCTTTTGATTACTGTTGCATGTTCGGGCTCTCCCTCATGGAGAAGGAGAATGCGCTACTTCTTCATCAAGTGCACTGTCTGGAAGGCCAAATGGTATTCAATGTTTTCTCTGTTGTCTGGGGCTGCGTGTAACTCCACAGATATTTCATTAAATATTGTACCTACTACATGTCAGACTCAATGTTGGGTGCTGGGGATAGAGTAGTGAATAAGACAGACATAATCACAGCCTTTGTGGTCCTTAGTGGGGTCCTAGTTGGCAGCTGAACTCATCTGTGAGATACCTGGGAGCTCCTGGCAGTTCCACATTGCTCTGTTGCCATTGTGCCTGCCCAAGTATACTCACATTTGCAGTGGGTACACAGCTTAGGTTTTTACTCTGGGCCTGTTATTACATAATTTGTTGAGCTAGTAAAAAATACATTTTCAATAAAGTATACTTTGGAACTGGCTTCTGATTTGGCACAGTAATATCAAACTCAAGTTTTGCTAATGGGAAATGTAACCTTTATACCTTGCAGAGCAGACAGTAATCTATGTAGTAAACGTAACGTTTATTTTGCAGTCATTCAGCACCATGTCCACCCTGTGAGTTTGCTGAAAGGCAGATTCTCAGACCCCACTTCAGACCTGCTGGGTTAGAATCTCTGATGACAAGAACAGAATCTTTTTTTTTTTTTTTTTTTTGAGACAGATCTCACTCCATTGCCCAGGCTGGAGTGCAGTGGTGCAATCTCGGCTCACTGCAACCTCCGTCTCCCAGGTTCAAGTGATTCTCGTGCCTCAGCCTCCCAAGTAGCTGGGATTATAGGTACGTGCCACCACACCTGCTAATTTTTGTATTTTTAATAGAGACAGGGTTTCACCATGTTGGCCAGGCTGGTCTCAAACTCCTGACCTCAGGCGATCCACCGCCTCAGCCTCCCAAAGTGCTGGGATTACAGGCATGAGCCACCATGCGCGGCTCAGAATCTATGTTTTAAAAACAAACTACAAGTAAGCTTTATGCATGTATGTAAGGTAAAAATATGTTTCACTTAAAGTCTATATTTCTTAAACTTTCAATTAATTTAACCCTCATGAATTTCATGTAATTTTAATATATGGGATATGCCACCTTGGAATTTGGCATCAGGGCTGCCAAGACATGTCTGAGACTAGTCCTGGGATTCGGCTAATGACTTCACAGGAAAGAACTTTCTCAATTTCTCCCATCACCATCTGCTACTCCTCTCCTCATGCTAATGGAAACTATTGTTTCCTGTTGACACACTATCCTTTCAGCTTGGTATTTTTATATTTTCTATTTCTTCTGTTACTCCTCGTTTTGTGTGTGAAATATTTCACCACACTCTGCATAACATTTTTCAAGTGTAAAGTTTTTCTAATATCTGTGGAAAAAATTTTTGTATTATTGCACTTTCCCAATATTGCTATGAATTCATAATGACACTTGTCAAGTTGTACTATAATAATGATAATAGTTTGAATTTCTGTCTCCCCTTGTAAATAAGGAGTTTTCCCAGGACATGATTTGGATTCTGTTCCTCTTTGTATGCCCCATAGCGTCCAGCGCATTGCATGGAATGAATGACTCTCATTCTACATGTGCACGTCAATTCAGCGTTGGGGATATTGTCCACAAAAGCACAATTTCAACTTCTCTTGCTTCATTCAGGAAAAAAGATCCCAGACATGGGATGTGTCATTGTGAAATGATTTCTTCACTCCCCCGTTAATGGTTTAGTTAATGCTTTTCTTTGACTAACGGAGAATTTTTTTTTTTTTTTTTTTTAAGACCGAGTTTCGCTCTGTCGTCCAGGCTGGAGTGCAGTGGCGCCATCTCGGCTCACTGCAAGCTCCGCCTCCCGGGTTCACGCCATTCTCCTGCCTCTGCCTCCCTAGTAGCTGGGACTACAGGCGCCCGCCACCGCGCCCGGCTAATTTTTTGTATTTTTAGTAGAGACGGGGTTTCACCGTGTTAGCCAGGATGGTCTCGATCTCCTGACCTCGTGATCCACCCGTCTCGGCCTCCCAAAGTGCTGGGATTACAGACGTGAGCCACCATGCCCGGCCAGACTAATGGAGAATTCTTTTGCCCCATCGATAAGCTCTTCAAAGTCAATGTAGAGCAGAGGAAGGGAAAGTCACTTCTTACACATTTCTGTGACTCATGCTTTTATTTCAGGCCTCTACTTGTGAGACTGACACTTGTGCCTATAACATGCTGTCCTCACACTTTAAGGAAAGCTGGAGGAGCAAAACACGTTGGCCATCTTTCAAGACATTATAAAACATACCAAGAAATCCCCAAACTTCCAGTGAATGATACTTTATAGATGCTCAACTTAAAATAAAAGGTTAATGTTGCTGTTTGTAACTGTGATCAATCAGTTAAATATGTGACAAAAATTAAGAAGAAAAAAATGCGGATGAAACATTGCAATTTATAGCTGGAAAACATGTCTGACCCTGTGAACCATAAAATGTCTCAATAGCATGTAACTTCTATTTTTTACCTGTATATAGTGAATGATTTCAGAATCTCCCTAATGAGTGATCTCATGGAAAGCCTCTCCAAAGTTCTACCAATTTTAGATTATTTCTATGTTAAGGCTATAGGACATTGAGATAAATTCTATATAGTATATTAGAAAGTACATGAGATTTTCAGTTGGATGCCCCTTACTTATAACTTTTTAAAAATTTTTTTTGGCCAGTTTCATGCTATGTTACTTAAATTATCTTAAGCTCCATTTTGTTGGCTATAAACCTGGGACAACTTATAGAGCTCTTTTTATAAGAATATTGTGTGAATTAAATAATATGATATACATAAACCTGTCAGGGTTACTTAGCTACCTGACATTTGTGAGGAAATCTTAAGGTTGGTTGATCTTCGAGTTGCTGTGGGAAGAAACCATCTTTTGGACTCAGATCTAAGAAAGGGATGGAATCCAATGGCCTTGGGCATTATCTGAAGAGTTCCATTGCTGTGCTGAATTTTCTTACAAATTGGTTATCATTTAGCATGCCTTTACTTCTCAAGTAGAACAAATTGTTCAAAGTTAAAATGTCGAACTTCTTGCAGCTGACCATTAGCTGCAAAGGATTTGCAAGAAAGACTGCATGCCGAACAAATGGGTATTTTCCAGAAAACTGAAATTGGCAATTGGAAGAAGTCTTGCATCTGACTCTAATTAAGGCTTTCTTTGTTTCAAAACTGGCTCTCACAATCACAGGAATGTGAAATGTGTCCCTTAAAATAGTTTACGATTTTAAAAAGCTAGATTCAAATTCAGCTATGTCCTTTTAGTAACTGATAAATGGTTGCACTTCCCCATCAAGTTTATTATTCATTTTTATGGCTTAACTTAACTTAGATCTTGGTTAAATACTTTTAGCTTAATATAATTTACAATCCACTTATTCAGAATACAGAATTAGATTGAAAGTGCTATTATGTTTCACTTAAAGCCTGTCTTTCTTAATCCTTCTGTTAATTTAATCTTCATGAATTTCATTTCGTTTGGATATTTGTCCCTACTCAAATCTCATGTTGAATTGTAATCCCCAGTGCTGGAGGTGGGGCCTGATGGGGGGTGTTTGGATCACGGAGTGGGTCTGTCGTGGCTTGGTGCTGTCTTGCTCGATAGTGAGTTCTCCTGAGATCTGGTCATTTAAAAGTGTGTGGCACCTCCCTCCCCCACTCTCTCTCTCTGATTCCCACTTTCACCGTGTGATGTGCCTGCTCCTGCATCGCCTTTCACCATGATTGGAATCTTCCTAAGGCCTCCCCAGAACCAGATGCCACGATGCCTTCTGTACAGCCTGCAGAACCATGAGCCAATTAAACCTTTTTTTTATTTTAATAAATTATGCAGTCTTAGGTTTTTTTAATAACAACACAAGAATGGCCTAATACATTCATGTATTAAAAAAGATAATGGCATTTCACAGAGGCCTTGTGTTTTCATGCCCCTGACAATCTTATAAATTCCAAAAAAGATAGGTTCACCTATTGATAGATTTAAATGAACTTCTTTCCTTTATCAACACTCTCCCTCAAATGGTGGCAACTATATTATGTTTTCTTTCATCTTGTTAGGATCAGCATTTCCTCCTTTTCCATATTTGCATTTCTCTCCATTTTTGAATGATGCAATTAATTACATTTTAAATAGTTAAGCAGTTCTTATGTTAAAAAAGGAAGGCTACTTCCCTTTTTTTTTAATCTTCCACAGCTGTCTACATTTCTTCTTTATAATGACTTGTTCAGAAAAGACAAGGGCAGAGGGAAAACCAGGCCCCTCGCAGGAGGAATTAGATAAAGAAGAACAGCTCAATAAGTCTGAGATCATAAATGGATTAGCACCTCTCTTAGGCATACCTAACACTGGGGCAAAAGATTTATTTCAGGGAAAAAAATTTATTTCTGATTTATATCAGAGAGAAGTGACTGATATATTTTATGTTAAAAGAGTTTGAGAAGACCTGAATAATCTACAGTGCATCATGGGTATTATAAAATTATGTACAGGTTATAAAACTATAAATAGGATGAGCAAAACCCTTAAGGTGTTACTAAGATATGACTGAGGGTACCCAACTAATATTTGCAGCCTAAATTCAGGTTGGATGTCAGACTGCATTGAAGGTGGTCTACACAATGTTAGAGGTAATTCTCTGACAGTGACTGGTTACATAACATTACTGTTAGCTTTCTGGGCTGCATATCAAAAGGCAAACATCTAGCATACCTACTCATAAGCTGTTTATTCTAATTTCTCTTTGACAAATTAATCACACTCCAAATTTATTGAAATGTTTGTTGAAACATTTCCTTCTAGAATTGTTCTTGAGGATTTGTGATTGTTAAGAGTTATGTCTACAATAGCTTCAAGTGATTAGATTAAAGATAATAGTGCAGTGTAACAGCTTTCTGAGTTAGACTAGATGTGGTAAGCATGTAATATTCTTATATCATTGGTGTGTAGTAAATTCTTTTTAGAAGAACTCATTTATGTAATAGCCATAAATTTTAAGATGCTCTGGAGGTGGATAAAAATGAATAAATTCCTATATTTGGGTAGTTAAAATTTTTCAAAACACTGTTACAAAAATAGTTTTCCCACTTTAAAAAATTAGGTCTCTTATAAACAGATCAGAAATGTTACTATGGCCTAATAAAAATGTTAAGCCTTTGACATAATTTTTTATGGAAGTACATTGTGTTATGTTTAAGATGTTAAAAAAAATTCTGCAGGAATTACCCATGTGAAGATGCTATGATACAATTTCTTTTATATTTGTATACTAGCTACTTTCAAAGTGCACATGAGTTGATTTACAGTAAAAGACACATATACAAGAAAAGGAGACAGCAACTGTATTTTGAGGGTAGAATTAGTGTTTCTGATATTAGGGGGTTGGGGAATGGGTCTGAGCTTCATGGCAACCAAAGCAAAAAAGATATATGGTAGGTCTTATAATTAATTTTCAAATAACAAGAGAAATAATCTTTGAAAGAATTTTTTCCTCATTCTATATCTAAAATATGTATATCACATAAGATCTTACATAGGAGACATGCAGCGTAATAGTTACATCTCTAAAAGATATTCAGTAGCAAACATACACTTTTTTTATGTCATTATAATCAAACTCAGCAGAAATTTTTCTACAAAGGGTTAAATTAATGGCTTTTTAGTGCAACTTAATTCAAGGACAGGAGTCAGAAAATGTAGACAAGCACATAGCAAGATGTCCTATCAGACAATGTCTCCATAAATGTAACTTCTCTCAGCTGGTCTTATGATGACAGCCAGAGAAGAAAGGTCAAGACCATGCTATTGAGGGGCTTAAGACAGCACCTAAACTGGTGCTGTCTCTGGTGCTGAGAGGAGATCCTCTCCCACGTCCACCTCTTTAGGGATCACTGCAATGGCTCCTTAACTGGCCTCCTTATACTCTCATCTGCATCAGTCCATTTTCCACATGACTATGAGTGCCTCAGATCCAAGTTGGATGGATTTTCATGTCCTGCTTAACATCGCTTAATGATCTTCCCTAGACTCCACAGTCAAAGGAGCCCTTTATGGCTCTCCCTTTCTCTCCAGTAGCACATCTCACCACTCCTCCTTACCTATCCCTTGAAATCGGGGCTCCAGCTACACAAAGTACTCTGTAGTTCCTAGAGAGGTGCATGCTATTCATTGCCTCCACACGTAAACTTCTTCTGCCTGGAAATACCTCATTTTATTGGTTTCCTTGGCAGAGCCCTCCTCTTCTTTATTCCTTCAAAGATGCACACGCTTCTGGAAGATGTCTGAAAGCTCTTCCACTTGTTTTCTATACAAGCGCATAACCCTCTGTATCTACTTATATCATAATTGTAGCACATTATGCCTAACTGTAGTCAGTTAGACATTATCACACAAATCGGACTACTTGAGTCATTGCTTTGCTAACCAGTATCCCAAGCTAGAATATCAACTGTCTGGATATGGACTCTTTATCTTCCCTCTGTACAGCCAGGCCCAATCAACACCCGGCACAGTATGTGCTTAGTGTATGTTTGAGAATTTAACTAATCTTTATTGCCTGAATTCCTAGGAGAGTGCTAAGACAGTTTCTGTCACATAACACATGCTCAAAAAATAAAACACTAGTTGCAAGAATGGAGATTGTTGATTGAGTGAGTGAAAGGATGCAACAGAAGTAAGTCTGATATTTTGATGTGAAAGTGGAAGATTCTAACCTAGTTTCACGATAGAAGAGAGAGCTAATTAGTGAGCAGACAAGGCCCCCAGATTCCTTAAAAACCTGAGTGTTCAGTTGAAACACCAGAGGGGATTACAATCTGCAGAGCAAAAAAGTTATTAAGCACCTCATGCACAAACAATCCCTGTCCTTACCCCTGCAGAATGACTTGTTTTTAGCAGCACTGATACATGTGATATTCATAAACAGATCTCTGAGCCCGATGTTTAAGAACAATAAAATTCAGAATATGTTTGGTTTTGACACAGCACTTCTAAAATCAGGTTTTGCTGTGTTTCTTGTCCATTTAGAAATGAATGACTGACATGTGTTTGACTGCAGAAAAAATGTAGTTTGTCAAGACTAGGGCTTCTTACACAAAGGAAGCTGCTTTCTGAGATGTGTCCACAACACCGGAATATCATGTTTCTATTTGGCATTCGTGGGGGAAGCCAGAGCAATCTTGAACTTGTGCTTTACCATTATTTAAATGCCACTTATTGAATTCCACATTGACTCAACTTCCCAGGTCATAAAAATCAAGTTTATAAAATTTGCAAACAATGAAATTAGATATTATATAAGAAATGACATTTTAAATCGAAAAACCATCTGCCCGGCCCAATGTTATATTAATAATAATGTTATTATTTAACTAATTTTGGAAATACCTAGGATATACATGTAGATGACTATGTGGGTGGGAAATTGAAAAAATATGCTTTTATTTTAATGTTTTTGTGCTTTACGAAAAATACAAAAATACAAGCTGATGTACATGTTACAAATATATGTAAGTATATTAATTGTAAGGTTGAATGTGGTCATTTCTACTTATAAAAAAGTCATTTATTAATATAAATTTATTGGAAAATAATATAGAACTAGAAGATAAATCAGTTTAACTGGGAAAATCAGGCATCAAATACTAAAACCAAGATTTACTGAAATACCTTTTTGTCTTAAAAAAAAAAAACTCCATAATTTGCATTCTTTCCTTTTACAATTTGACCATATGGAAGAAATCCAGGATTAATTGCTTGTTACAACGTTGATATAAAGGACATTTAATAATTTTCTGTGTGAGCGTGCCTTTTTCATAATAGCAGTTTCTTTGTTGGAAGCATGACAGATGACTGGCTAATGGCTGGTGGGAGAGAAGAGAATGTTAAGAGTAATGCCACATAGGGAAAGAAGCATGGCAGACAGAGTTCACCAGAAGAAAGACATGATGTAAGATTTAAATTCCAAAAGACTTTTATTGTTTTTGAATCATTTGTTACTTTCTTGGGTTGCACACAAAATATCCATGGTTATGTGAAATAGTTCCACAAATGTCTTATTCGTACTTAAAGATGAAAATTATTTATTTTTGGAGCCTAGACAGATTATATCCTTTTTCTGTTATTCCTACCGTGATTTGTAGGATAATTTTATGAAATTTATTTATTTCATTTTCTTTTTATTAGCCAATTGTAAGGTGGGGGTGGGGGGAAGTTCTTTTTTTTTTTTTTTTGAGACAGAGTCTCGCTCTGTCGCCTAGGCCGGAGTGCAGTGATGCGATCTCGGCTCACTGCAAGCTCCGCCTCCCGGGTTCACGCCATTCTCCTGCCTCAGCCTCCCGAGTAGCTGGGACTACAGGCACCCGCCACCATGCCCGGCTAATTTTTTGTATTTTTAGTGGAGGCGGGGTTTCACCATGTTAGCCAGGATGGTCTCGATCTCCTAACCTCATGATCCGCCCGCCTCTGCCTCCCAAAGTGCTGGGATTACAGGCGTGAGCCACCGCGCCCGGCTAATTTTTTGTATTTTGAGTAGAGACAGAGTTTCACCGTGTTAGCCAGGATCGTCTCTACCTCCTGACCTCGTGATTCGCCCGCCTCCGCCTCCGAAAGTGCTGGGATTACAGGCCTGAGCCACCGTGCCCGGCCGGTGGGGAGAAGTTCTAATTGTGAGACACTACAGATGGTGTATTTAAATGTAGGCATATATTAAAATGATGTTACAGTGGTATGACTTTTTTAATTTGGCAAGCTCAGATTTCACTTAAGTTACATTCTTGGTGACATGGTATAGGGCAGGCAGCAGTTCAGAGCACACACCAGAGAGTGAAGCTGCCTTGGGTGTATGCCTAGCACTATCTGTTATAGTCTGTAAAATCTTGGACAATAAACTTAGTCTTTCTGGGTCTCAAATTCATTTATAACATTAGGATGATGTCAGTCATTTCTAAACTCACAGGGCTGTTATGAAACTAGATGTATTAATGTATTAAAAGCAGCTAGAATACTGTATGGCTCATAGTAAGTGCTATATTGCTAACTATTTTTATGATTAAATGCTAGAACTGACCTCACCTGTACAAAGACCATTCTGGTACATTCAGACAATTTCGGGGTGGGAAAACATCCACAACTCTTCGTGCTCCTGGTAAACGATGATTACACAATTTCTAAGGAATGCCATGAAATAATAAGTCACCAGTGTAGATTTAGGTCTAGGGAAGAAGAAGAGGTATACTTAACAGGAAAAGAGAGAGAAGAGAAAATGAATAAAGAAAATTCATGTGACTCTTGGAAAGAAATTAAAGATTCATTCAAGCAACTTAAAAGAGTGACAGAGAATGAAAAAGTAGAAAATAAACTTAATCAGAGCTGAATTATTCATTTCTCCTTTAGTGAGAGAGACCTGTGGGTGAACAAGGAGGCTATAGACATGGAATGTACCCCTTTTTCTGTTAGTCAACGGATCTTTTCTAGAAAGGCAGCAGCACATGGAGAAAGACTCTATGGCATTGGGGGGAATGATGGTGAAACTCTCTGATTTCCTCTGCTGGAGGGTTTCTATAGATCATCGACAGGGTGGAGAGGTGGAGGAGAGTCAAAGGACAGTTTCCCAGAACCTTGTATGTCTGTCCTAACTTGCCCTGTAGAAAGCCAAGCCCAAATGCTATAACTCCTTCCAAATAATTGCAAGTTGGCTTCGTTTTAGAATAATAATCTGACATTATAAAAGCAGGGAACCAGATAACGACCTAATTTTACAAGGTGAATGAATAATAAACTAGTTGTGCTGTTTTGTTGAAGCTTGGTTGAGCTAGATAATCTTTATTTCTATGGCTACCAGGAAGCATGAACAGATTTATCACATTGATTTTCTTGTATTGTGTGCATAATTACAAACCATAAATGCAAACACTCTCTGAGTGGGCTCAGCCCCAAGAGCCCTTAACCATGGTGGAAAACATTACCAAATTATTTCTCTGGTAACATATTAAGGACCTAGTCTTCAAAAATCAGGATCCACTATTGGTGGTTAAAGTCAGGCTCTGATGTGAAAAAACAGCTTAATTAGTAAATCCAAATAGAAATCACCAGGTTTTTAAAAAGGCAATTTAATTCTATTCCAATTCACTTCAGATTTTTGAAGAAAGGCAGTTGATGAGTTTATCAACTAAACTACAATGTCTCAGAGGTGGTACTGGTTCTAGAGTTACTTTTTGTAAATACTGTAGACATTGACCTTCATTTGTCTACAGTCATGCCTTTCTTTTCTCTGTCCCTCCAATTCATCATGCTTTGTTGCAGCAACTGAGGTTTCCTTTAGGTAACTGCAAACTAACAGGAAGGCCAAGTGAAAAGCCATTTCTTCCCCTGAAGTAAATACCCGTGTCTCATGCCATTTCAGGCATTAATCCTATCCCTCAGTTTTTATGCAGTTGTTTGATATTTGATAAATAATCCACGTCAATAGAATAGTGCCTGACAATAGATTATGTTCCATCTTGTTGCCAATACAGGTCATCTGGAGATGCAATGTCTTAACCCAAAGAAATAATTCTAAATGGTGTATTTTTCATCCTATAGTAAGTTAGCAGAAAGAAAAGACTTAATACGGGAATGCGCTTATGATTCATTGAGTTATTCTTCTAAGTAGTTATCAACTTATCTTGGGAAGAGTCTGTACTTTGCTGGACAGCTAGTACCAACCAGTATATGAGGTAACCACATAATTATATAATTATATAAAATGGATGTTTTTGAGAGTAAAAGAAAGATATTAATAATTATGTTGGACTGCTGGGCACGGTGGCTGATGCCTGTAATCCCAGCACTTTGCGGGGCTGAGGCGGGCGGATCACAAGGTCAGGAGCTCCAGACCACCCTGGCTAACACGGTGAAACCCCGTCTCTACTAAAAATAAACAAATTAGCCAGTCGTGGTGGCACGCGCCTGTAGTCCTAGCTACTCGGGAGGCTGAGGCAGGAGAATTGCTTGAACCTGGGAGGCAGAGGTTGCAGTGAGCCAAGATTGAGCTGCTGCATTCCAGCCTGGGCGACAGAGCAAGACTCCATCTCAAAAAAATAAATAAAAATAAAAAATAATAATCATGTTGGACAACAGATGTAAACCAGGACTGTCCAAGGCAAACAAATGAAATATATGTTCACTTTCTGCCCAGATGGCAGCTAGGTATTCTTCTTATTCTGTCACTATGAATTCCTTTTCTATATTATAATTTATGGCTTAAAGAATAAAAGGTTACTGCTATATTTATTTATTAATTATGTCTCTGGGATAGAAGCTATATTCATAGAGCATATTGTGTCAAATAATTTATGATATTTTTAGAAGACCTTGTACTTCTAAACTGGGCCTACGTTTTTCTGCTTCAACACTTTTATAATTTTATTTTACTACAAATATATGTATACACACACACTTGATTTTAGGCAGTTCAGCAGCAAGAACTGGGCCTTTGGAGTCCGAAGAATCCTTGTTCAAATCTTTATTATCACTATCTGGCTATGTAACTTTGGATATATGACAGTGCTGAATATTTTTTAGGCTCTCTTTCTTGTAAAGCAGTGGTAAAATACCTACTGTGTTATGAGGATTAGTTCAGAGCTGGAAACGTATGGTTTTCCAAAGTAACTGTTATAGCTGATAGATAGAGAGAGAGATAGATACATAAATAGTAGTTTTAATTAAGATAAAATTGTATTAGGTTGAAAAATAAGTTCTATAGAAAAGCAATCACTGGATGTTCTCACTTATAAGTGGGAGCTGAATAATGAAAACACATGGACACAGGGAAGGGAACAACACACACTGGTGCCTGCTGGGGTGGGGGTGCAGGGAAGGAGAGCATCAGGAAAAATAGCTAATGGATGCTGGGCTTAATACCTAGGTGATGGGTTGATTTGTGCAGCAAATCACCATGGCACGTGTTTAAGTATGTAACATCCTGCACATGTACTCCGGAACTAAAATAAAATAAAATAATTTCTAGGTTTCAATTATTTATAGCTTTAATAACTTTACTTTGATAGTGCCAATATGGAAAGACATGGAGCAAGCTATATTCTTCAGATGTGTAAACCAAGAGAAGCTCCCCAACATGCTAAAAATGGTAGCAAATTTGAAACAGTAGTTTTTAAGTAAGTCACACTTGCTTGACAGATGGCTTAGGCATTGGCCATGTTTAAGTTTAAACAATCCAATTTCAACCTGGCGGAATTGAAAATATAATAATAGAGCTGGCTGAGAAAATACAACATCCTCATTACATCATGAAAAACAACCCCTTTAGTTATAAAATAGATCCTTACTATTTCCTTTGAAAAAGGACAAAAAGAAGTAGAGCAGAGAACAACTAATTGGATTTTTGCACATGCCTTTGTTTATAACGTGAACAGTCGTTAAGCGGTTTCACAATTTTGCTCATGCAGAGTATTAAACGTGTTTCTTAAGTAAACTGGGGCAGCTGGGAAGGGAACTGCTACGTATATTTATACTCAAAGCTGGAAAACACATGATGTTCAAAATATAATGAAGTGTAATTTTTCTGCCTAGCTTTGAAAAGTTTTGGGACTAATACATGAAAAATTATGTTGATTCTTTTTCTGCCTATGAATGTAGAGTAATAGTATTGCACTTGACCAATCTATATGATTTTAAAGAGGGAATTGATGATTTTATGTAATAGAGCATCCTATATACTGTGCTTACAAGAGTCTCTTAGTGATTACAGATGTTTAGCATACTAGTGCAGTGGTCCTCAAACATTAGCATGCATCAGAATGATCTGTAAGGCAATGTATTGAAACACAGTTTTTATTGAAATATGCTGCTAGAGCCAGTAGATAATCACATACAAAATAATGCAGTTGTACCCTAACCTCAAATCATACACAAAAATTAACTCAAAATGAATTAGAGATTTAAGTATATGGGCCGAAACTAAAAAAAGTATTACATTTAGAATAAACTAGTGACTGTGGTTTAGACAATAGCTTCACAGATATGACACCAAAAGCATAAGCAGCAAAAGGCAGAATAGTTAAATTAAACAACAACAACAAAATTTAAACATTTGTATTTCAAAGGACACTATAAATAAAGTGAAAAGACAGCCAACAGAATGAGACAAGTTTTTGCAAATAATATATCTAAGGGACTTGTGCTAGAATAAATAACAATTATAATTCAATAATAAAAAGACATGTAACTCAATTACAAATAGGAAAATGACTTGAATACACATTTATCCAAAGAAGATACACAAATGGCCAGTAATCATATGAATATTTGACATTATTACACATCAGGGAAATGCTCTTCAAAACCATAATGAGAAATCGTTTTAAACCCACAAGGATGTTGAGAATCAAAAAGTCAGATAACAACAAGAATTGGCAGAAATATGGAGAAATCAGAACTCTCATACACTGACGGTGGAAAGTTTCTGTGGAAACTACAATGGTGCAGTTTCTATGGAAAACGGTTTCGCATTTCCTCAAAAGGTGAAACACAGAATTACCATATGATTCAGCAATTTCATGTTTAGATATATACCCAGGAGAAATGAAAATATATGTCCACACACAACTTGTACATAAATGCACATAGCAGCATTGCTCATAACAGCCAAAAAGTTGAAACAACCTAATCATCCCTCAATTGATGAACGGCTAAATAAAATGTGGTATATCCATATGATGGAATATTATTTGACAATTAAAAGAACTGAAGTACTTATTCATGCTGAAACATAGATGATCCTTGAAAATATTATGCTTAATGAAAAAAGTCAGTCACAAAAGACCACATATTGTATGGTTCCATTTATATTAACTGTCTAGAATAGGCAAATCTGTAGAGTCAGAAAGTAGATTTGTGTTTGCTTAGGTATGGATGGATCAAGAAATGAAGGTGTGATGGCTTAAGGCATGCAGAGTTGTTTTCAAGTAATAAAAATGTTCTAAAATTAACTGTAGTGGTGGTTGTACAATTTTGTGAATATACTAAAAGTCATTGAATTTTACACTTCAAGTGGAAAAATTGTATGGCATATTAAGTACATCTCAAGAAAGCTGTTAAAAAATACGCTGAGTGCTTGAGTTCACCTCTGTTACCTCTGCATTGGTATATGTGAGAGGGAAATTGAGACTTCACATGTCTGGCAAATTCCCAGGTTGTTACCACAGATGCTGATCCAGAAACCATACTTTGAGAACAACTGCAGTGGTGCTTTACAGCCTTGCCTGCTTATTAGAATCACTGAGAAGCCTGGAAAAAATCTGGATTCCTAGGACTACGACAGTCTCTCTGGCGTGAGGCCCACGTAACTTTCTAAAGCTCTCCAGGTGATTCAAACTAATGTTCAATAAAGTTTGGAACCTCTGACAAATAGGTTAACACTAATAGTTGTGGGAGGGGACAAGAGCCCTACTACAAGTAGGTGCTTTATACCTCTCAATATTCTAAGTAAGAGAATTAGCTTTAAGTGGAAGTTAAGAAAATAATTATCAATTCCAATACCATATTGACAAAAAAGTTGATCTTCCAATTCTCACAGCGAGCATCAAAATATCTCAAATCCATGAGAAGCAAGATTTCTCTGAAAAAAAAAAGAGAAAAATATCAAATTCAAATGAAATCCAACACATTCTTTTTTTTTTTTTTTTTGACAGTCTCTCTCTGTCACCCAGCCTGGAGTGCAGTGGTGCGATCTCGGCTCACTACAAGCTCCACCTCCCGGGTTCACGCCATTCTCCTGCCTCAGCCTCCTGAGTAGCTGAGACTACAGGCGCCCACCACCACACCCGGCTAATTTTTTTGTATTTTTAGTAGAGACGGGGTTTCACCGTGTTAGCCAGGATGGTCTTGGTCTCCTGACCTCGTGATCTGCCTGCCTCAGCCTCCCAAAGTGCTGGGATTACAGGCATGAGCCACCATGCCCAGCTGAAATCCAACATGTTCTTAAAGGTTCTCCATATTATTTTCATTGTATCTCAGGTATTTTTTCATAAATATCTAAGATCCTACAGAGACTTTTTCTCCCTATGTAAGTGCTCCTGCACCAGAACATTGTGTAATTCTGCTGATTTTTCCCCTCTTCTCATCATAAAAACAAATATACACCTCCTTCATTCACTAACAATGACAACAAGAAACAAAGCTGTTATTAAAAGTAATGGGAAAAATCACAATTACTTTTGAACCAATCTAATACTATCATGGCCATTATCATAATTTCCCAGATGTTCAACCCAGGTAAGTAGCACAAACAAAGGTTAGTCACGGTGTACAGGCAGGGACTCACTTGGTCTGGAAGTGGTAAGCTGGAAAGCCAGCTCAGGCAGCAACAAAATTCAAGAACATGGGCATGAGGTAGGGTTTGGCACTCAAAGCTAGCATAAAGGAACAGTCATGAAATGACATTTTGACATGCAGACTTTGAGCAAAACTAGGGCATAAACACTGATCCATGGGAGATTCTGCCAGCCCTCTGCTCTGGTTTAAGAAGCATTTCTCTTGTGGGTTACCAGGAATAAGCAAGACTCAGCTCTGTAGTTGCAGATGAGTGCAGTAGGAGGTCAAGTGCTCTGGAGAGTCCCCTGGTTTCCCAAAGCCCCTCTTAGCCCCACCTGAACCTGAAGTTTGAGTAAAAATGAGCTGGATGACGAGTGAAGATTAGAAAGGAGGGCCAGGGTGAGAGTGTATATAGTGTGGTTTGGCAATAAAGGAAGAGGTATAGGCAGACATGAGTCAAGAGAAAACATAGTAGTTTATAGCGGGGTGTCCAATCTTTTGGCTTCCCTGGGCCACATTGGAAGAAGAATTGCCTTAGGCCACACATAAAATACACTAACACTAATGATAGCTGATCAACTAAAGAAAAGAAAAAAAAAAAAAAATATATATATATATATATATATATATATATATATATATATATATAATCTCATAGTGTTTTAAGAAAGTTTAAGAATTTGTGTTAGGTTGTGTGGCCCGTGGGCAGCGGTTTGGACAAGCTTGTTTTATGGGGACAAACAGAAGTCCAGTTTTCCTGAAGTTTAGAATTCAGAGGGGCAATGGTCAGATACCCACACATGAGCCTCCATTAGATAATGGAACAGAGAATTATCCTCAAGCAGTTTTCTCCCAGTCATTACATTTTATCCTAAGTGATCTATCCTTATGACCAGTTTATAACACTTACTGTTTATATGCCATGATTTAATTGCCAATTATACAGTGCTTTTTTCTGATTATTTCATATATTCTCCTTATCTCTTTAATTAGTTTATAATCTAGCCAAGGATGGGAAAATTTTTCATATTTTTGCACAGAACTAATCTCAAGCCGGGCGAGGTGGCTCATGCCTGTAATCCCAGCACTTTGGGAGGCCGAGGCGGTGGATCACGAGGTCAGGAGATCGAGACTATCCTGGCTATCACGGTGAAACCCCATCTCTACTAAAAATACAAAAAATTAGCCGGGCTTGGCGGCGAGCGCCTGTAGTCCCAGCTACTTGGGAGGCCAAGGCAGGAGAATGGCATGAACCCGGGAGGCAGAGATCATGCCACTGCACTCCAGTCTGGGTGACAGAGTAAGACTCTGTCTCAAAAAAAAAAAAAAAAAAAAAAAGAACTAGTCTCAAAACTGAGCATATGAGAATTAATTTAAAAATTTTTTGAGCCTTCTCCTTCAGCCTCATGCAGACTATCCTCTAGTACTTTGCACTGTGACCTCCCTATCGCTCCTCTGGCTATATTTATTAAATAAGAGATGAGCACTTAAGCAGCTTAAGTAGGTGCTTTGTCTGAGGAATTGGAACAAAGACCAAGAGACAGCCAAAATTACGAATATATGTCAGGAATTGTAGCATGTAAAGTTGGGAGTATGGTATAGGCATACCTAGTAGGAAAAGGGAGAAATGGCTAAAGCCCATCTACAGAGAAAGAGAAGAGAAGGTGATGAACTTCTAGTTTAATTAGTTTTGTTTATAGATGTCCCATAAGATTGAGTTAAATTATTGCCTCGGGTCCTTGAACTGCTTCTTTAGCCTTGAAATAGACCCTGCCTCCTCACCCTCTCATACCCCATCTTAAAATTTGTTATTAAAAGCTAAGTTGATTTGGAACTCTTAGGCACTTTTGCCATAGGAAATGAGAAAATGGGACTGGATTACCTGGATGCTGTTTGAGATCCCAGGAAGCCATAGCCCATAATCAGTTAATAGATGGCCAAAGGTGTGGATCTGAGTCACTCACTTCTCAGACAACTCTATGAATATTTTGTCTCCATTCTACAATGAGGCTCATGAAATTTTCTCATAGTGAATACATTCAAATTCCCTTTTATGGCATCAATTGTAAGTGGAACATGGTGGGACTAATTGTTAAATCAACTCCTTTGGTGAAGTAAGAGCTGAGTCAGATCTTGGTCATGATTTGCGAACTTCACATCCTTTGTCTTCCCTCCAACAATTAAAATTTTTCCATCCATATTTTTTCAAAATTGAAAGTTAATATATTATCTGGAACTTTGTTATTGTATGTGATTTTGAAATTTTAATCTTATATTCATTCATTAACTCTCCCAATTTGCCAGGAACTGAGGGGATTCCTGAATGCAGGCCTTCTCAGGGACCTAGGAAGGTCCCTAAGGATTCAGGACAGCTGGTAACCCCAGGACTGGAGTAGCTGTCATCTGGTCCAGCCTTTCCATTTTATAGATAAAGTAACTCACTGGTTCTAGTGCTTAAGCATCTATAGCAGAAAAGCCTGGACTGATCTCAAGGCTCTCAATCTCTGGCTGACTGCTCCACGAATTCATTACATTGTACTTCTTGAGGCTAGATATGGACACCTTTGCACCCACTCATCACAGCTCCTCCCTCTACCAAATGCTTCCGTGATTATGCTCATTACATTGTTGTGGAATGGATGAAAGAAGAATCTTTAAGTAAATGGATTAAATGCTGTACTGTTAGTATGTATAAGCAGAATTTTCATTATAAAACACCAAATCTGCATGTAAATGGTATATGTCCATTTGAAGGTTAAAAACTAACAGATGTAACTAGTATCAGATCCATCTAGGTTTCTTGGGCCTGGACATTGTGTAGAAGAAATTTGAGGGAAATTCAGGGATTATATCACAAATTTAAATCTAGATTATTAGAAAAGTACAGTTTAGAGTTGTAAGAGTCCCAATAAAGGTGAAGTATGTAATACCCCTTTCAAATGGTTATCCAGTTTGTTCTTCAGTATTCATTGGAAAGCTTACCTCACCAACTTCCAGTGTAAAAATTCTATTTTGGGGTAATACATTGGGACATTTATTTTTTTCAACTGAATTTGTTTCTCTCCCTAAAGTTTCCATCCACTGACCCTTGAAGCAAAAGGTAATACATCTTATTTCTTCTCAGTACAAGACTTTAAATAGCTAAAACCACTAATTTTCATATTATTCTCAATGTTTAACTTCATTAATCTTTAATCCTAATTCAAGGAATATTATTTTATTTTCCTTTCCAACTCTTACTTTCATTTTTGAAACATATTCTAATGTGTACACAATACTTTTGAAATGTGCTCCTCATACCTCATGTCAGATTTACTCTGATCTTTCCTGATACAGTATTTTTTTTTTGTGAAATCTAAAACTAGATAGCTTTGTTTTGTAATCACACATATTGTTGATCTGTTGAGCTTACTATGAGGTGAAAACGTTAACAGTTTATTGGAAGGACAAGAATATTTATATAGACATGTTTCCTGCCTTTCTTTTCCTCCAGTTCTCCAAAGAAGATGATCTTTTCTTCTTATTCTTTTCTAAGGAACATCTTGCTTTGTTAGACAGGCTCTTCTTGTTTTGTGATGGTGAATCAGAGAGCAGGCAGCGAGTGCCAGGGCCAGGTGGGCAGTAAGAGGAGGTTACAAAACTTGGGGACAGAAGGTGGCATTTTACAGAATATAGAGGATGAGAAGAATAAGTAGGTATTAATAGTCTTAGCAGTGGGAGTAGAGAAGTGTGTTTCAGGGAGTCAACAGTGGGAGTAGAGGAGTATGCTTTAGGGAGTGAAGGTTTGGTACTGAAGCAATTGTGTGAGTGAGAACAAGTGAGTGGGGGAGGAAAAAATAAGTGGATCCTAAGAAGTATTGCTGGGGAGAATTGTTTATGACATTTAAGAAATACTACTAAAGGACTTTGGTTATATTGAAATTAATGGGGACTCTATTCTTGTGATTTGGATGTTACTCTAGTACTGACTCAGAAGGGTGAAGGCTTAAAAGAATTGCCTATGTATTTGCTGGGCACAGTGGCTCATGCCTGTAATCCCAGCACTTTGGGAGGCCAAGGCACGTGGATCACCTGAGGTCAGGAGTTCAATACCAGCCTGGCCAACATGGTGAAACCCCATTTCTACTAAAAATACAAAAATTAGCTAGCCATGGTGGCACATGCCTGTAATCCCAGCTACTCCGGAGACTGAGGCAGGAGAATCACTTGAACCTGAGAGGCAGAGGTTGCAGTGAGTCAAGATCATGCCACTGCGCTCCAGCCTGGGCAACAGAGCAAGACTCTGTCTCAAAAAAATAAAAAAAAAAAACAAAAAAAAGAATTGCTTATGTAATTAAACAATCCATGCTTTACAAAGTATAAATATACATGCTTTACAAAGCTATAAATACATATATTTGTGTCTTACCCAGAGAGGTTAGGTTACTTGCCCAAGCTTACACTGCCTCACTGTACTTTCAGAGCAACTCAGTGCGTGAGAATATGAGACCCTGATAGTGGAGGAACTATGCCCTGTGAATGATACTGGAGGGGTAAGTCTAGGCCCATTTCTGCTCACGGGAGCTGGCCTAGGAGGAAGCTGGGAGACCTCTGATGGGGCTTTCTTCTCTTACATCTTGGCTAGCCTTCTAATATGGGCTTTGCGTTAAGACAAACACGTTCACACATGCACATTCTCTATCCTGAAAGATTCCTTCCTTCCTTCCTTCCTTTCTCTTTTCTTTTTTTTCTTTTTTTTTCTTTCTTTTTTTTTTTTTTTTTTGATAGAGTCTTACTCTGTCACCCAGGCTGGAGTGCAATGGCACAATCTAGGCTCATTGCAAGCTCTGCCTCCCGGGTTCAAGTGATTCGCCTGCCTCAGCCTCCTGAGTAGCTGAGATTACAAGCACACACCACCACACCCAGCTAATTTTTGTGTTTTTTGTAGAGACGGGATTTCACCAGGTTGGCCAGGCTGGTCTCCAACTCCTGACCTCAGGTGATCCACCTGCCTCAGCCTCCCAAAGTGCTGGGATTACAGGCATGAGCCACTACGCCCAGACTCTCCTGTAGGATTTTGAGACTCTTAGTAAACATATGTTTTAAAAGATATGTAATGGAATAGAAAATATCCTGTCAAATATGATTATTTTAAGAAATTATTAATGTTTGGAATCTTTTATCTGTGAAGACCATCCTCTTTTCCTTGCTTCCTTTCACATTTCAAAGCCTCTTGAAGATGATGAGAATTCAAAGCTATGGTTTATACATAGAATAAGCATGAAATATATGTGAACAAGGTATAAAGATGTGAAATAGGTATAATCATATGTGAAATAGGTATAAAGATGATAAATACTACATGACATGTAAATTAGTAAAATGATGAGTACAGTGGTTTTCCTCAAGTGCTTGAAGGCATTTCTCTGAAAGGAAGGGGGAAAATTGGCAAGCTGATTTCATCTTGAAAAAGCTTTCTAAGAAGTTTAACTCGCAGAGACGCAAAGAGATTACAGAAGCACATGAACTATGCCTGACCTCACCTTCCATTACTGCCTAAGTTACTGACTGTTGGTTGACCAGTGGGTCACTATGGGAGAAGAAAAGCACTGATGAAAGGGTCAGAGGTCATTCTCCTGTTATTTTGCTTGCATGTTAAATTAATATCTAAACTGACTTTGCACAGGAACACAGCAAGGTCCGCTGAACTCTATAAGTTCTTAATTTAGAACCCATATTTTGCAAAAGTCTTGTGGATTAATTTTTTTTGCTGTTCCCTATATTTGTTACATTGGTTGTTTGTAAAGAAAAATTATTTTATCTAGTAAAGTTATTTTTAAATGAGTATTAGAAGACCCGAAAAAAGTGAGGTGTGGATGTGTGTGGCAAGTTCACTTTTTAAATGAAGAAAACAGAGAAAACAAAAATACTGTAGGAGGGGCTATATTTATGGTTGGTATTTGTTGTTGTTGTTTATTTTTCAGAAGCAGAAGCTCCTTCTCAGATTGGGAGAGATGGAAGGATTTTCCTTTTCTGGTTTTGAGGTTGAATAAATAACAATGCAAATAAATAATACTGAAAATAACTAGGGATTTTGAGGGAATGAGGCAATTAAGGCTTCAGTAGTAGAGTTTCAAAAGGACTCAAGAAATAGATAATTACAAAGTTTTGCTGACAAAGGAACATCAAATTGAGAGTATTTGTCTGGCAGTCATTCATTCACTCGTTCACTCACCTATTCAGCTCCTTTTAAAAGCCAGTCCTGGTCAAACCTTCCTTGTTCTACACAGGAGGAAATCAAGTTACCAGGAAGTCAACTACAAGCATGATATATATATATATATATACACAGTTAATGTTTAGAAAACTGTGTCCATTTTTGACTCTTGTACAATTTTGAATTCAGTTATGTATTATTATCGCCTCAGATTTAAAGATGAAGAAACCAAAGTTCCCAAGACTAGTGAGTTGACTGAAATAATGCAGCTGCTAAGAAAAAAAGCTGAGATTAAACTAAGGATTGATGACACCATTCACTTCTTTATCATTTATTAAATTTTTATTGTGGGTTTACTACATGTCAAAGCACAGAACATACAAAGATGAGTAAAATGCATTTCCCACCTTCAAGAAGCTAAAAGGAGTTAAGGACCTGTTAATAGAAAATATCACTTAGTGTGGTAAATTGTTCCACAGAGCTAGGCAGTGCTTTGGAGGACAAAGGATCGAGAGGCCAGGAAAGGATCCTCAGAAATGGAAGTGACAACTGCACCAAGAAGTGAAGGCTGAGCAAGAGATAACTAGTTTGCATGTGAGGGGAGGGATGTGGAGCATCTGTGAGTGGCTGTTGGACAGTGTTCAGGAAGAAGGGCTAGCACACGGAAAGGGCTGGAAGCAAGTGAGAACAAGGCCCAATTTGTGAGGGAGAGAGGGACTTGAGACAATTCAATATGGCTGGAGCATACAGTTGGAGGTGAGAGGAGTTAAAAGATATGGCTTAAGGTAATTAGAGTCCTTGAATTTTATTGAGACCCTTAACCCGTGTTAGAAAGTTTTTACATTATTCTATATGAGGATGGTTAAAAATTGAAACATTTTAAACAGGGGGTGATATGATAAGAATATATTACTGAGATCTCTTGTGATGTGGCACTGAAAATTGATCATGTAACTGGTTATTGCAGAACCTAAGCTAGACCACAACATAGTTGTAGGAATCAGAAAATTGGAGACATATAAAATAAAATTAGATTATCAAAATGGCATGACTGTAAGATTGATCTGATATGGAAAGCATAGGAGAATAATCAAAGATAACAGTTTTCTGACTAGGAGAACCAAATATTTTCTGAATTGGTCTGTCTCTTCATTCCTATGTGCCCTCCTCATCCAAGCTACCTCCACCTATCTCTGGACTCCTGTAGGAATAGCTTCCTGTTTGGTCTCCTTATACCATTTTTCCTTCTGTTTAATCTTTTCACTTTAGCCAGAGTGAACTTTTAAAAACATCTTATCATACCAGTACCTCTTCATAACTCTTCAATGGGTTCCTTTTGTCCTTAATGTAAAGACCAAACTCTTTAAGAGGCTTGCAAGGTTAAGCACAGTATCTCTCCAGATGAAATACCAATTATCTCCTTCTCTCTCTCTCTCACTTAATATGCTTTAGCCAGAAAGACCCTCCTTCAATTGCTAAAATATGCCAAAGGTTGTCCAACCTTAATCTAGTTCTGGCAGTGCAGTTTGGAAGGAAATTATGTCAATGGCGCTTGGCCTTTGAGTCTTCAATTCTTTCTAGTCTTCATTGAAATCTCTACCAAACTGACGTTTACTTGCTTCGGGCTCTTGTGTAACACTCTTAAATTTTAGATTTTTAAACACTGTTGGCTTCCTGGTAAGAAGTGAGATGGCAGGACCCCAGGCGATCTCATGCACTTCAGCAGTAGAGAAACTATTAAATTACATTCATCTAATTTAAAGACAAAGATCTAGGGTCTTTAACTTGCTCATCATATTTGAGAAGTTTCAAGATTCTTCAAATTATAGGGAAACTTCTTGTCACCATTAGTATAATCAAGCTATGAAATATGTGAAAAACAAAAATTCAGTTTTGGTTATCCTCAAAATAGTTTCTGAAGTCATAAAAACATATTCCTCTCCAATCAATCACCTTTTTATCTCTCTTTTTACACTTACTAATACTTCTTGCTTAGAGGTCTAGTTTCTCTTTTTTTTCTTTTTTTGAGACCTAATCTCACTCTCTCTCCCAGGCTGGAGTGCAATGGCGCGATCTCAGCTCACTGCAAGCTCCGCCTCCAGGGTTCACGCCATTCTCCTGCCTCAGCCTCCCGAGTAGCTGGGACTACAAGTGTCCGCCACCTCGCCTGGCTAATTTTTTGTATTTTTAGTACAGATGGGGTTTCACAGTGTTAGCCAGTATGGTATCAATCTCCTTACCTTGTGATCCGCCCGCCTTGGCCTCCCAAAGTGCTGGGATTACAGGCTTGAGCCACTGCACCCAGCCTCAGAGGTCTAGTTTTTCTATAACAAGAATCAGTATGTACAGCATTGGATCCCACTAATCAGAAAAAGAATAAAAGGATAAATACATCAGGGTCCATATTTTGGCATTACGTAAGGAGGTACAGTCATCCCTCTATATACTCGGGCGATTGGTTCCAGGATCGCTGCATGTACCCAAATTCTCCTGTACTCAATTTGGCTTCCTTATATAATCCTATTTTGACTAAATGGACATATCTGGTCAATTTGCATCCATGGAATAATAGCCTTAATATTTATGTAAACTTTCACTAAATCCGAAAATACTAAATTGACATGTAAAGAACAAGTCAAGCATCCTTTTGTACCAGCAAAAAAATGTGGCTTGAGGAAAATAAAAATATTCTAAATTTTATGCTCTGTTTAAGAAGGCAAATAGAAAGTAATATTTTTAGAATAAAAATCCTTAAAAGTAAGGGAAAAAAATCATAGAAATCACCTTATTTGCCAATATTCCTTGGAAAACTTATTTGAAAATCTGAGGTAGTAGTAAGTGTCCAGAAACATTTTATTTTTCATTAAATCTTGTTTTCCTTCATGTACATTAATACTCCATGTACAGTATTAAATAGCATCTCCATGCTCTGATTATATATTTAGTCTGCTGATTTCAGAACCAAAAATTTTAAAAATATCTTCCCTTGGCATACTCTCCCTGAAAGTTTATTATTTCTTCTCTCTTCCACTTTCTTCATTTGTATATTTTTCCTTGGCTTGGCTTCCTGGCAAATTCCTTTTCCTTGCTTTTTGCCTCATCTTGCCTTATTTGAGGTAAAATAATAGTCCTCATGGAGCAAATGGTAAAATTGTATGTAGATGTAGGATTTGGACAAAAACCTACAATGAAAAATGACCTACCACATAATAATAGCAAAGGGTTATACAACACATTTATTTTCCATGAGGAGTGCTTTGTTATTCTATTTTTATCAGTTCAGTAATCTGTGATGATAAATAGGGTAATTATATTAAAATTACCACTCATCGGAAGTACTCTGCTCAACCTCACCACCTCCCTCCCTCACCCATTGCTTTTTTTCCAAAAGACTTGTGATGGGGTATAGATTACTTAGAAGCACATTATTTAGCTTCAAGGATATAGACAGAAAATGATCGAGAATCCCTACACCTCTCGAGTTTTAAAATGTCACACTTTCACTATATGAAGTGATATTGTTTAGACTCCTGTGTTACATTAATGAGGAAAGCAAAAGAGAAAATTTGATATGAAACTTTCTGGGTAAACTGCTGTGATGTGATAAGCATGAAGTTTCTACAAGTTCATCCTCCAAGGATCACAGGGTGAGGGTGGCATGGAGATATGTGAAGATGCTCATATAGGATTTATTCCCTCTGGACATGCTCGTAACTTTGCCTTTGTGGCTATCACCCTTCCCCACACCCTCTTCCTGGGTTTTGGTTGGTAAATTTGTTCTTTTTTTAAGAGTAAATAATATTCAATTTTGAAATATTCTTTTTTAAAAATATTTTATTTTTGGTTTGGGGTAACATGTGCAGGTTTGTTATATCGTTAAACTTGTGTCACAGGGGTTTGTTGTACAGATTATTTCATCACCCTGGTACTAGGCCTGGTACCCAATAGTTACTTTTTCTGCACTTCTCCCTCCTCCCACCATCCACCCTCAAGTAGGCCACAGTGTCTGTTGTTCTCTTGTGTTCATGTATTGTCATCATTTAGCTCCCACTTATGAGTGAGAACATGTAGTATTTGGTTTTTTCTTCCTGCGTTAGTTTGCTAAGGGTAATGGCCTCCAGCTCCATTCATATTTCTGCAAAGGACATAATCTTCTTCTTTTTTATGGCTGCATAGTATTCCAGGGTTTATATGTACCTCATTTTCTTCATCTAGTCTACCATTGATGGGCATTTAGGTTGATTCCATGTCTTTGCTGTTGTGAAGAGTGCTGCAATGAACGTACAAGTGCATGTGTCTTTATGATATAACAACTTGTATTCTTTTGGGTAGATACTCAGTAAGGGATTGCTGGATCAAATGGTCATTCTGTTTTCAGCTATTTGAGGAATTGCCACATTGCCTTCCAGAATGGCTGAACTAGGTAAATTCTTTCTTTATCTTCAAGAGTTCTATGGTTTGAATGTTCCCTCCAAAACTCATGTTGAAATTTAATTGCCATTGTAGCAGTATTAGGTGATGGGACCATTAAAAGGTGGTTAAGTCATGGGAGAATCTGTCCCCATGAATAGATTAATGCTGTTATCTTGAGAGTGAGTTTGTCATAAAAATGAGCTCTCTCCCATGCATTCTCTTTCCATGTGATGTCTTCTGCCAGGTCCTGATGCAGCAAGAAGACCCTCACGTGATGCTGCCAACTTAATATTGAACTTCCCAGCCTCCAGAAATGTAAAAAATAAATTTATTTTATTCATAAATTATCCCATCTGCTATAGCAGTGGAAAGTGGACTGAGACAGACAACTATATCAAAGACTTCAGAGATGCCTTCCCTGACAACTTCCTTTCAATCTAAGTAGGCACCCCTATGGGGTGTATTTTATCCTTACTGTCATACCATGTTGTGCATACTTTATTACTGCTCTTACTCATTGCTTTTCTTGCCTGACTTCTGAGTTATTTGAGGATAGGGAGAATGTATTTCAAGCATTATGTCTTCAGGTACCTCAGACCCAATCTGTGCTTAAAAATTATGTTGACTGAATGATGAAGTATATACTTATGAGGGAAGGTATAAAGAAAAGAAGCTGCACTTAAAAGCTATTTCTGAATTATTTGACGAAAGTATTATTTGACATAACGGTACTAACAGGTATGTTTTTCATATGTGTTTATTTTTTAAAAAACAGTTGAAAATTGAGATGTTATGTAGATTATATTGCCTTTTTTGGGAAGGAGGTGTTAAGACAATGTAAGTGAAAGGAACAATAACTTTAAATTTTATAAAAACAAAGTCTAGGGATTAGTGACATGCCTCAATGCAGTATTGCTACAGTGCCTTTGGCTTTTGAAACCATCTTTCCAGCCATTTGATTCTAAGATACTTTAAATTCACGATCTCATGTGTAGCAGGGTTCTTTTTCAGAGTGTTTTATATACTTCTAATTGACCTCCACTGTCCTCAGTGCAGAAAAACTGAGGTCAGGGATACATAATGGTCCAATTCCGATGAGAGGCATCATAATTTAGTCTGGAGAGCCTGATCCTGGTGTCTTTTCCGTGTTAGTGGTTGTGGGTATTACGTGTAACTGTGTTATGATAAAAACAAGACTGTGGCACCGCTGAATTAATTAGACAAGAGTATAACTAAAAAGGAAAGCTCTTCAGCTTTGTAACTGCTAATGGTAGAAAATGAAGTACAATTAGTACACACCAAGCTTTGATGAGCTTTGCTTTTGATTAATTAGCAGATTTTAAAGTCTTCTATAATGTGACAGCTATTCTATTGATCCCCCTAATTAAGAATCATGAAAGTAAAAGGGACTCTTCTTCACTTTGATGACTGATTCCACTTGAATCATCCAAACTGCTCCGATGGCTGTACTGAATAATATTGGCCATGTTACATGTGCTATTCAATATGTGTGTATACATTCTTGTGAGGTATGTCTATTCAATTTTTTATTTTACTTTTATTTGGATATTAGGTGGAGACAAATAGGGTGAAATTACTGGGAAGGGGCAATAACTTTAAACTTACTTTAAATGCCCCATCAAATGCCATGCAAAGAGTAGATTTTAATTATTTATTACTATTGACAACCCATTTGACTTATCACATTTATTCACTGGATGCTTATTCCAGCATGAGGCACTGTGAAAAACACTGACACGTTGTATTAAAATTTGCAATAGCTGGGTATGTGATATTTCTCAAACAAATCTATGCTGTAATAAGAGTTCACATAATTGCATGTACTCTTTTAGCCTCGATATAAGACATAGAGAAATAATAAAAGAAAACATGGGGAGTCACAAGTCAACCATGTGTGACAGTCAGGGCCTGTCTTTTCACAAAGGTAGCAACATCAGATGCTAGAAAAAAGTGATGAGAAATTATCTAGCTGGGAGAGTTCTCAACAAAACATGGGATCTGTTCTACATGAAGATAACTCTGGGCCTCAGCCTGCCATGTGGTGTTGATTATCCTTAGGCAGGGACACCAGAAGTTCTGTAATTATTTCCATTTTGGAAAGGTAGAACTCAAGGTAGAAAAGGGTGTTCAAAATGATGGGCAGCTACGAATATCTGTGTCTTCCCATAAACCTCTGGATAACTTTCTTTCCTTCCTTCCTTCCTTCCTTCCTACCCTCCCTGCCTCTCTCCCTCCCCCCGCCCATGCCTCCCTTGCTCCTTCACTCCCTTTACTCTATCTTTTGTTCTTTCTTTACTTCTCTCTTAATTATTTCTTTCCTTTCTCTGTCTTGTGCTCAGTCATATTAATTGGTGTCCTTGTGAAACCATATGAAAATGTTGCAATATAGAGAATGATAAAATGGCATAAGAGAGTATAATATTAAATTTAAGCATTTTAGAAATTGAGACATCTGTGGATTGGTTTAAATTTTATAAAGGAAAAATTAAATGAAGTCTGATTACCCTTCTAGCGGTTAAATGTTTATTTTTCATAAAGTAAGTATTATCTTGGTGAAAGCAAATAAATTATTCATAGTGGTTGTTCTAATTCTTCTGAAAACGTCATGGGCAATTCGTGTTTTGTATAACTGCAAATACCCCATTTGTTACTTTAAAGACTTAAGAAAATGTTGGCCTAGCAGTTCTGACAAGGCAGAGACTATTAACTCAATTTCTGTCTTACACCCACTTGAGAGCAAGTAATATTTTACTCTTTTCAGTGAATAATATTTTCTCATATATATTTTTAAATGTATAAATGAAATGCCAGGCTGCTGCTTTGAATCAGTGGCAAAGAAATTTTAGATATAGAATTTTTAAAAAGCTCTAACATCTGGTAAGTCGGTTGAAGGAAAATATAAATTCCCCCTTTTTAAATAAAATATCACCAGTTTCTGTTTTTCCTGTTTTCATGACAATATGGAATGTAATATAGTTTTCAATATAGTAGATTCTTAAAATTTTAGACATACAAAACATGGTAAACTATAAAAACATAAGACTTTTCCTTTCTTTTCTTTTTCCTTTTTGTTGCTCAAAAGTAAAAATATATCATTATCAAAATGGGGACAGGGCCACGTTAATTATTAATTTGTATCCTGCTATGGGTAAGCTGTACAATTTTATGAAACTACAGATCAGGAATAAAATATTGTATGCTGTTCAATATAGTAGTGGGATACAATACTTTCAGTGTACAAAGCTAGAAATTTCTCAAGACTGTATATAATAATGTTTGGTACTGTTTAAATTATGAATAATGAAGAAGGAGTCAAGTTTTGTTAACAAAAAAAGCAACCATGTCTCCTTTGAGAAATATTTTTTATTTTCAAAAATTCACTTTCCTCTCTTCCTTTAACAATTATATCCATGGAAAGACTTCTGAACATTTTAAATATGGTTCTTTTGAATATTTATTTGAAACTACAATCTAAGTGAAGACAATGAACCCTAAATTATTGCTAATGACTTATTTCCCCCAGTTGCAGGGACTTTATTCGGAGAAATAGCAAATGAGTTTTGAAAATCACAGTCTATTTCCAAGTCGAGCAACTAAGCAGAACAAAGCTCAGATGTGAAGCCAGGAGTCACCAAAACCCAGGGCGCTGGCTCTGCCCAGGAGTGTCTGCTTCTTTATGCTCTAGGATTTCCTCCTTCTGCGGCCACACCCTGAGACCATTTTCCAGGGAGCCAGGATGCATGTGTGAGCTCCACCTTTGACCCTATCCTGACTCTTTTCCTCTTATTTCTCTCTCCTGCAATTGCTAGGGGGATTGAGCTTATGCCCTGATTTTTTCCCTCTCCTCCTCCTCCTCCTCCTCTTCCTCCTCCTCCTCCTCCTCTTCCTCCTCCTCCTCCTCCTTCCTCTTTGCTGGGTCCTTTACTTCATCATGGCAAGCAGCCCAGGTCTTGGGGAGTAGGGAGCTTTTGCCTCTCTTTGAGCTTCTGGACTTAGATTTCTGACAGCTGCCCTGCTACCGCACCCCAGCACATATAAATTAGAGTTGTCCTTTCTCTTTTTAATCTTACCTCTGTGTGGTGAGGAGAAGGTAGCTGTTCTGCACTGCCTAAGTGTTAATTGACAGAGTAAATAGTTTTTGTTTCTGTTTTTCGTGTTTTCATGAAACACAAAAACTTTTGGAGGAGGGAACTTTATATGGATATGAATTTGGACAGTGTTTCTGAGCACCACCATCTTGCCAGAGCACAGTGTTTAATAATCCATAGTCTCTATGTTTTTATGGGGCCCATAGTTAGGTATGTGGTTGACTCAGGTGATTCTTCCTCTGATCTTTAGTCTATTAAACTTGACAACAGCCAGAATCATGTTTCTGAACTTCAAAGCAATGATAAAAGAGAATAATTTGGATTTACAAGATTTCTTGTTCCATACAAGATTAATGTTAATATTTTTCCATATTGTGAGAATAGGTCATAATATACCTGTTCAGTTAATTTCTAAGCAAGACCCTCGAGAAAGATTTACTGCCTGTCCTTGCTAGTGGAGGGCCAAGACATCTGAGGCACCATATTAAGCTGGGGGGCTCCTACTAATTTAGCTCATTGATGAGCTTTACTTTAGTGAAGGGATTCATCTCTGCCAGCTAGTGCTTTGCACATATGTAACAGGTTTTGGGAGTGGTTTGCATGGTGTACATACGGGTCAGTCTCCTAATACCTGAATTTTGTGTCGCAAATACAATTCATGTTGTTTTAGAACTCTGAATGTAGGAAAGATAAGAGTGAAATTTGTCTAAGGCTGATCTCCTGCAAGCTGATCCCTTAGAAAGAACTGCTTCTTGCAAAGTACCATGGAAAGCAGTTATGACTTTATGTTTCTGGTACTAACAAGCTACTGAACTTGGAACCCAGCTTCCCCATCATGCCAAGGCAGGGGCTAGTGCATTCTTGACCAGAATCTTGGTGTGATGAATCCTACTATGACCTTCCTATGCCTTGTAGCTGTAATTTTAAGGCTTGGATGCCTGATTATATAAAGGCCTAGTATTCCGCCCCACAGAGCTGGACACAAGATTCTGCCATGTCACACAAGTCTTAAAAACCCCTCAGCACCACACATCTGGGGGACATCTGGCTTCCAGAGTCAGTTGTCTGATCCTGTGAGATGGCTGTGCATTGCCCCAGAATGTGATGGGGCGACGGTGACAGGGTTACCTGCTACTGATCCTGAATCCATAAGCTTTCTCTGGTGAACACTGCTCCAGAAGTCAGATATATGCCCTGTTTGGCTGATTCCCTTCTTTGCACAACGATATTCAGGTTGCTTTACCTCTTTGTTGTGTAAGATGTTGCTGAGATAAATTCAAATGGTGAATAGTTTCTTGAAAATGAAGCAGTTTGTTAAGTTCTTTCTCCAAGTGGTTAAGTGTCATTGAACTCAACCTATATGATACAGAATGTACTGGGTTTGTCTTATGGTAATAACAGATCTGCTTTTAATCTTGAGGGGGAAATATGACCTATTCCTTAATAATGATAATGAAAGATATATGTAGTAAGGGAAAATCTAAAAGGTATTATGAGAGTCACACGGGGAAAAGAAATTACTTTTATTAGCAGTTTCTAATGAGGCTTTTTGATGGCTTTAAGGATGAATACAATTTATGTTCTTAAAGACCAACTAAATGTCGTTCTACCTGGGAGTGGGAAAGCAGAGGGAAATAAAGTAGAAAATGAGCTAGGCTGGAGTGGATGCTTATGGGACACATAGTAGAAAATTGATTTTGTAAGACAAGTAGCATCAAGACCATAGATTGCCTTGGATGACCAGCTAAATAATTTAAATTTCATTAGAATTAGTCTCCAGGATGATTAATCTGGCAGTGATGTGTAAAAGACTTTGGCTTCGGAAGATTTGTTCCAAGGCTGACGCAATCCAGGTGAAAGGTAGCAATCTGTCAGACCTCTTGGTTTGAACAGAGGAAAGCACTAACAGGGATCTAAAACTACATCTAAATCTAGAAAACTACATGGAGGGATATGAGAAGCATTGTTTGACGTAGTGAAGGAAATATATGAATAGGTTTTAACAGGGCAGCATAATAGTGGCCCTTTTCAGAGTTAATTCTACAAGGAGTATGAATACACTGCATACTAACAGTGTGTCTTGGTAAGCTGTCCTGACTTTGTGCTTATACAACTTGAATTTATGGTATTGAAAATTTACATAAATAAATGGGTCAACAAACTTGGTTGGACCCCCCGTCCCAGCCCCAGTGCACAGGCACTCATTACAGAATGACATCTGGCTTTGCAATTTTACTGATTATTATGAGTCTAGTTGCTTCCAAAAAGAATTTGATATACTTATGATTAAAGACAAGCACATGATTAAAATCAAGGTAAAGGCTCAAACAAAGTCACTGTGATTCAGAACAAAGTTTCTCTCTGTGTTTTCAGGTATCCAAGACAAACATTGTTATGATAAATTACAGACTTGTTAACAAATTGTTTGATACATTTTTTTTTTTCTGGTCCTTGGTGCTATGAGAAATATACTGCCCATTAAAAAGGCATATTTGAACAAAAATGGACAGTACTGTCAATCTAAGTTTCTCTAAAATGTAAAATGGATTTTCATGTAGTTACTTCGTATGATAATCCTTTATGAAAATCAGGGAAGAAAAGTGAATTATAATTCTGCAAAGCCACTTCTGTGAGAAATTAGAGTAGATAGTTCTTATATAAATTTTCTGGTGCTATGATTTGGTAAATGAATGAAGCTTAAGGATACTAGGAATGCTTGTCAAAATGTGATTCTCACTAGCATTGCTTATAATACATGATGAAAATAAGGACTTCTGTCCTGTTGAATTTGAATCTCTGAAATCTCACATATACACACTTTCTTTTTCTTTTTCTTTTTTTTTTTGAAATGGGGTCTTGCCCAGGCTGGAGGGCAATGGCATGATCTTGTCTTACTGCAACCTCCACCTCCCAGGTTCAAGTGATTCTCCTGCCTCAGCCTCCCGAGTAGCTGGGATTACAGGGGCCCACCACCACGCCCAGCTAATTTTTTGTATTTTTAGTAGAGACAGGGTTTCACCATCTTGTCCAGGCTGGTCTCGAATTCCTGACCTCGTGATCCACCTGCCTCGGACTCTGAAGGTACTGGAATTACAGGTGTGAGCCACCGCGCCTGGCCACATATACACGTTTTCAATATGACCCCCAGTGATGCGTGTGTGTGTGTGTGTATTTTGCATATTAACATTTAAGAGCCGCTGATCTTGAGAAATAATTGAACAGCTTGTCTCTTAATCTGCCTTGAATATGTATTCTCTTAACTGAGATTTTGACAGAAGCTATGAAATAGTGGGTCTATCAAAAGCTAACAAGTTTCTAAAATTCAGGTGCTCTCCACTGTTGACCAGAAGGAGATCTGTATGCTTTGGATGTCAGGTATATAGCTGGCAAAGCTGGCCTGCTTTGTTTGCTTGCTCAAGTGCATGCCATCTTTCCACTACTGACCATTGACCTCTGGGGTTTCTTATTATAACATTGCAGACTTCTCAGCTAGAGATGCTTTGGAAATAAAAGCAATATGTTTTACCTTTAATTATTGTATTATTAAAATTTGGGAGCACAAGAGTTTTCAAAGTGAAGAAGAAAGGACGCTTAACCTAAATTATTTCAAAGAAAAAGAGAGGCTTTACATTTGAAATGCTTATTTTCTTATGACAAATAATAGCAGTTGGTAACATGAGCAATGTCATGTACATATTACTGATAGATAATTCAGTCCTTTTCAAAAAATCTGTAGATAAGTTTGTTGATAATTATTAAATATTTAAACTATTTTTAAGTGAAATTTGCAAAGAAGGCTTTTTTTTTTTCCTGTTAATTTTAGCCTCTTATTAGAGACTACTGCCCTACTTTCCTGCCCTGGGTAGCTCTAGTCAACCTGGCAGTATCTTTGCATGAAACCCAAAGAAAAAGCAGCCTGTGCCAGATTCCCTGCTGCCTGCATTCAAAAGTTATCAGCTTTCCAGAAGAATTAAGGGCATTGAAGTCCCCTCCTCTGAGAACCATGTTATGGCTGAGGTCAGCTTTAACTTGTTCCTGGCTGAGAGAGAACAAGAGGCTTTCATCACACCATCCTGGATTTTACAGACAGGAAATGTTTAGAAGTATTAGAGACTTGTATTTTCTGTTACAATTAGGGACAATATTTAGCTTTGCTTATTTTCTTGCCACTTTGGTTCAACTTGGTTTCTCATATGTCTAGACATTGCTCAAAATCACTGTTTATTGTTTGAACAGAAATATCCTAACGTGTCTCATAAAATTTAGCTTTGATTTGGTCTGTCTAGAGATTCTGAATATAAGGATGCCTTTCTGTTTCTTTGCAAAAATCATTATTTAAAAGAGCACAGGGTTTAGGAAATCTGTATATAATTTCTGACTTGGTTAGAATCTTGCATGCAAGAAAACTGGGTTTTGTTTCCCTAGTAACACAAAGATCATATTTTAGTGGTCTAAAATAATTATTGATACTCCAGTGAGCAATTAACTCTTTGGCATGAATAGTATCAGGCTCAATAAATGTTATAAAATAGTATTTTTCTTCCATGGATTACAATTCATCAGATACATCAACCTTCTTATTTTTACACATGTTGGTAGCAGTAGCATGTAAGATATTTTTTCTTTTTGTTTTTTTTTTTTTTTGGAATGATGTAGTATTTCTTTTTTCTGAGAATGATGGGAGCTGTCATTTATTTTCATGGATATTCATTCTAAAGCCCTCCCTGGTGCTCACATCTTTTCATGCTGAATACAGAGGTTTAAAGGCTGCACTGTCTGTTTTAAAGTTTAAATTTATGTTGTAGTCACATATAATTGATAATAAGTTTTTTGTAAAGTATAAAGAAAATAAACCTCAGATTAAACAGACCAGAAATACATAAATGTTACAATCGTTAAACAATTTTACAAGCCCAGTTCAACATAGAATATATTGAGTTTAATGCCATGTAGCCTCCAGCAGGCATTAGGCACTTGGACCAGTGGGACAATACTTTTGCCTATGGCATTTTACAGCAGTCAGAATGATTTTCCTTAGATTATCTAATTTGACCCTCCTGAGATTAAAAAAAAAAAAAGTCCAATAAAATTGACCTTGAGGAACAAAGGCTAAGATGGTTAAGGATCCTGGTGGACAAGCAAGCAATTAAAAGTGCAGGGACAACAAGTTGGACCTCGGCCACAACTTATTAATTTCGTGACCTTGAGGAAAGTTATTTAACTACACTGTTTAAGTTGCTGTTTCTTTGTATAATAAATTGAAGCATAAGATTGTGAGAAGTAAATGTTCCAGGCATATTTGTGAATGAAGAAAAGAGTTCAATTGGATTCAAAGGGAGGAAAAGGATGCACTCAATGGCTCACATCAGCAACTGTAGGAAGGAGAGATTTGAGCTAGCTTTAGGGAGCCCTAGAAGTAAGGGCCGCTTAAACATACAACCCTGCCAGATTCCTTCTCTATCTCTTTTCCCTGCTTCTCTCTTTGTGTATGTGTCTCTGTGAGATAAAGGTTACAGTCGTTTACATACCAAGCATCACATTTTTACAGTTTTGCTATTAGAGAACAAAAAGTCTCCTTTCTTCTAGCCAGACTGAAAAACATGCATGAGAGTGTTCTGAACTAACTTCCTTCCTTCCTTCCCTCTCTTTCTTTCCTTTCCTTTTTCCTTTCCTTTCCTTTCCTTTCCTTTCCTTTCCTTTCCTTTCCTTTCCTTTCCTTTCCTTTCTCTCTCTCTCTCTCTCTCTCTCTCTCTCTTTCTTGGTGAGTGGCGTACATCACCAAGGTTCACCTACTGTACAGTTTAAATACCTTTCTGCAGGGTTCCAGAGATCCAAGACTGACACACCCACAGCAAACATATAATTAGAGAAGCATTTTTCAGAAGGAAGGCTATGAGACAGGGAGAGGTCAGTGTAACATTGTAAATAAATTAACGAATAAAAACCAGTAGAGAGGGTGAAGAGGTAGTGCCTGGTCTATAGAAAGCCCTTCATAAATGATGGGCTCCTTTTGTTGCTTAGTTGTCATTACTGTCACTAGTAGCATTGTCTCCTGTGTCCTTTCTGAAATGTATTTAGTGTCCTTTCTACTACAGCCCTCTGACACAAGGAAAAGTGGCTGCCAACACTTAGCATAATGGCCAAGTAGGTAAAGTTTGTCTTCTCCAATTTCTCTTTGTGATCTATCTGTCAAGGGTCACTCGCCTGGGCCTGCCTTCCTTCAACTATCCAACGGTGCAAAATTACTTCTCCCTCTGTGGTAGCTGATAAAACCAGTAACATTTAAATATGATTGATCCTACAAGCCCTTGATAAGATTATTTTCTATTCAAAAGAGAAGGCTACAAATCTTGATGAATCTTTGCTGAGGTTATGAGTCTGAATTGGAAATGTCAATCTTGGGCTTGGTGATTCTCCAGGTCTTTTGCCCACAGGGCACGCCACCTCCTTCCCACAGCACTGTCCATTCCTCTCCCCATATTTTGCCTTCCTTGCCCCAGTCCTTCTTCTCTCGTACCCTCAAAGCATCGGTAACTTACAAGTCACTTTCTGAAAGGTAAACATACATTACATACGAAATATATCTTTTTTGGATCTCTGGAAAGACATTCAAAAGATAAGTCCTATGGAAATAATATATATTAAGTCCAAACTACCTATGCATTAGGAGGTAATAGAGGCAAAATCTCATGTATCATACTGGGGAAATGAGACTAAGAGAACAAATCATTTCTCTCTCCACAGTTGGTTGTATATTCTGTGTAGCAATATTGTACTTCCGGAGTTACAAAGACTTCACAACTATGGAATCCATCCTCAAAGAGATTATAACTTTAGGAGGGGAGACAAAAATATTACAGAGATGAAGCTAAGGAACAATTCTGTAGCCTTTCAAAAAGAGAGGAAAGAACACTGGGGGGAGAAAATTACAGCCAGGGAAGGCTTTAAGAAGTATGTTAGTTATGAACCACTGGAGAAAAATTAGGAATTTTATCACAAAACCGAAATCTAAAATAAGTTCCTTGCTCTTCTTTTGTGTATTGATAATCCAACAAAGGAACATTAAGTTTCTATTCTCAATGGAATACTTGCTTATAAAAGTTGGCAGGGAGTGTATTCCGTTATCTAACTTACTTATCAGTATTTCTTCACTGCTTTTTAAAATTTCCCTATACTTTACTAATAACTTATTAACTTTCAGTGAGTTGAGTCACTGGTCCCCAGAGAGGAGATACCTACTAAAACCTCAGGAGGTTGGCTGAAGTGAGATATTCATTCAAATGCACTATCTCATAAAGTACTATCTCATAGACTTCTAGAGGCTTCTGATAACACTACATATAAATATGTCTGTATGAACAAGCAAAACCTGCTTGTAGGTCAAAAGTTATTTTAAGCTTTTTAATCTTTGAATTAAAGATTAGATTGTTGAAAGACCTGTAACCTATAGGCTCTAACAGCTGGCTTTGGATAGAAACAGGACCTTCAAGAAGATTAGTAAGAGAACTGACTATCTCTGACACCAACAAGAGCCTGTTTTTAAATGCTTTTTGTTTTTTAAAGTGAAATCACCACAGTGTCAGGTCTAGAGAGATCAGCCCTTATATGGCAAAGTTTGAGGATTCAGAGAACAAAAGCAGCCAAGTCCCATTTTCATGAATTTTTCCAGCTTGAATATCCTTGATCATGCCCTTTGGCTACAAAATTTGATACATCCATCCCCTTCTCACTTTCTTTCTTGTTTTTGAGTTGTAATGTTGTTGTTTTGTTTGACTTGTGTTAATTTTCAGGTCCACCTAAGTAGATACCATCTAATATTCATTGAGGAATGTATCACAGAAATATCATTTCTTGTCTCAGGAGACTTCATTTTTTGGACAAAATTTAAATTAATTCATTTGTGCTTTTTTTGTGGTGACGGACATGATAGGGAGACTTGTGTGTTGAGGAGTAAAGACATAACTATTTTTCTTCCATATATGGATGATCACCAGGTTTATAAACCCTGATGTTTATATAGAAATCCATGGTTTCCAACCGCTTTCATATATATCATATATATTCTTATTTGATCCCCATTCTGGTCTCTCTTCCTATTTGATGTCTTACTCTTTTTTCTTTCTTTGTTAGGAAAGGAGGGAAAAAACGTAGCAGAACATAGATTGAATAACATAAAAATGCTTTATAGTTTCTTTGACAGAAATTCTCCCAGACATAGGGACAGTAGATTTACTTCACAAGACCCTGTTGCAACACAGCATCAAAGACTTTAATAACTCACACACACACACATACACACACAAAGAAAAAAAATAATGTGACTCAGCTGCTTGCTGGTTATCAGAGGAATATATCAAGAGTTGATGCGATGAATATACTTTGCACTATCTTTCAAGAAGTCTTCAATAAAGTATGTTTATCTCTATGTGCAAAATTTCCTGTGTATAAGCATGTCTGTAGATAACGTATCCTACTTAGGTCATATGCTTCAAGACAGCAAATGACCCTTAAACTTACACAGTTTAGATAGAAGGGCTTTAGAATTTAGCATATGGCTTTGTTTTTTCTTCATCCTGTTTTTAAAATAGAGTCATGATTATGGTGATAACTTTTGTAGATAATTCTGGTCCCTACAATGAAGAACTGAAACAAGGATCAATATACCACTTTTAGTGATCAGAAAACTAGTTGATGATTTGCTTATGATTATATATAGTTTAAGGTAAAAGAACAAAAACAAAGATTTCGAGGGCATACTGATTTGGTGAGCTTTTAATCTTTAGAATGAAGGTGGGGTTGGGAAGACGTGCTACATTTAAAGATCAAGAGCAGGGCATAATGAAACATGGATTGGGTGCACAGAGTGGAAAGGGAGCTCTGGTTGGGTTATTCAGATTAAGTCATTAAAACTTTCTACCTCTTGCTTTCCTTGTGTATAAAATGAAGATAATTTTAAATCTAAAATGTCTTAACATCTCTTATTTGTCTTACTGCTAAGATGCAGGTACACAGAAGACCAATCTAACACTCGAAAGAAAGGATGAGGGCAACTTAATCCCTAAGCAAAAACCTTCACAAGAAGAGAGCTCAGCAGGTGTATGCTTTAGGTGCCAGATGTGGTTTGGCCGTGTTCTCATTCAAATCTCAACTTGAATTGTATCTCCCAGAATTTCCACGTGTTGTGTGTCGGACCCAGGAGGAGCTAATTAAATCACGGGGCCGCACTTTCCCCTGCTGTTCTCGTGATAGTGAATAAGTCTCACGAGATCTGATGCGTTTATCGGGGGTTTCCGCTTTTGCTTCGTCTCTCATTTTCTCTTGCTGCCGCGATGTACGAAGTTCCTTTTGCCTGCCGCGATGATTTTGAGGCCTCCCCAGCCATGTGAAACTGTAAGTCCAATTAAACCCGTTTTTCTTCCCAGTCTCGGGTATGTCTTTATCAGCAGCATGAAAACGGACTAATACAGTAAGTTGGTACCAGTAGAGTGGGGTGTTCCTGAAAAGATACCTGAAAATGTGGAAGCGACTTTGGAACTGGGTAATAGGCAGAGGTGGGAACAGTTTGGAGGGGTCAGAAGAAGACAGGAAAATGTGGGAAAGTTTGGAACTTCCTAGAGACTTGTTTAACAGCTTTGCCCAAAACGCTGATAGTGATATGGACGATAAAGTCCAGGCTGAGGTTGTTTTGAAATGTGAGGACGTGAGATCTGGAGGGGTCAGGGGCAGTGCCCTTGGAAATAACTTGCTTTGTCGTGCCGTATTGTATCTCTATAGAAAAATTAAATGAAAATAGATTTATGTCTGCATTATTGTAATTCCAGCACATTTTCTTATGCTATATTATCATTAAGAAATGCAAGCTCTTACTTTGATATGGAAAGCTTTAAAAATATTACAGGAAAGTGTCTTAAAAAAGAAACTTTATACATATACATGACTATATATAATGGTACATATTACTCTGTTGTATTATCACAATGAACCAGATAATTGTATTATCACAACGAGCCTGTTTTTCTACTTGTTATTTTGGATTTTATTTTGGAACAAAACCTCAGGTACTGAAAAAATTGGAACATAAAATGTGGAAGTTCGTGAAATTTGCACGACATACTAATCTATAGCAATACTGTTTTAAAAATATGGAGTGACTTAAAAAGTTTTATATTGTTGGCAATGTGAAATAATAAATGTTTTCATTTTTGTTTTCTCCTAAAACACTGTCTGTGGCCAGGGTTTCTGCTACAAAGCAATCTGACACATAGATGTGGTTCAATCCTGAGGCTTTTGTTCTTAAATTGAGAGATATTGTTACATATGCAGGATTATGGTACCGTGTTGTTCTTCTCTTGTAAAAAATACATTTGAAGACTGTTTGTGCAATATGGCCAGTAGCCTATTTGCAGAGGTGAGTGGTTGGGCTGCAAACATAAAGATTATATCTGTGTGTGTGAGGAATTATTTGGTCAGAACATTGGAAAAATACCTGAAAATGCAAGTGCACATAATTTTAAATCAAGATGCATTTAACACAAAGGAAAAATTTTAAATATTATATGCATTTATGCATGAATTTAGTTTTGGGGACAATCTAGTAATAATGGTAGAAATAGCTTGACTCATCAAGATGCTTTCTCAAGTTTAAGTTTTTAAACGTTTAAAAAATCTCTCAATAAACAGTATAAAAATTGGTGTCAAAAACATGAGTGTGTGTGTGTGTCTGTGTGTTTGTGTATGCTCACACACATTACTTTGAAGGATAATTTGAATAAGACCTTTTGATTTCAAAAGGAAGAAGTTGGGCAGAAATATTTTCAGACATATGGGCCTTGGTTTAGTGGTTAGGTAAGTGGTGTAGTGGCCATGACTGGTGGTTTTACCTTGTTCTCCAAAGCATCTCTTCTCAGTGGTGAGTGTTAATAACTATTTTAATAATTTTTATGTGATTTCTGAGCAAAGTCCCTCCTAATTTATGTGTTATTTTAAATTTTGCATGGAAAAAGTTGATGCAGTTGTCTTCATCAATCTTAAACAGTTGAAGAGGTTGTAAACCATTGAAAGAGTTCTAGTTTCTTAAAAGTAAGTACGTGCTGTCAGAATACTTGTCTATCCTATCAGTCATAAATATTAAATTTGTAACAGACTTACAAAGGAACCTCATCTTGCTGATAAAATATTTACAAGGAAAAATACACATTGTACAGTATTTAGTATATATGTAATATAGGAAGAGAGGAGTGCTGGAAAATATGTAGACTATAGAAAATAAGATTACGGAAATATATATTATATTATTATATATATAAAATATTCAACGTATAATATTTTGTATATAAACATGTATAATGTTCTTGTAAAGTAGCTATCCAGTATCATGGGAAGGTTGGATGCCTGGGGAGATTTCTTAGTAAGAAAAAATGACCTCAGGAAATAAAAAAATGAGGCAGCCATGGGCTGAAGTTATATCTGAAGGTATATATTGAGAGGTATCATTTGGTCTGTCAATATTGTTGTTTCAAAAGCCCTAAAGAACTGAGATTAACAGTGGCACTGTATCTGCACATGAACTAAAAAATATGGCTATTTTTCAAACTAAATAATCTACCTGCAACAAAAGAGAAAATAGATTTAAATGTGGATCATCATACTTCCTTTTTTCTCCACCAAAGTTAATGTTCACACAGCAAAAGAGGAGTACAACTTGCAAGAATAATCTCCAAATGATTCAAGCAAATAAACGAATGGACACAACTCTTGTTTAGTAGATATAGCAATGACAAATAAGGAAGATATATCTGAGAGCATTGGTTCTAAGATTTTATGTTGTATAGATTTCTCTTACTTTGGCTAATTTTGTCCAGGATTTAATCCATACAACATAGTGTGCATATAAATAACATTATTACATTTTAAGTTTCTAACAATTTCTAGTAGAATTCTGACCACAAAAATCTAATCGATAAAGTGGAATCAGTAGTCTCCAAGACTGAAAGTGGTCGCATAAAATGCATCAATTCTTGGTTTTTGTTAACAACTATACAAGCATCTAAATTTTCTGTTAAGCAAAATGGAATCATATTTAATGTATGCACTTTTTCTCCTTTTATGCAACAGATATTAATAAATACGTGACCCTTGCATATTTTTGTATCAAAATTTTATCATTGAGAGATATTGCTTTACAGAAATTATCAGAAAAATGTACGTTAAAAGCATTATTTCTTATGAGTCAAATTCGTGAAAAAATTTCTAAGTCAGACAGTTTTTAGGGAGTATATGGAGCAAAGGGAATTCTCATGCACCTTATGTAGAGAGATAAATTGGTAACCTTTGGAGTAAAATTTGACTATCTTAGGCAAAGCTGAAGACATATGCATCCCATGTCCCAACTTATTCCACTTGTGAGCTCTAAAGAGAAATATTTACACAATAAAGAAGGGTGTATATATGAGCTTTATTTTAATGGTAAATATTGGAAACATCAAGATATATGTATGCATATATACACACATGTGCACACACACGCACACAATGGAATACTATTCAGCAGTGAAGATAAATAAGCTACAGCTACATGGATTAACATTGATGAAACTTGCAAGCATAATTTTGAATGAGAGAAAAAAGCTGTAGATGAATATAGGTTTTTAATGTCATTAATATAAGTTAAAATATAAAAAAATACATTTTTAGTGATAACATTGTTATTCTGTAAATGTAAATAAATGCACACGAATGAGAAACCATAATTTCATAAGAACAATTACCTCTGGGATGGAGGAGTTGGGTGGGGAAATGGTATCCACAAACTTTCAAAGATTTTGGTTGTGTTTCATGGCTTAAACAAAGGGGTCAGGACACAAGGATTTGCTACTTTGTAAAAATATGTTTTTATACATTCTAAATATTAATACAATTATTTTAAAATTTCAAAAGAAGTATTGTGTAGAAGCCTGCAGTCAATGTGTGCAGATTCTTTATTATTCCTTGGAGGTTAGTGACTACATTAAATTCCTAGGTATTTAATAGTTCACGAAAACGGGAAAGGGGGAACAGTTAGATAGAGGGTTACCTTAAATTGTTGATAGTGGTTTTTTTCCAGGAAAGTCAGAGGTTTATAATAATGTAAAGTGATTTTCATGTTTTGTTCTGTATAACTGAGTTATGTGATTCTTTTATGATAATACACTTGTGTATTACATAAATAAACAACAAAAGTATAAAAGAGAGGATAAAGTATTCTTACCATGTCTAGAATACATTTGTTTTTCTATAGATTACCTTGGGTAGTATGGCCATTTTCACGATATTGATTCTTCCTATCCATGGGCATGGAATGTTCTTCCATTTGTTTGTGTCCTCTTTTATTTCGTTGAGCAGTGGTTTGTAGTTCTCCTTGAAGAGGTCCTTCACATCTCTTGTAAGTTGGATTCCTAGGTATTTTATTCTCTTTGAAGCAATTGTGAATGGGAAGTCATGCATGATTTGGCTCTCTGTTTGTCTGTTGTTGGTGTATAAGAATGCTTGTGATTTTTGCACATTGATTTTGTATCCTGAGACTTTGCTGAAGTTGCTTATCAGCTTAAGGAGATTTTGGGCTGAGACGATGGGGTTTTCTAAATATACAGTCACGTCATCTGCAAACAGGGACAATTTGACTTCCTCTTTTCTTAATTGAATACCCTTTATTTCTTTCTCCTGCCTGATTACCCTGGCTAGAACTTCTAACACTATGTTGAATAGGAGCGGTGAGAGAGGGCATCCCTATCTTGTGCCGGTTTTCAAAGGGAATATTTCCAGTTTTTGCCCATTCAGTATGATATTGGCTTTGGGTTTGTCATAAATAGCTCTTACTATTTTGAGATATGTCCCATCAATACCTAATTTATTGAGAGTTTTTATGAAGGGCTGTTGAATTTTGTCAAAGGCCTTTCTGCATCTATTGAGATAATCATGTGGTTTTTGTCTTTGATTCTGTTTATATGCTGGATTACGTTTATTGATTTGCGTATGTTGAACCAGCCTTGCATCCCAGGGATGAAGCCCACTTGGTCATGGTGGATAAGTTTTTTGATGTGCTGTTGGATTCGGTTTGCCAGTATTTTTTTGAGGATTTTTGCATGAATGTTCATCAGGGATATTGGTCTAAAATTCTCTTTTTTTGTTGTGTCTCTGTCACGCTTTGGTATCAGGATGATGCTGGCCTCATAAAATGAGTTAGGGAGGATTCCCTCTTTTTCTATTGATTGGAATAGTTTCAGAAGGAATGGTACCAGCTCCTCCTTGTACCTCTGGTAGAATTCGGCCGTGAATCCGTCTGGTCCTGGACTTTTTTTGGTTGGTAGGCTCTTAATGATTGCCTAAATTTCAGAGCCTGTTATTGGTCTATTCAGGGATTCAACGTCTTCCTTGTTTAGTCTTGGGAGGGTGTATGTGTCCAGGAATTTATCCATTTCTTTTAGATTTTCTAGTTTATTTGCGTAGAGATGTTTATAGTATTTTCTGATGGTAGTTTGTATTACTATGGGATCTGTGGTGATATCCCCTTTATCATTTTTTATTGCATCTGTTTGATTCTTCTCTCTTTTCTTCTTTATGAGTCTTGCTAGCGGTCTATCAATTTTGTTGATATTTTCCAAAAACCAGCTCCTGGATTCATTGATTTTTTGAAGGTTTTTTTGTGTCTCTATCTCCTTCAGTTCTGCTCTGATCGTAGTTATTTCTTGCCTTCTGCTAGCTTTTGAATGTGTTTGCTCTTGCTTCTCTAGTTCTTTTAATTGTGATGTTAGGGTGTCAATTTTAGATCTTTCCTGTTTTCTCTTGTGGGCATGCATTTAGTGCTGTAAATTTCCCTCTACACACTGCTTTAAATGTGTCCCAGAGATTCTATTATGTTGTGTCTTTGTTCTCATTGGTTTCAAAGAACATCTTTATTTCTGCCTTCATTTCATTATGTACCCAGTAGTCATTCAGGAGCAGGTTGTTCAGTTTCCATATAGTTGAGCGGTTTTGAGTGAGTTTCTTAATCCTGAATTCTAGTTTGATTGCACTGTGGTCTGAGAGACAGTTTGTTATGATTTCTGTTCTTTCACAATTGCTGAGGAGTGCTTTACCTTCAACTATGTGGTCAGTTTTGGAATAAGTGCGATATGGTGCTGAGAAGAATGTATAATCTGTTGATTTGGGGTGGAGAGTTCTGTAGATGTCTATTAGGTCTGCTTGGTGCAGAGCTGAGTTCAAGTGCTGCATATCCTTGTTAATTTTCTGTCTCGTTGATCTGTCTAATGTTGACAGTGGGGTGTTAAAGTCTCCCATTATTATTGTGTGGGAGTCTAAGTCTCCTTGTAGGTCTCTAGGAACTTGCTTTATGAATCTGGGTGCTCCTGTATTGGGTGCATATATATTTAGGGTAGTTAGCTCTTCTTGTTAAATTGATCCCTTTACGATTATGTAATGGCCTTCTTTGTCTCTTTTGATCTTTGTTGGTTTCAAGTCTTTTTTATCAGAGACTAGGATTGCAACCCCTGGGTTTTTTTGTTTTCCATTTTCTTGGTAGATCTTCCTCTATCCCTTTATTTTGAGCCTGTGTGTGTCTCTGCACGTGAGATGGGTCTCCTGAATACAGCACACTGATGGATCTTGATTCTTTTTGCAATTTGCCAGTCTGTGTCTTTTAACTGGGGCATTTTGCCCATTTACATTTAAGGTTAATGTAGTTATGTGTGAATTTGATCCTATCATTATGATGTTAGCTGGTTATTTTGTTCGTTCGTTGATGCAGTTTCTTCCTAGCATCGATGGTCTTTACAATTTGGCATGTTTTTGTAGTGGCTGGTACTGGTTGTTCCTTTCCATGTTTAATGCTTCCTTCAGGAGCTCTTGTAAGGCAGGCCTGGTGATGACAAAATCTCTCAGCATTTGCTTGTCTGTAAAGGATTTTATTTCTTCTTCACTTATGGAGCTTAGTTTGGCTGGATATGAAATTCTGGGTTGAAAATTCTTTTTTTTAAGAATGTTGAATATTGCCCCCCTACTCTCTTCTGGCTTCTAGGGTTTCTGCCAAGAGATCTGCTGTTAGTCTGATGGGCTTCCCTTTGTAGGTAACCGACCTTTCTCTCTGGCTGCCCTTAACATTTTTTCCATCATTTCAACCTTGGTGAATATGACGATTTTGTGTCTTGGGGTTGCTCTTCTCGAGGAGTCTTTGTGGCATTCTCTATATTTCCTAAATTTGAATGTTGGCATGCCTTGCTAGGTTGGGGAAGTTCTCCTGGATAATATCCTGAAGAGTGTTTTTGTAGCTTGGTTCCATTCTCCCCGTCACTTTCAGTTACACCAATCAAACGTAGATTTGGCCTTTTCACATAGTCCCGTATTTCTTGGAGGCTTTGTTCGTTTGTTTTTACTCTTTTTTTCTCTAAACTTCTCTTCTTACTTCATTTCATTAATTTGATCTTCAATCACTGAAACCCTTTCTTCCACTTGATCGAATCAGCTTTTGAAGCTTGTGCTTGCGTCACGTAGTTCTCGTGCCATGTTTTTCAGCTCTGTCAGGTCATTTAAGGTCTTCTGTATGCTGTTTACTCCAGTTAGCCATTCTTCTAATCTTCTTTCAAGGTTTTCAGCTTCCTTGCGATGGGTTTGAACATCCTCCTTTAGCTTGGAGAAGTTTGTTATTACTGATCTTCTGAAGCATATTTCTGTCAACTTGTGAAAGTCATTCTCCATCCAGCTTTGTTCCGTTGCTGGCGAGGAGCTGCAATCCTTTGGAGGATAAGAGGGGTTCTGGTTTTTAGAATTTTCAGCTTTTCTATTGTGGTTTCTCCCCATCTTTGTGGTTTTATCTACCTTTGGTCTTTGATGATGGTGACCTACAGATGGGGTTTTGGTGTGGATGTCCTTTTTGCTGATGTTGATGCTATTCCTTTCTGTTTGTTAGTTTTCCTTCTAACAGTCAGGACCCTTAGCTGCACGTCTGTTGGAGTTTGCTGGAGGTCCACTTCAGACCCTGTTTGCCTGGGTATCACCAGTGGAGGCTGCAGAACAGCAAATACTGCAGAACAGCAAATGTTGCTCCCTGATCCTTGCCCTGGAAGCTTTGTCTCAGAGGGGCACCTGGCTGTATGAGGTGTCAGTCAGCCCCTTCTGGGAGGTGTTTCCCAGTTAAGCTACTCGGGGGTCAGGGACCAACTTCAGGAGACAGTCTGTCCTTTCTCAGTTCTCAAACTCCGTGCTTTGAGAACCACTGGTCTCTTCAACGCTGTCACACAGGGACATTTAAGTCTGCAGAAGTTTCCGCTGCCTTTTGTTCAGCTATGCCCTGCCCTCAGAGATGGAGTCTACAGAGGCAGGCAGGCCTCATTAGCTGCGGTGGACTCCACCCAATTCGACCTTCCCGGCCACTTTGTTTACCTACTCAAGCCTCAGCAATGGCGGACACCCCTCCCTCAGCCTCACTGCCGCCTCGCAGTTAGATTTCAGACTGCTGTGCTACCAGTGACCAAGGCTCCATGGGCGTGGGACCCGCCAAGCCATGCACGGGATATAATCTCCTGGTGTGCCGTTTGCTAAGACTGTTGGAAAAGCGCAGTATTAGGGGGGGAATGTCACAATTTTCCAGGTACTGTCTGTTATGGCTTCCCTTGGCTAGGAAAGGGCATTCCCTGACTCCCTGTGCTTCCCAGGTGAGGTGATGCCCTGCCCTGCTTCAGCTCACACTCTGTGGGCTGCACCCACTGTCCAACCAGTCCAATGAACCCGGTACCTCAGTTGGAAAAGCAGAAATCACCCATCTTCTGTGTTGCTAACGCTGGGAGCTATAGACTGGAGCTGTTCCTTTTTGGCCATCTTGGAACGAAAATGGCCATTATCTTCAATTAGGGTGAGTATTACTCATAATTTTCTTCTTTCTGTCTCTATTCTGTTACTTACAGGTACTATTGAATCTTTATTCTAGGTATCTGGCTAGGTCCAACCCAATGCACAGCCCTAGCTGAGTGTCTGTTTTCTTCATCTGGACCAATGCAACCACTTTATCACTCACAAGCCAGTAGTCTTGCTCTTCTGATCCAATCTCTTCATCGCAAATCTTTCTCTAATGAGAATTTGAGTATTTAATTTCTTTACTTAAAACCCTAAAACTCTCATGATGGAACCTAACTCTTTAACATGGTTTAGAAGCCTCTCAACATTTCTTTCTCCTTCTGACTCTTCATTCCTTACTCCTCAGTTATCTGGCTAAGTCTGGGCCATCACTGAAGGCTTTGGTCATTTGCATTTTTCCGCAAGATCTGTGAGGATAGAAATTGTGCTTGTACTCTGTTCATCAGTCTATCCCAGGTGCCTGGCACTAGGTAGATGCTCAGTAAATATTTGCTAAATGAATATAAGAGTGATCTGGCACAGCTGCATTTCTAGTCATTTCTGTTGCCTGTATCCCCTCAACTTAAACTTTATGTTCCAGTTATATTGAATTTATTTTCAGTTTTCTGAAGTCATGCCCTCTCTTGTCTTTAGTCCTTTACACATGCTTTTCCCCTACCAGGAGGAACTCTGCCTACGTGCTTTTATAATATAGTTTTTTATTCCAGCACTTATCAAACTGTTTGGAAAGTTCTAATGCACAAGTCTTTATTTTCCCTGGGCATGTTCTCCATGAACATGAGAACTACATTTTTCCTTGTTTAATCTCCAGCATCTAGCAGAGTACTAATCTGTGTTATGTGCCTAATATACATTTCTGAGTGCAATAAATGAAAGAGTGAGGAAACAAATGAATACACGGAAGAAATGCATATAAGATTAAAAAATATGTTAAGGTTATCTACGATATGATGAAAATGATGATATATTTACATAGGAGAAAAGTCTGAAAAGTTTCTAAAATGTCAGCATGACCAGGTGAGTGATGAGACTGGGGTGATTTATTCTCCTACCTATATTTCTAAGTTTCTTTAATGTACATTATTAATTTTATAATATTTCAAAATATTTGGAAAACTGAAGAAAAGCACAATATAAATATAACTGGTGAATGCACCAATATCATTAAATATGTTGATGCTCTTAATGAATAGACATATTTATAATTGCCTTTACAATTTCTGTTAAATGAGAGAACATCTGGGAGTTACCTGAAAAAAAAAAAACAAAACAAAAAAACAAAAAAAAACAAGGTAGGAAATCAAACTCTGCATACGTAGATTTCAATTTTATTTTCTTTTTCTGCTAGGTATATGAGTTTGAGATTATATCTGTCCTTCACTTGTGTGAACAGGCAGAGTTAGACAACAAAAAGCCTCCTTGTCAAACAGAAAGGTATAAACACACTAGATTGCACAAGCAGAACCTGACTTCCTTTCAGGCTGATCCATGTACTTAATGAAGGACACGTGAAAACTCAGCCGGGAACTCGACAAGTCTGTACAGTTCATCCTATGTGAAACTGACTTAAATATCTTTGTACGATTCGAAGAGTTATTTGCCTGTGGGCTCTTCTAAGAACGATTTGAAAATACGAGTTATCTACTCATGTACAATCCACCAAAATCTTGACATCTTGAGATATCCCCGTTTATTCCTGTAGGGATATTCCAGAAGCCAGAATGACTTTATCTGCTTAAGAACATGGATAATATCAATGAGACAAAAAGAGCCAGATAAAGGTTTTCAGGTTTTATACAGCATGCCTCCTTCTCAAGATACTTAAATATTTTAGAAAATATGTTTATAAATATGTCAACTAGGATATGAGTTCTTATCCAATTTGATTCAAAACAGACAGATTTATATGAAATTTTCACTCTCTTGTTCTCTTAGGGTTTTATAATTCAGTGCCAATTATTGGCTGGGATCCAAATCTTTCTCTCTGCCTATATCATGTACTAGACTAGTTGGTTAAGCATATACAAACATAAAATACCCCTCTCTTTTAAAAGTGAGCATCCAGCCACACTTTTATAACTGTTACACACGTTAATAACCATTTGTTAATAAACACTAAGTGGTTTTTGACAAAAAAGCTATTTTTAACCACTTTAAATATTTTGAAATGAACTACTTCTCCAATGGAGGAATGTAGAAGTTTAAGTGAACTTAGAAAGGAATGTGGCATTTTAAACAGGTACATTCCTTCTTTCGTGATTTAGGTGGCCTTTAGATAGAATGTAGGTCACAGTAAGAAAAAACACTGCCTTTTTACTTAAACAATAATTAAGTTCTAGCCTTCCTCGTAACTTGACCTTGCACAAGTCACTTAATGCAGAGTCTGCTGTGTTCACCTTTAAGATGGGACAGTGACATCTGTTTTTCTCACTTTACAGGATGAGTGCAAGGATAAGTGAATTATTGTAGGCGAAAGTGCTTGGCAAGTAGTTAAGCCCTATAAAAATTTCAAGGCAGACATGATGTTAGCTATGTCAACAATAGCTTGTTTGGATTTCTTCAGCTGGATTTTTTGCTTTGCCAGCTTGTTTTGGCTCAGGCAATAATTAACCTAGACCTTAACGAGAGAGTTGGACTTGGAATAAAGACCACAAAACAGATAAGCAGATATGTATTCCAAGTCTTCAGTGGTCAGAAATAGCTGCCACCTGGGTAGTTCCAGGACATTTATTACCCTATCTTGGACTTGGCTGGAAATAGGTTACCTTAGATTCCCATCCACCCACTGTCTTTGTGGGGGATAGCGTGAAGAATTCTATATGTGCCTATATACTAGATACCAAGCAGCCTTATAAAAATGGCTTGGGGTTTTACATTTGACATATATGCCATATATATGTATGTCATATATATCATGTATATGATATATAGTTTGTCTCTGTTCCCACCTAAATATCATTTCAAATTGTAATCTCCACATGTCAAAAGAGGGACCTGTAATACCCACATGTGGAACTGGGGAAGTAATTGGATTATAGGGGTGGTTTTTCCCATGCTGTTCTTGTGATAGTGAGAGAATTCTCATGAGATCTGATGGTCTTATAAGTGGCAGTTTTTCCTGCACCCTCACACTCTCTTATCTCTCATCTGCCACCATGTAAGATGTGCTTTTGCTTTTCCTCTCCTTCCACCATGATTGTAAGTTTCCTGAGGCCTCTCCGGCCATACAGAGCTGTGAGTAAATTAAGCCTTCTTCCTTTACAAATTATCTAGTCTTGGGTATTTCTTTATAGCAGTGTGAGAATGAACTAACACAGCATATCTATCTATCTCCTGAACCTTACATTCCATTAGATATTGACATTCCACTAGATAAATATGATAGATGTTATACCTGTTTTATCACTAAGGAAATCCAGACAGTAGAAAAGTGACTGCTCTAAGACACCAAGTCAGTTGTTTATTTTTGTTGTAGATGATCTTGGGTAAAATGGAGGGAGGATTAGACTTCAAATGCCTAAATTAAAATAAATTTTCTTATTTCACACTGTATTACAGCTTTGTGATTTTGCAATATTTTCACACATTTTTTACTGTGCTGTCCCCTTTACCTGTCTTATCTAACTCCCTTCCTTACCAAATACCTCTTTTCCAGCAGCAGGAACATTACCTTCTCAGAGAAACATTCCCACCTGTGGTTAGGCCTCCTACCTGCACTCATCCTTCGAATGAAATAAAGCCTTGATCATATACCATTGTTTGTTGGTTTGCTTCTGACTCACCCACTGCTCTGTGAAAGCCTTGATCATTCATAGAACAAAATGCATAGTGCATAAATAAATGAAGTTTCCATGTTACGAGTAACAATGTAGATTTGGTTCTTAAGACCTAGCTATAGTTTCTGCTAAATTACCAACACTGGTTAGCTCTTCTTTTCCCAACATTTGTGGATATTCCCAAATTTTTACATACTCACTGTTGTCTTCAGTAATAATCTTAATATAAGCAGGAGGGGTTTTCAAGGAGTTTTAGCCTGATTATCTATATTTTACCTTTACCTTTGTCATTTAGACTAGCTCCCGAATTATGATTGGACAGGGTTTTTTTCTGTCTGTATTCTTGAGGTTCAATCCCCAACTTCAATATTGCACCCAGATTTTTACTTCTGTATGCCTGTGCCAGAATCTTGGTTGGCATGCCAATTTCCTCTCACCGTATTCTCTCTGATAAACTTTTTTTTTTTTTTTTTTGTTTTGAGACAGAGTCTCGTTCTGTCACCCAGGCTGGAGGGCAGTGGCGCGATCTCGGCTCACTGCCAGCTCCGCCTCCTGGGTTCATGCCATTCTCCTGCCTCAGCCTCCCGAGTAGCTGGGACTACAGGTGCCCGCCACCACGCCTGGCTAATTTTTTGTATTTTTAGTAGAGATAGGATTTCACCGTGTTAGCCAGGATGGTCTCAATCTCCTGACCTTGTGATCCACCTGCCTCGGCCTCCCAAAGTGCTGAGATTACAGATGTGAGCCACGGCGCCCAACCAAACTTTTTTTTAATATTCTAAAATTCTTCCAGGAATTTCCCCACTTTTGTATAATATTTTTTTCCTCTCACTCAAGCCTAGTGGTCATGGGCTTTGCTTTCTAAGAAAATATTTTCCTAATGCTGATTGTGTCTCTTCCTTTAGGCATTTTAAAATCTAATCTATGCGTGGATTCTCTGTCATCAATTTTATATTGACTAATTTGTATTGAACTTCTTGAATGCCTTCCCTTCTATTCCACACGTTACCTTTTTGCCTAGACTATCTTTGGTCAGTGAATGAAAATAACCACACTGATCTTTAGAGCCAAAACTCAAGATTCATCTTCCCAGGAATGTTTCACAATTCACACACTGACTTTTAAGTGTATCCTTTGTCCACAGGACTTTATTTATTCCGCCTAGATCCTTGGACTTGGCCTGGCAAGTTTAGCTTACTTCTAAATTCTCTTCACCCCAGCCATAACACATTCATATACAGCAGTACATCCACTTATGGAGCATGCATAGAACCAATAGCCTACTTATAACAATGGGAGGGAAATAATATAAAAATGTAGGAAAATTTTCTTCCAGAGAATCTCCTTCATTTTTAAGTATATCTGAGATCAAATAATTAATCCCATCAAATAGTCTCATCTGTGTGATTAGCAAAATTCATAAAAATAATACTTCATTGGACAATTTAGGTTAGTCATATGTAAATTGATCTTTCAATTATTCAAATAGTGTAAATGTACTATGAAATAATTTTTAGAGGGCAGTTTAATAGTTTGACTTACTAGATTCAGGAAAATAAATTGTTGATATGACATTAAAATACATATCTAAAATAATTATTTGGTATTAAGTGTATTCTGTACCTACATCAGTGAAGAAAGTGAATTCACATAATCTTTTCAATCACAAAGATACATTTTTACACATGTAAATACCCCTTTTGAGTCATCGTAGAGAAATAAAATGTATTTTTTGTGGTTAACTTAAATTTATATTTCTATTTTAGGAACTTGTTTAATTCTATAAACTTCTATAATTTTTCTTATCTAAGGCTAAAATGTTTTCTGGGTAGTTCACAATTCTGATATAAAAACTGGAGATTTATTCTCAACAACTATCATAATTTTTTTTTGATAATCCAATTTAATGGTATAAGTTTGGAAAGACTTATTTTATATATCATGTACTTCAAATGGTCTTTGTGGTCATCCTCTTTCACAAGAATATTTTCTATTGCCAAGAGAAATGTAATAAAAGTAAACATAATATGCAAAATAATGTGCCTGCTTTGCCACTGGATTCATGGCAAGAAGCCAGTTAGTATTTACTGTGTTTTTCTTCTTATGGGTAGATAAAATCTGAAGCCACGTAAGTAAGATAATGCAAAAATTATACGTTTATTTACTCCTAGTGTGGTTCTTTAATTTGTTTTTAAAATTCCTTTGGAAGACCAGTATCCTTGGGAAAGTTAAAACTCAGGAGTGGTGAATTCTATAAAGAAGCAATTGTGTAGGTATCCCTAAATAATTTCATGTTTCTCACAAAAAAATTAGCCAGGGGGGCACCTGTAATCCCAGCTACTCAGGAGGCTGAGGCAGGAAAATCGCTTGAACCAGGGAGGTGGGTGTTGCAGGGAATTGAGATCGCACCATTGCACTCCAGGCTGGGCGACAAGAATGAGACTCAGTCTCAAAATAGTGATAATAATAATAATAATAATTTCATGTTTCTGTAAGATTCTCCAATCATTTACCAGTTAGAGCATTTAAGGATTATTTTAAATTTAAGAAGTCTTAATATATTTTAGCTTTATCTTAGTTGAATAATTTTCATTGCCTTTTTATTTTCTTGCAGGGTACAGATTTTTTTTTTTTTTTTTTTTTTTTTTTTTTTTTTTGAGACGGAGTCTCCCTCTGTCACCCAGGCTGGAGTGCAGTGGCGCGGTCTCTGCTTACTGCAACCTCCGCCTCCCAGGTTCATGCCATTCTCCTGCCTCAGCCTCCCGAGTAGCTGAGACTGCAGGCGCCTGCCACCATGCCTGGCTAATTTTTTTAAATTTTTTTAGTAGAGACGGGGTTTCACTGTGTTAGCCAGGATGGTCTCGATCTCCTGACCTTGTGATCCGCCTCGGCCTCCCAAAGTGCTGGGATTACAGGTGTGAGTCACTGTGCCCGGCCTCTTGCAGGGTACAGATATTTAAAATATTAACTTATTTTAATCTGTCAGTGATGTCTTTATACAGTTTTTTCTTTTGCTGACAAAATAATAATTTGTTTCCAGATATGATAAACAGCCTGTAAATTTCTCTGACCTTCAAAATTTTTCTTGAACTTTTAACTCTACCTGGGGTGTATTTGGTTTGATTTTCAAGATACATTTCCAAGTTTTCTTTCCGAATTGCTATTTAGTTACTCTGTTTCCATTAGTTATTATCTTTAAAATAATCCTTTTAATTCTCTTGTTTTACAAACATAGGGATGTTATTAGAGTTTATATTTCTGGAAATTAAACATGACATACATACTCAATAATAAATAATGTACATGTAAGTATGTATTGTACTACTAATCCAAAATCCTGTTTAAGGAAATTTTGAAGTGACAGGTACATTCATCTTTAATCTCTCTACCCTGCCACTATCCTTTAGAAGTTAATTATCCTCTTATTTTTAAAATAATTTTGTCAATATTTTTCAGTTTTGCAATTTTTTTAGAAATTTACATAAATACAGTAGTAATATGTGTTATGTTGTCATACGTTTTTTACACATTATTTTTATAAGAGTCTTCTATGTGATAAGGAAAGTTGTAGTTCACTAATTTTCAGTGTTCTTTAAAATTGTATTGCATGAATGATACCAAAATATGCTTACTCATTTCCATGTCTATGGACATTAGCTTTGTTTTCAGGATTTTGCATTCGTATAATGCTGCTATGAATGTTATCCCTCCAATAACGTTTTTAGACATGTGGAACTCTTTCTTGGCTTTTCGTTTGTTCACATATCCATATTTTTATGTTATGCTTATATTGAATACCAAGAGGCGTTTTGAAGACAACTAGAATAGTTTAAGATACATTCTTATAACCTATATGACATTATATTAAATTCCATTTAAAACCGTAGCATAAGAAGCATTGTATCTGGCACAAAAATACAAAGGGATTTTGTTTACTGAGAGACAAGATAAACTATATACTAGAACTAAAAGCTCTATAAAATATTTAATGAAAAATTCTGTAGTAATTTTATGTGAGGTTTTTTAAACAATTTAATTTATCTTTTCTGGCTTTTTTTTCTTTTTTCTTTTCCTCCTTTTAAAAACTTTTTAAATTATTTTTTATTTTTATTAGGGACAGGGTCTTGCTTTGTTACCTGGGGTAGTCTAGTCTCAAGCTCTTGGCTTCAAGCCATCCTCCTGCCTTGGCTTTCAATGTGTTGGGATTACAGGCGTGAGCCACCACGCCCAACCTGATTTATCTTTTCTGAATTGATAGCTGGGTGCCAATAATAAACTTTAGAGTATAAATCTCTGATGAAAATCAAGACCTGATTACCAGTTTTTTATTCCTTGCTTTTTTTTCTTAGAGACTGATATTAGCTTGAGATATCCACCTCCCAAAGTCATCAGTAATGCAATAACGCTTTAAAATCATTTTCCTCTTTGCAATGTCACGTTGTTTTCCTAGTACCTTTCATTAGTGAAGTTACATAGCTCACTCCATAACAAAGGCAAGACTGAGGCAGAGTGATGTTCCATGGCTAAATAGTAAATCTGCAGTATAGTTTGGAAAAATGTTTGTATTTTTGAAGCTAGATTTTAAATAATCGATTATTGATATTGGAATGTGAAGGAAAAAGCAGATTGGCATATTTATTGCATACCATTTCCCAATGGAAATAAGGTATAGATTAATAATATAGCATAATCAGTAAATAAGTAGACAAATGTTAGAAGAGACAGTTTATACATAGGAAATGATCGTATGAATCTGTAGGTTAAGAGCATGGATTTTGGCCAGTTTTACCGCAGATGAGCCCTGACTCTTTGCTTACAGACTGTGTAAAGTTGGGCAAATTACAAAGTCACTCTGGACTAAGTTGCTTCAGCTATGAAGTGGGAATAAAAGTAGAACCCACTTCATATAGTTGTTGCAGGATTAAGTGAGATTATATCCCAAAATCCTCATTGTTATGTCTGAAATCTGTAAGTACTAAACACATGTTAACTTTTATTAAGAGGATTTCTAGGAAAAGTGCCATCCCCTTGTGAAGTGTAGTGAAAATGGGACACTCCTATATTACTATATCAGTGAAAATTGATCTGTTCCTTTTGGAAAAATCATGGCATTAACTTTCAAAAGACATAAAATTGTTAAGTGGCCTTTTTTTCCCCTAAAACAATACCTGTAGACAATAGCTCTACAGATAACATCAGCTGCATGCAAATTTTCCAGTTTTAAGGTCTGCCAATTTAAGGTTCTCTCCTTATCAGAGTGCTAGATAGAAACTGAAAGAGCCAATAATAAATCTGTTTAACTGGATAAAATGATTTGTAACCATTAAACAATGACTATGAAGATGATGATAAGACATAAAAATGCTTACAGCAGAAGTGAAAAAAATCAGGTAAGAAATTTGTGTGTGTGTGTGTGTACTATGTAAAAACATTGCACTAGAAGGGACCGTGGTGTCCTGTTTACACAGTGCCTGTGAATAAGCATTGATAGGGAATTACAGTGGCAGCCCACTGACTTAAGTCAAAGCATTCTTCGCATCTAATAAAAACAAGTGCAGTATCTTGCATCACCTCCTGTGAGTTTCTTATTACTTTTAGAAGTAGCAAGTGAAAATTTCCCAAGGGCCTAATTTAGTTCACATTAACTCAGCTTTAACTCTTCTCATAGCTATCCCAGTCAGCGCTCATTCTTTGTGTATTTATCTACATGTTTCATCAAGCATGTGGCGGTAACAAGTTAAATATAAAGTCCTCCAAAGAAAAAAATAAAGAGATGTCAATATGTAAGTGTCCTTTCTGAGCAGCACAGCTTCATAATTGTGCACTGAGTACAAAGAGATTCTGTCTTGTCTTTAAACTGGTCAGCAGCCAGACAAACTTGTCTTTATATAACAGGATTAATGGTAGGACTACAAGTACAAACCCAGTTTGTGGGTCCAAACAAGCTATGAGTTTGCAAAGATGCAAAGACATGAGAATGAGCTTGCTGGTGATATTCAGAGTCCAGCAGTAAAATGACAGATGATATTACATGTAGTTAGAATCCCTATGCCCCAAAACTCCAAACTTCTTTTTTCTCCGTAGAAAATAAAGCTTTATAAGGAATATAATTTGTGAGAGATATGTATATATGTGTGTATATATACACATATGTACACAAACACATGTAGATACACATACAAGGACTACATATATATATATATATGTATATATATAATACAAAGCCTGTATGGACTTGCTTCGTTTCATCTTCTAATTCAGACTGTCTTTCTTTTCTCCACCAAAAAGTATAGGTCACTAATGTGGATTATATGTACTGAATGATTTTTCAGTTGGCAGTGTCTAAAGATATTATTCAATCACACAATAAACCTTTACACTGTAATAGTGCTACATTCTGTGATTACACAAAGGTGTGTAGAAGATGGAATGGTACACAGGTAATACCTTCTAATGTAATGCAGAACTCTATATATTATCAACTAAAGATGTTGATGTACACGTATTAAATGTAAAGATGTGATTGACAGCAAAAGTCAGTTTTTAGTTCACTTAAAAAATAAAACCAAATGTATATCATTGTAGTTAAATGTTTGTTATTTGTATATGATAGCTGCTATAATATATAAAATGGTTCATGTTACCAAAGGAAAAAATATTGCACTTTAATTTATTCTTGTCATTCTTCCTGTCTGCAAATATGGTCCCATTTACTTCACATGCTGTAGACTATGGAGGAATCTGAAATAGATACTAAAAAGAGTCAAATACTGCTAATGAAAAAGTATTGTCACCAAGTGTGTAAGGATGATGCCTGGCAGAGTCTTGGACTATATTTATAAAGAAACCATTTGAAGAGTCTGTCAGTTGTGCCACAACAGGTCCCCAAAACAACAGGAAAATTAGTTATCTCCAGCTCCACTTTCCAGTGCTTGTTTATAAGAAATTTATGGTAGCAGAAAATAATTGGAAATAACTGACCACATATTTTCAGTTCATTCACTTGGCATTTGTACCTATAAAGTAAAAATAATTTAAAATTGCTAAATCATTATTTTATCTAAAAAGTTTATTAAAGGAAATCTGTTTCAATATACGGTCAAATATGTCAAAAGACTGTCAAATTTATTTGTCCAACATGCATTAAGACCTGTGTTGTTCTTGGCACTGGTCTCAGACCTAGGGTTAAATAAAAATAAGAAATTATCTCTTCTTCAGAAACTTACAAGCTACTATGACTTTATGAAATATAATTCTATATTAAAGAATTTATCTAGCCGGGCGTTGTGGCTCATGCCTGTAATCCCAGCACTTTGGGAGGCTGAGGCGGGCGGATCACGAGGTCAGGAGTTCAAGACCATCCTGGCTAACATGGTGAAGCCTCATTTCTACTAAAACTACAAAAAATTAGCCGGGAGTGGTGGCGGGTGCCTGTAATCCCAGCTACTTGGGAGGCAAAGCAGGAGAATCGCTTGAACCCGGGATTGCGCCATTGCACTCCAGCCTGGGTGACAGAGCAAGAATTTATCTTCTAATTAATTTAGCAAACATTTTAAAAGAATAGTATTTTAGCTTCTTTCTGTTTTTCTCTCCACAAGCAATCACATTTCTCTTGGCACTTACTCACACCGTATGTTGAGAAGATGACTGGATAAGAAAGTGAGTCATTTAAACAAACAAAGCTTCAGTTGTAAGTCACAGATGTCAAATCAAGAAGGTAATTCTGAGAAAAGTTGAAGGCTAAAGAAGAACTAACAGAAGAATTCAGTTTTCCTGATTTTCCTATTATTTGGGATATGGCCTAGGTCATGAAAATAAATCCAGGGTTGGCAAGGCAACAAATAAAAGCACATTTTTTTGGGTAACATTAGAGTCAAAAGTAAAATAAGAATTTGTAAATAGCAACTTAGATGATCTGAGTTACCCCAGCTGGTATGTGGGAATAACCATATACATGCACAAATGTGGCATTCTCTGAATATTATGAGGGCATGTATATTTTTGAAGACATATCTGTTATCCGTATTACTAAAATTTGCCTGTTAGACTCCAATTACAATTGTCGGCTGCCGCTTCACCAACAGCTCAAATAGATGAGAGCTACACAAAACATGCTACTTACTTAACCACAATTTACCTGTCTTGCCTTGTCTTATTGGTGTTGTCTTTTTAAATAAAAATAGAGCAATACTTACAGGTAACATGCCAACATTTTCACTCGATATAACTCTTCTGTGGTGATGAAAATTTAATATAGGTATGATTATTTTAATGCTTTGTTCACACATATGACGTGGGATCAATTATTATATAGACGTTTACCTATGGTTTAGAATAGTTCTATCAGATAAAACCAAATACAGAAGGAACAATTTGGGAATAAATGAGATCATTGTCATCGGACACATTCAATGTTGTGGCCATGTATTCTCTTTCCCCCACTTTTCCTCACAAGTCTGGATTTATCATGAGGAATCCGTATAGTTCTAGAAAAGCTGACTTAAATCCTGTTCTGAGAGTAGGAGCACATGATCAAGGCTACATCAGTAGGTGATTCAGCCCCTGGGCCACATTCAGTGGTTCTTGAGTGAGCATGTGATTTAAGGTAGCATATCCTAGCAAAGTTGGGCCTTTGCTTGGGTTGTCAGGACAGAGTTCTTCCTGTAAGTGAAGAAGGTGGCATGTGACCCTGGGGGCTGTTGGCTCTTTTCTAACCATGAGAGGGGTTGCCTTTAGGAGGATTTAACATCATGAAGGACCCAATAGAGACATGGATAGAAGGTAGACCATAATGGCCTTTTTTGCCATTCAATTAAGACTTCCTTGAAATTGATTCTACTTCTGAACTTTAGCATCGCGAACCAATAAATTACTTTTATTATTTAAGTTAATTTTAAGTTGAGTTTCTCTTAGATGCACTTAAAAAGCTCTTTAATGGATACATTCAAACATATGCTGAGTAATATCATTAAAGACATGATAGCAAAGGGATTCAGACTGTAGACTAGTAGTTGAACTGGATGATCTTTAAGAATACTTTCAACCTTGCAATTTTAATATGAGATGAATCCAGATTTCTGTACTCCATTACCGCCTCATGGGCCTAAAAATATTAATAAGATCTTCTAAAGCCCTATATTTGCTATAAACAATGTGTATTTCAGTACACAAACGTTAGGACTATACAGTTCTCAGCTTAGTTTCATTATTGTGAAATGGTTACATTTTATTGTTCCCATTAATCTAAAATGGTCCTTGAATAATTCTAATTAGAACACATTTTTCTGAGCATGATTATTTTCTAAAACAGTCAGTGTCTAGAGCAGAAGAGCAAGATTTGGCAGAGACCTAACGTGAGATGTAGGCAACACAGGGCTTAGCCAAGTTTTTGCCTTTATATGTTGCTCCTTCTTATTTGTTGAAAAAGAAGGCTGGATATATCATTTTTGATCTAAGTACTAAATATCTCTGCTAAACAGGAACACATCTTTCTCTCTGGAATGAAATTTTGGATTGAAGTTTATTGTAATCCAACCATCTTCAAATAGTGTCCTACATTGAAATTGATATAAAATATGGGAAGTCTGAATGCACCTGGGAATCTTACAGAATAAAGTAATACATGAAGACCACCTCCAGGATTGACTAAAGTCACATCTCTGTGGTGTCACGAGCCAAATTGACTACTTTCTCTATGAAAAAAAGGATTCATCTAGATCCTGGAGATAACCAGAATACAGAGCACAGTGGTGCCTTCTTAGTCTGTTGCCATCTAATAGGAGGTTGGATTATTCCTGGCATTTAAAAGAAAAAGTCTAATTCCAGGAGTGGGTCATCACCTGAGCTTGTCTGGATGATTTCCAGAGCAGGATACTTGTCTTACAAAGAATGCCTGTTATCTTCTTCCTGGAAAAAGTGTTTTGGAGCTTCACATACTTGGCTAATGCACCTCCATTCCCTTTGAGCATATGTACTTTTCTTCTGTGGATGGTGGCATTTTTCCCTCATTAATTGTATGTTTGTTTTCAGTCTTCCAGAGCAAAAGGAATTACCTAAAAACATATTCAGTATTTACATGTATTTCAGTAAGGTCTTTAGTGCTTTTTAAAATATTTTAAACCTCTTTTAGAAATAGAATATTTTGTCTAGTTTTTGCGCTTCATCAATGTGAGTCTGGAGGAGTAAGGGCTGGATTTGGGGAGATGAGTTAATAAACTTCATAGTGCCACTGATGCCAGGCCTGGATTCTCAAAAGTAGAGTTTCATGTAGTTCTCAAGAGTGTAAGTTATTCTACTCTGACAACCCCCAAAATCATTTTAAATAGTTTCTCAACACCTCTTTTATTTAGTACTTTATTCATTTTCTATAAATAGTTTAAAGACATTAGTAGCATTTACTGTTGTTATTTTATGTTGTTTTATATACACATTGAGAGAACAGAATGGGACCATATTTTAGGTTAAAATTCAGTCTGCAGGCAAAGGCTTCTACTTCTGTATGAAATACACTGGAAAATTTAATCTGAGGAAATTGCTTATGTCAGCAGCTGTCACAAAATGTGTGGCCTGCTTTGGAATCTGGAGTAGCTGACATACTGAAATACTATTTCTTTTTTATGAGGAAATAAGAATATCAGTGGAATCTGTTTTCTTTGAAGTGCTTCAGCCATTTTATTTCTAATTTCAGATGTCAGCAGCCTGTTTGGGATGACTAAATGAGGCAGAGAATATTCCAGTGAGCCCTTAATATCTGAGGTATTCCCCAGATATTTTTTAAGCATAGCTGGGTGGGGAACATCCATTCATTATGCCAGATGCCATAATGTTCAGAGGGAAAACATGCTCCAGGCTTCTGTGAAGGTTACATAGGTTTTCCACAAAATGATTTATTGATGGTTTCCTGGAAGGAACATGGACTCTTCACTCCATCACCTGACACTCCACACCATTTTCCCCAAGCTACACCCTATGCAAGACTAGCCCTTCTCAGTTTTCCCAATGTGTCATTTTCTCCCATTCCTCAAATAGCTTAGGAATCTTCATTTCTGGAAGAAGGCTTTCCTGATTAAAAATTGTTAACTATGCAAGGGATGTTTTCCTACAAATGCAGAGGCCTAGACTTCCAAAGTGTACCTGTAATTTTGTTTTTACATAATAGATCGTTTTAATTTATATATCTCTTTAAATTATTGACCATGTATGTACACTTTGCATAGCTGGTCATCTTGTGTGTCTTCTGAATTAAAAAATAACAGTGCAATGAGATGGACCTTGGGATGGAAATTAGAGGATAACCTAGCTTTTGATCCACTTTATGTCCTAAGCTCACAGCAGAGTGGCCAACAGTAGGCTGTGTTTTGGCAGCTCTAGAAGAGTCTGATATTGTAACTGCTAAGAATACAGGCTTATTAATACCATATACAAGAATTTTAGTGACTTCAGGTATGTTTCTTACACATCACGCCACTTTACTGATCTGTAAAAAGTACGGTATGGTGCCTTCTTCAGAGGATTTTTGTGATGTTAAATGGAAACAATGCACATAAAGTACTTAGCATAATGTTGACTATTATTAATACGGTTATCCAACCTCGAGTCAGTGAAAAAATCTCCTCAAACTACGTCACAGTCATCAGTATAAGAAAGTAAATGTCACGAGGTTGCAGGAAAGATTAAAAAAAACAATGACAGGCCGGGCGCGGTGGCTCATGCCTGTAATCCAGCACTTTGGGAGGCCGAGGCAGGCAGATCACAAGGTCAAGAGATCGAGACCATCCTGGCCAACATGGTGAAACCCCCTTGTCTATTAAAAATACAAAAATTAGCTGGGCGTGGTGGCATGCGCCTGTAGTCCCAGCTACTTCGGAGGCTGAGGCAGGAGAATCACTTTAACCTAGAAGGCAGAGGTTGCAGTGAGCAGAGATCACGCCACTGCACTCCAGCCTGGCAACAGAGTGAGACTCCATCTCAAAAAATAAATAAATAAATAAATAAATAAATAAATAAATAAGCAATGACATGAACAAGAGTCACTTTTCTTCGAAAAAAACTAAAAAAAAAAAAAAGAAAATGTTGGAATAGCCCGGGCTATTGGTAGTTCACGCCTGTAATTCTAGCACTTCGGGAGGCTCAGGTAGGTAGATCCTTTGGGCCCAGGAGTTCAAGACCAGCCTGGCCAACATGGCAAAACTCCGTCTCTACAAAAAATACAAAAATTAACCAGGAGTGTTGGCGGGTGCCTGTAGTCCCAGCTACTTGCAGGGGCTGAGGCATAAGAATCACTTGAACCTGGGAGGTTGAAGCTGCAGTGAGCTGAGATCATGCCACTGCACTTCATCCTGGGTGACAGAAGGAGACCATCTGAGAAAAAAAGAAAAAAAAGAAGATGTGCGGAGTAGATGTACATATGTGCACCCATATGATATCTGTGATTACTGTGTGATAAATCAATATTTTTAAAGCATGATGATCCTTATGAAAATACTTTGTAAAATATAAAATGATACATAAGTAATCAGCGTTGTTTTTATTATTTTCACATTCACCATTACCATTCCCAACAAAAAGAACCCCATGACATGGGGTAAGAAGATCAGGTACAATAAAAGGCAGAATCCATAGAGGGAGAGTTTCAAAAAATAAAATAAAAGCAGTTATTTAATATTATCCGAGACATTAAGTAATCTGAGAACAAAAACGTTGATTTCATTATGAAAATATTTGTTCATTTTTATGAGACTTTTGAATAGACTCTATAAGATAAAGTATTCTTAGATATCATGAGTAAAATGAGACATGAGAAATTGTTTCAAATGGTAAAATAGTATTGAAAAGTGAGATGGCAAAAAAAAAAAAGAGGGAAAACATAAAAATCTGTGAAAATAATTCCTCCAAGCTTTATTATTTTAGAAAGAATAAAGGGATGTATTTTTTTGTTCCCCACAAGTATTCCTGATCATGTGTCATCTATGTTCGAAAACAGGGCAAGAAAGGTGAGATGGAAATGAGAATAATAAGTGATGTGAAAGAAAGGTACTGTCCTTAGGGTGCCTACACATAAAAATCTGAGAATTAAGAAAAACTTTTTTCTTTAAAAGGGTAAAAAAACAAGTGGGTGTTGGGAAGAAGAAAGAAAGAAGGAAAAAAGGTGAGTATCAGGGAGGAAGAAGGAAAGTTAGAAGGAAGAATGGAATCAAACCTTACAGTGTTGAGTAAAAAACCAATCTGATAAAGCTAACATAGGAGTTTGAAAGGGAAAAGGATAGGCTGTTTCCTTTATAAAATGAAATGGGAAATGGATGAAGCAAATGTTCATATAAGCAATGTCAGCATTCCATTTGCCTTCTCAGACTCAAAATTCCCGTTGCAGTATAAAAATCTCTAAATATATTTTACTGTCTACATGCAAGAACATTGGTTAGTTTCACACTTTATCTGAGAAAGATGCATATCTTTCATGACATCAGTTAATTTGCAGTTGAACATTTTAATTCGATAATCATTTCTTAAAGTTGTTCTGCACCAAACACTGTTCAAGACAGTCATACACTGACTGATAAGAAATAGAACAGAAGATTGACAGAATCTGCCTGGTCTTGTGCAGCCCAAGTGCCTAGAGGGAGGGCCAGGGTGTGGACTACTGATTTCATGATGGGAAGGGGGTGATAAACGCCATCACAGCAGCACTAGCTGGAGTAATAAAAGCACAGTGTAGAATGAGGGTAATTCTGCCTGCTCATGAGTTTTTCGCACAGGCTCCTTGCGAAACTACACCAAACTCATTTTTCTTCTAGGACAGAATTTCAATCAACTGGAGCTGAGAGTTTATCTTTGGTTCAGAATGCATTTCTCCCCGCCTCCTTTTTTTTTTTTTTTTTCCCCAAAATAGAGGTGCTCTGATGCTAAAGACTGTTTTTCATACAGAAGTCCCATATCCCCAGCTTTTAGCCTTGAATTAAGAAACACTTGTAAAGATGATCGGTTTGAAGCAAAATGAAATCTAAGTATTCAACCACTCATTCTTCAGTTATTTCCACTTGCATTGATTGAACTGATTAAGATTGCCCCCGTCATTGCACGTAAGTGAAGGTAGTGCAGAGATTTCCCAGCGTTTTCTTTTTTTCTTTTTAATTGTAATAAATATCACTTATTCTTATTACTATAGTATTACCATTTTTCACAGTTTATCAACCTGGAGGTCACCCTGACTGTTTAAATCCAGAGTGTCATCAAATTAATGAATTCCATGGTAATTCACAAAATGATAGCGCATCTCACTCCCAAAGATGTCTTGTATTTGATGACATAGGTATTTTTAATCCTCCATCCGGAGAAATGGGATCTGAAAGGCCAGGACCCCCCAACTAAAGAATTCTGAGGAAGAGAGGGCTGGGGCCAGAGAAGGGTTCCCTGCAGAGGCTTAGAGAAGTGCCACAGCAGTCTCAGGCCCCACAATTCTGGGAAGGACTCTATAATCTTGTTCTGTGCTGATCTAGCCTGGCCTGGGTTTGTTGCTTGCTATGACCCTCAAAGCCTGAATCACCCCAAAGCAGATGAGCCAGCATCCTTAATGAGATTTATGGGGACTCCAGGGCACTTGAGGTGTGAGTCTCAGTCCACCTGTAGTGTGGACCTGGGCAGGTAGCTTGATCTCTGCCAGCCTCAGTGGGCTGACCCGTAGCTTAGCTCTCATTTATAAGCGAGAATAAGTAGTAGTTGATTTTCCATTCCTGAGTTGTTTCACTTAGAATAATGGCCTCCAGATCCATCCAAGTTCCTGAAAATATATTATTTTATTCTCTTTTATGGCTGAGTAATATTCCATGGTGTAGATATACTACATTTTCTTTATCCACTCACTCATTGATCAGTGGGCACTGAGGTGGTTTTTGTATCTTTGCCATTGTGAATTGTGCTGCCATAAACATACACGTGCAGGTGTCTTTTTGATATAATGACTTATTTTCCTTTGGATAGATACCCAGAAGTGGGATTGCTGGATCGAATGGTATATTAACTTTTAGTTCTTTAAGAAATCTCCATAATGTTTTCCATAGAGGTTGTAATAATATACATTCTCACCTGCAGTGTATAAGCCTTCCATTTTCATGACATCCATTCCAACATCTGTTGTTTTTGACTTTTAAATAATAGCTATTCTGGCTTGGGTAAGGTTTCACTGTGGTTTAATTTGCATTTCTCTAATGATTAGTGATGCTGAGCATATTTTTTGTGTGTTTATTGGCCGTTCATGTATCTTCTTCCAAGAAATGTCAATTCATGTCATTTGCCCACTTTTTGATAAGATTATTTTTTTTTTCTTGCTGATTTGTTTGAGTTCCTTCTAGACTCTGGATACTAGTTGTCAGAGGCATAGTTTGCAAATATTTTTTCCCATTCCGTGAATTGTCTGTTTACTCTGCTGATTATTATTTTGCTGTGCAGAAGCTTTTTAGTTTAATTAGGTCCCATTTATTTATTTATATTTTGGTTGCATTTGCTTTTGGGGTCTTAGTCCTTAGTTCATTGCCTAAGCCAATGTCTGGAAGAGTTTTTCCTAAATTTTCTTCTAGAATTTTTATGGCTTCAAGTCATATATTTAAGTCTTAATCCACCTTAAGTTGATTTTTTATATGAGGTTAGAGATAGGGATCCAGTTTTATTCTTCTACATGTAGCTATCCAGTTTCCCCAGAATGATTTATTGAATAAGGTGTCCTTTTCCCAGTTTATATTGTTGTATGTTTTGTGAAAGATCAGTTTGTTTTAAGTATTTGCCTTTATTTCTGTACCACTGGTATATGTATCTACTTTTGTACCAGTATTCCTCCTGTTTGGTGTATGTACTCAAGGAAAAGCATTTTTTTGGTTCATTCAAAAATAGGGCACAATTTATATTTTCTATATGATATTCTCTGCTTAGAATTCGCAGTGACCAGCAAATAGAGTGTATTTGCCTCAAGCAATATTGTAGACATAGCACTCTTACATATTTATTGTGCTTTGGGTGAATAGTCATTACACAGGGAGAATGTCAAAGAAATCATTATATAAAACATGGGGCCAGGCGCGGTGGCTCATGCCTGTAATCCCAGCACTTTGGGAGGTTGAGGTGGGTGGATCACGAGGTCAGGAGTTCGAGACCAGTGTTGCCAGTATGGTAAAACCCTGTCTCTACTAAAAATACAAAAATTAGCTGGGTGTGGTGACACGCACCTGTAGTCCCAGCTACTTGGAAGGCTGAGGCAGGAGAATCGCTTGAACCCAGGAGGTGGAGGTGGCAGTGAGCTGAGATTGCGCCCCTGCACTCCAGCCTGGGTGACAGAGCAAGACTCCGTCTCAAACAAAAAAATCAACCAACCAGCCAAACAAAAAAACAAACAAACAAAACCATAGTGTAACTTTTCAAGAGCCATTATAATGAAAAGTTGAAAACTGACCAGTTATTGTGTGTATGTCTATTTATACATCTATACATTTGCCTACATTTATATAAACTGTGGTGCAGAATGTAGAATACGAAATCCATGTTCACATGAAAACTGTAAAATAACAAATTTCAAGCTTTGTAATAGTTCGCTTCAGCATGGACCATTCACTGCCATGTGGTGTATTTAATCTCCTCTACAGAACTTCAGAATGCTCCACTGTGATAAAAATTTTTGAGAAAAATTGTACAGCCCAATGCTTGATCCTGCCACTTTAGAGAGAGTTTTGCCTCCACGCTTCACATTTTCTCTAACTTTTCTGACATCTTCTGTATTTAGAGAAAGGAGATGAGATGTGGAGAGAGAAAACAACAGTGAGAAAATTAAAGTTGTTGGCTGCGATCCTGTCTTATGTTTTGAGAATCTGACACCAAAGAAACCTGAGAACATAGTTAAAAAGAAAATTAAACAAAATTAATTAACAAGTATTCACCAACCAAAACCTCTGCTATGTTATTATGGATTAAAAATGAGCGCTTTTCCAAGAAAAAAAATCCATTCTCATAGAATTGGCAAGAAATATTTTATATGTAGGAAAGATCGAAAAAGTGATTACTATTCCCCATATTAAGGAATTTCCTTAGGACCAACATCTTCTTCTAAGTGACTTATTAAAAGGGAAAGCTTTTCTAGTTGAAAAAAAGTTTCTGGATTTCAAATTCCATGCACTATGCCTTGCAGAATAATGGGGAACCAGACAGACACTGTAAGCAGAAAACAAATGAAAGAATCACAGATAAGGGACAGGAAAGCCCACAATTCTTGGAGTAAGCAGTTTATATATTTTTACTTCAGAGAAAAGGGCAAGGGAGCCTATTAATAAAATTCTGACATATTGGTAATGTCGGTTACCAGCTAAAATAATGGTTTTATGTAATTATGTGGTTTTAGTTATCTATTTTTAAAAAGAAAACTTGCATTCATAACATATGTGGTAATGAAGAAATTATGGAGATAAAGCCATTTCCATGTTGCTTACTGTATTCAAACCCAGAGAAGCACAGTGTGATAATCAGTTAATTTATAATTTTATTAAACATCTAAAAACTCTATTTGAATTGTTGAAAATTTATTTTGAAACAACACAGTTCTCAAGAGTTTCTCAAGGTATTTGTTTTGATATTAGCCTTCGTTTGGCTAAACTGAAAAAGCCAAATAAAAACACTAAAGGCAAATTAATATGCATTATTGTCACACTGAAATATCATATGTACCAATTAGTTTATATTTATTCACTACTAGGTAAAAAAGACCAGTGCAGTTAATCTATTAATGACACTATTTTAATTCTATAGGTATAGATAAACACTTTAGGATCTTCTGATCTAAAAGTATTTTGAAATCATATCAGAGTGTGCTTGTTACTTGAGGTTTCTGAAACAATTGAATTGAACGTGGATATTTTAGCTTTTAAAATCACAGATTTGCAAAGCATGCTATTTATAGGATTCCTAAATAAATAGGACAAGATGCAGAGCAAAATGCTTAACCATAATTTTAGGTGCAGCTAACAAAGGAAAGGAAAAGTACTTAGAGAGGAGAGAAAACCTTCCCATTATAGTTCATGGAAAGATTATTTGCTTATCATTGTCCCACATGCCTAGCTTTAGCCTTGTGATCTGCCCAAGGCAGCTAATCACTTTCACTCTAGTAAGCTGGCGGCAGGCTGGCCTTAGAGGAGTTTGTTCTAAGACCTTCCCCCTCAGAGAAACCAGAGAGAGAGAGAAAAAAAAGCACATCATTTAATAATTAAGAACCCAATGAACATGCCAACGTGAATTTCTATCACATTGCCTTTTTTCTTTATCCATTGATTCATTCATGCAACATATAATACTAATGGCTACTAATATTAATGTTAGGTAATGTCCTTTTTTTTTGGAGGAGAGGAAGATCTGAGGCAGACGGATCATTTAGAAAGCTGTTTTTGTGCTATGTTTGGGTCTGCAGATACAGGGGCAATTGTTGAAATACTATTGTAAGGCAGAAACTGTAAAAATGTGATGATGAAATTTCTGTTCTGGATTCATTGATGGTAGTCACTGGAATAGCATCAGGTAGAAACATGCCTGGTAACAAAGCTCAGGAGAAAGAGTAGGCATGGAGAGAAAGTTTAAAATTGTCTATCATCTTTAATATTAATATTTATATGAGTAATATTTAATATACTATTTATATTTAATGTTTATGGAGCTTTTACTATGTTGTAAGCTTATGATAAGCACTTTACATGAATTCTCTCACTTAAACCTTGCAAGAGGTCTATGAGTTACTTACTGTTCTCATCCTTCTTTTATAAATGTGATCTTCCAGCTAGCAGAGAGATTCTAAACCAGGTCTGACTTTCCAATTTCAACATCTGTGTTTGAATCTCAAATGTTATATGGTACCCTGCCTTTGCATTGTCAGTGTCCAACATCCATATCTACTTAGTGAATGACTGATTACATATTAACATTTGTGCAGCAGGACAGCCTGAAAGTGCAAACAGCATGTCTAAAGAAAGAAAAGCATAGGGAGCCAAAGGATTTTAATTGTTGAAAAAAAAATTCAATTGAAAACATTTTAATTGTTGAAAAAACTCTGAAATTATAAAGATTAATTGAGAAGTTTTTAAAAATGACTAAGCATAGTAATAAAAGGTTTAGAATGATTCAGTAGTTTCTGGGGCTATAGGGGAGGGCGAGAGAGAGAGATGCCATAAATTTTAGGAAAGTTTCTATTTCTGGCCTGAACTGTATACATTTGTACAGGTAGGATAATTCAGTAGGTTTGGAATTTATTTCATGTTTCCATGGGTAAATTGTTCTCATTTGAGGAACATCAAGGTATTTGTAGCTGATTTTTTTGTGGGTACCAACGGTAATTTCTACTCACAGTTAATGTTGTTGAACATCCACTCTGCAAGATCGTATAGCACATTCTGTGGAAGGTATAAAGTACATATATAAGACAGTTCTCTACTCAAGAAACTTTATCTGGGAGTTGGGGAGGCAGGATGGAAACATCATTACCTTCAAGACCTACCATGATCTTGCCCCCCACTGTCCCAGTTCCCTCCCCACTTCCCTCACCTTGCCCCACCCACACTGACATCCATAAGACATTGCACACACTTGCCTCTGAGGCTTTTTTTCTTGGCGGGGGAGGGGAGGTTGCATTTGCTCTTTCTCCTCTGGGGTTTCTCCTTTCAAGACATCATTCCCTCACTTCCCTCAGGGTTCTGCTCAAATATCAAGAAATTAGTAGGGGCTCCTTTGACTCCATAATATAAAATATGCAGATATACCTCATTCCACTTACCCTGTTTATTTTTCTCTATGACACTTACAATAATCAATTTATACATACTTACACAACTTACGCATCTGATGTACTTATTTATTGTTTACCAGCTGTCTCTGGCCACTAGTCTGTGAGTTGTTTGAGGGGAAGAACATTGTCCATTTTGTTTGTGTCTGTATCCTCAGCAGCTAGAACAATGCCAGCCACGTGATAGGGACTTCATAAGTACTTACTAAGTGAACGAAGGAAGGAACTTATTAATGAAGATACATATAACTGCACAAGAGCCAAATTGTTGATAAAGGTAATAATCACTGGGAAATTCATAGGAAATTCTTGGGTATACACATTTCCCCAAATTTTACAGGGTGAAAACTACTCAAGGAGAGATACTCTGTCTCTTAAATATTATATCTATAAGGAGTGTTATGCCTGGAGGACTACTTAATATATTGCAAGTTTTGATACATATTTTTGGAGAAGTTATGTTTCCAAGAGGAGATGTATCTTTATCAGGAGTTTAAAAATTAGAATTTACACGAATGGCAAGTAGAAGAAATGAGATCAACCTCCCACATGCAGTTTTCATGACATGGTGTTGGAGGATGCTGGCAAGAGCTGAAACTTAAGGTAAAAAAGTAGACACTTGGGAATTCGCAATACATAGTTTATGTGCTAATATTCCCAGAGTTTTGGGGATTTGTGGTTGTCATTAATTTATTTATATCTCAAATATTTATTGGGCACATGTTGTTTGCCCAGAATTCTTCTAGGGGCAGAGGACACAGCAGTGACTAAACAGAATAAACCTCTGCCCTTATGTAGCTGACATAGTTTGAGGAAGCAAAATATATGGCATATTCTATCTATGGAAAATAATTGTTGTGGAGGAAAGTAAAGCAAGGAAGTCAAGTAGGAATTGTAAATGGGGAAGGCAAGAGGATCATAATTTCAAATAGAGAAGGTGAGCAAAACCTCAAGGAGATGTGGATGTCAGGAAAATGAATGCCCTGCTCCTGCTTTCCATGTTGCAGGAGGAACAAGGAGGCCAGCGTGGCAGCAGGGAGGAAAGTGGAGCAGAGCAGGCAATGAAGGCCAGCAGTAAGTGAGGAGGGGACGATCCTGTAGCACCTGCGGGTTGGGTTCGCTCTGAATAAGGGAAAACAGTGGATAATTTGGAGTAGAGAAAGTACATGATGTGACTTGTATTTTAAATGGGTCCTCTGGTTGCTCTGTTGATTAGAGCTGTGAATCATCTGGAATGGCAGTGGGCTTGTTGCCTCTAGTTGGAGGCATTTTTGGTTAGACAAAATAACTTCACAATTTGATTTTAGAAAATACTATTTGTATTCCCCAAAAAGGGTCTTTTTAGGTTTTAATTAAACTTCTTTCATTTCCACATAAGCACATCTTTTAAAGTCTTCAGCATACCTCTCATCCTCACTGCTACCATGAGAAATTCACCTTCAGGAAGCTTTCTGGGTTAGATAGAGTTTAAGTGGCCAACGAATCATCTTGTTCATTGACTGTTCTCAAGTGCAGCTTACATTGATCTGCTTGCATTCTTACTTTTCCTTCCTTGATATATGTTCTTTCTATTGAAGACTAAGGTGAAATGTATTTGCGAGAGAAATCTGTCATAGATTTCCTATACTTTCCTTTGCATTCCATTATATTTTGAATTATGTATCTAATTAGGTCTAACACCCATTATATTATGAAAACCTATGCCATATAATATTGAAAATTGTGTTTTACTGCTGTGTCATTTAAACAACCAACTCTAGAAAAATTTCAAACAGGTCTTTAACCTACCCTGGTAGGTCTGAAACTTTTTGAGGTACATTTTATATTTACATTAGTCTTATAAATATCTAGAATTCTGACCTAAATTTAGCTCTGCTATTGCAAGTAATTACGAATAGATAGCTACTTTACAATCCAAGTTGTGGGTTTCCTTGCTTAAAACCTATTTAAGCATGGGGACTTGAAATCGGTATGACATTTATAAACTGACATATCTGTTCATCACTTTTTAATAAGGTTAGTGTTTTTCAGAGCATGTTGCCATGATTGCCATGCCATTTAGGAGAGGCCACTCATTGGTTCAGTATTCATAGGTTATTGTAAAAAAATTACATAATGCCCCATTGAAGATGAAGTGAATCCAGCACACCTGGGAATGAGTCACAGTTTTCTTTGATCTCTGATAAACACTTACTTTAAGAATCTGAAAGGTGTTTTCTTTTTAACGTTTGATTCAAGTAGTTTAGTCAACAAACTAAACTTAATAAGTAAACCAGATAAAATAAAATTTGCAATCTGTTATGTCAGCTCCTTGGCTCAGGTTATGCCAAATTACCAGATAATGGATGATTATACAATCATGTGTTGTATGATACAATCAACCAAGATTAATATAATTTAATTAACTAAATTGAAGTGAGGCAACCACTCTGAATATTCTTGAAATTATTAACCTTCAAGAAAATTAAGGGTTTAATTGAAATAATTCAGGGAATGCCTTTTACTGTTATCTTCTATTTCAAACAAACTCTAAGATCTATTGGGTATTTGACCTGATATATTGAGGTCTCCTACATAAATTTCTAAAACTATAATCATAATAAATCCCATTTTTGTGGAGTACTTTTCTAAGACCACCACCCTCCTTAAATAAACTAAAACAGACTATAACTTATTAAGGCTGTGAACTGGCTGGAATATATTCTTTTCACTGTTGCCATAATTAGATAATGAAAAATGAAAATGCTTGGATTCTCACAAAACAATGCACACATAAAAGGCATACCAGTTTGGTTCTGTTTATTCACAATATTACCACCCCCTGTGCCCACCATTTAGGACCCCTTTGACTATGTAAAAATTCAAATCCAGTTATGCCCTGCTGCTCTGAGCCAGGGGTATGAGACTCACAACATTCCCTAAATGATAAACACAACTGTCTCAAAGAGTATAGCTTGATATAAAAAATGGCTTAGAGAACTGTGGAAAATACTGAAATTTTAGAGACAGATGTTTTTCTGATGGGATTTTCTATGAAGGCAATGAGGAAATGGTTCATCTTGCTTCCAAGGAAATAGGATGCCAGGTCTATTCTAACACTCTCCCATGATAATACTGCAGAGATAGGAAATAGATTGAAATTTTTTTCTGGTTTGACTGTATCTGTCATTTATAATTGCATAGTTACTCTGATTACCTAAGCCAACCTTCCTTAGCTATCTTTTTCAGTCTTGATGTAATACCTTCCATATGCATGTCTAGGAAAATATTTGTATAGGTGTGCATGTGTGTTATGTATTGATTTTTTAAAAATCATTTGTTTAGTAAATAAAAAAACTGGTAGAGATTGTCTTTTGGTTAAGAGGTCATAAATTTGAAAGGTTTGCTTCTGAAAGAATTTGTTGAAATTTTCTGACTGTTATGGGAAAATGGGCATTCAACCCTACACAGATCATTGGGAAAATGAACCAGATTCAAGACCTCAGCTATAAAAGTCACAGAGAGCATGAACTTTTGTCTGGGGTTTTATTGTAGTGTCTCACAGCTGCATAATAATCACCTTTGCAGAAAATAGAGGCATTCAGGTACTCAAAGAATGACTCTCATTTTGGAGACTCAAAAGGTTTTATATTTTCATTAGAAAAGAGGCACTTTTCTATACCATAGGATATACAAATATTGCATCATATCTATCGTTCAGTAAGCTTTCAATAAATAGTTGTTACTTTGTGAGTTGATAAAAGAAGTTGATAAATGAAAAAATACAAGTTTTTGATTTGCTTTTTTTGGCAACATAAGGTTATTTGGAAATTAAACATTATTTAACAAGTGAATTACTTGTTTATTTATTCATCAAATACTCCTTGCCTTCGACTTAACCAATGCCGGTTACTTAGGAGAAAACAGTGAATCAGATGGACATCATCCCTGATCTCATGGTGTTTATAATCTAATGGGTTATGCTGTTAGGATTAAACATGTAGGTTACAGACACATAGTCTGAAGGTTTCTTAAACTAGTATCCGTACTAAATTTGTATTCAATGGATGTTTTCTAGTCAATTAGTGCCTTGCTGAGCATGCCGTCAGTTTTGAAGTTTAGTTATACATTAGTGGTATCCAGGGAATTTGTATATACAGATTTACAGACCCTAAACCAGACCTACTGAATCAGAATCTCTACAGTTGAGACCTGGAAGTCTGAATATTTAAGGAACTCTGTGGGTTTGTCTGATAAAGCTAAGCTGGCATTCACAAATCAGTATTCACGGAAAGATAGAAATCTGAAATCAGTATTCATATAAAGTTTTATGTTCATGCCAAAACAAAAGTAAATATCAATGGGCTATTGTTCTGTGTCAAATCATTTCATGGGAGAGGTGATCAAAGTAGGCTCAGTCATTGGCCCTACCTCATTACACCTAATATTACAATCTCTGTCCCTAGGGTTTGCCATTAATGTATGGATTTTACTCCCTTGAGCCTTCAGTTACTGAGTAGCATTCTCTAGACAGTGAATCTTCTCTTCATATTTCCTTGTCATCACTCTTTTTCCTAAAGTGAAACCAACTCAGGACATAACTTTCCCAATAGAAACTTGGAGGGTTTTATTTCACTGGCTCCAATAACTTTCACTGTAACCAAAAGAATGTTGCCTTCTCTTACCATCTCTGTTCTTATTGTTTAATCCTCACCTGTATAACAATGTAATTACTCGTGTGTATAGTAAAAAAGATTCAGTTTTTGATTTCCCATGTATAAGGGATTTTGGACACAAAATCATATATTCAAAGTTACTCATAATTCTCAATCATATGGTCTCATTGCTTTCATTCTCGGATACTTAACTCTCAAAGGACCATCTCTATGAAGCTTTCAACTTTTCTCCCCGTGGGTCTGTCCACTTTAAAAGCTGGGCTAAGTTATCACTTAATGTCATGAATAGCTTATTGGAAATGGCAACTTTAAGCAAAACGCTGTATAAGAAAATCATTTTTTTCCTTCTCATCAACATATAATGAAACAATGTTGAATAAAACGACATTATTTGAGGTGTCATTTTGCTTAAAATTGTGGTTTCCAAGACCCTATCAATGACATTAAATGAGGATTTACTGTACTAGATTCTGCCAGCCAGCTGGGCAAAGGGTCAGAACTGAGAAATAACTCGACTAGACTTTATCAAATGCTTGCATTGTTTTCCAGGAATTAGTTACTTTAGAACTCATGACCTTGGGAAAACTGCAAGCTATTCTAACCAGCAGCAAGTGGCCCTGGCTATGGTTTTGAAGAGAGGATAAGACATACTGAGCCAACAGGCTTCCCTCTAGAATGGGGTAAGGAGTGCCTTGTATCATCCTTTCTGCAAGCAGAGATCTGCTTCACTGCCTTAGAACTGCAGAGTGCACTTTTGCTGGCGGTACTCAATGCAGAGAATTAAAGACTCTCAATGAAGAGATTAAAGCAGAGAGTCTGTCCAGACAAATAACTTCTCCTGAATAGAGGGAATCTGACTTTGCATACATTCTCCTTGTTGTATAGAGGTGAACCATCTTTATGCATAAGCATCTTTATACGTCAAGAAAGAACCACTAGTTGTTTCTGTTTTTCACGTTTTGTTTTTTAAAGGTAATAATCAATTATTAACTTAAAAAAACCTGTGTCTTATTTATTTAGCCCCAACCACTGTCCTAATGCAAAAACATCAGAGATCCCAAATTAGAACCACTGGATTGAACCCATAAACTCCTAAATCCATTATTAATTGATTATTATTTTATACGATAAGTTTATGTGATTTGGTATACATCAAAAGATAATCTCTCTCTTTCTCTGCTTTGCAATTTTTTAATGATGTTATTGTTGAAGGAAACCAGGTTGCTTTTCCTTTAGCATTTCCTACCGTCTAGATATTGAGAATTGTACCCCCCCATATTGTTTAACATGTTCCTCTGTTGTATGGTTCATTTTTGAGAATAAGACACATATGTAGTTGTGTTGACAATGACAAAAAATATCTAAAATTTGGCAGTGTGAACCCCAAATCATCAACTGTGGTTAATTGCTGCATGGCGAATAATTTAATTGAAGTGTTTTTTGTTTGTTTGCTTGCCAGTTTTTGTATAGCTGTTTAGAAAAATTGATAATTAATAGTTATTGTTTTTGCCATTTATATTTAACAATGAAAACATAATATAATAAGAGTAGTAAAATTTTCCTGGAATATTTTAAGACATTTTTAGGCATTATTTTAAGAAAAGCTAAGCATTAAGAAATAGTGAAAGTTTATTGATTTTTCAGTCTTAAAAAGCTCTATCTAGTGAAAACTTACAAAGAATGATACATATTTTGGCCTCTGTCCACCAAGGAAAAATATAAAACTCTTCTTCTTTCAGGTTAATCTTCACATTGACCTGAATCTAATGAATCTCTTGATATTTATCTCATTTTTAAAAACTGAGGTAATTATGCAGTTGCTTTTTAAAATGCTTTGGGTTGTGAGTTCTGTTTCTCTTTCACATTTTATAAGGCTTAGTCTGACCTATATACAGAGAGATGTGCTGTAAAAAAAATCTAAGCAAGTAGCAAAGGGGCATGCAAGTTTAAATTAATGGCTGTGGGAATTAATGAGGGTGAGAGATGATTTTTCTTTTATATGGCTTATTAGCATAATTTGAAATCAACCTAAACAACTGCTTCTGTTTTCAGCATTCTTGAATTTTGCAGTATTTTCAGCATCCTTCTGAAGGCTAACAACCACCAGGCAATTAGTTTTTGATCTTTTTGCTTGAATTGCCATTGTTTTCATAAATGCTTGAGCTAAGCAAAAACAGCCTGTATGAGGTTCCTTCTCTAAAACTTTACTTCTTTTATACACATTTTAATTCACATTTATAGGAGAGACTATCAGCATGTCAGGATGGAAGTTTATTAAGACATTGGAATGCTCACATTGGACCAGCAATGCAGAAAATTGCAGCAGTGTTTCTCAACCAAACCTTTGGCTGACGCAAATGCTTGGCTTTTATTTAATTGAGGCGAATACAAAGCTGATTTAGAATGCCACCTATTTTTGTTATTTGAGTAGCCTACATTCTTAATAATCTAATTTCCATTGTGTGATGGCCCAGGGCAAAGTGCTTACTTGGAGAGGAGCAATTTGTGAACACAGATGGGCTTGAATTGAAACAGCCAGATCTCCTGTGACCTCCCTGAGGTTGCATTGTCCACCTGAGAGACCCCAATTGCAGCTTAGCCTCGCTATGTCCTAACCTCTTCTCACTTCCCCTTCTCACAGTCCTAAATTCTTTTCTAAATAAGTCTGAATGTCTGGTTAAGAATAACTGCTGTGTCTTTATTATCACAAAGTGGGCATTTAAATTATAACTCCAGTATAAGTCATCCCCGAAAGAAAAGCTGGTCTCTAAGGCTTTTATAAAGTCTTTAATTTCAATAGTATTACATGTCTCAGGCTAATTCCCTCATTCCTTCTTCTTTTTTTTGCTTGTTCATTTGTTTATTATTGTTAGTAGCAGTATCGATTGTTGTTTTAAATATCTACCATGTGTCAAATAACATACTGGGTGCATTAAGTTTAATTTCCCACAACCCAACATTCTAGGCATTATTATCTCTGTTTTGCTGATGAGGGAACTCAAACTGTGCCCTAAATCCCAAAGCTGGAAAGTGGCAGAGCAGGCCAGGCATGGTGGCTCACACCTGTAATCCCAGCACTTTGGGAGGCCAAGGCGGGCGGATCACCTGAGGTCAGGAGTTCGAGATCAGCCTGACCAACATGAAAAACCCTGTCTCTACTAAAAATACAAAATTAGCCAGACATGGTGGCACATGCCTGTAATCCCAGCTACTCAGGAGGTTGAGGCAGGAGAATCGCTTGAACCTGGGAGACGGAGGTTGCGGTGAGCCGAGATCATGCCTTTGCACTCCAGCTTGGGCAACAAGAACAAAACTCCATCTCAAAAAAAAAAAATAATAATAAAAGAAAGTGGCAGAGTCAGATTCAAATTTAACTCATCCTGGGTACTTTTCACTCTTCTGTGTGGTTGTAGCCATATTCCCCTTTTATTCCAAAGTAGGTCATAGTCTCAAGGAAAAAACTGTACTTTCACTGCTTATTAATAGTTGCCATGACTTTGAGCCTCCAGGCTAAATGAGCTATCCCTTCTGTACCACAATTGCATTTTGAACACTGAACAGTACTCTTAACTCATAAATACGTGTGGCTCTCCTATTAGTTAGGCTGTGAGCTCTTTAACACAAGAACTACATTAATCTTGGTATCTGTAGTGTCTGACACACAGTAATTATTCAATAAATGAGATGCCCTTCCCTGAACTAGTAAGTTTACTCTTTGCTCCACCTGCCATCAGTTCCTCATCCTCCTCTATTGAATTTTAGATAAAAGTGGAGGTAATACATAGAAGACTTTATTTATTAGAAACAAGATATAACTGGCCGGGCGCGGTGGCTCACGCCTGTAATCCCAGCACTTTGGGAGGCCGAGGCGGGCGGATCACGAGGTCAGGAGATCGAGACCATCCTGGCTAAAACGGTGAAACCCCGTCTCTACTAAAAATACAAAAAATTAGCCGGGCGTAGTGGCGGGCGCCTGTAGTCCCAGCTACTTGGGAGGCTGAGGCAGGAGAATGGCGTGAACCCGGGAGGCGGAGCTTGCAGTGAGCCGAGATCCCGCCACTGCACTCCAGCCTGGGCGACAGAGCGAGACTCCGTCTCAAAAAAAAAAAAAAAAAAAAAAAAAAAAAAAAGAAACAAGATATAACTAAAAAGCTGGCTATTCAATAAAAAGGTGGAGTACATTTACTGTAATGTAACAATAAACAAATAATGTATTTCATATGCTACTCTGCTCATCTCTGGTAACGCTTGGTTTCCAAACATTGTCCTAAGTTTATATTCCAAACTTCCAGCATAAAATTTCAGAAAGTACAAAGGTAGTATTTTCCCTGACAACATTATTGATGTATGGTTGACTAGGTATTGATAAGGAAGGAAACCTTATTTACACAATAAGATGAGATTTAGCATGAATAAGCGTAGAAACTTACATTTTAATAATAAAAATCAATCATATACGTCAAGAAAAGAATAATGCAAGCTTGACAGAAGTTCATATGTAACACTTTGGGAGGCTGAGGCAGGCTGATCACTTGAGGTCAGGAGTTAAAGATAGCCTGGCCAACATGGTGAAACCCTGTCTCTACTAAAAATACAAAGATTAGTCGGATGTGGTGGTGTGTGCCTGTAATTCCAGCAATTTGGGTGGCTGAGGCGTGAGAATTGCTTGAACCTGGGAGGCGGAGGTTGCATTGAGCCAAGATAGCACCACTGCCCTTCAGCCTAGGGGACAGAGTGAGACTCTGTCTCAAGAAAGAAAAAAGTTCATTTGCAAAATATTCAGAAATTTTAAATTATCTCCAAGCCTATCATAATCCGAAGGTGCAGAAAAGTATCCATCAAAAAATGGAGTGTGCAGATCATGATTAATAAAAATATCAGGTTTTGCCGTTTACTATTTTTCTCACATTGGACCTTTGTTTTCCTTTCTGTTCTAAAATGAAAATGATACATATTAGTTGTCATTTTATAACAATATACTCATGAGTGTTTACTTCTTCCTACATAAACTGCAAGGGTCTACGACATGCTTAGACCATTGGATAGCCACATTTTCCAAAGGATATTGTACATTCACAAAAATATAATGAGATTGTGAAAAGGTCTGAAAATCAGTCCATACAATGAATAACTGAACAACTTAGGATGCCTAGCTTGTGGAATAGAAGACTATTTTGAAATAGAGGTGCATACCATGTGGAAAATGCTCAATTTATGCTGTACTTCTATAGAGAAAATTTATAAGAAGAAAGTGCTCAGTTCATTAAATGAAAGAAAGGGTTAGTAATTAGCAGACTTGGAATAAACAATTTGGGAAATATTAAATTTAATGTAACCAGTACTATTCAAATAATAATCTGTTAAGGATGCTATAGAACACTGCTTCTCACATTTTATTACACATAAGAACCACTTGGGAATCTTGTTAAACTGCAGATTCTGAGTCAGTAGATCTGGGGACTGCGATACCACATTTCTAACAAGCTCCCAGGAAACTGTCCTCACAACTACTACCCAGGTTAAGAAACAGAACATTGCCAAGCTGTTCCAGCATCTCCTACATGTGCCGTATCTCATTTATAGCCTTCTACTTCCCTAAAGTGTAACCACTATCCTGAAGTTTATGGTAACCATTTTTTTCCTTTTTGCATTTCTTTGTGTATTTATTATCCAGATGTGAATTTCTAGAATCTATAGTGTAGTCTTGGCCAACTTTTAAGTTGATATATCTTTTGTTTTTATATATATATAAAATATATATTAAATTTTATATATATATTTCATATATATAAATATATATTAATTTATTTCCACAGATTTTTGGGTAACAGGTGGTATTTGGTTACACGAGTAAGTTCTTGAGTGCTGATTTGTGAAATTTTGGTGCACCCATTACCCAAGCAGTATACACTGAACCCAATTTGTAGTCTTTTTCCCTCAAACTCCACCCACCCTTTCCCCCAAGTCCCCAAAGTCCATTGTATCCTTCTTATGCCTTCGCATCCTTATAGCTTAGCTCCTACTTATGAGTGAGAACATATGATGTTTGGCTTTGCATTACTGAGTTACTTCACCTAGAATAGAAGTCTGCAGTTCCATTCAGGTTGCTGTGAATGCCATTAATTCATTCCTTTTTTATGGCTGAGTAGTATTCCATCTATCTATCTATCTATCTATCTATCTATCTATCTATCTATCTATATCACAATGTCTTTTTCCAGTGGTTGATTGATGGTCATTTGGGCTGGTTCCATATTTTTGCAATTGCAAATTGTGCTGCTATAAACATGCATGTGCAAGTATCTTTTTCATATAATGACTTCTTTTCCTCTGAATAGATAGCCAGTAGTGGGATTGCTGGATCAAATGGTAGTTCTACTTTTGTTTCGTATTCTACCACTATCCTTTTCTTTTCCTCACAATTTATCTATTGAAGAACCTGGGACAGTTTATCTGCAGTTTCCTGCATCTGGATTTTGTTGTTGACTAATGGCGCAATTTGACAGGTTCCTCTGCCTTTTTTTTCTGGAAATTGGCAACGTTATTCAGAAATCTAATCAGACTCAGTTTTGATCCCTTTGCAAAGACTATGTATAGATGGTAGTGTGTTTTTTCATCAGAGAATCCATAATGCGTGATTGTCCTTCCTTTTTGAGTTACCAGCCATTAATTCTCAATATCTGGTTCATTAATTAATTGGGGAAGACAAAATAGTGATATTCTTATGTTTTATCATTTCATTTACATTTATTAACTTAGATGATTTTTATAAGAATATGCTTCCTTTCATCTTTTATGATAGTGTCATTTTATATAGGAAAGGAAGAATATGTTTTTAATATTTTTATCTTATTTGTCCATTTTCAACATTTATAAATTAAGTTCCTGTCATCACCTTGAGAAACTAGGTAGTTTTAAAAAAATCATATGTCATTATGAACTGATGAACTGAACATTTTTTTATATTCAATGCATTGTAATTCTTATTGTAACTCAAACTCAAATTGCCCCATTTTTTGGCTAGTGGGAATCTGTTTAAGTTGGCTCCTGAGGTTTTTTTTAGCAGAGTAGTCTATGGAAGCTTGCTAGGTGTCTGGTATGTCAAAATGTTCCAGGCTCATTCAGAGTATTTCCTGACCCAGGCCTGGATTCAGCCATGTATCCAAGAAGCTCTGGTTTCTTTTAATAGGAAATAGTATTTTATGACAACTCTCTGGAATAAGTTGCTACTAAGTTGTTAGTGTTTCTAGAATGTCTTAGATAAAGCTAGGATATGATGTATTTAGAGATAAAGGAATTAGAGATAAAGTAATTTATGCATAAGTTTGATATTGTCAATTCAGATTGAGGATTAAGAAGCTTTTTCCTAAACTCCTCTATATAAATTTTTATTTTTTCTTCCATGCTGAGAATCCTGGTTCTTAAGAACACAGAGATGAAAGTATCCGACAATAGTTCATTTATTAAAATTCTCACATTACACATATAACTTCATACCAATAATACTACTATTTTCTAATTTTTTAAATGAAAAAGTGTATATATTTGTGGTGTACAATATTATGTTTGATATATGTATACATTGCAGAATGGCTAAATCAAGCTTATTTAGCATATGGATTATCTCACATACTTATTTTTTGTGGTGAGAACACAAAACCTACTCTTAGAAATTTTCAACTATAAAATATATTGTTATTAACCATAGTTGTCATGACATACAATAAATCTCTTGAACTTATTTCACCTTTCTAGCTGAAATATTGTATCCTTTGATGAATATCTCCCTAATCCCTCCATCCCCCAGCCTTGGATACCACTAGTTTTGATTATTCCTCATGATGAGGTCGTATCCTGCAAGACAGTCCTGACAGAATAGTTTTGAGACACGCAGAAGTTAGATTACTGTAGACCCTTCAGAACATTTTACCGTGGGTATCCCACAGTCACCCTTATTACGAATGGACAATGGTCCTTCCATTTTCTAAAGTTATTTTCAAATTGGGCTGCCTCTTTACAGTGAGTACCTGTTGGCTAATAGCAATTTTTGCTTCTAAAATTTGTCAGATTCTCTGTTGCTTCCCATGCTTTCTCCTGCACAGATGCTAAGTTATAGATCTTACTGCTGTTGGTGGCTTATCTCTCTACCTGTTGTATTTTTAAAATCCACATTATCAAAAAATAATTTACATACAGTGAAATGTATTAATTTCAAGGGTACAAATTTATGAGTTTTGACAGTCAACATAGAGAAAAATCTCAATTGTCCCTAAAACTTCCCTGTGCCCTTTGATTTTCATACCACATACCTCAGGCCCTAGACAAACTCCATCTGCTTTCTGGTAATATAATTAGTTTTATTATTTAGAAGTCCGTATAAGTGATATCACACCAAATGCATTCTTTCTTGGCTGACTTCTTTAGCATAAAGAAAATATTATGACTTTGAAATATGTCTACCTGATTGCATTAATGAGAAATCTGTTCCTTTTCATTACTGAGTGATTTTCCATTGTTTAGATGTACCATAATTTGTGTATCATTCACTTGTTGGTGCACATTTTAATGGTGTCCAGTTTTTGGCTTGCCTGGATGGATTCTGGATGTGAAGTCTATGGTGATCCTTTGTTTCCCTGTACATGTATCTTTTCCCTCTGGCTGCTTTTATCATTTTCTTGTAGTCATTTGCTTTACACTGTGTTAACTAAAATCTGTCACGTTGGAATCATTTTCTTTCTTTACTTGGTTCACATATGTTTCCATTAATGTGGTAGTATGAGAAGGGAGGATTTACTATAGTTTCAAAATATATTTACCAAATAAGTGAGGTGACTTGACTCAACTCTACGCAAATGAATTTTTAAAAAACCTACAATAAGTAAATAAATTTACAGAGAATTATAAATTGCTAAAACTTATACAAGAAAATATGCACAAATTTAATAGACAGCATAGATGGCAAAAAATAAAATGGTCGTGGTTACTTTCCTTAAAAGTTTCCAGACTCAGATGACTTCTTAGGTGAATTTTATCAAACATTTTTAGACAGATATCCTTGAGGCTTTAAAAATGTTTCAAGCACACAGAATGAAAAATAAAAATGCTTCATTTTTAAAAAATAAGCAGCATAGTATTGATCTGACAAACTAATGCAACAGAGAAAAATTAGAGACCAGGCTTACTTACAAGTGTTATTGAAGAATCCTAAATAAAATGTCAGATAAATAATCACATTAAAGAAATAATGAATTATGACAAGTAAACTTCATATCAAGAAAATAATGAAATTCAATATTAATAAATCTATAATTTATCATTTAATAAGTTAATAGGGTAAATCCTATTTGTCTCCAGAGATGCTGAAAAGGCAATTGATATGATTTATATCCATTTCTTATTTTTAAAAAACACCCAATCAAAAAGAAACAGATTAAACCAAAAACCAGGGTCATTGTCAATGATGAAGCAGTGGATTCATTTCTATTAAAGTCTAGCGGAAGAACTGCCATTCACTGTCATTTCTATTTAATATCATTCTATAAATTCTAATCAAAAAGATTAGAAGAAGGCAAAGTGTGAGTAGTGAGAAAGAAGTGACAAATTTATTACTATTTGCAGTTGATATAATATTTACTGGAAAATCCAAAATAATTAGTTTTAAATGATACATGATATGAAAGAAAAAATATTTTACTAAAATTTCTGGTTACAAATTTGATGTAAAAATCAACAGCTTAATAATAATATGTTATATACTTGCAAATTGCTAAAAGGGTAGATTGCTAAGTACTCTCACCACAAAATAATAAGTATGTGAGGTAATGGATATGTTAATTAGCTTGATTTAGTCATTCCACAGTGTATACCAAAAACTGTATACAATTTCTGTCAACTAAAAAATAAGTTTAAAAAATCAATAGCATTCGTATACACGAACAAAAAAATGCATTAGAAAATATAAAAAGGTATCTTATTTCAAATAGTAAAAGATAAAATATATTGGAACAAATTTAAGAAGACATCTAAGGGATCTAAATAAAAAACATTTTGACTCTAGTTATGGACTTTTATAAAGGAAAGCTCAACTAAGTAGAAATACATTGTTCTTGATTTAAAAAGCGTCCTGAAAATGTGTCAGAAATCTCTAAATTAATTCATTAAATTAAAAGTGCTCCCAAACAACAACAAAAAACTAGCATTAAAAGAAATAATTTGACAATTTGGTTTCAGAGTTCATTTGGAGACGTTATAATGCTTAAAATAATTTTCCATATCTCTTTCAAGGATAGAAAAATAGAACAGAATAGTATAAAATAGCTATAATTTCGTATGAGAATTCAGCATAAAATTTGATTTCAAGTATTTATGTATGTAGTATTGAGGCAAATGTTAGTTCTTTGGGGAAAAATATTGCATTTCTTCTGAACTCTTTTTAAATTTAAAAATAAAATTGAATTCATAATGAACCAGGGGATAATAAACATTGGTGAATAGATTTTACTGAACAGTGCATCACAGAAACCTTTTGAGATCTGGCACGCAAACATCTGTATTACTTTAATAACACATATTTTTTTATTTAGGACCATATTATAACTTATGTAAATATAACCTGTGGCTAGGCATTCAGTTACTTCCATATTAGAAGCAATGCTAAAATGAACATCTTTTCACAAATGAATAAGTGATATTTGTGGGAGAAATTAAATTGCAAAAGAGTATGATGTACTCACATTTTTAGAAAATGATATAGTCACATTTGTCTTCTGTAATATTAAATTTCAACTTCAAATGTTAAGAAAAAATTTTAATTGTGTTTGTGCCTTGGATAGAAAGTGGGTTTGTGAAATGAAAGTGACATACCATTTTATTGTACATTAACCAGTGCATGTTATTTATTAATGAACTTGTTAGATAGTTAAAGGGAGGATGTCTACAATGGAAGTGAGGAGAGCCAACTGCAGAGCGTTGTGGATCTGTGGTCTTATTTTTACAGAAAGATAATTTGAACTCAAAGGGATTGGAACAAAACGAGAAGAGTTATAAATAAAAAAGAAAAAGGGAATAAAATAACGCTCTTGGGAAGACATCAAAGATATCTGGATTTGTTTCTAATTATTTTTCTCAATTAGCTAAAATTAGATTCAGTTCCAGGAAATATGTCATTAATATTTCATGACAACATTATTTAAATTAATAAAAAAAATATATCTTGTCAAAATTTTAATTTTTAAAACCACATTATTTCTTCCCTTCCTGTTAGAATCTCACAACTCTTTTAGTGTACAACATGGTGGCTCACAGTCTCTAAAAAGTGTCTGGTAAATATATACGATGGAGAAAAATACAACAGGAAAGCCCAACCAAAATTAAACAAGGAACAAGTGTTTGATTTGTAGTGCATATTTCATATATTCTTTAAAACAAATTACTAAAAATGTTATGAGATTAGCAATTCTGTCATCAGCGAAGAAGGAGTCTGGGTTTTTATTTATGTAAAATCCATCTCTTAGATAATATGGTTTTATTTAAAGTTTACATCAAAAACAATTGAGAATGCTATTTAGCTCACAAGTTCAAGAATCATTTTCTTCTGGACTTCAGTGGAGTAGAAAATGAAAAAAAAGGATTTGAGTTATTCTGCATCTGAGTTTGTCTGTATAAGGTATTTCTAGCTAATCAAGATAAAAAGATATTTAATCAGCATTCTTTATTTTCATTTGCTGGTTGTATCAAGAAACAGTGAAGAATGTAAGAAATAAGTCAAAAAATGAGAAGGTTTATGGAGGTAGATGTTATTCCTCAAACCACATTTGACATTGTGAGATGCAAATAGATTTTAGTCCAGAAAGTGCAATACCATCTAATTAAATGGATCTTCTTTAGAATGGTACAAGACCCCTTCAGATATCTACTCAAAGGGCGTTTTCTCAATGGAACCTACCTGGACCACATCCCGTTTAAAAACTGTATTCGCCCACCCATTCCTTCATCTGGATTTTTTTTTTTTTACTCTGTTCTGTGTGTTCCTTTTTCATAGCACTTACCACCTTCTAAAAGTTAATAGACTTATTTATTATATTTATAATTGTGTTTATCTCCCCTCCCAGAACCTAACTTCCAAGAGGATAGAGATCTGTGTAGATTTGTTCTCTGATGTACACATGGCACCTGGAATAATGCTTACACATAATAAGCGTTCAATAAATATGTGTGAATAAATGAAGGTATATGGAAGAAATTCCTAGCCATAAAAGCAAAACATCACAATACATTTTTAGGCAAGGCTAGAGATTTAACTCTTAAGGAAGGATTTAAAAGCATTCTTAATAGACTGAGTAGAGGAATAGATTAATTAAAAATTTAGAATCTGTAAAATATTTATGAAGCGCCTCTGTGGTAAAATACATTAACTCAAGGGTATGATTATATTAATAATTAAAATCACAATAAATTTTAGAATTGATATTTTAAGTAGTTTTTTTAAAACATCCAATTTGCTTTCCTAGAAACAATATATTTGCCCTCTCTCATTTGGTCATGTGCATTCACATCCCAATAGCCTTCTGACCACAGGATCTTGGGTAGATATTGCATCCAATGCTTTTCTCATCTTCATTTCCAATATCCTTTCCCTTCTCCCCTTCAGCTGCCCATTCCCAGGACCACACCTTGAACCTTGCCAACACTTGCAAAGCTTTCACATTTGATATAATCAGTTTCCACCTGTAGTCTTCTGACCGTGATTTCCTATTTTGCACTAAACTCAGTTATTCAGCCAGTTATTCAAACTAAATCTAATCTTGAATCTAAGGGTTGAACCTCATGTCCACTGAATGTTTTCCTTTGCCTCAAAGCATCAGCCACTTTCTGTAGTAACTTTCCACCTTTGCAAGGTTAGATTTCATGACCTATCACTTCATCCACTCTTCTTCTACACAGATAGTATTAATATTAATACTAATTCCATGTTAAAACTAATATTAAATTTAATGCCAGTACTAATATAGTTAACATTTTTGAGCACCTGCTACATGCCCAACATTATTCTAATCTCTGTGCATGTAGTGCCTAGTTTAATCTTCACCACTCCATAGGTAACTTTTGTGTTATCCTCATTATACATATGAAAAAAACTAAAGGAAAATATGGTTAAAATTATGGCTTAAGGTGGCACAACTGAGATTTGGAACTAGGCTACAAAGCCCAAAAATCAAGTTCCAGAGCTTATACTCCTAACCATGGTATCTGCCTTCACACTTTGTTGAAACTGCCTTTGCAAGTTTACATTGGCCTGCCTATTGCTAAGTGTAATGAACACTTACTCTCCATGGCAGATGGGTGAAAGTATACATTTGTGATCTCAAATCTCAACTGAGCTCTCGAATTCTCTCCAAAGTCTTCTGGTTGGTTGACTCTCCAGGTCTCTGTAGTGACTCTATCAAATCATCTGTACTTGTTCAAACTTTACCTCCCATCTCATTTATTATTAAAACATAAAAATAACCCCCTTGTTAAAAAGGTAAACTGAGGCACAGTAATTTTTTTTATAGAGTTTATTTGAGCAAACAATGATTCATGAATTGGGAAGTTCCAGACAAGAAGTGGTTCAGGAGATCCACCAGGAAAATGCAAGAGGGAGGTTTTTATGAAATGAACACAGAAGTAAAGCAAAGAAGATACTTGATTGGCTATAGCTATACAGTTGCCTTATTTGGTATATACTATTGGATAGTCCTGAGTTATATAATTATAAGTCTGTTGGCTGCTTCCAATTGATTGAGCTTAATTTCTGTTTTTCTTTAATGTATGCATTCACAATAAATAGCTCAAGTTAAGTTTCACTTATGTTTGCATATTGAGCAAGGTTAAAGTCGCTTAAGAGGCCTGACTAGATTTGATTGCTCAGGAGTTTTTCAGTCCTGGTTTCCATTTCTATTTACTTTAATACTTGTTGAAGGGGGAAAGTTGAAAGTATCAGATAAATTTACCCATAACTCTCTCATACCTCTTACTACCATGGACAATTATTTCTCCTCCTAGTTAGTTCTGTTCCTCTAGCCTTGTCCTAATTCATATCTCCTCCTGCTTCTCAGGGAGCAAGCAGAGCTTACCACTTTTGCTTTCACAGAACACTTTTACCTTTCCTGTCACTGCAGTCTTACAACTTTGCACTTACTTTGTGACTGCTTATTTTTATTCTCTGTTGCCTTCTATTTCTCTGCGTTACTCTTAAGTTCTGGTGTTTATCAGGATTCAACTCTAGGCTTTATTCTTTTAGCATGCTACACATTACCACTAGCCTCTATCATCCATTTTCATTGTTTTAGTTATTACAGATAGCCTAAAATTTGTATCTTTCACTCAGATCTCTCCTGAGCTTTAAACCAGTATATGTAACCATACTCTGGATATTTCTGTTTGAATGCTCCATAAGCACCTTAAATTCAGTGTCTAAAAGTGAACTCTCATTCTCCGCAATGAACCTCCTGTTTTGCCCATGTTTTATAGTGAATTGGGATCACTATCCACTCAGTTGTGTAAGATATAAACTTTAAAGTTGCATCGTTCAAAAATGTTGCCTTTCTCTCAACCCTGACATCCAATCAGCCTTCAAAACTTGCCCATTCTACCTTGTATATATATCTTGAATCTCTCCACTTCTCTGTAGGTCAACTGACATTTTCCTAATGTAGGTAATAATACATACTTTTTACTGGAGCATTGTAATGGTTCCTAATTGCCCTCTCTTCATCTAGTATACTCACCATAATCCACGTTCTTAACAACTGGAGAATATACTTCCACCTTCCCAAGATGTCTCAGTGTCTCAGCCCATTCTGGGATTAGGCTCAGGCTTGAGGTGTAGAATCTTGATATTCCAATCGGTTCCAGGTAAGGATGAGACAAATATGGTTTCTTTCAATTGGAAAATCTGTGAACTAAAGAGATAAGTTAGCTGCCTTCCATACACCCAATAAGAGTGGCGAGACAGGGACAGAATAGCCGTTACAGATACTCCTATTCAGTAGGATACTGGATGGCAGAGACGATGAGAGAGAACAGGAGAAATGTAGCGGTCACTAGTCCCAAGCAAATTCTGAGATGTAGATAGGCAGATATCTCTAGCTCTACCTAGGTTGCCATTTGAGTTCCTGGGAGTGGGTTTCTGTGGCTCTTGGCTCCTTCATCTGGGCTTTTAGCTTCATGACTTGAGTCACTTTCTCTTTTTTGTTAGAAATGGTCCATGCTTGCTGGGGAGTAGTTTCTCCTTCTGATTCCTTTCCAGGAAGGTTGTGAATACTGTTTGTCTCTCCAATCAGGCTTTCTGTGTGAAAAGCCCTGGTATCTTCTGCTCACAACTGGAATCATTCTTTATAGTGTGCCAGAAGTTGTTCCTGGTGTACTGGGACATGCATTCTGGTGGGTGCTTGGAGGAGAGGATGGAGGGATTAGCAACAGACTTGGATGAAGCAATCTGGGGAAGTGTCACATGATGTATGTACCTCTTCATCTGTGAATACTTTCTCCTTTCCTTGGCATTGGCTTCCTGGAAAGGTCTTCCTGGTATTAGTGGAGGAGGTCATTGTTTTTCTCAGGCAAACTACTGAAAGTAATAATATTAAACCAATACAAGGCAAAATAGCAAAAAGCCCTTTCCCATTCAGTCATTTTAAAAGTTAATTCACCAAAAGGAGTAAAGTTTGGTCAGAGTAATTTCCACCAAGGAAAAAAAAAGATTGTATTTTTAGCGTACTTTACACAGTTAATCTAACAAATCATTTCATTAATGTTGACTGTTCTTCCGGCCAAAGAGCAGAATTGAAAGAAACTTTTTACTGGTTGAAGCCACGTGCGAGCTTTTCTAAGTCCCCTGACCATTTGAAAGTTTAAAAGGTCCACAACTTTCCAATTGTTAGCCTTAGGGTAAATGGAAACTTAAAATGGTCTGGGAGTACCTTTCTTATGAGAATGAAAGTAGCCTTCAGATTTATTTCCCTGAAATTGCATTCCTGCAAAAAAAAAATACTAATAGATAATTACTAAGAAGCCTGGTCTTTAATAATGCACTTACCTTGTTCTGAGAAGTATGTGAATTACAGATCAGGTGTCTGTCTGGGTAAGGCTGAACCACTTCTCACATATAATCTTGTTTTTAAATCCTATATTAACATTGTTTTCCTAAATCTACTTCAGCATCTTTATACTACTCAGAAAATAGAAATAATTCATATTTGCCCATATGTGTAGCAATAAATAGGAAGGATTGCGCACCACAGACAATGTTTGCTTCCTTCAATGACAGTGTCCTGAACAAATGGAGTGTTAAATTATTTAGAAATACTTCTTCTCAGATTGGTAGTATTTGTCTTTTTGTCAGAATATTGCCAAAGATGGGCACAATATGACTGAAATTATATATTTACTGAGAAGAGCATGATTTGTACTTGTTTTCAAGTGAGGGAATTATAAATCCAATACTTTGCTACCCTTCTATGTAGAATTTCTGTCAGAAGTAAGCATTTAATCTCTATTCACATTATCATAGTTGAAACTGGAATTCTGGTTTTATTTTTCAAACACTGATTTGAAAAAAAAATCATTATGTCTTCTGCTTTAGAGGAGATTTTGAGCACAGTATCTGTGATGGTTTGTATTGTGTCAGCTTGGTTACACTGGAATGATGTTTCTCCAAACCCTCACCCTTCTGTGGTCCTGGGTTGTGTGAGACTTGGAAGGTGGAAGTGAATTAGTAGCTGTTAGTGTCTGAAGGCCAGTGTTGTGAGAGGCAGTCAAAAAACCCAGATGTGAGGGCAGGTTCAAGTGTGTCCTCACTCTCCCCAGGTTATCACTCCTGATTGCTGGCTCTGCTGCCCAGCCATGGCCTTCAGGCCCCATAACTGGACCTTGGGCTGCTGACTAACAGAAGCAGTAGCTACACAAAGGCAACAGCTTTCCATAGACAACTACCCCAGCAACATTACATGGCCCCATGTCCACAGCTGTATGTGCCTTTCTCCCTAGATTCCTTTGCAGGCTCCAATTTGTCCACCTGCACCAGGGGTTTGACAGTTGCCAGCTCTGATAACAAAGCTGTTTGTGGGTAGATTAAATCATTGAGAAATAGCATGCGGGGATTACCTGGGAATATTAGGAGTATCTGTTTTAATTAGTAAGATCTGGTAAGTGTTTATCTAAAACTGTAGCAACCACTAAACAGTGTGACTTAAGAAAAAAAATTTTTAATTTTATATAATTTTAATTTAAATTACAACACCAAAGTAGTATAAAATATTTTTCCATTAAACCAACTTTATTGTTTTGGTAGAACTTACATTTCACATTGCATAAGATGTTATTGCCTTATTGTTAACATGCAGATTGGCTGCATGCATCTAGTCATTGTTAATAGATTGATTCAGATTGAATGCATTTTACATTTTAAATGAAGGCTTACTACTGATGCAACATTGAGTGAAAATGCTACCACCAGAATAGTAAACAGAAAACAAGAGATTAGTAGTCATGTTACAAATTTCATGAGGAATGGAATTGCATTTCAGTAGGGCACAGCAGAACAAAAAAGCGCTTTTATTTTTATGTAAAAAGGTAAAAATAGTGGGCAGCGTTTTTGTTGTGGAAGAAGTGTACAACATGAGACATTTTCAACAGATTTATAGTAAATTTGATAAGATATTTTTTCTAACAAAAAGTCATTGAGTTTAGCCACTTGAAATAATATTTTAAAAGAACAGACAAAACGAACTGATGAATTGGTTAGAATTGGAATTAAAAGACTAACAAAAAGTTTTTAATGATTTTTCAAAAGATCTAAGCTTGTAAATAAGCTAGGTTTTTTAAAAATAAGAAACCATTTTTACATGGAGAAATGGCAAAAATGATTAATAATTTCACCTTTTAATTTTTACTTTTTAAAAATATGGCTACCAATTAAAAATTATATATGTGACTTGTATTTTATTTCTCTTAGTGCTGATTCAAAGAGTATATGGAGACTTGAGGTAAAGTCTCATTCAGATGAATCTGAGAGGCCAGAAAAGCTTCCACTTCAGCTTTCCAGATCTTTCCATTTCCAGGGGACCTTTGCAAAGTATATTTTAGTTTTTACTACATAATTCATAAAAATTTGATGTTTTACTGTTAAAATTACTGGCTACTTGTGCCTGTATGCCTTAGTAAATTTCCGTGTATTTAAAAATATTTCTTCAGAAACGTAGACAATAAAGAGGAAAAAACAATGAGGAAAAAACAGCCAGTTAAAATTACTGGCTACTTGTGCCTGTACGAATTAGTATATATCCATGTATTTAAAAATATTTCTTCAGAAACTTGGAAAATAGAGAGGAAAAAACAATAACATTTTAATATTAGTATTAAATGCTAATACCATCATTGTTAGCATATCAATAGCTTTTCTTTTACAACACAAAAATCTCATTTGAAATAAGTAAAAACATAAGTGAACACGTGAAAAAGACTATTGGAAACAAAGCCTTTTTAAGAACAGCAAACATGACATTATGTAATTAAAAATACAGAAAAGTTTTGCCAACGAATATTACATTCACGAGTTTTTAGTGGTAGATATTTGGTAGAATAAGAGATGGGACGTATCAGCATACCCATATTACTTGGAGTTGGTTCTTGATAACCATGCTGTTTATAGCTAATTATTTTTGTATAGTCAGAATAATATTTGGTATAATATTAGGTTACATTGCTGCATTTGAACTATCAATTTAGAGTTTAATTATCTTGCCTGTTGAATAACCAATCTTGGATTTTTCTTTTGCTGTGCAATTTCATTTGTGCCATTTCTAACCATGTTGTATTGTTTTTAGAATGACTTTCTTCTTCAAATAACAAGTAGCCAAACTCCTTGAAAAAGGTATAGTGCTCTATCAGTATAAAGGTTGGGTTACCAGGTTTGGCAGCCAACACAATTTAATGAGTAAACAAACACTCTGCAGAAACTTAGACCTGCTTAACCCCTTCAGGCAATTTTAAGTATTTTAATTCTGCCAGAAATGTAACCTACTGTTTTAATGAATAGTCAGAAAATATCCTTAATACTTGTGGATATTGATTCCAGCTGGAGATGCCTATCACCTGAGTTGACATTTAATATCTTTTCAAGGGATTCTCTTGAATTGGAAATAAAAGAAAAAAAAGAACTAAACTTGCTTTATCATTCTTGAAAGTATTTATCAAATTGAAAGAACCTCAGATTTTAAAAAGTAAACCACCTTAGGGAAAAAGCATAAATGTCATTGCTGCCTAACTAGGTTTTAGGAGTCCAGAAGTCGGAGGGGGCCTTTATAGACAAAGCCTGATTCTGAAATAGTTTTGATTCCTGTATCTGAGAATATATCAGTCCTATTTGTACAGTGTATGTGGTCATGGAAGTTATCAGCATATTAAAATGTATTCCACATGGATACTTTTTCTGCCATTCTTCTCATTTCGTACTCCTAACCTTGTAAAGTAGGAAAAGAAATTTAAAAGGGGCATGTCATTCAGAATAATATATTTATGCTACTTGGCTAAATATCAAACTATGGAATGTGAAGGACATGGAAATTCCAGGATGGCAGCATAAGGTGCTTGATGAACCCTTCCCCCAGCAAAACAACAATAATTTAAAGTCCCTGGAAATTGTCCTAAAACCGTAGAGTAAATGAAACAGTGAGAGGCCGTGGCATTTGAGCCACGAGGTTGTGTCCATTTAACTTCCACCCCCAGCTCCATGTTAACAGAGGTGCTACCCCAGGTGTTCTTCTCTGGGCAGCTGCAACCAAGAAGAGAGGTGCTCCCTCTCCTCCAGCCTCCCAGTCTCGGGCCATGGTTTCTACATCTCACCGTCATCCTAGTCCACTGTTGCAGAAGTTCTCTTCCAAGCGGATGTGGCTTAGAGAAATAGATCTTCCTTTCCCTACTCAGTACCTACTCATAAAGATGAAGCTCAACCCCAAATGCAACACGCTGAAACTACTGGGACCCCTATCACCTTTGCCCCAACATACTTATAGGGCGAAAGTTCCATGTCAGTGGGGCAAGCTAAGAAAATAGTGGCAGCCACCCTGCCCTTTTGCTCGTCACAATTCATAGAGCAGATGTACTCTTGAAAAAGTATGTCCCTACCCCAGCTCTGGTGAAATAGTACAAGGGTACCACCCAGGAGGAAAGGCAGGCCATAAAGACAAGGAGCTCTATATCTTTTCCTCAGGAAACTGCCTTTATTTGGAACAGAGCATAGAGAATTCCATGACTTAAGAGCATTTTTAAAAATTATGGAGATCTTGGCAGAAAGTGATTTAAAAAGGCTGGTAGCTCTATGAAGTATGCAAAATGGCAGAGCAACCAAAGGTTTAATAGAGAGTGACAGAGAAAAAGATAACCAAAAAGAGCCCTCTTGGGATCATAGTCAATTCTTGGGGGCAGGAAGACTGTGCACATGTGCTTTCAGAAACAACCAGAGATCCCAGCACTCTGGGAGGCCGAGGCGGGCGGATCACAAGGTCAGGAGATCAAGACCATCCTGGCTAACACAGTGAAACCCCGTCTTTACTAAAAAATACAAAAAATTAGCCGGGCGTAGTGGCGGGCGCCTGTAGTCCCAGCTACTCGGGAGGCTGAGGCAGGAGAATGGCGTGAACCCAGGAGGCGGAGCTTGCAGTGAGTCCAGATCGCACCACTACACTCCAGCACTCTAGCCTGGGCTGTCGCCCACGTCTCAAAAAAACAATCAAAGCAGGATATGGAAAGACTTGAAGCATCCCCACAAAGTGCACAGGCCCATCAACACAAGGCAGAGCCCGCACTGCCACAGGCTTAAGAACAGCTTCTGATCAAACACAAATCAAACAATAACATGCTCTAACCTGGGAGCTGCTCCTAGGAGGATAAATATAAAATAGAATCACACTAGTTCCAGACAGTCTGTATGACTGTATATGCCCAAAGCTACTTCCTTCTTGACAAAGTTTGGAAAGATAACTTTCAAGATACTTGGCTGTGGCAAAAACACAGGGCAACAAATATAAACTCCCTGAACTCTGATAGCAGCCTCCAGGCCACCAGCCCTTGATGAGTAAGTGGCTTATGCAAACCCAAGGATGATCCCTAGGGAATGAGGCCAAGAGCTAAAACAAGGGAAAGAAATCTGTGCAGGGACATCAGAGGCTGCACACTTGGAGGGAATTAGAATTTGCAGAATTGGTTTAATTAAGTAATTAATCAAATAAGCAAAGGACCCAGCAAACAAGAAGAACAACCCCCCCCAACAGTATTCAGTATCCAGATTTGCTAAAAATAAACCTAAAATGTCTAGCTTTCAATAAAAAAATTATCAGATATGCAAAGAAACGGGAAAATGTAACCCAAACACAGGAAAAAGTAGCAGGCAATAAAAACTGCCTTTGAAGATATCCTAATGGTAGGATGGCGAATTTAGCAGACGAAGACTTCAAAAAAGCTATCATAAAGATATTCAAAGACTAAAAGAAGTCATGTTTACGAATTAAAGGAAGGTCTGATGATGATGCCTTATTAAATAGAGAATCAATAAAGAAAAAATACTTAAAAGAAACAAATTGAATTTTGGAGTTGAAAAGTAAAAAAAGAAAAAGCCCAAATGAAAAATTTTAGCTGGCAGAGGAAAGAATCAGCAAACTGAAGATAGATCAATAGAAATTAGGCAATCTGAAGAACAGAGAGGAAAAATAATTAAACGAAAAACTTAAGGAAATAAAGGGCACTATTAAGCGCACACACACACACAAATACGTGTAATGAGTGTACCAGAGGTAAGAGGAAAAGGATAGAAAAAAATATCAAAAAAATTATGTCTGGAAATTCCCTAAATATGAAGAAAAACATTAATTTTCACTTCCAAGAAGCTCAACAAAATCTAAGTAGGACAGATGGAAAGAGATAGACAACCGGACACATTATTGTCAAAATGTTGAAAGATAGATGCAAATCTTGAAAGCAGCAAGAGAAAAATAACTCATCATGTACAAGGGAAGTCCAGTAACATGAAGAATTAACTTCTCAAAAACAATGAAGGTCAAAGGCATTGCAAGTCATAACCAAAGTGCCGAAAGTAAGAAAAAAATCAAATAGAAAGATAATGAGAAGGGTTGGTGAGGATGTTGGGAAACTGACACTCTCATACTTTGCTAATGGGAAGGTAAACGCAGCTGCTTTGGGAAACATTTCAGCAGTTTCTTTACCTGTTAAACAGATACCATATGACCTAGCAATTCTACTCAGCTATGTATATTCAAGAGAACGAAAACATAGATCCACACAAACCTTGTATGTAAGTGTTCATAATAGCATTATTCGTAATATCCAAAAAGTGTAAATTACTCATATATCTATCAACTGATGATTGGATAAAGTGTGTTAAATCCATAAAATAGGCTATTATTTGCCTATACAGAGGAAAAGTACTGATGTATGCTAAACACAGATGAATTTTGGAAATATTATGCTAAGCATATTATATTATTTCGTTTATAGGATATGTCCAGAATATGCAACTTTATTGATAGAAATAAGAATATTCACTGCCTAGCACTGGGGGTGAGGGTGGGCAAATGTGGAGTGACAGCTAAAGGGCAGGAGGCTAGGGAGAAAGAAAATGGTTTTTTTTGTTGTTGTTTTGAGATGGAGTCTCGCTCTGTCATCCAGGTTGGAGTGCAGTGGCGCTATCTTGGCTCACTGCAACCTCTGCCTCCCGGGTTCAAGCGATACTCCTGCCTCAGCCTCCTGAGTAGCTGGGATTAGCTGGGATTACAGGCATGTGCCACCACACCTGGCTAATTTTTGTATTTTTAGTAGAGACGGGGTTTCACCATGTTGGTCAGGCTGGTCTCGAACTCCTTACCTTGTGATCCACCTGCCTCAGCCTTCTAAAGTGCTGGGATTACAGGCGTGAGCCACCGTGCCCGGCTAGAAAATGTTTTAGGGTCAGATTTTGTGGTAATGGTTACACAATCCTATGAATATACTAAAAATGTTTGAATTTTACACGTCAAATGAGTGAATAGTATGTTCACTATATCTCAATAAAGCTGTTTTTTAAAAAACAATTGTGATCTGTGAAGGCAATGGTATACATCTGTTTAAAATTCACTTCTCTTTTCCATAGTTCTTAATTATGTCCCTTGTATCCTATTTTTGTACCTCACTCCTGAGATACTCAACAGATAAAATTGATCACTACTTTTACTACTACTGTTTATAATAGCAGATAAAATTGAACTATTTTTATAAAAGGACATTTTCAATATATTGTCTGCTTGGTTATCTATGTGCATTGAAAAAAGTCTAGCTTTATGTACATGATAGTCATGAAACTGATACTCAGGAAAATTTGTATTTCCCATTTCTTTGGCTAGCTACAAACCAGATGTAATAATCTTATTACCTATTCCATAGCTCCCATAAAATATATGTTTCCTCCCTTTTCAGAGGTAGACTCTGCTAGTGTTCAACATTTGTGCATCACTTTGCTTTTAAATGGCCTATCTTTAGTGGTCTCCCCTAACAGCCATTATCAGGATCAGTGTTTATGAAATGCCTGCTACTGTTCACCTTGCTAGTGATCTTTGAGTCTATTAAGAGGGAGGAACAAATTAGTTTTGCAGACATTTTTCCTGCATACCGAGGTCCCAAAATAATATTGTGGGAGTCCTGGGATTAACACTCAGTTCTCTCATCTCAACTGCACCATAGTTTACTCACTTATATCGTTTCGCTGTAGGAAATGGTAAGCAGAAATATCTCACTGCACCTCCAGTCTGTAATGTGTTTGTTGAGCTCTGCATATTTTAGCAAACTCTGAGGGTTACAGCTCTATAGGTAAAGTCATGCCACCCCTAGGCCTACATTTCAACTACTTTGCCATTGGGAGCACTCCATCTGGAGTTCCTTTTTACCAGTTTTTTTCATTCCATGCTGTTCTACTAATTCTTCCGTCTTTCGTGTCTTTGCTATGTGGTGGGCTCTACTGCTTGTAACTTGAGGAAAACAATCAAACATTATTTTTACTTTCTAGGAGGGTGATGGAGAGGTTAACTATCAAAGTTTATGTTTTATTTTGCATACCTGAATTTTACAAAGTAATAATAAACCAGTTCCAACCCAGCTGTTGTTAGGACATTTTCCATATCTATAAATCATAAATGTTTCAAAACTGGTGTCATTCTTCTTGTTAGAGACTGAGGATAAGAGTAGGTATGAAATTTTGTGAGCACAGGTGATATTTTCCTCATCCTTATTTTCCACATGATTGGAAGAAAAGAGACTGAAAGAAAACCCTATGTACTAACCAAAATTGTTTCCTTAATGTCTCTGAAAATGTACGTGCATTTTCAAACATGTTGAAGAAATAAAAGATGACCACATCTCCGTAGCAACTCCTTTATAATATTAATATTCTTTCCTTGTTCCTCTTCCCAACATGTATGTACCCACAGAAAGCCTCATATAAGACTCAAAATTGCTTAGGTTTTAAAAAAAATTTTCAGATTAAAAAAAATCCAACCTTGCTTTTAGTTAATAGCTGCATAGATGTTAGATTTTCAAAATGACAAGTGGAAAATTTTCCCATTCACTCACATTAGGCCAACCATATTTACTGTATCAACAGTATGAATTTCCAGTGTGTCAACAGGTTATTTTAAAGAAGGTCTTTCATGAGATTTCTCTCTCTGCAGACTATGAATCATGCAAATTAACCCATCACTAGAGATATCTGAGTGTGTGTGTGTACATATATTTTCTGTGTAATAAATTGAGGCTATAAAACTGTTCTGTCCCCAAAAAGGAAACTACAGCATTCTGTGACTGTATGTGTTGGAGTATGTATTGCTTGGAGGAAAAAATAAGCAGATATCAGCAACCAGAAATAGAAAGCTATATGCTTACATCACGGATAAAATAACCCATAAACCATTCCTGATTCAGCACCCAATATCTTGCTAGCTACACACTGTTAAAATGTCTCCATATACCTAAAGTTGTCTATCCTGGAAATGTCAAACTTCTGTCTACCATAGATAAAATTATCAGGCAACATTTATTATTTTTTCAGATTTTTTATGACATTTATTACAATCCAGAATTATTCATTTGTTGTCTCTCATTGCCTTCCCAAACCAGAATGTAAATTTTGCAGGAAAAGGGACCATATCTGTTTTGCTCATCCCTATGTCCCTAACAACTTGTACCTGTCATACCACAAGTGCTTAATAAATATGCAAATAAATATGCGCTGTAAAAATATCGTATGCATTTGGAGAGAGAGATTGTAGACTGATTAGTCCATTATATATTAAAAAATAATTTATTAATGAAATCCCTTTCCCCCAATTTTTCCTCTCAGAATGTTTTTAATGTTAATTACTCTTAATTTGTACTTCACTAAGTTTATAAGTTCTTCTCAGATTTAAGACTTTTTGAGACACACACAGACATACACCCTGCAAGTGTAATTTTGGTAAAAGAATCACTGATACTGAAGCACAGGGTTTCAAACATATATTTTCAAAACCTCCATCATCTTTCCAGTTTTAAAATTTCCTCCTAAGGTCTTATAATATTTATTTTATTCAAACTGGGTTAAACTTCTTAATTGTAAAGATGTCTACATCTGTTTCTACGTAGGCTTTAATCTGATATAAAGTTTCTGATTCTCCCTCCCTATCCATCCCTCTCCAATTCTCTCTCTTTTTCTCCTTCTTTCTCCTCCCCATTATGGTTATATTAGAATTAGAATATTGCTCTCTTTTTTGCTTTTTTTTAAACTTTTTTTCTTCACTGCTTCATAAGAGCAGAGAAAGAAGATAGAATTACAGACCCATTTAATTTGCAGTTTATTAATGGCTTCCCTTACAGATGTAGGTGACAGAAAATTTGGAGGAGTTTGAGAATAACATATATGGATAAAAATGCACTATTTGACCATCATGCTCATAAGATTCTTATGCTTATAGAGAATAGATTATTCGGTTTAATTGCTTATACCACTGTCCACTCCAAGGGAGCTCTATTTGGGCAGTGGCTGGGAACTATTCACACCAGTGATTAGTTTACCACTTGTGTTCCTTCAGGTCAGAACCAAATTGCTATCTACCAACTGTCAAGGGAAAATGTGCCAGAATAGGTAGGTTTTCCATTTCTCCACCTGGCTGGCTTACCAGTTGGATGAGTAAAGGATAAATAGTGAAGACCATTCAGAGGGGATTAGAGGATAGAAGAGATGACACTTGTGAAACGGCATTGCACCTCTTAGCACACAGATGGGGTATATGTATTTAGGTTTTGGCATTATTTCTCCCTGTTCAAACCTGCTGTTGTATCTGGGAAGGGTTATTTATCCAATGCTTTGTACTTTAAATTTCCACTAGTGTCTCTGAAATTTATTAATGGTGGATCTCTTCCTTGACTGTGCATTACAATCATTGGGAAGCTTTTACAATATAATGCCTGAGTCCCAATAAAGATAAATTGTATCTCTGGGGTAAGGATCTAGATATTGGAATATTCTTTGAAAGCCTTCCCAAAGTGACTCTAATATACAGTCAATATTGAGTCCTGCAGTTATGATATGGGAATAATCTAAGTTTACTTTGCGTATATGAAGAAAATAATTATCTCTCTGATGATATCCAGTTACTATATGAAGACTAAGAATATACCAAAGGAGGATCAAGATGATTGCCAGTTACAGAGAACTCAAGCAAGTTGGATAGCTGGAAACTGCAATGGCATTAATCAGTTGATTTATCATGCTTGCATGCAAATAGGCATTGATTCATTCAATACAGATTTGTTAATGGTCACAGTTTACAGTACTTGACATGGGTGAATAAAAGAGGAATAGATACAATACTCTTGACTTTAATATCACATTCAAGTAATGAACATAGATATGTAAACAATTACAGAATCTACTTAATGATATAATTATGTCTAAAATATATAAGCAGCACAGAAAAGGAGTGATTAATTCTGTCTTCAGGGAAAGGAAGAGGAGAAAAGAAGCTTCTTTTAGGTGGTAGTGGTTATGCTGAGTTTTGAAAATGAATATTAATTTCTAGGCATTCCAGTGAATGTGGCCGGAAAGATCATTTCGGGAAGAGGGGGCAGCATGTGAAAGGGCACAGATCATGATATATTTAGGGATCTAAATTATTTTTTTGCCATTGCAGAACCAAGAGTTATTGAAGTGGTGGGAGATGGATAGATAAATTATATAAGGCCTAACATTCTATATTAAAGAATTTGAACTTTATAGAAAATAAAGAATCAGTAAAAATCTTAACTCCAGGTGAGAGACATGATGGGACTTACAAAATGCTGGCAGTTTTGATATATTTTGAGAAGGAGTGAGATAAGAAGTGGTGAAAAGTAGTTAGAAAGCTGTTTCAACAGTCTGACTAAAAGTCGATGAGGTTTTGAATAATGCAGATTTTCAAAGTAAAAATAATTTTTTATAAGAATCACTCAAGATTTGGATATAAGAGATGAAAGAAAGAAACCTAAGGTGAGTCAGTCTTCTCTCCCCTTCCTCCCTTCCTTTCTTTCTCCCTTCCTTCCTTCCTTTCTTCCTTCCTTCCTCTCTCTTTTCTTTTTCTCTTTCTTTTCTTTCTTTCTCTTTCTTTTTCTTTTTCTTTCTTTCTTTCTGTCTTCCTTTCTCTCTTTCTTTCTTTCCTTCCTTCCTTTCTTCCTTCCTTTTCGTTCTTTCTCTTTCTTTCCTTTCCTTTCCTCTTTCCTTTCTCCTTTCCTTTCCTTTCCCTCTTTCTCTCCCTGTCTCTCTTTCTCTTTCTCTGTCCCTCTTTCTCTTTCTTTCTTTTTCTCAATTATAGTAGGAACACTTAACATGAAATCTACCCTCAACAAATTTTACAGTTTAAAATTGGTATTGTTAATTATAGGCATAGTCTTGTACAGCAGATCTCTAGAATTTATTAATCTTATACAACTGAAAGTTTATACTAGTTGAACAGCAACTGCCTGTTTCTCCCTCCTTTCAGCCCTGGAAACCACCATTCTACTCTGTATTTTTCCATGTTTGTGACTATTTTATATACCTCATTTAAGTGGAATTATGCAATATTTGTCCTGCTGTGATTGGCTTATTTCACTTAGCATATTAATGTCCTCCAGGTTCATTAATATTGTCATGTGTGGCAGAGTTTCTCTTTTTATTTTATTCATTTATTTTTTATTATACTTTAAGCTCTGAGATACATGTGCAGAATGTGCAGGCTTGTTACATAAGGATACATGTGCCATGGTGGTTTGCTGCACCCATCAACCTGTCATCTACATTAGGTATTTCTCCTAATGCTATCCCTCCCCTCGCTCCCCACCCCGCAACAGGCCCCAGCGTGTGATGTTCCCCTCCCTGTGTCCGATGTTCCCCTCCCTGTGTCCATGTGTTCTCATTGTTCAACTCCCACTTTTGAGTGAGAACATGCAGTGTTTGGTTTTCTGTTCCTGTGTTAGTTTGATGAGAATGATGGTTTCCAGCTTCATCCTGCAAAGGACATGAACTCATTCTTTTTTAAGGCTGCATAGTATTCCATGGTGTATATGTGCCACATTGTCTTTATCCAGTCTATCATTGATGGACATTTGGGTTGGTTCCAAATCTTTGCTATTGTGAATAATGCCGCAATAAATATACATGTGCATGTGACTTTATAGTAGAATGATTTATAATCCTTTGGGTGTATACCCAGTGATGGGATTGCTGGGTCAAATGGTATTTCTAGTTCTAGGTCCTTGAGGAATTGCCACACTGTTTTCCACAATGGTTGAACTAATTTACACTCCCACCAACAGTGTAAAAGTGTTTCTGTTTCTCCACATCCTCACCGGCATCTGTTGTTTCCTGACTTTTTAATGATCGACATTCTAACTGGTGGGATATGATATCTCATTGTGGTTTTGATTTGCATTTCTCTAATGACCAGTGATGATGAGCTTTTTTTCATATGTTTGTTGGCTGCATAAATGTCTTCTTTTGAGAAATGTCTGTTCATATCCTTTGCCCACTTTTTTATGGTTTTATATTTTTTTTTTGGTAAATTTGTTTAAGTTTCTTGTAGATTCTGGATATTAGCCCTTTGTCAGATGGATAGATTGCACAGTTTTTCTTCTATTCTGTAGGTTGCCTGTTCACTCTGATGATAGTTTCTTTTGCTGTGCAGAAGCTCTTTGGTTTGATTAGATCTCGTTTGTGAATTTTGGCTTTTGTTGCAAGTATTTTTGATGTTTTAGTCATGAAGTCTGTGCCCATGCCTGTGTTCTGAATGGTATTGCCTAGGTTTTCTTCTAGGGTTTTCATAGTTTTAGGTCTTACGTTTAAGTCCTTAATCCATTTTGAGTTAATTTTTTTATAAGGTATAAGGAAGGGGTCTAGTTTCAGTTTAATGCATATGGCTAGCCAGTTTTCCCAACACCATTTATTAAATAGGGAATCGTTTCCCCATTGCTTGTTTTTCTCAGATTTGTCAAAAATCAGATGGTTGTAGAGTGTGGTGTTGTTTCTGAGGCCTCTGTTCTGTTTCGGTACCAGTACTATGCTGTTTTGGTTACTGTAGCCTTGTAGTATAGTTTGAAGTCAGGTATCATGATGCCTCCAGCTTTGTTCTTTTTGCTTAGAGGCTATACAGACTCTTTTTTGGTTCCATGTGAAATTTTAGGTAGTTTTTTCTAATTATGTGATGAAAGTCAATGGTTGCTTAATGAGAATATCATTGAATCTATAAATTACTTTGGGCAGTGTGGCCATTTTTCATGATATTGATTCTTCCTATCCGTGAGCATGGAATGTTTTTCCATTTGTGTCCTCTCTTATTTCCTTGTGTAGTCGTTTATAGTTTTCCTTTAAGAGGTCCTTCACATCCCATGTAAGTTGTATTCCTAAGTATTTTATTCTCTTTGCAGCAATTGTGAATGGGAGTTCACTCCTGATTTGGCTGTTTGTCTGTTATTGGTGTATAGGAATGCTTGTGATTTTTGCACACTGATTTTGTATCCTGAGACTTTGCTGAAGTTGTTTATCAGCTTAAGGAGTTTTTGGGCTGAGATGATGGGGTTGTCGAAATGTACAATTATGTCTTATGCAAACAGGGATGATTTGACTTCTTCTCTTCCTGTTTGAATACCCTTTATTTCCTTCTCTTGCCTGATTGCCCTGGCCAGAACTTGCAATACTATGTTGAATAGGAGTGGTGAGAGAGGGCACCCTTGCGTAATGCTGGTTTTCAAAGGGAATGCTTCCAGCTTTTGCCCATTCAGTATGATATTGGCTGTGGGTTTGTCATAAATAACTTTTATTATTTTGAGATACATTCCATCAATACCTAGTTTATTGTAATATTTTTAGCATGAAGGGGTGTTGATTTTTATCAAAGGCCTTTTCTGCATCTATTGAGATAATCATGTGGTTTTTGCCATTGGTTCTGTTTATGTGATGGATTCTGTTTGTTAACCTGAGTATGCTGAACCAGACTTTCATTCCAGGGATGAAGCCCACTTGATCATGGTGGATAAACTTTCTGATGTGCTGCTGGATTTGCTTTGCCAGTATTTTATTGAGGATTTTTGCATCAATGTTCATCAGGGATATTGGCCTGAAATTTTCTTTTCTTGTGTCTCTGCCAGGTTTTGGTATGAGGATGATGCTGGCCTCATAAAATGAGTTAGGGAGGAGTTCCTCTTTTTCTACTATTTGGATTAGTTTCAGAAGGAATGGTACCAGCTCCTCTTTGTACCTCTGGTAGAATTCGGCTGTGAATCCTTCTGGTCCTGGGCTTGTTTTTGTTGGTAGACTATTAATTACTGCCTCAATTTCGGAACTTGTTATTGGTCTATTTAGGGATTTGACTTTTTCCTGGTTTAGTTTTGGGAGGGTATATGTATCCAAGAATTTATCCATTTCTTCTAGATTTTCTAGTTTATTTGTGTAGAGGTGTTTATAGTATTCTCTGATGGTAGTTTGTCCACGGGATCGGTGGTGATATCCCCTTTATCATTCTTTTATTGTGTCTATTTGATTCTTTTCTCTTTTCTTCTTTATTAGTATCTTCTTTATTGGTATCTATTTTGTTAATCTTTTCAAAAAACCAGCTCCTGGATTCATTCCTTATTTGAAGGGTTTTTTGTGTCTCTATCTCCTTCATTTCTGCTCTGATCTTAGTTATTTCTTGTCTTCTGCTAGCTTTTGAACTTGTTTGTGCTTGCTTCCCTAGTTCTTGTAATTGTGATGTTAGGGTGTTGATTAGATCTTTCCTGCTTTCTCCTGTGGGCATTTAGTGCTATAAATTTCCCTCTATACACTGCTTTAGCTGAGTCCTAGAGATTCTGGTACATTGTGTCTTTGTTCTCACTGGTTTCAAAGAACTTATTTATTTCTGCCTTAATTTTGTTATTTACCCAGTAGTCATTCAGGAGTAGGTTGTTCAGTTTCCATGTGATTGTGTGGTTTTGAGTGAGTTTCTTAATCCTGAGTTCTAATTTGATTGCACTGTGGTCTGAGAGTCTGTTTGTTATTATTTCCATTCTTTTGCATTTGCTGAGGAGTGTTTTACTTCCAATTGTGTGGTCAATTTTACATTAAAAGTGCTATGTGGTGCTGAGAAGAAAATATATTCTGTTGATTTGGGGTGTAGAGTTCTATAGATGTCTATTAGGTCCACTTGGTCCAGAGTTTAGTTCAAGTCCTGAATGTCCTTGTTAATTTTCTGTCTCGTTGATGTAATATTAACAGTGGGGTGTTATATTCTCCCACTATTATTTGTGGGAGTGTAAGCCTCTTTGTAGGTCTCTAAGAACTTGATTTATGAATCTGGGTGCTCCTATATAGGATGCATATATATTTAGGATAGTTAACTTTTAGTGTTGTATTGATCCCTTTACCAGTATGTAATGCCCTTCTTTGTCTTTTTTGATCTTTGTTGGTTTAAAGTCTGTTTTATCAGAGACTAGGTTTTCAACCCCTGCTTTTTTTTTTTTTTTTTGCTTTCCATTTGCTTGGTAAATATTCCTCCATCCCTTTATTTTGAGCCTATGTGTGTCTTTACACGTAAGATGGGTCTCCTGAATACAGCACACTGATGGGTCTTTACTCTTTATCCAGTTTACCAGTCTGTGTCTTTTAATTGGGCATTTAGCCCATTTACATTTAAGGTTAATATTGTTATGTGTGAATTTGATCCTGTCATTATGATGATAGCTGGTTATTTTGCCCGTTAGTTGATGCAGTTTCTTCATAGTGTTGATGGTCTTTACAATTTGGTATGTTTTTGCAGTGGCTGGTACCTATTGTTCCCTTCCATGTTTACTGCTTCCTTCAGGAGCTCTTGTAAGGCATACCTGGTGGCAACAAAATCTCTCAGCACTTGCTTGTCTGTAAAGGATTTTATTCTCCTTTGCTTATGAAACTTAGTTTGGCTGGATATGAAGTTCTGGGTAGAAAATTCTTTTATTTAAGAATGTTGAATGTTGGCCCCTATTCTCTTCTGGCTTGTAGGGTTTCTGCAGAGAGATCTGCTGTTAGTCTGATGGGCTTCCCTTTGTGGGTAACGTGACCTTTCTCTCTGGCTGCCCTTCACATTGTTCCTTCATTTCAGCCTTGGTGAATCTGACGATTATGTGTCTTGGGGTTGCTTTCCTTGAGGAGTTTCTTTGTGGTGTTCTCTATTTCCTGAATTTGAATGTTGGCCTGTCTTGCTAGGTTGGGGAAGTTCTTCCTGAAGTGTGTTTTCCAACTTGGTTTTATTCTCCCTGTCACTTTCAGGTCACCAATCAAACGTAGGTTTGGTCTTTTCACATAGTCCCATATTTCTTGGAGGCTTTGTTTGTTCCTTTTCATTGTTTTTTCCTCTAATCTTGTCTTCATGCTTTATTTCATTATGTTGATCTTCAGTCTCTGATATCCTTTCTTCCACTTGATCAATTAGGCTATTGATACTCTTGTATGCCTCACAAAGTTCTCGTGCTGTGTTTTTCAGCTCCATCAGGTCATTTGTGTTCTTCTCTAAACTGGTTATTCAAGTTAACCGTTCCTGTAACCTTTTATCAAGGTTCTTAGCTTCCCTGCATTGGGTTAGAATATGCTCCTTTAGCTTGGAGGAGTTTGTTATTACCCAGTGGCTTCTGAAGCCTACTTCTGTCAGTTCGTCAAAGTCATTCTCCATCCTGTTTTGTTCCCTTGCTGGTGAGGAACTGTGACTTTGGAGAAGAAGTAGCATTCTGATCTTTGGAATTTTCAGCATTTTTGCGCTGGTTTTTCCTCATCTTCGTGGATTTATCTACCTTTGGTCTTTGACGTTGGTGACCTTTGGTTGGGGTTTTTGCCTGGGCATCCTTTTTGTTGATGTTGATGTTATTGCTTTCTGTTTGTTAGTTTTCCTTCTAATATTCAGGCCCCTCTTCTTTTTTTTTTTTTTTTTTTTTTGTTTTTTTGAGATGGAGTGTCGCTCTGTCGCCCAGATTGGAGTGCGGTGGCCCAATCTCAGCTCACTGCAAGCTCTGCCTCCCAGGTTGAGGCCATTCTCCTGCCTCAGCCTCCCAACCAGCTGGGACTACAGGCACCCACCACCATGCCTGGCTAATTTTTTATATTTTTAGTAGAGACGAGGTTTCACTGAGTTAGTCAGGATGGTCTCGATCTCCAGTCAGGCCTCTCTTCTGCAGGTCTGCTAGAGTTTGCTGGAGGTCCACTCCAGACCCTGTTTGCCCAGGTATTACCATTGGAGGCTGCACAACAGCAAAGATTGTTGCCTGCTCCTTCCTTTGGAAGCTTCGTCCCAGAGGGGGACCCACCAGATGCCGGCCAGAACTCTCCTGTATGAGGTGTCTGTTGACCCCTGCTGGGAGGTGTCTCCCAGTCAGGAGGCATGGGGATCAGGGATCCATTTGAGGAGGCAGTCTGTCCCTTAGGAGAGCTCGAGTGCTGTGCTAGGAGATCCATTGCTCTCTTCAGAGTCGGCAAGCAGGAATGTTTAAATCTGCTGAAGCTGCACCCACAGCCACCCTTTCCCCCAGGTGCTCTGTCCCAGATAGATGGCAGTTTTATCAATAAGCCCCTTACTGAGGCTGCTGCCTTTCTTTCAGAGATGCCTTTGCCCAGAGAGGAAGAATCTAGAGAGGCAGTCTGGCTACAGTGACTTTGCCGCACTGTAGTGGGTTCAGCCCAATTCGAACTTCCTGGTGGCTTTGTTTACAAGGTGAGGGGAAAACCATCTACTCAAGCCTCAGTAATGGCAGACGCCACTCCCCGCACCAAGCTCCAGCCTCCTAGTTTGACTTCAGACTGCTGTACTGGCAGCGAGAATTTCCAGCCGGTGCATCTTAGCTTGCTGGGCTCCATGGATTGGGACCTGCTGAGCAAGACCCCTTGGCTCCCTGGCTTCAGCCCCCTTTCCAGGGGAGTGAATGGTTCCGTCTCACTGGTGTTCCAGGTGCCACTTGGGTATGAAAAAGAAAAACTCCTGCAGCTAGCTCTGTGTCTTCCCAAATGGTCGCCCAGTTTTGTGTTTGAAACCCAGGGCCATGGTGGTGTAGGCACCCGAGGGAGTCTCCTGGTCTGTGTGTTGTGAAGACTGTGGGAAAAGCATAGTATCTGGGCCAGATAGTATCATACCTCATGGCACAGTCCCTTATGGCTTCCCTTGGCTAAGGGAGGGAGTTCCCCAACCCATTGCACTTCCTGGGTGAGGCAACACCCCACCCTGCTTCTGCTCACCCTCTGTGGGCTGCACCCACTGTCTAACCAGTCCCAGTGAGATAAGCTGGGTACCTCAGTTGGAAATGCAGAAATCACCCACCTTCTGCATTGGTCTCGCTGGGAGCTGCAGAATGGAGCTGTTTCTATTCAGCCATCTTGTCAGCTGCCCCAGAATTTCTCTTTTTAAAGGCTGAATAATATTCCATTGCATGCATAAACCACATTTTCTTTATCTATTCATGCATTGATCAACATTTAAGTTGCTTCCATATCTTGGTTATTGTGGACAATGCAGTGAACATGGGAGTGTAGCTATCTCTTTGAGATACTGATTTCAATTCTTTTGGATATACACATGGAACTGTGATTGCTGGATTATACAGTAGTTCTACTTTTAATTATTTGAGGAACTTCCGTACTATTTTTCAGAGTTGCTGAACCGTGTTACATCTCCACCAGTAGTGTAGAAGGGTCTCAATTTCTTCACATCCTCAGCAACACTTGTTGTGTTTTGCTTTTCTAAGTAATAGCAATCCCAGTATCCTAATGAGATGATAACTTATTGTGGCTTTAATTTGCATTTACCTGATAATTAGTGATGTCGAGAACCTATTTAGAAAAATGTCTATTTGTGTCATTTACCCACTTTTTAATCAGGTTATTTGTTTTTTATATTTGCTATTGAGTTGTAAGAATTTCTTATATTAACCATTCATCAGATGTGGTTTGCAAATATTTTCTCCATTCCATAGGTTACCTTTTCACTCTATTGACTGTTTCCTTTGCTGTGCAGAAGCATTTTAGTTTGATGCTGTCTCACTTGTTAATTTTTGCTTTTGTATAAAGCTTGTGCTTTTGGTGTCATATCTAAGAAATTATTGCCAACTTCAATGTCAGGAGTTTTTTTCCCTAGGTTTTATTCTAGGAATTTTACAGTTGCACATCTTACATTTAAATCTTTAATCCATTTTGAGTTGATTATGTGTATGGTGTAACAGAAGCCTTCAGTTTCATTCTTTTGCATGTGAATATCCAGTTTTCCAACATTTTTTAATGGAGGAGACTCTCCTTTCCTCATTGTGTACTGTTAACACCATCATAGATTAGTTGACTATATATGACTGGGTTTGTTTCTGGGCCATTCTGTTCAATTGGTCTATGTGTCTGTTTTATGTCAGTACCATATAATTTTGATTAATGCAGACTTGTAATATTCCAAAATGTGGAAGTGTGACACCTTCAGCTTTGTTCTTGCTCAAATTTACTTTGTTATTTGGGAGTTTTTGTGGTTCCATATTAATTCTAAGATTGTTTTTTCTATTTCTGTAAAAACTACTATTGAGATTTCTGATAGGGATTTCATCACATCTGGAGACTGCTTTGGGTAGTATGGATATTTTAATAATATAAATTCTTCCCATCCGTGGATACAGGTTACCTTCTCATTTATTTGTGTCTTATGTTAATTTCTTTTATCAATGTTTTATAGTTTTCAGTATGTACGTCTTATTACCACCTTGGTTAAGTTTATTGGTTAAGTATTTTATTCTTTAGATGCTATTGTAAATGGGACTGTTTTCCTAATTTCCTTTCCAGATAGTTCATTGTTAGTGTCTAGAAATACAACTAGTTTTTATATGTTGGTTTGCATCCTGCAACTCTGCAACTTTACTGAACATTTTCTAGTTCTAACAGTTTTTTTTTTTTTGATGTGATCTTTAGGGTTTTCTACATGTAAAATCATGACATCTGCAAACAAAGGTAATTTTACCCCTTCCTTTTCTATTTCTTTCTTTCTTTCTTTTATTATTATTATTATTATTGCCTAATTATCCTGGCTAGGACTTTCAGTACTGTGTTAACTGGATGTGGCAAGAGTGGGCATCCATTTATTGTTTGTGATCTTAGAGAAAAAGCTTTCAATTTTTCACCATTGAGTAGTGGTGGCCTTTGATTATGTTGAGGTAAATTTTTTCTATACCTAGCTTGTTGAGAGTTTTCATGATGAAAGGAAGTCAAATTTTATCAAATGCTTTTCTGCATCTATTGAGATAATGATGTGGGGTTTTTTTGTTTGTTTTTTTTTGTTTGTTTGTTTTGGTTTTTTAGATGGAGTTTTGCTCTTGTTGCCCAGGCTGGAGTGCAATGGAGTGGTCTTGGCTCACTGCAACCTCCACCTCCTGGGTTCAAGTGATTCTCCTGTCTCAGCTTCCTATATACCTGGGATTACAAGCACCTGCCACCACGCCTGGCTAATTTTTTGTATTTTTAGTAGAGACAGGGGTTCTCTATGTTGGCCAGGCTAGTCTCGAACTCCTGACCTCAGGTGCTCCACCCACCTCGGCCTCCCAAAGTGCTGGGATTACAGGTGTGAGCCACCATGCCCGGCCAATGATGTGATTTTTATCCTTCATTCTGTTAATGTAGTGCATCACATTAATTGCATTGGTTGTGTTGAGCCATCCTTGCATCCCAGGGGTAAATCCCATTTGACCATGGTATATGATCTTTATAGTGTGCTGTTGAATTTTCTTTGCTTGCATTTTACCGAAGATTTTTGCATCTGTGTTCATCATGAACTGTAGTTTCCTTTTCTTGTAGTGTCTTCATCTGGTTTTGGTATCAGTATAATGCTGGCCTTGTAAAATGGGCTTGGAATTGTTTCCTCCTCTTCAGTTTTTAGAAAGAGTTTAAGAAACATTGGTGTTAATTCTTCTTTAAGTGTTTGGTAGAATTCACCAGTGCAGCCATCTAGTACTGGGCTTTTGTGTTTGGAGGTTTTGATTACTAATTCAATCTCATTATTTGTTATTGGTTTATTCAGATTTTCTATTTCTTCATGATTCAGTCTTGATAGGTTGCTTATTTCTAGGAATTCATCCATACCACAATATCTGATTTAGAGACATATCATTGTTCATCACAATATCTGATTTAGAGACATATCATTGTTCATATTAGATTTTATCATCCTGCTTATTTTTGTAGCATAAGTTATGATGTCCGCTCTTTCATTTCTGGTTTTATTTATTTGAGTTTTCTCGTGGTTTTTTTTTTTTTTTGTTTTTGTTAGTCTAGCTAAGTGTTTGTCAATTTTACCTTAAAAAATCAACTGTGTTTTAATTTTTTTTTCTATTTTTTAATTCTCTGTTTGTGAATTATTGGTATCTGATTTTGGAGCACTGGATGTATATGATGTCAACACTAACCAAAATGCAGTAAGACAAGAAATTAAAAAAATAAGTTTTTGTGATAGGGGATAAGATGATGAGTATGATTATTGCATATAATGAGTGTGGGATTCCCAGAGAACATCAAGGACAAGATCTTTTATTAAGTATAGTTGGAAGTTCAAGAGACATGTCTGGTGCACAAATATTGGTGTTTTTATCTTGAAGTTTTTCAATCTGCGGAGGTAATTATTGAGGACATTTTAATCAATTTTATTCACAGGATTCTTTGAAACAATTTCATCCTATCCTTAGGAATGTTCAGCCTATCTGTACAATGGGAGAAACATGTTAATGCACTTAGCATGATGATTTTTATCAGGAGGTTCTTAGTATGATTTTACAAAGCACATATTAAACCTCACAATCTTATAGACCTATTCCAAATGTCTTGGGTGTTGTGGGTCTTAAAGATCCACTTTGAGACTACACCTTGTTTATGTAAAGGAAAAAATGTTCCTTATATCATTTTATAGCTTTCCTTCACTTTTCTTTCTTTCTTTTACTCTTTAAGTATTAAAAATTCCCTGGGAACACATTTTTTTAAATTTAATTTAAAGGATCCAGTTGAGTTTGTCGCTAAAGAGCAAATGGAGAATAAAAGAATTTTATCTTTTCTGCTCCTATTTTCTTATAGGCTTCTGTGCAAGCCTGACATCTGTAACACTAGGCAAGTGTTTCAACAGAGTAAAAGTCTTGATCAACATAAGCCCCTGCCCTCTCCACAAACATATTTTCTTACATATGGGCTTATAACTTTAATCAGTGTTTTTTTTTTTTCTTCTCTGAACATCACTTGGCTGCCCAGGAATTTGATTAGCAAAATTCTAATAGCAAAACAATTAAACAATGGCAATTTCATTCAAATCTTAATCTCTGCTTGCCATGATGGGATATGGATTATATTTCTCTATTTAAGTGATTTTAAAACCACAGCCACTTTTTTGACCAATTATTCAGAAATATCGAGACCCAAATTCCTTCTGTGGTCTCTGCTACCTCTGCCTTCCACTTCATCAGACCATTGGCAGTAGGGTTTATAATCCCATTTGGCATGAGTGTACCACATTGGTGCCAAGAGCAGCCCATTCCTCAAGTCCTTTCACTGTTTTCCAACTTTGCCTAGATTCTTTTTACCTTGCCTTCATAGTAGCATAGGTAGTTTTTTCTTTTGCTGATAACTAACTGCCTGTGCCCCTCATTTGCATCCTGGTAAGATTGGGTTTGCCCATTTTGTGATGTTGATTCAGTAACCTGCCCCTTACAGACTATGAAACAGGACTTAATCTTGTTTTTTGGAAAAAAATAACGCTCTCCTAGGATTTCCCCTGTAGTGTTGGGTATTATCTGTACTAGTTGTTAATACTGTATGATATTTTGTAGTATCACAAATTGTGATCTGCAAACCGGTAGCATTGGCATCACTCAGGAGATTTTTAGAAACACAGAATCTCAGACCCCACTGAAAAACCAGTGAATCAGAATCTATATTTTAATAAGATGATTAGATTATTCATATGCACATAAAATTTGAGAAGCACTGCCATGGTATGTGAGCACAGCTTTGCTAGTAGCTTTTATTACTTTTCTGCTTTTTTATCCTCTCTTGATGCTCTAAGAAAGTTATTCCTTCTCTTACCCATCTTTCAGTAAATTGAATATGTCGGGCAAGGTCTGTGGTTTCGCAGTCAGAGCTTGAATGATTCTATTCAAACTAAGAGGCTTGATCTGTATTTCCAAACACTTTGCTGTCTTCTTCGCTGGTCTATTATATGGTCTTTAGCCTTGAATTATGAGCAAACATCTCTTTTCCATCAATCTGCAATGTGGTCAGGAGGCTTAACAATACAGCCCTCTGCTTCTGAACTTTCCCAAATCCTTTCTGTAGCACTTGATCATCATCATCAAACATTATTTACCTTAAGATTATGAAAGGTCTAAATATTAGTTATGGAAGGATTCCTCAATATTGGCTGTTTGCTGCTTGTTGAATTTATCACTCATAAATTTGAGTGTAATATGTACATATTATGTAATTTTTAATATGTAAGTAGTCTTGGCCTAACTGTCTCCTGGAGCCTCAGGTGAAATACTCCTCCTCCAGCAATCACTGTGGATAACCGACTCCTTACTAGCCGAAGTGGTTTCACCCATCTGAGATCAATGGCATCTTGAGTCTGTGATATCTCTCATTACTTCTGGATTCTAATAAAATATCACACAGCAAGCCATGGATTTGCCTTTCAAGTAGCTGCCAAAAAGCCCAGATGATTCAACCTAAAACTGTGATGAAGTTAAATCCAGCTGAAGAAAACTTTGACCAATGAAAGACAGAAGAATAAAGTAGATAGATAAATCACCTTTCACTTTCTCCAGTGGATGGAACTTTCCTAGGCACAATTCCACCATTCCTCCTTTCTATAGATTGCTCATGTGGCTAGGCAGGTATATCCGATGAGGTCTTATGAAGCAGAAGCCAGTGCATTCACATGTTATATTTTTTCACTTCCTGTCCTTCTCTGCTTTGCTTTTTTGGGATTTCATCTTTAAATAAATGACTGTCCGTTAATCGTTGCCTCAGGCTCTGTTTTCTAGGAAACCAGGATAGTTCTAGGAAGCAAACCCTTAGGAAGAGAATTGGAGATGGACTGCTCATTTCTATAAAATAAATAAGAACCCTTGTATGGAGATAGTGGTGTGATACTAACTTCGGGTATCAAAATTACCTCAAGCTATCACTATAGTTAATAAGGAATAAGTGAAGTTGGAGGGAAGAAATGTAGAAATCAAGTACCTGCAGCATTTGATCATTATAGGAACAATGATAATTTCAAGGATAATAAAGTGAAGTAACTCCTTTTAATGGCACAGGAAATTTTAAAAGGAAAATGATAGGTTTAGGCAGCTAATTACAAACTTAAAATTCATGTTCTACAGCCAGAGGACCTGTATGGCAGCTGTAAAGGAGATTTTTATTTCCTGCAGCCACAGGGCATTCTTGCTGAACACCAGGCTTAGGATTTGGTTATATACTTAAAAGGAGAATAAATCCTCAGCCTAAACAGATCTTCCACCAAAGACAGAATCCTAATGGAGAAGAGGTGGAATTCTGAGACTTGGGATAGTGACATTTCAGTGGATGAGCTAAAAAATCTTGGACCCTTCCCAAATTTCCTAGAATCTCCTGGCTGGAAACAACAACAACAACAACAACAACAACAACAACAACAACAACACAAAACAAAACAACCCAGAAAACAAAACCTCCCCATTGCCAGAGGAGAATTCTGGAATGACTTTTCTGAAGCAGATGACTTTAAAGACAATGTCTGTTTTCCACAAGACTTATTGTCACCACCATTCATTGCTCCTAGATATGTAACAGAAATCAAGTCTTGGCCGGGCGTGGTGGCTCACGCCTGTAATCCCAGCACTTTGGGAGGCCAAGGCGGGCAGATCACGAGGTCAGGAGATCGAGACCATCCTGGCTAACATGGTGAAACCCTGTGTCTACTAAAAATACAAAAATTAGCCAGGTGTGGTGGCGGGCACCTGTAGTCCCAGCTACTTGGGAGACTCAGGCAGGAGAATGGCGTGAACCTGGGAGGCAGAGCTTGCAGTGAGCCAAGATTGCGCCACTGCACTCCAGCCTGGGCAACAGAGCAAGACTCCGTCTCAAAAAAAAAAAAAAAAAAAAAAAGAAAAGAAATCAAGTCTTAAAACAGCTTGAGCAGAGAGGTATAAGAACGACCTTTGCCAGTAAGAAATAGCTTTTACTCCAAAAAACTCGAAGCACAGAAAGGATCCAGAAGAACATGTGAAAATGAATTTGAATGGAGTTATCTTGGGGAAAGGCTGAATATAAAGCTCAATGGGGAAGAATTTATTGTCATAAGGATGTAGGAGTTTCAATATTTTGGCGAGACCACATGGAGGTAGAAAATCTGAGCTAACATAATGTGCTAACAGTGTTTGAAGATTGTGTGATAATGGCACATCCTGAGAACTATTTCAGCTTTTGATAGTAGTTGATGTAGTTTGGATGAGTGTCCCTGAGCAAATCTCATGTTGAAATGTAATCCTCAGTGTTGGAGGTGGGGCCTGGTGAGAGGGGATTGGATCATGGGGGTGGATTTCTCATGAATGGTTTACCACCATCCCTTGTGGTACTGTCCTCATAACTGTGAGTGAGATCTGGTCATTTTAAAGTGTGTAGCAGACATGCACAGTGGCTCACACCTGTAATCCCAGCACTTTGGGGGGCAGAGGCGGGCAGGTCACTTGAGACCAGCAGTTCGAGACCAGTCAGGGCAATATAGTGAAACCCAGGCTCTACAAAAAATATGAAAATTAGCCAGCGTGGTGGTGCCCACTTGTAGTCCCAGCTACTTGGGAGGCCGAGGTGGGAGAATTGCTTAAACCTGGGAGGCAGAGTTTGCAGTGAGTGGGGGTCATGCCACTGCACTCCAACCTGGGCGACAGAGTGAGACTGTCTCAAAAAAAAAAAAAAAAAAAAAAAAAAAAGGCCAGGCACAGTGGCTCACGCCTGTAATCCCTGCATTTTGGGAGGCTGAGGTGGGCGGATCACGAGGTCAGGAGATTGAGACCATCCTGGCTCACACGGTGAAACCCTGTCTCTACTAAAAATACAAAAAAATTAGCTGGGCGTGGTGGTGGGTGCCTGTAGTCCCAGCTACTTGGGAGGCTGAGGCAGGAGAATGGCATGAACCCAGGAGGCGGAGCTTGCAGTGAGCCGAGATCGCGCCACTGCACTCCAGCCCGGGTGACAGAGCAAGACTCTGTCTCAAAAAAAAAAAAAAAGAAAGTTTACCACCTTCCCACTCGCTCTCTCTTGCTCCTCTTTCATCATGTGATGTGCCTGCTCCCGCTTTGCCTTCTGCCATGACTGGAAGCTTCCTGAGGCCTCCCCAGAAGCAGATGTCACTATGCTTCCTGTACAGCCTGCAGACCCATGAGCCAATTAAACTTCTTTTCTTTATGAATTACCCAGACTCAGGTACTTCTTTATAGCAATGTGAGACTGGCCTAATATAGTAATGTCATCAGTAAGAGGATGAATAATTTCTAGTTTTGAGAGTTAATCTATGTAAGTTGCTCTAGACAAAAATCTAGTCTAAAAGAGCTATCTAATACATTGATCTTGATATGCCACTTAAGAAATACGATTTTAAAATATTTCTTTTTGCAGAATACTTTTCACATTCTCAATAACTTTCAATGAAACTTCATTTGAATGGCTGTGAAAACATCACAGAGAATCACATAAGTAGTGCTTTAGTGATTAAGGTGTCTACAATCACTTCCTGATCACAATACCAATAAGTTGCTTTCTCAGCACCAGTAAGATTGGGCAAGTCAAGTTCCATTTTCATGCTGCATCCTTACAGGGTAATCTCAAATAACACACAAGAAAATGAGCAGATAGTACTGGCTGTAATCTAATATTACTAAAATTGTCTTTGGAAAAAATGGGTTGTGCCATAGAACAAAAGTTGTAATATCCCATGTGTACTTGCCTAATTTTCCTTCAATATTCCTTTTTAGTTGGGGTACCCAATAGGGTGATAAATTATAACACTAAAGAACTCATCTATCAAAATTAGCATGAAGTCCAGTGTTAACCTCTGCTCACACCACCCCTGTCTTCCAGCCAACAAACCTCTCAAGGTAGTGGTTAATTGATTTTGTATTTGCTTTTGCTTAGTAGCTTGAGATGAACTGAGACATTTTCTTCAAATTCTGGATGATTCCATGACTGCTACTGTCATTGGGTTCAGAAGTCATTTTTACTATTATCATTCCCCAAATCTGGAAAGTCCAACCATTAACGTTATTTAACATGTATGATTCTGTTATTCTAGTCTATCTAGAGAAATTCAAAACTTCTTCTCTTGAAAGGGGAATTGGGATTTTTTTATCTCATTTATTATATCAAGTTCTTAGATTTCTTAAGCAAATTTAGTTTTTCTCCTCCAGCTTTCGTTAAACTCCGTATATCAATAGATACCCTTGTATAAAATAACAAAATATCTACCTGATTAGCTCTACAATCTTTACTGTATTTACTTGCCTACTATGTGACAGTTAATGTGCTAGGACTTTTTTTACATATAGCCTCATACCTGTTCTTCACCATATCCATTGCTTTTCTCAGTTTTACAGAAAGGAAACTGAGGTTCAGGGTGGTTAAAATGAACTTGTCAATATCACAAAGCTAGCAAGCGGCAAGGCTGAATCTGAAATATAGGCCTTCCTGGCTTAACAGTCTGATCAATTTCTATCACACCACCCTCCACTTGTTGAAAAGATCAGCTTCATGATTCCAATTGGGGTTGTGTGATGGAGGGAGTGCCATCCTGCACATGGATCACTTAATCGATTCACCTGATAAAATGTACGCTAACATGCTAAACTTGGTGGTGCCCAGCTAGTTAGAAATTTCATTCTATCTAGAACAGCAATGGATAGAAGGGTACAATTAAGAGAAATACTCCAGTCCAAATAAGAGAAATACTCTTTGTTTTTAGTTATGCTTTAGCATGTAGGGAAAATATTCCTTATCTAGACTTGTTTTATGAAATCAAGACCACATTTGAGACTTTCTTGGTAGTCAAAGTGTTAGCAACCATCAATCAGAAATGAAAAAAATGAATTCTACACCCAAGTTTGGGAGAACAAATTCAGTGTTTAGTATTTCTGGTCCCAAGAGAGTTTGGCTGAGAAAAAGTTAGATCTATTGAACAATCTCAATTTATGTGTCCTAGGTTTTAATTCAAATGAGAATATGTCAGATCAGGACAGGAGAAGAATGACTCAGAATTATGTAGGAGATCGGTAAAATGGCCTTTGATTTTTCTGACGCCTCTTGTGGGAACAGCTCTGATTTTAATATGCCGGGTGGAATGATATTAAACATTACCAGACCAACTTTATACTAGCTACACTGTACCATGCCTGGGGAGAGAACAGAGAACTCATTAAATAAATGAAGATGCAAGTTCACATCCAGACATTATCTATCATTACTTTTAGACCTAACAGATTCATTATCTTCAGTACTGCTTGGAGTATTATTTTTCTAGATAGTTTGCTACACTATCAGGAAAATCTGGTAGAGGAAAACTGATACAACTTAATGAAATAGCCAGCAAAGGGGATATCTGTAGTTTGCCAAGTGTCTATAAATTTATGTTGTCTTTTCTTTTTTCTCCAAATGAAACATTGCCTGTCAATCAATTAAAGGTATTTACTGAGCTCTTATTCTATGGCCACATTACTGTAGGTGAAAAATGCAGATTCAAAGAAAATGGTAGGACCGGTACCTGAATTCAGAATTTATTTTAATTTTTAAGTTTTATAAAAGAAATATATCGTAAAGCTCAAGTATGTTCTAAGGCCAAGATTTTCAAATACTTATTAAAATTATTGAGGAATCCAAATAACTTTTTCTTATGTACTTAATATCTGTCAGTGTTTACCATGTTAGAAATTAAAATTGAGACGTTCAAAAATATTTATTCATCGGTTTCAAACAGCAAAAACAAATCTATTATATATTAACATAAATAGTAGGTTTTGTGAAAAATGTTTCTACAACAAAAAAAATGAGAAAATTGGCCTTGTTCTACATTTTTGCAAAGCTCATTAATGTCTGGTTTAGAAAAGACAGCTGGAGTCTTATATCTGCTTCAGCACTTAATCTCTTGCAATATCATGTCATGTAGCCTCTGGAATATTTTACTGTACTCTCATGAGAAAATCAGTATAAAATGGAAAATAATATCTTAGTATTAGTATGAAATAGTTTTGACCTAATAGATCCCAAAAAGGGTTTCAGGGACCTCCTGCATAGATCACATTTTAAAAAACCCTGTTTTAGGATAATATGATGAGTAGAAGTGATAACTCAGTATTACCCTTTCAATATAAAATTGAAAAATGCAGGCATTCGGATGAGATAGTATTTATTGAGATCTGCTTTTTAAAAGCTGATGTTAAAATATTGATCCAGAGTTAGCAAAATGAATACAAGTTGAAGGAGATTTAAGTAAATTTCACATTGCTGTATACAAGAAGATTCATGTAAACACATGTATGCTTTTTTGTCTATTTTGTTAAATTTTAAACTCTATCAGCAAAAGACAATTATTTGCATTCTAATTTTTATGTTTTCCTGCACAATACTGTTTCAACTTTAGAAGGTAGCTACTAGCCATTCTTATTATATGGTTTATTTATTTACTCTACTTTTGTGTAGACATCTGTTTTTAAAGTTAGCTATCTGAAAAAGTCATCTTTTCAGTTAGGTAACACTAGCAATCAGAACCACCCACAATTTGGAGTGAAACACCACTTTAGAGGAGAATGAATCCAGTGGACAGAATGGCTTATATTACTGCAAGAATAGCTGACTAAATGTCAACTGAATAGTCCAAGTTATCCAAAAGAAGAAAATATTAACAAAAAAATATTTTTGGCTCACCATATAAAAGGCCCATTATGCTTTACTACTACTACCAATAAGTAAAGATTAAATTTGTTTATGCTATACCAGAGATCTGACACTATAAAGTAATTTTAATCATGATTAATTTTATGGCTTTTTGAAGAATCAAAAATCCTTATACAGGGGCATAATAGGTCACTTCATATTTTTCCACCTGAAATCTAGGAATAAACTGACAGATTCCATATCTTCTACTCCCCAGTTTTCCTCATTTGTTGCTTACAATATTCAGAATTTAAAATGATAAATGAAAAAATATGCTTTGATGGAATTGAGAGAAACAAGGACTGTTGTTATTTAAGGAATGCAAAGGCTCAAAAGTGAATATTCTTCTTTTTCTCTATATTTTACTTCTTCCTTTACCAACCTGATAAAACCCTCACATTTTGGGAAGAATGTATTTAGTTCTAAAAACAGGCTTTGCAACGGCTAAAGGACTGCTTATTTTGTGGATGGTCCTTCTGTACAAAGAACTGTGTGTTACTACTAGTAACACAATAGTCCAGCAGGTAATAGAAAACTCATCAATAGAAGGAAAGAAAATGGCAGTAGAACTGGAAGATAATCTGCATTTTATGTCAAGTGCAAAGGCAGCCCTGTTCAGCTATGGTGTTTAGACCCCTGAATTGCATCTGGTGGTACGTCTATGGCTTCATATACACATAGGTTGGACCTCCTTTTTTATCTTGTATTTGAAATATTTATATTAACAAAGAAAAGAAATGTGAAAAATAACTAGCTTAAAGCTGTCTAGAAAGATGTCTCCTTTCTTCCTTTCCTTTAAATTGCATTTCCTGGAACACCTGAGAAATCCAGTAACTATGTATCCACACCATAGAGCCAGGAATGAGCGTTACAGAGAATGATGATGTCTTGAGTTTATTATAGCCCAACTCCAAGAAATCTAAACTTCATCCATTCTTTAGATTATAGATGACATTTCAAACTCACAGCCATAGAACAGAGAGTGTGTTCACAACTGCACGGAATTGCTTGTTATGATGATGGAATTCTTTACATCTTAAAAGACGATAAAAGTTGCCTAATTCGTGTATGATACAATAAACTTATTTGCTGACATAGCAAGTCTTACATAATAACCATGCTAATGATAGGGGAGTGCTGGGAAGGAAAGAGCATGGTCCCTTTAAATTATATGGAAGGGGGAAGGGAAGTGCTGGGTAAGAGAAAGGCGGGTCCCTGGCTAGGGCTCCACCCCCACGGGCCTAGGTGAAGACAGCCACTCCTGCTTTCCTGCCCAAATGTTGCATTTTCTAGGACTACCCTGGCCCACCATGCCCCCATCTTGATAAAAACCCGAGACCCTAGTGGGCAGACACACAGAAGCAGCTAGATGTGGAGAGGAACACATCCGGGGAAGAAGACACAAGTGGCTGGTCATTGAGAGCACGCCAGCAGACGAGCACGCTGATGGGCACCTGCAGGCCATCGACCAGCGGAAGGACATGGAGTTTGGCTGGAGCAGTCAGAGAAAAGTCCAGCCACTTGGTCCAGGGGAAAACCATCTCCCATCTGGCTCCCACATGTGCTGAGAGGTACTTCTACTCAATAAAACCTTGCACTCATTCTCCAAGCCCACATGTGATCTGATTCTTCCAGTACACCAAAGCAAGAAATCCTAGGATACAGAAATCCCCCTGTCCTTGTGATACGGAAGGGGGTCTAACTGAGCTGGTTGACACAAGCCGCCTATAGATGGCCAACTAAGAGAGTACCCTGTAACACACACCCACCGATGCTTCAGCTGTAAACACTCACCCCAAGACACTGACGTGGGGTCGGAGCCTCACAGCCTGCCGTCTGTATGCTCCCCTAGAGGTTTGAGAAGTGGGCAATGAAGAAGCAAGCCAGTCACCCTGTTGCACGCCCTCCAAGGGGGACAAGGGAACCTTTCCTGTTTCACTAACATTCTTCACAAACAGATTTTGAAAAACATCCATTCAGCTAAAATGCATATATCCTTATGCTAAGAAGGTGGCAAGATATTTTGAAATAAAAATTTAAAAAACAATGATTATATTTTAATCATTGTGTTACTTTAAAGCACCGATTAACAAAGCTTTGCCAGGTTGAATCACTCATCTTTGACTGAATTTCCATTTTCAAGCTGTTTCTCACTGAACTTTGTAACTTCACATGACTCACAGACTTCAAAAGCCGCCTTCATAATTGCTTTTCTCTCCAATACATTATATATGTACATTACATATAAAATGTCAAGAAACAGATATTAAAGGACAAGATTTGAAGATCTGAAGTGAAGAAAATGAATCAGTTAGTGATATTGCACAGATTATCTAGTTTGATTTACATAGATTTTTTTCAATGTGATTTTTGTGATTGCTTTCAATGAGATCCATACCTGCCAGTCCTGGGTGACCTTTCTCTCTTTTTCTTTGTGTGGGAGCCTCAGCTTCTCTAGCACACAAAGGTTGTGTGAGGCCCACAGAGTGTGGAATGCTTTGGATAATGGGAGAGCAGTCTAATCAATTCGCTACTGATAGGATGAAAGGGAGACTAGAGAGGCTGCTTTTGAAGTTGTCTCCTTTGTGGATCTGAGTCATCCACAGCTGTAGGATTCCAGTCTGTTTGTTTTAAGTCTTAAAGGAGGAGCAGGAACACCAAGTTTTACATACCATGTTTATGTTCTTCTGCCAGTTTGAGTCCTATAGAGCAAAGACAAATCTCGGCGTGGCATTTTTAGCTCTAAGCCAAATGTTCAGACGCCCACATGCCTTAACTTAGTAGGCAGGAGAAGGAACACACCTTATATGTGAAATTGCACAAGATAACATTTATCATCCAAAATAAAACTGGTGTTGCCTTCCTGTTCCAGCTTACCCACCATTGGGAAAATAATGAATTTTCTGGAGATAAATAAGCTCCTTTGCTTGCTTGCTTTCTATTTCCCTCTGTCTCTTTCTTCCTCTTCTTTTTTTTTCTTCCTACCCAAGGTGAAAAAATGTGGCTCTAAATTTTCACAAGTAATGTTTAGGGCAATGACTACCTTTGTTTTCTGTTTTCCTCTTTGTGTAAATTGGCCAGACTATAAAACCACAAAGGTCTTAAGGAAATAGAATCTGAACTCTTGAGTTTAGGATTTAGCCCTGCCTCCTTACTGTGTGAGAAGCTTACCCTGCAGCAGTTTCCACAGGGTTTCATTTCTTCTACCTTCCTAAAGTGAATTGTCTTCCTTTAAGGAGAGATATTTACAAATATATTTTGCCCCCTTTTTAGGGATTTAAAAATTATTTCTTGATTTGAGTTTCTGTGTAATAAAAAGATACCTTCTAATATTAAAAAAAATTATTTACAAATAGCCAAATAGTATGTTTAAATTTATTTTTAAAAAATATTTATGTAGAATATTTTAAAGAAATATTTTAAAGAAGTATTCAATATTAAATATTCACGCAGAATATTAATATTTTTGGCAAATTAATTTAAAGATTACTTGCTTTGTTATGTTTGAATTAAGGATTGACTGTATGTTAAAATTTACACTGAGTTGAAATATGTGTTAGGGTATGAAAAAATGATTCAGTGAGCTAGTATTTGTAATTCTTGCATTTTGCACTTAAATTCATTTTTAAAATAATTTCTTGATTTTTATTTGTAAATGAAAAGATAAAAAATGCTAAGGCTACTTTCCAGTTCTTGCAAATCCAAATAACACATTCTGGGCAAGGATAGAATAGTTTTTCAATAAATGAAAGACTAAAATGAATACAGTACTTTTGTACTCTCCTATGTTTTTGAAATACAAGAAATAACTAAGAAATAAGCTAAATAAGAAAATTGGTGAGATGAATGCAAATTATGAATCTGATAAATCAGGAGACACACTTGCAAAATTATTATTTGTATCTGCCCCATTAATTTGCACTTCAATATCAATGTTTCTTACGTCCGCAAGCAATGGTCTACCTTGGGTGGAAAGTTCACAATATATGACTTGGATTAAAACAATTCAAAACTGTTTTGTTCAAAATCACCATGGAAGGCCATCTATTTCAGCTCAGCCACTGAGGGCCTGAGTCAGGAACAAACACATGTGGCCTCTTCTAAGATCTTACACATATTCACTCCAGAGCCACTCAGGTGCTCAGTGCAGCTATTTCAAATGGGAACGGACATAAATGAATAATTGTAGTTGATTTAAAATACATATATATCAACAGATCTAATTTCTTCTGGTACAGTTTTAGTCTTGAAGTTCTGGATTATCTTTCTAAACTTCCTGTGAAGTCTTACTCAGGCAGTGCTAAGGTAGGAATTATGATACTTATGATACATTTGTCACCTAAAGTTTTGTCTTGCTTTTTAAAAGCTGTGGTTTGGATGAAAACAACAGGATTTTCTTGCTCCCTAGATGTAGGTATGTATCATAGATATTTTGTTTTTTGGATTAAGTAGCTGCTTTCACTGTGAAAATTTAAAAAAAAATCTCTCAAACCACAAACAACCCCCACCACAAAAAAAACACAATTTTCTTATTTTCTAGACACAGAGATAGTTTTAATTTTGATGTATATCTACTTATTCATTAATTATTAAATAATATTTTACAAAAAATTGGGTTATTAATATCAATATGGTTGGCAAGGTGGTTGATTTCACGTGTTTCCATACCACATGATTAAAGTGATTATTAGTCTACACGATGTTTCCGTTTGCATTTTTTCAGTTGTACTATTTTCATGATATAGCTATACCATATTTTTATAAGCCTTTTAAGTTGGATATTTAGGTTGATTTTTCTTGTTTTTCTTTTTTTATAAATAAACCTGTAATAAATATCCTTATGGATATAGATCTACATATTCTTCTCATTATTTGTGTTTTTTTTTTTGAAAATGGGATTATTTGATCAAAAGTAATTCACATTTAAAATTTTTTTCACATGAAATGTGGTTGAGGGATTTGGGTTCAGAAATGACATGATTGAACTTAGCATTCTGACTAATCTTAGGACTAATCTTAAATCTAATCCCAAAACTAGCATTATTTGGGATAAGAGCAGAAGCAGAGAGTCCAGTTAGGAGACCATTGCAATACCATGGAAAGAAATGATGCAAGTAGGACACAAGTAATAGCGCTGAAAATAATGAAATTTGGTCAAATCCTGAAGCTAAAGCTGATAGGATTTACTGAAAGATTGTAAGAGGGAGTGAGAGGAAGAAATAGTGAAAGATGACTCCAAGGGATTTTTTTGTATTTGAGTAGAATGTGCAGTTACCATTAACTAGATGAGAAAGACAATGAGGAGCATGTTTGAGGAAAGATGTCAGAACTTTGGTGTTGGACATGATAAATAGAGAAAAGTCGGGCATAGAGAAATACTTTTGCGAGCCATTAACATTCCATTAGCTATTGCTGTGTAAGAAACAACCATAGAATCTCAGTGGAATGTGACGATACGATTTTATTTCTCGCGTGTCTGCTAGTTGACTTATGATTGGCTCTTCTAGACTGGCCTTAGCTAGGCAGCTGTGCTTAAGCTAAGGGTTGCACTGGACGTCGCTACTCTCTACGATCTGGGTTTTAGTCCTCTCCACCTGTATCCCTGCTGGGACTCAGCTTTCTTCTTACGGTCATAGACATAAGAGGGTGGGTACCATTGCCCAAACACATTTCATATCTAATATTGTCTCATTGCCTAAACCAAGTCACAAGGCCAATCCCGAAGTCAGGAAATAGGGAGTTCCGTTCCCCTTCTTCTGGGAGAAAATTCAAAGTTACCTAGTAAAGCCTGTGGATACAGACAGAAGTGAAGCAATGAGAACACTAATTAATTCTGCCATGGGTATGTGTATCATACTTAAAACCATGAGCCTAGATGAAATCCAGAATGATTCACCTATTGCTTTCCCATCAGCTATATATGAGAGTTTCTGTTTCTTTTGCTCTGTGTTATTATTTTAAAACCGATTTGACAATGTGAGGGACAAAAAATAACACTTAACTACAATAATTGTATTTCTAAACCAAGGTAAAGGCATAGAAATCCTTGGAGTCACTGTGTGATTTGATTTTCCAGCAGGATTTTCTTTCAATGGTTTATTATGCCTTGGTCTAGTGACCAAAAAAAGAAACGTTTCCCAATAGATTTTATTCCCTTTTATATTTTTAACCATCTTTTTTATATTTAATAATTACCAGATATAAGAATAATTTCAAATAAGTGTGGGAAATAAGTGAGAGAAAGAAAATAATCAAAGATGACTCCAAAGCATTTTTTTGTGTTTGAATATGCAATGGCCATTAACTAGATGAGAAAGACAGGGAGGAGCAGGTTTGAAGAAAGATGTCAGAACTTCAGTGTTGGACATGATAAGTTTGAAATTTTAGAAATGTGGAATAGGCAGCTGGAGTTAGAGAAAAATCAGACACAGAGAAATACTTTTGTGAGCCCTTAACATTTTCCATCAACTATGTCTGTTTAAGAAACAACCATAGAATCTTATAACTCTAATCCAACTGATAGAGTTTACTCTCCTTTAGTCACTGCTTATTTATCAGAAGAGATTGTGTTTTGGTGAGGACCAAAGAAAACAATGGTGTATATTACAACTCTAAGAAAACCAACTGAATCTCAGCTCACACATGCAGTGTTGACAATATGATAAACCGTAAAGCCGCCCCAGAAAAACTTACCATGCTCCTTTGCAGATGGCGGGGCCTTCTCATTTTGAAGGCATTGTTGTGAGAATGTGACCTATGTGCCTCTCTGTGGTTAAAGGCTCACACATGCCTGTCCATTCACAGCAAAGAGCATTATGCACTGTTTACAATGCACACAATCTGTTCAAGGATTTTGAAATTCATTATGTGTGGGCTGCATATATTTTCATTGAGTTGAAAACACCCTTAAGGTTTCTGAGGTATTGTAAAAATACATACTTTTAGTGACTGAAATGTTTATCTTAAGAAAGGAATTACAATATTAGGATCACAAAGCATTTACATGCAAATCGTACATGGGTTTAGCATTGATCTTAGAAACAAGCACATGGACGAGGAGCTATGGGTAAAGCTTCAAATAGGAAAGAATATTTTATTTTCAGCAGTTGCACTGGATGACTATGCTTTCCTCTTGCATGTGATAAAGAGAACAGTACTGTATAGTTTTAGTGTAAAAATAGAAAATCCATTAAGGAATAAAGGCACTGTTCATTCCATTGCTCAAGAAAATATTTTCCTATTCATTCACAGTAGCTTTGTTCTATCGGAACAAGACTTTTTACATTATTTTGAATTTGATCCTAATAAATATGTGTACTGAGCTCTAAGAAACTAAACCACAATGATTGTATGTTTGAATTTAGTAAGTAATAGATTTATGATTTTCTTTCTTCATGTGCCCTGCTTTGACATCAAGCAGACTTGATCAATACACACATGCAGTATATGATTAGTTCGTTGTCTTTTTAGATTCAGAGGCAAAGCTTTCCTTTTTCCTAGTAAATGCCAAATATGCTTAGTGCTAAAAGTGTGTTTGTAAAGATAATTATATGGATGCTGGGCCATTATTTGGCTTGGAGAGTTCAGGAGGGGGAAGTCAAACACAGCTGGATTCAAAGGGGTCTTGATACCTCTTGGGAGACAGTTCCTCCAACTGAGTCAGAGTGAAAAGACTTCATATGCATGCAAAGCAAAAAGTTAAGTGTTATAATTAATTTAAGCTTTGTTAACATAAAATAAAATAATTAAATCCAAATAAAAGCTATTTGAAGGGCATGAACTTTCTAACATGATTGTGTTTTGATGTTGTCTCATTAACTACATATGTCAATTCCACAGTTTTTATTATATAGTTATCTAAAATGTTTATACAATCTGAAATGTGAAAGACATGTAAGGCAAATGATAGTCAACTGCAGTCTGGTGGTAGGTTAAGTAGATGGTGAGGATGAATTTTATAAATGCATTTTTCTAGTGCCTGCTTCTTGTTGTTAGGGCTAATATTTGAGGCAGCCATATAACAGTAATAAATGCATTGTTTTAAATTATATCCTAATTCCCAAGGATACTCAAAGATCAGTATTTCCATAAGCATTTTAAATATTTCCAAATGGCTTTTTCTAAAGTTCTGTGACAATTTGATCCAAAGTCTTCAAATACACAATTTGTATTAGAGATATGCAGGGTAAATAGGTAAGAAATCTTCATGTAATGACCTAAGTATAGTATAGACACAAGTTGTTGTTTTTTTTTTTCTTCTTCTTCTTCTTTTTTTTGAGACAGAGTCTTGCTCTGTTGCCCAGGCTGGAGTGCAGTGGCGTGATCTCGGCTCACTGCAAGCTCCGCCTCCTGGGTACACGCCATTCTCTTGCCTCAGCCTCCTGAGTAGCTGGGACTACAGGTGCCCGCCACCAAGCCCGGCTAATTTTTTGTATTTTTAGTAGAGACGGGGTTTCACCATGTTAGCCAGGATGGTCTCGATCTCCTGACCTCGTGATCCGCCTGCCTCAGCCTCCCAAAGTGCTGGGATTACGGGTGTGAGACACTGTGCCCGGCCTAGACACAAGTTTTTAAAATGACCTAAAGTGTGTATGTGTATGCATATAAGGTAAGGGGAGGAAGAAAGAGTGGGAGCTGGAGAAAGAGAGAGAGAATGACTATTGATACATATATGCCAGCTGTTATATTAAACAGCAGAAATATGCCAGCCAAAGAAATTAAACAAATAAACAGACCCTACCCTTGACAGCACACACACACACACACACACACACGCACACATCCATAAATCTCTTTTTACCAAGATACTGTAAAATTAACAGATGTTTAGTTTTGATTTGTGTGAAGATTTTATTAAATTGATTTGTGTCTATTTGTAGCTAAAACATTCCTTTTTACATTAACCATAATGTAAAAATGTATGATTGCATGAATTTGGCTTGATGTATCTTAAAATTTTAAAGCTGTCCCATTAGCAATATTTATATTGTCTATCTGAAAGGAGAGAATGGCATTTTGATATGGTCACTTGAGGCAGCTAATTCATTTTTACCAAGCTTCATTGACTCAGATTCTCACTTGGCTTGAATAAATTTTAGGATTAAGCTTTACTGTTAAAACTGCATCATGCCAGTGAATGGTATCTCAAAAAGGATTTCATTATCTAGTGTTAAATGAACTTTTTTTTCTCTATTTGTTTCTGTGAGGGGATGGGGTAAAAAGTTCTCACAGCTGCCAGACAAAGAATGACTCTATTTAAAGAGTGGTTGGAAGCACAAATGTTGATTATCTGAATGAAAGAATTTAATTAAGTTTCCTAAAGAACAGGATACTACTGACATCAATGATTGGCAAAATGAAGCAGGGAAATACAGTATTTAACATTACAATATTTTTCACTTAATGATGCCAGTATTAGATCTTGGCTGGTATCCTGGAATATGCACAATGGCTTGGCAACAAATTAATTATTTTGCAATTGCAGATGTGGAGCTTTGGGGTGTGAAAGTTTCTTTGCCAAGATGGTTTTGGGAAGAGAACCAAAGCAATCATTTTATTTCCTCATCTATGTGCATATCCTTGTTTATGAATATTGTTGAAATTCTTAACGTCAGATGGTCACAGGACCACAAGCTATATTTGATGAACCTCTGAAAGTGATTCTTTAACACAACAGACTGAAGCCAAAAAAGTGTAACTAGCCTGCATCCTAGTCCATAAAAATAACTTAAAATTTGTACAAAGTATCTTCCCATTGTTCATATCTCTATAAAGTGGATCGTTTCTATTAGTTCTTGATAATTATTATTTTAATGATATTTAAGGTCATATTAACTTTCACTGCACCTGAAAATTGTTATGATGGCTGGTGTTAATGAGAGTTGTAGATCATACCATTCTTATATACCCGTAAAACCCCCCACAACCCTAGAAGAAAACCTAGGCATTACCAGTCAGTACATAGGCATGGGCAAGGACTTCATGTCTAAAACACCAAAAGCAATGGCAACAAAAGCCAAAATTGACAAATGGGATCTAGTTAAACTAAAGAGCTTCTGCACACCAAAAGAAACTACCATCAGAGTGAACAGGCAACCTATAAAATGGGAGAAAATTTTCACAACCTACTCGTCTGACAAAGGGCTAATATCCAGAATCTACAATGAACTCAAAACAAATTTACAAGAAAAAAAACAAGCAACCCCATCAAAAAGTGGGCAAAGGACATGAACAGACACTGCTCAAAAGAAGACATTTATGCAGCCAAAAAACACATGAAAAAATGCTCATCATCACTGGCCATCGGAGAAATGCAAATCGAAACCACAATGAGATACCATCTCACACCAGTTAGAATGGCAATCATTAAAAAGTCAGGAAACAACAGGTGCTGGAGAGGATGTGGAGAAATAGGAACACTTTTACACTGTTGGTGGGACCGTAAACTAGTTCATCCATTGTGGAAGTCAGTGTGGCGATTCCTCCGGGATCTAGAACTAGAAATACCATTTGACCCAGCCATCCCATTACTGGGTATATACCCAAAGGACTATAAATCATGCTGCTATAAAGACACATGCACACGTATGTTTATTGCGGCACTATTCACAATAGCAAAGACTTGGAACCAACCCAAATGTCCAACAACAATAGACTGGATTAAGAAAATGTGGCACATATACACCATGGAATACTATGCAGCCATAAAAAATGATGAGTTCATGTCCTTTGTAGGGACATGGATGAAATTGGAAATCATCATTCTCAGTAAACTATCGCAAGGACAAAAAACCAAACACCGCATATTCTCACTCATAGGTGGGAATTGGACAATGAGAACACGTGGACACAGGAAGGGGAACATCACACTCTGGGGCCTGTTGTGGGGTTGGGGGAGGGGGGAGGGATAGCATTGGGAGATATACCTAATGCTAGATGACGAGTTAGTGGGTGCAGCGCACCAGCATGGCACATGTATGCATATGTAACTAACCTGCACATTGTGCACATGTACCCTAAAACTTAAAGTATAATAATAATAAAATTAAAAAAAAGAAAAAAAAACCCACAAATGGGTAAGGAACCTCAACATTATAGTCATCAATACAGGAAATATTGATACCAGTATTGGGTCTTGGGTATAAAATGATACCTAACATAGTATTATTATAATAATATATACCCTGATAATCAGTCTAGCACTTATATATGGCTCTGTTAGAGAAAAATATGAAGTTGACCATAGTATTGAGGGTCAAATTTCTTTTTTTATGATAGACCCTGAATACATCAATTGTAGTTAAGAACTGTACATTCATCTTTTTCTGTGTGATTTCTGTGTAAATGGAATTAAGTCACTGAGCAACAGATTCAAGGTAATATTAATTCTAAAACTAGCTTTGCCGCTTGCTTGTGGTGTGAAGTCCAAAAATATCTTCTTTGAGTCTAAATGTCTTAATTTGATAAAAACAGATAATATTAAGATCTACCTTAAAGGATTTTTTAAAGATTAAAATATGATATATGTGTAAAGCATTGAACACATTCCCAGAACAAAGTTTGTATTTTTATAGATGTTAGCTATATAATTTGACACATTTCTATATTCACAAATGTATGCATATACATTACATATAATTACATATGCATACTTATATGCATATGTTGTCTAAATATATACAAATATGAATGTATATCCAAATTATTTTAGATTTTCTTCTTCTTTTTTTTTTTTTTGAGGCAGAGTCTCACTCTGTCACCCAGGCTGGAGTACAGTGTTGCGATCTCAACTCACTGCAACCTCTGCCTCCTGGCTTCAAGTGATTCTCCTTCCTCAGCCTCCCAAGTAGCTGGGATTACAGGCGTCCGCCACCTTGCCTGGCTTATTTTTGTGTTTATAGTAGAGATGGGGTTTCACCACGTTGGCCAGGCTGGTGTTGAACTCCTGAACTCAGGTGATCCGCCCACCTTGGCCTCCCAAAGTGTCGGGATTACAGGCGTGAGCCACCACTACCGGCCTAGATTTTCGTCTTACTGCATAAAGTATAAATCAAATATGCTTATTTAAACATGTACCTAGCATACAGATCTTTCTTCACCTGCACCCAACCGCCCATTCCTACATCTCTTCCATATCCAACACATGTAGTCATTTACCTAATATTATGCATACAATGAGAGCTTTGTTTGAAAATATGCTGAAAGTGTGTAATGTTGACTTCTGCTTCTCTGTCGTTAAGTGAAACCAAAGATAGTAGAAAAGCATCTATTTCACAGTTGGTATATGTAAGGTCCAGGGTGCTACTTTTGTTTACATTTGGCTAAACAATATGGCTTCCCCTTAAAAATTAGCTTATAACATAAACTTTTTACAATATCAACAGAAAAGAAAATAAGAAATTTAGGATAATTCTAAAGAATAAGCATCGATAACAGGATAAACATTGAACATCCATAGAAATGTAGAAACTACATATCCCCAATACTGTAATGTTGACAGAAACAGATGCGTAATTTCTTGCCAACTTCCCCAAAACTGTAACAAAGAATCTTTGTTTTATCTTACTTTCATCAGAGAGATCCAAGTATAACATACTGGCCTGTAATAATGCATGCATATTATTTGAAGATAACTTGGTATTCATTTGCTACTTTATAAAATGTAACCATAAACTTAATTGCAGTGTTCCCCAAATCTAGTGCTATGGAGTATATGGTCAACATTTATTTTAAATATTACCTAATACCACAATTACTGAAACATATTTCTTTGTACTACTCCTAATAATTTTATCTTTTTTTTCTGGTAAAACTATTGTCAAGGATTTATCTTTCTGTAAATATCCAGAATTATATATCCTCACACTTATACCAGAAACACAAAATCCCTGTCCTCTATTTTCTTAATGGACTCTTCTCAGTAGACTCTTTATTAACATATTAACCTAGACATTAATAAATATTCACAAGGGGATCTAATAAATTGGAATGTGAAAGAACTAAAGTTTCCACTCAAAAGCATTTTGAGTAGAGTTCATACACAAAGTATTATTCTAAGTTAGATTTTATAAAATAAAATAGGATATTTTAAGTTTAGCTAACATATTAATTAAAAGATTTAACAAGAAAATCTACCTCATGTTAGTATTAACAATCCTGTGGTTTACTTTCAAAATTGACCATTGTTCTGAGTTTAACCTCAGGGATATTGTGATAACAATGTAAAAATAAAAATGATGTAAAAAATTCCACCCCTTGAAGCTGAGCCAATGTAATTTATGATTAGGATGTTTTCTGTTCTTTCGTTGCTTATGCTTCCTAGAAATTGTTTGAGGTGTTTCTAAAACTTCTTCATGTTTAGACTCTATTTTTAAGGAATAAACTCAGCTTCTCTTTCTTATTTTATATCCTGAATCAAAAACATAACTAAACTAATGCCAAAATTAATTATAAAAAGATAAGTGTTTTCGCTTATTAATGATAAACAATGAGAGGAATCCATTGTGACCCTGAGATATGTTGTGTTACTAAACAGTTAGCTTCTGACATCATTGCCTGTTCGTTCTGTGATGTGATGGGACATCTGTGGTTCCACAGTATTTTATGTGAAGCATGGCACCCCGAAGGCTCTGTGAAACAGTGATAACCTGGGAATATTCTAAATCTGAATCTCTTGAGGCCAGTCTCAGCATTTCTTTGAACATTTCTTTCCTTGGTTTTTAAAATCTAGATCCACAGAATGACCTTTAATTTTTGATCCCTAGGAGTAGAATTTTATTAGAAGTTATCATGGCTTAAGGAACAGGAGATGGAGCAAAGGAGCTATTTACTATGGTTGTCAGGACGTCTTGGGGAGATGCTATTACATCTGGTTGTGTTTAATGTTTTTGTTATTGATACAAAAGGGCTGTTGAAAAGCGCATTAAATTAATCTCATGGGAGATACTGCAGACTACAAAGGCATATGAAAAACAGTACAAACAGGATAACAGGAAGGAAAGTATATTTTCTTTGGACTATAAGCCCTAGCACAGTTTTTTTATTTTTTTACTTTTAGTTGACATAATCACTACATATTTATGGGACACAAAGTGATATTTCAATACATGTATCCAATGTGTAATGATCAAATCAGGGTAATTAGCATATTAATCACCTCAAGCACTTATTAGTTCTTTGTGTTGGGAACAGTCAAAATCCTCTCTTCTACTTTTTTGAAAATATAAATGATTGTTAGCTATATTTACCCAGCACTGCTATAGAACACTAGAACTTGTTCCTTCTTTCTAGCTACAATTTCATATCTGTTAACCAACCTCTCCCTATCCTCCTCTCCCCTCCACCCTTTCCAGTTTCTAGTAACCACAATTCTACTGTTTCTATGAACTGAACATTTTCAGCTCCCACATATGAATGAGAAGATGCAGCATTTATCTTTCTGTGCCTGACTTATTTAACTTAAAAAAGTTTTCCTGCAGGCTGATGTATGTTGCTACAAATGACAGAATTTCATTCTTTTTTATGCCCGAATAGTATTCCGTTGTGTGTGTGTGTGTGTGTGTGTGTGTGTGTGTGTGTGTGTACCATATTTTCTTGTTCCATTCATCTATTGATGGACATTTAGGCTAATTCCATATTTTGGCTGTTGGGAATAGTGCTACAATAAGCATGAGGGTGCACTTATTGCTTTGATATACTAATTTCCTTTTGTTTGCATAAATACACTGTAGTGGGATTGTTGGATCATGTGGTAGTTCTACTTTTAGTTTTTAGATGAATTTTATTCTGTTTTGCATAATGGATATATTAATTTACATTCCTACCAACATTGGTCTATGCAAAGATTTTGTGGGTAAGACTTCCAAAGTACGGGCAAAACAAAAATAGATAAATGGGACTATATTAAACTAAAAAGGTTCTGCACAGCAAACAGTGAACAGAATGAAGAGACAACCTATGAATGGGAGAAAATATTTGTACACTACACATTTGAAAAGGGACTAATATCCAGAATATACAAGGAGCTCAAACAATTCAACGGCAAAGAAAGCTAATAATCTGATTAAAAAATGGGCAATGGATCTGAGTAGGCATTTTTTATAACAGACAAATGGGCAACAAGTATATGAAAAATGTTAAACATTCCTAATCATCAGAGTAATGCAAATTGAAACCATAATGAGATATGTCCCTCTAGTTAGAATGGCTATTATCAAAAAGACAAAAAATAAATGCTGACCAGGACGAGCAGCGTAGTATTTTACTGGAAAAAGAAACAAAGACACTCCCTTTCCACCCACCATTAGCCACCCAGCATTAAAAATTATTAATTCAAATGAAGAAATATCATGGTGGCAACTTACACAAATCTAATTTACTTCTCTAGAAAGAAAAAGTGATTTTAGGCTTAGATAAAAAGTGATGTTAGGCTTATATTAAGACTAGAAAGGTGAGGCAAGTAATTTGTCCAAGTACAGTAGCTGGTATCAGCATCTAAACTTGAACTCAGAACTGTCAGACATCAAATTCATATATGTTCCACTTACCTGGACTACTTTGCTTCCCAAAATGTAGAACTTAGAGCAAGGAAATCTAGTTAGGTTTTACTCGCAAAAGACACCAAGTATTTTAGAAGTATAACCCACTTCTCTGTGCTTCAAAACCTTAATCAGAGCTCATCAGGTTTATTATGTATTCCAAATAATTGTAAAAGCTAGAAAAATGTGATATATGAACTTGCCAAACTAATAAAACTTTAACTGGCGTAAGACAGACAAGTGAAATATATAGCAAATATTTAAAACAATATTAACATAAGAGTTTTTTTAAAACAAATGATTTACATAATCATCGGTTTATATTCAAAATCTTAAAAGAATGGAAGTGTCTATTTGTTAAGGTCAAAGTCAGTAAGGAGATTATAGGAAGAAAATAAGGAATATAGGAATAAATCTGTCTTCTCTGTATTCATACTAACATTCTATTATAAATTATCCACAAAATTTAAAAGGAAATATAGTATTATAATTAAGAGAATGGATTCTGGAGCCTCACTGCCTGTATTTAAATAGCTTACCAACTTTTGCCAAGTTATTTTTATTTCTCTGTTAATTTGTAAAACCTTGTTTTTTCCTCCATCTGTAACACAGGCACAATAATTACAAATAATATGTTGTGGTACAAATGGTACAAATGCACATAAATCACCTTAATCCCATATCTAGCAAAAATCAGCTGGGCTATAACACCGAATAAATGTTAATTATTATTATTAGCTATAAATTTATATTTCAAAATTAGTGGGATCATTACTATATTCCAAATTAGATTTGGTAAATGGCAAATACGTTTTTCTTGACTAAACTTTACCAAGTGCATTAGTGCTAACCTAGAGTGTCATCTGTATGTTTAAGCGGAATTGGGCTTAGTGCTAAGATAAAAGTGTACCCCACAAATCCCCCCACAAATCCTTGATGTTATGTTCAAAGTAAGATAGTAAAATAGAGTGAGCTAACTTCAAAGTAATCCCTAATTGAAAGATAGATATTTATTCACCAAAAGACGTTGTCTTCTTCTTATTTTTGAGATATTCATCTGGAATTCGCCAGTGGCATTTACAAACATATCCACAATGAGTCAGTGCTTGATAACCTTCACCAGTTGCCCAAGAATTCAATTTGAGAAAACAGGCATTTGGAGCCAAACCTGATGAATAAGGTGATTGATCAAGACTGGGTTAATTGAAATGATGAGACTAATTTTTGTGTGTGACTCATAAAAAGTTCGGAGAACAATTCCAGTATTTGGGGTGATGGCAGCAATTCATATGTTCCAAGTTCTTTGCCACAGGTTTATGTGCTGACTTTCAAAAATGCCCAGGGTGATTTCAGGTTAAAACACACTTTTTTTTTTTTTTTTGCATTGATATCCTTGAGTTATGGGTAGAAAATCAGTGTCTACTAACTTAAAGCCACGTGTTTATCAACTTTGATCATCAGTTTAAAAAAGATATCAGTAAAGGACAAGAGCTTAATGATGCTCTTCCTGCAAACACAGATGTCTGCTGATGAAGATTCTCAGAGGCCTTTATTTATCCGCATGTTTGGAGCTGTCTCTACAAAGGGACAATATTGAGAGGGAATGGTAAAAAGGAAAGGCAAGCATCATTCCAGAGAGGCTGCGAAGAATTTTACATGATGAAAAGTAGTTTCAAAGATCAATGGATAGAACAATTGGAAGGGATCTTTGCAGATCAAATTGCTGAAAGGCTTTTTAGATTTGGCCTCCCTTAGCTGTGTGATGCTCTCCTTAAGGACACATTGTCTCCTGGCCACCTTCATGCTTGACTTGAACTCTTTTGGACTGTAGACAATGAAGGCAGGAATGCTTTTTTGTGCAGTTTTCCCAAATGAGTGGGTTCCAATTTAGTTCTTAAACTTATAACTAGAGTTGAAAAATAAAATGCAGGTTAAAAATAGCCCAAACTGTTCGTTAACACTCTTGGAAGCAATGTTTTATTTTATCACCTTATTTTTGTTGTACTGTTTTGCCTTTTGTGAGTTTCTAATTACCCTTCCAGTGACCTTCTTCACTGTTGCTCTGATAATAGTCACTTTTTTCATGGGAATTTGGCAAAGGATGTCAGACCATGCTATAACCCTGTTCAGTTGCAGATGGATGAGGTGACGTCTTTTTGCCACCTGCTGGGGAGCAGTTGAGAGGCTGCCTCCTCATTCACCCTGAGAGTCACTGTTGTCTGGAGACTCTCAGGCAGCAATTGTAAATGAGACTCTTCTGTGGCCTCCTTCTTTAAAGCCTGAGCAAGTCTTTCTGTGATGCACTATAATTCTTTTTTCCTGGGCACCAGGATCAAAGTCCTTTTAAACTAGTGTCTCCACAGCCAGAATCAAGCTGGCTTTCTCTCCCGAAAAAAAATGTTTATTTCCATATAAAAAGATGATCTCAGTTCCCCACAGATGATATAAAACCAATCAATCATTTACATATATATTACATCAACTGGTTTTTGTCTTGACAAGAAACAACAATCTCAGCTTCAAACAGCTTTCTTAAATACAATCCATGATTGCATATAGATTTCTTCCCGCATATAGAAAACCTAAGAGAAGCAAAGAAAAAACTGAGTCTGTGTTTATTATTGTTTATTTCATAGGAGAGTTTTCTTTATTCCTCATTTTTCAATAGTGTGCTTTCTACACACTGCACTTAGAGATTTAGTACCCATTTGTGTACTTCCCCATTAGGGAAACTACCTAAAAACATGTCTGTGGTAGCAGGAATTTTATGTGAAAAGAAAATGTTACCTAAATAAAAAAGTAACTTTTGAAGAGCTTTTATTTCTTTAAAAAAAAAACAACAATAAAATTGGGCCACTACCTGGAGGTGTGCCTATCATTTTTATAGCAGCAAAGTCTGAGTTTGTTATTTGAGAAATATTCATAGTGAGAGCAGCAGCTATTATAATTTATAAATGTTTGTTTTCCCTCTTGGATTAATCCCAGAGTGTCAGGGAGAATGAACTTTAACTAAGCATGCACTGGTTTACTAGGAGGGCTGGTGGAATTATAAAGAGAGCAAGGGCTTGAGAAACTATCCCATGGATTTTGAATGCTATTTCTGCCACTTTACATCGGACAATCTCGGGCAAATTGCATATTCCTTAAATCTCAGTTTTCTTGAAAGAAAACCCAACTCTAAAATGAGCAAAAAATTTTCACATTTTCCCAAAAAAGATAAACAAATGGCCAAAAAGCACATAAAACATGTTCAACTTTGACTGGTCTTTAGGAAAATGGAAATAAAACCAAAATAATATATCATTTTATATCCATTATGATGGCTACTATTAAAAAAAGGAAAAATAACAAGTGTTGGTGAGGATGTGAAAAATTAGAATCCTTGTGCCTTGGCGGTGGGAATATGAAATAGTGGCAGCTACTGTGGAAAACAGTTTGCCTCAAAAACTTAACATAGGGTGACCACATGATTCAACAATTTAACTTCTAGATATACTCAAGATAACAAAGCAGGGATTGAAATAGACACTAGTACACAAATATTCATAGCAGCATTATTCACAATAGCCCAAAAGCGAAAATTATACAAATGTCCATCTACAGGTGAATAAATAACATGTGATATACAATGGAATATTATTCAGTCATATGAGGAAATTCTGATACATGCTACAACATACATGAAACTTGAAAACATGGTAAGTGCAGTATGTCAGACAAAAAATGAAAAATATAGTATGATTCCATTTACTTAAGGTACCTCAACTAGGCAAACCAATGTCTGGGGAGACTGGGAAATCAGTAGTTTTTATTTAAGTGGTTCAGAGTTTCTGTTGGGAATGATGAAAAAGTTCTGGAAACAGATGGCAGTGATGGCTGAACAACATTGGGAATGTACTTAATGTGATTGACTTGTACACTCAAAATCGTTAAAATGGTGAGTTTTATGTTATATATTTTACCACAATTTAAAAAAAACCCTCAATTTTCTTCTCAATAAAATTAGAATTTTAATTTTATTAAAATAAAAATGATAACTACCTTACATAAAAAGCATATATATGTATATATATATACACACATATATATATATAGCAAGACCTAGACAAAGTGGCAGACATCTGTGATTTCACTGACTGGCATTACCATACTTTTGGGATCAGTATTCTGATTTCCATTTTGGTAAGCCCACCATCTCATCTGATTTGTTTCACTACATACCAGCTGATATAATTTGGATGTTTCTTGCCTCCAAATCTCATGCGGAAATGTGATTCCCAATGTGGGAGTTGGGCCTGGTGGGAGGTGTATGGGTCATGGAGGTGGATCCCTCATGAATAGCTTGGTGCCATTCTCATGGTAATGAATGAGTTCTCACTTTGAGTTCACCTGAGATCTGATTGTTGAAAAAGAGTGTGGCACCTCCCCTCTCTGTCTCTTACTCTGTCACCATCTGATACATCCAGTCCCCCTTTGTGTTTTGACCCTCACCAGAAGCAGTTGCTGACACCACACTTCCTGTATGGCCTGCAGAACTATGAGCCAAAATAAGTCTCTTTTTAAAATAAATTATCCAGCCTCAGGTATTTCTTTACAGCAACACAAATGGACTAACACAGAAAATTTGTACTGAGAGTGGATGTTGCTATGAAGGTACCTGAAAATTTAGAAGTGGCTTTGGAACTGGGTAACAAGCAGAAGTTGGAAGAGTTGGGAGGGCTCAGAAAAATATAGGAAGATAAGGGAAAGTTTGGAACTTCTTGAGACTTGTTAAATGGTTGTAACCAAAATGCTGATAGAAATATGAATAGCGAAGTCCAGGCTGAGAACATCTCAGATGGAAATGAGGAACTTGTTGAGAACTGGAGCAAAGGTCACCCATGTTACGCCCTAGCAATGAACTTGGCTGCCTTTTGCCCATACCCTAGGAATCTGTGGAAGGCTGAACTTAAAAGTGATGATGTAGGAGAGGCGTCCCCAACCCATGGGCCATGGATGGGTACCTGTCTGTGGCCCGTTAGGAATCAGGCTGCAGAGCAGGAGGTGAGCAGCAGGTGAGCAAGCATTACCATCTGAGCTCTGCCTCCTGTCAAATCAGTGTTGGCATTAGATTCTCACAGTAATGTGAAACCCTGTTGTGAACTCTGTATGCAAGGGATCTAGGTTGTGTACTTCTTATGAGAATCTAATGCCTGATCTGAGGTGGAAGAGTTTCATCCAGAAACTATTCCCCCACCACCAGTTTGTGGAAAAATGCCTTCCACAAAACAGGTCCCTGGTGCTAAAAAGGCTGGGAACTGCTCTCCTAGGGTATCTGGCAGAAGAAATTTCTAAGCAGCAGAGCATTTCAGATGTGGCATGGCTGCTTCTAACAACCTGTGTTTAGATGTGAGAACAAAGAAATAACTTAAAGTTGGAACTTTTAATTAAAAGGCACTAGCTGGGTGTGGTGGCTCATGCCTGTAATCCCAGCACTTTGGGAGGCTGAGGCGGGTGGATCACGAGGTCAGGAGTTTGAGACCAGACTGGCCAAGATAGTGAAACCCCATCTCTACTAAAAATACAAAAATTAGCCGGGTGCAGTGGCATGCGCCTGTAATCCCAGCTACTCAGGAGGGTGAGGCAGGAGAATCTTGTGAACCAGGGAGGCAGAGATGGCAGTGAGCCAAGATCACGCCACTGCACTCTAGCCTGGGCAACAGAGCAAGACTCCATCTACAATACAATACAATACAATACAGTACAGTACAATACAATACAATACAATACATAAAAAATAAAGTAAAATAAAATAAAATAAAATATAAGAAAATGCTCCATGCTTTCTTTACTGCCTGCAGAACCATGAGCCAAAACAAACCTCTTTTCTTTATAAATGACTCATTCTCAAGGATTTTTTTTTTATAGCAGTGCAAATGGACTAACACAACAGCTATAGGTTAGCCCCCAGCTGGCTTAGGGTTTAAGGATAGACTTAAACTCTACATTGATGCAATCAAAATGAACCTTGGAAATCCTTACTGAAATGCTGGGAAATAATGTCTTCCTCTCTCATGGAGTCACAAGGGCAACTGGTGACCATCTTGGGACTGCAGTGGAAAGTTCCCAAGAATGTAACAACATCACAAGTAGACAGAAAAGAGAAATAGAAAAAAATCTATCCTCAGTCTTATGGGCTTAGCTACCAGATCAGGCAGGTTTTACTTAAAGGCAGTCATATCTTGCTCTTTTTCAGTTGAATTAACACATTGCCTTTTCTTCCTTTTTTTTCCCCTTTGCTTATGTTATTTGGGTGTTTATTGGTTATAATGGTTCTTGATATAGTAGGCATTTAATAGACCTTTATGTAATATTTTCTTATCCCAACACCTGAGAAAGAATTTCATCTCCCCAATTCATCCAACCTAACTCAAAGTGAATTCTCCTGTGCTTATACATAGGTCTTTTAATAATAATAATAGATTATGTGAAAATGTGATAGGGTACTTCCATAGAAAGTGAGAATGAGAATGCAAGCAATGTCATATATTTTCATCCTCTAAAATAATATAGGTATCATTTGAATTCCTAAAGAAAAAATGTAATCCAGTCTATCCATATGAGGAACAAGTAGGTAGTTAGTATCTTGTTTATGGATGACCATCACTGTATTTTAAAGATACTGGGGTCTTCTCAGCCTCCTTGTTACAAATAAAAACACTTCAACCATGTAACATCATTAAGATTTACAGGAAAGCCTCATAGTCAGTTCCTATGACTACTCAACAAATCTGGTATTAGCTCCCAAGTGAGATAATCTTAAAATAATGTCATCTGTATAAGAAAGTTTTGTTTAGAACATGGTGGAAAGCCACAAAGGAAGCACCATCCTCTAAGTAGGCAAATTGGATATTATGTCCACGACTGCAAGCTCTTTATCAAAGCCTGTTTATACAAGTTATAAACACTTCTACTGAGCATGTTTAGCTGGTTTTTGAACACTCAGAGAAACTTACAAGTGGAGGAAATATTTGCTACCCTGTCAGCATGTTATCTGAAGTTCCAGAAAGATTTGGGGAAGATTCTTTTTTTCTTTTCTTTCTTTTTTTTTTTTTTGGAGACAGAGCCTTGCTGTCACCCAGACTAGAGAGCATTGGCAAAATTTCGGCTCACTGCCACCTCTGCCTCTGGGTTCAAGTGATTCTCCTGCCTCAGCCTCCTGAGTAGTTGGGATTACAGGTGCATGCCATCATGCCAGGCCAATTTTTGTATTTTTAGTAGAGATGGGGTTTCGCCATGTTGGCCAGGCTGCTCTCAAACTCCTGACCTCATGTGATCCACCTGCTTTGGCCCCACAAAGTGCTTGGATTATAAGTGTGAGCCACTATGCCTGGCCTGGGGGTAGGGAGGATTTTTCAATTTGTGAATAGTGAAACCATGTGGGGAAATATTTCAAATATTCGTGAATCCTAATAGAGCCAAGGAACATTACCAGAGTTTTGAAAAGCCTAATAGCTCTCAATGTGAACACTTCTGTATTCAACTATTAAGCATTTACTTGACATCTACTATATACAAGGCATTCTACCAATCACTTTTGGATATATGGTAAAAATACAGAGTCCCTGACTTCAAGTCATTAAGAAAAAGCTACTGTTTTGTTCATCTCCATTTGGAAGGAAAGGGAACAAGTTCAATTAAAATGGCTCTTTTTTAAAAGTTCTGTTACTGAAGAATAATTATTAAACTCTAAAGAAAAGTCAACTTTATCGAATGCATAGTTTCTCAACAATATTTGAAGTTTTGCAATATTTAAATAAAATATGCTGTACTTAATTTTTTCTGAAGAGGTAAAGTGATTTGGTAGTAAATACGCATGTACATATAAAACTGTATAGTGTTGGGCAAGGACTCTTTAAATATTCTTAGACTTATAATCCATGAACCACTTAAAGCATACTCATGGCCTTTGTTTAAAAAAATTGAGATTTTAGAACCACAAACCATAAAGTCAGGCCTGATAATCTGTATTTAAAATTACCTTCCTAAAATATTCTTGGGCATATTAAAGCTTCAAAATCCCTGATGTAGGTCATCAAGATGAGCAACATGTCCTCATCAACCTACATGTTAATAGACAACTTAGAACATATCTACAAAAGGTGTTAATATTTTTCTGCTTTAATCAATTTAAATTAAATTTTGTTTCGGCTTTAATCATTTTAATCAATTAAAGATGATTGTCCTGAGTTTTCATGAAGGTTTTAGGGAGGCAATGTATTTGAAATACTACCAGTGTGTCTTTTTAATCTTATAATTAATGTTTTCCCCATGTGCTGCCTCCTCTTCAAACACCTAGAATACTCTATCCTTTATGAACCCAGGAGACAGATGTGATCACATAAAAAGTGAAAAAAAAGTAACTTCTTTTTAATGATTTTTATATTTAAAAGCTAATGTCCTTTAGGGGAATAAAGCCAATCTTGGTTTAGAGTGGAATAAATCAGTGGCTCTCAAATGTAGCATGCTTTAGAATCACATGGATAGCTTGTTAAATCATGGATTACACTATCTCTTCCCCCAGTTTTAAAGTTTCTAATTCATAGGTGGGAGTATGGAATTTTTAACAAGTTCTGGGTGATGCCAATTTTGCTTGCACAGGAACTATATTTTTTTAATTTAATGAATACATATTTGAAAATTTTGTGTTTGAGGAGGGTCAAGGTTCTCTTCCTCACCTATGCAATTTTATACTCCCCAGTACCTGATTGACAGAAAAAATTGCCCTAGTTGGGAGAGGGAAATGAGAGATAAAGTGATCAAAAGGAAGCAGCAAAACCCAATATTTGTGAGATCTGAGAGAAAAGTGCACTCTCTGCCTTCAGGGACATAGTGAGACCTAGACTGGCTGCATAATGAGTTCAGGCAGATGGTTTTAGGCACAATCAGAGTGTAGGTCATGCCCTAGAGTAGCATGGAGAATGCAACGTGATTTCCATCACCCAGGGATTTCCATTGTGGGCAAAACTGTTTGGATCGGAAGAGGCCAGGTCACCACCCAAAAGGAAGATCTCCATGATGATATGCGAAAATTTTCTGTTATTCTGTAGATAACAGAAAAGACATTTGAGAACCAGGTAGTTCCTTCCTCTCCAATCCTTTAAAACTAGGTATGGATCCTGGAATTTAGAACTGACCTGGGAAAATGGGGAATCCAAGATTGACTGAGATTAGATTTTTACCACTCCAGTAGTGGATATGGGTTTAAGAACTAAAATAATTTTATAAAATTAAGTTTTATTTCTTACACAACTGAGAAATAAATTGAGAGCCAGATCCACTACATGGTGATTATAATTTGAAGTAATGATGATGCACAATTGGTGTATTTCATGTCTCTGTTTTATTCTTTGACCAGTACTATTTTCTAAAATGATTACAGATTCATTAAAAGAAAAGAAATTAAATTTGAGATACTGAACTCTCCTCTTAAATGATGTTTAGATAAAAATGCTTCATTTCATATCTACCTTTGCTGATAATGTGTCCTTTCATTCACCTAATCTGTGAGCCTGTCTGCTACTCACATCTGATATATTGTTTAGAATGAAAACAAAATAAGTCTAATGGAACAATACCACTCTTGCCTGCTATCTTAGCATTTGCCCAAGTTGCAGTGGTTTCATTTGTAGAAGGAAAATAAAGCAAACATCAGCTTGTCTGTGCCACATGAAATAATTTTAACCTGTGAGATTTTATGTAAGATTACTTTAACCTGTGAGAATTTATGGAGAACATGTGTCTGTGTTTTGACCTAGACAACCATAGTTCTGGTTGTCTAGGTTAAAGCCAAATTCACATCAACATATCTTTCATTTACTGCAAGATTTCAAGATAAGAGATGAAAAAAAGAATTTGGACTCTCTCTTTGTTGACATGCAAATCAAAATGAGATATTCAGCAACCACAAAAATAGATAGAAAACAACAATACAGCAAACCAATTCTAGAAGGAGACAAAGTATCAAACTAAAAGTTAATATAGAAATAATTAAGGCAGCCAGGTGTGGTGGCTCACGCCTGTAATCCCAGCACTTTGGGAGGCTGAGGTGGGCAGATCACCTGAGGTCGGGAGTTCGAGACCAGTCTGACCAACATGGAGAAACCCCGTCTCTACTACAAGTACAAAATTAGCTGGGCGTGGTGGCACGTGCCTGTAATCCCAGCTACTTGGGAGGCTGAGGCAGGAGAATCACTTGAACCCGGGAGGCGGAGGTTGTGGTGAGCTGAGGTAGCGCCAGTGCACTCCAGCCTGGGCAACAAGAGCAAAACTCTGTTTCAAAAAAATAAATAAATAAATAAAAATAAAAGAAAAGAAATAATTAAGGCAAAACTGACATTTCTTTATTAATATAACACTGCGCAATAAGTTTAAATTGATTTCATAGCAAGGGGTGTTATTAAGTTAGTCTTACAACAAACTAGAGAGAAAAATCAATTGTATCATCAAAAGTTATTTTGAAATTTTAGAATTCAAAATAGAGGGCAAAGAAAACAATACAAAAGCAAAATGAAATAAAAAACATTGCAACTCAGATTTTCACATTCTTTAGGTGTTAGCATCTGACATAGAAAAGTTTTTTTTACAAGTATTGTGATGAAAAATTTAATTCACCTATATGTTGGCTTATTTTAATTCATTTAATTGCAGTCAAGACACAGTTAGGTCCACATACTACATAGTGATAAAACAAGGGAAGTTTGTTTGTGGCAAATCTCTTATTATGTAACTTTTATATATTACGTGGCCAGAAATTCTCACCTTGATCCTCACTATTTTTTTGTTTCAGTAAAATATTTTTTAAAAAAAAAAGTCATGAAAAACTTTATGTAGTGTTTAATACGTTAAGACATATGATTTTTAAAAACTTTGTAATCAATATTGGTCACTATTGTCTGTCTCTGCCACATGCCACATCTCTCCTTAACCTATTTATAGCCTTCAGATTTCTGTTTTTAGTTCGTGATGGTTGTCATTGTCACTGTATGTGTGTGTGTGTCTGTGTGCGTGTGTGTGTCTGTGTGTGTGCATGTGTGTGTAGTCTCATTTTGTTATTATGTCCTCTGCCACTTTCTTTGTAAATGCAAAGAGGGATAAAAATTAAGCTTAATATGAAGCAAGTACTTGGCACCTGCTTTCAAAGAACTGTGAATCATAAATGGAAGACGGTTCATTCGGCTACCTCATAACTGTATTTAAGACCAGCCTGCCGGGTGCGGTGGCTTATGCCTGTAATCCCAGCACTTTGTGAGGCCGAGGTGGGCGGATCACTAGGTCAGGAGTTCAGGATGAGCCTGGCCAGCCTGGTGAAACCCCATCTCTACTAAAAATAGAAAAAATTAGCCTGGCATGGTGACGTGCGCCTGTAGTCCCAGCTACTCAGGAGGCGGAGGTGAGAGAATCGCTTGAACCCGGCAGTGGGAGGTTGCAGTGAGCCGAGATCGCGCCACTGCACTCCAGCCTGGGCGACAGAGCGAGACTCTGTCTCACAAAAAAACCCAGCCTGTGGATTATTTTAAATGTTACACTTTTCTATCCTGGATTCTCTGTTTGTTTATTGTTTATATGTTCTGTTTGTCCATCGAATTTTCCTATTTCTTGAATCGTTGTCAGCATATTATCCTTTACTCATTTTAACGTAGTTTTTCTTAATTTTTGAAATGTATTTGTAATAGCTACTTTGTAACTATTTTGTAGCAATCTTTGCTTAATCCAACATAGGGTCCACTCAAAATCACTTTCTATTGACTAATTTATTCCATATGCTTTTCAAATATGCATTTCCACATCACTCCTAAGTTTCTGGTCAAAGCTGGACAATTTTATGTGATATACTATAGTAAGACTGGATTTTGATTGCTTTTTCTAAAGGTTTTTGGATATTATTTTATTTTGTGATTTTGTTTGTGCCTGTACTTAAACTGTGGGATCTGTCTTGCCATGGTATTCAGCTATTTATATCTCTTTACAATATTTTTCTTCTTTTTTAATTCCTGATTTCCAGGGGTCATTTCCTTGTAGGCACTGCTATGTGATTAACCAATGGTTTGGGCAGAACTTACAGTCAAATGCCTCAAACCTATGAGGCTTCTATTTGACAATGTAATTGTGTATAGGTAAAAGAAAAACATTCAAAATTCAAGCAACTTTAAAGTCTGTTTCAGCTTTTACTTTCTGCCAGGCCCTTGGATCTCTCCTGCAAATATGTGTAATTTCTGAGTCAGCCAGGAATGTGTGCTTACCTACTCTTTCTATGGCTTTCTTATTTACAGGGTGTCCCTGTTACATTTCTGGATCATGCATTGCTTGTCCCAATTGGGACAGTAACCTCATGGTTGCAGAGATACAGGTTTTACTATTTGTTTCCTACTGAACTTGTTACTTTCACTGACAACACTACTAGACATTTGGTTTTACACTCTGCTCACAGTTGGATTATACCTTCTGCCTGTGCTGTATGCTGCCCAGCAAGGATGGGACTGTAGATTCCCATTGTTATTAGCCAGAGATCTAGCAGCTTTGTATGTGTAAACACTTCTCAATGTGTGCTTTCCCATTGGTCAAATGCTAGAGCCCTGAAATTGATATTACATTTTTTCCCAGGTTTTCACTAGTTTTGGGGGAGAGGATTCCCTTACTTATACTAATGTTACTAAAATTGTTGTTCCATTCTTTTATTTTTTTTTAAGAACCTCTGATTCAGAAATAATTTGAGATTTACAGGGCAGTTGCAAAGACAGCACAGACAGTTCTTGTGTATTTCTCACATTTCTTCCCCTGTGTAACATCTCATATAACCACAGAATTTAAAAATTAACATTTGTAGGATTTTTAGACTCTATTTGGATTTCAACAGTTTTCCCATTGGTTTCCATTTTCTGTTGCAGGATTGAATTCACAGGTCCATGTTGTATTTCGTTGTCATGTCTCCTTGGTTGGCAATATATGAACGTATCTCAGTCGTGGAAGACATTGACACTTTTGAAGAGTACAGGTCAGGTATTTTGCAGAATGTACCTTAACTGGGGTTTTCTTATGATTAGACTCGGGTTGTGGAATTTGGGGAAGAATATCACAGAGGCCAGGTGCCCTTCTCATCACATAGTATAGGGGTACATGATATCAACATGACTTATGACTGGTGACGTTCACCTTGATCTTTTGATTGTAAGGCAGTGTCTGTCAGGTTTCTCTACCGTAAGCTTTACAGTTTTTCCCTCTCCATACTTAGTTCATTAGAAGTAGGTTACTAAGTTCAGCCCACAGTTAATGGAGAGAGAATTATGCTATATCACCTGGAAGGAGGAAGGAATATCAAAGTTTAAAGTTGTGTCAAAACCACGTGGTAATGAATAAATGATTTAAGGGAGGTATTTGAGACTCTTCTGTAAATATCTATTTCTTCTTAAAGTTTTATTCACTAATTTTTAGCATTAATCAGTGAATCTTCACTGCAATAATTATTACTGTGGTATTTAATGGTGATTTAAAACAAATTTACTAATTCTATATTTATTATTTGGATTTTTCTGTAGGCATTATTTTCTATTATTTTTGAAACCAGTTTTTCTGCCTCATTTATTTCAAAACATAATTCCTCAGATTCACCATGAATTGTACAACACTGTGGCTTTAAACATACGTGCCATGGGAATAGTCTGGAATACCTTTCTCCTGTCTTGTTATCAAACACGTTTTACTGCAAGAATCAATGAAATGCTCTTACTAACGTCTGAAGTCTTGACTTACAATTTTTACCATCTTTAGGAAAATGATTATACTATGGATTTGTGTCTTCAAAAAAGATATATTGAAATTCCCAGTATTTCAGAATGATACCTTATTTGTAAATGAGGTCATTGCACATATAATTAGTTAAGATGAGGTCATACTCGGGTAGGGTGGTTCTGTTATCCAACAGGACTGGTATTTTTATGAGAAAAAGACACAGAGACACACAAGGGGAGAGCTCCATGTGACAACAGAGGCAGAGATGGGAGCTGCAAGCCAAGGAACACCGATTGCCAGAAACCATAAGGAGCTAGGAAGAGACAAGGGAGATTTTTCCCCTGCAAGTTTCATAGGGAGCACAGTCCTGCTGATACCTTGATTTTGGACTTCTAGTCTTCAGAACTGTGAGACAATAAATTTCTGTAATTTTAAATCACCCGGTTTGTGTTACTTTGTTACAGCAGCCCTGTGAATCTACTACAATTTACAAAACAACACAGTTTAGACCAAAATGTGAAATATTAAGTTAAACTTGTCACAGCCTCAGAATGTGTAACTCTAAAATTAAAATTGGTTGAATGCCCTTTTTAAATTTTAGAAACTCAGAGAAACGCTGGCTTTTTCTTTGGCATAGAATTTTATTTAAAAGATTAGTCCCCAAGTTCGGAAAATTTGTAGTATATTTATGTGATGTCAATGAGAACACATATCATTTTAAGAGATATGTAGATGTTGACATCATTGTAAAGAATGAATTTAACTGGAAAGTGAAAAAGTTAATCAGTATGCCTTTGAAAACAGAAAGATCATAGGAATTAGCTTGTTTTAATATTTACATATTTTTGAAACTAGGGAAAGACAAAAAATTATAGAGTGCATGGTTTGAAAGATGGATTTAGAAATTATCCTATTACTAATTAAAATTACTAATTATTAAGTAATTATATTACTAAATTACACATTGTTTAATGTAACTAACATTCATTAATTATCCAATATGTGCCAGGCACGGTGCAAGGTGCTGGAAATATAAATATCCACAAAATAAATTCATTTTCTTTATTTAATAATTAAAAAGCAACTCAAAGAGAGGAAAGGCAGAATAACAACAAAGTCATTCATGTTTACCCTCATGTGATTGTTGAATTACTGTATACTCTTTATTTCAGCTGACATTAAAAAATTGCATTTTATGGAAACTCATGAAAGTTTATGTGCATAAGGGAAATTAAGAAAATAAGAATGATTTGTGATTAAATAATGGCTTAGATTTATTTCAGATTAGATCATTCAGATGTCAGTAACGGTATTTAAGTACACTATATGCAATGGTGTGAAAATACGTAAGGTAAAAAGTTTCCGATTAATGCAAAATTTATTCAGACTACATAGGAGGAAGCATGACAGGAAAGAGAATATACGCCATGGAGAAAAATGATGCAGGGAGGGAAGAGAGAGGGTGACCAAGACTGGACGAAATTAAAGTTCGTGAGGCAGGAGCATGTTTACTCTTTTAGAGGAATTGCAAGGAGGCCAGTGAAGCTAAAACAGAGTAATAGGCAAGAATGAAACATGTCGATTAAGTCAGTGAATGGCTGGATTATGCAGGACCTTATTGACCATTATAAGGATGTTTGCTTTATTCTGAGACACAGAAAAATCACTGAAAAAATTTGAGGAGAAAAAATGATCTCATAATCATAGAAGTGATGATACGTGTAAACACTACAAAGAGACTGCTTTTCTGCAGGCATTAAGGCCAGGGAGAGAAACCCAGGAAGAAGTGAGCATTAGTTGTAACTCTGTGTAAGTGACTTTGTTTTCTTCTTTGGTATGTTTAAAACCTTTCATGAAGTGCACTTTTTTCCCTGTTGCTAAATCACAGAGTTGGGCTCTGCTACCCTGAGACTATGTTTAAACTTGATTATAAGACACTGGTAGATAATGACGGCTGTAATAACATCCTATCACCATTAAACATAAAAGCTGATGATAATTACCAGCCCATCTTGACATATGTTATATCATTTTCTGAAAAACGTGTTTTTGTTGCTTGCTGCTTCAGGAAAGTAAACATATTAGACTTTGGACGTCATCACCAGGGTGTTATTTTTGGATAGTTTTAAATATGTTATGCTCTATGATTGGTAAAGAAACTGCATTATATTCTATGTGTAAATAAGTATAATCTAGAAAATACTTTTTAGAAATGGCTAAACTTGACCGTGTCAATTTCTGTCTTGTTTCTAGCATGTGAAACATCTAAACCACCAGTAGTGATCTAACATATAAAATAAGACATTGAGCCTAATGATTTTTTGTTACAATTTCAAATGTGTCATTTTCATTGCTATATCACATTGTACAGTGAACAATAGTGGTAGAATTTCAGATGTTTATGAATACATGTAAAAGATGGCTCATGGAAATCAGAATGAAAATAGGTTATGATGCAGGACTCTTGTAGGCTCAGAGACAAACAAAACACCTCCAAACTCAAAAAAAATCCACACATTTTTGACCACTCGCAAGTAAATTTTCTTTGCCAAGACACATAGGGAAGAATGAGTAAACAGAAGATGAGGAATTATTTCAAATAGTAAGCTCTTAGGTTCTTAGTCATTGGATGCATGAAAAGCAATTAGAACTCTTAGATATACAGAACCCAGGCTATAAATGTAAAATATTCCTCCTATCTTGATCCTTTACCCATGTCAGATATCATGAAAATACCAACATTATTTTCTTCATAGTTAGAAATAGCCTCAAAACCTTTCTTACAGATTACAGTGACGTAGGATTGAAACTTTTTGTTATCCTTGAGCTAGGGCTCTATTTCTCAACACCGACACTATAGACAATGTGAACCAGATAATTCTTTGTTTTACACGGCTGTGCTGTGCATTGTGGGGTATTTAACAGCATCTCTGGCCACCACCCACTAGAGGCCAGTAGCAACTACTCTGTTTATCCCTACCCCCAAGTCGTGACAAAGAAAATGTCCCCAGACAATATTGCCATTGTTTGACAACCACTTCCCTAAAGATAGATATACCTAGTAAATAAAGGACTTTAAGATAAAGCATAGAAGAAAATTCTTAAACTTAGCTTGCTATGGTATTAGAAATGCCATCATCACCTTCTCTGTGGCTATTCTTCCCTCTAGCATGTTCAGCATGGTAACTTCTGGCTCTCACCCTGGTTTTTAAAATTTCATGTCCAGGCATCATCTGTCTCACAGCTTTTGCCTAGGAGATCCTGATGAGGTACTGAAAAGATATTTGGATATTAAAAACAATTGTCACTTTAACGTCAGTCTCAGGCTGATGTTATTTACTTATTTAATGAGTGAGTTTCTGCATTGGGTGATGGTATATAATTTTATATAGATCCTCATGTATGTTTATTTGTTTATACATATACACATATAAAATCTATCTGTATGAATAGACCTATATAAATAAATAGTTTTTTTTTTTGTTGACTGACTTGATTCTTAATTTAACTCTCGTATGTAGTTTTTAATTGTGATGTTTTGTGAAAGAAAAATTCAATGGATGGTAACAGTATTTGTCTTAGAATATGCTGAAAGCCAAATGAAAGGGAGAGAGTGAAGTCTCTGTAAGTAATATTGCATTTTGTTTTGCCATTTCCCTCTGTTTAGGAGCATCTATTGCTTTTAGAAAGCTAATGTTTAGTAAAGGAACCCTAAGAACAGGAATTAGGTAGAATGATTATTTATTCTCTTTTTAATAGCCACATGGTTTTCCCACACATACAGCTTCTTACACCGTCAATGGGAGTTCTATGCCAAGGACAGAGTGACAACAATTGGAAGGAAAATTGAAATTTACTTTTGTTGTTTAGATTATTTTGGTAACCATGGTAATGGAAGACCAATATAGCACTTTAACACTCAAAAACAAATTTAGGATAAGTTTTATTTATTGAGATAAATATTATGTTACATTGGGAATACTGGTATTTTGTGGCTGAACATTTTGGGCTTTAACAGATGGACAATTTATTTTTTCACCTTTCTCCTTCCAAAACTATAGGCAGCAGCATCAAGAAAAGGTAAAAGACTTTTAGATAATGCATTTAGTAAAAAAATAAAATAAAAATAAAAAAAAGTATTACAGAGAGATAGCAAAAATATATTGATAACACAAGTATATAGAATTCAATCAAATTTGTTTCTGAACTTCCTGGTAATTAGAGTATAAACACATAAAGTTATTTAATTTAAAATTGTGAGGATCATTATGGAGAATAATACTGTGAAAATAACTTTGACTGATGATTATCTGATTTTTTTAAAGTTACTTTTCTCTCATCAAAAGCCATGCTATAAGGATAAGCTTATTGATATCTACTGTTGTCCTGGAATAGTATTAAAATTGGACATACAAAGATATTTTTTATTTTACTTAATTGTACATTAGTGTCACCAAAATATTTGATAAAAGTGTTTTGCCAACATATTTTTTAAACACTTAACATTAAGGAATTCTATGTTTTATTTACATGGAGCACTCAATTCAGAGATTCTTTTCACAAGGAAATTTTGGCTCCAGATCTTCTATTCTTTCTTTGTTTCTTTCTTTCTTTTTTTTTTTTTTTTTGAGACACGGTCTTGCTTTGTCACCCACTGGAGTGCAGTGGCATAATCTTGGCTCACTGCAACCTCTGCCTCCCCGGTTCAAGCAATCCTTGCGCCTCAGCTTCCCAAGTAGCTGGAATTACAGGCACGCGCCACCACGCCTGGCTAATTTTTGTATTTTTAGTAGAGACGGGGTTTCACCATGCTGACCAGGCTGGTCTTGAACTCCTGACTTTAAGTGATCCGCCCACCTAGGTCTCCCAAAGTGATGGGTTTATAGGTGTGAGCCACCCCGCCTAGCCAGAGTCTTCTATTCTTTAAATAAGGCTGCCTTCTGGTAACTTGTCTGGGCCTAAAAGCCAAGAGTTTACACATTGTATAATTATACTATACAATGCCTGGCTTTCAAAATCTTTAGATTCAAGTCAATATACATTAAAAAAAAAAAAAACCCTTAAATTGTTTTTAAATTACTTTTCTCAATGACTATTTCAATTTACTCTCAGGAAAACCCTGTGAGACAACATAGATATTTTCTTCTTTTTTTAAAATAAAAAAATACTGAGGTATACAAAATGAAATATGATATAGTAGCATAAATGAAGCTAAATCTCAGGGGTTCTAGCTTTCAGTCCTTTTTCTGTATGTGACTGAGCGTTTGCTCTCTCTCAACACACACACACAGACACACATATTCTTGTATGATACACATACATATATGTTTTTATTTAGACAAAAATTTAGGGACTATCTTTTTTACTTCCTTTTCTATTTTAACTTTGGTTTAATGGGTTGATATTACACTGAAGTTTTCTTAAAAACATGTTTAGAGCTGCCAGTTTCTTTTTGTAAAGAAACTGATAGAACAATTTGATGTGTGATCTGTGTTTAATATTTAGGGCTCAAGGATCAGAAAGAAGAGTGTTATCCTAACATATATAGTTATGCTGACCCTATGTCCTAGTTTGCTTGGAATAGTATGAATTTATGCCTGTAGTCCTGAGATAATTATTAATAGCATTTCTTCAACTTTCAAAAGTGTCTCAGTTTGAGGACAATGTATGGTTATTTTACAGCCCTTCTCAAAGTCTCTGGAGAAAAAGGAGCGTTGAAAATAAGTATAAATATAAATTTAATCGATTCAAAAGTGAAACAGATGACTAAACTGTTCTTTAGGGCCTAGAGGTCAACTAGAGAACATAGCCTGGAATGGAACTGCTGAAAAGCAACAGTTATTCCAACGTATTGTGCTATTGTAAATGAAAAATAAAAGCTGAAAACAATGTCAGTCTTTATGTGGAGGCAGAAATGCCATAATACCTTCTCTGTGGCTATTCTTCCTTCTAGCTTGTTCAGCATGGTAACTTCTGGCTGCCATCCTGGACAAAAACAAGCAATATAATTATAAACACTCTTTCACTTTTTAGTTTAGTTCAGTTCCTAGAACTAGTAATGCTTTAAAGGGGTGAGGTGCCACTTTTAGTCTAGGAAATACAATGTTGCAAATACTAATTTTTAAAAAAATAAATGAGGAAGAAAATAACATCACAAACGCTACTCAAAAATCTTTTATACCATGCAACAGTTTTGGTAGTCATAATGACATCATGTGATTGACATTATAATAACTTAAATTCAATCACATACAAAAACTCTACATAAGGCCTCCCAATTTTATGTTATTGTCACAATTTATATCTATTAATATTGTGTATCTTTTAACATCTTTTTAGTTACAACTACTTTTAATACATGTGTCCTTTTTCATACTAGAGTTAAAAGTGATTACAGGCCAGTCAGTATTCCAGTTAACAATACTTCAGTTTTCCCCAAATGTTAACATTGTACCTAGCTTCAATACAGTTATCTAAACCAGGAAAATGGTTTTCTGACTGTATTAGTCGCCTAGGGCTGCTTTAATAGGTCTTGCAAAAGTACACATATACTTGTCTTATGACTCAGCAATTCCACCGTTAGTATTTACCCCAAAATGATAAGCAATTCTGCAAATATGCTTCAGTTTACATATTTAGACAAAAACTAAGTAAAATTATATGAACTCATGTCAACTCACATAGATAAAGCAGCTTATTAAGTGTATTAGATTCCTGGCAGTAGAACACTTCAGATTTTAGAGATGACATATTGCACAGTATAATAATTTAAGAAAGTCAATATGGAGTCTCACTGATCTATTTGATCCTTCTTTTACCCTACCATATTCTTTCTTTGTTTAATATTTTAAACTATAATTTTAATTTTCGTCGCAAAATATTTCAAATATATAAAAAAGTACAGAGAAGAATATGACACATTTCCATTTTATCTAGATTTAATGAGTAATATTATTTTGGCTTACTTGCTTATTTTGCTATTACTTTTTAAAGACATTAAATGTTTTAGAGGGACCCAAGACATCAGGCCCTCTCCCATTCCTCTGTTTTCTGCCAGGTAACACACATCTTGAGATGGTAGCTATATTTTTTCCTGCATGTTTTCTGGAAAACATATTGCATTTTATTAAATATACTTCATTTTATTTAATATGTGTACCATGGTAATATATCTTATTGTCTATGTCTTTAATATTTACACGTGTTATTTGCATCTCTTTTAATCTGTTTTATTCATTCACTTTTTTCAAGAAGCATTTGTGTTGATATATGCAGATCTAGTCACTCATTGTTATTGTCATTTCTGAAATGGAATACTGCAGAGTATGATCTCATTATCTAAATACACTACTGTTTATTCATCTAGTCTCCTATTGATGGGCATTTTTTTTGTTTCAGCTTTTTTGTTTTTGCTGTTACAAACAAATCCTTGAAAAATATATTTGTACTTGTCTCCTTGAGTATTTCTGGTGTGTATAGGATTTATGCGTGGAAGTGGAATTATTTTCATTACAGACTTTCCTCAACTTATGATGGGGTTACATCCCAATAAACCCATTGTAAATTGAAAATATCATAAATTGAAAATGCATTTAATACATTTGATCATCATAGCTTAGCTTAGTCTCCCATAAACATGTTTGGAATACTTACATTAATGCACATTTGGGCAAAATTGTATCCAAAAAATGCTGGCAACATAGTACACTGTAGAGTATAGGTTGTTATCCTAGTAGAGATCATGTGAACAACTGGGAGCTGTAGCTCACTGCTATTGCCTAGAACCTCATGAGTGTATCAAACGACATACCTCTAGCCTGAGAAAATATCATAATTTGAAATTTGAAGTATGGTTTATACTGAATGTGCATCACTTTTTTACTGTTGTCAAATCAAAAAATCATTAGTCAAATCATCATAAGTCATAGACCATCTGTGTTACTCTTGAAACTCTACTACTTCAAGCTACAGCTTAGATAAGAACACATCATTCTTTAAAGTCTGAGGGACGAAAGTCAGAGTCTCATTGAGTCTTCTCCTTAGCAACACTGAGTACTATCAAAACTTCAAGTTTTGGCTGGGCGCAGTGGCTCACGCCTGTAATCCCAGCACTTTGGGAGGCCGAGGCGGGCAGATCGAGACCATCCTGGCTAACACGGTTTCACCCCGTCTCCACTAAAAATACAAAAAAATTAGCCGGGCATGGTGGCGGGCGCCTGTAGTCCCAGCTACTCGGGAGGCTGAGGCAGGAGAATGGCATGAACCCAGGAGGCGGAGCTTGCAGTGAGCCGAGATCGCGCCACAGAACTCCAGCCTGGGCGACAGAGCGAGACTCCGTCTCAAAAAAACAAAAAAACTTCCAAGTTTCTTGCTAATTAGATATGAAATGGTATCATATTTGCTTCAAATTGCATGTTCTTGAATACTAGTAAAGTGAATTATTTTATCATGTGTTTGTTGGTCTTTTGGATTTTCTCCTTTGTAAATTGCCAGTTTTTAATATTCTGCCCATTTAAGAAATAGGTTTTTATCTTTTTCTTATTGGTTTGTAGGGGTTCTTTATAGTTGAGATGGTAATTCTTTGCAGAATATTTGCATTGTAGACATCACCCATCAGTTGCTTGTGTTTAATTTTGTTTGTGGTGAATTTTGTCATGCTGAACATATAAATACTTATATAGCGAATTCAAAATCTTTTCAGTTCTTTGATTTTGTGCACATTTTATTTTTAAATTTAATGTTTTTTCATGTTCTGAGTTCTAATCCTTCTGAAACTTATTTCTTTAGGTAACATAGTATCTGATTTTTTTCTATATTGATAGACAATCTTTACTCTCTCTTCAGTTCACATTTGTCATTTCTTAATTTCATTTATATCTAGAATTTGATTTCAGTGCTTGCTGCTTTCTTCCAATGACCTGTGTATTCCGTTGTTTCAATACTATATTTTATACAAAGTTTCTATGAGATTGCAGGAAGAAGAGGGTAGTTATTAACTGCCATGTTTCTGAAGTTGAAATCCAGTCATTTGCATTTCTTAAACAAATGTTCTTATTATTTCTAATTGCAAAGCAAAGGAGATTTTAAAGGAAGGACCTAGAAATCAGCTGTGTTACGGGGAGAGGAGTATCTTGTTCTTGAAAATTATTTGCCCCTAGAATGTCATTTGATAATGTATTTTGAGTAGAAGAATCATATGCCACTGATGTTGGTATAACTGTTCTTGTCTTTAGGTAAATCCTTTTAGGTAAATTCTATGTTTCTCCACTCAGCAGCCGTGTACAGTCATTAGGTTTACAGGGATACCCCTGTGTTTTTCACAGAAACCATTTCAATATAGTCTTGTGTTTTCTGTGTCTCATTTATGTGTGTCTATGCATGTATTCTTTTCCTGTTTCTCTTACATAAAACTATCTTGAATATGAATAAAAAGCCCCAAGATTTTTCACACCCTTGATTTTTTTCCTTAAAAAAATGGCAAACTCATGGATGACAAACTCTAACTGCTCCTACAAAACTTAGATTGTTACCTGGTGAATGAAAAAATAAGTGCTGGCCCTTTTCTAAGTGTTCTTTGTTTTTGTGATTATTTTTTGAGACGGAGTCTTGTTCTGTTGCCCAGGCTGAAGTGCAGTGGTGCAATCTCGGCTCACTGCAACTTCCGCCTCCCGGGTTCAAGTGATTCTCTGGCCTCAGCCCCTGAGTAGCTGGGACTACAGGTGCATGCCACCACACCTGGCTAATTTTTGTATTTTTAGTAGAGATAGGGTTTCTCCATGTCAGCCAGGCTGGTCTTGAACTCCTGACCTCAGGTGATCACCTGCCTCAGTCTCCCAAAGTGCTGGGATAACTGGCATGAGCCACTGTGCCCAGCCACACTAAGTGTTCTTGAAGTTGAATCACCACCTAACTACCATGAAAACCTGGGGCTTGAAGAGAAATTTATTAGAATTTAACAAAATAATGTGCATATGAAAAATCTCCATCTTAGGGACATCTTTAATTTTGTCCTTTATGGTCACTTAGATCTCATTTACATGTGTAACAGTTAGATGCATTAGAGCCTGTAATAAAACTTTAAGCCAGTGTTTTTGTCTGTTATTCTTTATTTCTTTCTTTATTTTTACTATTTGTTTCTAATGAGAAAATGTGTTAAAGAAGTTAAAATGCACCATCCTGGTATTCGCAAGTGATATTATCACTAAGTTATCTATGATTTGTGATCTGGGTGTTGCTTCTGTTGTAGTTGTTGTTTAAAGGTAAGAGAAGCTACAAAACTTATCTTGATTTTAAGGAAAATTTACCCACCTGCCCACTACACTATTCAAATCTTTCAATTTTAAATAATAGAAAACAAAAAAAGGAACAGGAGTAAAGTGTTCCTGGTTCCGTTACCTCCTTCTTTCCCAAATGCTCACATTGTACATAGCTTCAGTACAGTTATCCAAACCAGGATAATAGTTTCCTGACTGTAATAGTTGCCTAAAGCTGCCTTACTAGGTCTTGCAAAAATCCACATATAATTATCTTAGGACTCAGCAATTCTACCTTTAGTATTTACCCCAAAATAATAAAAACTTATAAGTACACAGATGCTTAATAATGGATGTTCACAGAAGTCATATTCATAATAGCTGAAACCTGGAAATAACCCAAAAGTACCTCAATAGGTGACCTTGAAAAATTGTGGTATATTCATCAGTGGAATTGTATTCAAAATAAATAGGAGTAAACTACTGATATTTACAACAGAGAGGAAGCATGAAGTATGATGTGTGAATGGAATTCATTTTTCAGTGTGATCCTCCGATAATGTCTTCCTTATGTTGCCAGATATTCTCATGATAGGAAAACTGGTACACTTTAAAGGATACTGACATTATAGAGGTAGAATTGCATTTTTTCACGTTATTCTTCTCTAGTGTTTATATATAACTCCTACTTTCAGAGCAAGGCCAATATTAAATATAGTGTTGCTCTACGTTCATTACCATGACACAGTACCCTACATCTGTGTTTAACTACCTTTTCTCCTTTTGAGAGTAGCAATTTGGGTAGTTGCACTGCCAGCCAAATGGCTATTACCTCCGCCTACTTTGAAAAAAAAAAAGCAAACAAACAGGAAAAACAGACTATAAGAAAAACAGACTATAAATAGAAGTATGTATCAATGTTATAAAAAGTGCAATGGAGCTGGCATTCTCTAGGGTTGTGAACAAATGCTTGATTTATATAAAAATACGATCCTCTAGATAGTTTCCAACTTATTATGCAAAACTCCAATTAGTTGTTCTTTTCCTTCTTCGGTGTTGCTTCAGGTTTCTGCTTCCTATTCTATCTCGTTTATGCCTGCTGCTTCCTGAGGCTATTCCTTTTCCACCTTCCTGATCCATAATCATGATCTCAGGTATCATCATCGTCTGCTACACTCTTACCCCAAGTCAGCTATGAAAGAGCTGGATTACCATTGTGTAGAAAAACATATTAACAAATACTTGTGAATGTTAAGCCATATCTAGTTTTCTCTACCTATGATAGGGGCTATTAAATTTCCATAGAGCCCTGTTCTGATCCCTAGAACCAAGCCTAATTTTAGGCGGGAGAGAACCAGTAGGCTGGAACTTACAAACTCACTGTGTGCTAATCTGCTAGCAAGCAGTATGACTGTTGTTTTTAGTGTTGCTGCTGGAACCTTATTGATGCTACTAAATAAAATCTTAGCCTCCTGATGCAGCTAATCAGCAAAAATTCTAAAGCCAACAGTCACTTGCAGTTGTTACTAGACCCACATTTGCCCACAGTAGTCCACAGCCATCTGTTATTGCTGTTGCTTGTGCTGCAAGGCTATGAAAAGCAGAACAAAAATCTTGCTTCTGTCTGTCTTCCTACTTCCTGTCAGAGCGACCACTTGTAGAAACTAACCAAGAGTTTCCCAGCAAATGGGAAATGTAGTGTGTACCTTTCTAGCCTCCTGAGTTACACAGGAAGCATAGGATAGAAATAAAGCTGAGAATCAAGAGGCAGCTAACCCATACAGTACATAACTGTGTCAGTCCAACAATTTCCTATATTTAGGTTCATTTTGATAGGAGTGTTTTTTCGTTTTCATTTTTCCTTACACAACATAGATCCTGGATATTATTTAGAAGATAGGCTGTTTATTGAGATGCTGTTGAGTAGGCAAAATACTAAACTCCGTAGGTCTAATCAATATAATAATCTGATACTAAATGCAATAAATAATCCCAGATACCTAACCTTGAGTGGGAAGGCTGAAACTGGCTTTTGCAATATATATGTATATTAATTTGGTCGTCCAAGGGATTTTCAGTTAGTCTGTATTTTCAGTTCTCTTTGTAAACTGGAATTATCTAGAATAATAATTTGAAACAAAACATTGAAAGCACCCATCAAATCTGCTGATGTCTAGGCTAATGTGTGAAGAATAATGTGTGTGTGTTTGTGTGTATATTAAAGAGAGAGAGAGAGACCAACAAGAAAAGCAAAGGACCTATAATTGATAATATATTCAAACTCTAATCGAGATAATAAATAAAAGAAGTTTATATTACAGCTAAGATACAGTTTAGCTAGAATATCAGGTCATTGTTTCTTTCATGTTAATTTTGGGAAGCTGTCAGTGAGAAGTAGTGATCAAACCCTGCTCAATAATCAGGTAATCCCAGTGCAACAGTAGCAGAGAATGTGGTCAAGCAGTTTCATCTTGTTTCTATAACCAAATCTCTGCTTTACTGGGATTGAGATTGTTAGAATCTGCTAGCAGGCTATTTTCAGTCTTTTCCAAATTATTCTTTCTTCTGAGGGAAAAAAAGCCTATTTTATAAAATCCTTAATGTCATAACCATTGTGGTCATATAAGCGTTGCTTCAACTATTTTATCAGTTTCCTCCAAAATGATACCTAAGATTTTAATGCATCCTTTATTATTCATAAAGACTTGAACCTGTTAGGTTATTTGCTTGTCAGTTTAGTAAACATAAATATAATGTGGAAATTAGACATCAAAATTTGCACTGGCCTTAGCAGTCATGAAATCTTTCCCAGTTAAACCTGAACAGGGCTTGATTAAACGAAAGTGAGGTTCGTTAGAACCAAGAAGGACAATTATCATTAGCTTCCAAGAAACTAACTTGGTTATTGTCTTCATTTCCAGGGAGTTTCCTGGTCTGGTTTTTGGACAGGATTTGATCTTCCGCTTATAGATAAAAGTTTGTTAGTCACTGAAAAGGAAGAACTGACGAGCGTGGAAAGATGGACAGGCTTATGAGATGTGAAAAGGGCAGGAGTTTGTGCAGAGGCAAACTGCTTCCAGTCCAAGAAAACAACAAAAGTCATATTTTGTCTCACTTCCTTTTTCTTCATCCCCTTGCTTCTTGTAGTATGACATTATTGGTTAAAAACACAGAAATCCAACGACCTAAATTTACATATTCTATAATGGTTTGTAAACTTAGAAAGTGAATTCTTCTCTCCGTGCATGAGAACTTTATAAAATGCAGACATCATAGCACCTACCTCATAGATTTTTTTATGAAAGTTAAGGCAAAATGTAAGCATTCTATAAATATCAACTCATTTCCTTTTTTGTCCTTTCTCTTTCACTTTGCTCAGCTGTTACTGTTTCCCTATCAATTTGTGCTCCCTGGTTTTACTCATTGCAGTTTTCTTCTTTTTCTTTCTCTGTTGTTCCTCCTCCTTCTTTCTGCTTCTCCTCATGTGGGTCTTCTAGTCAACAGTTTCCACTTTTCTATTTCCCTCTCCTTCTGCTTCTCTTCATGTCTTTGTCTCTGACCTTCTTGCTTCTCTTTAATTCTCATCTTTCTTTCTCCCCCCATGTGCTCTCTGTTCTCCACTCGCACAATAACTTGTCTCATTCGCCATGGCGGTACTTACTTTATCTTTAAAAGAACTTGGCAGTGTTATTTGTCTATCTTGTTTATTATCTCATTAATTTGCCTTCGTAAAACAAATGATGTGGGCCAGCTGTGGTGGCTCACGCCTGTAATCCCAGCACTTTGGGAGGCCGAGGGGGGCAGATCACGCGGTAAGGAGTTTGAGACCAGCCTGGCCAATATGGTGAAACCCAGTCTCTACTAAAAATACAAAAATTAGCTGGGTGTGGTGGCGCGTGCCTGTAGTCCCAGCTACTTGGGAGGCTGAGGCGCAAGAATTGCTTGAACCCAGGAGGCAGAGGTTACAGTGAGCCAAGATTGCGCCACTGCACTCCAACCTGGGCGACAGAGCGAGACTCCACCTCAAAACAAACAAACAAACAAAAAAACAGATGATTTGTTTCCTTGCCTGGTGATAAGGAAAAACAGAAAATTCAATATAGATATTGTAAGTGTGCAGTCTAATGATTATACAGAGCTAATCATTTAAGGATATGTTTCTTCTGAGCCTAGAACAGCCTCACAGGGCATTGATCACTTACGTCAGTGCCTGGGATCACCATTACCTACTTACCAAGAAAAAATTGGCTCCATCAAACCGTAGTTTCTGCTTTTTCCCAGAATGACTTTCCTGTTTATCTACATAATGAGAAGATTGAGGCCACAAACCTTAAACTACACCTCATTTAGTTCTGTTTATTTCTACTTTCATATCTTTCTTCCATTATCTTTTTCTTTCCTTTCATTTTAGAGAAAGTTTTCTTCACCCTTATTTCCAAGCTTTGTCTTGCCATATTTTTATATTCTTCTCATCCATTACTTTCTTGTCAGTCTTTCCTTTTCTTTTCATAATCCTCAAAAATCTCCCGTCTAGGATTCTTCCTTCAATTTTGAAATATACCAGCCTCTTAAAAGGTCACTTGGTTTTATTGTCTTTATCAATCATCAAGTTATCCTTTCATGAATAGTTATTCATACATGAATGGCCTCTACATGCTACTTCCACCTCCTCTCAGCATATTCTAACACTGCAATTTTATTTCTTCCATTTGTCCAGTGAATCACCAAGTCCAGTGATATTTTCTTAGGCCAGATCCTCCTGGACTTTCTACAATTTGATAATTTTTTTCTAGATTTCACTTCTTAAGAGAATATATTCAAGAAGTAAGAGGCACACAAAATGGAAGCTAAAATTGTTCTGCATTATGTAATTGTTTTTAGTTTGTAATATGGAAATAGGTAAAAGTCCTCTTCCCTTCATCTTTCAGACTAACCTCCTAGAAATAATCTTCTAGCATATTAATGTTAATTCCAATAACTATAGCAATTTAGTTTCTTTAGTTTCTAGTAATTCAGTTTTTTTAAAAAGCTGGAATAAACATCTTTTAAAATCTTTATTTGAGTCTTTATATTTATCATGTGTACAAATATATATGCTATTTTAAGTGTAATATATAATTTATAATATATAATATACATATTATATTACATATAATATGTAATTTATTTTTTAACTCTCCCCTTTTGCTGATTATATTTTCAAGCTTATCTTTTATTTCTTCAGATATATAAATCATACCTATAATCTATGTCTAACAATTTATGTCTAAATTGTGAGAGTCTGTATCATTGGCTTTTTGTTTTAGTTGTTTTTTTCTTATGGTGCTTAGTTTCCTGCTGTGTTTGTAAATTTTCAAGACTCTGAGTTCTCATTTTCCTTGAGAACTTATGTGTGAAGATTCTTTAAGACTTGATTTATAGATAGTTTCTCCAGAAAAGAAATTGTGTCAGAGACTGGGGAAAACTATCAAATAAAGGCCACGTTATTTCAATATTTTTGACATTGAAAAATGTTTATGGAAATATAAGTTACCTGTAGAAAAGTGTGTTAAGTCAAAAATTGACCTTATGAATTATTAAAAGCTAAAGACACTAATCATTCAAGTAAAATAATGGGACTTTGTCAGGAACCTCCCGGTGCCCATTTCTTCACTTCTTCCCAAAAGTAACTATCACCTTAATATCCAGTCTGCCTGTGTGTGAACTTTTCTCTACAACTTTTTAGTTTTTTTTAATGTTTCAACCTAGAGAAAAGTTGAAATAATAGTAACTTGAATACCCAGTGTTTGTTTCTTAGATCACTGATGTGTCAGCATTTTGCAGGTCCAGGGCTTTACCTTCTGTAAGTTACCAAAATCCACTTGGCAGGGTCTAGCAGAAACTTTAAGGGTGAAAGAGTATTTGACACTAGGTTACATCTCAGCGTTCTGGGTTGTACTTCATTTTGAAGCTCTGTGTTTTTCATACTTTGATGTCAGTTCAGTGTTGCATTTAGAATGACTTTTTAAATATATATTTTATACTGCATTATTGTTTCATTGGAGGGTTGTGCAGAATATCTAATCTACCATATTGTTGAAGCAGAAGTTTGCTAGATTTTAGATGTAATTATATAGACATTGGTTTAGAGAATTAGGAGAAAAACATATGAGTGGAAATCATAATGGATGTCAATACTTCTGAAATTTAAAAGGACGAGCCACTGAGTTCTTATTTATTATAAAGAGTGCCGACAGACTAGGCTGGGGAGAATAAATAACCTTATATGTATGGTGAGCCTATCTAATGTGTTGTCTAAGTGAGACCATTTTGAAAGTGAAGCGACACTGGTGATAATTACTCTGATGGGAAAAAAAAGGCGTAACTTGTTCTTGTCTGGGGCAAACTGAGATATGCAGTTGCCCTAAGTATAGGTTACTATACTTTTTAAGAAATGACTTTGAAAGTAAAAATAAAACCAGATATGTGTGTGTGAGCCTCTTCTTAATGTCAAAGTCTTTATTGAAGGCATATGCTAAGTGTGCAGATGCCAGCATTCGCAGAGCTTCATGATAACACTCGTGTAAGTACAGTGGGATTAAAAGTCTTGTTTTCGCCTGAAGACAATTTAGAAAAAAAAAATCTGTATGTCTTATGAAAAAAGATTAAAAGATAGAAGTAGTTTCTCCATTAAAGGCATTCAAATATAGACTTGAACAACTACTCTAAGGATTGTTTTGGTGGAAATTGAAATATTAGTCATGTTCTTGAATTACCTGAAAGGTCACTTTCAACTTGGAGGTTTTGTAATTCTGTTTACTCTCTATGCATTCTTATGTTTAGGCAAAAGAGCCATATCCATTTTCAGAAATGTCGAAGATTATGAAAGAGAAATACATGGAAAATTATCAAGAAACACTTATTAACGATGTAGAAGCTTGTCATTCTTTCATTGTTTCAGAATGTCAGAAAATCATATTTATTCTGGCTTATACTGTTAATTGATATGAAAGGTAATTAACAATTTCTCTGTGGTTTACTTAGAGTAGTAGGAAAAATATCAAATATTGGTCTTTGCCACCTTCCCTATGTGTCCTTGTTCTTGGTATGGAATCCTTTAATTATTTAGTAGAGAGATTGTCACAATTATAAGCACAGAAGTATCTTTGATTTTACATTGCAGCTGTTCCAGCTACGTTATGAGGGGCTCAGCTCAAGGGGCTCCAGGTCCCATTATCTGGGCAATGGAAAAGTCCATTCTTATTCAGCCACGGTGTACTTAGGATCCTTAAGAGAAGCTGTGATGTGTTTAAGGTCAAAAAGCCTTGTTTCATCATCCTAACCAGCAGTTTTACCATAATACAACCTTGAGAGGCTTATTTTGAAGGTCTTTCAGCACTTTATGAAAACCTCTTAAAAAATCTCTTTGTTATATTTTAAGTGTTATTATCTTTTTATTTTTTGGCCACTCATGTTACCAAAGTTTAGAATGTAACTTTTTAAAGCTCCATTACTTTGGCTAAAAGAAGAGAGAAGTTTAATTAAGAAACTTAATCATCTTCAATTATGGCATAATATATAATTTCTTGATTTATTTTTAAAAGAAACAGCAATTTTTTTCTCTCTTCCTGTATAGCATATCCTTAAAGAAAAATTTCTGTTGGCAAGATTGCCAATGTTTTGGAAAAATAAAATAAGGAAGGATGGAAGTACCTGACGGCATATCGTTTTTATAAAGTTTTGGATTATGGAATTTTCCTGGTAAGAATCTCTTCTCCCTCACACCTGCCCACACACGTAATTGGATGACACTTAAATGCATCAGCTTCTAGAGATTGCTAATAGCAAAAGTTAAATAGCAAAAAATTAAACATATCTCTGTCCCTTCCTGCTTATGAAGAATCAACCACCCTGTCTTCTACTTTCAATACTTTATTATTTTCTATTATAAAATGAATAAGCACAATGCAGATAATTCAATGAATAAATATATATTCATTGAGAAAAAACACTGAATAGTTTTTGTTTTCTAAATCACTTCTTGAATCTACCAATTTTCTGAATGCTCTGTCAGTGGTTATTATTTGACCTTTTTCTTCCAAGCATCTAATAAACTATTCTTTGTATGTTGTGCCTTGTATTAGTGAGAATCTATTGCTTATATAGAACAGAAACACTCTCAGCAATCTCCAGAGTTAATGATTTATTATAAGGGTGCAAATGCTAAAGCGGTAATAAAGATGAGTCAGGCCTTGAGATCCAAAGAATAAGGCATTGTGAGAGAGCAGGAACCAAGGTATCAAAATGGGAAATTGAAGTTAGGTAGAGATGTTGGCATCAAGAGGTTGTAAATCTTTACTCTTAACACTCTGTTGTTAATGAGCTCCAGCTACCCTTCTCATCTCTGTTGCCCCAGACACCGTAGAGCGCGTAGCTCATTTTTCCTAAGAAGTGGATGCCTTATCTTCTGTCCCAAATAGCTTGCCTTGTAAGTTATAACTTATGCGTATTCATGACTTCAGTTGCTTCAGGACTCATCAAAGCTCTCGTCCGAAGGCCTTGCTCTGTGTATCTGAATAACTTCAGCTCCCACTGCTTATATCCTTCCACTTCAAAGTCAGTGCTGAAAGAGAGAATGCAATTGATCTGTCCTCTTATCACTGCACTTTACTGTAAGGTGGGCTAAACCACCTCAGAGGCTTCATACAGTCAACTCTCATTGTGGAGGATGGGAAAACAATTGTAAATTACACGATAGAGTTGCTTTAAACTTCTTTCTTTACAAAGTTCTGATGTGCAGCTGTTTCTCTTGGAAAAAGCTTGTTTCTGCAGTAACGTGATGATGATTCCAGCCTCTTCTCAACTTAGTTCATTTGGGCAACCCCCCCACCGCCCCTGTACACTTTGTTGAAACTACTCTTGCCAGGGTTATCAATGATCTCAATTTTGCCAGATAAAATTATCATGTTTTGGCTGGGCGCGGTCGCTCACACCTGTAATCCCAGCACTTTGGGAGGCCGAGGAGGGTGGATCACGAGGTCAGGAGTTCGAAACCATCCTGGCCAACGTGGTGAAACCCCATCTCTACTAAAATACGAAAAATTAGCTGGGTGTGGTGGCACTGCCTGTAATCCCAGCTACTCAGGAGGCTGAGGCAGGAGAATCGCTTGAATCTGGAAGGCGGAGGTTGCAGTGACCCGAGATCGTTTCATTGCACTCCAGCCTGGGCGATAGGGCAAGACTCCGTCTCAAAAAAACAAAACGAAACAAAACAAAAATTACCATGTTTCATCATTCTTCATCTTATTTGTTCTTTCTGTAACAGATTAATTGACCATTTTATTCTTGTTGAATTTTTTTCTCCTTTTCAGAACTCTGCACTACCTTGGTTTTCCTCCTATCTACTAAGTAGTTTAGCTCAGTCTCCCCTGCTAGATTCTCCTTCTCTGCTGACCCTGGAATTCTAGGACCCTAGGCTTAGTCTGAAATCTTCTGCTCTTCTCGACCTATATTCTTTCTTGAAAAAAGTCTTTTCCAATTCTCTAAACATCACCTATATTTAAAGACTTACAGATGTATATCTCTAGTTCTAAATCTTTCCTCAGTGACAAACTCCTACTTGACATAGTCACTTGAATTCCAGTAGGCTGGCTCACATTAAATATGATCAAAACTGTATTCTTGATACTATGACCAAACCTGTTCTTACTTGCTTCTCTATTCCTCCCAGATGCTCAAGCTCAAAAGAAGCAAAGAAAAAAAAGAACACTTAAACAGGCAAAAAAATTAAAAAATTATTCTCATCTCTCATATGAAATCAATCAACAAGTACTATCAGCTGTGTCTCCAAAATAATTGTCTTTCTTTCACCCTTCACTGCTGCCCCTTAGCCCAAACAACTATCATTATCCACCTTACTTTCTTCAATGGATTTTTTTAACGAATCACTCCTTTTTTTCCCCATAATCTATGCTCTGCAGCCAGAGTAATAATTTAAAATGTGATTAAAACCATGTCACTCCCTGAATAAAAATCCTCCAATGGCTTCCACCTCCACTTAGTGAGAAAAGGAAAGTACACAAACTCCAGCATATTCTAAAAGGCCTTACATTATTTGTCTTTTGCCTCTATCTCTTGCACCTCATATCTATCTTACCATACTTTTCCTTCCTTCACTTTCCTTTTCTGCTTTTCAGTTGTAGCAAGCTTATTCTTCCTCCAAAGACCCTTTAACTTTCAAATCTGTTAGATCACCCATCATGTCTTCAAACGCTTGGCTCTTTTTTCCATCCAGGTTCAGCTCGGGTGTTAATCTCCTGTGAGAATTTCTCAGCACATCCAAATAAAGTTACTTACCCTAGAACTATTACTTATTTTTGGTTTTATTGACTTCATATTATTTATTGTGTTTGTGTTAATTTATTGGTTTACTTATTTATTGTCTGTCTCTCCTACTGGAACGTAAGCTTCACAATAGAAAAAGGCTAATCCTTCATTATCATTTTATTCTTCATTTTCATTGTCTAGAGCACCACTTAGTATATGATAACAATTTAATGAGTATTAGTTGAATGAATAATGAATCATTTGCTGCATATTGAAAACACAATGAGCATTTGAGTATCAACTAATAGTTGATACATAACTATATTTGATTATCAACTATTTGAGTATAAACTGTGCTTTAGGTGCTAAACATATGTTATCATTAATTATTAATTATTCATCTATTCAATACATATTTATTAATTACCTAAATAAATGTCTACCAAGAGGAAAAACTATCATCTGTACTCATAGGTGACTTGTTCTCTAATGAATACACTAGTAGGCCAACAATCAAACATAATGATGCAATTGACATGATGGAATAAGTTAAAAACTGGCATAAACATAAATACATGATAGCATAGACTCATACATTTGTCTGCCTGTGGTCGGTAGCAGAGATACCAAATAGACATTTTTACTTCACATTGACAGCCATAGAAATTAGTAGGCAACCCATCTTGGAAAGGACATTCCTTTTAGGTAGAGAAGGCAACTGAAAGTGCTTTGGATGTATGACTGTAAAGTGCAGTTAGTGAATTATCAGTACATTTTGGAATATTAAAAGAGGAAACAGTGTAAGTAGATAATTCTGGAAGAGTAGGCAGAAACCAGCTTATAAAATGTTTGAGAATCTAATCTAAGGAGTTAAAATATTCCCAGGTAGGCATTTCTATAATTCAGTATTTCCCAAGCCTTTTTAAAAAACAATCCTGGCTGGGTGCGGTGGCTCACGCCTGTAATCCCAGCACTTGGGGAGGCCGAGGCAGGCAGATCACGTGGTCAGGAGATCAAGACCGTCCTGGCTAACACGGTGAAACCCCGTCTCTACTGAAAACACAAACAAAAAATTAGCCGGGCGTGGTGGCGGGTGCCTGTAGTCCCAATTACTCAGGAGGCTGAGGCAGGAGAATGGTGTGAACCCGGGAGGCAGAGTTTACAGTGAGCTGAGATCGCGCCACTGCACTCCAGCCTGGGCGACGGAGCGAGACTCTGTCTCAGAAAAAAAAAAAAAAAAAAAAAAAAAATCCTAACCATTGTTTTTTTTGAATCTGGAAAATTATCCTGAAATTATTTTTGTCATATAGCTTAAGAAAAAAAAAAGTGAGCAACAATTAGTTTATTTTGAAAAATTCCATGAAAGCTTTTGATATTTTGATGACAATATTGGTGAAATTAGCTCTTTAAATTTGTAAGAAACAGCTTTGAACCACAAACTACACAAGTTTCTACATGGTTAACATCCTAATTCTTTAATGTTTGGTAATATCTGTGCTGAGGAAATGCTGAGGCAGTGCTGGGGATTCCTTAAACACTATAGAGTATGATTAGTAATCTAATTTTTTGGGACAGCCAATTAATGCATTTTGGAATAATAAGTATCGTTTTGTTTATATTATTTATTAAAACAATCAGATATTTACTGAGTTTATGTTATTTACATAAACAGATGTTTCAGTAAATAATATATTTCTGAGGAAAAAATGAGGCACTTTGGCAGATGTCTTGACATTATGTTTAGTAACTTATTTAAAACTAGAAAACCATAGAATGTGAAGAGAAAATGAAATATTTATTAGAGCAGTGAAAGTTTTTTCCCATTTCCCATTTTTAAGGGAGCATCCCCTTTTGGGAAATTAAAGCAAAAGTGAAATTTTGTAAAAAGCAATTTTTTTTACACTTTTAGCAACATTTTAGAAAATGCTACAATAAATACATAATAAATATCTATGTAATAAATATACCATATATATCAAGTAGAATTCAAGATTAGGAATACCTACATTGATTCTCACTTATCGTTATCAGTGGCTTACATGTTTCAGCTGTTAGGATCATGGCAGGAATTTCCTCTTGAGGAAAATAATTTTTAAAAAATTGTGAAGGAAAAGGAAAAAAATATAATAGAGGATCAAGAGACAAATTTTAAAATTTGACTTAGGAATAGTTCTTGTTCTTGTTTGATCATCCTGAGAAGGACTTACTCTTATCAGTCTCCACAGGGCCACAAAAGTAAATGTTTCCTGTGCATTAAAAAACAAACTACCAAATTTGTTTATTCTTTGCTGAGCTCCAAAGTGACTGAGATAGGAGATGGCCCTGAGCTGGCCTGAAGAGCTCAAGAGGGCGGCACTGTGAGTGGCTAAGCAGACAGGAGACAACAGATGCCTGAAGCGGTGGGCTGAAGCCACAGAACTGCAGTGAGGGCAAAGACGGTGCTGCCTTTCCTGCTGTTTCTTAATGGAGAAAAGGGGGCAGATCACTTTATTTAATACAAAAGCTCCCGGCACTTTGTGAAGCCGAAGCAGGCAGATAACCTGAGGTCAGGGGTTTAAGACCAGCCTGGCCAACATGGTGAAACCCCGTCTCTATTAAAAATACAAAAATTAGCCAGCTGTGGTGGCAGGCGCCTGTAAGCCCAGCTACTCGGGAGGCTGAGGCAGGGAGAATTGCTTGAACCCAGGAGGCAGAGGTTGCAGTGAGCTGAAATGGCACCATTGCACTCCAGCCTGGGCAGTAGAGCGAGACTCCATCTCAAAAAAACAAAACAAAACAAAAGCTGCCCTCCTCATCTATAAACCCAGAAATGGGAAAGACCTTTTTTCTCACACTATCTTACTTTCGAAACCCAGTTAAAAAACAAAACATAAATGTAACGAACTCTCATCCTCATACTCCTGAACTTACCTGCAGCTGAGTTTTTACTCTATCATGCCGGGAGCAAAGATATTGGGTGGTAACGTAGGCTACAGAGAAGCTACATTTTGGAGGTCAGTGGACACTAAAGATTACATACCATCTGTCTATATATTTAGTGTATAAGTGCTGCTTAAAATTTCAGAGATTTAGTTTCTTCATATGAAAAATCTATATTTTCACGTATATTTGGGGTTTCGAAATAGTGACTATAACTGTCTAGGAGAGTACATAGCACATAAAAACTCTCAGTAAGTGATAGCTGTCTTTATTTCAGAGTCTATAAACTAACATTTCAGCTCATAGCCCAAATTACTCCAGCCCTATTTCTAAAAGCCAGGAAAATCTCTTCTGAAGACTTCTATATCAATATGTCATGAATTTTCAAGGCTCAAATGTGATATTGAAGGTGAACATGTTTAATAAATGGGAGAATGTCGTATCAGCAAATCTCAGATCGACTTTCATGCCATTCTGATGAAAGATGTTAATAGATGTTTCTCAAAGAAGGTTTTGTGATTAGATAAACCAAGACACACAGAATTTAGGATGTTTTAGACATTTTCATATACCACTGTAATTTCTAAATTTCCTAGTATAGGGTGGGTAGAACACATAACATTTCCCAAATTTTTTTGGTTGTGAAACTTTTGTTTTCATGAGGCTTCTCCATGATTACTCTCCACAGAAAAAGATTTTGAAGTGAAATAAGTTTACAGTTATTTTGTAAGTAAACTAAAAAACACAATTCTTTCCCAGTGAGTCTCAATCATGTTTCTCCTGCTAGAAGCACTTTAATCCATTAGATAGTGGAAATCAGACTTTAACATATTACTGGAAATACTTTAAGCAACATAATGCTGCAAATAGAGATTCTATTATTCATTTAAACGTTAGTTTAAAAGTAATGTGGAAATGCTATATATAATTATTAAGGCAGAGTAAAATGAATGGTTTTAAATAGGCTTGCAAAGTTATGATGGAATTAGATTGCACTGCATTGTTTCCTAGGTAAGAATGTGCTGTGCTGCAAACCACCATGGCACATGTTTACCTATGTAACAAACCTGCACATCCTGCCCATGTACCCCTGAACTTAAAATAAAAGTTGGGGAAAAAAGAATGTGCCTACTGATTACAGGGAAAGACAAAAAGCAAAAGGTGATTGAAACATAGTTCTAAATAACAAGAAGGGAAGTTTTCTTAAACTGATCATCTGTCTTATTGTCATGACAAAGGGTAAAATTTTATTTTCAGTCCTTTAGTGCTTTTTAATAATTCACCATACATATTTTACTTATATCCCATTAACTGTGGGACTTAGCACAGTTTACATTTTCAGTCATGTGAATATAATTATCTGTATTCCCTGTTGGAGTGATGGGGGAAATTGGATCATTATATAATTTAAAAGACACCTCCCCAGGCACCCATTGTGTTCTTAGGAAGTCAGGAACAGAATTTAAGATTATTAATTTCACACACCATGTTTTATCCATTAAATTAGTATATTGGATTTGACACTTTATAGATTGTATAGACACTTATATGTGACTCCAGAGAGCAACAGAAATGTTATTAAGAGTTCTTCAAATAATTTTGATAATCAAAATCACATATAATGGTAGTGCCAGGCTCTAGTGGACATTCTGATATGTTAGGCATGAAAATCAGTGAAGGAAAACAGCCTCAAGACGTAAAGAAATAGGGACATTGGTCATTTCAGGATTAGAGCCTACTGAATTTATACCGATCAGCAGAATAGCCCAGACAGATCTATTTTTTCACACAGTCTCTCTCAATAAATAGCCTTTCCTATCCTGAGATTGATATTTTGTTTTAATAATCCATTCTATCAGAATGGTTATGTTACTCTTTATAATAATCACTATATTGGCATGAAACCATAGCTTGGCAAAGGAGAAATTATGAAAATGGTAGTTAAGGGTATACATACTTGCATTAAATCCTAATTTTGTCAACATCACATACAGCCCTGAATCAAAACCAAGCCTCTAAAAATCTTCCCCAGTTGGTTTCCTTTGATGTCTGACTTATCATATAGTCATACAGCTGTAATGCTCTTCTCTTGGTAGCAAGGGTAGTTCATTACATATGTTTAGAAAGTTATTATTGTTGTTTTGAAGATGTAGAACATAAAGTTGGGACTGGGACAAAATCAAAGGAGAACAGATGTTTCAGAAGACATTGTTTATTTTTCTTAAGATTTTAACCTTACTAAGTGAGCTAACAGAACAAAGCCAGGATAGAAACAGGCTGTCTATGGGATTTAGTTGCAATGGAGCTCTGTTTTAGTTTCTGGCAACTGCCATAACAGGAGAACACAGTAACAGGCTAGGCCAGATGCCCTTCAGCATCCGAATCAATTCATCAAATTACAGCAGAGAAGCAAGAGTCAAAGCTGCCAGTTCAGGGAATAAATCTATGAATACCCTAAGACCAATGGCCATTTAATAAATGTAGAGACACAGAAGCTGCTCTCTCTTTCTCTGCATATATATGTGTACATATGTATATATGTATATACATATATACGTATATATGTATATACATATATACGTATATATGTATATACATATATAGGTATATATGTATATACATATATAGGTATATATGTATATATGTATATACATATATAGGTATGTATATACATATATAGGTATATATGTATATATGTATATGTGTACATATTTATATGTATGTATATGTGTATATATGTATGGGTATATATACATATATGTATATGTGTATATATACATATATGTATATGTGTATATATACATATATGTATATGTGTGTATATATACATATATGTATATGTGTATATATACATATATGTATATGTGTGTATATATACATATATGTATATGTGTGTATATATACATGTATGTATATGCGTGTACATATACATATATACCTATATAAGTATATATGTGTATATACCTGTATATGTATACATATATATGTATGTATTTCGTTTTTTGAGACAGAGTCTCACTTTGTCGCCAGGCTGGAATGCAGTGGTGTGATCTTGGTTCATTGCAACCTCTGCTTCATGGGTTCAAGCGATTCTCCTGCCTCAGCCTCCCGAGTAAGCTGGGACTACAGGCGCGTGCCACCATGCCTGGCTAATTTTTGTATTTTTAGTAGAGACAGGGTTTCGCCATGTTGGCCAGGCTGGTCTCGAACTCCTGACCTCAGGTGATCCACCCTCATCGGCCTTCCAAAGTGCTGGGATTACAGACTTGAGCCACTGTGCAAGGCCAGAAGCTGTTATGTTAAATCATTTTCATATCAATATGTGAAATATAAGTTAAGCAGGAATCTTTGAAAGAAAATTAATGTGGTAGAATGATTTCCCATAGATACTGCGTTGGAAGAACTCTCTATAATCCTGAATATCTGATAAATGTTAATTCTTCTCTAGGTACCAAGGTAATAACTTGCGAAAGTTACTTGGATTTCTATAGTTCTAGTTTATAAGCATTTAAAGAAAGTCTTTGAGGCCTGAATAAAACAAACAAAGAGAAGAATTTATGGGAAAGAAACAAACCAATATATGACTTTATTAAGTTAGCTTTATTGTGTAAGCTTGAGCATACTTTGATAAATATATAAATCTTGGGTTTATACCAACATATATCAATGCAGACATTTTGCTAATAAATATTGACTTGTTATAAATAAATTTTACTTCTGGAACTTTAGACATTTGCATCAAACACACAGGACAAACCCATATCCTCTTGCTTGCCTGAGCCATCTTTATAGCATTCTGGTATTATGGTATCCCATTTTGCTGATTTTATTCAGTGCTAAAACTTGGGGTGGTAATAGTGGAGTAGATCGCCTCAATATCCTATACTAAGAAAGAAGGCTACCTGCCATCCTTATAGAACAAAATTGATAATCTTAAAACTTTGAACTTTGATAGAAATAGGCCTAGGGAATGCTTAGGAGTAAGGGAAAATGAATGAATTAGAATTTGTATCACAGTTTTGCCACAGTTAACAGGGAAATGAATGAATTGGAATTTGTAACACAGTTTTGCCACAGTTAACTTCGGGCTGCCTCCAACAGGTGAACTTCCTTCTCCATTAGCCCTTGGCCATGTGTGGACTAAAACTCCTACTCTTGGTTTTCCTTATTGCTGCTGAGAAAGGCTAGAAGTTCCCATAAAACATTGTTAAATTCCTAGGAAAACAAAATAAAACTGAACTTGAAGAATCTGAAAAAACATGAGACATTTCATTTTACAGAGTAGAGATTTGAGTTTACTAAGCCTGTTATTTTCAGATAACTGCATAAATTTGTTCATAGCTTGACTGGGAATTGTACTCTTATTACTGTCTTCTGGAAAGTCAGCATATTTTGACTCAAAATATGGGAATAACATCTCAGTCATCTAAACACTTTTGTTCAAAGCAGAGAGTGGCTTACTTGGCTGCCTATCAAAAAAATTCTTCTCAGTTTCAATTCAAATTTCCCTCAGGCACATCTAATTGAGAACAATTATGTAATAGCATTGGAAATACGTTGGTTAAACCACACACACACACACACACTCACACTCACACACACAAATTTACCAATTCGAGAACGTCTAATAAGAGGGGGTAAAAAGGAATTGGGCTTTCTTGTATGTGTGTTATTGAAGGAGAAGTGTAATACAGTGGAAGACAGCAGGGAGACCAGTAGATCTAACATAGGTCCACTCTCCTTCTAATATTGATAATTTGTGTTTTTGCTCTTTACTAGTCTGCCTAGGGGTTTATCAATTTTATTGATCTTTACAGAAAGCCAAATTCTAGGCTTCATTGGTCTTCTCTATTGTTTTTCTCCATTTAATTTCACTAATTTTAGTTTTTAAAAATTTTTTTTAAACGTAGGACAGCATATTTGAATGTATTTCCATTCACCCCTGATATTTTTGGAATTTGGTCCTTTCTGCAGCAATTGAAGTGCTCAACCTGTATTTGCTTATCAATTACTAAAATTTTTTTATTATTTTTTTTTACTTCTACTTACTTTTAGTTTAATTTGCTATTCTTCATTTAATTCTTAAGGTGCCTGTTTAGTCACTTTATTTAAAACATTGTTTTTGGCCAGAAACGGTGGCTCACACCTGTAATCCCAGCACTTCGGGAGGCAGAGGCGGGTGGATCACCTGAGGTCAGGAGTTTGAGACCAGCCTGACCAACATGCAGAAACCCCATCTCTACTAAAAATACAAAATTAGCTGGACGTGGTGGCGCATGCCTATAATCCCAGTTACTCGGGAGGCTGAGGCAGGAGAATCACTTGAACCCAGGAGGTGGAGGTTGCGGTGAGCCGAGATCACACCATTGCACTCCAGCCTAGGCAACAAGAGCAAAACTCTGTCTCAAAAAAAAAAAAAAAAAAGAATTTAATCTAACATAGTATAATCATTTATTTTTTCTTACCTAACAGTATAATCATTTATCCTGCTGTAAACTTTTTTGGTAAGTGCCTCTCTAGTTGCATCCCACAAATTATGACATATTGCCTTATCATTATCGTTTAGTTCAAAATATTTTCTAATTTCTTTTGTGATTCATTCCTTAACTCATGGGTTATTTAGAAGGGTGTTGCTTCATTCTCAAATACTTAGCCATTTTCTAGTTGTATATTTGTTATATTGTTATTGCTTTCTAATTTATTTTTGCTCTTATTTTAAAAAGGATGTTTTCACTTATTTTAGAATTCCAGGCTGCAGGTTTTTTGTGGATTTGTTGTGGTGGTGGTTTTTTGTGTTTTTAGTCTAAAGTTACTGTTTTCTTCTAGCCTCTGCTATTTTTCTTTAGAAATTGACAGTCATTATTGCTCTTCATCTGTGTATCTGTATTTAGGTGCTGGTTATCTCAGGATTTTTTCTGTATTTTTGACTGTATGCATATTTATTGTGATTTGTTAGTGTTTTATTATTCTGCTTAGATCTTTTTCTGTTTTTATTCCTTTTTTGAAAACTAAATTTGGAAAATTTTTGTCTAATATTTCTTCATAGTTTTGCTGCTCCAATGCTTCTATTTTCTCTCTTTAGACTCCAATTACAATTATGTTAGAGAGTATGATATTGTCCAACATTATGTGTTTTTTTTCTATTTTTTTCTTTGTACTTAAGTTTGGATTATTTATTTTGATCTGCAACCAAGTTCACTGACTACTGCTTTTGTTGTCTCAAATTTGCATTAGTGAAATTTATGTTTTAAAATATACTTTAGTTCTATAATATCCATTTGAGTCTTTTTTAAGTTTTCATTTCTAAAATTTCCCTGTATATCCTTTGTGATCATATTTATTCATGTTTTTGAACATTTAAAAAATAGCTGCTGTATACTCTTTGCTTATTAACATCTCATTTATATCTATGTTCCTATTGTGTTTTTAACTTTGAACATGGTTCACGCTCTCCTCTTTCTTCACATCTTGTGTTTTTTATTGAATTATTGACATTGTGGATAATGTGTTCTAGATCCTCTGGATTCTGTCTCCTTCTGCAGAGTGTTTTGTTGTTTTCTAGTACCCAGTTATGTTACTGGCTGATCACTGTGAATCTGTGTTTTGTTTTTATACTTTCTTAAGGCAGATACATTTCAGTATTGCCATTAATGCAAAGAAAAACAAGTATCCCTGCTACATAGCCTTTACTTGAAAGGTATGACCCTTTGGGAATTTTAGTGGAAAGCTTCAGGTATTTAAGACCCTCTAAGTTAGTGTGATTCAAAATCTTAATTCTGCCTTCTCTGCAGGGGTCAGCATCTGAGATAACTGCTCACTTTTTCAGTCTTCTTATAGACTACTTTCTCCTGGGTTCCTTGAAGTCTTCACTATACATGTGCATTTCAAGGATCAGATAATGGTAAGAGGGACATTTAAATACATATATGAGAGGGGAGCAACCCCTGAATCTTCTTCCTTTATTTTATTTTATTTTAGACAGGGTCTCACTCTATCGCAGGCTGGAGTGCAGCAGCACTATCGTAGCACTGCAGCCTCCATCTCCTGAGTAGCTGGCTATACGGTACATACCACCATGCCTGACTAATTTATTTTTACTTTTTTATAGAGATGAGGTTTCACTATGTTGCCCAGGCTGGGCTTCCACTCCTGGCCTCAAGTGATCCTCCCACCTCAGCCTCTCAAAGTGCTGGTTTTACAGGCATGAGCCACTGTCCCCAGCCCCTTTATTGTATTTTTAGTGTCAGTTGCCATTGTTCTGGCAGCCTCGCGTTTCTTTCATGATGTTCAAGCTAGTAAAATTTCATATTTTTGCTTTAATTCTCCATGTTCCATGTCGAAAGATGTTGGAAAAAGTTGAATGTCGAATACCCTACAGTTTCTGACTATTTTGCTTCTTTTTATTTTATTTTATTTATTTTATTTTTTTGAGACGGAGTCTCACTCTGTTGCTGGAGTGCAGTGGCACGATCTTGGCTCACTGCAATCTCCCCCTCTCGGGATCAAGTGATTCTCCTGCCTAAGCCTCCTGAGTAGCTGGGACTACAGGCGTGTGCCACCACAGCTGGCTAATTTTTGTATTTTTAGTAGAGACGGGGTTTCACCATGTTGGTCAGGCTGGTCTTGAACTCCTGACCTCATGATCCACCCGCCTTGGTCTCCGAAAGTGCTGAGATTACAGGCGTGAGCCACCGCGCCTGGCCTGTTTCTATTTAAAAGTGCTTTTAGGGCATAAAACATTCCCTTCCTTCCCCCAAGGTTTTAATAATTAGTATTATTAGTGGGAATCTTATTCTGATTGAATCTGTCTTGCAATTACTGGAGCCAGAAGACATTTGAGCAATACACTTTTGTATTTGAGGCTCTTCAATATGACAGTATATCCCAGTAGGCTATATTTTAATCAAAGGCATAACTTTTTCTTCACATTTGTTTACATCCTCTTAGTCAATGGTAGGCCTTTTCCTTCTCCAGCCTGCTCCAGGACCAGGAACCTGATTCTCGGTATGGAAATTGTATACTGTCTGCTTGGTTATGAAGGGCTTATTTTGTTTAATATGTAGCTCATTAAATCTTCCTTGCATTCACCACTTATGATAGCCCCAAAGAGAAGCTTGATTTACATTTCGTACATTTTTCCTTGTAATTAGTACAGGAGTGAAGTTATTTTACATTGTTCTACATCCTAACTAGAAGGGGAGATGATCTGCTTTCATTTTGAAAAAAATATTTTTACTGGATATGGAAATAAAGGTTGGCAGTTATATTCATTTAGCATTTTAAAGATATCATTACATTGTTGTCAGGTTTCCATGAATTTAATGAAAAGTCAGTTGTTATGCTCACTGTCATTTCGTGGCAGGCAATATTTTATTATTTCCTTCTTCTTGCTGTTTTTCAGACTGGTTTCTTCCTTTCTGGTTTTCAGAAGTTTTGCCATAGTGCTTAGGTGTGATTTTCTCTATTTCTATTATATGTGGGATTTGCATCACCATTGGAATTCAGGGCTCAATATCTTCTATGGCTATGAAAATTCTTTACACTTATCTCATTATATACTGCTCTGACACACTCTCAATTATAAAAATTACACATGTATTATATTTTTTCCCATGATGGTACTATATCTCTCACACTCTTGTCTATATTTCCCATCCCCTTTTTCTCTTTATGCTACAGTCTGGATATTTTTAATTGATATTTTATCCAGGTGAATAATCTTCTGGGGTTTTTTTTTGTCCAATCTCTAATAATTTATTAAAGGAAGTTTAGAGGTTCAGAAACTATTTTCTTGGTCCTTAAATAATTTTTTATGATTATGTGATTGCACAAAGTACATAAGCACAAACCATTTTTGTAATCTTTATTCTCTTCACCAAAGTCAATGCTTGATACACCTTTTCTCCTGGTATCTATCTGTACTGATCTTTATGATTTCCCCTTCTATCACTTTATTAAATGTCCTAATTTTAGTTACTTATTTTATTAAAATAGCCCCATTATTGCTAATTGTTCAGACCATTCATTCTACCCTTCCAATCCACTCTACAAAGCCTAACAGATTGATTTTCAAAATAGATGTTACTTACCTGCTCAAAAGATTTTAAATTTTCTCCAAGCAGTCAATCCATATTTTTAAAATATTTTCTCGTCTTGTGAATCTTGTTGTTAAAAAACCAGCTTTTGGGTCAGGACATCATGTAAAACACATAAAATAAACTTGCTGCGTTGAGGTTGGGATACCAGCAGTTCTTTTCTCCTTCAGGGATCTTTAGGGCACAAGTTGAAATCACCTGGCTTCAGTGGTAGAGGATGAATTTCTTGACATGATTTTTAGCACTGTCTACAGTCAGTTTACAAGCTGTCTTGGCTATCTTATATCCCACTGTTTTTCTGCATGAGCAGAGTTGATGTCATCTGGAAGCTCTTAGAAATATAAAATCTAAGGTTTCACCTTATACCTACTGAATAATCTACATTTTAACATTAATGTGTAGGAAGCATTGCACAGGACCCCTATAGTGTAAGTAATAAGGTTTTCTCCTGTTTCTTAAGTATTTATCTTGTTTTTATTCTTTGCTTTTCATAATTTATTTGTATTTTTTTCTGTCTTCATTCTATGTACTTTATCCTGAATTCAAACTTATCATCTCCTCTAATTATATTCTAACACAGAGTTATCTAATCATTCCTCGGCCTGTCTACAGCCCTTAGTTTATTCAACTTGTATAATATTCATTAAAAGTTATATTTTGATTATGTGGACTTACAGCTACTAGATTGTGATCTTCCTCAGTTAGGAATCATATCCTTTAAAAACTTCTCACCCACAGTGTCCGACACAAAACCGCCTAAAAAGGTCTGTTTAATAGTTGTTGAATGAATGAGACATTAGTCATGTTCAGAGTTTGGTATGGAATTTAAAGGAATGCAAATTATTTATAACACAGTTGTATATTAGGTCAACAGTCTTTCTACCCTGTATGAGTTTTAAAAGAAGAAGTGTTTGTCTTAATTTCAGCACTATTGAAGGAAACATAATCTATACTAGGAAGCTAAACTATAGCAAGCTAAATATGCCTGCCTAGCATTACCTATACTCGTCTCATATCATTCAGTGTAGGATAGGTAGTAATATTGGAGTTCTTTTAGGAATGGGTATTTTCTCACCTGCTAATTTCAACACATGGTATACTGAAATGGTGCGTGATTGTGAGTATTAATACCATGGGAGGTTTTAACAATTTGAGAAAATGAGCATGTTAGCAACAAATCAGTAAATGAAATAGATTGATTCTTTCAAAATTAATCCTAAGGTCTTAAGCCTAGTTACTTCTCTGGAAAAAATAAAATTAGTGTCAGGCATGAACAAATTTGTCGGGAAAAAGTTATTAAACAAAGTGTTACTTCCAATAAAACGCATCCAGTTATTGTTCTGTTGCTAAGGAGTTTCATAAAATTGCTCCCAGAGAAAAAGCAGCAGAAGCAGGCATAAAAAATGATGAGTGTGATAGATGGTTTATGGCTTTTCCTGTATGAGTCGAGTACCTGGGAGATGGTAGGATGTTATGTGAGTGTAAATATGTACTGGAAGAGTGTTTAAAGTTTGAATTTCTACTGACACATTGTCAGGTTGTAAGTTAGCTAACCTCACTACTATCTGTAATTTTTTAATTTATTTTTCTTTCTAATGCAGCTCTTCAAAAATGATCACTACTCTTCTGAAACATAAACTTTCAAAAATTTGTATTATTTTTATTTCAATAAGAAGATAAAGCTACTGCAACTCTTTCAGCTTTCCTCTGTCACAGTTCAATGTTTCTCTGCATCTTCAGTGATGTTCCTTTCTTTCGGCTCCAAGTAATAACAAAAACCTTGACTTAATTGGCTTTAAAAGTTGAGATTTTGGCTGGGCGCGGTGGCTCAGTCTTGTAATCCCAACAGTTTGGGAGGCCGAGGCGGGCGGATCACCAGAGGTCAGGAGTTCGGACGAGACTGGCCAACATGGTGGTGAAACCCCGTCTCTTTTAAAAATACAAAAATTATCCAGGTGAGGTGGTGGGCGCCTGTAATCCCAGCTTTTCAGGAGGCTGAGACAGGAGAATCGCTTGAACCTGGGGAGGCGGAGGTTGCAGTGAGTCGAGATTGAACCATCACGCTCCAGCCTGGGCAACGGAGCGAAACTCCACTCAAAACAAAAAAAAGTTAAGATTTCATTATTTCACATAAAAATACGTTTAATAACATTACCAAAGGCCCAAAAGTATTTAATTTTTATGTTCTCAAATCTCCTCTACATTGTCATTAGATTTCGACCCTCAAGAATGTAAGATGACTACAACAGCTACAAGCTGCAAACTTTCACACTAAGGAATCAAAAATGGAAGAGATGAGGATTGTATTTCCTCAGTTTGTCTCATTTTGAAAATACGCATTTTTTCTGAGAAGGCTCCCTCACCCTGCTCTTCACGTTTCCTGCCCACTCACTTTTCACTGCAGTTTATCTTTCTTGCTTGCCTCATTTTTCTTTTTAGCATTTCTCACCATTTGACATGCTGTGTGTTTTACTTATTTATCTATTGTCTTCAGATTCTTAATAGACCCTACTTCTCATGAGGACAGAGATTTTTTTTCACTTTTTCCATGAATGTGCTCTCTCATGTGTGCTTTAGACATCCCCTTTCCTCACAAGTATCCTGTCCTTGTGTGTGACACAGAAAGTTTTATGGTTTTGTTGTTGTTGTTGTTGTTGAAATTTACCTCCTTGCTTGGCATGTAAGAGTGACAAAAAACTCACTTCGGTTTTTTCTTACATCTGTGGTCACCTTCCAACTTCTCTGTTTATTCTCAGCCTCCTTCAATGAAAATAAAACCAGAGCTGGATTTTTTAAAATGGAGCTTTTACAATCTGTTTTAATGTACTTAACTGGGCCAATTGAATTGAACACCAAAACATAGGCAATTGCAAATAAATATTTGTCTACATATTAGGTGTAGTAAATGAAGAAAGGAAAGAAAATATGGAAGGTACCTATGGCCTCATTTTTTACTAAATCTGATTCCAAGTCGGCATGTTCTCACAGTCTAATAGCAGATCTACTTTCATCTGTGTCTGGTTATTGTTAGCTGTACATTCTCAATCTTCATGACTTAACTGCATTTAGCCCTCAACTTTGGATGCTGTGTATTAGTCAACATAGGATGGGTTATCCGTGCAAACAAATGGCCCAGAAATTCATAGCTTAAAACAATCATGCTACATCTTAACTGCAGAGAAGGCAGGCTTTGCTTATTATAGTCATCCAAGGACTAATGTAGTAGTCATGAAATCAAACATATCTAAAGGGGCTTTTGTAGGCAATTAAGTGTTCTGGCCAGAATTTGATATAAAGTCCCTCCTAACTACAGAGAAATTAGGAAGTATAATTCTATTGTAAGCCCAGGAATAAAACAGAACTGGAACTGTGTTCTGTTTTTAAACAGAAATAATGACTGCAACATTGTTATTCACATAGTGAGTCAAAGAGTCATGTCAAATATTAAAATCATTACCTGAACAAGCAAGATAGGTCTAATTCCAGATGAGGGCTCTTGATCATCCACCTAGGGTTGAAAGATAAAACACAGGATGCTCAGTTAATTTTTTTTTTTTTGAGACGGAGTCTTGCTCTGTCGCCCAGGCTCGAGTGCAGTGGTGCAATCTCGGCTCACTGCAAGCTCCGCCTCCCGGGTTCACGCCATTCTCCTGCCTCAGCCTCCCGAGTAGCTGGGACTACAGGCACCCGCCACCATGCCCAGCTAATTTTTTTCTGTATTTTTAGTAGAGATGGGGTTTCACTATGTTAGCCAGGATGGTCTCGATCTCCTGACCTCGTGATCCGCCCACCTTGGCCTCCCAAAGTGCTGGGATTACAGGCGTGAGCCACCACCCCCGGCCTTTCAGTTAAACTTTAAATGATAAATAATTTAAAATTATAATTATTTTACAGTATTACATGGGGTCATACTTATATTAAAACATATTCATTGTTTATCTGAAATTAAAATTACTTACGCATCCTGGTTTTTGTTCTTCTAAATCTAGCAACCATACCTCTGCCCAAGTTATTATTATGATATTCATTTTTTGTTGATTTAGTCCTAAGACTAGTCCAGAGAACCATAGCGTTGAATTGTTTGATTAGTTTCTTTCTTTTTTGAATATGGACACACAGTTTGATCTGTTAACAACTTTTTGAAGCTAAGCACGTTGTGTATCAAAACATATTCAGTATGTTTCAAGGTGAGAACATTATCACAACATTCTTTAGAAAATTTCTTTCACTACTCTACTTCAGACCTTAAAATACAGGGTATCATTGGTGTCTCCTATCTTCAATATTTCTGTTTTAAAATTTCACTTGTCCTTTATTTGTACTGGTAGAGTTTAAGGAAATGGTTTTTCTGTGAAATTCTTATTAAAAAACTTCAGTATATTAATTAGATAAAAATGTTTTATGTAAAGTATATTTTAAGTTTAAATGAGTTTAAACATAAACTTAAATAAGTGTGGTTTTCTCTATTTTTATTATATTTGGGTTTATAATAATATGCCTATTATGAATATGTTAACAACAATAAAATTATTTGATTCACGCAAAAAATGTGAAAGGTATATTGGGGAATATAGTTGTAATCCTATATTAGCTATAGCATCAAATTGATTTCTGTATTATTCGGTTTTACAGAAATGAGAAAATCTTTATTCACATGTTACAAGTGATATCCTTGGTTTTTGTTTGTTCATTTGTTTGTTTTCCAAACAACCTGCCCTGAAGTCTCAAGATACTCTTCATTTAAAATAAAGAGAAGCTGCTGGACATTTTTATCAAAATGATGCAGCAAAATCTAATATGTGAACCTGTTCTCATACAGTTAAATATTCAATTGAGAGTTTTTCATGTAGACACCAAGTCTAATATGATAATAGCTTTTGAAGCTAGGCATATTGTGTACCAAAATTTATTTAACGTATTTTTCATTTCTTATATCAACATGAGAACATTATCAGAGTGTTATTTAAAAAGTTTCCTATATCTCTTCACTTCTTGATGATTTTTAGATAAAATATTTATATGAAACTCCAATATATAAATCAGATTAAAAAGTTTGTATGAATGTATATTTTAAATTTAAATTTATATAACATGCTCATTATAAGTCTGTTAATAGGCCAGGAGCAGTGGCTCACGACTGTAATCCCAGCACTTTGGGAGGCCAAGGCGGGAGGATCACGAGGTCAGGAGGTCGAGACCATCCTGGCTAAAACGGTGAAACACCGTCTCTACTAAAAATACAAAAATTTATCGGGGCATGGTGGCGGGCGCCTGTAGTCCTAGCTACTCGGGAGGCTGAGGCAGAAGAAGGGTGTGAACCGGGGAGGCAGAGCCAGCCTGGGTGACAGAGCGAGACTCCGTCTCAAAAAAAAAAAAAAAAAAAAAGTCTGTTAATAAGAACAATGAAATTATTGAAGTCATTGTTCCATAATTTCATTATTAAGTTATTGAATTCAAACAATTACAAGTTACAGTCTAACTTGTAATTGTTTCCTAGAAAATACTCTTTCAAATTCATTTTTTGTAATAAGAGGTTTAACAATAAAATAACACGTATCAACTGCTTCATGCCTATACTTATTAGAAATTGTCTCAACATTTCAAGGCAGTCACATTTGTCTTTTTTTGCACACTAAGTTCAAATGTATATTCTTCTTTCATTCATCGAGCCACTGATTACTTTATCTACACAGATTTCACTGTATAATTGTGAATGTAATGTAATATAATGTAATATACATTCCACATTGTACATTGTGGAAGATCTACATTATGTGTAGATCAGAATGTTAACATTCTGATCTACATTGCCAGATTGAGTTCATCTGCTTAATAAATTCAGGGCAGAGAAACACTATAAAAGCCAGAAAAACTTTGAAACTATCCCTTACATCATGTTATAAGGACTAGAGTTGGTACACATTACTGAGAAAGCATGCACTGAGGACAGGGTGCCAGGCCTAGTCTTCTGACGTTCATCAGGGTGTTGCCCTGTTTGCTGTATTTGAGTGATTACTAGTCTATTTTAAGTTAATATACACATTTTTAATCTTCCTTAACAATGAGATATTCTCAGTAAGTGCAAATGTTTATTCTGAAATTGTAGAAAAAAATTTATTATGTGGTTTTCATAAAACAGGCTAAGCTGGCAGTATAAATTAATATATTACTTTACCCAATATGTTAAAATTTTATAATAACATGCTTAAGTATATGTTTTAATACAGATTTTTAACTTAACTAAACTATAGAATTTCTCTATGCATGTCTAATACCATTCCATGGTTTCAACTGCTATTTGGTGGAAATAATTTCTACATCTACGTGTAAAATTCACAGCCCCATAATTTCAGATCCATTACTTTGAACTGTCTGCCCTGCTGGAATCTCTCCTGGTAAAGAAGAAGAGTTACCTCTTGCTTATTTAACAATTCCCAACTTTTTCTGCCCCTACAGGCAAACAGTAAACCAGGAAAGTCTTTAAATGAAAACCATCAAAAGCTCATTTATATTAAAACTGTAGCCCCAGTTTTGAGAGTGGGTTTATCTTGTTGTTTAAATTTTTCCATTAAAAAAATACCATATAGTTATATAAGCCTGAGATTCTTTTTAATATTAAGAAGTGGTACCAAATTTTTACCCTGAAGTGCATTAAAGTTCCTTTTCCAAAAAGTTATCATTTGGGGGATTATTTGAAGTTGTTTCAATGGCAGGGAAAGATTTGGAATTTTGTGAGGGTAGGCACGTACCAGTGTTAGAGTGTATGAATTTAGATATATACTCTTTGAACACGAGTTTCAGAGATCATTATCTAAGTTTGAAAATCCAAGGCAGACTGGACATATCTAATTCAAATAACCTCCAGGCCTCTATAATGGTATATGAACTCTAATTTGATAATTCTGTTTCTAAATCATCCAATTCCTTCACCAGATACTCAAGCTAGAGTCTTAAGGTGATTTGAGTTCTTGTTTTTCATCCACTTGATCATAACCATTTGTTCATGAAGGCTGTTTAATTTTAAATATAAAATGTGTCATACATCTGTTTTCTTATTTTCATTTCTAATGGCAATTCACTTTTTCAGACCTTCACATCTGGTTTGTGATTGCCAAATTCCCAATTTTTCTTCTTCTAATATATTGAACATAGAACCTCAGGTTTTGTTTTTTAAAAACACAAAATTCAAGTGACTCTGTTCAGAAACGTGTGAAGTCTCTTAGTGTGTTTCGAAAACTCTCATAATATCTTCATTTCCCTTTACGATCTGACACATAATTACATGATTTCTCCCCAAACTCTTCACACCTACCTCCATCAAACACATGCAATGGACACAACCCATAGACTAACCAACCATACCAAAACTAAGATCCATTTTTACACTGCACCATTCACTTTCAAGTCTCTGGTCCTTAGTAATTTCTGTTTCCTCTACCAAAAACCTTCTTTCCTAAAAGTCTTCTCTATTAACATCCTTCTCATTTGAAAACCTTCAGGATATAGTTCAAATGCTACGTGAGACGTTGTTCAATTTCTCAAGTTGGAAGTAATTTCTCCTTCATATATGTTATTTTAAAAAGCTTTATGACATTGCCAATTAGAATGCCAATTATCAACAATATCACGATATTTTATGGTTATTTTTGAACATGTATGTCTCATTTGCCCCATTCCACTCCCTCACCTTAAAACTCCTTAATAGAAGTTATATTTTTCTCACTTTATTCATTTTAGGCACTGAATAAATATTTTCTGATGTATAAATGAATGAACAAATGGATAAACATGAATGATTAAAAATGAAGGATAAAAGAATTCCCACAAGTAAAAAACCCAAAGAGTAGATGAACCAGCATGAATAGTGGTTTTTTTTTTTGTTTTTTTTTTATTATACTTTAAGTTTTAGGGTACATGTGCACAATGTGCAGGTTAATTACATATGTATACATGTGCCATGCTGGTGTGCTGCACCCATTAACTCGTCATTTAGCATTAGGTATATCTCCTAATGCTATCCCTCCCCCCTCCCCCCACCCCACAACAGTCCCCAGAGTGTGATGTTCCCCTTCCTGTGTCCATGTGTTCTCATTGTTCAATTCCCATCTGTGAGTGAGAACATGCGGTGTTTGGTTTTTTGTCCTTGCGATAGTTTACTGAGAATGATGATTTCCAATTTCATCCATGTCCCTACAAAGGACATGAACTCATCATTTTTTATGGCTGCATAGTATTCCATAGTGTATATGTTCCACATTTTCTTAATCCAGTCTATCATTGTTGGACATTTGGGTTGGTTCCAAGTCTTTGCTATTGTGAATAATGCCGCAATAAACATACGTGTGCATGTGTCTTTGTAGCAGCATGATTTATAGTCCTTTGGGTATATACCCAGTAATGGGATGGCTGGGTCAAATGGCATTTCTAGTTCTAGAACCCTGAGGAATCGCCACACTGACTTCCACAATGGTTGAACTAGTTTACAGTCCCACCAACAGTGTAAAAGTGTTCCTATTTCTCCACATCCTCTCCAGCACCTGTTGTTTCCTGACTTTTTAATGATTGCCATTCTAGCTGGTGTGAGATGGTATCTCATTGTGGTTTTGATTTGCATTTCTCTGATGGCCAGTGATGATGAACATTTTTTCATGTGTCTTTTGGCTGCATAAATGTCTTCTTCTGAGAAGTGTCTGTTCATATACTTTGCCCACTTTTTGATGGGGTTGTTTGTTTTTTTCTTGTAAATTTGTTTGAGTTCATTGTAGATTCTGGATATTAGCCCTTTGTCAGATGAGTAGGTTGCAAAAATTTTCTCCCATTTTGTAGGTTGCCTGTTCACTCTGATGGTAGTTTCTTTTGCTGTGCAGAAGCTCTTTAGTTTAATTAGATCCCATTTGTCAATTTTGTCTTTTGTTGCCATTGCTTTTGGTGTTTTAGACATGAAGTCCTTGCCCATGCCTGTGTCCTGAATGGTAATGCCTAGGTTTTCTTCTAGGGTTTTTATGGTTTTAGGTCTAACGTTTAAGTCTTTAATCCATCTTGAATTGATTTTTGTATAAGGTGTAAGGAAGGGATCCAGTTTCAGCTTTCTACATATGGCTAGCCAGTTTTCCCAGCACCATTTATTAAATAGGGAATCCTTTCCCCATTGCTTGTTTTTCTCAGGTTTGTCAAAGATCAGATAGTTGTAGATATGCAGCCTTATTTCTGAGGGCTCTGTTCTGTTCCATTGATCTATATTTCTGTTTTGGTACCAGTACCATGCTGTTTGGGTTACTGTAGCCTTGTTGTATAGTTTGAAGTCAGGTAGCGTGATGCCTCCAGCTTTGTTCTTTTGGCTTAGGATTGACTTGGCAATGCGGGCTCTTTTTTGGTTCCATATGAACTTTAAAGTAGTTTTTTCCAATTCTGTGAAGAAAGTCATTGGTAGCTTGATGGGGATGGCATTGAAACTGTAAATTACCTTGGGCAGTATGGCCATTTTCACGATATTGATTCTTCCTACCCATGAGCATGGAATGTTCTTCCATTTGTTTGTATCCTCTTTTATTTCCTTGAGCAGTGGTTTGTAGTTCTCCTTGAAGAGGTCCTTCACGTCCCTTGTAAGCTGGATTCCTAAGTATTTTATTCTCTTTGAAGCAATTGTGAATGGGAATTCGCTCATGATTTGGCTCTCTGTCTGTTATTGGTGTATAGGAATGCTTGTGATTTTTGTACATTGATTTTGTATCCTGAGACTTTGCTGAAGTTGCTTATCAGTTTAAGGAGATTTTGGGCTGAGACAATGGGGTTTTCTAGATATACAATCATGTCGTCTGCAAACAGGGACAATTTGACTTCCTCTTTTCCTAATTGAATACCCTTTATTTCCTTCTCCTGCCTAATTGCCCTGGCCAGAACTTCCAACACTATGTTGAATAGGAGTGGTGAGAGAGGGCATCCCTGTCTTGTGCCAGTTTTCAAAGGGAATGCTTCCAGTTTTTGCCCATTCAGTATGATATTGGCTGTGGGTTTGTCATAAATAGCTCTTACTATTTTGAGATACGTCCCATCAATACCTAATTTATTGAGAGTTTTTAGCATGAAGCGTTGTTGAATTTTGTCAAAGGCCTTTTCTGCATCTATTGAGATAATCATGTGGTTTTTGTCTTTGGTTCTGTTTATATGCTGGATTACATTTCTCGATTTGCGTATGTTGAACCAGCCTTGCATCCCAGGGATGAAGCCCACTTGATCATGGTGGATAAGCTTTTTGATGTGCTGCTGGATTCAGTTTGCCAGTATTTTATTGAGGATTTTTGCATCAGTGTTCATCAAGGATATTGGTCTAAAATTCTCTTTTTTTGGTTGTGTCTCTGCCCGGCTTTGGTGTCAGGATGATGCTGGCCTCATAAAATGAGTTAGGGAGGATTCCCTCTTTTTCTATTGATTGGAATAGTTTCAGAAGGAATGGTACCAGTTCCTGCTTGTACCTCTGGTAGAATTCAGCTGTGAATCCATCTGGTCCTGAACTCTTTTTGGTTGGTAAGCTATTGATTGTTGCCACAATTTCAGTTCCTCTTATTGGTCTATTCAGAGATTCAACTTCTTCCTGGTTTAGTCTTGGGAGAGTGTATGTGTCGAGGAATTTATCCATTTCTTCTAGATTTTCTAGTTTGTTTGCCTAGAGGTGTTTGTAGTATTCTCTGATGGTAGTTTGTATTTCTTTGGGATCTGTGGTGATATCCCCTTTATCATTTTTTATTGCGTCTATTTGATTCTTCTCTCTTTTCTTCTTTATTAGTCTTGCTAGTGGTCTATCAATTTTGTTGATCCTTTCAAAAAACCAGTTCCTGGATTCATTAATTTTTTTGTAGGGTTTTTTGTGTCTGTATTTCCTTCAGTTCTGCTCTGATTTTAGTTATTTCTTGCCTTCTGCTAGCTTTTGAATGTGTTCGCTCTTGCTTTTCTAGTTCTTTTAATTGTGATGTTAGGGTGTCAATTTTGGATCTTTCTTGCTTTCTCTTGTGGGCATTTAGTGCTATAAATTTCCCTCTACACTTTGAATGTGTCCCAGAGATTCTGGTATGTTGTGTCTTTGTTCTCGTTGGTTTCAAAGAACATCTTTATTTCTGCCTTCATTTCGTTATGTACCCAGTAGTCATTCAGGAGCAGGTTGTTCAGTTTCCATGTAGTTGAGCGGTTTTGAATTAGTTTCTTAATCGTGAGTTCTAGTTTGATTGCACTGTGGTGTGAGAGACAGTTTGTTATAATTTCTGTTCTTTTACATTTGCCGAGGAGAGCTTTACTTCCAACTGTGTGGTCAATTTTGGAATAGGTGTGGTGTGGTGCTGAAAAAAATGTATATTCTGTTGATTTGGGGTGGAGAGTTCTGTAGATGTCTATTAGGTCCGCTTGGTGCAGAGCTGAGTTCAATTCCTGGGTATCCTTGTTAAGTTTCTGTCTCATTGATCTGTCTAATGTTGGCTAGGATTGCAACCCCTCCCTTTTTTTGTTTTCCATTTGCTTGGTAGATCTTCCTCCATCCTTTTATTCTGAGCCTATGTGTGTCTCTGCACGTGAGATGGGTTTCCTGAATACACCACACTGATGGGTCTTGACTCTTTATCCAATTTGCCAGTCTGTGTCTTTTAATTGGAGCATTTAGTCCATTTACATTTAAAGTTAATATTGTTATATGTGAATTTGATCCTGTCATTATGACGTTAGCTGGTTATTTTGCTCGTTAGTTGATGCAGTTTCTTCCTAGTCTCGATGGTCTTTACATTTTGGTATGATTTTGCAGCGGCTGGTACCGGTTGTTCCTTTCCATGTTTAGTGCTTCCTTTAGGAGTTCTTTTAGGTCAGGCCTGGTGGTGACAGAATCTCTCAGCATTTGCTTGTCTGTAGAGTATTTTATTTCTCTTTCACTTGTGAAGCTTAGTTTGGCTGGATATGAAATTCTGGGTTGAAAATTCTTTTCTTTAAGAATGTTGAATATTGGCCCCCACTCTCTTCTGGCTTGTAGAGTTTCTGCCGAGAGATCCGCTGCTAGTCTGATGGGCTTCCCTTTGTGGGTAACCCGACCTTTCTCTCTGGCTGCCCTTAACATTTTTTCCTTCATTTCAACTTTGGTGAATCTGACAATTATGTGTCTTGGAGTTGCTCTTCTCGAGGAGTATCTTTGTGGTCTTCTCTGTATTTCCTGAATCTGAACGTTGGCCTGCCTTGCTAGACTGGGGAAGTTCTCCTGGATAGTATCCTGCAGAGTGTTTTCCAGCTTGGTTCCATTCTCCCCGTCACTTTCGGGTACACCAATCAGACGTAGATTTGGTCTTTTCACATAGTCCCATATTTCTTGGGGGCTTTGTTCGTTTCTTTTTATTCTTTTTTCTCTAAACTTCCCTTCTCGCTTCATTTCATTCATTTCATCTTCCATCACTGATACCCTTTCTTCCAGTTGATCACATCAGCTCCTGCTTCACCATGAATAGTTTTCTTGTTGAATTACCAAATAGAAATAACGTTAGAGCCAGAAGATACGGAACTGAAGGAATGGCTCAGAGGCCTTGCATGCTGTGTGCTCTCTCTGCCTTTTCATTTGAGCTAGTCACCAGTACCTCTGCTCTAAATGCAAACTCTTCTACCTGCCAGGCAGAAAGTGAAGGGGTTTTGACAGTAACAACTATGGAAATCTTATGATGATAATTATTACTAAACACTTTGAAGTCAATCACGAACATGTTGTCAACATTTATTTAGGCTAAAGATTGTGGCTCTTGGCTGGGCACGGTGGCTCACGCCTGTAATCCCAGCACTTTCGGAGACCAAGGCGGGCAAATCACCTGAGGTCAGGAGTTCAAGACCAGCCTGGCCAACATGGTAAAACCCTGTCTCTACTAAAAATACAAAAATTAGCCGGGCATGATGGTGTGTGCTCTAATCCCAGCTATTCAGGAGGCTGAGACAGGAGAATCGCTTGAACCCGGAAGGCAGAGGTTGCAGGGAGCTGAGATGGTGCCATTGCACTCCAGCCTGAGCAACAGAGTGGGACTTCATCTCGTGGGGGTAGAAAAAAAAAAAGATTATGGCTCTCAAAACCAACAAACAAACAATTGGACCTGGGAAGGAAAACATCTGTATGTAAATGATGTCAATGAAAAAGTATATTCCATTTAGTATTCTCCCTACCAAGTTTATGTACTGCAAGAATAGGCTGCAAATTATATACCTTTACTGATATTTGAAGAACAATTACCTGATAGTTGGTATTTAATTGTGCCCAAGAAAGGAGAACTTATTTTGGTGATAATTTTTAACAGTCTTAGCTGAGAGCTACTTGGAGTTTATAGGGCTTACCTCAAAAATAATGGGTAGGTACATTGAATTGTCTCTCTAATTGGTGTCTTTGTGGAGGTAAAAACTAACATTAAGTGCCTGCCAGGTAAAGTAGATTGTAGGTGTTTTACATTTATTATAAAATGTTTATTCTTGTGATAACTCCATGAGGCAAATGCATACTTTTCATATGAGAATACTGAAGACCTGAGAAGGTTTAGCAGTATGTTTTAAGTTATTAAGCAAGCGATGTGTTGAGTTACAGTTTCTGTTTATTAATTGGCCTGTAGTAAACCATACTTCTAGTTAAACATAAAGCCATGTTAATACCAGTAAAGTATTTCCTTAAATTACCAGAGGTAAAAGTAGTTTAATTGTGGTGTCAGAGTAAAAATTAAAACCAATTCCACCTGGTGCCAAGGCCTGTCTTCATCTTTTGATAAAATCATACTCTCTGTGGTAAACTGGTTCATAAATATGGAGATGTTTACAAGTTTCCATGGTAAATGAGCTCTGTGCTTCCATTTGTCATCAGTGTTCTCGAAATTCCATTTTATTCTTCTTTACCATGGAGCTTTATTTAGTTCGCTATTACAACTTTGAGTTTATTTTTGAGAATATTATTTTATGTCCATAAATTTTCATAATCATACATTTATCCTGCTTCTCCAAGTTCCATTTCTGATTCTCACTAATATTTTTGCTATTGTAAGTGAATACTACTCTACTTTCTCTTCATTTTATGCTTTCCCTCATACAAATGTAGATCACATGTGTATTTTTAACAAGCAAGGATTAAAAATAAAATTAAATAAGGCTTATTTCCTGGAAGAGGTCATAGTCAAGCTAGGAGAAATGCATATGAACAGATTGCTATTTGTGAGTCTCCAAGATCACCCTCTGATCAATAATTAGAATAAATAGCAAAGGCCACCCTTCAGAGCTTGCTATAGCAAGCCAACCAGCCAGCTTAAATTGAGTTTGGCTAATAATTAAGGGCAGGGAGGGTAATGAAAACAATTTCTGGTGGAATAAAGGGAAGGCTTCAGGTATATCCTGATTGGAGGCTGTTGGAATGGGAAGTGGAAGGCAGGCTAACTAGACGCAGGCATCTTATGTGATTGGTTGGTGGAGCATATTTAGCTTCTCTAGTTCATTCTGATAAGAAAATAGAGGCAAAATTAGGGAATCTGATAGTTATTGATTAAGTCTTAAACATTTTGGGCTAGTTGCTACAGAGGTTATGGTTTGACTTCACCAGACTGGCATCTTCAGTCTGTGAATTAGAGTACTGTTTTTTGTTATGGTTTGGCCATTGTCTATTTGTGTCTTCAGTCTCTGAGCTTTATCAAAAAGCTCATAGAATAATAATCTATTAACCTTTTCAGCCCAAACAACAGTGTGTCAGAGCAATGAACATGTTTTGTGACAATGGCAATGTGACAGTGAGTCCATGTCCATAAGATCCACATCTTATTACTATGTCCCTATGTCCAGAGGCAGCCCTGAGTGGCTTGTCTCAATTAAGGTGCGAGGTTGGGGACAATCCCCAGTGAAGTTATGTAAGAAACTGGCAGATAATATATAACGTTCTGTCTGCAACAGCTGAAGTACTCAGATCTGGGAATCAAGGAGTAGAGGTAGAAGTGGTTCTCACCATCATTCCAGTGACCCAAGAGGTAAATTTGTGTTTCTCAGCCCTCCAAAATTAGTCTCAGCTTGATTAGAGGTTTAGTGTTTTTGACTCATGGAAAATTAGATGTGAATAAATTCTTCCTCTTTTTTCCTTTTGCATGAACTCTCTTGAAATGCAATTTATGTGGTTACTAGTGAGAGTTGTCTGGGAGATGGAGCAATTAATGCATTCTCATATTGGTTCTCCATCTCTTTCCCTTTCTTAACTGCAGCTCCATGTGATTTGTCCTTGCTGATGAAGCAGTAACATATACAGCATTGCTCTAGTGTCTGCATTCTGTGGAACGGAGGGTAAGATAACAAGGTCCCAAGAATCTCTTAGCTTTTTAGTTTATGAAGTGCATTCACTGCCCTGAGATAGCTGAAAAAAGATTAGGTTTAGGGCTAAAAGATCATTCATTGAGTTGGACTTAATAACTAATTTAGACATGCAGAAGAAAATACTAGGGAGGAATTTGGATATATGCATATGCAGCTCAGGAGACGTCAAGATTGGTTGCATAATATGATGGGAGTCATCAGTGTGTGGATTGCAGCTGAAGCTCTGATAGGCATGGATTGTTTACGGAGAGAATGTGGAGTAGTAAGATAAGCAGAACTGTGAACAATCTTGGGAAATAATACTACATGTATTACTCGAGGTGAAGAAAATGAAATTATATAGAAGTAGAGAAGCAGCTGATATGGAACATAAAACAACAAAGCAGGAGATTATGGAAGCTAAGAAAGAATAGTAGCTCAGACTTCAGGTGATTCACAACAGCATAGAATGCTACTGCAGAGTCAAGTAAAATAAAGAGCCAAAAGACACTTATTAAATGTGAGATCATGAAGATTATTGGTGATACTGGGAGAGGAGAGGTATTATTTCCTTAAAGAGTAAAGGGGGCAGAAGACACATTGAGCATTAGGAAATGGCACAAAGATAAGAAAGAGAATGGAACATCCTGTAAACTTCCTTCAATCTAATGGTGTTAAAATATAGCAGTAAGACTGAGTGAGGGATGCTATGTGGAGGGGAGTCTTTTCTAAAAAGACACTTTGTATTGCTATGAAAATTCTCATAATGCGAGGAAAGGCGAGTGTGTTTGTTTTTTCTACTTGGAAAACATCTAATGCAGTAGATTTTGTAATAGCCTGTGGTCCCTAGATGAAATAAGGAAAGACTTCAGGGGATAAGTAAACACTCTAAATTTGTATGAAAACTGTGTGTGTGTGTGTGTGTGTGTGTGTGTGTGTGTGTGTGTGTGTTTTACTAGGGAAAACAGGCATTTATCCAGTTTTCAAAGAGGTTCAAAAATTCCAAAAGATAGTCACTTATGTAGGGTATGTTCCAGAAGCTCTGTTTACAGAAGATTTGTTGCTTTAAAAGCAAGAAGGTTTTAAAATTGCTGAACAAAAATACAGGACTGTAATTATGATCATAAGTATGCTTGTGTGGATCTGAAACGTGGGAAACCATGCAGACTCTGATAGCAGCAAGATAATTACAGGCAGCATGCAGAATGTAATTGCAGGTGTGAATGCCAAGAACTAAGAGAAGCATGAACATATAAGGAATATAAAAAAAAAGTTAAGTCAAGGTGCTTGAAATAGCAGGTAAGGTAATTTAGGTTTCCATGGGGCAATTTCTAGAACAGTGGTAAGACATCAATCTGCTGAATTATTAATTATATTTGAAAACCAAAGATCTAAAATATTAATTAAAAAGCAGGCTCTTTCCGTGGGCTGGAGTGGTCTGTATTTTCTTCAACCTATCCCCTGTGGTTAACATAAAAAGTAACAGAAAAATGATAATTTGAGAATTATCATAATAAGAAATATAACATTATTACATTTTATATATTAATGAATTTATAACATCCACTTTTAGTTAAAAAACCTTTTTTCTGTGTAAGCTCAGGTTTGCAAATATTATGAAATAGAAAAAAACTGCCAAATACTAGACATACTTTTTCCTATTTTATGTGTTTTTTAGTAATACTTATTATTTCTCCAAATAGTAAATATCAGTGAACTATTAATACTAGGAAATTCACAGAGAGAAGGACTCCATATTTGATTTTTGACGCTTTTTTTGTCATTATATTTCACATATTTAGCTCAATCAAGCGAGATTGGAGTTTCTAGAATAGAAGTTGGAATCAAACGCAAAATGCAGACTTAGCTCTAAATCTGTTGCTTTTCTCTGTTCAGAACTCTATCAGTTCTATTCTAATGTTTCCCACTTGTTGATCAAACCCTCTCCAGTGCATTCACTTTTACACTATTTGTGTTTCTTTAAGTCTTTTGGCTCCTTTTCATTCCTTCCATCATCAGGCTTGGAGTTGCTCCTGTTAAACCTTCAGCTCTAATGTTCCTCTCCACTATGAGTGGAGACTTCCATGGTTCAGCTACCTTCTTGTACTTATGGCATACCTAAAGTAGCAACTCTAGTTATTATATCTTATGTTCTTTTCAAGTTTCCTTTTTCAGTAACCGCCAAATAACCTTCATTGTTAGTTCCTTTTCTGCCTAAATTAATATGTTGGTACTGAACTCATAATTTCCTCCCACTTACTGCTTCCTGTTGTTTCTTGTTACAATTCACTTACTAGTTATAAAATATTGAAGTTATTTTTTGTTCTGTCTCCCATTCTATCATTTTCTTTAATATCTGTTATTGATACATTATTTATTTACCAAATATCTCTCAGAATTAAAATCTAGTTCCTTTAAGAATTAGAAGTGTCTCCAGCTTTCCTAGTCTCTCTTTTGTTTTCACTGAAAGCGCTCTGCAAGTGTGTGGGGACTCAGTCAATAAGGCATCCATCATTTACACAAATTCATTCTTAGATCTTACTTTCTAATGCTTTGATTTTGACTTCAAGAGGTACTTTTAGGTTTATAACTTTATAGAAACAGAATAATAGTGGTTTCTAAACTAAATTATATCTTTTGCTGATATGTTAAGCTGAATTTTTGATTGGGAATTCTTGCAGTCAGAAATTGCAGAAAGTGCAATAGCAATTTGAATGGATGTTTGCAAGAAATAAATGGGGGAGGAGACAACATGGATAACCCTGGAAGACATTATGTTAAGTGAAATATGCCAGGCACAGAAAGACGAATACTGCATAATCTCACTTACATGTGGAATCTTAAAAAGTCCAAATCATAGAAACAGAGAGTAGAATGGTAGTGACCGAGGGATGTGATAGGGAGGGGTTTCAGGAGATACTGGTTGGAGGATACAAAATTTCAGTTAGAAGGAATAAGTTCAGTAGATCTATTGTACAATATAGTGATCATAGTTAATAATGCATTCCATACTTAAGAATTGCTAAGAGAATAGATATGAAGTGTTCTCACACATTAAGAACACATGAACACAGAGAGGGGAACAACACACAACAGGGCCTGTTGGGGGACGGAGAGTGAGGGGAGGGTACTTAGAGGATGTGTCAATAGGCGCAACAAACCACCGTGGCACATGTATACCTATGTAACAAACCTGCACATCTGCACATGTACCCTCCCCCCCCTTTTTTTTTTTAGAAGAAATAAATTTTTTTTTTTAAAAAAAGAATGGTTAAACTAAGCTCTCTTCCAGCCAATCCGTAACCCATCTGAAATGCCAATGTGGTCAATAAACACTGTTTCACTAGCAAAAAAAATGTTATCATTACAAAAAATAAGTATATAAGGTAATGAATGTGTTAATCACCTTGATGTAGTCATTCCACAATGTATACATATATTGAAACAGTGTAATTTACACTACAGTTATATGGAATTTTTGTTAATTTTTTTAAAAAGGTGGGGCCGGGCACAGTGGCCATTGCACTCCAGCCTGGGTGAGAGAGCAAAACTCCATCTCAAAAAAAAAAAAAAAAAAAAAAAGGTGGTATACCCTTTCTATCTCTCTTTCTCTCTCTCTCACACACACACATTTTCACCTTCTCCCTTGTTGTTCAGAAATGTCCATTCCAAAGCAATTAAATAAATAATGTACAGTCTAACTCATGCCTAATTCTGAGGGATCCTAAAACAAAAGCAGCAAGTGACCTGTGGATTGTTTTGCTCAACATTAAAAAAAGTAACTTAAAAAGTGTTTTTACCCTTTAGCTAAAATGTTTGTGTAAACAGAGCATTCAGTCCAAGGGTTGGTGAATTACCTAAAGGTATTAAACACATTATCCAATATGTCAATAATTGTTATGTGTTGTGTCATACATTATGGTGGCAATACATTATCCATCAGTGTGATATGTATGATACTTTTTTAGCCAACTGTGCCGTTCTTTTTTTCTTTCCATTTTTCTGTAGGATGTTCCAAACACCAGACAGAACAGATCCCAGTAGAATGTAAGTCAGCAAGACTGGCAGGAATAACTGCAATAAAGCTAAGCTCAAGTAGGGACTTTTGTAATCTAAAAGCCATTCTCTCTCATTTACCTTTATGGAGCCCTGTGTTAACAGATAAGTCCCAAAACTTTCCTTAGGCCTATATTTGGTAGACCTGGCACTGAAAGTTTATGAGGTAGTGGGAATGGACATGGTCAGGCTGGTTGACCATGGTCACAGCATGGTGCCAATCTCTTACGTACTTATGCAGGTAGTCAGGGCATCTTGGCTTAGAGGTTGCAATTTTTTTGAGGATCATTTGCCTGGTGTACTTTGAGCAGCAGCTAAGGAGAAAAGGAAATGGACTTCCCTGTCACCAGCCAGGGCACAGCACTTTGGTTTGACCCCTAGTGAGAAAGGGTAGACTGTGTGCACACATGAACTGAGTTGCAAGATGGGGCCCCAAGTGTGCCTGTGAGGATCTACACTCTCCCAGCAACAAATAGAAAACACCATGAAAGCTTGAGAGGCAGAAGAAGAAAGGAACACGTTTGATATTTCAGTACACTTAATGGCACTTTTTCTTGCTTTCTGAATAAGAAACCAAGCATTTCCATTTTTCACTGGGAGCCACCAATTATATAGCTGGCCGTGGGCATGGATGTCAAGTTTCAAGTAGGATTTTATATTTAATGTTTTTTCTTGTCTATTAGGTAGTTATAGTGTCAAGATTTACTCAAACTTTTAACACTTTCTCTCTACCTCACTCATCCGGAGTATAAAAAGGAAGTACAGTTCATGGAACAAGAAAAGGCAATCAAACCAGAGAAAGAGCCTCTAAGTATCCACTATGGGAAGGGACAACTGTAACTGGTCTACCATTAAGTTTATCTATTTGGCTAATATTTGAGGGGCGTTGATGAATGAAGGTAAAAAGCTGATGACAAAGTCTCCAGACAGATTCACAATGGTATGCCATGGTATACATGATGGTCCTGTGGCAGGTGGCCTTGCTCTGCAGAGGTATTCTTTGGATATTTGTCCACTAGGGGAGAAAAGTGAGTGTGGGTCGTTATTAATGAAAATACCTGAAATCAAAAGTGTAGTTGCATAAATATGGAGGTATTTGGGGAGGAATATATAATAATGTTAGTGAAAAGTCTGGGTTTGGAAAAAGAAATAATTACTTCTTTTGGCTAGTGATATTTGGAATTTTGTTAGACCATCATTTGGAATGAAATTTCACATTTGGAATGAACCTTCTGCTGTGGTAAAGAATTATAGACTTAAGAAACAAATCTATGGTTGGGTTATGTTGATTTGGTTTGCACACTGGGACACTGTGAAATAGCTTCCCTAAAACCTTAATTTTGTTTTGTAATGCTGACTGTAATGAGTACCATGAAAGGGAGAGAATTGTGTTAGATTCATTATAGTGTTGCCCAACACAATTGCAAGCTTGGCTTGGAAATCTAAAAAGAGCTTGATGATCCCTAGGGCTGAGAGTTTTGTTTGTTTGTTTTAGAAGAGGACTTGTTGGCCTCCTCCCTGACCTGCTTGCACATTGAATATATCTTTCTCCGTCTTTATGTCACGGGAGAGACTTGGGTAACCGTATTTTTAAGCAACATAGAATAATTCTGTTTACAGTTTGAATACAATTCTGCCTTTTTTAATGCTTTATGTTTGTTTTTGAATGAGTTATGGTCTAGAATTTGCTTAGAATTTGGAGTATTTTAATATTTTAAGATCCTACAGATAACAGGCCTTCAAAGATATTTGTTAAGTTTAAATACATATGCAGAAAATTCCATGCTTTTAATCCAAATAGCACAGGAGACGTAAAATTAAATTTCTATTACTGAGAAAAAGAAGACAATAATTTTAAAACATATAAAGTCTGTATATAGCACATTGAATAGATATTAATAAAATAATTGTTTTAACTGATTTATTTTAGCTAAGATAAAATGTGATCAGTCTATATAGATGATATTGTAAAATTTAACCTGTGTTGAAAGTTATATAAAATATTTTTTGAATCAATATTTCTTTGGCAAAACCATTATTGTATGCTGTTAGACGACATGGCCTAAGAATCTCTTGTTCCCTAAATATTTATTCACCCTGTTTTTTGTTTGTTTGTTTTTCTTAGAGTTCTAGCTCTGTTGCCCAGGCTGAATTGCAGTGGCGTGATCATAGCTCACTGAAGCCTCGAACTCCTGGGCTCTAGCTATCCTACCACCTTAACCTCCCAAGTAGCTGGAACTACAGGCACGTGCCAGCACACTGAGCTTCACCTTATTCTTTAGGCTTAAAACACTTAATAGTGGAAACATAGAAACAACTTCCATTCCATGATTTTTTTTACCTTTGAACAATGTATACTGAGAAAAGGACATATTGGTTGAATTCATGGTCTGTATATATAACTGACACATTTTGATCAAGAAAGAATAAGGAAACTGGGCAGAGGGAATTTTGACCCCAAAGGAAAGGAGAGAAAAAGGCTGTAAAAGTTACTGAAGACAAGTGCCTATTTCATAATTTCCTCCTGACTCTTAAATTCAGAAAGTCAGGTGACAAGACTTTAATGGAGTATTCATTCTCATTCTTATGTGATAAAATATTATAATCCACTAGGGGCCCTCTTAATCACTACGTGATATGCTTTATGAAACAAATCCTCTAATCTCTCTCAAAAGGGCTAGAGGAAATAAAATAACCCACAAATTCCACTTTGAGATTAGTGGCCTTTTTTTATAATTAAAAATATCTTGAGGAGTGAGATTAAATGAACCGCTTCTCAATTAAAATGTACAAGTATTACTTTACTAGGTTATGAATGACTTTAATATCCCTCAAAGCATTGATGCATTCAGATCATTGGCTGCATATGAACTTCTGACTTTCTAGTTTAATAACAGGAGTGCCAGAACATGTCTTACAGTGATTGACTTCTCTGAGGGGCTATAAAAACAAAGTCAATTCAATGGAAGTCTTTGGGACCTATTGTTTGCTACACTCTGTAGATCTAGGGTTCTCACCCTGTGATCTGTGAGTATGTTTCAGCAAGTCAATAAACACTGTAAAAGAGCGTGCAGTATTTGGTGTGTATGTGCTGGTGCTGGGGTGACAGCACAGGTTTCATCAGTCACTTAGAGAGTGATTCATAACTAAAACAAGTAGACGCATGACAGCATGGTTTCTCAGTCTTAGCACTGTTGACATTCGGTGTCGGGTAATTTTTGTGGTGGGAGTTGTCCTGTGTGTTTTAAGATGGTAGGATGTTTACTAGCATCCCAGACCCTTAACAATTAGGTGTCAGTAGCCGCTGTTCCCTATACTAACCAGTTTGGGCCAAAAACAGGCTCCACATGTGGCCAAACCTTTCTCAAGAGAAATCATCCCAGGTTGAGAACCACTACACTACAGTACAGATATTATAATACATAGAGGTATATATTTTTTACTGGCATATAACATTTTATTTTATTCTTACCACATCTTGTGACACATATAATTCCAGCAGGCAACTGTATTTATCCCTAAATAAGCATAGTAAAAATGCAACCATTTATTGTTCTTTGCCTTAGAGTAGAAGAGAAGGTAGACACAATCATATGGCTTACCACTAAGCCTTGAATTATAAAGTAGTCAATTTTGAAGCAAAAGAGATTTCAGTCTTAGTTTCCCCATTTTTACACAAGTGCCTTTGAAAATGTCCTGGATGGATCTTAGTATCTTCATCTATGAAAGGTTATTCATATTAATTAAGCCTATGTCATAGGGTGTTTCAGCATCAAATAAGATCCTGGGTATAAAAATGTTCTGTAAACTGTAAAGTGCTTTTGAAACATAAGGTGGCATAATTAAAAGACTGTGGAGAGTGGCAGGAAAAGCGAACTCTCTCTCAATATGTTCCCTCTCAATAAATACATGTGGAGGGAACCCCAAAGTGGAAGGTACCCACTTTTCAATGTGGTCAGAATGACCCATACACTGTTGAGTTAATTCATTTTATCTCACTGTTAAATTTACCCTTCCTCTATGTTTTTTGTTTGTTTGTTTGTTTTTGATGGAGTCTCACTCTGTCACCGAGGCTGGAGTGCAGTGGCGTGATCTCGGCTCATTGCAGCCTATGCCTCATGGATCCAAGTGATTCTCCTGCCTCAGCCTCCTGAGTAGTTGGGACTACAGGTGCACATCACCACAGCGAGTTAATTTTTGTATTTTTAGTAGAAACAGAGTTTCCTCATATTGGCTAGGCTGGTCTCGAACTCCTGACCTCAAGTGCTCCACCCACCTCGGCATCCCAAATTTCTGGGGTTACAGGCATTGGCCACCATGCCTGGCCCCTTCCTGTATGTTCTATAATACTAAATTGTGTGTATAGAGTATTACAACTATATTATTTATAAATAGGTCAAATCACATTTTTTTTCAGTTTATATTCAAAGGTGTTTTAACAATAGAATCATGAGCAAAAATTTTAGAGACCTCCATCCTGGAAAACAGTGTTCTGGAGAACAGTGTGAGTCTTGTGGCTTGTGGGAGTACTTTTTTATTTACATGATTTCAAATTATTGCATTAGCTGCTAAAAAAATAAACTAGGGCTTCTCAAGTTGGATGAGCATCAGGATCACCTGCAGAAGTCTGTTAAAATTTGACGGTCTTTGCACAGCCCTAGATCTGCTAAATCAATTCCAGTATCTCCATGAAACCCAGCATCCATGCAAACATGATAAGAAGTGACTTAAACCCTTAGCAGTTAATAAGCTAGCTACTAATTATTGTCTTTACAAATTTAACAAATATAGGTAGGAGTATTTAGGAAGATTTCCAGAACAGAGGAAAGAGATACAGATAGAAATGTAGAAAGAAAAGGTTATATTTCTAGTAGCATTTTTCTAGAACAATCTCTGGCCTTTGTATTTATCTTTATATATAACTTTAGACTCTGTACTGTAAAAAATTAACACCTTATTTCTTTTTTGCCCCTATGCTATGGATTTTCAAATATTGGAGAATTAGAAAATGCTATGAATTATCGTTTTTATTATTCCTTGTAGTCTTTTATCTTTAGTGAGAACTATTCTTTAGGTACTGCAGAGATTTTATAGCTTGTCACGGTTTCTACTATATTAAGAATCAAGTCTAACAAAATCAGAATAGATGCTAAGCCTGGAAACCCACAGGAAACATGTTATTCTTCAGTATTTGCAAAGCACTGATAAAAACATCTCTCTTCTCTCAATCTTGCTTCCTTCTTTTCATTTACTAAATAGGCTTTTGAGCCTCACAAGACTTTGAGATTTTATGGATATGAAACCTGCTATCATTTAGCATCCTGCCTCTGGGAATAGGTGAGTAGTGTTACCTTTGATAGAAGAGCTAGATCATTCTGTAATGATGAATAAAGATTTTCTGGGTAATTGGAATTCAAGGGCAGGATTTTCATATATGTGGCTGTACCACAGAAAAGCTGTATGTCAGTGGGTTCTTATCTGTTTGTGTTATTTTTTAGATGAAAACATTTGGCCCAGTGGTGTTAATTTGCTGCATTATTTAAGAATATTCTATTTTATCCATTGAAAATAAGAGAAATTAATAAGGTAGGTGAAATGGATTATAGAAGTATGTAGCTTGTGAGATATATTGACAGAAAGAAAGTAACACATATAAATAAGAAGGAATGGTCCCTCTCCCTCTCCCTCTCCCTCTCCGTCTCCCTCTCCGTCTCCCTCTCCCTCTCCCCTCTTTCCATGGTCTCCCTCTGATGCCGAGCAGAAGCTGGACTGTACTGCTGCCATCTCGGCTCACTGCAACCTCCCTGCCTGATTCTCCTGCCTCAGCCTGCCCAGTGCCTGCGATTGCAGGCGCGCGTCGCCACGCCTGACTGGTTTTCATATTTTTTGGGTGGAGACGGGGTTTCCCTGTGTTGGCCGGGCTGGTCTCCAGCTCCTAACCGCGAGTGATCCGCCAGCCTCCGCCTCCCGAGGTGCCCGGATTGCAGACGGAGTCTCCTTCACTCAGTGCTCAATGGTGCCCAGGCTGGAGTGCAGTGGTGTGATCTCGGCTCGCTACAACATCCACCTCCCAGCAGCCTGCCTTGGCCTCCCAAAGTGCCGAGATTGCAGCCTCTGCCCGGCCGCCACCCCGTCTGGGAAGTGAGGAGCGTCTCTGCCTGGCCGCCCATCGTCTGGGATGCGAGGAGCCCCTCTGCCTGGCTGCCCAGTCTGGAAAGTGAGGAGCATCTCTGCCCAGCCGCCATCCCATCTAGGAAGTGAGGAGCGCCTCTTCCCGGCTGCCATCCCATCTAGGAAGTGAGGAGCGTCTCTGCCCGGCCGCCCATCGTCTGAGATGTGGGGAGTGCCTCTGCCCTGTCGCCCCGTCCGGGATGTGAGGAGCGTCTCTGCCCGGCCGCCCCGTCTGAGAAGTGAGGAGACCCTCTGCCTGGCAACCGCCCTGTCTGAGAAGTGAGGAGCCCCTCCGCCCAGCAGCTGCCCCGTCTGAGAAGTGAGGAGCCTCTCCGCCCGGCAGCCACCCCGTCTGGGAAGTGAGGAGCGTCTCCGCCCGGCAGCCACCCCGTCCGGGAGGGAGGTTGGGGGGTCAGCCCCCCGCCCGGCCAGCCGCCCCCTCTGGGAGGTGAGGGGCACCTCTGCCCGGCCGCCCCTACTGGGAAGTGAGGAGCCCCTCTGCCTGGCCGCCCGCCCCGTCCAGGAGGGAGGTGGGGGGGTCAGCCCCCCGCCCGGCCAGCCGCCCCGACCGGGAGGGAGGTGGGGGGGTCAGCCCCCCGCCCAGCCAGCCGCCCTGTCCAGGAGGGAGGTGGGGGGGTCAGCCACCCGCCCGGCCAGCCACCCCGTCCGGGACGTGAGGGCCGCCTCTGCCCGGCCGCCCCTACTGGGAAGTGAGGAGCCCCTCTGCCCGGCCACCACCCCGTCTGGGAGGTGTACCCAACAGCTCATTGAGAACGGGCCATGATGACAATGGCAGTTTTGTGGAATAGAAAGGGGGGAAAGGTGGGGAAAAGATTGAGAAATCGGATGGTTGCCGTGTCTGTGTAGAAAGAGGTAGACATGGGAGACTTTTCATTTTGTTCTGTACTAAGAAAAATTCTTCTGCCTTGGGATCCTGTTGATCTGTGACCTTACCCCCAACCCTGTGCTCTCTGAAACATGTGCTGTGTCCACTCAGGGTTAAATGGATTAAGGGCGGTGCAAGATGTGCTTTGTTAAACAGAGGCTTGAAGGCAGCATGCTCCTTAAGAGTCATCACCACTCCCTAATCTCAAGTACCCAGGGACACAAACACTGCGGAAGGCCGCAGGGTCCTCTGCCTAGGAAAACCAGAGACCTTTGTTCACTTGTTTATCTGCTGACCTTCCCTCCACTATTGTCCTGTGACCCTGCCAAATCCCCCTCTGCGAGAAACACCCAAGAATGATCAATAAAAAAATAAATAAATAAATAAATAAAGAAGGAATGGAAGGTATTATGGGTTGAATTGTGTCCCCCAAATTCATATATTGGGGTCTTAACCCCCAGTATCACAGAATGTGACCTTGTTTAGAATTAGTGGTGTTGCAGATGTAAATGGTTAAGATGACATCATACTGGAGTAGGGTGAGCTCCTAATCCAATATGACTTGGTGTCCTTATAAAAAAAGAAATTTGGACACAGACATGCACAGAGGGATAACGGCATGTGAAGATGAAGACAGAGATTGGGGTGATGTAGCAGAAGCCAAGGAATGCAAAAGATTGCAAGCAGACCACCAGATGCTAGGATGGAGATGTGGGATAGATTCTCCTTGAAAGCTCTGAGCAGGAATCAATGCTGTGGACATATTGACTTCAGACTTCTAGTCTCCAAAACTTTGAAACAGTAAACTTCTGTTGTTGAAGCCACATAATTCATGGTACCCAGTTATGGCAGCTCTAGCAAACTAATCCAGAAGGACTTAGGCACAAAATGTTCATGAGGAATTCAGGACAAATGCATGTGGCTTAAGTAGGATTCAGTAAGTGCTTATACCCTGTGCAAAGTGTATTAATTTACCTATCTCTTTCCTGTTGATTTTTGTTGTGTGTTTAAGATTGACTCAATAAGCTGTGTGATGTAAGCATTTCAATTTGGTTTGTGAAACTTCCTGTTTCATGACATGCAGATTAGCTTGCAAGATCGTATACTTAGAAGCTTTTTGTCACATTAGTGCCATATCCCAAGTTCATAAGACCTTTAGAACCTCAAATCTAGTTGTTTTTGCACTCCTCAAAGTACTGTGTGGATCTTTATGAAAACTGTAATATTTCCTTATATTTAAGTTTTGTTATAATAGAAAACAGGTTTAAGGCTGAGTGCAATGGCTCATAGCTGTAATCCCAGCACTTTGGGAAGCCAAGGTGGGAGGATTGCTTGAGGCCAGGTGTTTGATACCAGCCTGGGCAACATAGCAGCAAGACCCTGTCTCTACAGACAAAATTAAAAAAATAAATTAGCTGGGTATGGTGGCACATGCCTCTAGTCCCAGCTACTCTGGAGGCCAAGGTGGAAGGATTGTTTGAGACCAGGAGTTCAATCAAGGTTGCAGTGAGCCATAATCGTGACACTGCATCCTTTTTCAAAAAAAAAAAAAAGAAAGATAAAGATGGAAGGAAGGAAGGAAAAGAAAACAGGTTTAAGACCTTCTCATGACACTGTATCCTTTCTCAAAAAAAAAAAAAAAAAAGAGAAAAGGAAGGAAGGAAGGAAGGAAAAGAAAGCAGGTTTAAGACCTTCTGGAGAATGGACAAGTCTGGAGAAGTTTTATTTGGAAATGTGAGTGTCATCTACTTTAGGAAAATTTCGATTTTACTAATGATATAATTAATATTTCCCCTAGTCACAATTCTGTTTCTCGTTTTTATTTCTGGGTTGTGATTTTATTTAAGAAATATTAAAGATGTTTCTGAAAACATTGACTTACGACAATGAAGTCTACTTTTTTCCCCACATTTATCTTATGTGATGATATAAATCTGTTTAAAATGTTCACCTTCATTTCATTTTTATTCTTACTGAAACATTTCTAAAGTCTTAAAATAAAGTCACAAAGAAGCCCCAAAGTCCTTAGAAATAAATTTTGTGAAGGATGTTCTATATTTGCTTATAGTAAGTAACCTCCTGATTGCATTGATTTTCAAGGCTTGCCTGACATTGCTCAACTTCTGCATTTGTAGGTTAGTTGTTTGTCATATGTGCAAATTCCCTTCAGGTATTTTTAGGTTTATGTTTATTTCTGCTCTTTTATATTTAACTTCTCATAGAAACCAGGAGGGGTATCATTTGATGGTTTGCTTATTGTTTGATAGTTGAGATTCTCTTGAGGCAGGGGTCAAATTAACTCATGAGTTGTGATCCTAGAATTTACTTTTCCTCTGCCTGTTTCTTCCTATAAGTAGGGATTTACCATTCAAACAACCTATTTCAGTAAGGGATACTGAAAGTGAACAGCCTGATTGCTAATAAAACTGAGTAAAATTAAATAGTGCAGGGCTAAGTCTATCCATCTCTAGTGGTGAAAAGACCTTTCATTATAAACATAAAGCAGTGATGAATTCATCCACTTCACCAAAACAGGTTTTGCTTTGGCTACTAGATATTTAGACTTATAAATTTTAGTCTAGTTATTTCCAAAAAGTAATTTTGTAAATCAGCTAGTAGCATGTTGCTTGGATCCTTAAGCCCAAGAGTCAGCCTCTGTGTGAAATTCTGGCTGTAGCCGTAGTGCCTGTGTGACCTTGGGCCAGTTACTTAATCCCATAGGCCTCATGCTTTCCATCTGTGAAATGAGGGTCATAAAAGCAGCCACTTTCCAGGGATATTATAAAAATTAAACAAGATAATACTATAGAAAAATTCTGAGCATAATGTCTGGCATGTTGGAAGGGCTTTATACCTGCTACCTCTTACGAATTTTTACTTTCTAATATTCAGTTTGGTTTAGCATTGTATTTATTTTTCTTTCTGAGTGAGGCATTTGGATTAGAAAGCTGTCAGATACTGACCCTTTCATGGAGGCTCTCAGCAATCTAACTGAGGAGAAAACACACATGAAATTATTTCACTGTATTAGGATAAAGACATGCAGTGGGTACACTGTCAGTACAGAAGAGGGTACTCACCCCAGTGTGGAGAGTCAGGAAAGGTTTTCCACACAATCATGAAAGCTAAGTGAAATGTAGTCAGGGGGTTAGAAGGAGAAAGCTTGAGCAATAGCCAAGAGCTATATAACACCCTACTATATGCAGGCAACCAAAACTCGCTGAATTCTAAACAGTAAAATACAAAGTGGGGAAAATGGAAAATGAATTGAGATAAATACTCTCCTGGTAATACCATACTAAGGAGCTTGGCCTTTGTTCTTTGAGTGATAGAAACCAAGTGAAGTACAGTCATGCACTGCCTAACAATGTTGTGGTCGATGATAGACTGCATACATGTTGGTGGTCCCATGAGATTATCATGGAGCTGAAAAATTTGTCACCTAGTGGGCATGACATCATAGCACAATGCATTACTAATGTGTTTGTGGTGATGCTGCTGTAAACAAACTTACTGCACTGCCAATCATATAAAAGTATATCACATACAATTATGTACTTTATATAATACTTGATAATGATAATATACAACTATATAACTAGTTTATTTTTTACAACACTACACTTTTTAATTATGATTTCAGAGTGTACTCCTTTTACTTATAAAAAAGAAGTTAACTGTAAAGCAGCCTCAGGCAGGTCCTTCAGGAAATATTCCAGAAAAGGCATTATTATCATAGGAGATGACAGCTCCGTGTGTTACTGCCCCTGAAGACCTTCCAGTGGGACAAGGTGTGGAGGTGGAAGACAGTGATATTGATCATCCTGACCCTGTGAAAGCCTAGACTAACATGTTTGTTTGTGTCTTAGATTTTAACAAAATTTTAAAAGGTAAAAAATAAAAATAAAAATTTAAAATAAAATAAGGATATATATTTTTGTACATCTATACAATGTGTTTGTAATTTAAGCTAAATGTTATTACAGAAGAGTCAAAAAGTTAAAACAAAATTTAAAAGTTTCTAAAATGTTAACATTTATAGGATTATAAAAATGTTACAGTAAGCTGTTTATTTTTGAAGAAAAAAATTTTAAATATAGTGTGGCCTAAGTGTACAGTGTTTATGAAGTCTACAGTTGTGTACAGTAATGTCCTAGGCCTTTGTAGTCACTCCTCACCACTCACTCACTTACTCACCCAGAGCAATTTCCAGTTTTACAAGTTTCATTTATGGCAAGTTCCCTAGATAGGATGAGTATTTTTATCTTTTATGTCATATTTTTACTGTACATTTTCTATGTTTAGATACACAAATATTATGTTACAATTGCCTACAGTGTTCAGTACAGTAACATGCTGTATGGATTTGTAGCCTAGGAGCAATAGTCTATCTCATACAGCGGAGGTGTGTAGTAGGCCATACCATCTAGATTTGTGTAAGTGCCCTCTGTGATGTCCGCACAACAATGAAATTGTCTAACAATGCATTTCTCAGAACATGTCCCTGTTATTAAGCAACCCATGACCATATTTAAGCAGAGTTGTGCTATGGAGCTCTCTGGTTGATGTGTGGAAGATACATTTAAAGAAGCCAAGGCTTCTTTAACAGAAGAGAGAGAAAGGTAATAGAAGTGATCATGACCACTCATATTGAGGAAGCAACAGCAGAGGTGGAGAAGACAAGGTGGGGATGAAAAATATGTGGATGGTAAAGCAGGCAGGACTTGATGATTGGCTGAAATGTAGGCGTCAGAACCAGAAAAAGTGGGATGAATCCAGGTTCCTGGATTGTGTAACAGTGTGGATGGGGCTGCTACTGAAACAAAGAAGACAGGAGTAGGATGAAGAGTAGGGGAGGGGCAGAGGGAGAGGAAAAACTGTAATGATGTGTTGACTTTGACACCTTTTCTTATGAGACATCCAGGAGAAAACAAGGATGCAAGGATGAGGGTAGTACTGAAGCCAATGAAGCAATAGTTTGTTACACCATATGTTACTTACTAGGTGCCAAGAAGAAATCACACTTGAATCCACATGAGTATTTAAAACTTAAAGCAGGGAAAAGTGTTGAGCTTTATAGTGAAAAGAAATATAATTTATGGATGATTATGTTTGTACTAAACCTCTCTGCTAATCCTGTTAATTTTATATATCTACTTTTTTTTTGAGACAGAGTGTCGCTTCGTCGCCCAGGCTGGATTGTAGTGGCATGATCTCAGCTTACTGCAACCTCCGCCTCCCGGGTTCAAGGGATTCTCATGCCTCAGCCTCCCAAGTAGCTGGGACTGCAGGCACACGGCACCACATCCAGCTATCTTTTTTTGAATTTTTAGTGCAAACCAGGTTCCACCATGTTGGACCGGCTGGTCTCGAACTCCTGACCTCAGGTGATCCACCCACCTTGGCCTCCCAAAGTGCTGGGATTATAGGCATGAGCCACCACGCCAAGCCTATCTACTATTTTATCTATAAGATTTATCTACTATATCTACTTGTTTTGTTTCAAGAATCTGTTATTCTTAGCTTTGTTTACAAATTTCTCATTTTTATTTTGTTAGGTTGAGAACTCAAAATTTCATCTAAATGCTCTTTTAAAAACAAATTACACATTCAGTTAAAGCCAACATAATGTTTATGAGGTACTTTCTCTCTACCAGAAGCTGAAAGAAATGCTATAAACAATATAAACTATTCCCTTAAAAGAAACTCATATATTTTCAATTAATACCTTCAGTTAATTTAAATAGAATTTTTTCAACTTTCTGGCTATCTTTTCAAAAAGTTCAATCCAGTTAATCTCAGAAATTTTAATAGCTTTGAGAGATGATGTCAGATCACACATGAAAGAAGTGGACTAAGCACTGGTTGAAGAGTGACTTGTACATATGTTCAAAACTTTATCGTTGTTACAGGATCCTTGGAGTGTTGCTTTGCCAGCTGGAAACCTTTGTGGTTGGTGGCACCTTTGCCCGAGTTTTGCTTGGGCCCACTGGGATCATTCTGTCCACTTGGCCTGGCAGGCTGCGCTTGGCTCATGCTACCTGCCCAAAATCCATACCTGCCAAGGGCAAGCCAGGTGTGGAGTGGCCAAGGGTGTGTGAGTGAGCAAGCAAGCACAGGGTCTGGCTGCAGTGCACAGCCATGCACGCTGGGTGCAACAGGGCAGGCAGCTCCAGGCACCGGCACAGCCCCCAGCTCCCTGCAAGGCTGTGGCTGGACTAGGCAACTGCTTCCATTGCTGGCACCAGGAAACGTGGTGGCACCCACAAACTTGAAGACACCAGGAACTGCAGATTCCCAAAGAGTGTGTCACAGCCCTGGTTTGGGAAGCTCCTAGGTCTGGGCTCCCCAAAGGCCTGCAGCTCTTCTCTCCTTCTCTCTTCTCTTTCTTGTCACCCACAATGTGGCAGGCAAGGGGCATGCTTCAGCCCTGTTTATGTTATAGCTCTTTCAGTCCCACCATTCACGTTCTTGTCCTGAAACAGGAAGAATGAGGTACAGGGACAACTGGAGGGTGAGTAAGGCAAGGAGGTGCTTTTTGAGGCAACAGTACAGCTGTCAGATGACCTGAAGTGGGTAGCTCCTTTCCACAAGCAGGTCATCCCGATTAGTGCAGCTCTTAGCAGAGAGGAGACCCACAGTGGGGAGCTCCTCTCTGCAGGTAGGTTGTCCCGACATCTGCCCTTCTGGCTGAGTCCAGGGATTTTATGGTCTTCAGAGGGGAGGAAGTGCATTCTGATTGGTCCATAGGCAGCCATGGGTGGGCCCAGAAAAAAACACCATAAGTTCTCACTCCAGTTCACAGAACTGGCAGCCTGACCCCCAGGCTTCAGGCTGTCCCAGGCATGAAGGTTGTGCCTCACCAGGCACCCACCCCTTTCTACCCATTAGCTGCCTGCCTTCTGCTGCCATCAGCCTGCCACCCTTGACGCTCAGGCTATTCATGCCAAGGGGTGCCTGCAGGCCTGCACTGAGCCACCCTCAGCACCCCCTGCCCCTGCCAACCTCCCTCCAGTGCTTCTCAGCGACCAAAGTCGGAAGGGGCCAAGGTGTCACGAGGCTGGTGTGTTGGTGTACCCTAAATGCATGCACACCCGGTCCAGTCGTGACAATACCTGGGCTCAGCCTCAACTTGTAATTAAAAAGTAAAGAGAAATTTATTAATATTATCCCAACATTGTGTTAAAAAGAACCTGAAACTAGAAAATTATTATATCTTTTTAAAAAAATAAAAGAACATAGATGAAAATGTGACAGTCATTATCTATCAGTGGTAAGATTTGGGGTTTTTTTGTGATTTGCTTATTTTTCCTAAGATTTCTATAATAAAATAAATAACATTTTTAAACAAGCAGAAAATATTTGTATTACTGCAGTTATATTTTTATGACTTAAGTTTTTAGGAAATCAACTCAAAACAAGTAGTCTGTCCTACTCGAGTTTAAAAAAACTCTCATAGCCATCATTTTATTTATTCTTTACATTATGTACTCTAGGGAAATCTAATAATCTTTGGTTTGTAAATCACCACAGAAAGCCTGGGTGATTAAATAACGTGCTTAGAGTTATAAAACCAGGTGTCAGAGGTGAGCCTTAAACATCCTTTTTTTTTTTTTTTTTTTTTTTTTTTTTTTTTTTTTTGTAGGAGACCAGAGTTTTATTATTACTCAAATCAGTCTCCTTGAGCATTCCAGGATCAGAGTGTGTTTTTTGTTTTTGTTTTGTTTTTGTTTTTGTTTTTTTAACGAAGTCTCCCTCTGTTGCCCAGGCAGGAGGAGTGCAGTGGTGCCATCTTGGCTCACTGCAAGCTCCGCCTCCCAGGTTCGCGACATTCTCCTGCCTCAGCCTCCCGAGTAGCTGGGACTACAGATGCCCGTCACCACACTTGGCTAATTTTTTGTATTTTTAGTAGAGACGGGGTTTCACCATGTTAGCCAGGATGGTCTCGATCTCCTGACTTCGTGATCTGCCCACCTCAGCCTCCCCAAGTGCTGGGATTACAGGCATGAGCCACTGTGCTTGGCCCCAGGATCAGAGTTTTTAAGGACAAGTTGGTGGGTGGTGGGAAGCCAGTGAGCCAGGAGTGCTGATTCGTCAGGTCAGAGATGAAATCATAGGGAGTCAAAGCTGTCTTCTTGCATTGAGTCAGTTCCTGGATGGGGACCACAAGATCAGATGAGTCAATTTATTGATCTGGGTAGTGCCAGCTAGGTTCATTATTTATGCTAAGAAACTCTGTGTTTTTCTGACTTTGCCTTTTTATTAAAACATTTTTCTACAACCTCATATCTTCCAAAAATAAACATAATCTAAAACATCTTTTTTAACAGTATGAAGTTTTTGTCATTAAATTCACTAATTCATTCAGTGAGACCAATATTCATTGAGCAATATTAGGTACAAGGCATTGTTCTCCCCACTGGGTACTGATCTGTGAAAAAGAGTAGCCACATTTCATGATTCATGCCTTTAATCCCAGCAACCAGGGAGGTGAAATGGGAAGATTGCTTGAGGCCAGGAGTTTGAGACCAGGCTGGGCAATATATCAAGACTCCATCCTTGAAAAAAGAAAACAATTAGCTAGATGTTTGGCATATACCCAGCTATTCAGGAGGCTGAGGTGGGAGGATCACTTGAGGCCAGGAGTTTGAGGCTGGCTGCAGGAGCTCTGGTTGTGCCATTATACTTCAGCCTGAGTGACAGAGCAAGACTCCAAATCTTATAAAAAAAAAAAAAAGAGAGAGAGAGAGACTTAAAGTGTCTACCATATGGAGCATCTTTCTGATGGGGAAGATATATAATAAAAGAGAAAATTCAGTAATAGAAAAGAAAATATATAAAAATAAACTAGATAAGTACTAAGGAGAAAAATCAAGGGAGAGCTAAATAGTGAGAGTTTGCATTTTATATAGGATAGCCTGAGAAAGTCTTACTAAAAATGTGAAATTTAAATCAAAGCCAGGTGTGGTGGGACAGGCTTGTAATCCCAGCTAAGGCAGGAGGATTGTTTGAACCTAAGAGTTCAAGCTTAGCGTAGGCAACGTAGTGAGAACCTATCTTTAAACAAAACTGGGCAACACAGCCAGACTCTGTCTCTAAATAAATAAACACCCATGAAAAAGTTGATGTTCAAAGGGAGTGTGGTGTGAGCCATGGTATAAAATTGGATAACGGGAGGGAAATATTTAAAAACTTTATGCCACAGATCTTTATTGAATGTTTACTGCATGTGAGAAAAACCCTGGTAAACTACCAAGGCTAGATCGTGTTTTCCTTGAGTTTGAAATTTAGATTTTAATAATTTATAAATAAATCTTATCTATCAGATTGCATGGTTGATCTAGGCAACTTAGAATTAATAGTCCTGCTTAGCTTTAGAACTCCCCAAGAAGTGTATTTAAAAGGAAAAGTAAAATTAGAACTAAATGAATAAAGATGTAACTGTTTTAACTAGAAATTATACTCCAAAACCAAACCCATTTTTGTGGGAGGGGTGGGAAGGAACAACAACAAACACTGAATGTGGAGTCAGTGACCCTGGTTACTCATACCAGCTCTACTTCCAACCAGGTGTGCTGTCAAAATGTGGACAGGTCACTTTTGGAGTCTGGGTTAGTTGGCTTTTGTGATCAATTTCATAAACCTCGGAATCTATTTTAATAAACTGAATGATATAGAATGAGCTTGCCCGAACCATGGCCCACAGGCTGCATATGACCCAGGATGCCTTTGAATGTGGGCCAACACAGATTTGTAAACTTTCTTAAAACATTATGATATTTTGTTGCAGTTTTTTAAAAGCTCATCAGCTAGCATTAGTGTTAATGTATTGTATGTATCGCCCAAGACAATTCTTCTTCCAGTGTGGCCCAGGGAAGCCAAAAGATTGGACACTCCAGATATAGAATAAAAAGTGTTTTATTTTTTGCATTTTAAAAATTCTTCTGGGCGCGGTGGCTCACGCCTGTAATCCCAGCACTTTGGGAGGCCGAGGCGGGTGGATCATGAGGTCAGGAGATCAAGACCATCCTGGCTAACACAGTGAAACCCCGTCTCTACTAAAAATACAAAAAATTAGCCGGGCGCGGTGGCGGGCGCCTGTAGTCCCAGCTACTCAGGAGGCTGAGGCAGGAGAATGGCGTGAACACGGGAGGCAGAGCTTGCAGTGAGCCGAGATGGCGCCACTGCACTCCAGCCTGGGCAACAGAGCGAGACTCCGTCCAAAAAAAAAAAAATTATTTAATCCTGTATCATTATTAGGAAAACTTACTCTTGTTGGTACTATGCTACAAGTTCAATCAGTACCAATCACAATACACATATCAATACTATAGCACCATCACCACACTTTCCCTTTGTTAATTTTTTTTTCTGCCTTAAAATGTTGTGGGTTCTTAACAACTGAATTTAAAAACAAACCAACAAGATTTTGGGGAAATACTTAACTTTTTCACATTAACTATAGTGTATTTGCTCCCTATGGCTTAGGAAGAGATTGGCTGACAGTTATTGGAGACTGGCTGGGAAGCACCTGGCTCTTGTGTATCTCAGTGAAAGTAGAAAACCAGGCTGCCCAATGTTAACTCTCTTTAACTCTTTTCAAGTTTGCAGGAAAGCTTTAAAAATCTTTCATTTGCTCTTGATTTTACCCAATGCAATTTTATCTTTTATAAGACCAATTTTTGTGTACTTAGTGGATAGTAAATAAAATGTACGACCATATTTCCATTTATTAGGAGAAAAATAATTATGGATTCTAAATCACTCTTCCTAAGGTCACACAATCAAAGGCAAAGGCTTGTATTTTTATATTTATTTAGGGGAAACTTTATTCAAAGCAGGGGATAGGAGAGTCAACAGAACAGACACCTTTTTCCATCGGTCAGCAACAGTTCATGCAGTGGTTGCTCCTTCCAATTTGAAACACACTCTTTCATTGTTTGGTCTCCCAGACCACAATTTGCCTTAATTGTCTTCCTAATTGTCCTCTCCTTCCATATTGCCTTCGCTGGTTCCTTATTTCCTCCCACCTTAAACATTAGATTATCTTCAATGGTCACACTTTTTTTTTCTCTTCTGTCACTAATTCCCTCAGTTATCACTCTTTTCCAATGTCTGTATTTATTTATTTATTTATTTATTTATTTATTTATTTATTTATTATTTTTTCGAGACGGAGTCTCACTTTGTCGCCAGGCTGGAGTGCTGTGGTGCGATCTCAGCTCACTGCAACCTCCGCCTCCTGGGTTCAAGCAATTCTCCTGCCTCAGCCTCCCGAGAAATTGGGATTACAGGCACCCACCACCACACCCAGCTAATTTTTTGTATTTTTAGTAGAGACGGGGTTTCACCATGTTGGACAGGCTGGTCTTGAACTCTTGACCTTAGGCGATCCACCCGCCTTGGCCTCCCAAAGTGCTGAGATTACAGGCGTGATCCAGTGCACCCGGCCTCCAATGTCTTTAAATATCTTCAATGCACTGATAACACTGAGTCCTGATCTCTCTTCTGAACTCCAGACTTAGGTATCCAGCTCAGCATTTCCATGTCTAATTGGCATCTCAATCTTAACAGGTTCCAAATTCCTTGTTTTACCCCCAAGACTTGCTCATGCCACAGCCCTTCCATCCCCATTTTAGCAAATCAAAACTCTGTTCTTCCAGTTGCTCAGACCAAAAAAAGGAATCATCCTTGGCTTCACTCTTTACCTCATAACCCCACTTTCAGTCAGTCAGCAATTCTCTTCAGCTCTAATGTCAGATATCATCTGGATTCTGATGACTTCTCTTAACTTTTATCTCTAATCAGCAGCCATCAGTATCTCTCCTAGGGGATCACTCAATAAAGCAGAGCTTGTATTTTAATTCAGATTTCCTGACTTCTAATCCAGGGCTCATTCTAAGCAATGGGACAAAATGAAACCTAGCTTACCTCCCAAGGCTGCCCTGCACTGGACTCTTCTAGAAAAGCCAGGGATACAGAGTGGGTTTTAAAACATCGCCACATATCCATGTTTGCCTTTAAGCAAAGGCTTCTTAGAGATTCAAAAGGAGTTGCAACATAACAAGATAAGACACGCAAACTGCCTTCTTTTTTTTCCTCACAGAGATAAAATCAGTATCTTTAATCCATCAATGCTGTACATAAGTAGTGTCAGAAATGAGTGCACAGACAGCATTGGAACTTTGTGTTCCCAAGAATTCATTTGGAGTACCCTCTGCTGGGGAGCCAGACTTCAGAAAACAAAGACTAAAGTAGGAATGGAGGGAAGGCTTAGCTCTGCTACATACCCACGAGTAAGAAAAGAATCCAGGCAGCCGAAGCATTTGGGGAATTCAGCTGCCTGGGATTATGGGCATTAAAACCCCCTACCCTCAATCACTTCCATCCCCACCCAAGCACACAAAATTTTACCCGAAGATGTTTGTAGCAGCTGTGAAACTGTCCAACTATTAGAAGAAAGAGTGGAGAAATGGGAGTCTCTGCATATTTTATGTCCTAGTTAACAATAATTTACTTCTTTTATGGAAATTTAAAATAATATCTTCTCAATATTCAGATTGCATAAACCCTGGAGATGTAAGACACTTTTGGATTAAAGGTTTCTATGTAGGAATGGTTATATTCTAGTGATAAATATTTCCTCATATGGAATTTAAAATTCTTTAGCTACTCCATCACTACCTTTCTCCCAGTTATTGCTAAGTCATCAGTATGCTGGAGTGGAGGGGTGTCTGGGAGCTTCCATATGTCACATGGAATACAGAAATAGAAGGATGGTAAGACATAGGCCACAAGTAGATTACAGTGCAGTGGATATAGCTGGAGGAAAGAAGTACTATGTAGATCAAATGTAATTCATTTTGATACTTGCAATACTACACATCCATTAGCATACTTTTTACTTTTTTTTCCTTGTTAACAAGTTAAATAACTGTCTTCATTATGTAAAAGTGGCAACAGACAGAAAAACCTATATTCTACCTCTAAGTCTCTTGGTTTTGTAATTCCAATCTGAAATTGTGACCTTTAAATATGTTACAGTCTTATTGGGTTTCAAAGGGGATGATGGAAAGAAATGGCACTTGTGGAATTTCTACTGTGTGTCATTCTCTGTATCTTACTATTTCTATAATCGTAACCTAATATAATCCTAATAGAACTGTGTGAGGTAAATCTTATAACCATCTTTTCATAGCTGAGGAAATTGAGGCTCTGAGAATCCACAGTATTGTAGCTAGTGAGTGACAACAGATACCATGCTCTTCTTCTGACACAATGTCACTCAGGTAAGGAAGATGAGGGGTCCGGGGAAGCAGGGATATCACAAGCCTCCATTTTCCATCTCTTTCTTCAGGGGAGATCTCAAATAATTTTTCTTTTGATAGTTTTCATAGGCAAGTTTACAAGACCAAAAGAGAAATCTAAATTTAGTGAGGATGAAAATTATTTTTCTTGTTATATTTATCCACATATTGCTTTTTCTTATATCTGTATATAGATACAACACTTGCAAAATTATGTAATATTTTTCTTTGTGTATATTGTTTCAGTTATCTTCTCTTTTTGAATTTGAATTTGGAAAAAAATGTGTATATGTATGTCCCACAAAACACATAACACATTTACTGGGTCAAGATTGTGGCAGAATGATGAATCATTGGATTTAGGTTCATCAACCTTATAAGATGCTAAATTATTTTGTACTTTTCCTCTCTCTTTTTTTCTAGGCTCTTCCATTGCATAAGTGGTAGAATGGTGTAGAGTTTCTCCCCTGTACTGCAGTTTTTGATTTATCATTTCTTTTATCCATTTGAGATAAGCTGCCAATTCATTTGAAAGTTATTATGAACACAGACATAAAGTGCTGTCTTCAGCACTCAGTTGTATGCAATCAACTATAATGTCTGTTAGAGTGTTCATTTGCTTAAAGTACCTAGGAAGTATGATTATAGGTGATGGGGGTGTGGTATCCTCTGGGCATATCAATAATATTGGTTAACAGCTCTGTAGTTACAATACTACCCTCTAATGGCACATCGAAGTATGCCCCAGGATATGTGGGAAGATTTTCTCTGCAATCTTTTGGAGGAAATGTCTGAAAACAAAATTAGAAAGATTATTCCTCTGAAGTCTGACAGGTTATTCTATAAGAAAAACGTGCATCTGAATAATTCTCCAAAATTAAGATAATATTATATGAATTTGTCCTTAGTCTGCTGTATATTTTCCCAACAGTCACTTCGAACATTTTTGGCCAATATAGAGAAAAAATATTATGAAAAACAAAACAAAATAAAGAAAACTTGGCTTATTAGAATTTCAATTTCCTAATTCTTAGCTAGATATGTTTTCTGATTTTAAGAATTTATTCTTTGCAGTGCATTTATATTGAAGTGAATATGGAGATTTGAAAAATATGAACTTGAAACTGTTTTAAGTAACAACCCATGTTTGAAACATTTCCCAGTGTGAGTGACAAGCAATTAAATCTACTTTGCATAAACTTGAACTTGATGTGGAAACCAACTGATTCTTTGAAGTCCTAGAAGAAACAAAAATGAGCTGTTTAATCTTTTGCTGCATGCTGTGGTTCTCTGGAGCAGCAAAAACAATTGATGGGAAATGGGGAGAACATAAATGTTTATTTTTGCAACAATGTTAATATTATCTAAATGCTAATTCTTAAGGAAGAATATCAGAAAAAAGAAATAAATCATATGACTAATGATGTGGCTCACATATATCATTATGGATCAGCAAATAGGTATTCAAAGAGGATTCAAACAAAATACTCTGAGTATTCGAATGAGTTTTTCTGATGTGCGTGCTGTCTACAGGCATACTTTGTTTTGTCGTGCTTCACAACTATTGTATTTTTTACAAATTGAAGATTTGTGGCAACCATTCCTCAAGGAAGTCTACTGGGGCTATTTTGCCAACAGCATATGCTCACTTCATGTCTCTGTGAGCTTGATAATTCTTATAATATTTCAAACTTTGTCATTATTATATCAGTCATTATTACATATTTTTAATGTTACTATTGTAATTGTGTTGGGGTGCCATGAACCATGGCCATGTTAGACAGCAAACCTAATAATGTAATTTGTGTTCTGACTGCTCCACTGACCTGTTGTTCTCCTATCCCTCTCCTTCTCCTTGGGCCTCCCTATTTCCTGAGATACAACAATATTAAAATTAGGCCAATTAATTGCCCTACAGTTGTCTCTTAAGTGTTCAAGTGAAAGGAAGAATTGCGTGTCTCTCACTTGAAATCAAAAGCTAGAAATGATTAAGCTTATCAAGGAAGGTAATTCAAAAGCTGAGATAGGCTGAAAGCTCAGTTCCTCGTGCCAAACAGTTAGCCAAGCTGTGAAAGCAAAGAAAAAGTTCTCAAAAGAAATTAAAAGTTCGACTCCAGTGAACACACAAATGATAAGAAAGTAAAATAGCCTTATTGCTGATATGAGGAGAGTTTTAGTGCTCTAAGGCTAAGAGAGGCAAGGAAACTGCAGAAGAAGAGTTTGAAGCTAGCAGAGCTTGGTTTATGAAATTTAAGGAAGGAAGCCATCTCCATAACTTAAGAGTGCAAGGTAAAGAGGCAAGTGCTCTTGGAGAAGCTGAAGAAAGTTATTTAGAAGATTTAGCTAAGATAATTGATGATGGTGGCTACATTTAACAACAGATTTTAAATGTAGACCAAACAGTCTTCTACTGAAAGAAGATGCCATCTAGGACTTCCACAGCTAGAGAGAAGTCAATGCCTGGCTTCGAAGCTTTGCAGTACAGGCTGACTCTGTTGTTAATCGCTAATGTAGATTGAGACTTTAAGTTGCAGTCAGTACTCATTTACCATGCTGAAAATCCTAGGGCACTTACTCTGCCTGTGTTCTAGAAATTAAAGAAAGACTGAATGACAGCACCTCTGTTTACAGCATGGTTTGTTGAATATTTTAAATCCACTGCTGAGACCTACTGCCCAGAAAAAAATATTTCTTCCAAAAGGTTACTGCTCACTGACAGTGTACCTCATTACCCAAGAGGTTTGATGGAGATGTGCAAGGAGATTAATGTCATTTTCATGCCTGCTAACACAACATTCATTCTACAACCCATGGACCAAGGAATAATTTGGACTTTCAAGTCTTATTATTTAATAAATATATTTTATAAGGCTATAGCAGCGGGATGTAGTGATTCCTCTGATGGATCTGGGCAAAGTACATTGAAAAACTTCTGGAAAAGATTCACCATTCTAGATGCCATTAAGAACATTTGTGATTTATGGAGGGAGTTCAAAATATAAATATTAACAAGGGCTTGGAAAAAGTTGATTCCAACCCTCTCGGATGTCTTTGAGGGATTTAAGACTTAAGTAGAAGAAGTACCTGAGATATGGGAGAAACAGCAAGGGAACTAGGATTAGAATTGGAGCTGAAGATGCTACTAAGTTGCTACAATCTTATGATAAAACTTGAACGTATGAGGAATTGCTTCTTATGGATGAGCAAAGAGTAAGTAAGTTTCTTACGATAGAAACCACTCCTGGTGAAGATGCTGTGAACATGTTGAAAACAAATAATTTAGTGTTACATAAACTTAGTTGATAAAGCAGCAGCAGGATTTGAGAGGATTGACTCTAATTTTGAAAGTATACTGTGGGTAAAATGGTATCAGACAGTATCACACACTACAGTAAAATCTTCTGTGAAAGAAAGAGTCCATTGATGTAGCAGATTTTATTGGTGTTCTCTTTTATGAAATTGTCATGGGCACGCAAACCTTCAGCAACCACCACCCTCATCATTCAGCTCCCATCAACATCAATGCAAGACCCTCCAGCAGCAGAAAAGATTATAACTCGCTGAGGGCTCAAATGGTTATTAGCATTTTTAGCAATAAAATATTTTTAAATTGAGATATGTACTTTTTTGTATTTTTAATTAAGGTATGTACTTTTTTAGACAATGTTATTGCACACTTAATAGTCTACGATAGAGTGTAAATATACTTTTCTATGCAAAAACAAAAAAAACTGTGTGATTCACTTTGTTGTGATATTCACTTTATTGCAGTGGTCCAGAACTGAACTCACAATATCTCCAGGATATGCCTGTATTTATATAAATACTTATATAAATTCTACAAAATATAATATTATAGGGCCTTGTACTTTGTCTATTACAGACTGACACAGAAAATCAAAAATTGAAGCAACTTTTCCTTTCTATAGATACTAGAATCAAGTCTAAGAGGATCTGTTTTATTGGTACCAGACATCTAAATCCCTTCCTTAGTAATGATGTCAGGATTCACCAAGAATTCCTTCCAACTATTTGGTTTTTGGAATCTAATATTCCACTGTCAGGCTTTCACCTTTACATACATTACTCTTCTGAAGACATTTTATGCCAAACACATTACTTTTATAAGGGAAGAAAAGGTTGAGTGCCCAGGGTTGAAAAAGCTAATGGTATACCAAAATTTTTTAAAAAATATTTTAACTTCCAAGATCTTTTCAGTTTTTTTTTTTTAATGCCTTAAGTTCTAGGGTACATGTGCACAACATGCAGGTTTGTTAGATAGGTATATATGTGCCATAGTGGTTTGCTGCACCCATCAACTTGTCATTTACATTAGGTATTTCTCCTAATGCTATCCCTTCCCCAGACCCCCACCCCTCAACAGGCCCTGATGTGTGATGTTACCCTCCCTGTGTCCATGTGTTCTCATTGTTCAGCTGCCACCTATGAGTGAGAACATGCGGTGTTTGGTTTTCTGTCCTTGTGATAGTTTGCTTAGAATGATGACTTCCAGCTTCATTCATGTCCCTGCAAAGGACATGAACTCATCCTTTTTTATGGCTGCATAGTATTCCATAGTATGTGCCACATTTTTTTTTAATCCAGTCTATCAATTGACATTTGGGTTGGTTCCAAGTTTTTGCTATTGTGAATAGTGCCACAATAAACATACATGTCCATATGTCTTTATAGTAGCACGATTTATAATCCTTTTGGTACATACCCAGTAATGGGATGGCTGGGTCAAATGGTATTTCTAGTTCTAGATCCTTGAGGAATCGCCACACTGTCTGCCACAGTGGTTGAACTAATTTACACTCCCACCTACAGTATAAAAGCGTTCCTGTTTCTCCACATCCTCTCCAGCATCTGATGTTTCCTGAACTTTTTAATGATCTCCATTCTAACTGGCATGAGATGGTATCTCATTGTAGTTTTGATTTGCATTTCTCTGATGACCAGTGATGATGAGCATTTTTTCATGTGTCTTTTGGCTGCATAAATGTCTTCTTTTGAGAAGTGTCTGTTCATATCCTTTGCCCACTTTTTGATGGGGTTGTTTGTTTTTTTCTTGTAAATTTGTTTTAAGTTCTTTTTAGATTCTGCATATTACCCCTTGTCAGATGAGTATATTGCAAAAATTGTCTCCTATTCTGTAGGTTGCCTATTCACTCTGATGATAGTTTCTTTTGCTGTGCAGAAGCTCATTAGTTTAATTAGATCCCATTTGTCTATTTTGGTTTTTGTTGCCATTGCTTTTGGCATTTTAGTAATGAAGTCTTTGCCCATGCCTGTGTCCTGAATGGTACTGCCTAGGTTTTCTTCTAGGGTTTTTATAGTTTTAGGTCTTATATTTAAGTCTTTAATCCATCTTGAGTTAATTTTTATATACAGTGTAAGGAAGGGATCCAGTTTCAGCTTTCTACATATGGCTAGCCAGTTTTCCCAGCACCATTTATTAAATAGGGAATCCTTACCCCATTTCTTGTTTTTGTCAGGTTTGTCAAAGATCAGATGGTTGTAGATGTGTGGTGTTATTTCTGAGGCCTCCATTGTGTTCCATTGGTCTATATCTCTGTTTTGGTACCAGTACCATGCTGTTTTGGTTACCGTAGCCTTGTAGTATAGTTTGAAGTCAGGTAGCGTGATGCCTCCAGCTTTGTTCTTTTGGCTTAGGATTATCTTGGCTATGCAGGATCTTTTTTGGTTCCATGTGAACTTTAAAGTAGCTTTTTCCAGTTCTGTGAAGAAAGTCAGTGGTAGCTGGATGGGGATAGCATTGAATCTATGAATTACCTTGGGCAGTATGGTCATTTTCATGATATTGATTCTTCCTATCCATGAGCATGGAATGTTCTTCCATTTGTTTGTGTCTTCTTTCATTTCATTGAGTAGTGATTTGTAGTTCTCCTTGAAGAGATCCTTCACATCCCTTGTAAGTTGGATTCCTAGGAATTTTATTCTCTTTGAAGCAATTGTGAATGGGAGTTCACTCATGATTTGGCTCTCTGTTTGTCTGTTATTGGTGTACAAGAATGCTTGTGATTTTTGCACACTGATTTTTTATCCTGAGACTTTGCTGAAGTTGCTTATCAGCTTAAGGAGATTTTGGGCTGAGATGATGGGGTTTTCTAAATATACAGTCGTGTCATCTGCAAACAGGGACAATTTGACTTCCTCTTTTCCTAATTGAATACCCTTTATTTCTTTCTCTTGCCTCATTACCCTGGCCAGAACTTCCAACACTATGTTGAATGGGAATGGTGAGAGACGGCATCCATGTCTTGTGCCGGTTTTCAAAGGGAATGCTTCCAGTTTTTGCCCATTCGGTATGATATTGGCTGTAGGTTTGTCCTAAATAGCTCTTATTATTTTGAGATACGTTCCATCAATACCTAATTTATTGAGAGTTTTTAGCATGAAGCGTTGTTGAATTTTGTCAGAGGCCTTTTCTGCATCTATTGAGATAATCATGTGATGTTTTGTCATTGGTTCTGTTTATGTAATGGATTACGCTTATTGATTTGTGTATGTTAAATCAGCCTTGCATCCCAGAGATGAAGCCGACTTGATTGTGGTGGATAAGCTTTTTGATGTGCTGCTGGATTCAGTTTGCCAGTATTTTATTGAGGATTTTTGCACTGATGTTCATCAGGGATATTCGTCTAAAGTTCTTTTTTTGTTGTTGTTGTGTCTCTGCCAGACTTTGGTGTCAGGATGATGCTGGCCTCATAAAATGAGTTAGGGTAGATTCCCTCTTTTTCTATTGATTGGAATAGTTTCAGAAGGAATGGTGCCAACTCCTCTTTCTTCCTCTGGTAGAATTCGGCTGTAAATCTGGTCCTGGACTTTTTTTGGTTGGTAGGCTATTAATTATTGCCTCAATTTCAGAAGCTGTTATTGGTCTATTCAGAAATTCAACTTCTTCCTGATTTAGTCTTGGGAGAGTGTATATGTCCAGGAATTTATCCGTTTCTTCTAGATTTTCTAGTTTATTTGCATAGAGGTGTTTATAGTATTCTCTAATGGTAGTTTGTATTTCTGTGGGATCGGTGGTGATATCCCCTTTATCATTTTTTATTGCATCTATTTGATTCTTCTCTCTTTTTTTCTTTATTAGTCTTGCTAGCGGTCTATCTATTTTGTTGATATTTTCCTAAAACCAGCTCCTGGATTCATTGATTTTTTGAAGGGATTTTGTGTCTCTATCTCTTTCAGTTCTGCTCTGATCGTAGTTATTTCTTGCCTTCTGCTAGCTTTTGAATTTGTTTGCTCTTGCTTCTCTAGTTCTTTTAATTGTCATGTTAGGGTATTGATTTCAGGTCTTTTCTGCTTTCTCTTGTGGGCATGCATTTAGTGCTATAAATTTCCCTCTACACACTGCTTTAAATGTGTCCCAGAGATGCTGGTATGTTGTGTCTTTGTTCTCACTGGTTTCAAAGAACATCTTTATTTCTGCCATCATTTTGTTATTTACCCAGTAGTCATTCAGGAGCAGGTTGTTCAGTTTTTATGTAGTTGTGCAGTTTTGAGTGAGTTTATTAATCCTGAGTTCTAATTTCATTACACTATGGTCTGAGAGACAGTTTGTTGTGATTTCTGTTTTTTTACATTTGCTGAGGAGTGTTTTCTTTCCAATTATGTGGTCAGTTTTAGAATAAGTGGGATGTGGTGCTGAGAAGAATGTATATTCTGTTGATTTGGGTTGGAGAGTTCTGTAGATGTCTATTAGGTCCACTTGGTCCAGAGCTGAGTTCAAGTCCTGGATATCCTTGTTAACCTTCTGTCTCACTGATCTGTCTAATATTGACAGTGGGGTGTTGAAGTCTCCCATTATTATTGTGTGGGAGTCTAATTCTCTTTGTAAGTCTCTAAGGACTTGCTTTATGAACCTGGGTGCTCCTGTATTGGGTGCATATACATTTAGGATAGTTAGCACTTCTTGTTGAATTTATCCCTTTATGATTACCTAGGGGCCTTCTTTGTCTCTTTTGATCTTTGTTGGTTTAAAGTCTGTTTTATCAGAGACTAGGATTGCAACCCCTGCTTTTTTTTTCTTTCCATTTGCTTGGTAGATCTTCTTCCATTCCTTTATTTTGAGCCCATCTGTGTCTTTGCACTTTAGATAGGTCTCCTGAATACAGCACACTGATGGGTCTTGACTCTTTAACCAACTTGCTAGTCTGTGTCTTTTAATTGGGGAATTTACCACATTTACATTTAAGGTTAATATTGTTATGTTTGAATTTGATCCTGTCAATATGATCTTAGCTGGTTATTTGGCCCTTAGTTAATGCAGTTTTTTCATAACATCAGTGGTTTTTACAATTTAGCATGTTTTTGCAGTGGCTGGTACCAGTTGTTCCTTTCCGCGTTTAGTGCTTCCTTCAGGAGCTCTTGTAAGGCAGGCCTTGTGGTGACAAGATCTCTCAGCATTTGCTTGTCTGTAAAGGATTTCATTTCTCCTTCATGTGTTAAGCGTAGTTTGGCCAGATATGAGATTCTGGGTTGAAAATTCTTTTGTTTAAGAAGGGTGAATATTGGACACCACTCTCTTCTGGCTTATAGGGTTTCTGCAGAGAGATCAACTGTTAGTCTGATGGGTTTCCCTTTGTGGGTATCCCAAACTTTCTCTCTGGCTGCCCTTAACATTTTTTCCTTCATATCAACTTTGGTGAATCTGACAATTATGTGTCTTGGGGTTGCTCTTCTTGAGGAGTAGCTTTGTGGTGTTCTCTGTATTTCCTGAATTTGAATGTTGGCCAGCCTTGCTAGGTTGGGGAAGTTCTCCTGGATAACATCGTGAAGAGTGATTTCCAACTTGTTTCCATTCTCCCTGTCACTTTCTGATACACCAGTCAAACATATATTTGGTCTTTTCACATAGTCCCATATTTCTTGGAGGCGTTGTGCATTTCTTTTCACTCTTTTTTCTCTAACCTCATCTTCTCATTTTATTTCATTAATTTGATCTTCAATCACTGATATCCTTTCTTCCACTTGATCGAATTGGCTGTTGAAGTTTGTGGCTGCATCACGAAGTTCTCGTGCCGTGGTTTTCAGCTCCCTCAGGTCATTTAAGGTCTTCTCTACACTGTTTATTCTAGGTAGCCATTCATCTAATCTTTTTTTGAGGGTTTTAGCTTCCTTGTGATGAGTTAGAACATGCTCCTTTAGCTTGGAGAAGTTTGTTATTACCAACCTTCTGAAGCCTACTTCTGTCAACTTGTCAAACTCATTATCTGTTCAGTTTTGTTCCCTTCCTGACGAGGAGCTGTGATCCTTTGGAGGAGACGAGGCACTCTGGTTTTTGGAATTTTCAGCTTTTGTGCTCTGGTTTCTCCCCATCTTTGTGGTTTTATCTAACTTTGGTGTTTGATTTTGGTGACATACAGATGGGGTGTTGGTGTGGATGTCCTTTTTGTTGATGCGGATGCTATTCTTTTCTGTTTGTTAGTTTTCCTTCTAACAGTCAGCCCCCTCAGCTGCAGGTCTGTTGGAGTTTGCTGGAGGTCCACTCCAGACCCTGTTTGCCTTGGTGTCACCAGCAGAGGCTTCAGAACAGCAAATATTGCTGCTTCATCCTTCCTCTGGAAGCTTCGTCCCAGAGAGGCACCCTCCTGTTTGAGGTGCTTGTCGGCCCCTACTGGGAGGTGTCTCCCAGTCAGGCTACATGGGGTTCAGGGACCCGCTTGAGGAGGCAGTCTGTCTGTTCTCAGAGCTTGAGTGCCATGCTGAGAGAACCACTGCTCTCTTCAGAGCTGTCAGACAGGGACATTTAAGTCCAAAGAAGCTGTCTGCTCCCTTTTGTTCAGTTATGCCCTGCTCCCAGAGGTGGAGTCTAGAGAGGCAGGAGTCCTTGCTGAGCTGTGGTGGGCTCTGCCCAGTGCGAGGTTCCCAGCTGCTTTGTTTACACTGTGTGCAACTCAAGCCTCAGCAATGGCGGATGCCCTTCCCCCCGTCAAGCTGCAGTGTTGCAGGTTGATCTCAGACTGCTGCATTAGCAGTGAGCAAGGCTCCGTGGATGTGGGACCCACCGAGCCAGGCACAGGAGGGTATCTCCTGGTCTGCTGGTTGCTAAGACTGTGGGAAGACCACAGTATTTGGTCAGAAGTATACTGTTTCTCCAGGTACAGTCTGTCTTGGCTTCCCTTGGCTAGGAAAGGGAAGTCCCCCAACCTTTTGCACTTCCTAGGTGAGGCGATGCCCTGCCCTGCTTCAGCTCGCCCTCCATGGGCTGCACCTACTGTCCAACCTGTCCCAATGAGATGAACCAGGTACCTCAATTGGAAATGCAGAAATCACCCATCTTCTGTGTTGATTTTGCTGGGAGTTGCAGACTGGAGCTGTTCCTATTCGGCCATCTTGGAAGCGACCTCTTTTCAGTTTTAAAATCTTTGTAATTCCTTGACTACAAGCAACTTGTAACATAAAATCAAATTGTACACCTTTTTTTTTTTTTGGCAAAATGTCTTTTATTTATTTATTTATTTGGCTTACAAAAACAAACATTTTCCTCATTCACAGTCTGTGGGTTGGGTGGAGGGGCTGTGATTCAGGTGGTGGGTTGAGTACTGATCAGTTCCATATGTCTCCCCTGGAAGCAGCACCTACCTGAGATGGGCCCTTCTCATTACAGATGGAAGCAGCACAAAAAAAGGGCTAGCGGAAGCTTTTCGTTACTCTTTTTTTCTCATAGGTTTTGGGGGACAGGGGATGTTTAGTTACATGAGTAAGTTCTTTAGTGGTAATTTGTGAGATTTTGGTGTACCCATCACCCCAGCAGTATAACTGTATCCAATTTGTAGTCTTTTATTTCTCACCCCCCTCCAACCCTTTTCCCCAAATTCCCAATATCTTTTAAAATGTTAAAATGTATTCATATATTAATATAGCAGGCATTTATCTAGAACCTGTAGACATTGTTTATATAGATAAACAGATGTAATTCTTTAAAGAGTTTGAAATATGGTTGATGGTGGGAGTGGGCTAAACAAACAAAATAATCTGATATAATCTGATGAGTGCTGTATTAGAGGTGAATATAAGCATTTGTATTAGTTTCTAGGGCTACCATAACAAATTGCCACAGATTGGGTAGTTTAAACAACCAACAGTTTTTCTCTCAATCTTTCTCTCCCTCTTCAAGAGGTCAGAAATCCAAAATAAAGATGTCAGTACTTTTGATTTCCTCTGGGGGCTCAGAGAGAATTGTCCGTGCAGAGATTCTGGTGGCTGCTGGCAATCCTTGGTGTTTGTTGGCTTACTGATGCATCAGTTGCTTCAATCTTTGCCTCCATCTTTACATCGCCTTCCTCTCTGTTGTGTCTCTTTCCATATTGCTCTCTCATTTATTTCAGGAAAACATCATTGTGTTTAGGGCCCATCCTAAGTCCAGTATGATTGTATTTCAAGATCTCTAACTAATTACATCTATTAAGACCCTATTTCTAAATAAGGTCACATGAGATCCTGGGTGGACATGAATTTTTTGGTGACACAATTCAACCTGTTAGAGGTGTTAGGGGTAGTTAAAGATAGGCATCTAATGCAGCCTGGGCTGGGTGTGGATGGGAGGTTCAGGAAAATTTCTTGAAGCAACAGGTGCCTAAGTTTAGTTGGAGAATATGAGGTTAAAGGGGAAGAGAGTAACCAGGTTGTGGAGCATCTATTTGCCACCCTGAAGAGTGTGTATTTTATCCAGTAACTCAGTGATTCTCCTCTTTTGCGTTCTGTAACAAATTTGAAGAATATGAGACTCTCACATTAGAAACATCTGCTGTTTCTGGAAATGATACTCAAGTAAGCCTGTCATACATCAGAATCTTAGAAGTTAATGTGCAGTTTGAAAAAGTCCAGTGGGTGATTCAGGTTCACCTCTTGTCTTTCCAACAGATTGAATATTGATAAGCAAATAGTGAAAGGATTTAAGCAAAGAATGCATGTATATAATTATGTTACCTTTTGATATGTTAATAATGTCACATGTAAAATAATACCCTCTATCTGTCGACCTATCTGTTTATACATATTGCCATGGTTCAGGATGGAAGTGAATTAAAACAGGATGACTATAGGCAGAAAACCAGTTAGCAGACGAATGAAATAGTCCATATTAGTGTTTGTGCAGGTCTGATTATGGAAATGTTCAGAAAATATAAAGGTGCGAATAAATTTAAGAGCTATATGGGAGGTAGAATTAGCAAGATTTTACAAAAAAAATTATAAATAAGACTGGTAGTAATGATTCTCAGGTTTCTTGCCTGTAATCATTATATCTGGAAATCAAAAGTCTTCTTGAAGAAAAGTAGTTTTGGTAATATGGGGGCAGAAGTGATATTATTACATGGACTTGAGGAGTAAGGAGGAAATGAGAGGTGAAACGCAGCATATATCTCTAAATGTATGAGCATATTTTGTATGTTCGTGTGTGCGTATCAGTTTCTGTATCTATATATAGACATACAGCATATTTGCTAGGACAGTCTTGAGCATATCTGGCACTTGAGTCAATTCAGCTGTAATCTTAAAATAAGTAATTGTATTGTAAAGGCTTCTTCCTGAGGAGTTTATAATCTCAGTAATATAAACTATCAGATTTGAATTGACATCTCCTTTTTAAATCACAGTTGTTCAATTTATACTTTATACTAAAATCTTATTATAGTATATATAAAGTACATTTTAGTGAATTTTTACATCAATCACTATAAGCTGTTGAACAGGGACATGTTGGCACTATGTTCATTTGTCTGTTACAGAAAAGAAATATCAGAGTTTGCCCTGTGGAGTAAAAAGTAAAGAACAGATTTAGAATGATATTGATTTCTTTGAGAGTATAACTTTTATTGAAGAGCTATCACTCCCATGCTACTGCATTATGTTTGTAAAAGGAATTGAAGTTGTTCAAGGTTCTCTGTGCTTTTTATTACAATTTATCCCATCAATGAAACTGTAATTGATGTTCCACTCAAACAAGACTTTATGTAAAGAACATTTTTAACATTAGGACTTCCAGTTTATAGTTTGTGGATTTTTTTTGTTTTGTTTTGAGAGTTTTTTCTCACCAATTATTGATGACTTGCCACATGTAGCCATTTCTAATCACTCTTTACAATTTGTCAGAAAGAATCCTTATAGAATTACAGGGCAGGTGCAATGAGAGATTTAGAGGTTGTTTTATATTATCTTGTGCATTTTAACACATCTGTTTTCCAGGTACTGCTAAAACTTCAGATTTTCAATCATATTTGTAGCTAGTCTAGTTCCCTTATGATTGGCTTTGAGGTCTTGGAGAAGAATGTGCATGAATGAGATGATAGGGAGAACAGGTGGGAGAAAACCAGCTGTGCACATTAATTTTTGAGGGTCACCCTGAAAGAGACCAATGAATAGACAGGAGCTTTTGTTGCTTAATATGCAAGTAATATGTATAAGCAGGGTTTGTAGGTGTGTAAGATTCTTTACTTGATTTATTCATTCACAGTATGTTTTACAACACACTGTGGAGACAGACCACTTTCATAGAGTGACAAAAATTATCCATGAGACTGAAAATTTTATCATAACAAATACACTGACTTTTATACAGTTTTAAATGCGTATGCATACTTGAAACATATTTTCATCAGTGATTTTTATTTGTAATATATATCTAATGCAATTAGCACATCTCTTCTGTCCTCAGCTGATATCACCATTAGTAGATAAAGCATGAAGACTCAAGCATTTTCCATTCGGTTCAATATTTTTTAACTTTGATTAAATACAGGCTTTTGTACAACTTCATTCTGAAGTGCAAATCAGTGTCTTACTCTTTTCATTCACTTTAGCTATTTGTACATAGCTTGAGTACATGAATGAGACATGAAAAACATCAGGGTTAGTATAGTTATTGTGCAAAAAAAAGTTGCACAATGGTTATTGTGCAAAAAAATCACTAAGTATCAAATGATAACTACGTAATGGAAATAGGAATGCGGACAACTAAAAATTAAGAAATTGTGAAAACTTTATAAACTTTGGCATAATGAATTTACGAGTATGAGAGACAAGATAACACAGTAGTTAAAAAGGCAGTCTCCTGAGACTATCCTGATTATGAATCCTGAGCCCACCTCTTAAGAGCTTGTGATGGCTGGGTGTGGTGGCTCACACCTGTAATCCCAGCACTTTGGGAGGCCAAGGCGAGTGGATCACTTGAGGTCAGGAGTTCAAAACCAACCTGACCAACATGGTGAAACCCTGTCTCTTCTAAAAAATACAAAAAATTAGCTGGGTGTGATGGCATGCACCTGTAGTCCCAGGCTACCCAGGAGGCTGAGGTAGGAGAATTGTTTGAACCCAGGAGGCGGAGGTTGCCGTGAGCTCAGATCACACCACTGTACTCCAGCCTGGGTGACCAAGCAAGACTGTGAGAAAAAAAAAAAGAGAGGGAGAGAGAGCGAGAGAGAGGAGAGAGAGAGAGAGAAAGAAAGGAAAAAGGGAAAGGGAGGAAGGAAAGAGAGAGAAAGAAGGAAGGAAAGAGAAAGAAAGGAAAAAGGGAAAGGGAGGAAGGAAAGAGAGAGAAAGAAGGAAGGAAAGAGAAAGAAAGAAAGAAAGAAAGAAAAAGAAAGGCAAGCTTGTGAGTAGGAGCAAGTAGCAGCTAACCTGTCTTAACATATGGTATACTATCACTTCAGTAGACTGGTGCATGAAACCTTTTGATTAATCAAATATTCTGATGTTCAAAACATTTTTCACTGAAACATTTCTTGGATTATAAATTTGAATAGAATTAGCATATAATATGGGCACTTAAGACTAAACCAACATTAAAGATGCTTTAATTGGCAAAGATTCTCAGGATAATTTATATAATAGTTCACTTTTATTGAGCAATGACTGAGTGCTTTTTAGAATGCTAAAAGTTTTACTTTTATTATCTAATCCTTTAGTTTTATCCATAGTTCATTGAGTTTTATGCAAATATTATTTCAATTTTCAAATAAGGACACTGAGATACAGACTGTTTAATTAATTGACTCAAAGTTTTAAGAAATTGGCAATGCCAGAATTGCTGAGTGTAAAAAGCAAGCTCTAAAAGGTTACACGCTTTTTTTATATAACAAATTGAAATGACAAAATAGTTAAAATGGAAATCAGATTAGTGCTTGGATAAGGGTTTAGGGAAATCAGGGTTGAAGGTGGGGACAGGGCAAAGGGATATGGGTGTGGCTATGTTAGTGCAATTGGAGAAATCTTTGCAGTGAGGAACCCCAAATTTTGACTGTGGTGATGGACAAACAAATCTTCATGTGGGAATTTAAAAAATACATAGACATAAAATATTTTCAGGGCTTGGGCTTCTCAGTGGAACTAATTAATACAAGGCAGATACCCTCCCCTCCCCGACAAAAGTGAACCAAGCTGGGTCTTTCTCAACTATTAGGGATCAGAAAAATAAAAGGAGGTAGGAAAGGAGGAATAGTGAGAGAAGAAGATAGGGAAAGAGAAAAACAAAGAAAGGGTTAAAATAGGGCAGAGTTATTAATAGTGAAGATGCTGGACAAAATCAAAAGAGAACAATTTTGAAATACAATGAATAGAACTTGGTTGGTTAATAGGTGAAGGAGGGAAACCAAAGAGTCTAGGATAATTTGTACATGTCTTGGCTTAGATGATATATATATTTATGATGGTTCTTGGAGGAGTAGAAGGTTTTATGTGAGAATGATAAATAGAGGCTTATTTATTTTGGATGTCCCCTCCAAATCTCATGTTGAGATGTAATCCCCAACATTGGAGGTGGGATCTGGTGGGAGGTGCTTGGGTCATAGGGGCAGATCCTTCATGGCTTCAAGCTGTCCTCACAGTAGTGAGTGAGTTCTCATGAGATCTGGTTGTTAAAGTGTGTGGCACCTCCCCAAGTCTCTCTCTCTTGCTCTTGATTTCATCACATGACATGTAAGCTCCTGCTTTGCCTTCCAGCATGAGTAAAAGCTAAGCTTACCTTGAATATTTACTGAGTTTCAGCCTATCCTCTGTATATTTTGAAATTTTAAAACCTAAGTAATTTTTATTTAGTAGCATGTAATTATAGGCAAGTAATTTAAGTTCTAATCAGGTAATGCATAATTTGCCTAGAAAATCACAAAAACTATGTTCAATTTAAAACACATGATGACTTTTGTTTCCATACAGGATGGAGTAACAGAGATAGGATTTGCTTCCCCCTGTGAAGCATGAAGAAACCTAACCAAAGCATATCATAAGAAAATTTGTCAAATCAGTTATAAAGAAAATAATTTTAGGTCAGCCAAAGCAAAGAGACATTGCTTAGACAAAGATAAGGACAACAACAGATTTCTTATTGAAAATAATGTAAGTTGAGAAAATGGTGGGGAAGCATATGAAAAATAATAAAAGCAAGACTTCAATTTTAGGATTTTATAACCAGAAAAAAACAATACTCAAATGAAGATAAAACAAAATATTTTCCAAACTACAAAAGCTGGAAGTATTCATCACTAGCAGATTCAGAATACAATAAATGTTAAAGAAAATTCTTTAGGCAGAAGGAGTTACCAGAAGTTGTTAAGTACATTGGTAAATACATGTATTATTTCTTAAGAGATAATTTACTACTTAATGTAAGTAATAAAAATGAGTTTTGAGATTATTATTGTGAGATATTATTACTATTTTTAAGCCACAGGCATCAAGACAGTGTAGACTGTAGTAAGGTTAGACAAATGTGTCAGTAGAACATAGTAGAGATTCCAGAAATTAATACACCCTAATATGGACAGCTAGGTTACTTTTAATAAAGGTAAAATAGCAATTCAGTGACAAAAGGATAATCTTGTCAATAGATAATGCTAAAACAATTGGATACCCATGTGCCAAAATGTTAACTTGGATGCATACCTCTTATCATATGTGAAAATTAATTCAAAATGAATCATAAACGTAAATGTAAAACCTGAAACTCAAAAACTTTTAAAACAACATAGAAGAAAATCTTTATGATCTTTGGCTAAACAGAAATAATTAGATAGTACTAAGAATTCATTAGGAGAGCTAGAATAAAAAAAGTTATTTTTTATTTAGTCTTCCAAACTCTCAACCATACAAGAGTTTGCAAGAATGTGGAGAAACTAGAACTTTCATATGCTCTTGGTAGAATGTGAAATCATCCATCCACTTTGGAAAACAGCTTGGTAGTCTCTTTAAGTTATTTATATACATATGCAAGAGAAAGAAAATCATGTGTCCAGAAAAAATTGTTAATAAATATTCATAGCAACTTCGTTTATATTTGTCAAGAACTGGAAACAATTCAAAATCCATTACTGCATGAATAAACAAATTAGAATATTCAGACAATAGAATACTACTCAGCAATATAAAGAAATGAATTTGTTACATTTTACAACATGGATGAATCTCAAAATATTTAAATTCAGAGCAAGGTTAAGTAAAATAATATTGTATTTATGTAGTGTACATTTTATTATATTACATTATTTTATTTTTTTGGAGACAGAGTCTTGCTCTGTTGCCCAGGCTGGAGTGCAGTGGTGTGATCTTGGCTCACTGCAACCTCTGCCTCCCAGATTCAAGTGATTCTTGTGCCTCAGCCTCCCGAGTAGCTGGGATTACAGGCATGTACCACCCACACCTGGCTAGTTGTTGTATTTTAAGTAGAGATGAGGTTTCACCATGTTGGCCAGGCTGGTCTTGAACTCCTGACCTTCAGTGATCCCCCAGCCTCTGCCTCCCAGTGCTGGGATTATAGGCATGAGCCACCGTGCCAGGCCTAGGATACGTTTTATTATTAAAGGCATATATGAATATATCTGAAGACATAACATATGCTGAGGATAGTAAAATATATGTCCCAATTCTTCAAATAAAGTATTAATAAAATATTATAACAGGTGCTAGAAGAGATGCTAAATTATTTGAGAAATTAGAACGCAGTCCTCTGATTTTCTTTTTTTTTTTTTTTTTGAGAGTTTAGCTCTTGTTGCCCAGGCTGGAATGCAGTGGCGCGATTTTGGCTCACTGCAACCTTCACCTCCCGGGTTCAAGTGGTACTCCTGCCTCAGCTTTCTGAGTAGCTGCAATTACAGGTATGTGCCACCATGCCTGGCTAATTTTTGTATTTTTAATAGAGACGGGGTTTCACTGTGTTGGTCAGGCTGGTCTTGAACTCCTGATCTCAGGTAATCCACCCGCCTTGGCCTCCCAAAGTGCTGGGATTACAGACTTAAACCACCTCGCCCAGCCTGATTTTTTTTTTTTTAAATCTTAGTATTAGCTAAAAGGATAAAATTAAAATTAAAAAGAAGAGGCTGGGCGCAGTGGCTAACGCCTGTAATCCCAACACTTTGGGAGGCCGAGGCGGGCAGATCATGAGGTCAGGAGATCGAGACCATCCTGGATAACATGGTGAAACCCCGTCTCTACTAAAAATATAAAAAATTAGCCAGGCGTGGTGGTGGGCACCCATAGTCCCAGCTACTCAGGAGGCTGAGGCAGGAGAATGGCGTGAACCCGGGAGGTGGAGATTGCCATGAGCTGAGATCATGCCGCTGCACTCCAGCCTGGGCGACAGAGCGAGACTTGGTCTAAAAAAAAAAAAGATACCAGAATTTTAATATTAAAATTAAATATTCCCAGGTATTGCACTATAATCCTTAGAGATTATATGATACATTTTAACCTCATATTTTATATTTTTAATAATTTCCAAAAATAAGTCATTTTGAGGATGATGAAAAGGGGTATGGTATAAAGGAAAAGTCCTGGGCTAGGTATTTGTCAGTGTAAACTATGCAACTTTGAAGAATTTAGTTAATGTTTCAGAATTTCTTTTTCTCATCTACAAAATTACAGGTTTAAAAGTGTCTGGAAAAACCATGAAATTTCATAAACAAATAGACAAATTATAATTTGTATTTTTAAATCATCAAAGCTCTACGATGAATATAGGTTGTGTTTTAGTGTGTACACACATGCTTACAGGTGCTTCTTTTAGTTTGACCATGACAGTCAGGACTAAAGTAGACTCTAAGGGCCAAATATCAGTCAGCATAGAACTAAAATGAAATGAAGATTACAAGATACATTTTCTGCCTTTCTTAAGTGCTAAAATATTCATATTTTATAGACTGCATGCTCTATGGGAAAATGTATCTTTTACATTGTTTTGTAATAGATATCAAAGTGGAATAATCTTATATAATAAAAAAGTAACCCTTGTGTATCTAAGGGTTCATAAACTTGAAGTACATTGTAAGAATACTGAAGGAAACCAAAAATAGAACGTCAGATCATGTTGTGGGAAGTCAGGGACCCCAAATGGAGGGACCAGCTGAAGCCATGGCAGAAGAACATAAATTGTGAATATTTCATGGACATTTATTAGTTCCCCAAATTAATACTTTCATAATTTCTTATGCCTGTCTTTACTGCAATCTCTGAACATAAATTGTGAAGATTTAATGGACATTTATCACTTCCTCAATCAATACTCTTGTGATTTCCTATGCCTGTCTTTACTTTAATCTCTTAATCCCGTCATCTTCGTGCGCTGAGGATGAATGTCGTTTCAGGACCGTGTGATGATTGCATTAACTGCACAAATTTTTTAAACAATATGAAATCTGGGCACCTTGAAAAAAGAACAGGATAACAGTGATGTTCAGAGAACAAGGGAGATAACCATTAGGTCTGGCTGCCTGAGAACCAGGCGGAACAGAGCCATATTTCTCTTCTTTCAAAAGCAAATAGGAGAAATATCACTGAATTCTTTTTCACAGCAAGGAACAGCCCTGAGAAAGAGAATGCCTTCCTAGGGGTAGGCCTCTGAAATGGCCGCTCTGGGAACGTCTGTCTTTTATGGTTGTAGATAAGGGATGAAATAAGCCCCGGTCTCCCATAGCACTACCAAGCCTACTAGGAGGAGGAAATTCCTGCCTAATAAATTTTGGTCAGACCAGTTGTCTGCTGCCAAACCCTGTCTCCTGATAAGATGTTATCAATGACAATGCATGCCCGAAACTTCATTAGCAATTTTAGTTTGGCCCGGTCCTGTGATCTTGCCCTACCTCCATTTGCTTTGTAATATTTTATTACCTTGTGAAGCATGTGATCTCTGTGACCCACACCCTATTCATACACTCCCTCCCCTTTTGAAAATCACTAATAAAAACTTGCTGGTTTTGTGGCTTGCGGGGCATCATGGAACCTGCCAACATGTGATGTCTCCCCCGCACACCCAGCTTTAAAATTTCTCTCTTTTGTACTCTTTCCGTTTATTTCTCAGACCAGCCGACACTTAGGGAAAATAGAAAGGGACTCACATTGAAATATCGGGGGCTGAATTTCCCCCAATAAGATCACATTACTTTAATTTTTAAAATGATATTTCTTATAAATTTCCTTTCTGAAAAGACAATTATATTATTTCTTAAAGAGTAAACTACTATTCAGTACCTGAAGGATAATCTGTAGGTTTGTTCTTATCTTTAAAGAGCTGTACTCATCAGAAAGCACTCAACTCACAGCATGGGTAGCATCAGCATGCTGTAACCTGAATCAAGAATAATAGCACTTGAATAATTCCCTCTGATGTGTTCATAATGATTTCTCAAAAAAGAGTTTTGGAAATGACATGAAGCAATTTTCTTTCTGCTGAGCTTCAGTCTAAGGGGTATTGGCACTGGGCTTAGAGGGAATGTAGATTATGCTCTTCTTTTTCTATTTTACATTCTTAACTCTCTACTTTGGAGACTGCTAAATTGATTTAATTTATTTTCCAAACAATTCCTAATTAATCACAATTATTTTGATATTTTAGAAATTCAAAATGCCAAAAAAAAAAAAAAAAGAAATTCCAAACAACTCACATGTTTCATTTTAACAGGACTCCTTTATTTGTGGACTATGATTGGTAATATCTTAAGCGGCACCCAGCCAAACACAAAACATTCAAGCTTCTAAATTTATTCATTAAAGAATTCTGACACTCTAAATTAGGCACTGTCTGTTCTTCATACTTACTATTATCAGCAAGTGTACCCCTTCCCATACATATACACCAGAAAATAAATATCAGTAGAGACTCAGATAAATACCTGAATTGAATAATATTGATAAACCTGATTCAACATTTATTTGCTCCTTGATCTTGTGTTGGGATATAAGATAAGTAAGTTCTCCAGCAAAACTCAGGCTTTTTGTCTTAATGAAACACGTATATGATAGAAAATGGAGCTCACATAAAAATCGAATTATGAATGTGTCTCAGTATCCTACAATAAATCAAATTTATGCTAATGAAGAAAAGAGCATTACAGATTTTTATTTTATTTCTATTTTCTATGTGTGCCCTTCCCCTCTCCATTTTTAGAGTTCTTTATGGGGGTAATAGTGAGGGGCAGACAGATGTATCTTCATGAAGTAGTGTGAGGAAAATACTTTGAAGTCTGTTAATTTATGTAAAAACTTGTCCCTCCCTCTCTTTGCAAAAGCAAATTACATTGCTAATTAATGTAAGAAACATAAGAAAGGTATAAGATTACTCTAAGGAAGAGAAAAATATAACACTGTCAGTTTCAGGTTTCCATAACATATACTTCAGAGGAGGCTGATGCTCATCTTTGCATATCTGACATTCAGGGACATCACCACCAAGAAGCTGTTTGGAATTCTGCATTCTGTTCTTCATAAAAATCCCATGATACTTCCCAGCAGAAGACACTAGTTTTGAGAAAAAGTTTCTCCCTAAAGGATATTGGCAACTCACAAAAAATACATTTTGGGGTGCAGTTTTTATAACTCAAAGAATTTCATGCATATGTAACCAGCCTCTGGCGTAAGAAAAGCAACCTTTCCAGCATCCAGAATGACCTTTTGTTTTCCTTCCCATTACTGCCTTCCATCAATATCCTGACTTCTAACAGTGTGGATTAAATTTGTCCACTCTTGCACTTTATATAAATAGAATCAAATTGTGTCTTGGTTCCCCAAGAGTACCTTCCAACTTGATGGTTTGCTAAGAAAGACTCACAAGAATCAGAAGCTATTTATACACACACAATATACTGTAGCAAACAAATATAAATTAAAATCAGCAAAAGAAAAGAGCAGATGGGACAAAGTCCAGGAGAAACCAGACCCACACTTTCATGTGTTTCCTTTAGTGGAGTTGCATGGGCTCACATGGAATCTCACCTGAGCCTTGATGTCCAGAGTTTCTACTGGGACCAATAATGACAGCATGACTGACCTTAGCTACTCAGAGAAAAAGCAGGTATTCACTATAAGTCACATTGTTAGGATAAACTTATCTGATCACACTGGTACATCGTGGCCCAAGCCTTCAGGCCTGCAGAAACACTCTTATCACACATGATATTTTAAGGGCTCAGAGCTTATTTCCCAGGAGTTGACCAAGCAACAGTCATGAAGACAAACCTTCTTTGGAATGTGCAGGGTTTGAGTAACCCAGGCCTACCACATTAACCTTTTCCTGCTTGCTCTCATTGTTTTAGTATTCCACTCCCTGTGTATATCACAATTTGTTTATCCATTCTTCTGTTGATGGGTATTTAGTTAGGTTCTCTTTATTTGTTGTGAATCTTGCTGATATGAACATTCTAGTACAGGGGTATTTTTTGGTTAAAATGCATATATATTTCAATTGAGTGTATACCTAGCAGCAGAATTGCTATATTATAGAGTATGTATATATTAATCCTATGTAAATACTTCTAAGAGATTTTCCAAAGTGGTTATTTTGTTTTATATTTGCACTTGCAGTGGACAAGCCTTGGTTGTACCACATCCTCATCAATATTTGGAATTATCAGTCTTTCATTTTAGCCATTCTGTTAGATGTGTAATTGCCTTCACACATTTTCTGTTGCTATAACAGAATACCTGAGACTGAATAATTTATAAAGAAAAGAGGTTTATTTTGCTCATGGTTCTGGAGGCAGGGAAGTGCAAGATTGGGTGGGTGCATGTGGTGAGGGCCTAACCGTTATGTCCTAACATGGTGGATTGCATCACATGGTATAGAAGTAGAAGGGGAAGTGGGCTCGCAAAAAGGGCAAAACATGAGAGGGAGGTGGTTTGACAGCTTATTATATTAAGTTTTCAGTTTTCTGCCATGAGTACCATAAAGTTTTTTATTTATTGAGGTCTTTATTTCCTCTCTGAAAATATCCTTTTATACATTTTTTAAGGCTTATTACTAGATTTTTAAAACTTTATGTTTCTGTAAACACTTTTCTTTAAATAGTATTTTCTATTATTTTTTGAAGGTATATAAAAATTCAGTTATTTTTACATACCCGTTGATGTTGCTAAATTTATTTATTAGTTCTAATTATACATAGATTCTTCAGAAGGTCTTTAACTGCAACTATGTCATGTACAACTTTGTTTTTCCTTTCCTATTCTTACTGCTTTATTTCTTTATTTGCCTTATTACGCTGGCTAGGACTTCAGTGCAATATGGAATAGAAGTGGTGTTATTAGGCATTCTTGTTTTGTTCCTAAGAAACTCAGAGGAGTTTCTTAAATTGATCATTTGCTGTGGGGTTTTGGTGGATATTTTTCATTAGAGATTAAGAAAGCTCTCTTCTATTTCTAATTTGTTAAAAGTTTTTTTTTTGTCATGACTGTTAACTTTTTTCAAAAGCTATTTCTATATCTTAGAGACACTTGTATAATCTACTTTTCTATAGTAAATGTAATAAATTACATTGATTTATTTAGAAATTTTTAAATCATTCTTTCATATCTAAAGTCCACTTGATTGTGATGAATTCTCCTTTTATATGTTATCATATTTGATTCACTAATATGTTATTAAATATATTTGCATCTATGTTTGTGAGAGATAATTATCTGTAACTTTTTTTCCTTTTTGAGTCTTTGTAAGTATGAGAATCGATGTTATACTGACATCATAAAAATAGTTAGAGGGGGGCCAGGTGTGGCGGCTCATGCCTGTAATCCCAGCCCTTTGGGAGGCCCAGGAGGGCGGATCACCTGAGGTCAGGAGTTCAAGACCAGCCTGGCCAGCATGGTGAAACCCTGTCTCTACTAAATACAAAAAATTAGCTCGGCGTGGTGTCAGGTGCCTGTAATCCCAGATGATCAGGAGGCTGAGGCAAGAGAATTGCTTGAACCTGGGAGGCAAAGGATGCAGTGAGCTGAAATCATGCCATTGCACTCCAGCCTGGGCAACAAGAGCAAAACTCTGTCTCAAAAAAAAAAAAAAAAAAAAAAAAAAAAAAGGAATTAGAGGGTTTTTTTTGTTTGTTTTTGTTTTTTCTATTTTGTTGATGAGTTTGTGAAAGATTATTGTTATTTCTTCCTCAAATGTTTGAAAGAAGTTCATCTGTGAAGCCATTTGGGACTGACTTTTTTTTTTTTCTTTTTAACGGATTCAACATCTCTAATAGGTAATGCACTATTAAAATTTTTGTTCCTTTTTCTGTCAGCTTTGGTAAATTTAATTCTTCAAGATATTTGTCTACTTTATTGAACTAATTCATGCATTTGCAAGGAAAGAAAACCTGATTAATTATAAAAATAAGTAATAAAATATATAAAAATGGAGAAATTGTGTCTTTTTAAACTTAAATGACAATTAAAAAATTACAACCTTTTTTTTTCACTATCATCAAGTTTACAGGTGAATTTGTTCTCCAAATCTAACATTAATGGAGAACATAATCTGATTCCCAGGATGTCCCTGTCCTGAAGCCAGTTGCATCTCTTCACTTTTATATGCTTTTATTTCTTATTAGTTGGAAGGTTGAACGTTCCACTACAATTACGAAGGAATTGTCACTCTTTTGCACAGTAGCAGCCCAACATTAAACCCAGTTCAAGCCAATAATTAATTTAACTGGAATTTTGCAGAGTATCAGAACAATAAATTAGACATTTTAAACAGGAGAATCAATTGTACATCAAAAAATTTTAAGAAGGTGAGAAATTCATCAAGGATGTTTTAAATTCAGACCATAACGTTTTAGAAATAAAATGCAGTTTACCAAAACATTTGTCTCTTTTGTTGTTTTAGAGAATGGAGAGGGAGTGATATTTATTACCTTTTCATGTTCTAATGGAAATATGGAGACATAATATCTTCTATACTATGTAAATTCAACAGTATTGGTAAAATATATTACACATAAAAGCAAACTATTACTATACAAATTAACTGATATTATATTTGTTAGAAATCAATAGCCTTGGGTTAAGAAAGTCAGAATTGAGACAAACAATCATTTATATTTAGGTGCTACAGACTGTTTGTGTCGCCCCAAAATTCATATGCTGAAACCTAATCCTCACTGTAATGATGTTGGGAGATGGAGCCTTTGGGAGGTGATTAGGTCATGAAGGTGGAGCCCTGGTGAGTGGGTTTAATGACCTTATTAAAGAAGCCTGAGAGAACTTCCTCCCCTCTTCCACCATATGAGGACACAGCAAGAAGACGGCCACCTATGAACTGGGAAGTGGGCCTTCCTCAGGCACTGAATCTGCCTGCACATTGATATTGGACTTCCCAGCCTCCAAAACTGTGAGAAATAAACTTCTATGCTTATAAGCCACTCAATCTATATTATTCTGTTATAGCAACCCAAACTGAGTAAAACATTAGATCACCCTCTATCTTCTTTAATGCTTTTCTGATAATATGCATCCTGGTGAAATGTGTTGGCTGTGAGTGATGTGGATTGGTAAGGCACTAGGAAAATGAGAAAAGAAAGAATGCAATGCCAAGATATCTCTATTAAAGCAGTTTTTATAAGTAAAACTCCTTTTCCAAGGAAACGAATAATTTTTTTCTTTATTAAACAGAACAAATTGGTAGAAAAATGCTTTACATATTGAAACTTCTACATCCCAGAATGTGGCTTTAATGACTATATTTTATCAAGAAGTGTTTGTGTATAAAAATCAAAAACACAAGTATCAAACTGCTGAAAATGTAACACAGTGTCAAAATTATTAATAGACAATGATAATATATTTCCAGGAATATAAAACCAAAAAATTTAAGAGCATGTTGGAAAACTTGGCAAGGAACACGAATGTCAATTTACTAAGCAATAAAAGGGGAGGCATACAAGTGATCAACAAACATAAGGAGGGCAAAAATGCAAACAATAATACATCAGGAAAGATTTAAAGAAACAAAGATTTAAACAGCAATATATCATATATATTTATCTTTAGTATACCTTGTGCTGTTGTTTATTTTTATGGTACTATCCTCAGTGTGAAGAAAATGGCATTCTTGTATACTGGTAGTTTAAATATAAGTTGTCCTACAAACCTTCAGAATGTACTTAGCCAGCAGTTACTTGTATAAAGTTTTATCCAAAATGCAGAATTAGAGACTCATACACAGGCGTATCCACAAGAATAATATTTTACATTGTTATTTATGAAGTAAAGAGGAAACAATGTGAAGTCCAATGGCAGAAGACCAGTTACATAAGTTATGGCATGTCTACATATACAGTATTATGTAGTCATTTAAATCATATAGAATTATGACTAAGAATTTGAGTAAAAGCTCTTATGGTAGGTGAAAAATATGTATATATTTGTGTGTATGCAAAAATATGTTAATACACACAAACCTGTATTGTGTATCACTGCACATTTACACATATACAATCTTTCTGCGGATTTCTGATTAGTTCTTGAAGATAATTATCTAGAAGTGTAATTTTTGCATCATTTTGAAAGATACTGATGTTTATTGAAAAATTAGTATCTAAAAGATTTTATCAGTTGACACCCATATCAATTTTATAGTCATAACTTTAAAAATACACTAAAATGTTGACTGATGTCAGTGGTCATCGCTGAATGAATTACAGGTAATTTCAATATTCTCTTTATATTATTTCTGTACTCTAAGTCTATTATTCCAAGGGCTTGGGAGGCAAACGCATTCCTTTGGCTCAGGAGCCCTTAGGTGGACTGAGTGTGGACAGATTTTATCACAGGTTTGGACCCTGAAGACAGTCTGACCAAACTTGTTTCACACCTCTTTGGCCACTGTTGCAGATACCTGGCCTTCTCAGTTTGGCTCTATAATAAGCAAAACAATGTGAAGCTCCCTATCAGATTTAGATTTAGAATATAAATATCCCCAATTTGTTCCCAGTTCTATCATTCTACTCATTCTCAGCAATGATTTTAAAAAGAAATTTAAACAGACACTCCTTCCCCAAGCCTCTGTATATTTAGAAATTGTCCTTCATTAGAATTTACATATAATGCAATCAGTATAACGAAGTGCTATTTCTGGTACATTCATTATTTGGAGTAACTGCTCTGTTAACCTAACAGCTTATTATAAAAATATGGTAAAAAGCAATATAATTTATTGTTTCTGAAGCACCTCTTTGGCTGAATGAAATAACAACCAGTGTGAAATATGAAGGGCAATACCAGCAGTTCTGGAGCTTATGTGTACATAAATATTGATAAGAGATAAAATATTTTAAAAAACGTATATTGGATGTTGGGGTCTTGTGACATTATCAGTGGCACTAAATTACTTACTTCACTGCTCAATGTAGGACTCAACTGAAAAGTGTGCCTTCCTCTTCTTACATTCTTTCTTTTTGTAGAAGCTAAATATTTTGCTGTAACATGTCATTAAACGAGAATGATAACACTAAAAATGGATGAGCTGATTCTGAGGTAATTTGGAGGGATTTTAAAACAGCAGAAGGCAGTGTCAATCATGATTAATAATGAATTTAAAAAATAAAGACTTTTGGGGAAAATTGTCTTGTTGAGTGGCATTAGAATAAAATTGTATCTGCTAAATAACCTCAAAGTGCTAAAAGTATAGAGAAAAATTGGAGAACTTGGAAGTTTACAAATACATAGCAACCATAATACAATGGGAGAGGACAATAAGATTGTTATACTTTAATCGTAAGAACTTGTTTATTTTTCAAAATGCAACAGGAAAAAACACAGAGAAGACCAACAGTCTTCAACAGACCCTAATTTAAATTCTGAATGTGGGATTGTACTGGGGCAAGACACATGTGAGGTCCATAGGGAAACCCTGGGTGTACAGGGAGTCGGAGCCGGGAGGGAATGGAGAATAACTGGGCAGATGGATAAACATTTGTGGTTGACTTTCGCTCTACTTGAATTACGTTGCCAAGGTCAAAAAAGAGCTGAAGTCTCTGAGAAGCAGCAGCTGTACTTTGTGTGGCCAGAATTCAACAGCTAAATCAAAGCAAGAGCCTAAGACTTGTACTAAAATACAAGCATTTGGTTATTGTCATCCAAGGAAGAAGCTTCTATGTTAGAAAACTGTGGAACAAAGAGACATAAAATCTGGTCAAGAGTGTGAGTGTTACTACTTTAAAATCCTTGTGATCTTTGGCAAATCCTTAACCTTTCTGAAACTCAGTTTCTTAATTTCTTCTGTGTATATCAGGCAGCTCTTGTGAGTAAGTGATGAATTAATTCATGGAAAGCTGTTCTGAAGGTGACAAAATAGCATACAATCTTTGGAGGTAGTTCTTTCTACAGAATGCCTATTTATTAATATTAGTCTTGGCTCTAGTGAGAGACTTACAGGAGGAGTTCAAAGCTTAGCTTTGTCACTTACTAGCTGTGGGAGATGTGCCTTGTCCTCTCTGGGTTACAGTTTCCTTAAATTTAAAATGGACATGTTCCTCGTGTCTTATTTTCTTAGTCTGTTATGGTGATTCAATGAAAGAGCCTATTTACTTCAGTGCCTAGTGCATAGTAAACAGTAAAAAAAGTTAGCTATTATAAAAACATGAAGCTTAGTTGGCCTGCGCCATGTTCAGAAAATCCAATAATTGTAATTATGCATCTATAGGAAATCATAGTAATAATAATGACTCTAGGCATTCAATGAACTTAAATTTTTTTTTTTTTCAGAAAATTCCCCCCCACCTTTTTTTTTAACCTGATTGCTTTAACTCTTGTATAAATCATCATAATGAAATAAAAGGGAACTACTGTTTCTTAATTATGTACATAAAATTCTAAAAATATAAAAGTGACAGTCCCATTTTAATTGTTATTATACTGTTAGTTCTATGTTGTTGCCATCCTAAGATGTATTTGTACTAACTATGGTTAAGTGTCCAAATAATGAAAAGCATGTTCCCATTAGCCTCCATTGATCAACTGTTCCTAGAAAAAGTTTAAAGGAAGTTCAAGGCAGTTTATCCTTTCAAATTAACCAGAAAGCTCCCCTAAGCACTTGTTCTCCTAGTATACATGTGCTGGGCAGAGCAGGGGTTCTGGAGTCAGGTTGCCTGGCTCTACCAGTTACTAGCTGTGTCACTCTGGGCAAGTTGCTAAACCTCTCTGGACTTCCACTATCCTCAGTCATAGAAAAAGTTTACAAGTGAAGTGTCTAGCATGGTGGTTACCATATTTTAAAACTGTCAGTAAGTAAAAACTTTTAGTCACTATTAGTGACAGTCATAAAAACTCTACTAGGGTCTACAAAGTTGACCATTCTAGAAGATATTAGATCACATACTATCAACAGAGATGGCCCATCTGGATCTAAATTAATCAAAATTCATTCCTACTTGAATCTCCGTATGAAATCTTTGGTAACTATGAACATTTGTGATTTTAAGTGGATTTGACACTAGATTATCTCAATGAGAATTCATTATCTATTTTATTCAGTAATGAGTTTGGAAGTGTTCTGCATTGCGTTAGAAAAATTCTGTCATTGAAAAAAATTCTAATATATATTTATAAACTCTCAATATTTCTCTTTCAATTTATCAATTGCATATACAAAGGAAATGGTTTTCTTAATATCTAGAACATAAAAACTAGCAAATGAAACCAGGCTGCCCACAACTGCCCTGTCCTTTATTATTATATATTTTTTCTTATTTAAGTAAAGCCAAACCATTATTACTCTTCTAACCTTTTTTTTTTTTAATCTTTGATCTGATAAATAAAAACGCATTTATTGGCTGGGCGCAGTGGCTCACACCTGTAATCCCAGCACTTTGGGAGGCCGAGGTGGGCGGATCGTGAGGTCAGGAGATCAAGACCATCCTGGCTAACACGGTGAAACCCTGTCTCTACTAAAAATCCAAAAAAATTAGCCAGGCGCAGTGGCGGGCACCTGTAGTCCCAGCTACTTGGGAGGTTGAGGCAGGAGAATGGTGTGAGCCTGGGAGGTGGAGCTTGCAGTGAGCCGAGATTGCGCCACTGCACTCCAGCCTGGGCGATAGCAAGACTCTGCCAGAAAAAAAAAAAAAAGCATTTATTTTATTACTATTTTAACAAACAGTCTATACATCAAAGCAGCAGGACTCACTTCAAGCACAACTATAGAATAGTATTTTCCAAATAAAATATAGTGGAAAATAATTGACTATCTATGATTTTTGCATCCTCATCGTCAACTTTTAAGTGACAATAATAGCTACCATTTATGGATAACTAACTACATGCTATGCATTACTTCACACCTTTTTTAACCCTCACAACAACCCCATGAAGTGGATTTTATTGTTATTCTCATTTTAAAATTAAGAAAACTGAGGTTCAGGGAAGTTAAGTAATTCACCCAATATGGTTACTTAGTAAGTGGAAGGAATATAATGTGCACCGAGAGTGTGACTCTAGGGTGGAACTGGGCATTCTGCTACTCTCCCTTGATATAAATAATATGAAAGTCCTTTATAAAGCTTTTTTTATGTAGATAAGTTCTGTATCCCTGTTGATGTGCAAAGTCTCGTACAAAGCCTCATTATATTCAGATATTACAGTGTCAACCACTTACTCCGGGAGAGTTTTTACACAGGATTGTAATTTATGCCTCAGCAATTACAAATTATTATACTTAAGAATTACTGGGCACTTACAGCATATTCCCAAATGTGAGGATTACGTCTGTGAATTTCAAGACTTTATCATGGAAATAACACTGACTATAGAGCTGGTTTAATCACTCTATTTTGAGGAAAGCAAGCTATTTAGCAGTTATGTTTTTAAAGAAAAAACTTTAAAATGTCAAATAATGAAATTCATCAACCCTTTTTTGGTTATTTCATTTTTTAGTGCACTATAGGTGAAGATAAATACTTGTAAGCCCTCCTTTTTTTTTTTTCTCTAATCACGCTTCTGAACCATGATACAAGGCTCTAGGGTTGAATAGGGCTACTCAGCTGATAGATAAGATTTGGTGAAGAAAGACAAGTACATTTCTATTTCTCTTTCTGTTAATTTTTTTCCCTCAGGTCCCTCTGGACCAATAGGGTGAGATTTGAATGGTTTTTTATCTTTGGATAATTTTTTTTTTTTTTTTTTGAGGTGGAGTCTCGCTCTGTCGCCAGGCTGGAGTGCAGTGGCATGATCTTGGCTCACTGCAACCTCCACCTCCCAGGTTCAAGTGATTCTCCTGCCTCAGCCTCCCAAGTAGCTGGGACTACAGGTGTGAGCCACCATGCCTGGCTAATTTTTGTATTTTTAGAAAGATGAGGTTTTACCATGTTGGCCAGGATGGTCTCAATCTCTTGACTTCGTGATCTGCCCGCCTTGGCCTCCCAAAATGCTGGGATTACAGGCGTGAGCTACCGCTCCGGGCCGTAATGAATATATTTTCACACATAATGTGGCACTTGATACAGTGTGGTGTGGTCTTTTCTACTTCTGAGTTTTGTTATATAAATGTAATAACTATTTTAGTGGGAAGGGCATAAAGAATAGTAAGCAAATGAGTAGATCAAATAATTGCAAATTACAATTTATTGGAAGAAGAGTGAGGTGTTTTAAGGGTTGGTGAGGGTTGGTGGTGATTATTTTAGATAAAACAGTGAGGAATGCACTCACTGCTTTATCTAAAGCAGAGGATTTTAAGCAGAGGAAAGCATTTGTTAAATAAGTGAGAGGCCATTACCTGGAGGCTGCATCTGTGCTTTGAGTTCCTACAAACAAACTGCAACCTGACAGTACTAAACAAACCAAAACCAACTTAGGAGTGTAACTACTGAGTTGTAATTAATCACAAGCAGCCAGGTTTCTTCTAATCACAGGCAGCCACTCATCACACTGTGCCCAAATAAGGCAGATGTCTAGCTGTGGTTGGGTAGGTGATTTCTCTACTTAGCTTCCATGCAAAACTCCATGCATTCAAACCGCCCCCCACCCCCAAAAAAAATTCATGAATGCAAAGCTAATACACCCAAATATAAATTATTGATATATATCTTGGATTATATATCATAAAGTCTATAAAGCTGGACTCTCTGAACTGCTTCTACTTCTGAGTGCTGCCTCATTTATGAATCATCTTTTGCTCAAATAAACTCTATTACATTTAACTTTTCTGCAGGTTTTCTTTTAACACAGTAGAGCGAAGACTGTGAGTCTGGTTTTTTGAAAGACAGAAGTGGGGGCTTTGTGGATAGAAAACAATGAGCAAGAGAGCTGAAATTGGAGAGACTGGTAAAACTGGCTAATGTAGGTAGGACATGGTAGACCATAGTGAGGGGTATTATTATTTTCCTAAACTTTATAGCAAGTCATTAAAATGTTTTAAGGAGGGGAGTAATGTGTTATGATTGTGTGTGTGTGTGTGTGTGTGTGTGTGTTCTTTATTTTAAACACCACACTGTTTTCTCTGAGGAGAATGGAAAACTAACTTCAAGAATGAGTTTTTTTTTTTTTTAATAAGAGAACAACAGTGCATCAGTAATTTGTTTTATGTTGCAGTTCCTAAACTCTTTTACATGCATCGTTTTAAATAATCCCACAAACCTGATACGAATTGCACATAAGTTAGACATGGGCTACAGTCTATTCATAAAGAAGCTTATTGGAGAAGGTGAGTAAATTGCCTATGATCACTTGTTACATTCAAAACTAGAACTTATAAGCCCTGAATATCTACCATAGCAAGATGTACTCACTTGTGCCTCAAAATGTCCCCATCAATATTTTTTAAAGAGGATATCATAAAAGATTATTGGTAAGTCATTGAATGCCACCTTAATAACTCTTTGAAATACTTCAAAGGGAATAAATATTTTACATCGTTGCTTGATTGAATATTAGCACTGTTCAGGTTTTCAAATTTTTGTAAATTTAATGAAAATCTACCAAAGTCTATCTTTTAATACTCTATTAAAATCAATTCTAATAGGACTCATACATGGAGTGCAACTAAATATACAAAAATCATGCATTCATATAAATTATTGATATATAATATTCGATATAGCAGATTATTTAAACAAAATAAACTTAAGGATTAAGTTTTTTTATTATGAAAATATAAATGGATAAATCAACAGGTAATGTCAACAAAAGGAAGAAATAATGGGGAAAATAAAGTATAGAATACATATTAAGAAAAATGAATATAAACTAAAAACAGAAAAAGATGGAAAGAGGAATTGCATGATGAACATTTCTCTGAGAGAACCCTTGATGCTTTCTTAGTGGTGTGGCCATCTGCCCAAGTAGCTGTGCACCATTGATTTCTTACTATTGCTTTAAATCATGACCTCTAATTCAACTTTCAAGACTATAAACATAGTAATGTCCATCAACCCTATTGCTGCCTTGTTCTGTAGGCCAGTTTGTAGAATGAAAAACCCTGATCACACCATTTGCAATGCCCAAACATGGTCAGGGGTTTAGGGGTTGGGGGAGAAAGTGAACAGTTCACCACCTTCATGACCTTCTCACTGACTTGGCTTATCAACTCTGGTCAATGTTTTCATACACCTTTTCCCTCTCTCCCCTCTGTCCCCAGAAGCATAAAGTGACTAGAAATCATTTTGCAGTGACATTTAACCCTTCTTTCCCAAAGCATGCTTGTGTCATAAGGCCAAAACTTACACATAACTGACGCAATGTTCTGGTCATTGGGCAGCACTTACTACTCTCAACTCTCCTAAGAAAGGAGAGAGTTCTTGACAGTGTTGACTACAGGAGAGTTGCAAGGTAGAAAAACATAAACAATGTTCTAGCTTATTATGACATTTGCTTTTACACTTAAGCTATACCAAATATGGCTCCTGACTGGATATAGAATGGAACACATTTTTAAAAACACCTATTTGGCATATTTCAACAAAATATGTGCCCAAAATCCTAACCCCGTAAGCATCTGTGGTTTCAGAGACATTGTATACTTCCATGCAGTATAATCACTCACTAAATAGAGGCATTCTTTTAGATAAAGCTTCCATTTTTAGAAAAAAGAAAATTGTGCCAATTTTTATTTGCCAGTAGTTTTCAAATTCATTATTAAAGCAAATGAAAATGAACATTTTTGTTTTTACAGTTTTCTGTTATATGCATTGTTGTTTTTCCAAAGAGCTTCTCTCCTTTAAATGGTTATAATAAACACTATTTTAGAAATTATAAATTGTTCTACTCTGAATTGCGATGGCTTATAGATTTCTTTTTCATTCTTTTGGGCTAATAAATGTTTGCATTAAAATATAAATGTTTATTCTTTGACTCATGAAAAAATAATAAGGCATAGGTATGAAGAATATATATTTGTTATTTGGTCTTCATAATGGCATATAAGATTTAATCAACTGGATAATAAACATTATAAAGCAATATTCATGTCGAGAAGACAATACTTTCAATGAAGCATAAAGTCATGTACCTACTCTTCAGTTGTTATAATCCAGATATATGGGATGGGACAATTAACAATAAAACATCTTCATGGCATGCCCAAGCACTTGATAGGGACTTCACTGGAGCTATCTTCAATCTTTGCATATGCAGAGCCTCGTTCAGCAACTGACATGTTGTGATTATTAATGTTGGTTGAATGAGCAAGTGAATGTTCTAAACATTTAGAAGTAATAAAGTCATGAGCTTGGATATCCTTGCCTCATGTAGACCTAGTTGGGAATACGTAAGGGATTTGAAAGATGAGGTCATACTATGACTCTGCTCCTCTGGGAAATACATAATACTAAAGTAGCAAATGACATTTTTTAGAAGGTATTAAAGTTATCTCTGCTGAGATTATGCCATTATGCTTAAAATTAGGAAGAGTAATAAATATAATTGAATGAGCATCTATTACATGCTAGGCATTTTACTAAGAATTCACGTAAACTGTCTAACTGAATCTGTACAACATTCCATCTTAAATCTCATAAGCTTAAAATCTCAGAAACTTAAATAACTGGCCAAAGGGTGACAACTAACAAAGTTCCCAATCTAAACCAAGTTTCATTTGATTTCAAAGCCTCTAACGCTTCTATCCATTCTTTACTTCTGTCTAGTACTTCTGTTTTGTACCACTTTAAATGCCAAATAAAACACCAATATCTACTTTACAAAGCCAGGTCATATATCAATGCACAGCAAGGAGATATTATGTAGAATTAATTAACTAAATCTTTAGAGAGAGTGGGACACTGTCTTCAGACTTACGTAGTTAGGTAATGCATTGTCCATGACAAAAGGGACAAAACTGGCTTTAAGACAGTGACAAATAACTATGAGTCATCCTAGGTTTCAGGCTCCATTTATCCTCTCTTCAACTCTGCTCAATATTCACAAAAGTTGCTATTGGGTAATTTAAATTGAAAAAGACCAAGTAGACAGGGGAGCACTTCCTGGAATGAGAGACCATGTCTGTTTTTAAATACTTCTACCCTATTCATAAATATTGTACCATTATTTTAGAAAAATTATTTGAAATACATAAAAAGCAAATGTCACACATATTCTTACTATCCATTGGTAACACATTTTAAAATACACAATTCTTTTTTATTATAATTTGCGATTCAACTCTACTCTGAAAAAAAGTCATGAATGTCGATCCTTGAAACAGAGCTTCTTGGCCTTTGAAATTCAAGTTCAGGAATAATTTTGAGAATATAAGCATATAAAATAGAACAGGGCCTAAACACAGACATTAGGCAAATATAACTAAAGTAAGTGGCTCTTGATGACATTTTATATTCCTAATTATTGATAAGATGACATGATCTGTAATTAACTGTTGGCTAGTTTCATTATTATTTAAATTAATAATTTAAACATAGCATTACATTCATTTTTGCTATATAACCATGTACTAAATTAATAAATGCTGTATTGTAATTTCAAAAAATTATGACCAGCTCTATGATTACTTTAAATTAAATTAATTGGTTGGTCATTATAAATTACTTCAACAGAATAACTTTGGAATCAGCAGAGGTCTAACATAACTTGCTTTTATTCCACAGCTTTGTTTTTGCTAGAAATCTAGTACTTCCTCTGCTGTCTTGATGATTAACATCCAAACCACTTAAAAGATCAGTCTTCAGGCATAAGGCACATTAAACCTTCTACTTTAGTTTTCTGAATCAATTTAAATGCCTGAGAATATAATCAAATATGAATTTGTTTATTTTGGACCATATTGTCACCAATATAAAAATTTTAATATACATTAAATTAGAAAAAGCATGGACCTGTTTGAGTCTTTACAGACTGATTCAATAGATTTCGTGTAACTTTTAAAGTTAATATGAAAACTGTTATCTCCATGGAAAGATTTTATGAAGCTCAAGATCTGGTGATCAAGGATGGAGAGGATTTAGACACATCCATGAGTATTTGAGATTCATTCAACTGTAAGTCTTTCCTAGTGTCAAAAATCTTTGCCAAATTAAATTTAAAAGTTTAATTGAACAAAGAAAATTTGTGAATTGGGCAGCCTCCCAAGCCAGAGTAGGTTCAGAGGGACTCCGGTGCAGCCACATGGTGGAAGAAGATTTATAGATGGAAAAACGAAAGTGAGGTACAGAAAAGAGGTGAGACACAGAAACAGCAGGATTGATTACAGCTTGGCATTTGCCTTATTTGAACATGGTTTAAACAGTTGGTCCACTTTGGCCATAACTCAGTGATTGACACAAGAGTAGGTTACAGTCCATTTACACTTTCATTTAGGTTATAGTTTACCTATGTAAACCTTCAGGCTAAACTTAAAATATGTAAGGAGGTAGTTTCAGGCTAAACTTGATTTAATACCGGGTAATAGAGCAACAGAATGTCCATCTCTCTTTTTCTTTTGGTCCAGTGAAATTCCAGTGTTCTTATATGCCAATAAACCATGACATACTGCCTTCTTAAAAGGCTGTTACCATTGTAAATTGTAGGCTCTTTATCATATAACAGGAGTAAGGAGATTTACCAGATAGTATCTTAAAAGACTAACTTTCACTTTAATGAATTAGATTTGAATACTGACAAGTGACTCAGGAGAAATGCAGCAACATTTAGATGAGAACTTCTCAGACTTAAATGGGCTTCAGAGTCAACTACAGGACTTGTTAAGCTCACATTTCTGGGCCTCTCCCAGACATTCTGATTCCCTAAGACTTATAGAAGCCCCAGAATATGCCTTTCTAACAAGTTCCCAGGAGACAGCTAGCAGACCACATTTTGAGCAGCAATTTTTCCAAATGATAGTTACTTTGCATTTCTTCTTGTATAAATTTAAAAATTTGAGCAACAAAAAAATTAAAATGTCTAAGATAAATATTGACTGCCAATTTTTCTAGACATCATCAAACCCATTTCAACTCCATTTCTAACTCTCACTAACTTTGAAGATGTTAAAAGATTTTCAATAAGTGAATGAAACCCTTAACGTGTTTGGAGCAAGGCTTATATTAGTATTTTAAGTTTTTTTCTCATTAGCAACCTTGCCAAGTCCAGAAATATTTTTACCCTATTTATAAAATAGAAAATTAAAATCCATTTTTATACCAGATGCAAAATCAGCTTGCATGTTACCATGGTAAAGCTTTCTTCAAACCACTGAATAAATTGCTGGCCGGGTGCGGTGGCTCACGCCTGTAATCCTAGCACTTTGGGAGGCCAAGATGGGCAGATCACGAGGTCATTCTTCAAACCACTGTATAAATTCCCGGCCAGGTGCGGTGGCTCACGCATGTAATCCCAGCACTTTGGGAGGCCGAGATGGACAGATCACGAAATCAGGAGATCGAGACCATCCTGGCTAACACAGTGAAACACCGTCTCTACTAAAAATACAAAAAAAATTAGCTGGGCATGGTGTCACGCGCCTGTAGTCCTAGCTACTTGGGAGGCTGAGGCAGGAGAATCGCTTGAACCCGGCAGTGGGAGGTTGCAGTGAGCTGAGATCACGCCACTGCACTCCAGCCCGGGCGACAGAGCAAGACTCCGTCTCAAAAAAGCAAAACCAAAAAAAAAACTCTCTCCCTGTTTCGCAAGCATTAAACTCAGTGGAGTCATATGTGAGCAAATAAATTGAATTTTTAAAATATCAGAACTAAATAAGCTAATTTTGTAAGCATCTGCAGCTTTAAATAATTTATAGTCAACGAAGGTGATAGAACTTTGCCTTTTTTTTTCTCTTACAAAAGTGTTCTAATGGAGTGATTGGATAAAGATAATTTCTGCCAGTCTAGAAACATAATCTGAAATTCCTTGATAAAGTAAACAAAGACAAATAGGCAAAATGCAGTGACATAATCTTTTTTAAGTAAAAATTCATAAAAATTGTGCATTCAACTACAGCTCTATAGTTTTTAATATGTACACAAATGTTTTAAACCATTTATCAGCTCAAACACATGAGTTTTTTTTTCCTAAACATCTTTCAGTTTCAGTGACATGGCAAGAATTTGCCATCAATGACTCTTAAGTAAACAGCAGTTCTCACGTATCAGACCTGAGAGAAGGCCTGCTGAGAAGGGGTACAGGAACAAGTCTTGCTCTTATGGGGATTTCTTTCACCTGGGCTATCATCTTCCTTAGAAAAGTGATATGAAGATAGTAAATTCTAGGCTTGATGCCAAACTTAGAAACCACAATGATAACCCCATGAATAGAGCAAGTTTTTATCATGCTTAGGAGTGGGTGATGGAGATGAACACTTAAAGATTATGAATTTGCCTAGATCCACTTTGTGGGTTTAGAGAAACTTCATTTGTTCTAGAGAAGTGGAATTTTGTGAGCTTCTCTTGAAGCCCACAGAACTCAGACTTCTATGGATATAAAGTTATGATTAAGGAGTAATTCTTTAAACATTCGGTATTATGTGTGAGTTTTGTGGAAGAAGAAATGTAGCAGGAGCTGAAAATTTAAAAAGACGTCACCAACAAAATTATTATCTATCATGAAGCATATGCTGGCCTCATTCACTCAAAGAGCTAATGCGTGTATCCTCTAGGGCTATCTCTGAAACCTAGAGGCAGACTTAGAGGACATGGGAGTAACCATTCCAGATATTTTTACCTCCCTAGTTTAAGAGAGAGAGAGAGAGAGAGAGAGAGAGAGAGAGAGAGAGAGAGAGAGAGAGGGAGATTGATTTAGGGCTAGAGTTAAAGTTAGGGTTAGGAAAAAAAAAGTGGTTTTTATTAAGAAAACCCACTTTCTTACCTACTTTAGGTTTCTAGGTAGCAGGTATATTATCATTATTATTATTTTTAACATTCTTTTTATTTGCTGGTGCCAGCTTGAGGTACACAGTTTGTGCTTCATATGGGTTCACCTTTATAGAAAGTGTACCTTGACAATTGCAACATCAGTATAGTAACTTCCTCCTTGAGAAATGCCTGAGGGCTTGGTGCTATATTCATTTTAAGAGGCTGAGGTTAGCTTTTACTTTTTTCTGAACTCTTTGAAATTTGTTTACTACAATTTGAATATGACGTTTGAATCTGACTTTACACAAACTCCTCATTCCTGATTATCCTTCCTGTTTTTTAAGATTCGCTAAGTTGATATCGGCATGATATACAAGTTCATCAACTGTACCGATTACATTACAAAGTCAGGAATCATTCAAATATTTCAAACAGAGGAAAATAATTACAAGGAATTTGTTATAAAGTTGTTGGATGAACAAGAAGAGCAAAGAAAAGAACATGTGTGGTCCTAAAAATTAGGAAGCTGATAATACCTTTGGCCGGAGGCTACCAGCCCTTTACCCTGCCCTCACTGCTACATGAGTACACTGAAGAAGCCTGAACCACAATGCTTCTTTCTTCTGCCATCTTTATATTTCCCTCCAGTCTCTCCAGTTGGGTAAAGAGAAAGATAATTGGCAAAGGAGTCAGGGAAATACAATATTCAGCATATTTATATATGTAGTGTATATATATATTATATATGTATATATATATGTATAATAGTGTATATATAATATATATATACACTACATATACGTATGTAAAACCCAACAGTACAGGGTAGAATATAGAAGGGCAAAACGAAGTTAAGATACATGATAATTCATTCCCCTTTGTTGATTAAAATTAGACATGCACTAGCCTTTTGTATCATTATCATTTTTCATCTTCTGGTAACTGTCTTCACCTGAACTCATTATGCCACTTAAAGTCTGTTCCACCCAATCGTACACTGTTTATATTATATGCAGTGCCCCTTTGGGTGTGACAGATCACATTGGTGCTTTTCTTTTGTTTTTTTTTGAGATGGAGTCTCGCTCTGTCACCCAGGCTGGAGTGCAATGGCGTGATCTCGGCTCACTGAAACCTCCGCCTCCTGGGTTGAGGCGATTCTCCTGTCTCAGCCTCCCTAGTAGCTGAGATTACAGGCATAATCCACTATGCCTGGCTGATTTTTGTATTTTTAGTAGAGAGAGGGTTTCACCATGTTGGCCAGGTTTGTCTCGAACTCCTGACCTCAGGTGATCCACCTGCCTCAGCCTCCAAAGTGCTGGGATTACAGGTGTGAGCCAGCGCGCCTGGCTTCACATTGGTTCATTTTATGAGAGCTTTTTGCTATACCAAAATATATAAAATAAAGATTGGTAAATATTGACAGCTCAAATAACATATTTAGATTTATAATTTAAGTCATACAATCTTCTGCTAAAAATATAAAATGTTGTGCTTAAGAAAAACTATCACTTTTCTTTTATTGCTTGCCAGGCTAATAATACTGGCTGGCTTTCTCCCTACTCAGTCTATGGTATATGCCAATAACTACCATAATAGAATGATCCTAGGATTGTCTTTCCATGGCATAGGCAAAATGTTGGTAATTAAACCCTTTCCTACAAAATGAGTCATTCAGCCTGTGTGATGCAGTTGAGAACATATATGATTACAATTTTTGTATTGCCATTTTAGGATTTTCAGAATATGTACTCTCCACTGTAAATTTTTCAAATGTGAGTACTAAACTCTCAAAATCGAATTCATTACACAGCAAATTATCCAAATTTTAATATGTTCACAATAAATATCAGCATGTTTTTAAAAAATTGTCAAAGCAATGCTGGCACCTATAAATGTTAATTTTATCAACTTTTTCTGGATTTTAATTTTTTATTTAAATTTTAATGTTTCTAATATTTCATTACCACTTTAATCACAAAAGATAACTGCCACATGTTGAATGTCTGTTACAGACTAGGCAGTATAGAAGGGTTTACATGTCATGTATTTCATTTCACTTTTTTTTTTTTTTTTTGAAACAGGATTTAGCTATGCTGCTCAGAACTCCTGGGCTCAAGTGATCTTGTCACCTTAGCTTTCTGAGTAGCTGAGACTACAGGTGTGTGCCACCATGCTAGGTTTACATATCATATATTTTAAGGCAAAATATATGTAGCTTCATATTTAATCCTCATTGAAAATTTTTAAGTTGTGTTATCCCATTTTATAAATGAGTTTACATAATTTTTCTCTGGTCACACAGGTAGTGGAATAGATATTCAAAATCAAGTTTGCCTAACTCCAGATCCATCTTTTGGCCTCTGTATCATGCCAGATAAGAGATCAGCTACCATTTTTTAATCAAACAGTTCTTATAATAATTATATTTGTATTGATCTTCTCTGTCCTCTACTGTAAATTAACAAAGGACTACTGCTGTCTTAGGCTTCCTCATAGCTTCTTTGCACTAACTGTAGTGTTCTTTACTACATAGTAGATACATTGCTTGAATGAATGAATGATGTTAATTCTCCAGAAAAACAACTCTCTAAGGTAACTTGTTTGTTTATATCATTTTAGTTTTATAGTTAACAAAGTTTGCTATTTTGGAAGCTGAGATATAGTCTCACTTTGCAAAATTTCAAAAGCTGAGAGAAGAATCTGGTCGCATTATAAGGTATACACAAGAATTACATTGTTTTGTTCCTCCTTTGCTCCCCTTTCCTTTTTTCCCCCATAATATATGGGCTCTATGCTAGTGTTGTTACAAGCATTTGCGTGAATTCTTTGGAGTGACAAAGACTTTTCCTCTAAACTACATAAAGGAAATGAAGTCTATTAATTAATACATTAATTTAGATACAGAACTATAGTCATATTTTGTTTTTTGTGTTCGATGCTTTTGGCACATTTTCAAAATGAAGTTTTTACCAAAACACATAAAAATAAAACAATGATTCTAAATCATTGGACTTACTATCTAACATCTTGCATTACTAACTCTGACTTTTCATTCTTATGAGACCATAGGGTGCTCAGGAAGGCATCTTTTGATGTGTGACTATCCTTAAATGAAATGAGGACAGTGTTTGTGCAGCTGCTGACAGCTTTAGCAGTTCTCTGCTCTGGGAATAAAACTTTAACAGAAAACTAAAAAGCAGAGACTTCTCCTAGTTTAGCACAATTATATGGTACCCATATTTGATATTAATGTTTCCTTTTTCCAAGTTATGGATTTCATGTGAAATTACATTACTGCATTCAGTTAGCAGCAAAATCATCATTTTTTCCCCTGGAAGATATTAAGTGTAAAACCACTAATATTTGCTTGTATGATTTTCAAGCTATCTAAATATGAACATGTGCATGTAATTACACTCCCACACACATACATAAATAAAGGCTCTTTGCTATATTTATTCCTTGATATTGGCTATTACACATTGTAAATGAGATTCTAAGCAAACCGTGTTTATTCATCTGCAGATCTCTCATCTGAGCTCACATCAGCTGTTTTCTTGTTTCATTTTCTTAATTATTGATGCTGTCACTGAAGCAGGAGTTGTACATCTGGTACAATGGTGAAAGGGGGATGGGAAAACAGTAGGGGAGGAGGAGTAAGATGAGGAGGAACAGGCAAAGAAATGTGAGGAGAAGGGTGATGGGGAAAAGGAAAGAAAGGAATGGGGAAGAGGGAGATGAGAAAGGAGAGGTATAAGAGAAAGGTGAGGAAGATGATAAAAGTCACCAAAGTGTTTCCCCATGTACTTAAAAAACATCACATGAGACCAAATTTGAAAAAAGAAAAAACAGAAGTACTGAAAACAGAAGATGAAACTGAAATCCAACACATAGAAATGTACATGCGCCCAAACTCAGATCAAATTTAAAAAGTAGCTAAACAAGTAAACTTTCTGTAATGAACTGACAAATGGACTTGTTTTAAGTCTGTCAGTAATGTTGTTACAGTACATTTAATTGACAGCTGGCATTTGAGGAATGACTCATATTTAAAGAGTGGGCTTTGCTCAAAAAATTATTTTACATTTCACCTTTAGTTTCTGATAGGAATATTTTCAAAGGTTAAAATGATAAGCTGAACAAAGCCTAAATGACATCCATAGTCCATGGTTATAAACCATAGCCATAGTCATAGACAGGGGATGTATTACATCTTTCAGTATGGCCTTAGTCATTTAACAGATTAGCCTGAAGCTAATGTAAGTTTCAAACTTTTCTCTCAAATTGAGTGAAGCTCACCTATCTAATTTAATAAGAAAAAGACTTTAGAACTTGATTCTGATGACTAACAAAAGAGGAAAACAAATATCAGAACAAGCAAAAGTCTTGGTAAATTAGATAATACAGCTTTTTCCTTTCTTTTTTCTTTTTTTTGTCTTAATTTTTATTTCTAAGTTTGAAGGCAGAACATGTAATTCATCTCTTAAACATCTGTGTGTATAAATAGCTAAGCATATTTTTTAACTCTGAATATATGAATATTCCTTGAATGTTGCAATTCAGTTTTTATCTGTACTATCTTCTTTAGCAACATATAATAAAATATAAAAGAAATCTTGAATGCTACCTTGAAAGGAGGAGATTTGGATTGTGTTAAACCTCATTTTAATTTTGACAACCTAATTGAACTTGAGGAAAGTGAGAACAAAATGAGCAGCATTTTTGTGTGCTCTTATTAGATTGGAGATTTTACAGAACTTCTTTTCACTTGTAAACCTTTTCACATCTGAACTGTTTTTCACCTGTAAACCTTCGAAGACCAAATTGGTCAGTGAATTCTGTTATTCAGATTTAGCTAATGTTCATCCTGAATATAATTGTTTTATTTTTTTGTTCTGATACCCTTATTAACAATCAGTATACCTCTATATTTCCTATTTTAATTCTTTTCTTATAAAATACTGTAAAACAGTACTAAATAAATTTAGAGTAGGTGTGTAGGCTTTGGTAGGTTGGATTTTTTTTATTTGTACTAATACGAAAGTAATGATGATTTCATTAACATTTGCATTGTAGATATTGTCTGGGATGTTGTGATTTGAAAGTGGTGAGATCAAGGGTAAGATTATTCAGTCTGATCTTGAGATCTGCAGTCCCAGAGTCTTGATATTTTCTTTGTATTCAGAAGGTACCAGGAGCTGACTGACTAATGCTAACTCTTAAGAGATTGGTTTGCAATTGATTTACAGTGAGGAAGATAACTGATGAGGGAATTGGTCACTGAAGCCCATTCATCAGTCCTTCATCTCCCAGTCTGAATATCTTCTAGGCAGCAATCTGTTTGTTTGGAGTTGTCTAGATGGCTCTCCTATTAAAATCATGATGAGAAATATATGGGCATATTTGCTGCAGGGTAAACTTTGGGTCTTCAGATCAGAGACTATCCTTCTCTATACAGAAGTAAAGACCTATTGCAAGTAAAGGTTCTTTGGTCCCTGTCTTTTCTATTTCTTTCCATTTGCATATTCAGCATGGATCAGCAGGGAAACTGCCTTCTAAGACACTTAAGGACCAGGCTGCTGAAAAATTCTTCTTCATATAGGCTCCCAAAATAATTTCAGCAAGAATAAAGGATTGTCACTCTGGTAATTTAATGCCTTTTTCCAGAAGTCACATGCCACTTTCACTCATATTTTATTAGTCAAATATAATGGCAGGTAATCTTACTTAAATGTAATAAGGGCAGCAAAGCCTTATAATAGATGTAGAAGATGGAGAATTAGAATATTTGGGAAAATTCTTTTTATGGTTTCATTCTAAAAACATATTTTAATAAAGTGATTGACACAAACACTTGATATCTCCAATTAAAATAAATATAGAAACTTTTTAATTTTTGCCTCATAAGTTATTAGGCTAAACTATTCACAAAATAATAAAATCTAGCAATAATCTTTATTCTTGCTGAAGACTACTTTTTGTGATCTTCACCTGAGCAAATTTTTCATAGTCCACAGGACTGGAGGGTCAGATTTTCTGCCACTGCCGGGCACAAGGGTCACAGTGGTTTATAATTCTTCCAGAAGAGATTTATTCAGGACCTGGGAAGAATTATTTCTAATTGATTTCATCAAGAGGAAAAGGAGAGAGGAATTCCTAAGGACACCCACACACAACAGTCTGAGGAAGCTTCTGTCATCATCTGTTTTGCACAGACCCAGGTTTGCTGAATCCAAGGTACAAGCTTTTGTTCAGACTCTAGAAAGGTCTAGAGGACCCTTCTCCCCACATGGAGGAAAGTTGAGGCTGCTCCCAGTGGCCTGATAGCAGTTCCTTATGATAACAATTTATCACCATTTAAAAACCCTAAAAATAGACTAAATTATTTACACTACACAGATTTAGATCTTACTTTTTTATTTTGCTCCAAATAATATTTGTGAATATTCTCACTGGCAGAAAAATCAAAGTGGACCACCAGAATGTTAGATGATCATTTGGATCTTTACCCTCACAAAACCAAAAGGTTGATAGGCCTGATAAGGTAATTGTGCTATGGAGAATTGTGAACATCAACAGACCAGAGAGAATATCATTTTATCTATGTCAAGATTGCAAAAGTAAAGTAGATTAAAATCTAATATTAACTTACTTATACATTTTAATTTTATTTTTTGAATAGTCATACATTCACCTAGTTAAAATACAAAAATGAGATTTAAAAAACATACATTGATTAAGTTTCATTTTTATTTGTCTCTGTTCATGTATTCCTAACTTTGTCTGTGTCAAGATTGCAAAAGTAAAGTAGATTAAAATCTAATCTTAACTTATTTATACATTTTAATTTTATTTTTTGAATAGTCATACATTCACCTAGTTAAAATACAAAAATGAGATTTAAAAAACATACATTGATTAAGTTTCATTTTTGTCTCTGTTCATGTATTCCTAACTTTGTCCCCATTCCTAACTTAGTTTCTTTTGTATCTTTTTAGCCTATTTAGTTTCTTTTGTATCTTTTTAGTCTATCTTTCTGAAAATATAAGCAAATATCTTTTTATACTTTTATATTTTCATCTCTTCTTTTATATAGAATTTAACATACTATATCCACTGCCTTGTACCTTCGTCTTTCCACTTCATGACATGTCCTGGAGATTTTTCCATAATACTGAGGGAATCTTCATTCTCTCTTAGAGATGCAAGGCAGAGTGGTTATTCCATAGAGGACACTGGATTGTTTTCACTCTTTCATTACCACAAATAATGTGCAAACCTGATTTCTTTTATGTGTGGAGTGTATCTGAGGGATAACTATCTTGAAGTGAGATTGCTGTGTCAAAGAGCAAATGAATTTTATGCTTAATAGATTTTTCCAAATTTCCCTCCATAAATGAGTAATTTGACACAAGTTTTCCATCGAAGTATATTGAAAAATTTTAAATTTTTGGCAACATGATACATAAGAATCGTCAGTCTCACCAGAAATCCATTGGTCAAAGAGCCATTGGCAAGGCAGAAGTTCAAGAAATATTCTTATACATATAAATTAAATGACTGTTCTTAAAGTGAACTAAATAATGGCCTAAGAGGGACTCTGTACTTCTATATTTGAGTCCTTGTGGATGAACAGTAATCTAACTTCATAGGTAGACAAGGTTGAAAACCTAACTTAGGCGTATGTGCCTGTAATAATAGCTGAGTCTTGGTCAATCCCAGCAGCCATACTTCGACCACATACTTCAACCACTCATACACTACTGAGTGTTTAGACCATGTTCAAATAAGGCAAATGCCAACCTGTAACCAATCTAGTTGTTTCTGTACCTCACTTCCATTTTCTGTACATCACTTTTCTTTTGCTGTCCATAAATCTTCTTCCACCACGTTGGTGCACTGGAGTCTCTCTGAATCCGCTGTGATTCTGGGGACTGCCCAATTTGTGAATCATTCGCTGCTCAAACTCTTTTAAATTTAATTTGGCTGAAGTTTTTCTTTTCACATTGTGAAACTGGAAATTTTGGGGCAGTTTCTATCTACTCCAGCAACAATCTAATATTGAGTAATATTTAATTCTTTTTTTTCATGATTCTGCCATTGCTCTGGCAACCTTTTTTATTTGAATATGTTGGAATATTATTGTCTCATCTCATGATTCCATTAAAGAATGTACGTTACCAATTTCCTTGAAGTTTTACAATAAATCTCAATGATCTCAGAGCAGCAGAGAACATGAGTTCCTGGTACCAGCTTAGTGTTGGTAGAGGGAATGTGAGAGGAGGAGGAATCCCTATACCCTTTTTTCCTCCCCCTACAAATACCACTGTTTCTTTCCTGCACTAGTTTTCCAAATAAAATCCCCCTACATTTCTCCCCCACCACCAAAGCCTCATGGGCTTTTGCAACATTCACAAATGTTGACCTCTCAGTAATACTTCTTTAGCCCCTACACCCATGTTTGTCTTCATTTGGAAGACTAAAAACATGGAAACTCGTTTCCTGAAGTTCAACTCCTGCCACATTCTCCTCCAGAATAGAAAGGTTACGAAGTTTGGTGTGTGCTTTACTTTCTGACAAATTTTTTTTGGTATTCAGATAACTGTTGGAAGTTAAGGGAAAAGTAGCAAAAGAAATCACGTATACATCACATTTTAATTGGAAAACCATTAGTACCTTGTCAGTTTAACCAAGTAGCAGGTAAAACCTACCCCTTTTCTTTACTGAGGTGAACCCCAAACAAAAACAGATTGCTGTGATCTAACACCTCCCTCAAAGAATGAAGATTTCACTCTGAGGCAATATTGTCTTCTTCGTTTTTTCCACTCCTTCAAGAAAACTGGTCCAGCACACTGGGTTTCTGAATTAGTGCATTTCTATAAATAGCTGATCTTATCTCTAATTAATCATTCACTGATTCAGTATTTTCTTTATTCATTCATTTATTCCTTTATTGAAACATGTTGAATCTATCCTTTAATCTCCAGAGTCTATCACAGTTTCTGGAGTACAATAAATACCTAATAAATGTTTGTGGGCTAACTGACTGAATAAATGAATTAGTGAATTGTGAACCCATGGCTTGAGCAATGTTTATTGATAGAATGTGTGTGCTTGCTTTCCTGTGTGTTAATAACCACTCTTCTACTAGCAATGGAAAAACAGTCTAAGATTTCTTCCATGAAATCAGTGAAAGGCAGGAAGGAGAAAATAAAGGAGTGAGGATTTCTAATGACCTTTTTTCCCCCCTGTGAATAAGGTAATCCTTTTATATGTCCTCAAGATTAACAGCAATAAAGAGATAAGAGGAAGCAAGACAATTCTTCTCTTTAGAAGAAAATGAGGTAAGAAAAGCAGAAGATAAAAACACGTTTAAAATGTAGGTGATATAGCAATTGTGGAAAGTTGATTAATACATTAATCCTATTAATGTAAAATATTCACATCACAACCACATTTCAGTAGAGTATTTGTGTGTAGGCAGGTTCACTGAAAAACAGAAGTTAGCTTTCAGTGAGACATTAATGGTATATTAACTGTGCCAATCACAGAACTAGTTGCTACACTGTTTTAGACACAGTGTCATTCACTATAGTTTATTAAAACATGAATTCTTTGGAAGGGGGTTTTAAAAGTAATTTATACTATGTAACCTAGCTACATGAAACTGACCATTAATTGATAAAATAGATTCACATGAAGGTCCTTATCTGATCAAGGGAAATGATTTTGAAATGCTATCATACAATTAAACACTTTTGCAAAAGTTTTTGTGGATCCCACCAAGATGCGACTTACCGTACTACCAGACTGCTGAAATCTGAATTATGGATACTTACAGTTCTCATAATATTAAAATCTTTACTTCTCCTTTATATGTTGGCATGAGAGAAGTACTGATAACAGCCTCAAATGCAACCATCATTTTATTATCTCCATTCTCAGATTTCCTTTTGTCATTTCCACTGTTCCTTCCTCCTGGGAAATAGCAAGCTCTCAGCTGCAGCGCTGTCATGGACGAACAAGCTGAGGCACTGTCAGTGGTCCCTTGCCTCCAGCAGCCAAACTCATTCCACCACAATTTTCCTTTCAACCCTTAATAGAGCAGAGACAACTGTTTCTTATTATTCAGTGCTGGAGGCAAAAAAAAGGACCTTATTCTTCCTGTATCCCCCCTTTTTTTTTTTTAAATAAAACAAACACATTAAAAAAGGTGTTGTTAGAGGAATTGCTGTCAAAAATGGGAGGACAAGTGGAATAAACATTGTCAATATTCATTCCTTGTACTTCATTAAGAACTCACTTCTTATCTCTCTTCTGTTACTAAAATTCATGTTCAAAAATGATTACTTTGGTCTTTCTTGAGCTTCTTTCAAAGCATATGTTTGATTATTGGCTCTCAAAGAAAACTTTGAAAGTTAATCTTCTATCACAAAATAAGCAGATCTTCAGGCCTATCCACTAATGAAGAAGGTACTTGGACATTTTTAGTCTTATTTTCTGTGTCCAATCCTTTGAAATTCTTTTGTTAATGCAATGTCAGGTGAGTGGCTGATTTTTAAAAATAACCTCTCCCAAAAATACTAGTCTATACTATTTAAAATACTAAAGAAATGTCAGATTAACTTTACTTTTTTTCATTAAATAGTTGGCATTTTCTATGATTTCATATCACAAAAGCTAAAAAGTATTATATAATTAAAGGAGGAACACTTATAGTTTAATTATAGTTTTATCTGGAGTTTCATAAATGCAAATTAAACATTGATTTATTTTTTCCAGCCTATTTTCAAAATGTAAATATCACTCCCAACTACCACGCCATCTTTCCTGCCTGTTCTTTCTCTAGCCTTCTCTGGCATCTTCTCTAATGAACTCCCCTGCTCCCTCCCACCACAGCCCCATCCTTTCCACTAGTAAAACAGTGAACAGAAGCATTCATCATCCTGGAGTGTGGGGTTTGGGTGGAGAGGAGGCACACAAATTGGTGTGTGAGGTGGATGAGAAAATTTGCTTAAAGATAGGAAAGCTGAATTCAGAAACAGGCAGTATATAAAGATGGTAACAGTGGTCTCTGATTTTTCTAATTAAGCAATTTGTCAGAAGTCTTGTGGGTACAATCTGTGGTAGTTTAGCATTTCCTTTTCACTTTGCTTTATGAATGTAGAGAAGTTAGTATTTTTCCACATAAAGGAAATTTCAATTTAGAATATTTACATTAAATATATTTGAATCATAAAGATGCACATTTTATTGAAATAGCTATGCTGGACAATATAAAGAAATATAGAAGGTAATAATAAAAATCTCACTCTATTGAGAGAACTGCAGTGAATTTTATTGTTTCTCCTTCACATCATCTATGTCTCTGTGTATGTGTGTATTCATTCATTTTCATGCTGCTGATGAAGACATACCCAAGAACAGAAAGAAAAAGAGGTTTAATGGACTTACAGTTCCATATGGCTAGAAAGGCTTCACAATCATGGTGGAAGGCAAGGAGGAACAAGTTACATCTTACATGGATGGAGGCAGGCAAAGAGATAGCTTGTGCAGGGAAACTCTCATTTTTAAAACAATCAGATCTCATGAGACTTATTCACTATCATGAGAACAGCATGGGAAAGACCTGCTCCCATAATTCAATCACCTCCCACCAAGTTCCTCCTACAACATGTGGGAATTGTGGGAGTTACAATTCAAGATGAGATTTGGGTGGAAACACAGCCAGATCATATCATTCTTCCCGTGGCCCCTCCCAAATCTCATGCCTATAAGCCTGTAAAATCAAAAGCAAGTTAGTGACTTCCTAGATACAATGGAGGTACAGGTATTGGGTAAGTACATCCGTTCCAAATAGGAGAAGTTGGCCAAAACAAAGGGGCTACAGACAGTCCGAAATCGGGCCCAGGCAAGTCCGAAATCTAGCAGGGCAGTCAAATCTTAAAGCTCCAAAATGATCTCCTTTGATCCCATATGTCACATCTGGGTCACACTGATGCAAGAGATGGGATCCTATGTTCTTGGGCAGCTCCACCTCTGTGGTTCTGCAGGGTACGGTCTCCTTCTCAGCTGCTTTCATGGCTGGCGTTGAGTGTATGAGACTTTTCCAGGCAAGTGGTGCAAGCTGTCCGTGGATCTACCATTCTGAGGTCTGGAGGACGATGGCCCTATTCACACAGCTCCACTAAGTGGTGCCCAATTAGGGACTCTCTATGAGGGCTCCAAACCCACATTTCCCTTCTGCATTGCCCTAGCAGAAGTTCTCCATGAAAGCCCTGCTGCTGCAGCAAACTTCTGCCTGGACATCCAGGCATTTCCATACATCCTCTGAAATGTAGGCAGAGGTTACCAAACCTCAATTCTTGACTTCTGTGCACTTGCAGGCTCAACACCATGTGGAAGCCGCCAAGGTTTGGGGCTTGCGCCTTCTGAAGCCATGGCCCAAGCAAGCTCTACCATGGCCCCTTTCACCCATGGCTGAGTGCCTGGGACACAGGGCACCAAGTCCCTAGGCTGTACACAGCATGGGGACCCTGGGCCAGGCCCATGAAACCACTTTTTCCTTCTAGGCTTCTGGGCCTGTTATGGGAGGGGCTTCTGTGAAGACCTCTGACATGCCCTGGAGACATTTTCCCCATTGTCTTGAGGTTGACATTTGGCTCCTCATTACTTATGCAAATTTCTGCAGCCAGCTTGAATTTCTACTCAGTAAATCGGATTTTTCTTTTCTATCGCATTGTCACGCTGCAAATTTTCTGAACTTTTATGCTCTTCTTTCCAATTAAAATGGAATGCTTTTAACAGCACCCAAGTAACCTCTTGAATGCTTTGCTGCTTAGAAATTTCTTCTGCCAGATACCCTAAATCATCTCCCTCAAGGTCAAAGTTCCACAAGTCTCTAGGGCAGGGGCAAAATGCTGCCAGTCTCATTACTAAAGCACAGCAAGAGCCACCTTTGCTCCAGTTCCCAACAGGTTCTTCATCTCCATCTGAGACCACCTCAGCCTGGATTTCTTTGTCCATATCACTATCAGCATTTTGGTAAAAGCCATTCAACAAGTCTCTAGGAAGCTCCAAGCTTTCCCACAGTTTCTTGTCTTTTTCTGAGCCCTTCAAACTGTTCCATCCTCTGCCTATTACTCAGTCACTTCCACATTTTTGGGTATCTTTTTAGCAGCGCCCGACTCTATTAGTAGAAATTTACTGTATTAGTCTGTTTTCACACTGCTGATAAAGACATAACAGAGACTGGGAAGAAAAAGAGGTTGAATGGACTTACAGTTCCACATGGCTGGGGAGGGCTTACAACCATTGCAGAAGGCTAGGAGGAGTAAGTTAGGTCTTACATGGATGGTGGCAGGCAAAGAGAGAGCTTGTGCAGAAAAACTCTCCTTTTTAAAACCATCAGATCTTGTGAGACTCATTCACTATGACGAGAGCAGCACAGAAAAGATCTGCCCCCATAATTCAATCACCTCCCACCAGGTTCCTCCCATGATGCCTGGGAATTGTGAGAGTTACGATTCAAGATGAGATTTGGTTGGGAACACAGCCAAACCGTATCAATATGTCAGTTACTTAAAGTCTTACTTGTGAGAATATTCTCATGTCATTATGTTTTAAAAATCACTTTACTGTGTTTAAATATTATAGTGATGAATTACAGTTTAAATACTTAAGTATGTAAAGCCATAACTTTAACAATATTAAGTAACCATTCCTTGAAAACAATCTTCTACATTTCTGGCTATTAAGATGGTTTTATATGTGTGGATTATTTGATCAAAGGATATTATATTTTGAAAAATCTTCGTATACATTACCAAATCATTCACTTGGATGGGCTTACTTAGGTAGAATATTAGTTTCTGTTTAATGCACTCTTGAGATATACACCTGATATTCAAAATATCACCAGCATGAGAACTGATATTGGGCATCTACAGCTTCAAGGGATGTATATCCTTTCTGTCTCTACCTCTCCAAATACACATCACAAAAATTTAATTTAATGTTTTTGTTAACTGATGATGTTAAACACCACTTCATGTGTATCATTCGTGTTCATCCTCCATGAAAAAGTTTCACAGTAACAAAATTTTAGTGGGATAAAGAAGACAGAAAGTGACCCTTTGAAGTAGTTACTAAGGTTGGGAATTACGAAGTAACTATCAAAGCATCTTATTTTCCTCATTTGATTTATATTTTCTCATTTTGTTTCCCTGTTCACTCTTATCAACTTACCTATTAATATCCTAAGAAACCAGGAGGGATATTGTAACCTTGTTACCTGGTTTGGTGCTTAGGGAACTTTTGTACTAAGTAATCAAAACAGACAGCATTTAATTCTGGGTTGCTAAGAGGTATAATAGAAGGTAGAATGGAAGTTAGTAAAGGTCCCCTTTCTGACAATTATAATGTTCATTTTAAAAGAAAAAAGAGCGTTTAAAAAATGCTTTTTATTTCTGTTTAATCTCTATCACTATTATAGAAAATCACTACATAAAAGACTTGCAATCTTAGAATTGTGGTAAATTTGATATTTTTATTACCTCAATAAAGTATAAAATTACTTGGATTGTTATATGAAAGATTGCTGTCTAGATAATTCTTGATAAAAAGATTGCATTTATATGTATAAATGGCATACATTAGATATTAATGTATTCCAAGTCATTTATTCTTGCTCATGGATAATTTTTTAAAGCAAAAAACTATCTTTTAGAAAGGCAAGGGCATCTAGAGAAGGAGATAAATGATGGAATTTTAAATAGTCATGATATTAAAAAATGCAAAATTGTTTAAGACCATGCCATGGTTTATTGGGAAGTGTTAGCAGACTTTCTATATGCTGATTACTCATGGAAAATGCACTAAATTGCATAAGCAGTTTGTTACTTCCTAAGTTTACCATTGTAATTGATTGTTGCTGAACAAGATTACAGGTTCATTCATGAAAACTAGTATTTGCTACTGGCAAAAGTAACTGGGAAGTAATGAAACTGACAAAATGATTTCATATAACATTTTTGGGAGAGCAAAAAGAAGCACCCTACACTTACTCAATTCAGTGTAAGCTGTGGATTTATTACGTTTGATGGAAAGAGATTTAGAATGAGAATTGGGTCTGTCCCTTATTAGCTGTGAGGTTGTCATTACCTTCTGTAAATTATATTTAGCTTAATTTCCTGATTTTCAAAGTCAGGATGACACCTATCTCACAGGGTAGTTTTCGATTACAATGTATTACCTACCAATTTTAAATTGCAGGTACTCTGAGCTTCACTAGTTAAGTGAAAGTCGTGCCTACAAAACATGTCTGAGTTCTTAAATCATCTTTAAGTTCCCTTCTAACTGTGCCATTATATGATTCTCTCATGCAGGTGCTTCTCCTTTCTTTCCTTCTCTGATGGGTACCCTTTTCCTAACACTTAAGTCTCATCCAAGTACATATTGATAATCTCTCTTCTATTTCTACTCAAATACTGCTGTGTGCACTAGATATTTTACCATTTCTCAAAGGGCCCTGTGCTCTATACCAGTACACCTCAGACGATCTGTGGAGAAGAACATGTTGGCTTTTGCCTCTGACACAGCATCGAACAATACTTGTATGAAATACAACAAAATTTAATTTCTAGAAAAGAAAAACTAAAACAAGAAGACATTCAAATTATGTCCTTAAATTGTATATTGTTAGATATAGCAGACATGAAATAATTCTATCAAATTGTTGTAAACATTTTAAAGTGCTTATGCTAAATTTATGTAATTATCTCATACTCGCAGTTCACAAACTGGCACTGTTTTATGGGCCATAATTTAAATAATGCTGCTCTAGGGACTAGACCAGCTGTCCTCAAACCAGTAGCATTAGCATCACCTGGGAACTTGCTGGAAATGCAAATTTGTAGGCCCTGTCCCAGAACTTTTGAGTTAGAAACTCAGGGCCTAATTCCCATCCCAGCTGCCTGTGTTTAACAAATCTTCCAGGTGTTTCTGTTGCAGGCTAATGATTGAGAAACATGGCTCTTTCTCTGCTATTTGCTAACTCTTCCATTACAAGCCTTGAGATGAACTTAACTCTTGATAATGTGGTAATAATTTACTGCACTGTTGTTGTGGATAGGGGCTATTATTGGATATTTGAGAAATAATCCCAATCCAAGAATTGATTTTAATTTTGAGAAGTTTGTTCATTGTGTTAGTAACAGAGACATAATAAATTTAGCTTAGACAGTTGCTTTTGTTCTCAGCAGTCATCCTTTTCTTAGGGATACTGTCTTATTCTTGTTTAAGATTAACTTGACGTTTTAATTCAGGAAATATTGACAAAATGAGTTTATCATTAGTGATTGTACTTCCCTGGTGATACAGTTTAGGTGTGTGGTTTGGCCCAAATCTCATCTTGAATTGTAATCTCCATAATCTCCACGTGTAGAGGGAGGAGCCAGGTGGGAGGTGATTGGATCATGGTGGTTATTTCCCTGCTGCTGTTCTGTGATAGTGAGTGAGTTCTCGTGAGATCTGATGGTTTTATAATTATCTGGCGTTTCCTCTGCTTGCTTTTGTCTCTTTTGCCTGCTGACGTGTAGGACATACCTCTTCCCCTTCTGCCATGATTATAAGTTTCCTGAGTCCTTCCCAGCCATGCAGAACTGTGAGTCAATTAAACTTCTTTTCTTTATAAATTACTCAGTCCGGGGTATTTCTTTATAGTGGTGTGAAAACAGACTAATACACCTGGAAAGTGGAAATATTTATTTATTGGAAAGGGAGAGAAACTGCAGTGAGGTACATCTTTCACCTATTTTCTATTTTTTGTTTGCATTTTTATTTACAGTGAGATGTGTATACTTTGCAACTGAAATAAATTTGAAAAAATTTGTAATTTTTCTCATTTCTCCTATGTTTAGTCATTTTTTTCCTGAGAAAATGAGAGAAGGGTGCTTCATTTTTAATCGCTCTTAAAACAGCTGGATGGTATGTATAATTAAAAACGCTAGCAAAAGAAAAAAAAAGCCATGGATATTATCAAAAGCCAAAAACAAAACCAAAAAAGAATGAATGAGAGAAATGAGTGGCAAAATCACTCAAAAGGCCAAATGTAGAATTATTCATAGAAAAATTGAAGAATATTTATTACATTGAATGATACAACATGTTTACAAAAATTAAGTTTTTACCATGACATAAATGCTAAAACATTACAAAGATCTTATGTTACTCAATTAGGACAGAAAGCAAACTAAAAATAAATATATATTTTTTAAATTGTATTTTATTTTCAATTGACAAGTAATAATTGTGTGTGCATATATATAGGGTATAGTGTGATGTTGTCATACACATATATTCAGTAAGATTATCAAACTAAGCTAACTAACATCCATTACCTCATATTCTTATAATCTTTACAGTGAAAACTTTAAAATTAATCCTTTTAGCAATTTTGAAATATATAAAACATTATTAAATATAGTTATTATGCTGTGCAATAAAGCACCCAGAACTTACTGAACTTTGTACCTTTTGACCAACCCTTCCCCTTTCCCTGTCCTTCTGCTGCCCCGGTCTTTCGGAGCCACCATTCTACTCTCTACTTTTATGACTTCAAAGTTTTTAGATTCTATATATAAGTAAGATCATGTGATATTTGTATTTCTGTGCCTGGGTTATTTCACTTAGCTAAATGTTGTCACAAATGACAGAATTTTCTTCCTCTTGGGGGTTGAATAATACTCCACTGTGTATATGTATCTCATTTAAAAACTTATTTTACATTTTAAGCATTTTTTAAAAGAATTTTATTTTAGCATCGTATATCCCATTTCCATTACTCTACAGTTCTTTCTTTCTTTCCTTTTCCCTTTCCTGTTTTCCTTTTCCTTTTCTTTTTTTCTTTCTCCTGGATTCAGGAGGTACATATACAGGTTTATTACTTGGTATATTACATATGGTGAGATTTGGCTTCCAGTGTACCCATTACCCAAATAGTGAATATTGTACCCAATAAGTAATTGTTTATCCCTGGTCTTTCCCTACCCTCTCCCCCTTTGAAGTCCCTAGTATCTATTATTTCCATCTTTATGTCCATGTGTACCCATTGCTTAGCTCCCACTGGTAAGAGAGAACATATGGTATATGATTTTCTGTTTCTGAGTTATTTCACTTGGGGTGATGGCCTCTAGCATTTGTCCTTGAACACTAACATAAATAACATTATGAATTACATCTTTTGTATTTTTTACCTACTACATATCTTTATCACCTCAATCAGGATATAAGCCAATTAGGGGCAGGGGCAGTATTCTGTTATTATAGATGCTCTCCAAAAAGCCCAGCTTTGCAAATGACATGTTTTTATAAATACTTGTTGAATACTCTGACGGTTTAGATTAATTTTGTTATCCAAATTCAGTTGGCTTGCCTTTTCTTTTCCCAAGCTCATATTTTTGTGCTTAATATGAGTAAGGTTAGCTGCAGTGAGAATTCTACTCTGTGAGTCTAATTGCAGACTCTCGGGTAAACTGATTTCCATGCCTCAACTGTCATCAGATCTTGCAGTCATCAAGTGTATTCCTCTTGATTGATAAACACACATCTTTGTGTGAAAGAAACAAGGAGATGGTTAGATGCAGTGGTGGTCTGGAGTCTGCCCTGCTGTTTTGTAACAGCTGATTGTGCTCATCTCTTTTCAAGTCCTTTCAACAACTCATGTTTATATGAAATTATACCATGGAAGTCAGCAGGCACTACAAATTTGGTATACCCCCACCCCTCCACGGATGCCAGTGGTTAAACATTTAGGAGCAAGCATATCATTTTCTAGATAGTACCCACAATTGCTAAAACCAACTCTGTAGTGTCCTGGGTGATAAAGAGGCAACATAAGATGTTGCTTTTCCTTACACAAATAACTTACACAAATAGCTGATGGCAACAATGATGATGAAACTGTTATGTTAATAGTTAACATTCTGTCTTCAGCTCTTTTCTAAGTGCTTTAGAGACACATCAGTTCATTTAATCCTCATAACAACCTAATGAAGTAGGTATGTAGAGGAATCTTGTTAATCCCACTTAATAAGTGGCTCAATCAGTGCCTAGATGAGGAAACACAGTGATAAAGAACAGTGAAACAAGGATAGCTGCTGGAAAGTTACTAAGAAAAATCATCTATTTGAATAGAATTAAGCTACATATAGTCATTCTTTTGTTAAATATTAACAGGGATAATTAAGATAACAATTACCTCAAAATTCTTTCAGTTTTTAAAGTTTCTTATACGAGAAATATTTCTGAATACATTTCATATTTACAAATAAATTTTTCTTTAGTAAGTAGCTGCATATTTTGTTATTTTGAAAAATGCAGAACTTATCCTAACTTCTCTTTACCTTTTTGGGCTTCTAAATAGCATGCATCTGCAGCTGCTGCACTGTTAGCAGTTTGAGAGAACTTTGTTCCTTTGTGTGCTATGATTTATGTATAATAGAAAAATATCTCTCGAGTTTCATCGCATTATGTAAATTTGTGTCCTGTTCAGTTTTCCCTTTCTATTTGACAGCCCATCAGCAATATTTATGTGTTGTACACAATATGTGATGCAAATGTTTCATAAGATATTTTGATCCATAAATAATTTATTCACTTTAGTACTCCTAGATGCAATATTGTCGAAGAATGGTTCTTTAATAAAGTAATAGTAAACACAAACTTCATGGAAAAGTACTCTAAATAGAATTGTTAAAATATGAATGCCAGTCTTTCTACAGAAGTGATGGTGGATTGAAGAGAAGAGGGAGATTAAAATGAGCTTGCATTTTCCAAAACATTAAAAATATCTTCAGTCTAGCTTATCTTGAATGTGCATGAATATTGTTATCAACTGATAACCTGAAACCCAGATTCTGTGCCTCTTTCCTGTTGGTAATGGGGTGGAGCTCTATTTGAACCTCAAGAAAGGAAAATGTAGAATAGGTTCCTAAACAAAAATCATCCACTGTTTTGAAAAGAAAACTAATGCACAGTATGGCTCCTCCATAAAATCTCTCTACAGTCCTGCAGGAAAAACTTATTTTATTTTTCATTCTAAAATTCCACAAATACTCTTCAATGTGATAACTTAAAAATTTGACCTATTAATAATTTATGGGACAATAATGGACTGTGTATAATTTTTAAGAAATGCTATTTTTTTTTTACCCTGATAGTTACTGGGTTCTTATTTTTACTACACAGAAAATATAAATTGGTATCTTCTGGAGTCATTAGTGACATGACTAACATTTTAAAACTCAATATATATGAATTATCGCATATCTTTCAAGGAGCTGTATGTCCCAGTAGCGTCCATGTAATGATGCTTTTTATAAAATTTCTAATAAAAATGTTAATGGACGCAAAGCCACAATAGTCTACCATTCAAACAACTGACTAGTTATTCTAATAGATCTAACTCTGTGTAAATAAAGCAGAAATTGGTAAACTTTTGCTGTAAAGGCAAGTTAGTAAATTTTCTAGGCTTTGAAGGAAAGGCAAATGTTGAAGATTTGTAGGTACTTACATCACCATTTAAAATGTAACCATATACAAATGTACAAACTATCCTTAGTTTGCAAAAAAAAAAAAAGGTATCAGGCAAGATTTGACCCATGGTTCATAGTAGTGTGCAATGACAAGAGCATCCCCCCAAATTAGGTGAAAATAAGATTCCTCACTTAGTCCCTAGAGGGCAATGCCAGAGACCCCACTGCTCAGCAACTTCAAAAGTCTTGTCTATTCCTCTCCAAGGAGCAAATTTTCTCTTTTAAGTGCCTAGGAAGCCCAAAAAGCTTAAATGTACCCTAACGAACAGAGCCGGAGACTCATCAGTCCTTTGATATGCTCCAAATAATGGAAAGGCTGTTGGTACAAATTGAGTTCTGGGGTTGGTAGAATGTTATTTAAAAATAGTGGAGAGTGAAAATAAGCCCCTGGTCTCACCCATAGCAGGGACATCACCTTTCTCTGGTACATCTGAGGGTAAAGTGTCCAGTGTTTCTCTCAATGAAGAGTCTCATCTGTAGATTGCAGGGCCTTTGAGTTAATGCTCCTTTGACTCCGTCCCTCTTCTACTTTCCCACAGATATTTTAATTTATACATACAATAATTTTCCCAGGTACAAGGTGGCCACAGGAAACTGAATCATCTAAAGTTTCTGCCACAAATAGGACCAAGAAATACTTTGTTTTTGTCTCTGTACTTGGGTAAGCTGTCTGCTCACCTGTTGCCACTCACCATTTCATTAGCCCCCACTAGCTTCATCTAACAGTTTATTGGCTCTTTCTAACACCAAAAGAAATTCGAGTCTTTTCATTCTGGAAGAGGTAATCCTTCCCATTTTAGAAGGTTCAGGGATTCTTATCAAATTGGTCTACTACCTGCTTGGATCATGATTTACACAGTGTATTAGTCAATTTTCATGCTGCTAATAAAGATATACCTGAGACTGAATAATTTATAAAGAAAAGAGGTGTGACTCAGTTTCACATGGCTGGGAAGGTCTCAGGAAACTTACAATAATGATGAAAAGGGAAGCAAATACGTCCTTCCTCACATGGTGGCAGGAGAGAGAAGAATGAGAACCAAGCAAAGGGGGAAGACCCTTATAAAACCATCAGATCTCATGAGAACTTAGTACCATGAGAATAGCATGGGGGCACCCCCATGATTCAGTTACTTCACCCCCAGGTCCCTCCCAAGACATATGGGGATTATGGGAACTACAATTCAAGGTGAGATTTGGGTGGAGACAGAGCCAAACCATATCACACAGAAAAGAAAAAGGTACTTTTGTTAAATCTCTGCAAAAAGAACAATATCTGTGCACACTTCCTCTAGGACAGTGGGCCCTGATCTCCCTATGTTTGTAATGTATCTATAAAAGTGATTCTTTGTGACACATCTACTTATGCAAATTTTCCATCCATTGCCTATGGTGAAATTATTGGTTGTTGGCATCCTGTATTGCTAGATGGCTTAAACACGAATTTAATGTGTGAAAAATGTGTATATCCACAACAAAGGGTCAATGCACAGGGAGTATTGAGAAAGTGTGATGAAAATTTTTTTTCTATCAAATTTTGTTTAATGGCCCAGAACTTACATTTAACTTACATTTTTGGTGTTAGATTGATATGTTCTTATTATTTTCTTTGAATATTCTCTAATTAAACACATTTCAAGATTTTTCCCATGTCAGGTAGGTCATAAAATGTACTTTCAAAAAATGGTACTAATGGAACATGCTAATATGGTCAAATATTTGTAGCTACTGGAAATCTGCAAGCCAGTTATTGAGTAATCAGTCATTACAAAATTGTGTTCATGGTATATGGTGACTAATGCATTTTAACATTACTTCTTGTTTGCATCTGGTTAATGTGTGAGTATAATTGGTGTCTTTCCTATTTATCATTTTGGTATGTGGTTTTTAAAATGAGAATCTAAGAATCTTTCTTCAGAAAAGATTCAGGCAGGACTATTAATTAGAAAATTGTATGGTTGTCATCAGAATTTATATCTTTTACAATATTATTTCTCTCCAAATTATTCCTGTTTGCTAAATGCAGTGTTTCAGGAAAAAATCAACTATATAAGAGAAGGGAATAATGTTTTCTTTGCTTGATAAAATTACCATTGACCTTTTGCTAGTAATGACATTGTTATTAATCTAAATTTTATTTCTTTTCCTTCAAAGTAGTATGATATTGTTTTTTTAAGACTGATACTTCATAGTAATACCTTAATTTATAACTGTATTCTTATTTAATGATCACATTTTATTTAGAACCATATTTTATATACACATATATTAGGTCTTGGCACTTTTTCCCCAAAATCATTTATAATAGGAAAACCCACTGTAAAACCCAGTGTCTTTCACTAAATACTTCTTGGGATTTATGCCGATAATGACTTCTCATGGTGTATTTTTAGGTCAACTTCTTTTCCCTGCTGCATATTATTTGTCTGCAGCAGAAGAGCAGGTGCACAGAACTCTCTATGCAGTCTTGTCAGCCCACTCACTAGAATGCATGTGGTCAGATTATTGACTTAGCCCAGCATATTTTAACATTGCCACCTAGTGTAAGATCTAGGTCGCTTTGAATATCCGCCTTTCAGTAAGATTGAGATAGGAGAGATATTAAGTCCCAGCAATCATTCCACCTGTTAAAGGGCTTTAGACCATGCTTGTGAGCATGGATTTATTCTTCGTCACATTATTAGTCATTCCACATAGCCTGTTTACAGTTTCACCATCAGCTGCAATGATAACAGTTGACAGTTGCAATGTCAGATGACACTTGCTTGAGACACTCATCAACTGTGTTAAGGTGAGATGCTCTGAAGGTCTGGGCCAATAAACAGATTTAACTGTCTTGTCTAATTAACATTTAGAGATATATTGTTCTCTAGAGACTGACTGTAAGAAAGGTAAGCGTTTGATAAAGCTAATTTACTGTTTGCTGAGTGTCCAGCATTGTGCTCAATTTATTACATTCATGATCTTGTTTAATTCCATGAGGCAGGTCATATACTTATTTCCGTTTTACAGATGAGGAAACAGAAAAGAGAGGTTAAATAACTAAAAAATGAGTAAGAAGTCTGTTGCTTGAGCCGCATTTTTGCTAAGAGCCCATGTTCTGCAGTAACCAGCTCCCATTTAAACCAGGCTTCACCATTTCCCAGACGTGGGACAGTTACATTCCCTATGCCTCAGTTTCTGCATTGAAATGAAGAATAATAATAGTTTTAAGGGTTACTGTGGCAATCACATACACTGATACACAAAACAGCCTGAGAATAATGATGGTTGCTCTCATCCAGCTAGCAAGTGGCCAAGTTAGAATTTGCACCTATCAGATTTCATAGCACAGGTTTAACTACTGTGTCATCTTACTTTGTGTAGATTTTACCTTCTGTTGTACAACCACCTCCATATGTATAATAACTCCCTTACAGAAGCAAAATAAATCATCACTATGCTCTTACCCCATAAATTATGCTCTCTTTTGAGCAGCGTGTTCAAATTCATGGACATACCTCTAGAGCCCACATATCATCACTCGTGGACAGTGCCTCTTGTGTAAGCGAAAAAGAAAGGAATCCAAAGCAGCCTGGGTTGCAGTTCAACACTTTCCTAGAAAACCTCATTGCAAAATTAATTTGTGTGAGCAGCTGTGGAGTTTCTGAAGAGGAGAGTTCACTGGAAAGGCACACTGTGAAAAGGAATTTGGGTAACTAATTCTGCTGTGGATTCCATTTTCCGAGTGTAGGCATGAGAGAGGAAGTTCAACTCATTCAGTTTTTTTTTAATCTGTACTCATAAATAACAGCTCTGTTCTCTTCTTTACCCTAGAAGCTCTTTCTTGTTCTCTGAGGAGATGGAGTTGTACGTTTCCTTTTGTGAGTAATGGCTCTATTAGATTAAATAAATAACATTTCACACTAATGTAGTTCACAAGAGGATTTAGAAACCATTAAGAATATATTTAAAATCTCACAATAGACCCTCTCGCTTAGTTCTCTGGAACAAATTATAGTTTCTGACACATTCAAATTATACCTTAAGAGAGGACTCTGAACATTTTTCAGAAGCGGGGCATTCAGTATCTCCTTGAAGAAAAATAGATTTTTTTCTATGAAAGTTGCAGAGGAAAGAAATATCTAATTTTTTAGATAGCAAAGTATTTGGCTACTTCACTAGCAAAGTAACACAAGGTTAAAGTAAATTTAGTTATTTCACTTTTTGAATGTGTAATAAAAATTACCTTATTTATTTCTTTGATAAGTTCTCTTTTAGGAATATCAGAATCTAGCTTACTAGTTTATAAAGTAGAAAGATCAATAAAGCAAATAAATGTATTCAAAACATCTCCAACTTCAGATCTATTAGAAAATTATGAAATAATGCTATTCCTTCATGTATTTCTTTCAAATTTTTTTTCTTCTTGGTGACTCCCTTTTGTGTCCCCATACCTATCCCAGGTCACCAGTGTGCTCCCAAGTCTCCTTGTCTATCACTGTCCTTAATTGCAACATCATCACAAGAAGGCATGAATTCTCTTTAATTTCTTCCCTAATCAAAAATTAATTTTTTTATCATTCAGGATGTGGACTATGCTGAATACTAGTCAGGTGAATATGTTTTCCCATGTTTGCCTTTTCAGTAAAATCTGGATCTAGTAGAGCATGCCAATGTGGTGAATAACAGGGATTTTGTTTGTTTGTTTTTTAAAACGAGAGAACCAGGAGCCAGAGAGGGCTTCTTGGATCCTTCAAATCTCAGTTGAGCAGCTGCCAGCTTAGCCTGTGCATTGGATCAGCCTGAATCTGCTGCTGAGTAGAAATGACTTTGCTCAGGCTGCTTTGATGGGGATTAATGAGCCATGGCTTTTGAAGGAGAAACGCAACCAATTATCACTACTAAGAATTTCCTCTCAAGAATGGCAGGCCAGTTATACTCCAGGATCGCAGAGAAGGAAAAATTTTGGCTTACTGAGAACAAATCTCGAGTTTGGGTTAACTGTGGGTGGAAAGATCAGGAATGGAATATTTAATTTATGAAACTGATCCAATTAGCACCTTATTGCAAAATTGTAGAGACTGGTGTTCAAGGTACCAAGATTCAGGCTGGCAATGGAAAGCACCTAGTAGATGGCAACTTATCTATACTGATTATTACACATAATTGAATTCCTCCTAGATTTAACTAAGAGGTATTAAGTACTCTAAAAGATGAATGTGGGAAAATTTTTAAAAGCTCCCAATATTATAATATAATGTAAATGATAAACTTACCTTCATAAGCAAAATCTACAAGAAATGTACTTAATTCTTCTTTTTATTATATTTTAATTTCTGGGGTACATGGGCACAACGTGCAGGTTTGATACATAACTATGCATGTGCCATGTTGCTTTGCTGCACCCATCAGCTCATCATTTACATTAGGTATTTCTCCTAATGCTATCCCTGCCCCAGCCCCCCACCCCTTTTTTTCATTTTTGCTGTCATCTTATCCATATATAATTCTAAATGAATTCTTCCAATAGAATTTTGTAACTCTACAGAGCTAGCTATGCTATCCACGTATGGTGAGTGAGCACTTTACAGCTAGTCTGAACTGAAATGCACTGTTAGTATAAAGTACACACTGGATTTTGAAGATTTGGTCCAAAAGAGGAAAACATCTCAATAATGGTTTTTTTGTGTTTTTTTTTGTTGTTGTTGTTTGTTTGTTTTGAGATGGAGTCTCGCTATTGTCGCCCAGGCTGGAGTGCAATGGCGCAGTCGCGCCTCACTGCAACCTCTGCCTCCCAGATTCAAGCGATTCTCTGGCCTCAGCTTCCCAAGTAGCTGGGATTACAGGTGCCTGTCACCACGCCCAGCTAATTTCTTTTTTTTTTTTTTTTTGGTATTTTTAATACAGACGGGGTTTCCCCATGTTGGCCAGGCTGGTCTCGAACTCCTGACCTCAGGTGATCCGCCTGCTTCAGCCTCCCAAAGTGCTGGGATTACAGGCGTGAGCCACCACACTCAGCAATAATGTTTTATATTTATCATATGTTATTAATGTAGGAATAAAACTTCGTTTCTTTAAAAAAATGAGAAAAATATACTATCCACCTATAACAAGAAAATTTTTAGATTTTTATGCTAGTATCATTCCACTAATAAAGCAAGATAGATATTAATAAATTTTATCAGTAGACAGTTTATCATTGTTATCAAAGTCAAGTCATATTAAAATCTTTTTCGACTAAGCTTAGAAATAGCATGAGGAAAGACACTTCATAATTACAGCAGGGGATAAAAATCTATTATCTTACCCTCTAAAAGAAAAAAAAAACTGCGCCATTCCTTGGATAATTATTTGTGGGCATATTCTCTGAATGCCAACAACATAACCTTGCTCCAAGAGCGAGCAATGTGTGCAGCCCTATAGGAAAACATAGGGATGGAGCAATGTGTGCAGCCCTATAGGAAAACATAGGGATGGAGCAATGTGTGCAGCCCTATAGGAAAACATAGGGATGGAGCAATGTGTGCAGCCCTATAGGAAAACATAGGGATGGAGGTTGCCTGTCTTTGAGTCGGGTTGCCATTCTTTTTGCCCTCTTCATAGTCTCTGGGACAACATTTATACCCATGGGAAAACACTTATTATAGATACTTATACATCTTAATTTCTAGGTCTAAATTGGGAAGATGTGTGAGGAAAGGTGGGTCACATTCATCCCACCCTCCCTTCTTTAGAAAGCAGAAATGCATTCCTTGGACGATTTGTAAAAGTCTAGTCCTTCTATTTTCATTTAAACAGGGAATTGGGTTAAGGATTTTCTCAGAATAATCAGCTTTTAAATAAGTGGCCTCTTTTATTAAGTATAAGCTGTCATTTGTGTGATAGAATGTGCTAGGGGTGTGTAGGCAATCAAACTTACAATAAACCAGATTCATTTCAAGAATCTCTCTAGTTAACATCTATATGAACCAAGAAAAGACACTCTACTAATACATACCTATATCTTCCCAGTGTGTTATTCTGACATTTTCTTCAAAATTACTCTTGTTTCTATCAATCTGCCTGATTCTGAGAAATGAAAATGGAAAGTAGCTATAAAGAAGACATTAAAATATTTAGGTCTTCACAAAGGGCATTTTCTCATCTCCGATAAACGTGCCCCAAGTAAACCCCTGACTTTGAATTTGTTCAGTATCTGAGTACATAGTCAGGACAAGATGATGGCAGATTATAAGCCCCAGCTAGGCTTTACCAGAAGTCTCTCCATTCTACGGCTTTCAAACTAGTGGAAAAGGGAGATTCAAGTGCGCTAATAAACATGATGGACAAATAGAGTGTTACACAGTACAGCAAGTAAGAAAATATTTGGTTTATAATATCTACAGGTTTAAATATTTGATTCACACAATGATGTCCTGAATATGAGAATTCTGATTCTTATAAGACTGCCTTAGAGACTAATTCACAGAAGCATAGACAGTTGTCCAATGGAATAAAATTGCTTTGAACTAACATACCATTTAGACTTTGACTTTTCACAGGGTATAAGATAAGCTTGATAAAATTTTAATTTAGTTTTATTCTCATGAAGTCACAGACTAGGTAAATATATGAATTTGAGTAAATTAGCATAAATGAGAAAAAAGGCACACAGAATGGCAAGCATATGGAATAAGTATAGATGAATAGGTAGCAGGAAAGAAACAGGAACAACAAACAACTTGGTGAGAAGAAAAAGAACAGTTCAGAGACTAATCAGGAGAGGTACACTAACAAGTTAGTTTGCACAAAAACTGTATTAACAGAATCATTACTAGAAGTGAAGCAAATGCAGAAATAAGTTGTATTTCTTTTATAATTTATAATTGGTATTACTACCTGTTTTGACTGTAAGTAGGATTTAATTTATAGAGGTGACTGATTGAAACCCAGTGAGATTAATGCCACTCAAGGGAATTTTCTTACTCATAGTCTCCAGGAAAAGGGGGCATGCCACACCATACAGGGCCACATGGGGAAGCCCCAGGGTCATTCAGGAGGCAGAGGAGTGAGGGAAATTATGGCCCAGAGCCTTTATTGTGGTTTCCATGAGAAGACATGAATGAGGCAGTGATATGGTTTGGCTCTGTGTCCCCACCCAAAAGGGATCCGATCTCAAATCCTAATCCCCACCTGTTAAGGGAGGGACGTGGTGGGACATGATGAGATCATGGGGGCATTTTCCCTCATGCTGTTCTTGTGATAGTGAGTTCTCAAGAGATCTGATGGTTTAAAAGTGTGTGGTGGGTCCCCCAATCCCCCTCTCTCTCTCCTGCTGCCATATAAGACATGCCTTGCTTCCCCTTCACCTTCTACCATGATTGTAGGTTTCTTGAGACCTCCCCAGCCATGTGGAACTGTGAGTCAATTAAACCTCTTTCTTTATAAATTACCCAGTCTCAGGTAGTTCTGGATAGCAGTGTAAAAACGAACTAATGCAGGGAAGGTAAATTTGAGTAAACATAGGATAGGATAGTTGGAATAACTTCAGTGGACTCTCCCCAACTATCCTATCCTATGTTTACCCAACTTACTATTGAGTACAATTTACAGTTTACTACAGGGAGAGCTCCAGTTGTCCAGCACCTGGCCCTGGGGTGACTTAGGGCAGAGGAAATATTGGCTTGGTGTAAGAGAGTTAGATGAAGGAGGTGGTTAGAATATGGACTTTGAATTTGTTGGTTTGTATATGAAAGGCATGCTCACAGGGGAGTTGTTTGCTAACTCTGGGAATTAAGTAGCCCTGGGAGGGGCAGGTTCTCATTGACCAACAAGGCCCCCAAGAGGTCAAAGGATCATAAAATACAGAAAACAAAGAACATGATTATTACCCTACCCTAGTTTACATAGTTTTATAAGGCCCTCTTCTTAAGTACTTCTTAAGTTACTTAATATATCATTAATGTTAAATATTATCAAAGACATTTTAAAACATACGTTATCATTTTCATGTAATTTTTAAATTTACAATTGGGGCTAATATGTTCATCTAAGTTTACAAAATTTTAAAATGTTTTCTGTTAGCTTTCAGATGCTTCCATCTCATTCTTCATTACTACAACCCTTTGCACAACTCAGACCATCATTAGAGCTCCATTTTATTTTAAAATACATAAATCTAATAGATTCCCATCCAAAATACATGAGGAACTTATATAACTTAATAGCAAACAACAACAAAAGAAAACCAACGCAATCTAAAAATGAACAAAGGACCTGAGTAGACACTTTTTCAAAGAAGACATGCAAATGGCCAACGGTTATATGAAAAGGTACTTAACATCACTTCTCATTAGAAAAATGCAAGTTAAAATCACAATGAGATATCACCTCATACCTGTTAGAATGGCTGTTGATCAAAAAGACTAAAGGTAGCCAGTGTTGGCAAGGATGTGAATCACTTGTGCACTGTTGGTGGGAATATAAATTGGTACAGCCATTATGGAAAACAGCATGGAGAGTGCTCAAAGAATTCAAATTCTTCTATATGACCCAGTAAACCCAAACGAAATTAAATTAGCACCTCATAGAGATAACTGCTTTCATGATCATTGCAGTGTGGTTTACAATAGCCAAGGTATGGAAACAACCTAAGTGTCCATCAATGGATGAATCAGTTTAAAATCATGGTTTATATATAAATGAAATATTCTACTTTAAAAAAAGATGAGGCTGGGTGTGGTGGCTCACACCTGTAATCCCAGCGCTTGGGGGCCTGAGACAGGCAAATCACTTGAGGCCAAGAGTTTGAGACCAGCCTGGGCAACATGGCGAAACCCCATCTCTACTAAAAATACAAAAACTAGCTGGGTGTGGTGGTGTGCGCTTGTAATCCCAGCTACTCAGGAGGCTCAGATGGGAGAATTGCTTCAACCCAGGAGGCAGAGGATGCAGTGATCTGAGATTGCACCACTGTACTGCAGCCTGGGCAACAAAGGAAGACTCTGTCTAAAAGAAAAGAAAAGAAAAGAAAAAGATACTGTCATTTGGGACAATGTGGATGAACCTGGAGGACATTATGCTAAGTGAAATAAACCACACACAAAAATGCTGCATGATCTCTCACTTATATGTGGAATCTAAAAACTGTCAAATCATCTACCACATGACTGTGCTAATCATTTCATTATGTATATCAAAACACAGTATACACCTTAATAAAAATAAAAGAAAATAATAACATACAGGGTTTGACAATAATGACAAGTATTATGAAGGGGAGACAGTAATTTAGGTAGAATGTTAAATATTAAGCTGTATTTGTGGGAATATCAGTCTTGTTAATTGACTATACACTGATTTATTTTTAAAATGTATAAATCAAATCAGTATAAGAGAATTAATACCATAGGCAGTTTTGGTTCCATTTTTTGTCTTAACCCTAGAGAATATTAGATAAAGACAAATATAAGTCACTTTCACAAACCAACTTGCATAAGCACACATACACACAAACAACATGAACATACATGTCACATGATGTCAGCTATATCTATTTTGAATTCAATGTTCTTAAGTAGAAATTCTGCAGAATGTCTTCCAAGATTAGGGTTACTATTGAATAGGATCAAGTAAAAACATTTTTGAAAATTGTCATGGGTTTGAATTTTAGAGAAAATATCACCTAAGACATTTATTTCATTTTCATAATACATTAATATGTACTAATTATATTTTAATATACATTTTTATATTTAGTTATAATTTTATAATATAGCCTACCATAGAATTGATAATGCTTTGCTGAAAAAAATTAATATATTTATGATAAATACAAAATTTCATTTGGAGGCATAATATGCTGGGATGCAATTAACAAGACTGATATTCCCACAAATACAGCTTAATATTTAACATTCTAAATTGTCAGTGAACCCAGGAGGTGGAGGTTGCAGTGAGCTGAGATCGTGCCACTCTAGCCTGGGTGACAGAGTGAGGCTCCATCTCACCAAAAAAATAAAAATAAAAAGTTTTATATCAGAAGATTTATTAGAAATCTCGATTCGATGAACTACCTCAAGAAATATGTATCCATTACCATAAGTCATAAATCCTTTTACATGTTACTAAAAACATATATGTTCAATGGTTTAATTTGAAGCACTACTTTAGTGCTATAGTACATTAGGGTGGCTGGTTTGTCACATCCAATGCATGAAAAAAATGTGAGAACTCATTCAAACCTATTAGGAAAATGTATCATTTCTAGTGCTTTCTAAAAGCGGAATAACTTAAGTCTAGTGTTAACTGTGCTTACATGCAAGGGTATAAATCAAACTTTTTTGGGGAGGTGGAAAAGGGTGGTAGTTGTTCCTATTAGCAGATCTTAGTATTAATAATGATTTTGTCTCAAAATTTTCTGCAGAGTAACTGTGGAGTTTAACCACCATGCTTTCAAATTTGAGAATTATGTCTACAAATAACTGAGCTAAATTAAATTACTGCCATCTGTTATTTTGCTTAAACTACTTCATGACTGTCTCAGATATCAAATGTGGGAATTTAAATCACAGTTGGAAAAATGAATTTTTTAATGTTTTTGCTATCTTATTTGGGAAAAATGTGAAGGAAATGGTAAAGAATAAAATAAGTCATGGACACCCTAACAAATAAATCATCAGTTGTCTGTTAATATTAAAAATATTTGGAGACTATTGTTAACCATAACCTGGCCCAAACCGGTTCACCAGGAATGTTTCTTATGGGGGTTGTTGACCAGGTACCAACTATAGTGAAGAAGTATTTGTTTATTCTGTGTTTATAACTTCCTGTGGCGGCCACAAAGGGGATAGATGTAATGGGACAGGCTTAGCTATTGTGCCAATTATTATCTTCACCCGTTTAGCATCTGGGTGTCACTCAAAATCCTGGGCAATTCTATCTCTCTCCAGCTTGAAGGCAGGGCTGGTGTCTGCCACTGATTGGCACATCGAATGTGAATGCAGATGGGTATGTTTCGGGAGTGAAATCTTGTGTGAAAAAAAATGCCTGCTTTATTTTAAGAGTTCCTTTGCCAATTAAAGGTTTGTTGGCTAATATTCCATGAGGAATGAACAGAAGGGACTCTCAAAAGTTAGGGGCAGCCACAATTTAGTGATCAAAATCTCACAGGAAATTACTTTGCCTTCACAACTTTCTCTGGCTGGTGCGGATCTAGTTCTGAAAATTGTTTAGCGGAAAGCATGACAAACTCCAGTGTGAAGGTTACTGGGTTTTCATTTGTTTATTTGTTGATGGTAAGATACTTTTAGATGTTATGGAACTGGCTACAAAAGATTACATGACTGTGGTGGTCTTTATCTTTATCTGACTACTTTTTGCAATTTCATTCAGCATTGAGAGAAATGGTTGGTAGGACACACAAATTCCTAAATTTGGCTCTACAATTTCGCTAAGATCTTCAACCACATGCTTGTCTGATACTGATGTAGGTTTGTTCTTTATATAAGCAGTGATATCTGAACTCTTATGCAAGAGCACATGTGTGTGTTTCCATGTGTATATTGCTCATTTTGCATATGTGTATAAAGTCAGAGTATAGCAAAATGACTAAGGTATTTCAGTGATGCTCTATAAGAAAGAATGTTTAATAGTAATGCCTTATTTTTATCTCCCCAGTTATGAAAATCCTAGGACCACAGATATAATATCTGTCCCTGTGAACAAGGATGAACTTTGGATAAGTGGCCTAATTTAACTGTCACATGGCAAGGCTGAATTCAGGAGGATTTTTCCTTTACCTTATTTTTTTCTCTTCATTTCTAAGAAAAGAAAAAAAAGCACTGTCTCTGTTATAATCAGTAACAGAACTATGTGTTGCTGTAGACTAGAATCTAAACTGTGTATAGAATTATGAGACTGATAAAATATTAGTGCACAGTGTATTTATAGTTTCTCTCATTTCATAACATTTTAAGAAAAAAGATGCCAAAATGGTGTTATTCTTTAAGAAAATGCTATCTTAAGATAGACCTAGAGGCAGCCCAGATTTATGCTAACTACAAGTAGTTTGGGGACACACTATTTTAGCTTGGAATTTTCTGTAATGGTTGAATTGGACTGTAGAGAGTCATGCTGCAGTCATCACAGTTGATTCTGGGATGCGCTTGTGTTTTCTATAATTCATGGTGTTGGACTGTGATTTTCTTGTGTTTCCTTTTGTCTGTATGGAACTTTGGAAAATTGAAACACATTAGGCTTGCAGTTTGCGTAATGTAACTTTGGATATGCTTAAAAGGTTAGATCAGTTCCAGATGAGCAAAGCCCTGGTTTCAAATAGTAATGAAGAAACTCATACTCCAACTGGGCATCTTGATAAGATCCCTCTGGTTTTATTTGAATAGAATAAAAAGTTCTTCAAGGTTTGTTTCCCTATATTTTGCAAAAATTTAATTTCTCTCTAGGATCAAGGGATTTATTGAGAGGGGTTAACGTGGTTCAATTTTATGTGGGGTGAAAAAATGCAGAACATGTTAGCCTGTGGTAATTGGACTTTACTTTTTTTGTATTCTTTGTTTCTCTCTGTATATCAGTCACAATAGGCTAGGTTATGCAGAGTAACAATTCTAAAATCCCAGTAGGTTTAAACAGTACATGTTTATTTATTGATATTCATCAATGTGGAAGCCAGGGAATTCTGCTCATTGTGGTCTCCATTATACATGAACATACTCTAACATGCAACATAGATGAAAGAAGATTTCTCAGCTGAGTGGAGAGTCCATATAAAGAACTGAGAAAAATGTAAGAAAAATATTTTCCTGAGTTATTTCTTGATGTCTTAGAGGAAACATCAAAACACATTAATTGAAACCTCTAAGGAAGAAACATTCTCATGTCATTTATTTCCACACAATTCATAGAAACATTTGCAAATTTTATGAGCAGAAATTTTATATTCTTCCCTTGGTTGATGATTTAGACCTAGTTGTTATTCTGAACTACTTAGCAAAATAATTACTGTCAAAGCAGACTTTTTTCACTATGAAATGCTCAAATGTCTTTTCTCTACTCTCAAGTAAGAGATGCGTTACTAGAGATGGGTTCAATCCAGATCCAACATGTTTGACAATGAGATTGTTAGTGTAACAAACAGAAAACTTAAAATCAGCGTTCTTTGGCAGTGGGCTGTTGGATTTTTTTTTTTTTAAACTCTTTTTGAACTTCACTGTTTCTTTCAAATACTGTAATTCTCTCTTGGAATTCTGTGCAACTAGCTTAGCAAGTTGAACTGGGACCACCTTCTTTTTAAATATGAGATTCCACTGATTTTCATTTCAGTCTAGTTGTATTTGCTTGGAAATTATATTGATTCTCAGGACCAACATCTCAGTTGATGATAAAAATATTTGTACATTTGTCTCAACTTGTTCCTTGCACATATATCTTTTTGGAAGACTTCATGAATGTGAGAAAGTGGGACAGAGGACCTCTAATTACAACAAAAAACTCAGCAAAGCCTCAGGATACTTAGATTCAACATCCTGACAGTCACTTTCTTCGCGTCTTTCTCTTGTTCTCCACTATGGAGACAAAACTTTATGTTTAAAGGTGAAAAGACATTTTTAAATTCCCAATATTTAATAGAGATCGTGTTTTGTTTTAGTCTACTCTTACATTGGTAGAATTAACTTACTGAATTTATGACTGATTTCAAGAAAGGATTTACTCATGGAAACTAGTAATTGCTAGCTAATATGCTTCTTAGAGCAAAGAAAAAATAGATTCAGAATGTCTATCTTACTATTTCAGAAATATTTTACGATGTCATCAGTGACATATTTGCAAACTTGGAAGTGGACTCATTTTGATATGATAAAGTTAGAATGTGGAAAAATCAGTGTCTTTATATTTAGTTGTTTCCAAGGAAATTCAATAAGGGTATTATATTTAGATTTAATTTTCTGTTGAAGAAACAGTTTGTTGCATTTTCAAAATTTTACAAGGCTCACGTAGTAAAAAATAACATGCTTTCACTGCTGCTGTTGGAGAAGTATTGGTTACATTTAGAGCCATGTGGGAGGTAAAATCCTGACCACCTGTTATAAGCACTGTTGGAGTAAAAACTTTTTGGGTTAGTTTGTATTGGCTAGATAATAGAAAGAGAAAAATATTAAAGTGTAATTCAGACAGAAAGGTATTATTTAAAATGTAAATTGATTTTCAAATAGTAATTGGGTTTTTAAAAGTTCTGTTAGTTCTTCATGTTTCAAAATGCCTTGTATCTTGGCTTCATGAATCCACCTGTGCAGCCTAAGCTATGTGAATTGAGGAGAATCAGTCATACTTCTATGTACTAACTTATAATCACGCTTCATCCTCAGGGTAACATATATGGTTCTATTATTATTCCTGCCACATAGAAGGACAAAACAATGTTCACAAAGTTAGATTTATGCCTAAAGTCAAACAACAAGTAAATAAAACACCAGTATTTGAATAAATACGTTTCAAGTATTAATACACATGATCCATATTACCTCAGGGATACCCCAACTTAACCAAATGAGATAAATTTGTCAATTAGGTGAACCATTTTGTCCTAATAATTAACCAGCCTGCTAGAAAAGGCCAGCAGGAGAATTCTTTTGACAACTTACTAGTAATGTCTTGTTTTTGTTAAATAGTTAATATTTGTTGAATTTATTACAAGTTTTTCAAATAACGATAAATTTCTAAATATCAACAGATTCTCTAAGGGTTTTCTAATCATCACCTTCTTACACTGACCTTGGAATTAATGCATCATTTGGACCAAGTGGTTGAAATTTTTAATTGAATACTTCATTTTTTTTTTGGACGGAGTCTCGCTCTGTTGCCCAGGCTGGAGTGCAGTGGCACAATCTCAGCTCACTGCAACCTCTGCCCCCAGCTTCAAGTGATTCTCCTGCCTCAGCCTCCCGAGTAGCTGGGACTACAGGCGCACGCCACCACACCCGGCTAATTATTTGTATTTTTAGTAGAGATGGGGTTTCACTGTGTTGGCCAGGATGGTCTCAATCTCCTGACCTCGTGATCTGCCCACCTCGGCTTCCCAAAGTGCTGAGATTATAGGCATGAGCCACCTCACCTGGCCGAATAGTTCATTTTTAGTAAGCATAACATGCTCTAAAACTTAGATGCATTTGTCACCAGACTTATTAAAGCCTTTTTAATCCCTCCATATGCATGCATTAAAATATAATACTTCTGACTAAAATATCATCCCTAGAATGTTATTAGAATTGAATATATAAGAATATATAAGAAGTAGCAAAATAAATGAAAGTCTAAGTACACTAATTCAATTGAGTGTCAAAGCACATCAAAGTTGTACATTTTTATAGCAGGGTACAGTATGCCAATTTGATGCTACCCATCAGGGAGTCTTGGCAAAGTCCCAGGATAACCAGTCTGGTTAATGCTGCTCTCTGAACAAAAGGGTAAATTCAATCTTTGCTCTTCACTTTGTCTTTAGGCACTGGCATCACCACCTGCTTTTGTAGGAAACATTCCTTCTTTTTAAGAACACCCTTTTACTTATCTGGGTAAATCTGGTGGAGTTGTCAAACAAAAGACCCCCAGTTAATCTAACATTGCCTAGACAATTAGAGGCATCCATCTCCTCTCTGTCCCAGGCACAGCTACTAATCCAGAGGTGGACAGGTGACACAAGCAGCACCAAGTGAGGGCATATCCCTTTCTTGAATAGAGCTTTAAGTCACTGGAGTAAACCTATAGAAAACCTGTCAAGGATATAAAGGGAAAACATTGGAAGTAGAGACAAGTGGAAGGAGGGGGAGATTCAGAGAAAGAGAGAAAGATAGAGATTGATGAATGAATTTGTTTTGATTCTGGATCTTGTCATCTTTGAACTCAATAACGATCCTTTTGACCATCAAAGTTAGATTTTTGTCATTTTGAACTAAAAAATATTATGGTTTTCTTCTGTCATAAGTATCTTATATGGAATTTATCTTTATGGCATACAAAACACTGTTGCTACTTTGGAATGGCAATTAGATTTAATTTTAGATTAATATAATTGTGATTGTTATTTTCATAGCTAATATTTATACAGCATTTTGCAGCTTTACATGTATGGTGTCACTCAATTCTTGTGACAGTCCTATCATTTGGAAGCTGTTATAATCTCCATTTTTAGTTGAGGAAGATGAGGCTCAGGGAAGTCAATAAATTCTCCCAGGATTATCAGCTGGGAAGAGTCAAAACTGGGATATAAACACAGACAGTTTGGATTTTCAAATATATTCTCTAAACCAATGACTAATGCTCTTTTTAGGACAGTCATTGTTGAGAGAGAGAGACACACACACACACAGAAAATCTCTATTGATATTTCACAGGTATGTAATTATTACAGACTTTCTTTACAGTACTGCTTATTCAACTAATTTCATGGTTTGTATACTGGATTTGTGCTTGGGATGAAAAAAAGCAAGAAATTATGCACATTGTCTTTTTCATTATAAATACTAGTGTTTCTGGCAGACTTCAGTCCCAGTAAAACAATTTTAAAAATGCATTTAGCAAGAAATACAAACTTTTAAGGGCTTTTGCTAAATACTATGTAGTGATACTTCTCTCTGGAATAGATAGTTAGCAGATTTTTTAAACTTCATTTAGTAATGTATTTCTTTTTTTACATGATGAGCAACAAAACATCTGTGTGTGGGCCTAGATATTTAACTAAAAAAAATTTATATCTGCACCTGAATGGGGAAAGGAAGGAGGAAAAGTAGTTGTAATCAGCACAGTATAGGAAGTTTTTCTCTGCTAGTTTTCTGTAGAATGTTGCTGGCTGAAATGGTTCATCATTATGTAATAGGTCTCAGTAAATAATTACTGAATTAGTGAATGAGTGAATAACCACTCTGCTCTAATGGAGAAAGTTTTAAATATGTAAAAATTAACATTCCCACATAATAAGTTAGACCCTTTAGTGAATATTGAGAAGAGTTGCTAAACTGAGGAGCAGTGCAGTGTAGCAGTTAGGGGCAGTGACTTTGTAGTTAAACTCCTGGGGCTAAGCAAGAGATCCACTATATTTTTGATTGGTGTATAAAGGCTTCTAACCTCTCTATCTTTCCCTGCTTACTTTGAATAGGCTGATTTTTTTCACTTGATTATTTGAATGCCCCAAAGGAAAAGATGAAAAAACTTGATAAGTATTTATAAAAGTTTGACTCTCAGATTCATTTAGTGTATTTTTTTTTTTTTTTTTTTTTTTTTTTTTTTTTTGAGATGAAGTCTCACTGTTTCGCCCAGGCTGGACTGCAGTGGCGCCATCTTGGCTCACTGCAAGCTCCGCCTCCCGGGTTCACGCGATTCTCCTGCCTCAGCCTCCCGAGTAGCTGGGACTACAGGCGCCCGCCACCGTGCCTGGCTAATTTTTTTTGTATTTCTAGTGGAGACGGGGTTTCACTGTGTTAGCCAGGATGGTCTCGATCTCCTGACCTCGTGATCCACCCGCCTCAGCCTCCCAAAGTGCTGGGATTACAGGCATGAGCCACCGCGCCCGGCCTAGTGTATTTTTTTTTAAACCACCCTTATGCCTAGGCCAAAGTCTTGAGTTTAGGGCAATAATAAAAGGTATTTATTCTGAAAGTGTTTTCCCACTTGCATTGATTGCTCAAACAACCAGACCTACCCATGAAAGAACGACAAATCTGTTACTGATTTCAAGGCTCATGGAAAGTTTTGTTTTTTTCTTATGCATTCCAGCTGAGGGGTTGCGGGGAAAGCTTCAAATAAATGGCCTTGTGATTATAGCAGCTCCTGCCAACCAACAACCTAGAATGACTGTTGGGCCTTCCCCAGGGTCCTACTTTCATAAGCAACCCCAAAAATAGCAGTTTCCAGAAAACCGTTGTCATTTGTGCAAACAAACAGGACATTAAAAAGCAGGCGGCCCACCTTTTGATGGTAATCTCTATGTTAACCACCAGCATTGTTGGGGGCTTGGAGGGATGTTCCAGGAAGCTTCTACTGGTTATTTTTTGCCCTTTTCATTAAAGGATCCCACCCTTAACTCAGATATCTAATTAAGAAACAAGCTAAGTTGAAAAGACCACTTACCGAAAAAAAAAAAAAAAATCTGTCTCCAAATACACATTTCTGACATTTGGCTGGTTATTTTGAGAATCTTAGTGAAAAAAAATTACATCTTTAAAGAAAGTCTTCATTTACAAGGGTATCTACCTCTCTACACCAGTAAAAGAGGAAAGACTAAGTCACTAGAAACTCTTAAGATGAAAAAGGCATTGGTTTAAAATGGACATAGTAAGCCTTACCTTGTTTAAGATGGTTTTTCCTAGCTATCTTATCTTAACTGGGCTTTTATAGCCTCTTTTTTGTCTCAACTAATAATGATGTTTAGATCTAAGTTGTATTCTTTTGAGATGTAAATTTTATCTCATTTCACCTAAAGAGTTCAATACTGCTGGAAATATTGTTTGTTCCAGCTGAACCTGATAAGATATTTTAAAAGAATTTAAAGATAGTTTAATGATGTTGCCAGAATTTATAAAGGGCTCTATTTAATTCACTTTAAGAAACCTACCACAAGTGTTTAAATCAAGTATTTTATCAGAAAAATAAAAACTAACTGAAATGTCCTTTAGTTCATGTGATCTGAGATATACTCTTTGGCAAATAGATCTAGTGTGAAAATTTGTACACGAAGAATGCCTTCAGAATTGTTGGCATTAAATGTAGTGCAGACACCTTTGCTGGGTTTGATGGTTAGACAGGTTTGTGTCGTCTTTATGAAATGTTTAAAGCAATAAAAACTATGTTTAACCTTGAACTTTTTCTTTGCTTCTGTCCTGGGCTTTAGGTTTTTTTGCTCTTTTAAAAGAAAAATATTGAAATTTGTTTGATTTATTAAACTGCAGTTACAGGACTAGATCCAAATTATTCTAGTTTCCTACAATATCTGGCTGCAACTCTCCCACCAGGAATAAGAATTGCTTTGTTCCTAAAACGCTATAAGCTGAAGCTGGATGACTTCATGCAAATTTCAAAGGAAAACATTGTGTCTCATGTGTGGGCTACATAAAAATTCACCAAGCCACCTGATGCCATAACCATAGACATTCAAACTGCAAACCAGGACAAGAGGTTGACAGCTTCAGGCTATAGACAGCTTTTCCCAAGACATTAGTACAAGACTTCTATCATGAAACTCTTACCCCTCTTATTTTTGCCTTGTTTATGCCTACTTTTTCTTCTTTCTTTCTCTTTGTTTCTCTCTCTGTTTCCCTTCCTTTCTTTCTTTCTTTCTCTCTCTCTCTCTTTCTTTCTTTTCTTTCTTCATACCAAAAATAATGTTGTAATTAGAATTTCACAAACAGATTCTGCAGGTGACTTGACAGCATGCCTAACCCAAGTCTTTCTGTTAAAGAGAGCGTTTAGTCTACCTAATAAGTAACTTAAACATATCCCTCATACAACTTTTTGTTCAAATTGCACTAATGATCCCTTTTCACAGAGTTAGCAATATCTGCTTTAATTTAATTTAGTTACAGGGTACTAACTAATATAATTGCTACCTACTAGCTGAACAAAGATGTATCTGTACCACCGCTAATACCATATGCTGTAGCTAGATAAATTCCTCTGAGGAAATTGAGACCCACTGCATAAAATAAGAAAACAGTCTTGGTGACTATGATAGGTCTCACTCAGTCCCCAATGGTCTTTTAATTTGTTGGTTGTTTGGGCTCTTGACTCAGAATCATTGTGAATTTGTTATATTCCTTTCGGTTTTGCTTTGTATTATTTTCTTTAAATTTTGTACCTTTCGCATGTCAAATTTCTGCAGAAATACAACACCTAGCAGAATAATGCTAGCCCAACATGTTGAAATAGGAACCAACAACTATGAAACTGACAAAATTGAATTTAACAATGAACCCCAGGCAAATTTAACAAGAGCCACTACTTGCAAACCTTCTTGCTCAAAGTTTCTTGACACTGACTCATAATTTCTGGCTATTTCCCCAGCGTATGACCAGACCAGTAAGGAAGGTCTATCCTGGCATTGAGAGACAGTAAAAACCTAACTGCGGGTTAATTGATCAGTGATACCTTCAGAGAAAGATCTTAATATAAAGTGGGAAATGTAAAAGTCACTGATGCCAAGATGCAATGGCTTACACTAGACCCAAACAAAGTAAGCCAGGAGTCATGAAGGAGGGGAATCTCATACTGCTATGTCTGGTATAAAAAGTACCACAAGAACCGTCTGAAAACTCATAAGAAATTACCACATGTTCTGCATGTTCTACACATCCTGCTCATTCTGAAGGTCCTACACATATGTCTGTAACAGGGCTTATCACAAGAAATCTGTCAAAACTGTAGTGTTCCAGATAAGCCGCTCCTACAAATACACTTGCCTAGCAATGGCTGTCTCCACCAATGAGTTAGCAATGGCTCCTTCAACAAGCCTATGTGACCAGTGATTTTTGTTTCAGAATAGCTTATGTGGACCTCTCCTCTTTGTCTTTAAAAGTTTCCACTTATCCTAATAGCTCCAGATATGCCTATGATTCATCATAGCATACATATCCTGGATTCCAATCTCCTGCATATTCCCGAATAAACTTTTTGGGGAGAGCCTGTCTCTCTTGTTATTTTAGGTTATGTCCAAATGAATATATAAAATCATATTTTCAGTAATAATTCCAAAAGGTTTAGTTTTTTTAAATAGAATTTGACAAGCTTATTCTGAAATTTCTATAGAAATTCAAAAAACCTAGAATTCTTAAAAAAGAGAAAAAAACTAGAAGACTCCCATTAGCTGATTTCAGGAATTACTATTAAGCCAGAATAATCAATACAACACAGTACTGGGACAAGGAATGACAAATAGATCAGTGGAACAGAAGAGCTTAAAAAGAGCTCCACTCACACAGTCATTTAATTTTCAACAACGGAGCTGAATAATTCCAATGGAGAAATAAAACTTGTCAACAGAGTGATGAAATGTTGACAAGAATTAAAATGAATCTCAACCTCTACTTCATGTCATGCAATCCTAGTGTTAGAAAAATGGAGCTTTACAGATAAGATAAAGTAATTGTTTCAATAAAGGCCAATTCCTTTTTTTCCCTCTGAATAGTTATAAAGAGGAATGAGAGATAAGAATCTATTTCAGATGGTAAATTTTGGAATAGAAGTGACTAAGAGAAGGAGATTCTGCTCTACTTGTTAAGAGAAGATGCAATTATGTAAGAGATCGAGCTGTGCTCAGATTTTCTACTATTCACAAGTTACTGACACTGTCATGAGTCAACCCTATTATCTTTACCAGGATATTAAAGACACGGGCTCTGTTGATCACATTTACTCCTTTTATGGTTTTTTTTTTTTTTTTTTTTAACCATCAGATCTAACAATTCTTTGCTTAGTCCTAGGTTAAGATGCCTGTGCACTAGCCAGGCTGAATTGAAATCTGAGGGTGGGGCTCAGAAACTGACCCGGTAAATAAGAATCTGAGGTGACTTTTAGATACACCAGAGTTTGAGGACATAGCTAAGTGGCACCAGAGAAAAATGGGGAGATGCTGACATAAACAAGGCAAGCTCAGTCCTAGGACAATCTAGAAAACTGTCCTTAAATCTGGGGCTAGGCTTCAGTCAGCTAACTTCTGGCTTTCTTTTCCTTGGCTGCTCTCTGAATTCTTTTATTGTTTAGGAGAAAAAGTTGGGCTGAAACAGAAAGGCCTCAAGCCCCAAATTGTTCAAACGTTTGCCAAATGAAATGCTATCTCACAAGCAGAAAAGTTACCAAAGGAGAGTGCCAGGAAACATTAAAACCCTTTCTACATTGCCATGGCCCCAAAGGGCTCTTTTCAAGCATGTAGCTCTCAAGCTAGAACCAAGGAGAGAGGGACACCTCCAGCCTCCCTTTCTCTAGTGGGGCATGAGTATATACACCTTCCTCCCTGAAAAGGTGCAGGAGAAACAATGTGGGACTTAAAGAGACTAATAAGGTAGGAAAAAATGTGGAATTTTGGTTATTCCAGTTGAGATCAAGTCTGAAAATAAACAAGTGGATTCAGCTAGTATAACTAGATCTTGAGGGTCAGACTGTTGAGTGAAGTTGTTTAAATATCATCCAAGGGTGAGATTGGTCTGTTGCTGAGGGTTGTTGTAACCCACAGGAAATCAAGTCTTCTAAAACTGAGTCAGAATCAGACACTTCTAACTGGAGTTTGAGTGCATGAATGGAAAAAAGAGCTTGATGAGAAAATCTCCCAAAACTATGATGAGAAAATGTTATTTTTTAGAAAACAAATGTGTACGTTCTTAGAAAAACCCAGTATTGGCAATACTGTCAGTTACCTTTGATTCTTATAACATTCAATCATTTAAATACTCTTCTTTTTCAGTAAGTCCTATGATTCATTTACCCATGCTATTAAATGAAAAATGTGCAAGACCGAGCTTCAAATACAAAACAGTAAATCATATGATCATGAAAAAAGAGTATTTGCTATGTGATGGGCATGGCTGGCTTTTAGTTCTATGCTTTGATTCCAATTCAGGGTTGTGGCAATCATAATCACAGCGATATAATTATGGCTACCTAGCCATTTAGCCTACTTAGCAGTCAGGGAAAGGGTAATCACCCAAGGCATTAAGTACTACTGAGATCATTAGCTATACTTGGCTCACATGAAATGTACCACAAACTTTTTGGAAGAGGATGCAATAAGAAAAATACCGGCAGTCATGATGGTTAGTAATGATTATCACAATTCACAAAAAGTATTTAAATGCCACATTATGAAAAAATGAATCCTCTCCAGCATCCTATGTTAGGTCTCTAGCCAGAGAAACGCTATGGTTTAAAGTAACTATAAAGTAACTATAACAAAGTAACTATATGTTACTTATGTATTAGTTATTTAAAGTTAAACTAACTTTAAACTATGGTTTAAAGTAACTATAAAGTAACTATATCAAAGAAGTTGTGTGGGTTTCGATTGTTACCCATAATTGTTTGTCAGCTTCTTCTGACAGAATCTTTATTTCAGAATGCCTATTCCCTAGAAAAAAACACATAGGAGGAGGTGAAATTCTAATTGATTTTCACTTATAACTCAAGTCTGATTTGATTACAATAGGCACTGTAAGACAGACTTTCTAGTTGTCATGGAATTTTATTTAATCAGGAGTTGTTTGAAACAAGTGGGCTGAAAGTATGAGCTCTGTGTGTGTGTGTGTGTGTGTGTGTGTGTAAATATGTGCGAGTATTTTCATAACAACTGTACTATATTCCAAATGAGACTTAACCTCTCTTTTTATCATTTTTGTTTGCCATTTTATTTGCTAACAATGTTTGCTGCTGTCTACAGTAATGAGCTAATTTGTTTCAGAACAAATAATTAAAAACACATAAAAACTGTATTGATATTCCAAGTTAAAATGCCTTCTGAATTGAGGCTAAACTTACATTGTTTCTAGTACATGAAAGTGGTGAAAACGAAACAAATCTAAAAACAGTAATTGTAAATATCTCTGAAATTCTGATATCAAAATATTTATAAGCCTATTTTTGTTAAATTATATTTGTTGGTAGCTTTTACATAATTTATTAAAATATTAATACAATTATATTACTGACAATAGTATTGAACTAAATGTTGTAATGTATGTTATAACAATATGAAGCTTTGAGTATTGTAGGCTGGGGCTGAATACCAGCTCAGTCTAAAGCAGAGAAAGGAAGAGAGAGACTTCAATGAATCCACCTGTAATGGGTGAATCCAAGAAGAATAACCAGTGTTTAAAAGACAGGAAATACAGATGGAACACAGACTTGTTCAGTCTAAATAGTGGGAGTAGCATCTAGCAATAGTCCTCAACTTGAGATTCACATAGATCTGATTTAAGAGCTTTTTTTTTTAATACCATGGAAACTATGCAGCCATAAAAAGAATAAGATCATGTCCTTTGCAGGGACATGGATGGAGCTAGAGGCTATTATCCTTAGAAAACTAACAAGAAGAACAGAAAACCAAATACTACATGATCTTACTTACAAGTGGGAGCTAAATGATAAGAACATGTGGACACTCAGAGGGGAACAACACACACTGGGGCCTTTCAGGGGGTGGAGGGTAGAAAGAGGAAGAGGATCAGAAAAAAAAAAACTGATGGGTACTAGGCTTAATACGTGGATGGGGAAATAATCTGTATAACAAACCCCCATGACACAGGTTTACCTATGTAACAAACCTGTACTTGTACCCCTGAACTTAAAAGTTATAAAGAAATAATAAGAATATACAGATACCTTGGGCTCCACCACAGACAAAATAAATTGGAGTCTCTGTCATGAAGCTTTGGATTGTTATTGTTTTTTAAGTTTATTTTGAGGTAATGGTAGATTAACTTGCAGTTGTCAGATATAATACATAGAAATTTCATATACCCTTCACCCAGTTTCTGTCATTTGTCACATCTTGCATAACTAGAGTATAACCTGGAAATTGTCATTCATAAAATTTATATATTATATCCTTATTCACACCACTCCAATTTTACATGCAGTTGTGTGTTTGTGTGCATTTACATATGTAGATTTGTGTGACATCCACCATGGTCAAGATACAGAACAGTTCATCACAAAGATCCCTTATGTTAGCCCTTTATAGTCATAGCCACCTCCTTTCTTCCCCTGGAGACCCTTGGCAGCTACCAGTCTGTTCCGGAGCGCTCTAATCTTGCCATTTCAAGAATGCGATATAAATGGTATCATAATGTATGTAAACTTTTGAGATCAGATTTTTTCACTCAGCATAGCTTACTGGAGATTTATCTGAGTCGTGTGTATCAATAGTTTGTTCCTTTTTATTGGTGAGTAGTAGTCCATGGTACAAATGCACCACAGTATGTTTAATTATTCCCCAATCAAAGAACATCTGGGATTTTTTGTTTTGGACTGTCACAAACAAAGCTGGGATGATCATTTGTGCACAGACTTGTGTGTGAATATGTTTCCATTTCTAATGAAATAAATTGCACAAGTGTGTAATTGCTGGTAGTTGCATGTTTAGGTTTATAAGAAACTACCAAATTGTTTTTCAGTTTGGCTGTACCATATTACATTCCCACCAGCAATGTACAGTTGATCAAGTTTCTCTGCATTCTTTCCAGCATTTAGTGTTGTCACTAATAATTATTTCAGCCATTTTGATAGGTGTGTAGTGATATCTCATTGTGTTTCAATTTGCATTTTCCTGATGGCTAAAGATACTGTATTTCTTTCTTTCTTTCTTTCTTTCTTTCTTTCTTTCTTTCTTTCTTTCTTTCTTTCTTTCTTTCTTTCTTTCTTTCTTTCTTTCTTTCTTTCTTTCTTTCTTTCTTTCTTTCTTTCTTTCTTTCTTTCTTTCTTTCTTTCTTTCTTTCTTTCTTTCTTTCTTTCTTTCTTTCTTTCTTTCTTTCTTTCTTTCTTTCTTTCTTTCTTTCTTTCTTTTTTTTTTTGTGACAGGGTCTCACTCTGTCGCCCAAGGCTGGAGTGCAGTGGCGGGATCTTGGTTCGCTGAACCTCTACCTCCCAGGTTCAAACATTCTCTTACCTCATCCTCCTGAGTAGCTGGGATTACAAGTGTGTGCTACCACACCCGGCTAATTTTTTTGTATTTGTAGTAGATATGGGGAGACAGGGTTTTGCCATGTTTGCTAGGCTGATCTCTAACTCCTGGCTTCAAGTGCTGCCTTGGCCTCCCAAAATGCTAGGATTATAGGTGTGAGCCACCACTCCTAGCCAAGATATTGTATCTACTTTCATGTGCTTATTTGCCATTCCTTCAGAGAAATGTCTGTTCACATTTTCTAATTGTATTCTCTTCTTTTGACTGTTGAGTTCTCAGAGTTCTTTATTTATTCTAGATACAATTCCCTATTGTATTTGTAGTTTGCAAATATTTCCTCCCAGATGATATCTTGTCTTTTCAACCTCTTGAGTCATCTATAGAATGAAATTTTTTAATTTTGATGTTCAGTTTATTAGATTTTCCTTTTAAAGATCATGTTTTTTATCAAGTCTAATAACTCTTTGCTTATTCCTAGGTCCTAGAGTTATTCCTCTTTTTCTTCCAATGGTTTTATGATTTTTATGATTCACTTTGATATAATGTGAGTATGCAGTGTGAAGTTGAGGTCAGGGGTCATTTTTGTGGCTTGTGGATATCCAATTGCTTCAGTGTCATTTGTTGAAAAGGCTGTCTATCCTCCATTCACTTGCTTTTGCACCTTTGCCAAAAATATGCTCTTAAACATGTTGGACATACTTGTGTGGCTCTCTTTCTGGCCTATGCTGGTCTCACAAAATGAATTTGGAAGTGTTTCCTCCTCTTCTATTTTTTGGAAGAGTTTAAGAAGTATTGGTATTAATTATTCTTGGAATGTTTAGTAGAATTTGTCCATAAAGCTGACCTGTCCTGGGCTTTTCTTTTTTGGGAAGTTTTCGATTACTGATTTAATATCCTTATTTGTTATTGTTGTATGAAGGCTTTCTATTTATTATTGACTTCGTTTTTGTAGGTGTTGGTAGACACATAATAATGGTTCATATTTATGGGGCACAGTGAAATGTTACATCTATACATTCTGTGATGATCAAATCAAGGTAATCCTTGATTTGAATATCCATCACTTCAAAGAGTTGTCATTTCTTTGTAGTGAAAGACCTAAAGTTCTCTTGCCTAGCTATTTTGAAATATACATTACTGTTAACTATAGTCACCCTACTGTACAATAGAGTACCAGAACTTCTTTTTTTTTTTTTTTTTCTAACTGTACTATTTTACCTATTGACCAACCTGTCCCCATTGCCTCCTTCTTTTTCCCATCAACAGCCTCTGGTAACCACTATTCTCTCTCTACTGCTGTGATACCAACATTTTTTGGATTCCACATATGAGTGAAATCATCCTTCTGTGCTTGGCTTGGGTTTACTTAACATAAAGTGCTCTAGGTTCATCCATGTTGTTGCAAATGACAGGATTTTATTACTTTATGTGGCTGAATGTATATATATTCATTGCATATATATGTGCTGTATATGTAAGGTATTGCATTGTATATATATATCACACTTTTTAATTCATTCATCTATTAATGGGCATTTAGATTGATTTTATATCTTGGCTAACAGTGAAGAGTTCTGCAGTAAACATGAGAGTGCGGCTATATCTTTGACATACTGATCTTATTTCTTTAGATGTATCCCCAGTAGTGGGATTGTTGGATCATGTGGTAGTTCTATTTTTAATTTTTGAGGAAACTCCATACTATTGTCCATAATGGATGTAATAATTTACATGGTGGTCAGCAGTGTATAAAAGTTGCCTTTGTCCACATCCTCACCAGCAATTGTTATTTTTTGTCTTATTGATAATAGCCATTCTAACTGGGGTGACATATCTTACTGTGGTTGTGATTTGCATATTTCTGATTAGTGATGTGAAGCATTTTCAAATATACCTGTTGGCTATTCGTATGTTATATTTTTGATAAATGTTTATTCAGATTGTCTGCCCATTCTTTAATTGGATTATTCTTTTGCTATTGAGTTGTTTGTTTCTGATATATTCTGGTTAGTAGCCATCTGTCAGATGCATAGTTTGTGAATATTTTCTCCCATTCTATAGGTTGTTTCTTTACTTAGTTATTTTTATTGTCCAGAAACTATTTGGTTTGATGTAAATACCATTTGACTATTTTTACTTCTGTTGCCTATAATTTTGAGGTCTTATTAAAAAGAAAAAAAACCCTTGCTCACACCAATATCATGAAGCATTTCCCCTGTTTTCTTCCAGTCTGTTTCCTTCATAGATTCAGGTCTACATGTAATCTTTATCTTGAGTCAATTTTTGTAAGTAGAGAGAGAGAGGTGTCTAGTTTCATTCTTAGCATGTGGACATTCAGTTTTCCCGTCACCATTTATGAAAGAGACTGCCCTTTCCCCATTGTATGTTCTTGGTGCCTTTGTTGAAAGTTAGTTGGTTATAAATGAGTGAATTTATTTCCAGTTTCCCTTCTCTGTTCCACTGGTCTGTATGTCTGTCTTTATGACAATACCTTGCTGCTTGGTTTACTACTGCTTTGTAGTATACTTTTAAGTCAAGTAGTGAATGTAATGCCTCTAGCTTTGTTCTTTTTTGATCAAGACTGTTTTGACTATCTCGGTCTTTAGTGGTTCCATAAAAATTTGTGGATTGTTTTTTTCTATTTCTGTGAAGAATGTCACTGGTATTTTGATAGAGGTTGCATTGAATCATAGACTACTTTGGTTAGTATGGACATGTTATGAATATTAATTCTTCCAATAGATAAATAAAGGATATCTTCTCACTTATTAGTGTTCTCAATTTCTTTTATCAATGTTTCAAAGTTTTTAGTGTGGAGATCATTTACCTCCTTGGTTAAATTTGCTCCTAGGCATTTTTTTGTAGGCATTATAAATGGAATTTCTTGCTTGATTTCATTTTCAGAGTTTGCTGTTGGCATATAGAAATGCCATAAATGTTCATATGTTGATTTAGAATGCTACAACTTGACTGGACTTACTAGTTCTAACATTTTTTGGTGGATCTGTAGGGTTTTCTAGATATAATATCACATTATCTGCAAACATAAAATTTGACTTTCCCCTTTCCTATTTGGATGTCCTTTTATTGCTTTCTCTGGTGTAACTGCTCTAGCTAGGTCTTCCAGTACTATAGTGAATAGAAGTGGTCAAAGTGGGCATCTTGTCTAGTTCCAGATTTTAGAGAAAAAGCTTTCAACTTTTCCCCATTCAATATAATGTTAGATATGGGTTTGTCATGTATGGCCTTTATTGTGTAGAGGTATGTTCCTTCTACAACTAACTTGTTTAGAGTTTTTATCACAAAGGGACATAGAAGTTTATGGAATGTTTTTACTGTGTCTATTGATATAACCATCTGGCTTTATGGAATGTTTTTACTGTGTCTATTGATATAATCATCTGGCTTTGTCCTTCATTATGTTAATGCGATATATCATGTTTATGAATTTTGTTTATTGAACCATTCTTGAACCTCATGGTGAATAATCTTTCTGATATGCTGTTGGATTCAAGTTGCTAGTATTTCATTGAGGATTTTTGCATCTATGTTCATTAGGGATATTGGCCTATAGTTTTCATTTTTTGTTGTGTCCTTGTCTGGTTTTAGTATTGGAGTAGTGCTGGCCTCATAGAAAGAGTTTGGAAGAATTCACTTATTCACTTCAATTCATTTTCTTTTCTTTGCTTTTTTTTTTGGAATAGCTTGAGAAGAATTGACATTAGTTCTTTAAATATTTTTAGAATTTTGCAATTCTAAAATTCTGGGCTTTTCTTTGATGGGAGACTTTTTATTACTTATTCTTTTTACTTATTATTGGTCTGTTTGGGTGGGTGTTCTATTTTTTCCTCATTCAATCATAGCAGGTTGTATGTGTTCAGGAATTTACCAATTTCTTTTAAGTTGCCTAATTTTTTGGCAGACAAGTGTTCATATTAGTCTCTAGTGATCCTGTGTGTTTTGGTAGTTACAGTTGTAATGTGTTCTTTTTCATCTGAATTTATTTGAGTCATCTCTTTATTTCTTAAAGGTTTGTCAATTTTGTTTATGTTTTTAAAAACCTAAGTCTTCATTTTGTTGCTCTTTTGTAACATTGCAGTCTCTATTTTCTTTATTTCTGCTATAATCTATTATTACTAATTTTCTTCTACTAATTTTGGGCATTTGTCTAATGTCTTGAGGTGTAACATTAGGTAGTTTATTTGAGATATTTCTCATTTGTTGATGCTATAAACTTTCCCATTAGCACTGCTTTTGCTGTATCTCATAGGTTTGAGTATGCTGTGTTTCTATTTTCATTTGTCTCAATACATTTTTATATTTTCTTTTAAATGCCATCATTGATCCTTTGCATTTTCTGGAGTATATCATTTAATTCCATATATTTTAGTTTCCAAAGTACCCCCTCTAGTTTAATTCCATTATGTTCAGAAAACATATTTGATATCTTTATCTTTTTTAATTTGGTAAGGCTTGATTTGTAGCCTAATGTACAATCTATTCTGCAGAATGTTCCATGGGTAGTTAAGAAGAATATGTATTCTGAAGCTGTTGGATAGAAGGTCCTGTGAATAACTTTTAGGTCCCTTTATTCTAGAGTGAAGTTTTACCCTGATGTTTCATTCGTGATTTTTTTGTCTAGATGATCTGTTCATTGCTGAAGTTGTGGTGTTGAAGTCCTCATCTGTTACTGTATTGTAGTCTATCTCTTCCTTTAATACTATTAATATTTGCTTTATAGATTTAGGTGCTCCGATTTTGGGTACACATATATTCATAATGGTTATATCCTTTTGCTCTATTGATCCTTTTATTATGTAATGGCCTTCATTATCCCTTTTGACAGTTTTTGCTTAAAGTCTATCTTATCTGATAGGAGTACAGCTACTCCTGCTCTTTTTTTTTGGTTTGCATTTGTATGGAATAATTTTTCCATCCCTTCACTTTTAGTATACATATGTTTTCATATGAAATGAGTTTCTTATAGTCAGCATCTAGTTGGGACATTTCTAAATTCATTTTGCCACTCTCTGTCTTTTAATTAGATAATTCAATCCTTTTACATTCAAGGTTATTGTTGATAGGTGAGGTTTTACTGATGCGATTTTGTTACCTGTCTTCTAGTCACTTTGTAGATCCTTTTTTCCTCTCATATAGTCTTCCTTTGTGATTAAGTGATTTCCTCTAGTAGTATGTTTTGATTCTTTGCTTTTTATGTTTAGTGTGTTACAGATTTTTGTCTTGTGGATACCACAAGGCTCACAAAAACATTCTATAATTATAGTAAGTTATTTTAGACTGGAAAAACTTGTGTGATGCAAAGAAAGAAAGACAACTGAGAAGACTACACTTTAACTCCACTCTCCCCTACATTTTGATTTTTCAGTGTCACAATTTATACTTCTTATATTGCTTATCTCCAACAAATTATAGTAATTGTATTTAATAGTTTTGTTTTCCATTCTTCATACCAGAGAGAACCATTTACCTGGAGTGCAAAGCTCCCAGAAAGGCACTTTTGTCTTTGGATGGTTAGCAAATCATTGGTTCTGTAGGGGGATGAGGGTTAGAGACCTCCTATCTAATAGCTTGCTGACATTACAACCAGCATTGGTATTTTTTTAAAAGCTCCCTAATTGTCATAATGTGTAGCCATGGCTGACCTAGAGATTCATTTTTGTGAGTGACAGAATACATATCATCAGTAGAGTTTCTCCAAGATTATATTAGTTAAGTCATTTATAGAAAGACATAAACATGGGGTGTAGGAGTAGAAGAGCAAGGTCTAGTTTCCTGAAAGATTGAAATTCGTAGATGAAAAATGTGGTTAGGGGACCAGTCAAACCAGTCAGTGCTCAGAACTTCCTAGGTCCTAAAAGAGAATGAAACATATATACACATATAAAAAATAATGCATATTGTTTTGCAGGGTATTCTTTTCAATCAACAATATAACATGGGACCCTTCTCATTTTGGTAAAAAAAGTCTACCTAATTCTATTTAGAATGTAGAAAATATTACGTGGCATAGGTAACAAAAATATAATTATTAGCTCTGTTGTTTCTGGATGTTTATAATACCTTTATATTTATTATAATAATATATTACTATGTGTATGTTGGTATTTGTATTTATGTGAAACAAATTTAAGTGGCTTATGCAAGTTCCAGTGCCCACCAGAGGTCTTTTTTATTATAAATTGACAATTTATAATTGCATAAATTTATGAGGTACAAAGTCATGTTATGCTTCATGAAAACAACATGGAATAATTAAATCAAGCTAGTTAACATAGTAATCGTGTCAAATACCTAAAATTTTTTGTGGTAATGAAAACATCTGGGCCGGACGCGGTGGTCATGTCTGTAATCCCAGCACTTTGGGAGGCTGAGGCGGGCAGATCATGAGGTCAGGAGATCAAGACCATCCTCGCTAACACAGTGAAACCCTGTCTCTACTAAAAATACAAAAAATTAGCCAGGCATGGTGGTGGGCGCCTGTAGTCCCAGCTACTCAGGAGGCTGAGGCAGGAGAATGGCGTGAACCCGGGAGGCACAGCTTGCAGTGAGCTGAGATCACACCACTGCACTCCAGCCTGGTCAACAGAGCGAGACTCCGTCTAAAAAAAAGAAAAATTGAAATTTACCCTCTTAGCAATTTTGAAATGTACAATATATTATTAACTATATTTTTACCATGTTGTGTAATAGAACTAAAAACAGTTTTTCTTCTGTCTGATTGAAATTTTGTACTTTTTGACCATTATCTCCTCATTCCCTCATCCTATAACCACAATTCCACTCCCTGATTCTATGAGTTTGATTGTTTTAGATTCCACCTATACGTGAAAACACGAGTATTTGTCTTTCTGCACCTGGCTTATTTCATTTAGCATATTTTCTAATTGTAGCTATGTTGCCACAAGTTGTGGAATTTTCTTCTTTTTAAGGCTGCATAGTATTCCATTGTGTGTGTCCATATATATATATATATATATACCTTTTCTTTATACATTCACCTGTTGATGAACACTTAGGTTGATTCCTTGGCTATTGGTTGGTTCACTTGGCTATTGTAAATAATGTTATCATGAACATGTGAGTGCAGACATTTCTTTGACAATCTGATTTCAAATGTATTGTGTTAAAAACCAGAAGTGGGATTGCTAAATAATACAATCATTCTATTTTTAGTTTAGTTTTTTTTTGGAAACTTCATACAGTTTTCCATAAAGGCTGTACTAATTTACATTCCCATGAACAGTATACAAGGGACTCCTTTCCTGCACATTCTCACCAACACTTGTTATCTTTTGTCTTTTTGATAATACTTATTCTTAAAGGTGTCAGATGATATGTCATTGTGGTTTTAACTTGCATTCCCGTAATGATTGGTGATGTTGAACATTTTTTCATCTATCTGCTGGCCATTTGTGTGTCTTCTTTTGAGAAATGTCTACTCAGGTCTCTTGCCCATTTTTTATTTGGGTTTTTTGTTTTCTTGCTATTGAGTTGTTTGAGCTCTGACATATTTTGCATACTATCTTTCCATCAGATATATGGCTTGCAAAATATTTTCTCCCACAGTCCATATATTTTCTCTTCACACTGTTAATTATTTTCCTGAGCAGAAGCTTTAGATTAATTGTTTCATATGAATAGGCCTCTCTAAGCGTTCAGGCTTATAAGATTACTATGGGGCATACTTAGTGTTTTAGTCCATTTTCACACTGATATAAATAACTGCCACAGACTGGGTAATTTATAACCAAAAGAGGGTTAATTGACTCACAGTTCAGCATGGCTGGGGAGGCCTCAGAAAACTTACAATCATGGCAGAAGGTAAAAAAGAAACAAGGCACTTTCTTCACAAAGCGGCACAAAGAAGAGAATGCAGGAGGAACAAGCACACACTTATAAAACCATGAGATCTCGACCAGGCGCAGTGGCTCACGCCTGTAATCCCAGCACTTTGGAAGGCCGAGGTGGGTGGATCACTAGGTCAGGAGTTCAAGACCAGCCTGGCCAACATGGTGAAACCCCATCTCTACTAAAAGTACAAAAATTAGCCGGGCATGGTGACGTGCGCCTGTAGTCCCAGCTACTCAGGAGGCTGAGGCAGGAGAATTACTTGAACCCAGGAGGCAGATGTTGCAGTGAGCTGAGATCAGCGCCACTGCACTCCAGCCTGGGCAACAGAGTGAGACTTCATCTCAAAAAGAGAAAACAAACAAACAAACAAAAAAATCGAGCTTGTTAGAACTCACCGTCATGGGAACAACATGATTGAATTACCTCCACCTGGTCTTTCCTTGACATGTGGGGATTATGGGGATTACAATTCAAGATGAGATTTTGGGTGGGGACACAGCCTAAACATATCACTTAGTATCATATTCCTTACAAGGATCTAAGATAGGAAACCCAGTTTGTCAGGATCAGAGTCAGATGTTTTCCTTCAAGGAGAGTTACAATATGCAGATGGCTTCTCACTATCTATCATTCTATCAATCTAGAGGCATTTCATCAATGAGAGCTATTTTTACAATGAGCAGATTGGCTTGAAAACACTGCTGATGTTTTACCTTTATTGTGTTTCCAATAAAAGAGAGCTATAGATTTAACTGAACGCAAGGTGCACTCCTCCTGCAGAAGTGAATGGGTTTTGTTAAACTTTTACTCACAATGCTAAATTTTGGTAAATCCTGTCAAATTGTTCTCCAAAAAGTTTAAATCAGTTTATACTCAAGAGTAAATGAGAGTGTTACTTTCCTCGCAACTTTTCTGACACTGTATATTTTAAATATTTTTTTAAGTTTGACACGACAATGCATTGATATTTTTACTTGCATTACCTTTATCATGGGTAATTTTGAAAATACCTGTGTTAATTTAATATTTGTCAGTAAGTTAACTTGCTCATATGACATTTTTCTATTGGATTGTCTTTTTCTCACTGATTTAGAGCAGTTTTTATATATTAGGAAGATCATATTTTTGTCTGTTACATGTAATATATATATTTCCTCATGCTTTCACGTGTGTTGCCTTTTTTTATAATACATGTGTTCAAGATGAAGGTAAAGATAGTTGTATTAGTCCCTTTTCATGCTGCTGATAAAGACATACCCAAGACTGGGTAAGTTGTAAAGAAAAAGAGGTTTAATAGACTCTCAGTTCCATGTGGCTGGGGAGGCCTCACAATCATGGCAGAAGGCAAAAGCCATGACTTACATGACAGCAGGCAAGAGAGAGAATGAGAACCAAGCTAAAGGGGTTTCTCCTTATAAAACCATCAGATCTTGTGAGGCTTACTACTACAAGAACAGTATGATAGAAGCCGCCCCCATAGTTCATTGATCTCCCACCAGGTCCCTCCCACAACACGTGGGAATTATGGGAGCTACAATTCAAGATGAGATTTGGGTGGGGACACAGCCAAACCATATCAATAATTATTTGGTCAAATATGCCACTTTTTCCTCATGACTTCTGGAATTTGTATTAAGATTGTAATGTGTTTTCTCATCCAAGTTTCTAAATATATTTACCACATTTTCTATCAGAATGTTTATGTTTTATGTAGAGACTGTTGATTCTGTCTCAGTGATCCCTTTGAGGGGTCTCAATGTATACTTTGTCATTGAAAGTTGACGAGGGCACTGCCCTACTTCTCTTCCTGCCACCAAGCTCACCTTGGGAGTCCCCTAAGGCATGTTCTCCACTTAATTTAGAGCTTGCTAGCTTGTGCCTGAGAGCTGTATCCCATCACAGAAGTTCCACAGCACTTTAATTAATTACTTTGTCAATTGCCCCAGGGACTGCTCTGCCTCCCAAGCCAGATTTTTTTCTGATCCTGCGGAGTTTTCTGGTGTTCTATTTGGAAAACTCTTTTTTCAGAAGTCCCTATTGAGTTGTCAGTTGCTTACCTCTGTGGGGTTTCTTTTCTAATTAAATCCCATCTGCTTAATATCTTTAAAAAATTCTTTAATAATCCTTGCCCTCTGAAGGCATCTTTCCTGTCTTTCTATGATTGCTACTCTGTCATTTCAATGGGCATTAGGGAGAAAGTAAATGAAAGCTTAGGTAGTCAGTCAACAAACCTAAAAATGCATGATAGACTTTTTTAAGTCATATTACGTGTGTTATAAAGCCTAAAATGAGGGAATAATTCCTAATTAGATGGCATTAAAAAAGGAATTTAATACAGAAGATTTTGATTAGATAAACAAAAATCTTTTGTCACACATTCAAAATGTAGTTTTACATTTTAAAATAAACAATTAGCTGGGCATGGTGGCTCACACATGTAATCCTAGAAATTTGGGAGGCCAAAACAGGTGGATGCCTTGAGCTTCTGGGCATGGTGGCACATGCCTGTAGTCCCAGCTACTGGGAAGGCAGAGATGGAAGAATCTCTTGAGCCTCGGAGGTCCAGGCTGCAGTGAGCCAAGATCATGTCACTGCACTCCAGCCTGGGTGACAGAGTGAGACCCTCTCTCTCAAAAAAAAAAAAAAAAAAAATGCTATTAATTGGATCAAATATATAATTCAGTTAATACTAGTTTTGAGGGAAAAGGTTCAAACCTTAACATAATTATCTAATCTAGGTAAAAAGAAGCTTACATTATTTATGATAATCTTTAAAAAATGCTAGAATGTGATATTATTAAATAAAATTATTAAAATACTATGCAGACTGTGAATGAAAGCATAATTTTTTTATTTTTTATTTTTTTGAGACGGAGTCTCGCTCTGTCACTCAGGCTGGAGTGCAGTGGCACGATCTTGGCTCACTGCAAGCTCTGCCTCCGAGGTTCACGCCATTCTCCTGCCTCAGCCTCCCAAGTAGCTGGAACTACAGGCAGCTACCACCACGCCTGGCTAGGCTAATTTTTTGTATTTTTTAGTAGAGACAGGGTTTCACCGTGTTAGTCAGGATGATCTCGATCTCCTGACCTCGTGATCCGCCCGCCTCGGCCTCCCAAAGTGCTGGGATTACAGGCATGAGCCACCATGCCCGGCCTGAAAGCAAAATTTAATAGGGTTTGAAATAATAATTTGAAACCCACCTTGAGATAAAATTCAGTTCTGAACTATAAGCATAGGACTTATGACTGCAGTGATGCTAGCTGACATCATGGTGGTACAGGTAACTGGCAGGAAGCAAAAGAAGCACATTTTATAGAAGGTACAGTAGGGTCACAGTGCCCTGGATAACTTTATTGGATGCCAATAACATAGCAGCTATGAGATGCTCATGAGTCGTTTGGGGAGAAGTGGAAGATATTACACTTCTTCACAACATTAGTAGGTGCATCAACAGTGGCAGTAGTAAAATGGTCAGAACAAGTGACAGAAAATATCAAAAGCCTCTATTCAGACAATTTTATCATGACTACATGAGCCATCTTCTGACCCTGATAAAAGAGTTGGTAAGATCTGAATTTAAGATCTGAATTTTTGGGCAACAGTTTAAATGCTCATTTGACTTCCTTGAGGCTATGTCACTTAGTGTATATATTAGTCTGGAATTCTAGCCCTATCAAAACTAGAAATATTCATTGACAGATGATATTTAAGTCATAGGATAGAATGTGCTCACCCAAAGTGAGCATGAAGTTGGACAAAAAATACCTAGAAATACCATATTTAAAGTAATGCTTGTTAAATATGAAATTAAAACTGCAGATCACAAGTCATATTAATAAGTTATCTATAAAAATTTACAGAAATTATACCATGAAGTTATAATTTATTAAAACAATATGGTTTGGACTTTGAGTACTTAATTTTAAAAAATATTTTGCAGCACAGCCTAAATTGTATGAAATCAGATATTCCCACATCAGTTCTTGAGCTCTTCTGTTCCTGGGGGAAGGCTGTTTGCACCAATATTGAATGGAATTAATTTAATAAATATCACATTCTCAGGAGGAATAAGATGTGCTTGTTTTTTTTTTTTTTTGGAAGAATATGACATTAGAAACACCCTACACTGAAAGATTTATAGCCTAAATGGAGAGAATAATACATACAGGACTAACCATAAAAACAAAAGAGATGTAGCAAGTGCAAGTAAAAAGTATAAAAAAGAAAAATTGAACCTTACTCTCAGAACTTTTAAAAGCTTTACCACTTAGCTGGCATTTTAGCTACTTCCTTAAAGAGGAATAAGCATTCAGCAAATTGATGGAGATAATAGGTAAGGGAAAATGAATGAAGACCTAGGGTCTAAGAGACATCCTCATGAGAGGGCATGCCTGGAAGTATTGGAGAATGGGTGTTAGTTAAGTGTATTTGGGAGTCAGTTGTGGCTGAGGGGCTGGTTATAAGTGACATTAGAGAGTGGGTGTGTTTTAGCCTCACCTTGATTGCACTTTAAGGAATTAAAACGATTTCAGGTAGAGGAAATGCTTGACAAATTATTTGTTATATAGATCAGTGGTCCCCAATCTCCAAGCCACGTTCCAGCACTTGTTTGTTGCCTGTAAGGAACAGGGCCACATAGCAAGAGGTGAGCAGCAGGCAAGCAAGCAAAGTTTCAGCTGTACTGACAGCCACTTTTACTGCCTGAGCTCCACCTCCTGTCAGATCACTGGAGGCATTAGTTTCTTTTAGGAGCATGAATCCTATTGGGAACTGTGCATGCAGGGGATCTAGTTTGCACGCTCCCTATGAGAATCTAATGCCTGATGATCTGACACTGTCTTCCATCACCACCGGAAGGGACTATCTAGTTGCAGGAAAACAAGCTCAGGGCTCCCACTGATTCTATGTTGAGTTGTATAATTATTTCATTATATATTACAATGTAGTAATAATAGAAATGAAGTGTACAATAAATGTAATGTGCTTGAATCATCCCCAAACCATCCGCCAACCCATCCCTGGTCCATGGAAAAATTGTCTTCCACAAAACCAGTCCCTGTTGCCAAAAAGGTTGGGGACCACTGATATAGATAGCAAGCCTCTTATTGCAAGTGGAGGTAAAATGGATTATTTAAATATCCAAATTATAAACAATGTACAATGTTGTACTCTGTAATGTTGCTGCATTTAACTTGAATTAATATTTTAAAAGTGGACTCAGGGAGGTATTACTAGTGATAACATTGTTTCCCTCTTTCTACTTTTAAGTGTTTTTCAAAGGTTCTTTAAGTATATAGATACATTGCTTTTTTTTTTTTTTTTTGAGATAGAGTCTCACTCTGTCATGCAGGCTGGAGTGCAGTGGTGCAATCTTGGCTCACTGCAAGCTCCGCCTCCTGGGTTCACGTCATTCTCCTGCCTCAGCCTCCTGAGTAGCTGGGACTACAGGTGCCCGCCACCACGCCCGGCTAATTTTTTGTATTTTTAGTAGAGATGTGGTTTCACCATGTTAGCCAGGATGGTCTCGATCTCCTGACCTTGTGATCTGCCTGCCTCGGCCTCCCAAAGTGCTGGGATTACAGGCGTGAGCCACCGCGCCCAGCCTACAAGCTGCTTTTTATAAAAAAGTATTTTCTCATTATGAAACACAAAAAGTATCTTAACACATTCAGTGTTTCTTCATTTAAATCATTGTTCATGGCATCTCTTTGCAGTTAGATAAATGAATCACAAATTACACATATGTTTATGACTCTCCAAATATATTATTAGATTTTTTCTAAGGACAGTACCAAGTTTCATTTCACTAGCAATTTTTCACTGTTTTTCTGCCAACATTTTCAATGCTGGTTATTTTAAGTGTATACATGCTTTGTTTGCATGTGTGTAAAATATTTGCTAATATGGCAGGGATACAATAGTATCTGACCATTTAAAGCTTTTAAATGATAAATTCAAGGATCCACTTTATTGGGTATACTGAGGAATCTCTACACAAGTGCTTAGTTGCTCTGTATAGAGTTGCTCTATACTGTAGCTGCTCAGTAATATGTCAAATGAGTGAATGAATACAGTAATGATTCCTGGTTATTGTAAAACATTTAGAATATACAAATTATTTCTTAAAACTAAAATCGCTCATAATTTTGTTACCTGTAGTGCCCTTCCAGTTATAGTCCTTACATACTTATAAAATGATTGTTTGTCATTTGTTTTTAAGCCTAGAAATCTGATGTGTATATTTTACGAGGTCATTAAATGCTATTTCACAACATGACTTTTTATGGCTTAATAAATATTCCAATATAAAAATAATTTAAGAGTATTGATTTTATGATGGTAAATGTTATTTACTGATATATTTTTTAGACATGGATTCTCACTATGACACCCAGGCTGGAGTGCAGTGGCACAATCATAGCTGACTACAGCCTCGAATTTCTGGGCTCAAGCAAGGCTTTCATCTCAACCTCCCCAGGAGCTGGGATTACAGGTATGAGCCACTGTGTCTGGCTTGATTTTTTATTTAAAAAATTATTTGTTAATAGAAATATGTCCTAAGAAGGGTAGATCGTGGCTGTTTATTTTCCAGTGAAGAGCTTCAGTTAAGAACATGCAAATATGTGAGTGTTCATTAATGCTTTTATTCATTCATACATCTATTTATAAATATTATCTAAATCTGCTATGTGCCAGGCATTATGCTACCTGCCAAGGATTCCACAAGGAATGCTTCAACTGGAAGGCAGGAGTCAGAGATGACATTGATGTGTTTGGAATGAAGGCTTTTCCTTTTGTTTTGCTCTTTTTTTTCCCAATAGGCACAAATCAGGGCCAAGGCATGAGGGGCAAATAAAGTTCAAATATTTTCTTTGGAATTTATTATTTGCAAAGGAAACCATTTGTACTCACCGAGGGACTTGATGTGGAATACTTTATTTTTCACCTCCTAGTGTGACAGCAAAACTAATAACAGACCCATAAAATACTTCCAAAAGAGAAGTATTTTTGTTCTGGCTTCATGATGGTCTTATTGCCTCCACAGTATAAAAAGAAAAGTGGGAAACTTTTATAAGATACTCATTAAATTACCTTAGTAACAAAACAGAGTTCTCAAAGTGGACCATCCATAAAATGTTTATTTAAAAAAAAAAAACAGGGTTGCTTCAGTTAGGATAGAAAAAATATAATTAATCTAGAACACATTGTGTTCTCAATGATTTGGGTAGTTTAAAACTATAATTTGAAAGGCTGTAAAGGGTAGCTGTACCATTTAGAAGTTAAGAAACAAAATAGAATCAAAACAGAATCAAATTTAACCATTGGACTCTATTTAGAGTCCAAGATTTCTAATAAACAGTGATTTAATCTGAAAACATATTTTTTTACTCCTTCAGTTAAAACAGAAACTAAAAGTACCACTTTTGCATCTGAAGCCAGCCTTCATGTATTAGCTTTGTTCTGCTGCATTTCATAGGAGGCCTTGTGAGTTAATAACTATAAAGTTCTTAGAACTTTGTCTTCAGAAATTGCTCTTTGTCTTATGAAAAGGTAGATGAGTCTGTAATGCAATGGTAAGTCAGTCACATGCATTACCTAACTTATTCCTCACACATTTCCTATGAAGTATGTGCAGGAGGAACAGTGGAAACAGAGAGGTGACTTACTCAAGGTTACAAGGCTGGTAAGTAGCAGGAGCTGGGATGAGATCCCAGGCTTGTCTGATTTTAAAGCCTGGAATTATTCCTCCATCCACAGCAGTTGTCTCTCAGTAAACCACGATTGTCATCCTAAGTAGTAACATTGAAGCTAGACTTTGACTGCTAGGTAATTTTAGCTGTGAAGAGGGGTCGGCCTTATAGACAGAAATAACACAGTAAAGAGTCACAGAGGTGTGGTGTCCATGATGGCTTGGGAGGTAATTTGTACCTTTTAACAAAGCAGCTGTCTCAGATTACCAGTAGCCTGAAAATTTCCAAATTCCTCCCAGTTTTACATGGCTAGTGCCTTCTAGTTCTCTCAACTTTTTGACATTTTTGTCTTTTCCTGATAGAAACTGTAGAGTTATCCTTGATTTGTTCCCCTTACTACCTCTTACCTAGTCAGTTATAAAGCCTTATTTAATAGTATTTCAAAAAATCTTTCCATTCTCTACACTCTTCATCATTACTGTTGTCACTTAGAGCCTGAACCATCATCAAGTCTCATACTGACTGTATTAAGTCTCCAAACTTCTCTGAACTTACCTTGCTGTCCGTTATCTTTCTAAATCACAGCTCTGGTTACACCAGTCACTTTAAAAGCCACTATCTGAAAATAAAGACCAAGTGTAAAGTGGCAGATGACACCCTTCGGGTATAGACAATGCATAATTCTTGCTTCTTATGTAGTGACTCATGATAATTCTCACAGCTATTTAATTCATGTTTTTGTTATTCTTTAATTTTTCTGGACTCTTTTTTTCTTTGAGTTGATTGAACTTGACTGATGTGTAAATGTTTTCCAGGGGCACAAAACTGGGAGGAGACAAAGTTGGGGAGAGCGATGTTTATACATTGCTCAAGTTCAAGCACAAATACCTGTGTATCTTAACCTGGCCCTCTCAGCTGCCAATAGCCAATTAAGATAATAGCTTTCAAATTTGTTTTTAAATTATTCCTTTATTTTTAAAACTGACATATACAATTGTATGTATTTATCATATGCACCATATATAGCAAGAGGTTTTGAACTACATAGACTTTGTGGAATGATTACATCTATATAATTTGCGCTAACATATTGTTGAATGGCCATCACTCTTACAGCATCTTCCACAGGTCACATCATTTTGTTCTTACTTGACTAAGACTTTCTTATAAGCAGTGACTAAATCTAAATAATTTTATTAGCTTATCATTTCAGTTCATAATATAATGCCTTACACATCATAGACAATAAATAGTTATTCTTCAAATGAACAACAAGAGGTAAATTATTTTTATTTTCTTTAAGGCAAAACATAAACTTATCCCAGGAAAATTAGCAGTAATTATTCCAATGCTTGGCCTTTACTGTTATAAAATAAATCAAGCTAGACTTATTTTGTATTACTCTCAGTGTGCTGTATTTTGCTTTTCAAAAATAACTTCCTTTAAAGAAATCTGAATGAAAGGTTCTAAGTTGGCTGGGTGCGGTGGCTCACGCCTGTAATCCCAGCACTTTGGGAGGCCGAGGCAGGCGGATCACGAGGTCAGGAGATTGAGACCATCCTGGCTAACACGATGAAACCCCGTCTCTACTAAAAATAGAAAAAATTAGCCGGGCGTGGTGGCGGGCGCCTGTAGTCCCAGCTACTCGGGAGGCTGAATTGGGAGAATGGCGTGAACTGAGGAGGCGGAGGTTGCAGTGAGCCAAGATTGTGCCACTGCACTTCAGCCTGGAAGACAGAGCGAGACTCCCTCTTAAAAAAAAAAAAAAAAAAAAAAAAAGGGCCGGGCGCAGTGGCTCACACCTGTAATCCCAGCACTTTGGGAGTCCAAGGTGGGCGGATCACAAGGTCAGGAGATCGAGACCATCCTGGCTAACACAGTGAAACCCCGTCTCTACTAAATATACAAAAAATTAGCCGGGCTTGGGGGCGGGCGCCTGTAGTCCCAGCTACTCGGGAGGCTGAGGCAAGAGAAAGATGTGAACCTGGGAGGCGGAGCTTGCAGTGAGCCGAGATTGCTCCACTGCACTCCAGCCTGGGCAACAGAGCAAGACTCCATCTCAAAAAAAAAAAAAAAAAAAGTTCTAAGTTCCAAAGGCCATTTCTGTCTTAACTATTCTGTAGCACCTCTTTCCTGTCACATCTGTGAGCCCAGAGTTAGCCTCACATGCTTTGCTTACTGAAGTCTGAATGTGTTTAGAATTTTTTAACATCTGTGAATATAGCATCTCATGCATTCTCATTTTTTCTATATTTTCAGCAAAACTAGGGAAATATTATTTAAAGTTAATGTGAGTAAATTCAATGATCTAATGAATGAAACAATAATCCAAGATAGAAAATGTAGTCGTATTATACAAACTGTTGTCCTAACAGAATACTACTTTATATATAGAGGAGAAAGATGATGATAACTGAAATTTTACAAGAAATAAAGTCTATACCACGAAGAATGACAATAGCAACAGAAATAAAAACCACCAGTGAAAGAGAGAACAGTACAACACACACTCTTAAAACATATCTGGGGCTGGGCGCGGTGGCTCACGCCTGTAATCCCAGCACTTTGGGAGGCCGAGGCGGGAGGATCATGAGGTCAGGAGATTGAGACCATCCTGGCTAACATGGTGAAACCCCTTCTCTACTAAAAATACGAAAAATTAGCCGGGCGTGGTGGCGGGCGCCTGTACTCCCAGCTACTCGGGAGGCTGAGGCAGGAGAATCGCGTGAACCCGGGAGGCGGAGCTTGCAGTGAGCCGAGATCGTGCCACTGCACTCCAGCCTGGGTGACAGAGCAAGACTCTGTCTCAAAAAAACAAAAAAACAACATATTTGGTATTGAGTTCCAAGGCTCTCTGGTAAGATAGTAACAATACACCTCTAAAATTGTAAATATAACTTGCCTATATAATATTTCTCACACGTTTCTTTTTTTTAACTTTTATTATTTATTTATTTATTTATTTTTGAGATGGAGTCTTGCTCTGTAACCTAGGCTGGAATGCAGTGGCACAATCTCTGCTTGCTGCAACCTCCACCTCCCAGGTTTAAGCGATTCTCCTGCCTCAGCCTCCGGAGTAGCTAGGATTACAGGCATGCACCACCAAACCCAGCTAATTTTTGTATTTTTAATAGTGATGAGGTTTCACCATGTTGGTCAGGCTGGTGTCAAACTCCCCACCTCATGATCTACCCACCTCGGCCTCCCAAAGTGCTGGGATTACAGGTGTGAGCCACCGTGCCAGGCCTTTTCTCACCCTTTTCAACAAATGGTGATAAATCGTTACAATTTATCTTCCTTTAAATCATGGTTACACTTTAGAATTTAATTAATTTCAGAAGAAACAGGAAGAGTTTTAAATCCTTCTTTTCAGTCAGATCATTAACAAATGAGATACATGTTAAAACCTTATTGAATTGAGCATGTATTACGTTCTAGGCACTGCACGAGGCACTAGGCACAAAGTACAGTGGACAGCATAGCTTCTACCCGTTGGGGAGAAATTAAAATAGCCAATCACAGTGTTGCAAAATAAAAGATACAATAGGATAGATACAAAACCAGTGAAGTCAGTCTTATCAAATCGTATGACTTCTGAAGGCAACAGAAACCATAAAAGAGTTTTATCCAAAGAGTGATATGACTATATTGTTTGAGCATATACTGCTGGTTCATCTTCAGTTTACCTCTTTCATTTAGAACTTAAAACATTTTGAAAGCATTTCTTTCCAAATTCTGGACTTTTCAGATATATATATAAAATCATTTACCTCACAAAATCTTTAAAGTATGGCTGCATCAATGATGTATGTGGAAGACAGGTGTGTTAGAATATTGAACAAAACAATTAAGTATATTGTAAGCAGCATTAAGATCTCCTCTAGGATATGAATTCCCTTCAGATCCAACTTACGAGACCCAGGAACCTCTCAGCCTCTGGGGTAAGATGAGTTCAAATGTCACTCTTGTAAAAGCGTTTTGGAGCAGGCTCATACCCGCTTAGAAAAGTTAATTCTTTGCATCATTTTTCGCTACCCCATATTCAATGACGTAACATTGATAGCTCAGAAATGACCTTACATGGCAGTACTTACGAATCAGCAAATGCTTCAAGTAATGTTTCTTTTTTTTCCCTTACCTCCAGAGATCCAGTTTCCCCGCCTAGCACTGCTTAGGTGTGATGCCTGTCTAGAAATGTGGTAGTTAGATATCTTAGCCCTCTAAATTTTTCTACTATTCTCTGATTAAACAGATCCATGCTCCACTCAATTTCAATGTCTTCTCCCCATTACGATCATGATGCCCAATTCCTTGCACACAAAGATTGATTTCATTAAATTTAGTTTTATCCTTGAAATATGTACAAGTTTAAATTCATCATCCCTATCCTATTTATCACTATTCTATCTATCCCCACGCCTGAAATGGGACACTATTTGGGTTAATCAGATATTGAATACCTTAATAAAATTTCAGCTGTTATATCACAAGGAAAGCTACCAATATAGCTGTTATCATGTTGTTATTTTTACTTTTATTTCCTTTTTAAAAAATCAAATTGGATTGTTCTATGAATACTGGGTTAGTTTCAATAATCATTCTCCCAATTAGTATTGAATTACATACAGCTAATGATTGCTAAGCATATCTTAATAACTCATGTGAAATATAGAATACCTTGGTTTCTATTGGTGAGTTCAAACATATTAAGCAACTTAACCAAATATAAATGCTGGACAGCTACACTGGACACTATTTCACATCCAGTCACCAAATGATGAATGTCAAAGTGTCTATATAATTTCCTCATAGCTTAGAACTCATAAATAACACTGTTCCAGCAAAAAAGTTAAGCTTGCTATGGACACTTAGAATATTATTGGCAAAGATTTACTAAGAAGATGATTAGAGGCCTTTTGAGAATTGCATGCTGGTCTGCATTTCATTTTTATGCAAATTCAAAAACAAAATTATGCAAATATTCTTTTGAGTAACTACTGTGCTGTTGTCTAGGAACCATATTTTTCATTTCTGGTTGGTGAAATGATATCTTGCCAAAAGCAAAAGTAATTTGTGAAGTAGGATTCTGTTCCATACTCTGTGGACTCCTAAAATGTCAGCTCTGTCATGCTGAGAAAGTTTTAGGTGGTAAAGTGGCAGCAGCAGGGGTGTGTGCATGGTGGTGGTGGGCAGGTTATATTTGCAACTGCCAACCACCACAGTGACAAATTTCTAAAGTATCTGCCAGGCCCTGGGAAACCCATTTAAATATTCCTAGGTTGATACTTAAACAATGATATAAATTCTTTGAGGAATTTTCTCTAGCCTACTGAAAGCCTGAGAATAATATAACATAAAACTACACCTTACCCTAAGTTTAAGAAGTCTTGTGTTACTTTTAGGCCATATGTTCTAAAGTGAAGAGTAATTACAACAATAGTTCTTCTCATGTCTGTGACAGAAATAATCACAAGTGCTTGAAATGATTTATTTTTCTGAATCTTTTTTTTTTTTTTTTTTTGAAATGGAGTTTCACTCTTGTTGCCCAGGCTGGAGTGCAGTGACACAACCTCGACTCACTGCAACTTCTGCCTTCCAGGTTCAAGCAATTCTCCCAAGTAGCTGGGATTACAGGCGCCTGCCGCCATGCCCGACTAATTTTTTATATTTTTAGTAGAGACTGGGTTTCACCATCTTGGCCAGCTGGCCAGGCTGGTCTCGAACTCCTGACCTTAGATGATCCACCCGCCTCAGCCTCCCAAAGTGCTGGGATATTTTTCTGAATCTTATACTGATTCAAGGTGAAATTTTCAAAGTATATTTTGTTCAGACCATCTCATTTTAAGAAATTTTCCAACATTATCATTTACCTCCCATACATTCGTTTATAAAGTAAACTGCAACATTATCTAGGGCAATTATTCTCAAACACTTGGAGATTATCAAAAACATATTGGGAACCTTTCAAAAAATTGCAGTCTGCCAAATCTCTCAGCTTTAGAAAAATAGCAGAATACAGTTTCCCACCCCACACCCTTTTTTTTTTTTTTTTTTTTCTTTCCAGCTGGGATCGCTACTGGCATCCTATAAAATGAGAAAGATCAAAATCTTAAATAATAAAAATAGCATACTTAGCTTTTCTAGTGTGCCTTTAAGGAAGACACAAAGAGGGAAGAAGGGGGAAGCCTCTGGAACTGTATGTTATATAATATCCAGTGGTTTATTCTTTGCAGAGATTTGTAGTTGAAGAATGCTTTTTCTTTACTTTTTTGGGCTATAAAAAAACACACATTTAAGGAAAAGGAGGATATTTGCATAGCTTCAAATTATCTCCCTGCAAATGCACATTTATTTATCATCGAAGTGGTTTTAACAAATGTCCACAAATTTTTGATACTCCTCCCTCAGGAAGTGGAGCTTAGTTCACCTCCCCCTTAAGTGTGGGCTGGACTTAGTGTTTCTCTTCTAATAAATAGAAGATGAAAAGAGAAAAATAGTAACCTTACAATGGAAGAACCTGGTATACACTACTTATCCAAGTGGTCAAGGTTAATAGCACCAGCAATAGGTCATGTTATCATTGTAACCACTGTTGTGATACGGTGAGAACATTTCACCTCTGTGGTGAAATGTTATGTGTTTTCACCCCCAAAATACATAAGCCCAGACTAACCATGAGGAAACATCTGAAAAACACAAGTCGAGGAACATTCAACAGAATATTTGACCAGTACTCTTCAAGAAATGCCAAGGCCATTAAATACAGGAAAACAGACCAGGTGTGGTGGCTCACACCTGTAATCTCAGCACTTTGGGAGACTGAAGTGAGCAGATCACTTGAGCCCAGGAGTTCAAGACCTGCCTGGGAAACATGCAAAAGCCATCTCTACTAAAAATACAAAAATTAGCTGGGCGTGGCGCACATGCCTGTAGTCCCAGCTACTCAAGAGGTTGAGGTGGGAGGATCAATTGAGCCTGGGAAGTCCAGGCTGCAGTGAGCTGTGATCGTGCCACAGCACTCCAGCCTGGGTGACAGAGGAAGATCCTGCCTCAAAAACTAAAAAAATAAAAAATAAAAAGGAAAGAATGATAAACTCTCTCATAGCTTGAAGGAGACTAATGAAATATGACAACTAAATGCATCGTTGGATCTTAGAAAATAAGACAATACTGGAAAAAATACTTAAATCCAAATAAAACCTGTTGTTCAAATAAATTAACTAAATAAATACTGTACCAACACCAGTAAAAAAGGAAGACACATCACTTTGACAATATAGGAAAATATATTAAAAATATATATAAATAGTCCTTAGTATATTCATATATAACTACTTTTAATAGGTATTTTTTCTCACAGAAATGTATATTTTACATCATTGAGATCATAAAATAATGTAATATTTAATAAATCCTGTTTTGCAATTCATATAAATCATAAATATTTTTTCCCTTCTCCAAAATTGTCAATAATATAATTTTAACCCCTTATAAAAGTGGTTATTTATACATTAGGATTTTACTGTTATCTTTATGTGTTTATGATATGGTTTGTCTGTGTCTCCACCCAAATCTCATCTTGAATTCCCACATGTTGTGGAAGGGATCCTGTGGGAGGTAACTGAATCATGGGGGCAGGACTTTCCCATGCTGTTCTCGTGATAGTAAATTTCATGAGATCTGATGGTTATCATAAGGGAGAGTTTTCCTGCACAAGCTCTTTGCTTGCTGTCATCCATGTAAGATGTGACTTGCTCCTCCTTGCCTTTCACCAAGATCGTGAGGCTTCCCCAGCCACGTGGAACTGTAAGTCCAACTAAACCTCTTTATTTGTAAATTACCCAATCTTGGGTATGTCTTTATCAGCACTGTGAAAACGGACTACTATAGTCTATGTGTATTTCTATTCCTGATTCATTACAGCCAGCATGTTTTGTATTGTTTTGCTAGAGGTTTTTACATACCCGATATTAAGAATTATTTAAAAGTTACTTTCTCATATACGTCAAAGATCTCTAATGGAAACCATTGTGATTTTTTATTACTCATCTTTGAACATAAGTATATATGACAACAGATGAAGTGGGTGAATTACTCTGGGTCTCTGTCTCTGTTCACTTGCATACTATTAAAATTATCTTTTCAGAATATACATTAGAAGAGAAATTGATGTAGAGATTAACCAAGGTTCTACCATTTAGTTGGCCTGTACCAAATCAGATATGTTGAACTGCAAAAGCTCTTTTGTTGCCTTTATTTTTCTGACTAAAGTTAAAATGTACTTTTCTATACTCTGTATCCACCTCTAATTTTGTGTGACACATGCTAAAAAAGCTAAACCAAAATTTGAGTGAGCTATAAGAGGCACTCGTCTGTAGGGGCAAAGAAAAGTAGATATCTCAAATTCACTGCAGTACTCTCCCTTTTTAGATTTCCTTCAAATACCGTCTTAAAAAGATTAATTTGTCTCTCAGTCACATACTCCCTCTAATTTTAGTGTATTTAGCTTTTTAAACAATTGTCATGTAACTGGGACATTGCTAGGAGCTATGGAATCTAGCTAGATGTTTTCTGGATAATCAGGGAAACAATAGCACTGAACATCAAACATACACAAGGACCTTGATCCGTAGGGAATTTTCCTGAGACAAGGGGCAGGTAGATAACACAAGATGTCAAGAGTCCAGAAGAAAATAGATCATGGATGAGACATCTGGTGATAAACAGCTGTGAGTGGTTGGAGGCAGTAGGTAGGGAGGGGTTGATGGCACATTTGCGAGTGACCTTGGTCTCTACTGTAATATCTCTGATGTTTCAAGTGAAATGTCAGCATTTTCACACAAGGACAGGTTTAGCATTGAGGTAATGTAGGGCTGTATATGGTAAAGTGTGATGGTGGATCTAAATGAATTTTTACCCAAGATGGCTACCTAATTGTTCCAATAACAATTGTTACATAATCATGATTTATCCCACTGATTTGATATATAAAGTTTACCAATTATCTAATTCTAATAGTATTTAGCTCTGTCTCTGGTTGCTGGACTGTCTTTGCATACTGCAGTAACTACTGTACAATTTTGTGTTTCAAATACCTTTCTTTTTCCAAAAGCTTTATATATGTTTTTGCATTTTAATACTTTTTCTCATGGAATTTAAAATCAGTTAGCTTAGTTTCTCCCCAGATTAGATAGATAGATTGATAGATAGACAGACAGAGAGAGAGAGAGAGATAGATGTGATTATATAAATTTGTACAGTAATTCTGAGACAATTTATGTTTTATATCTAGAAACCTGGTTGGTGTTAGGTCTCTTTTATGACATCTCATAGCATTTTAATGTTTTCATTGTATAGATAGTGTACATTGTTTAGGAAGGTACTTGAGATTATTTGATTCTTTTAGTTGCTACTATAAAATATTTTCTTTAATTTCATCTTCTAAGTAGTTACTATGGGTATAGAAATGACAGGTGGACAGATTGGGAAAAAATTTAAAATGTAGCCAAATACTGTCTATAAAATATGTATAGAAACACAAAGTGTTTGAAATTAAATATTAATAATTAGAAAATTCTAAAATTATAATATTAAAAATATACTTTAAAAGAAAAACTCATTATTTAACACTGAGGGCTACATTTTATTCGTACATGTTCATAGAGCTATAACCTGCCTGTCCAGATTTCACTGACGCATAATTAAAGTCATAATATCTATACTCAGATTTTGAGGCACATACGTGAACTGCTAAATTTTCGGTAAGTTCAGGTGTATATACTAGGATAATTTTTTCTAAGCATGCTGTTGCATGGTGACTTATGCTGGGACACATTGCAAAGGCCTGGGTAGACAGCTCTGGAATCACCTGCATTCCCATCCTCTTGTTGTTCTGCAGTTCTTACGCCAACTCAACACTGCATTCCTTCATTTTCCTGCTACATCCATCCTCCAAAGCCTTCCACAACCTGCTCTGTGCTCCGAAAACTAGTTTGCTTCCTAAAATTGTTGTCCACCTCTCATTTGTCTCTTTACCACCTTTCCCAGCATAAGCTAATCAGGCCTGGGGTTAGGTTACCAAAGTGTTAAGGTCCCGTGGTTGTGACAACATTCATGAGTATGGGTTTTGTCATCCTTTACTAGGAGGAGAGCTCTGGCAGTGAAAGTTCTTGGGGATGCTTTTCAGTCCTCTTCATGTGTTGGCTCTCTGCATGTATCCCTAATTTGTTTGTTATCAGCAGGACTAGCCTTGGTGCCTTGGTCATGATCATCCAGGGGTACCTCAGAGGTATGCTGCTACAACTACTAATTCATAGGGGTCGGCTACACAGTTCATCTTAATGTAGCCATTTCCTCAAGCCCAGGATGCCCATCAGGAGGGATTCTGTAATAGGCATAGCTCCACACAAAATTAGACTCTTCTTTGAAGGGCTAGATCCTGGTGCTAAGACTGAGCTTCCAGCTCAAATGTTCCCTTCATCATTTAAGGGGCTTTTCGTTCCAAGTGTTCTTCACTATAATCTGTTTTTGATTGTAGTCACCTCTGTTCATAAGAACTGTGTTTATGGCTTTGAAAGTCAAAAGGTCAGTTTCTTAGACTCCCCCAAGCAAATCATTACACCATTATGTGAATTTGAAAGTGCAATTAGATACCTCAGTCACCTCAATCCCTCTACAGAATCTTTCACTTGCACCTTGACAGTCTATTTATTTTCTTTTACATTCTACCATAGAAGAGAAGGTGAGTTCCTTTCTTACACTTGGAAAATTAAAAGGATTCATTCAATTAATTGTACCTAGACAAAGTGCAATCTACCTTACCTTATATTTTTTATCCTAAAAAAGTGCTTATAACTTCGAATAATGGCAGTTTTTCTAGCCTCAAAATTTTATCATGTAGATTTTATTAGTGACCTAGTATTACCCATTGATGAAAAATAGCATAAAAATAAAAGATTTTATATAAATAAAACTAAAAATGATTTGTTTATAACTTGCAGTTTTCTTTAAAAGTTATATGTGCTATAAGAATGGCATTAGAGTATTTAAGGCTGATTCACTTTTAACATCAAATCTAGATTTCTCAGAAATGGTTTCATGATTTGTCGTGTTTCTTCAATGTGATGGATAAAAGTTATCTGCCCATTTGGACTGTACAGAGTTAGGCCTTCCACTTAATTGCATTGTGTCCTTTTATGGCATCACTTTATATATAGTTTCCTTCCTCTTTCCTTTTTCCCTCTGTCTCTCTTCTTCCATTCTTGCCTTCTTTTTCGCTCATCCCACTAACCCTCCTTCGCTCTTCCTGTTTTATCTGATGCTACTCTATTCCTTTTCTATTCTGCCTCTCTCCCTCCTCCCTATCTGGTTCATTTTTTCTTTTCCTCAGTTGATTTCCTCTTTATTTACATTCTTCCTACTGCCTTTCTTCCTTCCTATTCTCTGTCTCTTCTTTTTTATTTCTTATTCTTTCCTCTTTATTCGACTCTTCCTCATGTATTCTCCACCTGTCTCTGATAGCTGTCTTCTTCCTTATCTTCCTTTGCTTTCTAAATACTAGAAATTATCTTTTGTACTAGTCTATTTTTCAAAGGTAGAAGTAAATCAGTACTTCTTAGTTAAACTCAGTAAAAAGTAACATAATTTTAACATTATATACTATGTTAAGTGAGCATGAATATTAAGAGTATATTTTAAGCATATATTTATTTTTAAAATTATTTGCCTATCCTTAGAAGTACACAGACCCATATCCATTGATTATAGAATTTATTTTCCACTTACAGGGAAGATTTTCTCTTTTTAAGATGCTACTTAAAACACCATGGAAACACACAGTATAAAACAAAACAAAATAATAACCATGGTCCCTTAATAAAGCAATTTATCATTTAGTGAGGATGGAGTTGTATAAATGTGTTGAGATGCTCATACATAGTATTATATCCAGACTATTAATGTGTTTTAATATGTATTTACATATTCTACACTTTGTTCCAGAAGAAAATGAGGGAAATATGGTTTCTGTACAGCATCATCATTAATCTATTCTAATCATTTTATACTGTGCAGAAAGGGAAGATGATTTGTTGCTGATCTGTGCAGCTCCTGTGGTCTTAGCCTGTTGCCTACATATACTAAATGATTTCTTACCAGTGAATACTAACTTGGTATATAATCTATCAAACTTGCATAAGATTTGCATTGTATAATTACAGCACAAGATCTTCCAACGATGTCTTTTCACCTTATACAGATAAAGAACAAAATTTAGGGCTACCTCTGACTAAAGAGTTGATACTTTGTTACTTTGTAATCAACAAAGGAATATATTATATTCATACACACACACTCACAAGTGAGTGTATATGTGCGAGACAATAGATATATTTTTCTGTGAGCTCATTATTAGCACTTTTCATTTTTTTCCCTTTGATTCCCAGAATTTAAATCTCTGAACAAAGACAATCCCCTTTAAATTGGTCTCCAAGGCACAGTTGTCAGGTCTGCTAGTAAGCAGCTCCATTCTTCCTGCAGATGGAAGCACTTTCAGGGTCAAACAGGTCACCCTCCTTTGGAGACCAGCAGAAGCTGCAGCAGAGTCCGCAGATGGTCTTGCATCAAAGAGCTCAGCGTTTAATTTGCGTGGTCTTCAAAACAGTATCACCCTGATTTTCCAGTGTCTACACTGGTCATCAACTTACAATTTAAAATATTTTATACATTTTAGACAAGAAAGGCTATTTAATTTATATAAAAGTCCATTATATTTCTAAATTTCTTTCTAAAAATCAATAACTGAATGCATGAAATAAGTAAAAAGGAATATTTAGCTGAGAAAAATTTACCTTGCATTTTCTTTTTGGCTCTTTGACATAATTAAAGGTCACAATTGAGCATTTATCACCCAGAGGTTATTATCAACTGCCCATTAGTATGGGTGGTCATTGTTGAACTAAATGGGAGACAAGGAAAAGTCCACTCATAAGGCATTAATTCTTTTCATTTGTACTTAAATGGCTATCCATTATCTAAGGAATCTGAGTATGGATATTACATCTCTGAAGAGTGAGGCATATTTATTCCTGTGTCAAAAAATGCCATCAAAATCGGTAAATACAGAGTTGGCTGTTTCTTTTTTTCTATTCATGAAATACTAGCATGCCTGTGATCAAGGTAATTATGCTCGGTTGACCTTAGGAGAAAGTAGTGATTAAATTATCATGTTTCTTCTATTTAAATTCATTATTTTGTTCTGCTGTCATGTTTGTATTTATGCTTCCAGACTTTCATTTACCATACCAGTTCAAACAATATTTTATAATATTCATTATCTCTGTTTCTATGTTAACACTTTCTACCACTGACACTCCCAGTTTTCCCCAAACCAAAATTTTTACTTCATTATGTACAAAATTCAGCTGCCTTTATTCCCCGCTGGTAGGATTTTTTATGTGATCTGGGAAGTGAACCATACTGAAGACATATCTAAGGATGGTGAATGAGAGGGAAAAAGCCACCCGACTCATCTTAATTATCCAAATTTCCTTTAGAAACTGGGGAGGCAGAGTGGAAAAACCCTGGAAAATAAAATTGTTAAGTCCTAGTGAAATCAACTGGGAAACATTATTTAACTTATTTGCATCATTTTTCTGGCATGTAAAATGACTAAAATAACGCTTAATTTGCAGTTATTGAGATTAGGTGATATGCCACATGTAAAGTACCAATCAGAGCATTCAAACATTCCTAAGTCATCTAATTTGTATTTCTTGCCTTCACTAGCTTTGGAGGCCTTATCCTAGTTCAAATGATATCTCATTAAAAACTGAAATATGAATCTTGTCATATGTTTTGTACAAGGTTCCTCTAGATGTGAAAGCATCTTGAGGGTAGAAACAGTACATCATTTTGTATACAGTACAATATGTTGTGTGTGGTAGGTGTAAAATAAATGTTTGTTTAGCTGAGTTAGTTGTATTGTTTATACATTCAAGAACATAAAAAGTGTACAGTATATATGTAGTAGAAACCAGTAAGCCTTTCTTAATACTTAAGCAGAAACTATTCATTCTTTTGCACTTAATGTGTACTAAAGAATTATCCAGCTAGGACAATCGTTTGGTTTAACCGTGTCAACCAATTACCTTGTGTAAAGGAACTGAGCAATGTAATTGTTCTTTATATATGTATTATATGTATAATCAATGAATGTGTAGTTATTTACTGACTGTCCCTTTTGTTTGTTTTGTTACATACTCCTATAGTGCTGTACTTTCTCTAACATACCCTGCACTCTGGACTCTCAACTTCATGAGGCAGAGGCTTTGCCTACACATTTTTTTAAATTGAATTCCAGTGTACTAACTATCCCTTGAACTTTGATTAATATGCCAATTAGAATAATCTACAAAAGCTTTAATCATTTTTTACCAAGCCTTGACTTTGTTACCATGTAATACTGGAATGTACAATCCTTTAATACTACTAAATTAAATATTTATATAAAAATTTTCTTAAATATGGACATTTCCTTATATTTTCAGTAGTCCGTAAGTCAGCAATTTCCCAATTGGGCTGATGAAAAATATTTTATTAAAAAATAATAGATTATAAATTTAAAAGGAAAAATAAATCTCTTTTATTTTTTATTTATTTTGTTATTTTTTTTTGGGACGGAGTCTTGCTCCATTGCCAGGCTGGAGTGCAGTGGCACGATCTCAGCTCACTGCAACCTCCACCTCCCGGGTTCAAGCAATTCCCCGCCTCAGCCTCCCGAGTAGCTGGGACTACAGGCATGCAACATCATGCCCGGCTAATTTTTTGTATTTTAGTAGAGATGGTGTTTCACCATGTTGGCCAGGATGGTCTCAGTCTCCTGAACTCGTGATCTGCCCGCCTCAGCCTCCCAAAGTGTTGGGATTACAGGCATGAGCCCCCGAGCCCGGCCAAGCCCTTTTTTATATTTAAGAAAATATTTTCTTTACTTGGACCAATGAAGATTAGTGTTTTTTACTTTTCTATGTTAATGTTTAATTGGCTTTATTTGAGTATAGAAAAGTCATGTTCTTATTGCTGACATCATTTTAAATAAAGAAAAATATGGATATTTAAAAAAGTCTTCCAAAATCCAGCTACAGAGGAGACAGGCACTGTTAACATTTTGGTGAATTCTGTTCCTTGATAGACCTTTGCCATCTGACTCCATTGCCCATTTATCTTGCTGAGGGACATGAAAGATGGTAACAGCAATTCTGCTATCCAAGCCACCATCAAACAGCCGCTCACCATTTTGTAGACACCCCTGCATTTTCAGAATCATTTTCTTGGATCCCCATTTTACCCTTTAATTTGGGTACCCATAGATGCAATTTCTCAGCATAATACTACTGCACTTCTTATAAGTTGGGGTTCTCTGACTACTGCCCTCATTCTTCTCCTTTTCTTCCTGACCATCCTCTTCTGGGAATGGAGAGGAGGTTAAGTGGTGGCTAGTGGTTGTGAGGTCAGTTTTGAGTAGTTTCCTTCCAATTATTGACAGTTCAATTTGGGCTATTGGGTTCTAAGTATCTCATTGCCTTATATTTTGAGACATAGTAAAAACAATAAGGCACCAAAGAAAAGCCTTCTCAATGTCTTATGAAAATGGGATTACAAAATTTCTAGATGAAAGTGTGATGTATTTATGTATTCATTTTTCTTTCCACTGTGAAATGTGATTAGCTAGGGCTTTTTTTCTCCTATGCCTCTTATTCATTTCAGAGGTCCAATTTGTTATTATCCAAGAATTATTTCCTCATTACTTTTAATTTTTTATAATAAATAAATATAAACCTTTTAACATTTTAATTATATTCATATCGATATTTGGACTTAATTTTTCAGCCTTTTTTTTCACAAACGTTCCTATTATATTTTATTTATGAAAGTCTCTCATGGGTATTCTCTCTTTACGTCTTGCTTTATTTCTTTTCAATATTTTAAATATTTGTTAGATACCTGAGAGTTACTTTCTCTAACAAGTACTTGTCATATGAAGAAGATTGCCTTCTAATTTTTTACTATTGCTCTCCTTCAAAAAAATGATAGCATAGTTGTTACTGCATCCTCCTTGTCCATAGAAAGTGACTGAAGACCTATTTCAAGATGTGGTACATAGGAAAAAGAAAGTCCTTAAAAATCCTCATGGTTTATGTATTACTTAATTAACTCATTCATGCTTTTCAATTCATTCAAAACGTACTTCCTGAGTGTCCACTGTTTACCAAATAGATGAAAGTTCTCTTTGATGACAGGGAACATGTATATAGTAGAAATAAATCAAAATTCAAAATCATTGCTATAATTTAGATTCCAGAACTCAATCTTACTGAATGATATACTATCCAGTTACATAATTAAGCAGCCATAAGATGTTATAGTATAATCCTCCTTTAACAGAATAATGTAATCATTTGTTTATTTTCATTGCTCTTCAAAAAAAAATTTAGGCAGAGAGAAAAACTAAAATGTGTTTTTTTAAGTTATTTCATTTATTTTTTACATAATTTTTCTTTATTTGTATAAATACTTCTTAAATAACAGATCTGTTATAAGAAAATTTAAAAATAAATTGTGCAAAGAGGAAAAAAACTATCCACACAGGTGCTAGGCTGGCTTGAACTCAATTTTAATACCATCTGGGAAAATGAGATCAGGGACCAAGGGAAAAAAAAAAAAAAGAAAGCTTTTTCTTTTTCCTTTTTGAACAGCCTGGGAGAGGATTTAGGTCAATATGTAAATGTTTGTGTACGTGAATAGGAAGCACTATGAGCTGGTTCAGAACATCAAGCTGCATCAGAGATTGAAGAAATTATAATTACATAGTATAAGACTGTTGCATGGAAAAGGGAAAATGTGATGATATCAGATGTTATTTGTTTTTTTTTTTTTTACACAATTTAGTAGCATCCTAGCAGTTATTTTATCAAGAACATACTTTTTCCATTCACATATTTGTTTCAAGATTTTTTCCCTTATATCCAGTCACCTAATGCTAAATAGGACCACAAATTGATTCTGTCTGCAAATATTTTTTTATCTGCTAGTATATTTAGTGATTGATTAGATGTGATTAATTCTAAGCAGCAAAAATTTAAAGTATTTTCCTAGTATTAAAAAGAGAAATAAGTGCCTGTTGCTTGTAATTTTTATCCTTAGCATACTGAAAAGTAATTTGTGTAGCAGAAGATAATGTTTGTACTGTTTGGCACACAGTGCTAAAAAATAAGTGCTTCTTGCCTTGGGTTATCCCCTGGGTACTGGTCTGAGGTATTTTTAGAGTGAATGGACGCATCTATGTGGAAATTCTTGCTTACCCCTGACACAGTCTTAAAGCAGATTCTCACATAAATAGAACAAAATTAATGACTACATGCAAAGCCCCTTAGAAGGATGGTGCTTAGTTCTCAATACTCAGTGAAGGGAACTGGAAGGAGTCATCAATCTTTCTTGGTAGATAAAGTAATTGTACTGGTGTTCCTACAGTTTCTAGAAGCTGCTGCCATGCCTATGACTTCTGTTCTCAGTCGGGCATAAGCATACACTAGAAGTGTATTTTAGGTGGTTCCTAAAATAAGGACTAACTCAAAAGTCTCCAGTCTCCATTACTCCTTGATTCCTCCAGGCTTATGTAAGTTATTCTTTCTTCTCTGTTATTTTGTCCCTACATTAAAACCTGCTCTCATAGTATACAAATTTCCACATCTTTCTCCCCTCCAAACTAAAATCTACTTGGTTAAAGAAAAAGCAGTATATATCAATGTTTATAACATCAGTTCTAGAACATAGAAGGCACTCAGTAGATGTATAATAAATAAAAGAATAAATGCTACCTTGATATCTACCTCCAAATGAAATTTGTTGTTTTCATGGAAAGCGGTTATCTATTGCTCAGTGAATGGAGTCTGTACAGAGCAAAGCTTAAAGAGCCTTTGACCAGTGGCTGAACTAATGTTGAAAATTAAACTACTACAGTCTTATTGATTAGGATATATCTGTTACAAATATTATTTTACATCATGAATCTAGCATGGCAGTAAACATTTTTGAATTAAAATTATAAATATATATGTATATAATATCAGAAAACAACTTGCTTTATATCATATAATACATTCACAACTATTAGTGTCTTCTATTTTTCTTTAACCCTTTAAAAACCATAGAGGTAAGAGCTACTTGAGACTATACTTATAAAAATGTCCTTTAATGATTTGTTAAATAAACTCTTCAAAATGTGCCCTATTCTGACCCTTAATTATATCCACATTTTTATTTTATTTTTGCAGTATCAATTTTTTAAGTGACTGATTACCACATTACATTTACTCCTTGGGCTTTATTTGGGCACTTTAGACAAAAACACAATTTTTTCATAATATCAGAGAAATGTACCAGGAGATTAACCATATTGTTTCCATGTTGAAGTCACCACATTGTACTGTCACTGGCAAAAGATAGTGCTCTGCTTTTATTCTAACGGGCATTTGCTTGTTATTTTCCATAAATAAAATGCTGCCTAAACAAGGTATTTATATTTACTAGCAACCGTTTTTTCCCATAAATCACATGAGATTCATAATTGCAGTTTGCATTTATACCCTCAACTGAACATATTATTTGAGATACTACATCATTTTAACTATGTTATTTTCTGGATATGGAAAGTTTGATATCCAAGAGGTAAATTATTTAAGTCTAATTCTACAATAAGTCAGTTGCAATGATGGAGTGAGGCCTAAGAAAGTTATTCATTTGAGACCCATAATTATAACTTTGACAATTTTTCATAAATTTTTAAAAAGATTATTAGCAAAATAAAAATTGCTCACCTTTTTTGCTTACCATATTCCAAGAATGTGTCTAAATGCTATATTCTTACTAATTTAATCAACTCTCCCCTCACATTCTAATGAAGGAGTTGATATTACTAATCATATTTTTAAAAGAAAAAGAAGCAGCAAAGAATTAGTTTCCTAATCCAAGTTCATAAAATCTAAATGTATCATAGCTAGAATTTAGACCCACTGGCTCTTCTCCTTTAGAGCCAGAGGTCTCAAGGCCACACTGGCACAATTCTTGGAAGCTGAGCAATATACAACCTGCAAAGCTGTACATGAAGGTCCTGAGTGCTTTTAACCACTTCACTGTAATGCCTCTTGGGTGAAATTGGCTCACATATATTTTTCCAGAAGAAAATAAAGACATATCTGTGTATTTGTAACTATACAAATATATCAGTTAAGTTGTATTAATTTGTATGCAGCATTTAAAAACATCTTCACACAACTCAAAATCAATTAGCTCAATAACACTTTTTGAAACTCAATACAGCTGGAAATAATGACTAAAATACAATCATCTTTTTAAAATGGTTGTCTCTAATCACTTTAAAATAGAAAATACACACAGACTGGTACCTTCTGGATAACGATTTTCAGGATTTTGTGACCAGGTGCATGACCAGGTGTTGGTGTGGTCCTGGCTGCAAGCAGGACACATTATTAGCCAAGATTAATGTACTGAGTGATGCATTGCAGCTCTCAGATCAATGTGGACTGCTCCTGATATTCAATATATCTTGCAAAATGACTTCAAAGAAACAAAAAATATCCATGTGAGTGATAAAATACTCTTTTCGAGCCATATGCTTTAGTGTAATTTGAGCTAATGATCTATTAGAAAGAGAAAAATTGTTTCTAATAAAACAGTGTTATAAAATCTTGTTCCTTCTTACTAAACCTGTGACACTTTTCACTTTGCACCTATATGAAATTGTGTGGAAGAGAACATTGTTATTCCTAGATTAATTCTGCTGAACCACGAAAATCAGAAATTAATTTTATATTTTAAAAGGTCTTTTAAAATTTATGACAGCTTTTTAGTGTTCAATATCCTTAATAGGAAGTCTTAATTTTTGTTATCTAGACATTTGTTTTGTAGAAACAAGCATGTTTATGTAGTTCACTGTTATATCCTTAGCAATTAGAATAGCTCGAGTGACACATTGTAGGTTTTCAATAGAAATCTGTTGAATTAAGTTGATATCTTTAAAAAAAGTGAAAATTAAAATAAAAAAAACCTTAGTACTGTCCAGGCGCTGTGGCTCATGCCTGTAATCCCAGCACTTTGGGAGGCCGAGGGGGGCGGATTGCTTGAGGTCAGGAGTTCGAGTCCAGCCTGGCTAACATGGTGAAACCCTGTCTCTACTAAAAATACAAAAATTAGTCAGGCGTGGTGGTGCATGCCTATAATCCCAGCTACTCAAGAGGCTGAGGCAGGAGAATTGCTTGCCTGGGAGGCAGAGGTTGCAGTGAGCCAATGTCCTGCCACTGCATTCCATCCTGGGTGACAGAGTAAAACTCTGACTCAAAAACAAACAAACAAACAAAAACAGTACTATATCATAAATTTTCCAAAATCCTTAAAAATCCTTAGAAATTATAGTTTTTAATATCTTAATATGCATCTCTAGTCAGATACATCATAATTTTTTTACAATGTTCCACATTTTTGGACATTTAGTTTGTATTTTCTCTTAGCAGAAATTATACAACATAGAACATTCTTGTTCAATTACATGTGTTTCTCTCATTGATTTTTTTTTTAAATAAATTTGATAGGTGACATTGCTGGTTCAAAGTGCATAGCAGTTTTAATATAATGCCTATTGCATCCGAAGTATTTTATCAGTTTAAACACTTCTAAGGACATAAAACTGTCTAATTTCCCAACATTCCCTGTAACACTTAGTATTAAGATTTATTAAATGTTTTTTAATGTGATAAATAAAAGCACATTTCGTTGACATTCGAACAAGTACCTCAATATTATTGCTTAATTTTAAAGTGCCAGTGGGGATTGTTGATGACAGCAGAATAGGTCCCTGGGTCACATTCTTACCTCACTCGGAGTTTCCAAATTTTTATTTATGGTTATTCTAATAGGCCTGATTATACTAAACATAAGGCATATATTATATAAATTTGGCCTTCAGTTCACCCCCTCCCAAATCTCTAGCTGTTAAAGAATATCTTGTCTGTTGAGAGGTGGCATTTAAAGACACAAATAACTGTCATTTCTGTTATTATGTTTTCTATTTCCAAAGGGAAGACTATAAGATATAATATTTTAGATCATTAGATTGACAAACAAGTACTCTATATGGCCAGAAATGTTACTAATTTTTCAAAAGAAACAAAAAGAACAGCAAAAAATGAGCACTTGGATGCCAAGATATTTTTAGTCAACAATCATTGCTCTATAACTAAATATTTTGAAAAATATTTCACCTAGTAAGATTTTTATGATTTAAAAGAAGTAAAACATAATAATGTTGTAAATTGTATAGTCATAAACATTGTAATTTGACTGATGACCCTGCTTTGCATTTCTTTGCCTTTTTGACTGATCTTCCCTATGTTGGAGCAATCCCTCTCTCTATGAGTCTTGCCAAGGGACAGGGCTCAGTTTCCATTGCGGAAGCTGAAGCATCCATATGCTTTATTTTTTCTAACCTACTTCTATGATAGTGGGAAACAGGCATATGCCTAGGAATTCAATCTTGACCTTCCTACCCAGGACGAGAATCTCTCACAGGAGGGTAATGAGTCATAGTAAAGAATTCCTCTTGGTTGCATTGATGGTGTCAGCAGGAGTACTTCACTCCCAGTGTTGGCAGTGGCAATGACCTCAGACCTCACCATACTGTTACTGAGGCATAATTATGGCTTGGTTCTGATTGCCTAGCTCTGTAAGTCACAGGTCAGAAAACCAAGACTGTTTCTCCTGAAAATTTCTGGGCTGCTCTATGAGATACCTCATAGTCTTTGAGTAATTTCCTTTTAAACTTTAAATAGCCTGAATCGTTTTTTGTTGCAGCTGCTAATAACCCTGACTGAAACAGAATTTCTAATCTAAAATTAAAATAATTAATCACTGCAGATATAATAGATGATGGAAGGTGTGTGTCTCTGATGAGCACTTTCATCTAATACAAGGTTAATTGTCCAAAAAGAACTCTGGTAAGTAGGGTAGTGAAAATAGGGTATCATGCTAAAAAGATTAATTACCATGATAGTTGGAGGTCATAACTAAAATGACTAAGGATTGGTAGTATGGATAATAATAAAAATCATTTTGAAGCTTTGACAGCCATTATACTAACATTTATGTGTTTGTAGCAGGCTGGAGATGGAAATTATTACATCACCTTATTTCTACAAAATATATTTTTAGTTTTATATTTCACTAAGTTTACTGCTAGATTAATTGTCAGAATCTCTTATACTGATATTCGTACTGACAATACATTGCTATATGGTATATCAAAACTCTGTTCTGGACTGTTTAATATTTCTTCCTTTATCTAAAATGTGAACTGTGGCATTTTATCTGTTTGATTTTTGCCTGCATCTTGCGAAGGTATGTTTTGCGGCAGTTTGAGCAACAAATTTGGACCACCCCACTGTTGCAGAGAAGTTATTACTTTTAGTATCAGTTATTTTGATGAGATGACATGGATTTCCAAATATTCCTCCTCTCTGGTGAATAAACTAACAGGTAATAACTGAAAGAGATCCCTATATCAGGAATTCTCTGACAGAATTCCACAAAAGCAAAGATTTTCTTAGAGATTATTTTGCATCCTGTAAGAAAACCTGTGTTGCAAGTGATACATTATTTATAGCGGCCTTTCAGAAGATAAGAAAGATAAGTTTCCTCAGGTTTTTTGACTGATAAAGTCTTCAATTTGTCAAAGTATTCATTCACCCCTGCAGGGGAGGAATTCTTACTGATAAGCAGTAAGTTCTCATTATAACTGATCTTTATTTCTGTAATGAACTATATTTATGTGGTTACTATTTTTGAATTGAAGTTTCTTATAGATTATGTCCTACTAAATATATTTTTAAATTTAAAATGTAACAATAAATTAATATTTTTTACTTGTGTATGCTCTATCAGGAGCTATACCAAGTATTTAATATATTAAATTATTTATAAAAATCTGTGATACAAAATATTAAGGTCATAGAGATAGAAGAAAGTTGAAATTAAGGAAATTGTACAAGGTTTAAAATCGGTGTCCTAGCATTATATTATGTGGCTTTCCTCAAAGTAATCTGAAAATTTTAGGAGGTTATGGGGAAAGTTATGGTTGTACATTGTCAAAGGTCAGACATTGCAATAGACATATATGAACATGAGACACATGTCTTATGAACAAACCGCCAGCATTTATGGCTACAATCAACAACCATCCTGGACACCACTACCAAATGCTTCTTAAATATCACTTTAATTATATTTTTCTCATGTTCAAAAGTGTCCATTATCTGCTATATGAAGTTGTCTCCTAAGCCTTACATCTAAAGCTATTCATGTTTGATTTCAACCTACTTTTCATTACCCATCTACCATTATCTCAATATGTACCCTATATTCCAGCCAAAATACTTTGTCCTGTCTTAAAATGGCCTGTGTAACTTAGATTGGGTGATATTGCCATCCTTCATTTTCCCATTAATGATGATCTATTCTAAAATGTACAATAAAACCTTTTTGTTATCTTTCCAAATGGAATGGACCTCTTCTTCCCTGAAACTTCATACGATAGTTTTCGGAGGTGGCTTTCTCATGGTCAGTACTAAGCTTAGTTATTTATGTAGTTCATCATGCTAAGTTTTAAACTCATCTTTAATGTCTTGCATTTTCTCTGGGCCATAGCTTGAATAGCTTATGTGGCTATTTTCAAACTGATAACCAATAATTCAAGTTAGTTTTTGAACAGCAACAACAAAATGCAACTCCATTAAAGCCAAGGCCACAAGAACTTTCACAGCACTGTTATTAAAATATATATAATATATAATCATGTAATATTTACTGTGTCAAATATTAATTTTCAAGATTTTTTACATGTTTTTCTCATATATCAGGAAAGGAAGCTATAATCAACCAAAATATATCTTGGGAAAAAACAACAATGATTTTTCTTTGCTTTGTTACTCTCCACAACACACATAGTCTTTCCCCCTCTAAACTTCTGGAATCTCTTGCTCAAGCTCTAGATCACATCTTATTTTCTCCCCCTCCCCCTGTTTTCCTAATGTACAGAAACCATCTTGCAATAGCACAAACCTCATCAAAAATTGGAGAGGGAAAGAAATAGACAATATCAACTTAAAAGCTTCTCTAGAAGAAGAAGAGGCTAGCCTAGGAAGCTTCTTATATCAATAAATATGGTTCTGTCCAGTAAATACCGAGACACTCTTAGAACATTCAGTTGCCTTTTAAATACTTAACTAGGAAGAAAAAAGCTTTAGGAGCAAAAGGGTGATTAAAGATAGATTTTAAAATATATATAAAACGTATTAGCATTATGGTAACATAACAGCTCCTATTAGAACTTTATGATCTTTTGAAATGGATTTATAAGCTTTGAACATAAAAGCAGTGTTAATATATTTAAAAATTGCTAATTAGGATCATCAGAAGATGTTAAGGTCTGAATGTTTGTATCCATCCAAAATTCATGTACTGAAACCTGATAACCAATGTGATAGTATTGCGAGGTGGGGACTTTGGAAAGTGATTACATCATGAAAGTGGAACGCCCACGAATGGAATTAGTGCCCTTATAATAGAGGCTCTGAGGAAGCTTGTTTGTTCCTTTCACCAGGTAAGGACATAGCCAAAGATGCCATTTATGAATCAGGAAATGGGCCCTTGCAGGATACCAAACCTGCTGGCACCTTGATCTTGGTCTTCTCTAGACTCAAGAATTGTGAGAAGTAAATTTCTGTTGTTGAGGAGCTTCCCAGTCTATGATATTTTGTTATAGCAGCCTGAACAAACTAAGATGGTGATATTTGTCACCGCTGAGTTAGAGTTTTCACTCTATTGTTTTGGATATGTAGTCTTCTCTAGAAACTAAAATAAGATATATTTGTGAGCACTCACATTTGAAAAGCCCAAGCAAGTATAAATCCAAGTCCCCACACTAAGGCCTACTCTCCCTTCCCTGAGGCATACAGGCAGCCTATTGTGCATGCATTTGGACAACCCAACCCACATGTCTAAATTTCATCCATACACCTCACAATCAGTTGCAAATCTCTTGGCTATCCAGTGGATCTAAAGGTAACACACTGGCAGCAATTGATCTTCTCGAGGACAGACCAGAAAAAGGAATTTGCACAAAACTTGAAAGTAAGCTAAAGTGCATTTGGGAAAAGAGCTCAAGGGTCCATGGTACCTGGAGCATGATCTGGAAGAGAAGGGGCTTCTGGCTGGGTATGGTCTCTTGGACCAACAATTTTCTCAACCTGTGGAAGAGAGTGCCACTTTTCAGTAATGAGTAATCCAATATATGACCAGTTAGTATTTTAGAGTGAAAAACTGACTTTTACATCCTTATTTCTCCAGTTAAAATTGTATTTAAAATAGACCTTTTATTTCCATAGTGCATCTATATGAATAATTCTGTAAATTAGTTTATCTAAAATTTATTTTACAGTGTTTCTTGACTCCCCCTTTTTTACAATTACACAGCAATAAAATACAGCTCCACATATTCTAGCTATGTCATTCAAACTGGAAAACAACTATCATCAGCCTTTGTGACCTTTGCCAATTTGCTTAACATGTCTGTGCCTCAGTTACCTCATCTAAATATTAGAGCATTTCCTTTTAACTATAAATATTATCATTAGAAAATGGGTAGAGTAGTACAAACACTCTATAAAATATATTCAACACTAAGTAGAAGTTCATTTGATTAGAAGACTTTAAAGTAAATCTCAAGGTATAAAAAAGTATTGAATTGATTTTATTCTTAAAAATATTCTCATTCATGCTTATGAAACTGCTCTTGCTAAACTGCAGGCCATATTTTCTTTGTGGCAAGAGCTTCTCTGAACAAGACACTGGTAATTAGCATGTAAGTAACTAAAGATACTTAATAGAATTATTATTTTGGGTACATATATTTCATACATTTTTCTCTGGGCTTAATTCATTGCTAAATATAATACTTTACCTGTCAATAGCCAGAATTAATTTATAAAGTTGAAACCCATTTATCTTCTGTTGACAACAAATATTTATCTAACACAGTCTCTAAGTTTGACCCAGGAGAAGTCATTTACCTTCTTTTTGCTTCAGCTATCTATTTGTAAAACAAGAAAAATGATGGTCATTCTGCACCCAATTTTAAAACTGTCATTAAGATAAATGATAAGCCCATGACAAGCTTGATGATTTTTCAGTAGAAGGATGAATTTATCTATTTATTTATTTATTGTTTTCTACTTCCGTGTTTTTCTCTCTATTCCTCTTGCCCTTTAACAAGGTATCAAAATTTGAATTTTATTTTAATTTTTCTGTTCACTTTTTAGTTTTTCTTGTTTGCATTATTTTACATTGGTTTTCCTATTATTTGTGATATGCATCACTAACATAAGGATAGTCCTCTTAGAGTTAATAATGCACTACTTCACGTAAAATACAGAAAACTTGCAACGTTGACTGATGTATATCTCCCATCCCTATCCTGTAGGTTGTGGTTGTTATATATAATACATCTATGAACATCATAAAACCCCCAATATAATATTTTTAAACTATTATATGATTTATAAAGAAATTTAAAAATGTAAAATTTATTATTGTCTATGGATCAGAGTTTCTATTAACATTGACTTCCCTTCAGCTAAAGGAAGAACTTTCTTTAGCATTTTTTTATAGGACAGGTCTTCTGGCAATAACGTTACTTAGTTTTGTTTTATCTGAAATTTTGTTATGTTATCTTCATTCTTGATTTTTTTTCAAATATAGAATCTAATTTGTCAGGTTTTCTACATTCAGCAATTTAAGATGTTTTTCTACTCTATTGTAACTCCTGCAGTCTCAGGAGGTTGTCTACTTCTGATAATATAATTACAGGTGTATTTGACTACTTGATATCATCTAACGTGCTTGAGGCCCTATTCATATTTTAAAAAATTATTTTCCTCTGTGTTTCTCACTTTGGATTATTTCTATTGAATAAGATATCTTCAAGTTGACTTATTTCCTCTGTCATGGTCATTTGGCTAAGCAATTCAGTTAATTTTTCTGAAGTTATATTTTTCAGTTCTAGAAATAGGTTTCTCCAGAGAAACAGACATATAGAGATACACGTGTGCATGCACGCACACACATACACACACACGCGACTCTTAACCATAAGGGGGTTAAGGAAGCTGATCCCCGCACAAGCAAAAATATCCCCTTATAAATTAACCCCCTGAAAATTTAACTACTAATAGCCTACTGTTGACGTGAAGCCTTACGGATGCATAGCCAATAAACATGCATTTTTTATGTTATATGTATTGTGTACTGTCTTCTTATATTAAGTAAGCTAGGGAAAGGAAAGCATTATTAAGAAAGTCATAAGGAAGAGAAAATACATTTACCTTACTGTACTGTATTTATTAATACCTAAATTTACATCTTCTGTTTATAAGATTAATCCTTTGTCTAAAATGGTGGGAAACTACAGCTCCAGACCACAGTCTAGGATACATATCAAGTAATTCAACTTCCTTAATATGGTGGCTTTTCTTTGTTTCTTGGGAACACTTCCAGTATCACTAGTAGCATTTTATATGAGTCTCATGGTGTTATTTAAGGTTTATGGTATTACATTAAACATGATGAAAAATAGGCAAAACCTGTGAGAGATGACCTTTTACCATGATATGCAATTTACTGGAGAGACAAACTTCTCAGCAGAGATGTTTAGCCTTACAGGGCATTTTAAGCAGATACTCCCAATACTTGAGCTCAGGGCAATAGCAACAGGAGGTGGCTATAAAATTATTGCAGTAATATAGTATGTAGTACAGCTAATTTAATGTGGTTATGATTTAATACTGCATCTTTACTTTTGTTTACATTGCTCTTGACTGCAGATGGTACCACAGATTATCTATAAGTGTTTGTGTGGGTAATTTTTAAATAAGGAATTTATATATGTATTTTACGGTAGTAGATGATAAGACAAAACTAGTATCTACATATATTTTATGCCTTAATGACATAACTTTTTCTTAATTTTTTGATATTTCAAAGCTATGAAGTTTGTGAGTTTTTTTCAAAAATTGTCACAAATTTCCAAAAAAATCTGATATATTCATTGAAAAAAAAAATTACGTATGTGTAGACCCATGCAATTCAAACCTGTATCATTCAGTGGTCAGCTGTACAAATATTCTGGTAATAAATGAAAAGAGGAAAAGTATTTTTGTTCACCAAGTACAAGATTAAGTAGAAAATCTGGTAGAATATACAAAAACACAACTAGAACTAGAGTTTAGTAATGTTGCAGGATATAAGATCAAGCATCAAAAATCAATTGTATCTTTCTATATTAGGAGAGGACAACTGAAAATTAAAATTAACAAAACAATAATTTACTAAAGTATCAAAAATTAAATACTTAGAAATATATGTAACAAAATATATGCAGAACTATACACTGAAAACTACAAAATATTATTGAAAGAAATTAAAGATCTTTGTGAAAGATAGACCACGATATTGGGTTGGAGGACTCAATCATGTTAAGGTGTCAATTCTCGGCCGGGTGCGGTGGCTCATGCCTGTAATCTCAGCACTTTGGGAGACCAAGGCGGGAGTATCATTAGGTCAAGAGATCAAGACCATCCTGGCCAACATGGTGAAACCCCGTCTGTACTAAAAATACAAAAATTAGCTGGGCATGGTGGCGTATGCCTGTAGTCTCAGCTACAAAGGAGGGTGAGGCAGGAGAATCGCTTGAACCCAGGAGGCGGAGATTACAGTGAGCCGAGATCGCGCCACTGCACTCCAGACTGGCAACAGAGCGAGACTCCATCTCAAAAAAAAAAAAAAAAAAAAAAAAAAAAAAAAAAAAAAAAAGAGATCAAGACCATCCTGATTATCATGGTGAAACCCTGTCTCTACTAAAAATACAAAAATTAGCTGGGCATGGTGGTGTGTGCCTGTAGTCTCAGCTACTTGGGAGGCTGAGGCAGGAGAATCGCTTGAACCCAGGAGGCGGAGGTTGCAGTGAGCCGAGATTGTGCCACTGCACTCCAGCCTGGCGACAGAGCAAGACTCTGTCTCAAAAAAAGTCAATTCTCTCTAAATTGATATATACCTTCAAGACAATCGCAATCAAAATCTTAGTCAACTGTTTTTATAGAAATCTACATGTTTCTGAAATTCCTATGGAAATTTAAATAACCTAGAATTGCCAAATCTTTTTTTGTTTTTTTGTTTTCAGATGTGAATAGATGAGCTTTCTTTTTATTTACTTATTTTCCAGCTTTATTGAGGTATAACTGACAAATAAAATTGTGTAAATTTAAGGTGTATGATGTGATGATATGATATGTGTAAATTTTGTAAAATAATTACCACAATGAAGTTATTTAACACGTTCATCACTTCACCTATTTACTATTCTGTGTGTGCATGTATATTCAGAACATTTAAGATGTATTATCTTAGCATTTTACAATTGTACAATTCAGTATTTTTAACTATAGTCAACAGGCTTTACATTAGATCTCAAGAACTTATTTATCTTATAAATGAAATTTTGTTCCCTTTGACCAATATGTTCCCATTTCCCTCACCTTCCAGCCATTGGCAACCACCATTTTAATCTCAGCTTCTATACATTTAACATTTTATATTTCACATTTAAGAGAGATGATGAAGTATTTGTCTCTGTCTTATTTTTTATTGTTGAATAATATTCCATTGTATGCATGCTGTGTGTATATATATGAAATATATCCTATTTTAAAAATTCATTCTTGACAGACACTTAGATTATTTTTATGTCCTGGCTATTGTGAATAATGAACAAAGGATGAAGATTACTTTTCAAGATGCTAATACTGATTTCATTTCCTTTAGATATATACCCAGAAGAGGAAGAGCTAGAGTAGTTCTATTTTTAAATTTTTTGAGGAACCTCCATACTGTTTTTCACAGTATCAGTTTTCATTCCCACAAACAGCATAGCAGGGTTCTCTTTTTACCATATTTTTGCCAATACTTATTTGTGTCTTTTTGATAATAGCCATTATAACAGGCATGAGGTGATATCTTATTGTGGTTTTTAGTTGGATTTTCCTGATAATTAGTAATGTTGAAAATCTTTTCATGTACTGTTTAGCCATTTGTATATCGTCTTTGGAAAATGTCCTGTATAGGTCCTTTGCCCATTTTTTAATCAAAGTATATTTGCTTTGGTGTTATCTGTTTGTTTGGTTTGTTTTTGTTTTGCTATTGAGTTGTGTGAGTTCGTTACATATTTTGGATATTGACCTTTTATCAGATACATAGTTTGCAAACTTTTTTCTCCATTCTATTGATTGCCTTTTCATTTTGCATATTTTTTCTTTTTCTGTGCAGAATCTTCTTAGTTTGATACAGCCCCATTTGATATTGTTGCTTTTGTTATGTGGACTGTTGTCACATTCAAAAAATCATTGTCAAGACCAGTGTCGAGGAGCTTGTGGAGGAAATTTTCCCTTATGTTTTCTTTTAAGAGTTTTATGACTTCAGGTCTTACATTTAAATCTTTAATCAATTTCGGGTTAATTTTTGAGAGTAGTATAACTTAGGAGTCCAAATTCATTCTTTTGCTTGTGAATATTCAGTTTTCCCAACATTTATGTACCCCATAAATATATACACCTATATGTACCCACAAAAATTAAAGCTTAAATTTAAAAACATTTATTGAAGAGAATATCCTTTCTTCATTGTATATTCTTCTCCAATATTACTTGACCATATATACATGGGTTTATTTCAGGTCACTTAATTCTGTTCCACTGGTAAATGTATCAGTTGTTATGTCAGTACCGTATTATTTTGATTACTATAGTTTTGTAATATAGTTTTAATCAGGAAGTGTGATGCTGTTGGCTTTATTCTTTCTCAAGATTGCTTTGGCTATTTGAAGTCTTTCGTGCTTCTATACAAATTCTAGAATTGTTTTTTCTATTTCCTTAAAAAAAATGCCATTGGAATATTTTTAGGGATTGCATTTAATAGATTGCTTTGGAGGCATGGATATTTAATATTATTAATTCTTCTAATCCATTAACGTAGAATAGGCTTCTGTTTATTTTGTTTTCAACTTTTTTTTATCAGTGTCTTATAATTTTTAGTATATCAGCTTTATAAAGTCTATAACCTCCGTGGTTAAATTGATTTCTCAGTATTTTATTGTTTTCTAACCTATTGTATCTGGGATTGTTTTCTTGATTTCATATTCAGGTAACTCAGTGTATAAAAATGCTACTGATTTTTGTATTTTTTTTATTCCTCCAACTTTACTAGATTCATGTATTCTCACAGTTTTTTGGTGAAGTTTTTAGGGTTATCTATAAATAACACAGTGTCATTGGTAAACAGACAATTTTGCTTCTTCCCTTCGGATTTGCATATTTCTTTTTTCTTGCCTAATTGCTCTTGCTAGGGCTTCTAGAACAATCATGAATAGAAACTGAGAGTGGGCATCTTTGTCTTACTCTTTACTTAGAGAAAATGCTTTCCTCATTTTACTAGTGAGCATGATATTAACTAGAGATTACATATATATATATAGCCTTTATTATGTTGAAGTAAATTTCTTCATACCTAGTATGTTGAGAGTTGTTATGAAACAATGTTGAATTTTGTCAGCTGCTTTTTCTTCATATATTGTGATGATCAGATTATCCTTCATTGTGTTAATGTAGTATGGCACATTTATTGATTTGCATATATTGAATTATCCTTGCATCCCAGGGATAAATCCCACTTGATTATGGTGTACTGTCTAATGGTCATCATTAAATTTGGTTTGACATTATTTTTTGAGAAGTTTTACACCTAAGTTTATCAGTAATATTGACTTTTAATCTCATTTCTTTTAGTGTACTAATCTGATTTTGGAGTCAGGGTAACACTGGCCATATAAAATAAGCTTGGGAGCATTCCCTTCTCTTGAATTTTTTTGAAAGAGTTTGAGAGTTGACATTAAATCTTCTTTAAATGTGTAATAGAACACACAAGGGAAGCCATCTGGTCCTAGGTTTTTATTCCTGGGGATATTTTTGAATACTGAATCAATATGTTGTTATTGATCTATTCATATTTTGTATTTCTTCAGTGTTGGTAGGTTGCATGTTGCTAGGAATCTATTTCTGTTAGGTTATACAACTTATGGGGAGTATAATTATTCATTTCTTATGATTCTTTGTATTTCTGTATTATCAGTTGTGATGTCTTCTCTTTTATATACAATTCTGTTTATGTGAGTATTTTCTCTTTTTTCTTGATTAGTCTAGCTAAAGGTTTGTATTTTTGTTTATCTTTTCAACAAACCAGTCTTAGTTTTGTCAATTTTTTCTGTTGCTTTCCTATTCTCCATTTTATTTATTTCTACTCTAATCTTTACTACAGCCTGTCTTCTGCCAGCCTGAGTTTAGTTTATTCTTCTTTTTCTAGATTTTTAATGTGTAAAGACAGGTTGTTTATTTGAGTTTTTAAAAATCGTGTAGGCTAATAAGCCTCCCTCTTCTGACTATTTTTGCCATCTCATAAGCTTAGGTATGTTGTATTTACATTTTAATTTATCTCAATATATTGTTATTACTCTTTTGGTTTCTTCTTTGATCCGTTGGTTGTTTAGAAGTTATATAATTTTCTACGTATTTGTGACTTTTACTAAATGCCTCTTATTGCTGATTTCCTATTTCATACCATTGTGCCCAGAACATATGCTTAATATTAGCTCAATCTTCTTGAATTTGTTAAGACTTGTTTTTGCAGAATGTTTCGTGTTCACTTAAGAAGAATGTATATTCTGCTTCTGTTGGGTGAAATTTTCTGTATATGTCTGTTAGGTCTATTTGATCTACAGTGTTGTTCAAATCTGCTGTTTCCTTGATTTTGTGCCTGGATGGATGTTCTATCCATTGTTGAGAGTAGGGTGTGGAGATTCTCTACTGTTGTTGCATTGCTATTTATTTCTCCTTCATTTCTGTTAGTATTTATTTTACATATTTAGGCATTCTGATGTTGAGTGCATCAATATCTGTAATTTTTATATCTTCTTGATGAATTGACCCTTTTATCATTATAAAATACCTTTCTTTGTATCATGACAATTTTTGACTTAATGTCTTTTTTTATCTAATGTTAAGTATGACCACCTCTGTTCTCTTTTGGTTACTGTTTGTATGCAATATCTCTCTCTACCCCTTCACTTTTAGCTTATGTGTGCCCTTAAAGCTAAAGTGAGTTTCTTGTAGGCAGAATATCATTTGGTTTTTCTTTTATTCATTTAGCTACTCCATGTCTTTAGAGAACTTAATACATTTATATGTAAAGTAATTATTAATAGGCAGGGACTTACTAATGCCATTTTGTTAATTGTTTTCTAACTATTTAATACATCATTTTTTCCTTTCTTTCTCTCTTGCTATCTTCTGTAATTTGGTGAATTTTTCATGGTGGTTCCAAATCAACTTTGCAAGTGAAGAACAAAGTTAAAGAAGTAATACTACACGCTGTGATGTCAGGCGTTATTATACAGTTTTGATAATTAAAAGAATGTGGTATTAGCATAAAGATAGAAAAAGAAATGAAAGAAAATAGAGTCCATAAATATTCTCACTAATATTTGGACAACTGATTTTTCACAAAATTGGATAACAAATGGAAAATGAATAGCCTTTTCAGTGAACCATCTGGAATAATTGATGTCCATATGTTAAAATGTAAAAAGAACTGCATTACCTATGTGCCACCATATACAAAAAATAATTCAAAGTAGGTTGTATACCTACATATAAAACACAAATCTCTAAAACTTCTAGAATAAAATATACAATAAACTATCTTTGATCTTTATGCAAAGATCTTTAACTATAACAAAGTATGATTCTTAAAGAAAAATTTAATATATTAAACTTTATCAAAATAAAATATTTCTCCTCTTCGAAAGACACTGTTAATAAAATTGAAAGCCAAGCTACTTTCTGGGAGAAAATATTTCCAAATTCTATATCTCTTGAAGGACTTTTATACAGAATATATAAAGAACTCTCCACATTAAATAAGTAAGCAATCATACACTGCTTTTAGTAATATAAATATAAAATGGTACAATCAGTCATTTTGAAAAACAAATTGGCAGTTTTATTAAAAATTTTTACATAAACTATTATATAATCCAGGCATTACATTTCTAGGTTTTTACTCAAGAAAAATGAAAGCACGTGTCCATAAAAACACTTGTACATGAATACTTATTGAAGCTTTATGTGTAATGATTAAAATGTAGGAATATCCTAAATATTCATCAACAGGCAAATAGATAATCCAACTATAGCATATCCATACAATGGAATACTATTTAGTAGTAAAAATGAACGAACTACAATGGCAGAGATGAATCTCAAAATAATTATGCTGGGGCTTTGAAGAAAAAAATATAATTATGCTGAACGAAAAAATTTCAAAAAAAGTTGCAGGGTGATTAATATGTTTATTATCTTTATCATTTTGGTGATTTTATGGGTGTACACACCTACTTAAAATAGTACACCTTAAAGATCTCAAAAAATTGTAATATTTGCCCATTATTGCTCATTAAAACTGTTCAAAAATCATGGCTCTGGATTTGATAGGACTAAGACCCTGCCAGATGACCTCACCTGGCCATAGTACCTATAGTAACTACCTGTAGACAGTAAAGAGTAGAACAATAAAATATAAATCTGGCAGGAACTTCACCCCATAATCTTTCTATCCTGTGAAACAGAAACATGAAACAGGGAAAAATTATGAATGCTAAGAAAGAGAAAAGGAGATGCTAAAAAAGGAGAAATCTAGGATGGAAAAAAACCCAGGGAGAGTATCTCTAAAATCTTTCTATCTCCTTCTCTGACTGATTGCTAAAGGAGGCATGGATGGAACAAACTCAAAGCCGCTCAGCCAAAACTAAAATATTTAAGCTTAGACTGAAGATGCCACACGAATAATCCTGGAGAGTGAACAGCAGCGGATAGCCCATGTTAGAATGCACATTCATTTGAAGGAGGGTAGACGGAGAACGTCCAAAAGGAATCTCTAAACCGGGTATCCATATCTCTGCACATGCACAAAACAGAATGCAGGGAGCCTAAATTAAGACAAAAAGTTAGACCAGGGAATGGTGCTGCGGCACAACCTACTCCAGAAAACTACCCGATATCACGGAGAAGCAGCAGTCACCACAGAAAAATAACAAGAGTCCACAATCTCCACAGTTGATCCAGATTACCTGACATAGAAAACATCAAAAACATAAAAAAAGGACAACATTTTCAAGTAAAGATATCAACTAAGTCTGACCTTGATATGAAACCAATATTGAAACTAGCAGACTCTGATGGCCAATTATATGTATTAATTCAGCTAGGCCACATATGGGATGCCCAAATATCTTTTTAGACACTTTTTTTTTTTTTCCGGGAGGGTCTATGAGGATGTTTCTGGAAAGGATCAGCATTTGAATTGAACTGAGTAAAGCAAATTGCCCTCCCCAGTGTGGGTGGGCATCAGCTAATCTATTGAGGGCCTGAATAGCATACAAAGGTAGAGGAAGATTGAATTCACTCTGCCTGACTGCAGAGCTTAGACACTGATATTCTCCTGATAGTCTCCTGTCCTCAGTGCTCCTGGTTTGCAGGCTCAGTTTCAGACCAGATTCTATACCATCAGCTCCCCAGCCATTGGGCCTTTCAACTGTTCCATTTGCTTTTCTGGGTTTCTAGCCTGAAGATGGCTGATTGTGGGACTTCTCACTCTCCATAGTCAAGTGAGTCAATAACGTATGATAAATCTCCTTGTATATATATATATATTTGACCCTTCAACAATATGGATTTGAACTGAATGAATATACCTGCACAGATTTTTTTTTCAATAAATATATTGGAAAAATTTTGGAGATTTGTGACAATTTGAAAAAACTCACAGATGAGCTGTGGAGTCTAGAAATCTCAAAAGAATTAAGAAAAAGTTAAGTATATCATGAATGCATAAAATATATGTAGATATTTGTCTGTTTTATCATTTACTACCATAAAACATACATAAATCCATTATTTAAAAATTACCCCCACAAACACTTACAGACCATACACAGTGACATTCACAGTCAAGAGTAATGTAAACAAATGTAAAGATGCAGTATTAAATCATAACTGCATAGATTAGCTATAGTAAATACTATATTACTGTAATAATTTCACAGCCACCTCCCATTGCTATTGCCCTGAGCTCAAGTGTCGGGAGTATCTACTTAAAATGCCCTGTGATGCTAAACACTTGTGCGGAGCAGTTTGTCTCTTCAGTAAATTGCGTGTCACAGTAAAAAGTTATCTCTCATGGCTATTGCCTGTTTTTCATCGTGTTTAGTGTAATACCATAAACCTTAAATAACACCATGGGACTCATATGAAGTGCCACTAGTGTTGCTGGAAGTGCTCCCAAGAAGCAGAGAAAATGACATTAAAAAACAAGTTGAATTACTTGATATGTACCCTAGATAGGTCTGCAGCTGCAGTTTCCCACCATTTTAGGCAATTCATCTTGTAAACAAATTATGTAAACTTAGATATCAATAAATACAGTACAGCATTGTAAGTGTATTTTCTCTTCCTTATGACTTTCTTAATATTGTTTTCTCAGCTTAATGTAAGAAGACAGTGTAGAATACATATAACATATAAAATATGTGTTCTTCAACCATGTTATCAGTAAGGCTTCTGGATAATACTAGGCTATTAGTAGTTGCATTTTTGGGGAGTCAAGTTACACAAAGATTTTTGCCTTTTTGGGGGGTAAGCTCTGGGGTTAAGGAGTAAGGTGGGTTGGTGCCCCTAACCCCAACTTTTTCAGGAGTCAGCTCAACAAAGTTTACAGAATTAGAAGTGCTAAAATTATATTATTAGTCCTACTTTCCTTATTTTATTTTATTTTGTCATCAATAACACTAGCATTCATTCAAACCCTAAAAGGTTTCTAAATAATTGTTTATCTGGAGCCACAACTGAGAATAATGCCTTAGCATTTTACTTCCTCATATCCCCCTTCTCATATTTGTGTTTTTTCTTCCTTTTACTTCTGTACTAGTATTTCTTATACTCACTCACCATTCATATTTTAAAAGATACTTTTATAACTGTAATTAATACCTGTGACTTCTTGGTATATAAGTAGTAAGAAAATTAAATGTTGTTTGCTTTAATCATTCACAATCAAATTGCTTAAAACTAATAAGAAAATCATGGAAAAACTGGGATGACCATCTAAATTAAGCCTCCAAGTCTCCTGAAGGAGTCATGAAGAAACATGTACATACATTTAAAAACTAATTTTTGACGTTTAAGAAATGAAAGCTCTGGTCGGGCATGGTGGCTCACGCCTGTAATCCCAGCACTTTGGGAGGCCAAGGTGGGTGGATCACGAGTTGAGGAGTTCGAGCCAAGGCAGGCGGATCACGAGTTCAGGAGTTTGAGAACAGCCTGGCCAACATAGTGAAACCCCATCTCTACTAAAAATACAAAAATTAGCCCAGTGTGGTGGCAGCTGCCTTTAGTCCCAGCTACTTGGGAGGCTGAGGCAGGAGAATTGCTTGAACCCAGAAGGCGAAGGTTGCAGTGAGCCAAGAGCATGCCATTTCATACCAGCCTGGGTTACAGTGAGACTCCGTCTCAAAAAAAAAAAAAGAAAAAAGGAAAACAGAAATGAAAGTTCTGGATAGTTTATTAATATATTTAAGGAAAACTAATGCTGCAGTTTTATTTTGCCTTGTAGGTCCAGTAATAAAAAGATAATAATAAAGGTTGCATAAGATAATCTAATATTTTTCTATAGCACTCCCTTTGATTGGGCAACAGATTTTGATTTGACTTGTACACACACACACACACACACCTGTAAACATGTGCTGTTTATGGGTGGTTAGCTATATATGTAACTTTATAGTTATATGTACCTAATTGTACATTTAAAAAAATTTTAATTAAGAAAGCATTATGTGCTAGATTATGATAATTTTTTAAAGTGCTGTATTTATATTTTTTTCTCAGTGTGTATATATTTTACTTTTTAAATATCAGTAATATGGTAAAATATGTTAGCTTATGTCTCCATTTTCCCTAGGACTTTATAACTGTATATCCTTAAAGATAAGTATTGATTAGCACAAAGAAAGTCCTGGGTACATATTAATGTATAGCATTATATATGGATACCGTTGATATTCTATGTATCAATTAATATATTAATGCATTGTATAGATTTGTTCTTTGGAATGTTGCATTTCTCTATAGCTAACTTTCTCAAATGTGGACCCAGTGTTCGTTTTCTGTATGTGAACCAAATAAATGTATATTTATTGTTTTGTATGTTAACTTTCTTTATGGCTGCACTTTCACAAATATTTTCATAGCCATCTCTGCTTCTGGGAGACTTTCAAGAACATAATCAGGAACCAAAATCAATCATAATGGGATTATTATTTTCTATTATAATTAAATGTTAAATAGAGATATCTAATTGTATCCTCCTAGTTAATTGCATTTATTATTTTTTTTAAATTTATCATAAGCTTCTCTATACTTAATAGTCACCTTGTGTCCTAGAAAAATTAATGTTTATTTTGCTTCTCAAGGAAACAATTAAGGTACTAGAAGAAAATAATCCCCAAATATTCTTCGGAGGCTTAAAAGATCTTTACAGTGTTCTCTCCTGAATACAAAACAGCATCCATATCCCTTCAAGTACATTCCACAGTCTCTTCTCCAATTAGTTTTTCTTCAATCCGGCTGTGTGGTTTTGTGGAATGTTAGTAAAATACCCTATTTCTAAGCGTGTGTGACTCAGTGCGCCTGAAGTGGTGAATGTAGTCCTATGAGAAACACGTGGCTTCTTCTCTGGCACTCTCCTGATTAACCCCTAATATATCCATGTCTCCCCACTTCATAAAATAACAGCATTACCTTACATTCGTACAGTTACCTTACCAAGCATTATTATATCCCTGTCTCATTAAAGCCAAAAACAATTTGAGGTAAAGGTATTATTACTTTCATTGTTACATGACTAAATTGAAATGTAAGGAGGTGTTTAACTTCCCTTAGGTAAAGTAGGCAACTAGTGAATAGCCACACAGGTGCTGGAGGCCTGTGTCCTCATTTGATTTTCCATAGGACCAAGTAACTTGGCTTTGGTATGGGGACATTTTGGGCGGGGCTGTGCCTTTCTTTCTACACCCACATTTATTTGACATTTTCCTTTTTGCAAAGGCAATTAAATAAATGCAAAAGAAATCAAAGTCAACTCCATATTCAAATTATACTTGTGTATTTTAATCAGTTTAAGAAAACATGCAGCCAGTTTGTAAATAAGGAATATCAATCAGATCTTTATAGAGTCATGCTAGTAGAAAATATAGAATTTGTATAAACTATTTGAAGATGTGAGAAGGCATCTCATCACAAACTCACAGCTGACACTATGTCATTTAACTCATTTTCTCCATGTTAGTGTGTCAAATTGTCAGAAATATATCGATGCCTGTAACTTCAATAAGCATAAGACATTGCATAATAATTTGTTAGCAGGGGACAGGAAAGCAAGCAAGCAAGCAAAATGGTATGTGAAAGTTGCCACTTTAATATATGTTTCCAAAATTATCTAGATTTCAATTGTATATTAAACAAAGTGTTGCTTAACAATAAGATGGATACATCTTAAAAATCCCATATACACAAACGTAAAGTATTACTTAACATAAACAAATATATAAATGGTAAGAGTATTAGGCACCCTCAACCAAGACTCTAAAATTACCCATAGAGAATCTTTACCTTCTTCTCTCCTGTGGTATCAAGATTTTCTGAACCATTTGTATTGATCTCCTCCATAAGTGACTGTCCATGTGCAATATTAAGGCACTCATTGTCAAATCTCGAAATAAGAGTCTTGAGAAGCACAGCCCCTAAAGACATATCTCAATGTACTTTTCCAATAAAAAAATGTGTTGAGTATTTCAGCCCCATGAAGAAACATAAATGTATATCATTGTGTTCTCTACCATATTCATATAATACTATGCCTTTTTTTTTTTTTTAAGACAGAATCTTGCTGTTTTGCCCAGGCTGGAGTGAAGTGGCGTGATCTTGGCTCACTGCAACCTCCGCCTCCCGGGTTCAAGTGACTCTCCTGCCTCAGCCTCCCAAATAGCTGGGATTACTGGCACCTGCCACCATGCCTGGCTAATTTTTGTATTTTTAGTAGAGATGGGGTTTTGCCATATTGGCCATGCTGGTCTCGAACTCCTGACCTCAGGTGATCCACCTCCCTCAGCCTCCCAAAGTGCTAGGATTACAGGCGTGAGCCACTGCACCCGGCCAATACTATGCCATTTCAACTGAAAAAGTGGTAGATACGGTTGAAAAGAAACAAGTGAAAGACAAAAGTGGAAGAGTTAGAAAGCAGATGGTATCATCAGCCTCACCAGTGGTGTTAAACATGATGTTTCCTTTATTAAACAATGTAGATGGTTTCCTGTCCCTTCTTCACTTTCAAGGAGCCTACTGCATCAGCTAGTTAGCGTTGGCTGTCTTGATTGGGTATATCTATTATAATTAAATGTTAAATAGAGACATCTAATTGTATCCTCCTAGTTAATTGCATTTATTATTATTTTAAAAATTTATCATAAGCTTCTCTATACTTAATAGTCACCTTGTGCCCTGAAAAAATAATGTTTATTTTGCTTCTCAAAGAAGCAAATTATATTATTATTATCTGCATTATAATATTAACTGTTATTTTACCTGCTTATAATTTAGTAAATTATAAGCAACTAAATTATACGCAAGTAAAATAAGTTAATATTATAATGCAGATAAAAGTCCAAGTATCACAAAGATGATACTAGAAAGCAGACAATGGAAATTAGAATGAAGAGCAGTAGAGCTGTCATTCACTCATGACTAAATTTGTCCATGTTATCTGGTAATGTCTGTGTAGTGTGATGGCCAGTAGATACTGTTTGTGCCCAGCCCAGTTTCCTTTCCCAGGCTAGTGAAGTCTTGGGAGTACTGTAGCTGCTGTGAGCCTTGTCTGCTCATGGTTCACAGCTTCACTTTTGTAGGTGAATTCACTCAGCTGACTAGAGGCTCAGAGACTCCTGTGGAGTTGTGCAGATCCCTTGGGGATAGAACATAGTCAGTGACCTAACTGAGGGAACAAATTTATGGGTACTTTCCCTTCACAATTCCCTGTGAGATCAGGTTGAAATAGATTTTATTTAGTTGCTTCCCCTACCCTGTTGTTCTTCATTTGCTTCCTTACAGGTTTCTCCTAAGAGCACTCCCTCAGTCAAACATTCCTTGCACAAGAATCTGTCTCAGGCTCTGCTTCTAGGGAACTTGTCTTATGACAGTGGCCTGTGACAGCCCTTGTTACATACAATAGGACCAAACAATTCTTTATAATGGCAGATATATGTTAACTAAAAGTCTAAATAGAGAGTTTACAGAATTTCCGATTCCAGATAAGTTCTGGAGATCTGTTGTACAATATCATGACTATACTTAATAGTAATGTTTATACACTTGAAAACTGGAAAAAGAGGAGATCTTAAATGTTCTCAGAATAAGTGTATGAAGTGATGGATATGATAATTAGCTTCATTTAATCATTCCACAATATGTAAAATATCATGTTGTATACCATAAACATATACAGTTTCTATTTGTTAGTTTAAAAAAAAGAAGAGAAAAAAAAAGAGCTTGTATAAGTTCCAAGTGTGCTTGGGCCACATGTGCCTAGAACCTAGAAATGCATTGTTTAGTAAAGGTACTTGCCTGGCACTCATATTGCCATATTCATTTCTAAGTTACACCTCCCATTTCACTGGTAATTTCTATATAGGTGCTGCATAAATGCCTGCTGCTCACTAAGGAGAAACACTTTCTAAATAAAACCGTGTGTGTGGAGTGCCAACAATTATAATCTTTCTCATGCCTGTCATTTGAGCAGAACTGCTCAGAGTGGTATGGCTCTAATTTGTTTTCAGAATATTAGATTTTAAAATTTCAGATTCTGGTATAATGTTGAGAAGTATGATATGTACAATATGATATTTGTACCTTTTACTCTGGCTCTAATTTGTTTTATGTTAAGAGAATAATTTTTAACAGATGCAGTTTATACTTAGCTATCAATGGTGAAAGTTCTGATTTTCAAAATATATCCGAACTTACCCGAGCTAGTTCTTTTCTGACAATGGTGGGAGATCCTCTAGTTGCTAAAGCATTGTTCTGTACTTACTATCTATCTATCTATCTATCTATCTACCTACCTATCCATCCATCCATCCATCCATCCATCCATCTATCTAGACAGAGTTTTGCTCTTGTTGCTCAGGCTGGACTGCAGTGGCGGGATCTCAGCTCACTGCAACCTCTGCCTCCCGGGTTCAAGCGATTCTCCTCCCTCAGCCTCCTGTATCCCAGCCTGTAGCTGGGATTACAGGCGCATGGCACCACCCCCAGCTAATTTTATATTTTTAGTAGAGACGGGGTTTCACCATGTTGGCCAGGCTGGTCTCAAACTCCTGACCTCAGGTGATCCTCCCGCCTCGGCCTCCCAAAGTGCTGGGATTACAGACATGAGCCACCGGACTCAGCATTTTTTTTTTTTTTTTTTTTTGAGACAGAGTTTCGCTCCTATTGCCCAGGCTGGAGTGTGATGGTACTATCTCGGCTCACAGCATTCTCTGCCTCATGAGATCAAGCTATTCTCCTGCCTCAGCCTCCCAAGTAGCTGGGATTACAGTAGCCTGCCACTATGCCGAGCTAATTTTGTATTTTTAGTAGAAATGGGGTTTCACCATGTTGGTCAGGCTGGTCTCGAACTCTCGACTCTTTAAAAGTATTAGTTCATTTATTACTTAGAAAAAATGTTTAGGTTGGTTTTATTATTACCACGATTTTATAGATTGAAGTAATAATACAAGGGGGATCCAAAGTTAAAAAGAGTAAGCGATTTCTTCAAAGTCATGTCATTTCTAAGTGATGGGGCTGGAATCCAGTACCAGTCAGTCTGATTAGAGAGAAGGTACTTGTGACTCAAATGTCAGCTTTCTGCTCCTGGTAAAGCCTTTTCAGGAGAAGAGTCCCAAGCACGATGTTTTTTTATGTTTTACCCACACTTCCTGGCACAATGTAGTCCACAGCAAAAGATCAAAGAGGACTCCATTCAAGAAGAGGGGTCTGTGACTGAAATCACACTGCTGGTTGACTTTATCTTCTCCTGAGAATGCCCGCCCAGCAGCTTCCCTCAAGCAAAATTGATCTGAAAACTTTAGGCACCGAAGATAAGATTCTAATGGAGAAAATCTTGATTTAGATTTCCTTAGGCATGGAGATATTCTAGGCCCTGCAGCATTCGGAAGGACTGAGAAGTGACATTCACTGAGTTAACTCCCTTAAATGTGGGGCTACACAAAAATAGCCCTAAGAAAGGGACAAAACATATTTCAACCTTTCACAGATGAGGTTTAGAGAAATTAAATGTTTGCCCTGGATCCTGGAGCTAGTGAATGACAAAGGAGTTCTTTTCACAATTCTGGTCATGTCTCATTTGCAACCCTTGTTTTACTGGAATAATGTAGTATGTTCTGGTGACAGTAGGTTCTGCCTTGCTTCCTTGGGCATAATGAGATGTAGCCGGGAGAAATGAGGTTATTGATTCCATGGCCTTTTCAATAAGTCAAGATTTTGAGATACTTAATAGTAGTCCACACTAAATTAACATTCCTATGCTCTACTGACATTTTCTCTCAAGGAATCATCAGCACAGAGCTGTTACTAGTTCTCTCTCAATAAAACCTATTTCTCTTCCCCAAGGCTCCACAGTTTTTAGAAGAGAAAGATTCCTTGGACACTGTGTACTTATTAATGACAGTTCCTAAACATGTGAGAATAGCTGGAGGAGAGAACAACTGTACAGGAAAAATATAAATCTATTATTTCTCTATTCATTCATTCAGTTATTTTTGGTTTCTAGTAACAAGTGTCCTGACAGATTTCAGACCATTACCGTCTGTAGTGTTGTCCTGACACCTAGTGGGAGAATGAAAAACAAAAACGTTATTTTTAAAGAAGCATGTCTGCTATTATAATTTAGAAATTAAGTATACTTTATGCATTGAAACAAAGCAGTGTTTTGACCTAAATAAAAAGTAGATAAGCACAAAGCTGCGAGTACATAATGCACTCACTTCCTTATAGTATCTGTCCTTGTATGTTACAGTGATCAATTGCTGGCTAAATCCTTTTCTTCTGATCTATAAAATGTGTCCCACCCTAGATATGGTACTGTGAATACTAGAGACAACATATGTAAAATATATTATTTCAGCCAAAAACTACCTCCACTTTCTACTTACGAACTAAAAAGCAGTCAATTCTTCCTCTATTCCTTTTATTCATATTAGAGACCCATTAGAGGATAATCTCCATCCACGCTTTGTCCTTCGTCCATTCTTCTCTCTGTCCTATATCAATGACCTATTCTAATTTCTGGCTTCTCCCTATCAGGATTTAAATATGCACAACTCTCCAGCATCATAAAACATTGAAAAAATTGAAAACAACCACTATCAAAACAACTGTAGCAGAAAAGCACCCACCAATCAGCCAAAACCTTTAACTGCCAGGTCCAACCTCTTCTCTTTTCCCCTGCTTTTCCCTTTATCGTCAAGCTTCTTAAAAGAAGACCTACACTTACCTCCTCCACGTTCTCTATTCAGATGGATTTAATAACCCACCTCAGTCCATATTCAGATAAGAATCCACAGAAAATGCTTTGCCCCCCAACATTCCCCATTGGCTTCTTTGTTAGATAATCAGTGAACGCATTTTAATACTTATCTTGCATAACCACTGGGCAATATTTGAAATTCTTAGTCATTCTCTTTTTCTCCAGACATTCTTTAGTTTCCTAGAATCCATACTTTTCAGATTTTGTTCCTGCTTATCTTGGTACTCATTCTCAGCCTCCCTCTCTTGGTCGTATTCCATTACCCAACCCTTAAATGTTTTTGTCCCTTAGAAGTCTCATTGTGTCCATTTTTCTGCGCTGAGAACATTGTATTTGATAACTCCAATTTGTATCAATATATGCTGATGACTTCAAATTCCCAATTTCTGTCTAGATTTATATTTTTATATCCCAAGATCTACTCTTTGAGTAATGCAATTATTTAATGATAATGTCACTTGTTTTATGGAAGCCATTTCCCTGAACTCACACTAGATTAGGGACCCTCTTGTTTGCTTTCCAGTAGCACCATTTAAAAACCATTATCACAGTGACTCCTGTAACCATATTTTACGTTTTTAATATAATTTATTTTCCCTTTTAAACCTTACCTTTTATACATTATCACAATCTCTTGTATAGTAAGTCCTTCCTTAATGTTGTCAATAGATTCTTGGAAACTATGACTTTAAACAAAACAACTTACAGCAGGTTCTTAAATAACTTCATTTCCTTCAAGTCATTTTGTCATAATGTTGATGAGGAAAAAGATGGTTTTGTTATACATAATTTCTCTTAAAGCCAGTTTCCAAAAACCAACTGACAATGTTAAGTGAAGACTTTCTGTATGTATATGATTCAAACATTGTAGAGGCAGATAGAGTAAAATGTGAATTTTCTTTTGCTATCTCCCTACTTTCAGACACACACCTATATACACACAAGCACATACACACAGATACACACAAGGACAGCCTCTCTCCTTCTCAGAGGTAAGAGGTTTGCAGTACACTTTTTTTCCTTGTATTCGTTTTCTGTACATTTCCATAATACATGTCATTACATGTTAACATAGTTTGTTTCAACTATCGCATTTGTTGCTGCCTCTTGAGTAATTTTTACTTTTTTTAAAAACATGTATTACATACACCTTGCCAATGTAAGTAAATACTTCACCCCAAAAATTGCACCAGCTGCCAGGCATATCCGCTAAGTTTAGTGAAACCTTTCAGGCCTACAGAACTATAAATAATCAGCAAGGAGTACATTAAATTAACAGCTACTGTTTCCAATGATGCCTAGCTTACCGGCAGAAATTATACAGGTAATACGGAAGTATAATCAATATGCCAATGCTTTATATTGAAAGACTAAGTGTTTTACCAATGCATTTTCATACATATTATTTGATTTTAATAAAAATCCAGGGAAATATATAAGATGTCAGTGATGTGTAATTGTTCAAGAAACAACTGAGGTCAAATCGTATTTATTTCATTTTTCTTTTGGAGAGAACATCATCTTTGATGATAGAAGTAAATCATCTCCTAATATCAATACTGCTTTAAATTTATTGAGTCAATATGCTATATAGTTGTTAATTTCAGAAGTTTTAAAAATATCTGGCACTTTGCCAGAGTATAGACATGTCATTTTCATAGGTATATGGAATATTTAGACCACATAACAGGTACTAAATACATCCAAGTTTCTAACTTTTTGTTTCCCTTCGTATTCCTCAAAAAAACATGAATTTAAGTGAATGAAAATATCACAAGTAAAGAATTTTTAGGTTACAGAACTCTGTGTATTACCTGGCCACATACAATAGGAAATGCAACATTACACTTAGCTTATTATTGTAAATTTTATAAAACATTATATATATATATGCCATATAGTGTAAATCAAGATATTATAAAATACTGTATTTAGATTTTACATCCCTGTTCTACCTTCGGCAAATTACATAACTTCTTTAAGTCTCAGTGTGGCAGATGGAATTCTAAGATGGCTCCCCATGTTCCCTGGCCCCTACTTCTCCCACTTAAAGACTAATCTCAGTTTGCTGCAAAAGGATTTTTCAGATGTACTTAAGGTTCTGAGTCAGGTCAGCTTAAATTAGGCATATTATCTGAGTGGGCCTGCCATAACCACATGACCCTTTAATGGCAGAGAGCTCACTCTTGCTGGTAACAAGGGGAAATCAGAGATTCTAATAAAAGGAGAATTTGAGATGCCACTGCTAGCTTGAAAGAGGGATGGGGCCACATGGCAAGGAATTCAGATGGTCTGTAGGAGCTGGTAGAGCCCTGAGCTGTCAGGCAGCAAGAAGAAGAAAACTTCTGTCACTCAACCACAGGAACTGAATTCCTCCAACCAAAAAATGACCTTGGAAGCAGATTTTTCACTAAAGCCTTTGGATAAGGACTCAGTCAACATACCTTGAACAGAGAAACCAATCATTATACCATCAGACCTCTAACATACAAAACAAATAACATACAAATTAATAAATGTGTTTTAAACTTCAAAATAACCTATACATCTATGCATCTGTGACTCTCTATGATCATTTTTAAATGATGTCTTAGATAACTATCCAGAGAGAGAGAGAGGGATAGAGAGAGAGATGGAAAGGGATCCACCTGTTTCTATGAATACATATTTAGATTATTTCCTTTTTTTTCTGCAGTGAGCATCCTGGTACATAAATCTCTGTGTATGTTGGAATCATGATAGCTTTATAGGAACAATGCTAAGAATACATGAAGTTTGAATTTTGATTGATGCTGTCAATTTGCCTTTCCTGAAGTTTATGTTGCCGTTATTAATATTTTAAAAATATTCAAAGCAATAAATATTATAGACCTAATTTGTATTCTCCAGTTACTAATAAAGCTGAGAATATTTTCATATGTTTAAATATTATTTGCATTTAATTGTGATAACTTTCCAACTTTCTAAGATATTTGTCTTTTTTCAAAATGAAAGGTGATCTTTATATATTAATTATTTATCAACATATTTTGCAATTCATTTACAGATTATAAGCTTACTACTTACCAGACACTGTTGTTTGTACTTGAGATTTGGTGGTGAATGCTACAAATGAGTTCATTTCTTTCATTCATGCTTTTTAAATTTATTCTAGAGAGATGGGAAACACCATAATTTGATAAGTCTGATAGTGGTAACTGCTATGAAGAAAACAAAACAATATGATACAAGAGATATTGAGTGGTTAGAAAGGCTTTTTTGAAGAAGAGATATTTTAGCTCAGAATGAAATCGTAAGCAGGCAATAGGCAGGTGCCTGGTGAAACAGGGGGAACCATTTTGCAGGGAGACAGAAGAGTGTGGAAGGAAAAGGGAGCTCAGGTCTAAGATCTGAACACTTAGAGGTGGACACCACGAGGAAACCCAGAAAAGGGACTAAAAAGAAAGAGCCAGGCAAAGTGGAGAACCAGGAATATGACACAGAATCCACCGTGAAGAAAAACGACCTTCATTATTTTACAGAACTAAAAAAAGGGTGTTGGGGGTGGAAGGTGAGAAAATGGCTCATACCTATAATCTTAGCATTCTGGGAGGCCAAGGTGGGAGGATTACTCAATGCCAGGAATTTGAGACCAGCTTGGGCAACATAGGCAGACCCATCTCTCTTAAAAAAAAAAAAATTAAAATTAAAAATAGCCAGACATTGTGGTAGTCCCAACTACTTGGGCAGCTGAGGCAGGAGAATCCCTGTGCTAGGAGTTCAAGGATGCAGTGAGCTATTGATCATATCACTGCGCTCTAGCCTGGGTGACAGCTGAAACAACAACAACAACAACAACAACAACAACAAAAGACCATTTTTGTGGTTGGCCAGAATGGAGGTTCATTGCATTGGGAAGTAGAGTAAATTGTGATGGTGAGAAAGGACACAGTGACTATAGACAACACATGCCATGAAGGGAAACAGGAAGTAAGGTGGTAGCTATGGTTCGCTGAGGGGTATTGGAACATATTTAAGTGGAAACATCTGCTATAAAGTGATATAATGAAGTTGTAGAAGAAAAAAGGAATATTGACAAGAACCATATTGTTGGGATAACAAGAGAAATAGAGATATAGGGCATAAGAAAAATGCTTGTAGCCTTTGAGAGAATGGGAATGTTTATTTTAAGAGGAGCCTGACGCATGTAGAAAAGATGGTTGAATGAATTATAGGAGAATACGGAAATTTCATTTCACTGCCTCTAGTTTCTCAATGAAATCCATGAAGCAAGCCACAGCATAAAGGCAGTGAATGTGGGGGCAGCGTGGGAAAGAGTCATTATATATGAGAAGAAAAAAAGATGTGTAAAACTACCATTTTCCAAGAAAAGGGATTAAAAAACACCTGGACAGGCAGTGCATAGGACCAGTTTAAGATTTACCATTATCACAAAATGCCCTTTTCCCCTCGCACTTAAATTTTCCTTTGGTTGAGTACAGACTTAAGTTAAAATTGTTTTATCTCACAGCTTTAAATATAATTATTTTCTCACTCTTCTTGTGAGAAATCTCGTGTAAATCTGATTTTCATTCTTTTGGAGATAACCTTTCCTCTCATTTCTTAATTTTACTTCTCTGCAGCTTTTAACATTATCTTTATGCTTTCAAAATGATATGTCCAGATGTAAATCTATTGCTAAAATTCATCTTGTAAGTCACTTAGTTTGATAGAAGATATATATCTGTTTTCAGCTCTAGATAATTTTCTTTTAATATTTCTAACTTGCTATTTTCTTTCTTTACTCCGTAGACCTTGGAAGTTCTGAATCCATCATTTTTTTTAGTGGTAATTATTTTTTTTATTTTTGTTATTATTATTATTATACTTTAAGTTTTAGGGTACATGTGCACAATGTGCAGGTTTCTTACATACGTATACCTGTGCCATGTTGGTGTGCTACACCCATTAACTCGTCATTTAGCATTAGATATATCTCCTAAGGCTATCCCTCCCCCCTCCCCCCACCCCACAACCGTCCCTGGAGTGTGATGTTCCCCTTCCCGTGTCCATGTGTTCTCACTGTTCAATTCCCACCTATGAGTGAGAACATGCGGTGTTTGGTTCTTTGTCCTTGCGATAGTTTGCTGAGAATGATGGTTTCCGGTTTCATGCATGTCCCTACAAAGGACATGAACTCTTCCTTTTTTATGGCTGCATAGTATTCCATGGTGTATATGTGCCACATTTCCTTAATCCAGTCTATCGTTGTTGGACATTTGGGTTGGTTCCAAGTCTTTGCTGTTGTGAATAGTGCCGCAATAAACATACGTGTGCATGCGTCTTCATAGCAGCATCATTTATAATCCTTTGGGTAATACCCAGTAATGGGATGGCTGGGTCAAATGGTATTTCTAGTTCTAGATCCCTGAGGAATCGCCACACTGACTTCCACAATGGTTGAACTAGTTTACAGTCCCTTCAACAGTGTCAAAGTGTTCCTATTTCTCCACATCCTCTCCAGCACCTGTTGTTTCCTGACTTCTTAATGATCGCCATTCTAACTGGTGTGAGATGGTATCTCATTGTGGTTTTGATTTGCATTTCTCTGATGGCCAGTGATGATGAGCATTTTTTCATGTGTCTGTTGGCTGCATAAATGTCTTCTTTTGAGAAGTGTCTGTTCATATCCTTCACCCACTTTTTGATGGGGTTGTTTGTTTTTTTCTTGTAAATTTCTTTGAGTTCATTGTAGATTCTGGATATTAGCCCTTTGTCAGATGAGTAGGTTGCAAAAATTTTCTCCCATTTTGTAGGTTGCCCATTCACTCTGATGGTAGTTTCTTTTGCTGTGCAGAAGCTCTTTAGTTTAATCAGATCCCATTTGTCAATTTTGGCTTTTGTTGCCATTGCTTTTGGTGTTTTAGACATGAAGTCCTTGCCCATGCCTATGTCCTGAATGGTAATGCCTAGGTTTTCTTCTAGGGTTGTTACGGTTTTAGGTCTAACGTTTAAGTCTTTAATCCATCTTGAATTAATTTTTGTATAAGGTGTAAGGAAGGGATCCAGTTTCAGCTTTGTACATATGGCACGCCAGTTTTCCCAGCACCGTTTATTAAATAGGGAATCCTTTCCCCATTGCTTGTTTTTGTCAGGTTTGTCAAAGATCAGATGGTTGCAGATATGTGGCATTATTTCTGAGGGCTCTGTTCTGTTCCGTTGATCTATATCTCTGTTTTGGTACCAGTAGCATGCTGTTTTGGTTACTGTAGCCTTGTAGCATAGTTCGAAGTCAGGTCGCGTGATGCCTCCAGCTTTGTTCTTTTGGCTTAGGATTGACTTGGCAATGTGGGCTCTCTTTTGGTTCCATGGGAACTTTAAAGTAGTTTTTTCCAATTCTGTGAAGAAAGTCATTGGTAGCTTGATGGGGATGGCATTGAATCTATAAATTACCTTGGACAGTATGGCCATTTTCACGATATTGATTCTTCCTACCCATGAGCATGGAATGTTCTTCCATTTGTTTGTATCCTCTTTTATTTCCTTGAGCAGTGGTTTGTAGTTCTCCTTGAAGAGGTCCTTCACATCCCTTGTAAGTTGGATTCCTAGGTATTTTATTCTCTTTGAAGCAATTGTGAATGGGAGTTCACTCATGATTTGGCTCTCTGTTTGTCTGTTACTGGTGTATATGAATGCTTGTGATTTTTGCACATTGATTTTGTATCCTGAGACTTTGCTGAAGTTGCTTATCAGCTTAAGGAGATTTTGGGCTGAGACAATGGGGTTTTCTAGATGTACAATTATGTCATCTGCAAACAGGGACAATTTGACTTCCTCTTTTCCTAATTGAATACCCTTTATTTCCTTCTCCTGCCTAATTGCCCTGGCCAGAACTTCCAACACTATGTTGAATAGGAGTGGTGAGAGAGGGCATTGCTGTCTTGTGCCAGTTTTCAAAGGGAATGCTTCCAGTTTTTGCCCATTCAGTATGATATTGGCTGTGGGTTTGTCATAGACAGCTCTTATTATTTTGAGATATGTCCCATCAATACCTAATTTATTGAGAGTTTTTAGCATGAAGGGTTGTTGAATTTTGTCAAAGGCCTTTTCTGCATCTATTGAGATAATCATATGGTTTTTGTCTTTGGTTCTGTTTATCTGCTGGATTACATTTATTGATTTGCGTATGTTGAACCAGCCTTGCATCCCAGGGATGAAGCCCACTTGATCATGGTGGATAAGTGTTTTGATGTGCTGCTGGATTCGGTTTGCCAGTATTTTATTGAGGATTTTTGCATCAATGTTCATCAAGAATATTGGTTTAAAATTCTCTTTTTTTGTTGTGTCTCTGCCAGGCTTTGGTATCAGGATGATGTTGGCCTCATCAAATGAGTTAGGGAGGATTCCCTCTTTTTCTATTGATTGGAATAGTTTCAGAAGGAATGGTACCAGCTCCTCCTTGTACCTCTGGTAGAATTCGGCTGTGAATCCATCTGGTCCTGGACTTTTTTTGGTTGGTTAGCTATTGATTATTGCCACAATTTCAGATCCTGTTATTGGTCTATTCAGAGATTCAACTTCTTCCTGGTTTAGTCTTGGGAGGGTGTATGTGTCGAGGAATTTATCCATTTCTTCTGGATTTTCTAGTTTATTTGCGTAGAGGTGTTTGTAGTATTCTCTGATGGTAGTTTGTATTTCTGTGGGATCGGTGGTGATATCCCCTTTATCATTTTTTATTGCATCTGTTTGATTCTTCTCTCTTTTCTTCTTTATTAGTCTTGCTAGCGGTCTATCGATTTTGTTGATCTTTTCAAAAAACCAGTTCCTGGATTCATTAATTTTTTGAAGGATTTTTTATGTCTCTATTTCCTTCAGTTCTGCTCTGATTTTAGTTATTTCTTGCCTTCTGCTAGCTTTTGAATGTATTTGCTCTTGCTTTTCAGTTCTTTTAATTGTGATGTTAGGGTGTCAATTTTGGATCTTTCCTGCTTTCTCTTGTGGGCATTTAGTGCTATAAATTTCCCTCTACACACTGCTTTGAATGCGTCCCAGAGTTTCTGGTATGTTGTGTCTTTGTTCTCGTTGGTTTCAAAGAACATCTTTATTTCTGCCTTCATTTCATTATGTACTCAGTAGTCATTCAGGAGCAGGTTGTTCAGTTTCCATGTAGTTGAGCGGTTTTGAGTGAGTTTCTTAGTCCTGAGTTCTAGTTTGATTGCACTGTGGTCTGAGAGACAGTTTGTTATAATTTCTGTTCTTTTACATTTGCTGAGGAGTGCTTTGCTTCCAACTATGTGGTCAATTTTGGAATAGGTGTGGTGTGGTGCTGAAAAAAATGTATATTCTGTTGATTTGGGGTGGAGAGTTCTGTAGATGTCTATTAGGTCCGCTTGGTGCAGAGCTGAGTTCAATTCCTGGGTATCCTTGTTAACTTTCTGTCTCGTTGATCTGTCTAATGTTGACAGTGGGGTGTTAAAGTCTCCCATTATTAATGTGTGGGAGTCTAAGTCTCTTTGTAGGTCACTAAGGACTTGCTTTATGAATCTGGGTGCTCCTGTATTGGGTGCATATATATTTAGGATAGTTAGCTCTTCTTGTTGAATTGATCCCTTTACCATTATGTAATGGCCTTCTTTGTCTCTTTTGATCTTTGTTGGTTTAAAGTCTGTTTTATCAGAGACTAGGATTGCAACCCCTGCCTTTTTTTGTTTTCCATTTGCTTGGTAGATCTTCCTCCATCCCTTTATTTTGAGCCTATGTGTGTCTCTGCACGTGAGATGGGTTTCCTGAATACAGCACACTGATGGGTCTTGACTCTTGATCCAGTTTGCCAGTCTGTGTCTTTTAATTGGAGCATTTAGCCCATTTACATTTAAAGTTAATATTGTTATGTGTGTATTTGGTCCTGTCATCATGATGTGACCTGGTTATTTTGCTCGTTAGTTGATGCAGTTTCTTCCTAGCCTTGATGGTCTTTACATTTTGGCATGTTTTTGCAGTGGCTGGTACCGGTTGTTCCTTTCCATGTTTAGTGCTTCCTTCAGGATCTCTTTTAGGGCAGGCCTGGTGGTGACAAAATCTCTCAGCATTTGCTTGTCTGTAAAGTATTTTAATTCTCCTTCACTTATGAAACTTAGTTTGGCTGGATATGAAATTCTGGGTTGAAAATTCTTTTCTTTAAGAATGTTGAATATTGGCCCTCAGTCTCTTCTGGCTTGTAGAGTTTCTGCCAAGAGATCTGCTGTTAGTCTCATGGGCTTCCCTTTGTGGTAACCCGATCTTTCTCTCTGGCTGCCCTTAACATTTTTTCCTTCATTTCAGCTTTGGTGAATCTGACAATTATGTGTCTTGGAGTTGCTCTTCTCGAGGAGTATCTTTGTGGCGTTCTTTGTATTTCCTGAATGTGAATGTTGGCCTGCCTTGCTAGATTGGGGAAATTCTCCTGGATAATATCCTTTGGAGTGTTTTCCAACTTGGTTCCATTCTCCCCGTCATTTTCAGGTACACCAATCAGACGTAGATTTGGTCTTTTCACATAGTCCCATATTTCTTGGAGGCTTTGTTTGTTTCTTTTTATTCTTTTTTCTCTAAACTTCCCTTCTCACTTCATTTCATTCATTTCGTCTTCCATCACTGATACCCTTTCTTCCAGTTGATCATATCAGCTCCTGAGGCTTCTGCATTCTTCACGTAGTTCTCGTGCCTTGACCTTCAGCTCCATCAGCTCCTTTAAGCACTTCTCTGCATTGGTTATTCTAGTTATCCATTCGTCTAATTTTTTTTCAAAGTTTTTAACTTCTTTGCCATTGGTTTGAATTTCCTCCTGTAGCTCAGAGTAGTATGATCGTCTGAAGCCTTCTTCTCTCAGCTTGTCAAAGTCATTTTCCGTCCAGTTTTGTTCCATTGCTGGTGAGGAGCTGCGTTGCTTTGGAGGAGGAGAGGCGCTCTGCTTTTTAGAGTTTCCAGTTTTTCTGCTCTGTTTTTTCCCCATCTTTGTGGTTTTATCTACTTTTGGTCTTTGATGATGGTGACGTACAGAAGGGTTTTTGGTGTGGATGTCCTTTCTGTTTGTTAGTTTTCCTTCTAACAGACAGGACCCTCAGCTGCAGGTCTGTTGGAGTTTGCTAGAGGTCCACTCCAGACCCTGTTTGCCTGGGGGTATCAGCAGCAGTGGCTGTAGAACAGCAGATCTTGGTGAACCGCAAATGCTGCTGCCTGATCGTTCCTCTGGAAGTTTTGTCTCAGAGGAGTACCCGGCCATGTGAGGTGTCTGTCCCTACTGGGGTGTGCCTTCCAGTTAGGCTGCTCAGGGGTCAAGGACCCACTTGAGGAGGCAGTCTGTCCGTTCTCAGATCTCCAGCTGCGTGCTGGGAGAACCACTACTCTCTTCAAAGCTGTCAGACAGGGACATTGAAGTCTGCAGAGGTTACTGCTGTCTTTTTGTTTGTCTGTGCCCTGCCCCCAGAGGTGGAGCCTACAGAGGCAGGCAGGCCTCCTTGAGCTGTGGTGGGCTCCACCCAGTTCGAGCTTCCTGGCTGCTTTGTTTACCCAATCAAGCCTGGGCAATGGCAGGTGCCCCTCCCCCAGCCTCGCTGCCGCCTTGCAGTTTGATCTCAGATTGCTGTGCTAGCAATCACCGGGACTCTGTGGGCATAGGACCCTCTGAGCCAGGTGTAGGATATAATCTCCTGGTGAGCCGTTTTTTAAGCCCATCGGAAAAGCGCAGTATTGGGGTGGGAGTGACCCGATTTTCCAGGTGCCGTCTGTCACCCCTTTCTTTGACTAGGAAAGAGAACTCCCTGGCCCCTTGTGCTTCCTGAGTGAGGCAGTGATTCGCCCTGCTTCAGCTCGCGCACAGTGCACTGTACCTACTGTCCTGCACACACTGCCTGGCACTCCCTAGTGAGATGAACCCGGTACCTCAGATGGAAATTCAGAAATCACCCATGTTCTGCGTCACTCAGGCTGGGAGCTGTAGACCGGAGCTGTTCCTATTCGGCCATCTTGGCTCTCTGAATCCATCTTCTAAGTAGCCTAATACTTTTCTGCTTCCTTTCCCCTTTTGCATAGTATTTTGGGAGTATTCCTTGATTCATACCTTCAGCATACTACTGAATTTAGCCCAAATGCCTTTTGTGTGCTGACCTTCCCATTGCAGGCTTGCTTCAGTGGTTCTGGGAAGCACCATGGTCCTCTCCAGCCCAGGGCACATTCTCAGTGCTTTAACCTTTGGGCACACACCATGTCAGCCATTCCTCTGCACAGATGGGGTCAGGAGAAAGAGTTTCATGGCTCAACTGATGCAGCTGCAGTTCTCTACTTGATTTCCTGATAACCAAGGTTCTTATGCAGCTCCTTACATCTACTGACTCAGTGCTCAGGGATTTTACAGGGCCATAACCACATTTGCAGCTGTTTTCTTCCATGCATTTTGGATTGTTGTTTCTTTTGTCATTCTTTCTTATGTGCTTTTTTGTTGTTAGGAATTCCTCAAAATTTTTAGTTTGCTGCTGGCACTTTTTCTACTCCTCCATAATGTCATCTGTTTATTATTTCAGGGATATATGGGACAGTGCAAAGTACCACATAGCAAATGGAAAAATATGCCTAGAGTGCACTCTTGATCTCCTCTATCATTCAGCATCAGAATTGCCAATTGTCTTGTCATTGCCAAACAGCTCCATAGTAGAAATGGATGTATCTAGTTTATTACTGTAAATGCTCTATCCCTTTTGCTAGCATAATGCCTGGGTTAGATATAGTAAGTACTATAATAATCAAAATATTAGCAGTTTTTAATAAAAATATATTAATGTAAATCATCAATATGCTATCATTATTAATATTATAAATCTTAAGCTTTCAAAAATGCATGTGAAATTTAATTGTGTTCAAATTCCAGATAAGTTTATGGCACATAGTACTCACCTTGTCTAGCTATGTTTTTATTATTATTATTATTAACAATATAAGGGTATATTTGGTATAGCCTTTGGGATTTTATTTGGTTTTTCATCTCTTGATTCCTTGACACGTAGAATTGCATTATTTGGGAAGGGCATCCACCAGAGCAGTCCAGAAATTTTGGAAACTTGAACAATGGCAGCATGTGACTCTCTGAACTGCACATTATGGCAGTGCCCAAGATAGATTCTAATTAGCTGAGATTGTCACTGCATTTTATCCTATGAAGTGTGCTTTGGAGGAAGCTCTTCTATCTAGTAAAAACAGTGTCAACATATTCAAACAATACAATGGCTGTCTAGGGCGTTGAGTTCCCCAAAGTGTGATTTTGGTGAAATTATTTCTTTATCCTACCCTTTGTTTAGGAAGAATTTAGGATATCTTACAATATATAAATAGATGAGGAAAACATATTCTAAGCAGTTAAAAAGAGAAGAATACAAACAAGAACCATAAATGTGGTGCAGAAAACAAAAGCAGGAATTAATTAAGCTAATACAAAAAGTGGGACAGTAGTATCATACTTCCTAGAGGTGGATCATCCCTAGTAAATATTTACTTCTAGTAAATATTTTAAATAGGCAAGCTATCTCATTCTGTCATGAAATTTAAAGTAGCTGTACATTTATAATAAAACAAAATTATTTGCAACAATTATATAGAGTTTAAATACCAAAATATAACTTATCTCACCAGAGTCAGCAAATAACTCCCCCCAACACCCATTTCCTATACCTATCAAAATGGCATGTTTATAGTATACGCTGGTAAAATGCTAGATATTTTAAAACTTTTGAAATTAACAACTATATACATATCGACTCAATAATATCTTAAGCAGCATTGAGGTTAACAGATGATTTTCTTTTATCACCAAAGATGATGTTCCCTCCCAAAGGAAAATTTAAAAAAATGATTTGACCTCAGTTGTTGCTTGAACAATTACACATGACTGACATCTCATATATTTCCCTGGAATTTTTTAAAAATTAAACAATATGTACGAAAATGTATCTGTAAAACAGTTACTCTTTTAATATAAAGCACTGGCATATTGATTATTACTTACCTATTACCTATACAATTTCTGTAGGTTAGCTAGGCATCTTTGGAAATAGTAGCTGTTAATGTGTTCTTTGGTGACATTTATGGTTCTGCAGGCCTTACAGGTTTCAATAAACTTTATGAATATGCCTAGCAGCTGGTGGGGGTAGGTCATTCATGTGTATATTAACCTGATAACCTCTATCTAAATTTTCTTCAAAATTTTCCCAGGTGGTCTATGAGGATTCTCAAGATGTTGTTTATAAATGTATGTACAAGTAAATATGTTAGATTGTTTTAATTGTCCCAGAATAGGAATTAACTCATGTTCTTTTAACCCTTTAATCTTATTTCTAGTCTGCAGCCACCAGGTGGCAGAATCACTTTTCTTAAAAATTAAATATTTTATTTTGAGATAATTGCTGATTCACATGCAATTGGAAGAAATAACACAGAAATATCTTGTGCATTTCTTATACTGCTTCCCCAATGTTAACATGGTATCTTGCTGTCTTTGGTATCTTGCAAAATTATAGTACAGTATCACAATCAGGAGGCTAACATTGGTATAATCCACTGTTCTTACTCAGGCTTTCCCAGTTTTACTCGTACATGAGTGTGTGTGTGTAGGAGTGGAGGTTATACAAGTGGTCTTCAAAAAGTTCATGGAAAATGTGTATTATGAAAAAAACTATGAATGGATTTGCACCAAAATAAACTTGTAGTAACTTATTATCACATTTCTGAGCAGGATCTAGTTTAAGGCATTACGTAGGATAACACGTCAGTTTGAAAAGAGTCCCTGTCACAGCAACATGGATTTGTTAATATTGGAGCAAAAACAAACATTAAATTTATGGTGAGTCTTGGGTAGAAGAATGGTGAAATCATTGATACTTTACAAAAAGTTTATGGGAACAATGCCTCAAAGAAATCAGTAGTTTACAAATTCATTTTTTAAAATGACAATATAATGTTGAAGATAAAGTTCATAGAGGCAGATCATCCGCATCAATTTGTGAGGAAAAAATTCATCTTGTTTGTACTCTAATGGAAGGAGCCTGACCACAGCACAAACAATAGCCACCACCATAGACATCTCAACTGGTTCACTTTACACAATTATGATTGAAAAATTAAAGTTGAGCAAACTTTCCACTTCGTAAGTGCAAAAGCTGTTGTGTCCAGATGAGCTGCAGACAAGCAGAGTTTTCAACTGAAATTTTAATCAAGTAGAATCAAGATTCTAAAACATGTCTTTGTAGTGTTGTAACAGGAGATAAAATATGGCCTTACCAATACTGTTCTGAAGACAAAGCACAAGATTTGACTCAGAGGTCAGAGCAAAAGCAGACCAGTCAAGAGCAAAAGTCACGGAAATGGCCTTTTGGGATGCTCCAGGCATTTTGCTTGTTGACTTTCTGGGCGGCCAGTGAAGGATAACATCTCCTTGTTAGTGTTCTGAGAACATTAGCCAAAGCTTTAGTGGAAAAACACCCAGGAAAGCTTCACCAGAGAGTCTTTCTTCACCATAGCGGTGCTCCTGCTCAGTCCTATGATGAAATTTTGTGAGAGTTTTCATAGAAAAGCATTAGATATTCATCTCACAGTCCTGATTTGGCTCTGTCTGACTTGTGTTTGTTTGTAATCTTAAAAAATATTTAAAGGTCACCCATTTCTCTTCAGTTAATAATGCAAAAAAGAGCGCATTGACATGGTTAAATTCCCAGGACCCTCAGCTCTTTATAGGGATCGACTAAATGGCTGGTGTCATCACTTTCAAAAGTGTCTTGAACTTGATAGAACTTACATTGAGAAATAAAGTTTATATTTTATGTTTTAGTTTTTTAATTTTTTCAATGAGCTTTTTGGAGTTCGCTCGTATTACATTTCATGCCGTTTTATCACATGTGTAGGTTAGTGCATTCACCATAGTCAAGGTACAGAACAGTTCCATCACCACAAGGATCCCTTAGGTTGCCCTTTCATAGCCACACCCATGTTCTTTCCGCAACACCCCCACCACCCCCAAGTGCTGACCACCACTAATCTGTCACTTATCCTAGTCTATAAATTTGGCTTCCCAAAATATTATTTAAATAGAAGCCTACAGCTTATAATCTTTCAGATCAGCTTCTTTTCACTGAGTGCATTTCTCTGAGGATGTATCCAAGTTGTTACATGTGTAAATAGTTCATTTTTTCATTTCTTTGTGTTTCATGGTATGGATGTATCATAGTTTGTATAACCATTCCTCTGTTGAGATGTTTCCATTTGGGGATATCATGAATAAATTTATATACAGGTTTTTACATGAACATGCATTTATATTATTGTGGAATAAATATCCAAGAGTGCAAATGCTGACTTTTATGTTTACATATTTAGATTTATAAGCAATTGCCAAACTGTTTTCCAAAATGGCTGTACCATTTTACATTCCCACCAGCAATGTATGAGTGATCTAGTTTCTCTACATCCTCACTAAGATTTGTGTTGTCACTACTTTTTTTATTTTAACCATTCTAATAAAAGCATATGCTATCTTATTGTGGTTTTAATCTGTATTTCCTTAATGGAAAATAATATTGAATATCTTCCTATGTACTTATTTTCCATTTCCATATTCTCATCAGTGAAGTGGCTGTTCATATCTTTTGCTCATTTTCTATTAAATTATTTGTTTTTTTACTTGAGTTTTCATATTTTTTAAATGCTACTCCTTTCTCCAGTATGTGTTTTGAAACTATTTTCTCTCAGTCTGTAGGTAGCTTTTTTTTCATCCTCTTAACGAATGAAACATCCTCTGTCTTTCACAGAGCAAAGGTTTCTAATTACAAGGTTTAACGTTTCAGTTTTTCCTTTTATGGATCAAGCTTTTGGTGTCATCTAAGAATTTTTGCTTATCCCTAAATCTCTAAAATTATGTCCCATTTTTTCCTACAACTTTTAGTGTTTGTGTTTTAATCTATTTTTTTCAGGGGCTTTTTTGTTGTTGTTTAATTTGTGAGGTATAGGCTAATATTCTTTTTGTTTGCCAATGGAATATAATCTATCCAACATCATTTGTTGATAAGATTATCTTTTCTCTACTGAATTGTTTTTGTACCTTTTAAAAAACTGCACAAGTAAATATGTTTGGCTAATTTGAAATGTCTTAAAATAGAAACGGTTACTTTCAATCTTTTAATTCATATTTCTCATCTATAACCACTAGATGGCGAGATTGGCTTTTATAAGTTTATAAATTATTAGCAACAGGTCCCTGAAATTTTTGATATGGCCTTAGTGAAATTTTATACTCAGAGCTTTAATGTATTATAGTTGTTAAAAAAGTAATTTTACAAAAAGAGCTCTAAATATTTAAGGAGAAGTACAATATTAGTTTATTTTAGAATGTTAGAACCCTCATTCAGTTTTAATAGTGAACTTAGAAAATGAGACAGAAATTAGGCAAATGTTAAGCACTAAGGTAGTGTACATGTGAGTCCTCATGCGTCATTTTTCAAGAACTGTATATTTTTCTAATTCACAGAAAAAATATAAAATTCCTTGATGAATCTTTTAATAAGTTGTCTTTTTTTTTACATTTTTTTCATGTGTATGTCCATACTTACATATTATAGGCCTTGATTTCCAAAAAAAAAAAAAAAAAAAAAAAAAAAGCCCTTTCAATTAGAAAGATGTTTATTGACTTTGAAGACAAAGATATGAAGAACAAAGATTTGTCAAAGTGAGAAGAAATCTGTTGGGAAACATTTGTATTTTGCGATAGCTCTGTGAGATGTCTGTAATTTTTTACTGAAATATTTGAATCCATTTCATTAGTGTTAATTATTATTAGATATACTTATGTTAGTAAAATGAATACATGCATTGGATTGTGCTTCCAGTTTGTCATTTACCTAAAAGAAGTGTGGGAGTGCTCATTACCTGATGACATTGAGTAGTATAGCGAGCAAAACCTGGTTAAAATAGAAAAAAAAAAATCCATGTGTTTCTTTAATAGTCCTTCTCACTGTTCTATATGTCTGCTAATTATTAAATATCATTTTTACATTTTTTCTTGAGGAAACTACTTATTTAACATGGAAACTTATCTAATGAGGTATTGAGAGAAAGAGGGAGAGAGAGGTGTTCTGATGCATTTTTCACATACTCTAGAAATATATAAGCTATACTACATATCTACAGAAGTATAATTATAGTTTTATAGTTATAAATATAACAATTATTTTTTTAATTGCCAGATTTTAGGCTATGTGGAAAAAAAATTATTTAATTGCTGAAGCTATATTTAATTTTCTCATCATTTAACTTTTAGAGACATCAGTTTATTAAGTCAGCAATTGCTATAAAGCACTTTCTTCACTCAGCTTCATGAATACCATTTTATCATTAAGTCTTTAAAAGATCAATGTATAACCATGTGGCATGATGGAAAATCTGGGCTTAAGACAGGTTCAAGACCTAGGTCTTTCATTTTAACTTACTATGTAATTAACCTTACGTTTTAAAAAATTCTGTTATGTACCAGGCACTATAATAAACTCTTGAGATAGATAGATAGATGATAGATTGCCAGCTACATGTCCCAAGTGTTTATAATAGCTATCGATTTATCTATCATCTGTCTATCAATCATCTGTCTGTCTGTCTGTCTGTCTGTCTGTCTGTGTCTTGCTTCATCTTAATAATGACCCTACACTTCAGGTAATAGTACTCACATTTTATGGAACAGAAACCATGGCTCTGCAGGTTTAAGTCACTGGCCTGGGATAACAGAGCTGGCCAGTGGCAGATGGAGTATTTGAACACATCTTATTCTGAAGCCTACTTTACCTCAACTTCATCCTTTTACTACTCTGGGCTAGCTCCATCTATGTCATCTGTAAAATGGGCAAATACAAGAACATGAATCCTAACATACTTCTGATTCTAAAATATTCCTCTCTGGTGTTGTGAGGGAAGATTTTCAGCTCTTTCGGAGTTGACTTAGTTCCCCAAGGCATTCGTTTTACCAAAGCAGCACTCACCAAGGTCAAGGAAAACCTTTGAAATTTCCAGTTAAAAAAATAGACATGCATATATGTATAAAATATCCTCTTATGATCTTTGATAGTATTTAGTATTTTTACTGATTAAAGTTTTTTTTTCTTTTTCTGGGATAAGAACTACTCCAAGAACATGACAACTAGCAGAAAATGAGAGCTGAAGTAGTGTGATGAAATGGAAAGGAACATTTCATTAGTAACTGTAGAGAAAGGAAAAATGAGCTGTTCTTGCTCATAATGTGGATCCAGTAGAAAGTACCAGACCCAATAAACAAATAATTGATTAGAAATATAGCCAAGAACATAGATTCCAAGAGATACCTTTTATAATCCAGGATTCTGTTACCTGATTTGGTTCCATAATAAAAACAAGCACTTACTAACAATTATACATGACATTTATGTTATTTTATACTCTGCAGAAATCTACTTACTGTATTCTTTCTCAGTCTTATTTCAAGCAATTAAAAAATTGTTTGTCTTGTCATGTTGAAGGTCTCAGTTAATGTAAAGTTAATAAAACCGAATCCTTGTCCTGTCCCCTATAATAGTGTAGAAGGCAAGAATAAAAACTCAATTGTCATATATATGTGATTTGTTTATTCTTATAAAGATATATAAATATATAGTGAATTAGTAATAATGAGATAAGCTTGTCCTCTGAGCTTTCCAGCCACTAGATGGAGAACATGCTTTGTGAAATAGTATATGAGAATGAGGAAATCAAGCCAACTTAACTTTGCTGTCTGGGCAAAATTTGTTAATTTGGGTCATATATTAGACTTTTCTGTTTTAGTGGTCAATGTGGTTCAATTTTAAGTTAGGGCATAATTTGCACAATAACTAAAGTTGAAATTAATACTCAGAAACAAACCATACTCTATTTAGAACTAAAATCCATTAAGTTGTCTGAATTACAGGAAGAAGCTGACCAATGAAGATAAAGCCAATTTGTTACATTGGAACAGCTGAACTGGTGAAAAAATTAATATAGCATCCAGCAATCAAAGGATAGGATTAAACTCCAATGAAGTCACTTTGTTTCGTTTTTAACTCTTAAGAAGATCGTTAGCCAAACTGTTTCAAATGGCACCTGGGTTAACACTATCATGAAAATTTTTTTGATCTAGCAAACTTGAAATAATGGCTTCACATTTCTTAATTTCCAGCTTTTAAGCAAATTATTCTGGACTTTGACATCAGTGATCTATGTGGATAGTAACATAGCTATTTTAAATATGCTTGCTCATCCCTCGACTAGTCAAAATTAGGCAGGAAAATGTTATGCTACGGCAGGCAGCCTTATGATGACTGAAATTATAGAAATTACATAAAATTATGTCAACAAATGGCAATAACTTGATATATCAAAATATAGATAACTCTTTTAAGATGTAATTCTGGCCCTCTTAGTCAAGCGTTTATCTTGAGGGGCCATATTGGCAACTAATTTATACAGGACAAAAGTAAAAGAAGAATCTCTATGAATAGATGGGCAGTGATTGAGTTTAGGTGCCAAGGACAATGCTGAATTTTGGGGCAGTTTTTCCAGTGTTATTGTCCAAGAATGGGAAAGTAACTTTTGCCAAGAAAATTCAATGTTCTACAAGCATAACACCATATGTATATGGCAGAGTCGAGTTGATTGCCATGATTATCTCTCTAGTAAATACCATCAATAGCCTCTACATTAAAAATAAAATTGGAATGTTGAAGAACACAAGTACAAAAATAAAGCCTTAATAAACTAAATTACATTAAAATGATGTTTTATTATTTTATGTTGATTTTATATTATTGCTCAGGAAAATGGACACTCTGCATTTGCCAAGTGGAATAACACATACAAAAGCCCAAGTATATGAGGGTAAATGTTTTCCAAATGTCAAAGTTCTGTAAGAGGATAGCATTTAGTATTTTCTTGTGTTGTTAGACTAGAGAACGATTTCACAATTAGCAGTTTGTCAGAATCATCTGGAATTTTTTTTTACATTTTTATTTTCTTTTAATACAAATACCTTGGGTAGAACTGTAAATATTACAATTTAATAAATCTTATGGGTTTCTCAGGATATTCAGGCCTGGAAACCTTACATTAGGCCACATACCTTCTTCCCAGTAGGGTTTAGACCTTGTCTGCCATTGTAGCATCTGTGCCCAATACAAAGCATAGTCCAAAGTAGAATCTTAGTAACAGTTCAGTAAATAGATGATTAGGGATACTCTCAGCAGTAATAGCAAGTGATACTGTTCTAATTGCATGAGTAATTATTGTTCTTATTCTTCATTTTCTCATTGCTGTATCCCCAGTGCCTTTTACATGATCTATAATAGAGAAAAAGCTAATGGGTACTTGTTTAATGAACAGGTAAACATTCAGAATGCCCTAAAAATGCAGATGTTTCTACCTGAGAATCAACACATAGACCTTGTCAAATCCACAATCAAGCTTTATTTATTCAAGGTGCCATGTTTATCACTTACAGGGATGGCTTCCAGCCACCTGAGCCTTCTCCCTCCTAATAGATTTATCCTTATCAAGATTCCCTGAAATACTGAATGGTCCTTGACTGCTAGAATTTTGACAGAAGTTGGAATGTAGTAACCCATACTAAAAGTACTGTTAGTAATTCAAGAAATACAACGGTAAAATTGGATTTCAACCTTTTAGTTTTATTCCTGTGTACACTTACTTCATGTTAGGAAGTGCTAAAATAAAGCAATACAATACCTATTACATTTGCTTGCAGCAGAAAAATAGGTGACATGTTAGTTTTTTTTCCCCTCACCTATGCAGTTCTGTCTGTAATTTAGTGAGATGACTAATGGCTCAAATACAGAAAAGCCAACTTTAAATGGATTATTTTGTGACTGTCTCAGTCAAACACTTCATGACTGCAAACATTTTTATTCCACTAATTTAATTGTTTTATTTTGTTATTCAAAATTAAACTCAGAAGAAAAGAAACTTACCTCTCAAGTCAACAATGAATCTTCCTCCCATTTGAAGTGGTATTAAGAATGTACAAGAAAGTTTGTTTCTTTGTTTATATAGCACTATCTAAATGTTGTTTCATCTGAAATAAATTAAGCAGTTCCACAGCCCCACTTTGGAAACATACACCAACTTAATAAAGACTGGATATGAAAGTTTCGGAAATGTAGGGAACTTAAAAATTAGGAGTGTCCCATTCATGTCTGTAATAAGACTTTTCAGGGAAGGGATAGTCGGGAAGAGAGTCCATATGATGTTGAAAGTCAATAAAATGTCCGAGAACCAGAACAGCTCCTTTTCGTTCTTTGGTGACTATATTGAAGACTTTGTTAAATCATCACTTTAAATTTGTGAAGAGGTAGAATTCTAATTCAGATTTTCCCATTCCCATTGCTCTCTTTCGTAAAAGTCCCTGTCATTTTTTCCAAGCCTCCTATTCTTCCATGTTATGCCTCAGATATTACAGTCTAGGATGACTGATACAAGTGCCTAACAGCACATAATGTTATACATCATCTGTAGCTTGTACAGTTTTTATTCCAAAGGTCCTTTGCTCAAACCTTTAATTGACCAACTCAATCTACAAAGCTCTGTGCAGATACCACCTCTTCTGGGGTTTCTAACTCACTCTAGTTGACTTGCAATATTTTCCCATGTGTTCCTTTAGCTTCCTATGCATGCATTTACAACAATGGTTCTCAACTTTGCTGAATCATGAAAGGATATCTGGCCCCCATACAAAATAATTTTCTATTAATTGGACTAGTTTACTGCCTTAGCATTGGGATCTTAAAAGCTTCCAAAGTGATGCTAATACACAGCCAAGGTTGAGAACCACTGTTCCATGGTTTTATCTTATTTTATTGAAATTTTCTGTTTGTATGTCTGAACCTTCTGTGTGGTCAAGAATTATGCCATGCTGGCTTGGCACAGTAGCTCACTCCTGTAATCCCAGCACTTTGGGAGGCCAAGGCGGGCAGATCACCTGAGGTCAGGAGTTGGAGACCAACCTGGCCAACATGGTGAAAACCCCTCTCTACTAAAAATACAAAAATTAGCCCGGCATGGTGGTGGGTGCCTGTAATCCCAGCTGCTCGGGAGGCTGAGACAGGAGAATCGCTTGAACCCGGGAGGCGGAGGTTTCAGTGAGCCAAGATGGCGGCACTGCACTCCAGCCTGGGCAACAAAGAGCAAAACTCTGTCTTAAAAAAAAAAATTATATCATGGTTATTTGATTTACAGAATTACTGCCAAATAGCATATACATACCCAAAAACAGTTGATGACATAAATTGAATTAATGAGAGAGAGCCTAGAAAGAATCAGATTTGAGGAAGTCATGAGGATTCCTTTAAGCGGTTGAATGTGAATAAAAAGAGAGAAATAGTGGGTGAGGGCTATATAGTAGATAGGCTGTTCCTTAAATTAAAACATGGTTATATTTATATGCAGAAAGCAAGTGAGGGAGAAATCAATGAAATTTGAAAGCCCCTAAGAAGAGAGCATAGTTATTTAAGTAGATAGGAGAAAGAGAAAAATACAGATTCGTATGCATTTAAACTCATAAAGGAAGAAAAAACATGGCCCAGTCAAAATTTCTGTACCATTCCTTTATGATAAGAATATACAAAATGCACTGAAGAATTAAAAATGAGAAAAACAACATCCTTAAATTTGAAAGACAAGGTTACCAGTCACTCCACTAACCCAAAACAATGCAACATTTCTAAGAAGAGGCAGTATCTCTGTCATTGACTTTTCCTAGTACAAGCCAGTCCCACAAAGTATAAGAATTTACAACAATACGTATAAAATTAAAGTGCAAACAAGTATGAACCAAAAACTTAAGGAATGAAACTCCCGAAAAGCAGTATGTGTGATGTCTTTATTTTGTAAAGATTGTGTTTTCTATTACCTCATTATGGTTTTCTGCTTTCTGTATACCCTGCTTCTGCTTTTTATTTTTTTCTTTATTTCTTTTATAAAAAGTCCTCTGAGACATTTAATTTGCAGAGCACTAGAGAAAAATTTCACCAAAAATGAGGAAGTAAAGTGAAATTTAAACAATGACCTTCCCTTTCCTCAGACATACACACGTGTAACAGATTTATACGCCTTATTGTAAACATTCTGCTACATCTTTCCTCCACCCGCTACAAGGAGTTAGAGAATCTGCTTTTAACAAGGAAGATAAATGTACCAAATGTCACTGAGCCTCAGGGGGATCAGAGATGGTAAAACAAGTGGTTTAATGTTCTGATTTTCTTTTTCTAATGCATGCACTGAGTTATATTTTCAACCAATCTCTGAAACCACACAGCAGAGTCTGACCTCTGTGTGGGCTAAGAAACATTCGCACCAATGAATCAAGCAGATAAACAATCATTCTCTTATGGTAGGTATGTGAATGGTTTCAAAGGAATGATGTCAATAGATGAGGATGACATTTCATTGTATTGGATAAGGACTATTTATGTGCAACACAGCAATGATATTTATATAGAACTTTTATTTCTAAGCTGGTTTCTTTTAAGCACTAGTTATCTTTATTGTTACTCTTTCTCATGGCTGACCTTCAGCATAATAGAACAGGCTATTACTGAGCATTAATGAGCTTTAAGACGATCTAGTTAGTGTGCCTCCACATATCTGACAACTTACTGTCATAGATGGGTATGAAATTTACTTAAAAAGGAAATTGATTATAACAGCCATGAGCAACACTGAGTTTAACGAAAGGAAAAAAGAATGCAGGAGAGTTGGAAAGTAAGATTTAAAGTCAGAAAGCCAGAAAGAAAGCAAGAAAGAAAAAAGGAAGGAATTTTTATGGATACTTAATGGTAGAACATATTTATGCGCTATACGTGATATTTTGATAAAAGCATTCAATGTGTAATGATCAAATCTGGATAAGTAGAATATCAAGCACCTCAAATATTTATCATTTCCTTGTATCAGAAACATTCCAAATCTACCCTTCTAGTTTCTTTGAAATATACAATAAATTATTGTTAATTATAATCACCCTATTGTGTAATAAAACACGAGATCTTATTCTTTCTATATTTTTGTACCCATTAACCAATCCAGCAATGCCAGCACAGGGTATACATACAAAAGAAAGTGTATCAATACATTGAAGAGATATCTGCACTTCCACGTTTATTGTAGCACTATTTAAAATAGCCAGGACATGGAATCAACCTAAATGTTCATCAATGAATGGATGGATAAAGAAAATGTATGTTTGTGTGTTTGTGTGTGTGTGTGTGTGTGTGTGTGTATATATATACACATATATATCTCACAACTTACTGTCATAGATGGATATGAAATTTACTTAAAAAGGAAATTATGCATATATATATATGTATACACACACACACACTCACACACACACAAACCCCAAAATATTCTGCCATAAAAAACAAAACCCTGTCATTTGCAACATGTATGGAACTGGGGGACATTACATTGTGTGAAATAAGCCAGACACAGAAAGACAAATGTTGTTTGTGTGTTCTCACTCATATGGGGAAGCTAAAAAAAATGATCCCATGGAGGTAGTGAATAGAATGGTTGTTACTGGGAAAGACAGTGGGGAGGAGGATAAGAAGGAGTTGGTTAATGGGTACAAAAGTACTATCTATGCATACATATATATGTGTGTGCTCATAGTTCACCAGTAAGTGAAATGTTTAAAGAGCTAGATATAGGAAAAAAACAGGCAGGCATATTTAATAGTAATTTCATAGCAAGTTACCCTCAATAGTGCTTTAACATATTTAAGTGTTTATCTTTCCATAATTAAACCATTTCAACATATCCTGATTGCTACTGTCTGAATCATTTGCCTAAATGATGATGTCAGCACTTTATTTAACCACCTTCAATGCCTCCTCACTTATTTTCCAATAAATCCATATTCCATAACTCAAACATTTAGGTTCTTCTTAAGTTTATATTAACCTATATGACCAGCCTTACACTTTCCCAGTACAAATCTTCTGGGAAACTCAAGGTAGCATATCCACAGTTGCAGAACATGACATGCTTTCTTGCTTACTCTGTGCTTATGCTCATATAGTTTTTTCTGCCAGGAGTTCTTTTGCCATCCTCACCTTGGCATTTGGAGTTTTATCCATTTGGCCACCCACAAATGAAGTGACTACTAGCAAAATAACTACTTAATTTACCCCCAGATGATCCTTCACAATTCTGCTGTTTTTGTCAGAAAATCCCAAATGAAGGAGTCTCTGAGCCTACTCTGGCTTAGGAGGCTGCTCTCCCCCCACAAAATAAATCCTCAAACGATACCTTAATTGTCTTAATTTATGTAACTCAGTTTATATGTGGTACCAAAGAGCTTTTTAGAGAATGATACGTAAAAGTTTGAAAAAGAAAAAAATTGGCTGTCCCAAAGCCATAGTCTTTTATTATTTGTGAATACATTTTAGGAGTTTCTTTTATGAATGACATTAGGCCTAGAACTACATAGTATGTGTGCATGCATGCATGTGCACACGCACACATTTGTGTGTGCTTTGTTACATATGTTGGACAAGTATCTCCTAATATTAAATTTTGGAACAAAAATCCTATGTAAAACATCATTAGTAGAAAATAAATATCTTCAGATTGTCTACCCTAACATTTAAAAGATATGCTCAATGATTATTACCACTGTCCTTACTATCCATAATCAACTGGATCCCTACATACCCTGCTTCAGCCATCAGGATTTTCATATCCTACAAAATCTAAGTGTTCTTCCTGGCTGTTGGATCCATGCTCTACTCGTTTAGTGGGGAAGCTCTGGCCATATTGAATGTTAAAGTACCTGAAGGCAGTGAACTCTCCATCACTAAAATTCAAAAACAGTCTTTGGCCGGACACGGTGGCTCACGCCTGTAATCCCAGCATTTTGGGAGGCCAAGGCGGGTGGATCACGAGGTGAGGAGATCAAGACCATCCTGGCTAACATAGTGAAACCTCGTCTCTACTAAAAATACAAAAACAAAAAATTAGCCGGTCGTGGTGGCAGGCACCTGTAGTCCCAGCTACTTGGGAAGCTGAGACGGGAGAACGGCGTGAACTCGGGAGGCAGAACTGGCAGTGAGTTGAGATTGCGCCACTGCACTCCAGCCTGGACGACAGAGCGAGACTCCATCTCAAAAAAAAAAAAAAAAGAAAACCAACAACAAAACAGTCTTTTGTTTCCTAGTAGTTCTATAAAATTAGCTTTTCTTATAACAGTGGCTAAAATGTAGAATTATGAGGAAAATACTGCAAAAGTGAGAGATTCTTGGCCACCTGACAATCAACTTAATTTTGGTGATAAACAAGAGCAGTGGGTCTGGGGGAAATCACCAAAAAAAGACTGTTGCATTGAATCAGTGGCATTCTCATTTCCCCTATGTATAAGAAGCCTCCAATAATCAAGTAACTAGAGATTTTGGTCTATATCAGCACCATCTTTTTGCTAATGAGTTATAATTCTTCTTTCATAATACAAATATTAATTGAGGATCTGTTTGAACTAATTGCTAGACATTAAAGATATTAACATAAAATATTATTTGTGTAGTCCTTGATTTTTAGTCACTAACATTTCAGGGTTGTGTATGTAATTTATATCATTTTTATGATGCCCTAATAATTGGATACATGGAGGCAAGAATTTTCTCTCTCTCTCTCTTTTTTTTTTCGCTCCCAACACGTTTACTGGTGCCTGACGCATGGAAAGCCTTTGATGTGTGTTTATTGAATTGAATTGAGTGGATTCAATGTCTGTTTAACAGGGGGATTAAAATGTTTAAAGAAACAAACTGCTATCTATTGAAATATGTTTCTACAAATCTCTGTCAGTTTTCCATATCTTTGTTAGTGCAACCATAGAGATAGTACTAAAAAGTAGCAGAATTTAATTTTAATTATCATCTTCATATTATAACTAAATCTCTGTCTGTGTGAATATTTTCTTTTGAGGCTAAATTGTGTGTTTATTCTTTTTAAATATATCAGCTCCTAGTATTTGGCCAACTCTTTAATCTGGTTTATTGAAGCTTACTTTATTCCGTATGTGCATTTTCATAAAGACAAAGTAATCACCACTAAGGCACATTTCCTGGTTGACTACTTCAGAGATGCTTGGGGCAGCATGTACACTGAAGTAAAGTGTTTCTCAGAATATGAACATTGTATTTCAAATCAGTTTCCAGCTGTTTTATTGTTTTCTTGTTCATAGCCACATAAGGGAAAGTGAATAATACTGAACCAATTATGAAATCATGTGTCACTCTGCTAGTGATGAAAAATGGGCTAGACACAGAATGTCATCAACTTCCCTAAGTACAGACATTCCATCAACCTTAGAAACTGAGTGAGTATTTCTAGGCAGCCAGACTTGCTTAATGGCTGTCAGGTGTCCACTGAAAATTTGGTACTCCCTTAGGGGATTGGTAATAATCCATCAAGGTTTAAGCTGGCATACCTTTCAACATGCATAGATCATTTGGCAACATCTTCAGCCTGGTACACTATCAGTTGTATATTCAGTGGATTACAATGATTAAGCAAGGCTTTACTTCTGGACTTTATGGGTTGTTGTTTTTTTGGTTTTTTTTTTGTTTTTTTTTTGCACTCATCAAATTTTTTCATAGTGGAACAATTAAAAGAATAAGCAAATGGTTACAGCAGGAACAAAATTATATCATACTCATATGGATAAAAGCCTATAGATACTTAAAATAAAAACACCATCAAAAAGCCTCTATCCCCAGCATAAAAGACAAAAAGATGTCTTTGGAAATGTCTGTGGTATCTAAACTTTAAACTACATTTTAATCCTCATATATCTCTCTGGAAGTCAGAATGCCTTCTTTTTTCCATTTATATCTGGGGGAAAAGAAATGGAGGATTTCAGTTATCAAGGTGAGTAGTAGCAATAGGGAAAGAATTTCAGATCTGGTAACACATGTAATTGTATTTTTAAAATGAAGATAGTGAAATAAACAATGTTTGCAGAAAAGCTTATTCTAATGTGCACATATGCAATAAATATTTGTTGAAAAGCTTATGACAAAATTTGAATTCTGCCTTGATTGTATCTAATCGGTCTGTTTTGTAATTCTTTGTTGCGTATAATCTAAAATTGTAAACCTAAATAGAAAAAATTATCACAGTGACAAACCTATGCAAACATGTAATTTATTAGCAAATCAGTAGTATACATAATAGCAGTTCCTTGAATACATATTATTGTGTTTCAGGCTCTATAACTACTGTCATTATATTTTATATTATTAATTCTCACAATATCTTATGAAATGGATACTGTTTTTATCCCTGTATTTTATGGAAGGAAACTGAGGTTCAGAGGATATAAGTAATTTGCCCAAGTTGTAAAGCCATCTGAGTAAAGATGGATTTTGGACCGCGGTCATGTAAGTTCAGAGGCTCTGCTACATTCTTAAAATATATAAAACATAATTCTACCTTTCTATTTATGTGGAGACACAAAAATTGATGACTGTAAAACAAGTATACATAATCAATTTCTTTTCTTTGAAATAGGGTTAGTATCTATACTAAATTTATGAAGTTTTGCAACTATGATTAAAAAGTGTGTTATTGTTTTTATTTCATACACTCACTTAATAAGTAGTTATTGAATGGAAAGCAATGTAACAAATGTTAGAGAAACACTGATGAAGTAAGCATAGCCCAACAGTCATGAAATCTGATGGGAAGGCAGACAAAAACACAAATTTATATAAGTATTTTACAGAAAAAGATCTTTGAGATAGTGTGGCACTTGAACAAATTTAAATTAAAGGTTCTGCAAGGAAGTCCTCTCTTTCTTTATAATTTAACAAATTCTGTCAATTTATAACATGAAGCTAAAATTTTTCTAATATTATAAAGGTTGAATTGTCCTCATAAAACAGAGTCCAATAAACTGCAGGCAAAATTGGGTACACTGACTATTTTTGTTTTTACAATTTTAAATAGTTATGTTTTAAATATATATTTATCTATATAATATCCTTGATGTTCTCTCTTGTCTTCAGAAGCCTGAAATATTTGCTGTATCATCCTTAAGAAAGAGTTTTATGACTTTGTCTTATTAGTTAATACAAAATTGAGAATTAGAATTCAGCAAACTTTTAGAAGGCTGGTTACAATGACTACTAAAGTCCCTTTTATCTTTCAGTTTATGATTTTTTAATTCACCTTAAATTATATTGGAAGTCTTGTAAATCAAAGTATGAAAGCAACAAGGAAATAGTAATTGTTCTCTAAAGCAGTGGTTCTGAAACTTTCTGCATCATAGATCTTTTTGGAAATCTGGAATTTCTCTGCAGATAAATGCATGTATGTGAGCAAACCCACTGAATTTTCATATATTTCCACCAGAATCTGGCCTCCTGGCTTCCTATCAATGGGTGATGTAGAGATTCAAGAACCACAGATTCAGAACTTCTTTTTCTTTTGCCAAAAGTTTGGTTGTTTACTTAGATTAGCAATGACTCTAAAATCCATAGAGACATAATTTTTCTATTTGCATTATCTGTCTGCATTCCTTTTAGATAGAGGAAATGAGCTGTCCTTGAATAATAAATTGGCTGATAGACATTACTGATGCCCCTCACCACCCCCCCACCCCCTGCTGTTTGACTCTAAAGTTGATTTTGGTTGCTCTTCTTTCTTCAATAGCTAGGAGATGTTTTAAAAAGTAAATTGTAAATACAGGGTGTATAGGAAGCTACATTATGCTATTCCAATTGGATTGCTATCCCTCACCTTTCATTTGGATATTAAGAAAGCAAAATATTCGTGTCAAAGCAAAACTCTTGGTAAAGCTTTTAGGACTTTACTAATGCATTCCAACCTCATAGGTTTGGCTTCATTCTCTGAAGCTGAAAATAGCTAACAAATGGCTTTCCAGTACTGCCTGAGTTGTATCGTATTTCTGTTCTGCTTGTTGGCATACATGATATAGGGAGATGACATCATATATATCAAATCTTTCCCTCATTAAGAAACTTAGTTCAGGTTTTTCTTAGAGATACCTTTGTTTCATTTTATCCACAATGGGGATATTGCAGGATTAAAGTACAAATTAAAATCCCTTCAAAAGTGAAAATAGTAAAAAGGCAAAATATTCTGAATACATGTTTAAAGTCTAATACAGACACATATAGCTGAAGCACAGGAATATGTTGAGATGTATGTGGACATGCCCTGGTGGATATATATGTATGTCTCCCAGTATTAATATCAATTTTAACATCTACCTTAGGGAATGGTGGGAATTCCAGAGGAACCTTCCAAAACAAAATTTACATTGAATCTTCTCTGTCCTGTGGAAGAACTCAGAAAGATGAATTTTTACATGGAATAATGTTCTAGATATGAGAAAAAAAAATCTTCATTTTGCACTACTTTGGACCGGGAGAAATTTGTGGAAACAGGATTTCTGAGAGCCACAAGATGGTTAGTAAACATCAGGCCTGGGTGGAAAGCAGAACAGGAGGCCTGGGGAAGGCACAAGACTGTGCCTCTGTAGGAGTGACCACTCGCTCCCTGTACATTTCAAAATAGCTAGAAGGGAATAATTTTAATATTTCTAGCATAAAGAAAAGATAAATATTTAAGATTATAGATATCCCAATTACCCTGATTTGCTTATATGAATGTATTAAATTATTACATTTACCCTAAATAGGTACATCTAATATGTATCAACAAAAAAAAAGATTAAACAAAAGAAAGCTATTAAATTTTTTTCTCTAAACTTCGGTGCCTTTAATATAAACAGTAAGTGGTTATTGTCGTAGCATGTATCTTATTGTCAAGGTAAAGAACTGCTTATACATATAATTGAAACATTCATGTTGAAAAACAAAGTGCTTTTTGAGCATCAGTGAACATTGAGTGAAGACACATTCCAAACTTGAGGACACCTGTAGTGTTGTCTTCCCAAAAAGCATTTTAAAACTTTTGACTGTTGCTAAGTTTACAGCTTTAGCTGTACCTGAAAAATTGACTTCAGGCTAAAATAAGGTCAGTGTCTTGTCATTATTTAAATACAGTTGTCCTTTTTTTTTTTTTTTTTTGAGATGGAGTCTCGCTCTGTCGCCCAGGCTGGAGTGCAGTGGTGCGATCTTGGCTCACTGCAAGCTCTGCCTCCGGGGTTCACGCCATCCTCCAGTCTCAGCCTCCCAAGTAGCTGGGACTACAACTGCCCGCCACCAAGCCCAGTTAATTTTTTTTTTTTTTTTTTGTATTTTTAGTAGAGATAGAGTTTCACCATGTTAGCCAGGATGGTTTTGATCTCCTAACCTCGTGATCCACCCACCTCAACCTCCCAAAGTGCTGGGATTACAGGTGTGAGTCACCACGCCTGACCCAGATATCATTTTTATAATTGATAAATGTAATTAATAAGTATATAAGATATACTATCTTATAGTAATTAAATAATATATATCAAATAAATACATATGCAGATAAACACATCACGCATTGTTCTTCAGGCTGGCTACAATATTTAGGTACCACAAAAATGTGATGAAGGTATAAACAAATAAAATCTGTGTCTCATTTTTAAAAAGTATTTTTGCAATCATTTATATCTCTTCAAACAGAGCCTTTTTCATTGGCTTCTGCATTTATACTGTGATAAGTATGAGTGTACACAGACACACAACAAGCTCTCAGTAGGCATGTATGTGCCTGTTAAAATGTGATGCTACTTGAATATATTCTATGTGTATATATGTTTTTGATGGAAGAATGTTTGAAAAATCTCAATGGTAAATATCAGTTTTATATAAAAACCAGCATATGTTTAAAAACTACTCTACCCTTCTCAAGTATTTTTCCCTGCAATCCTATCCCCCCCATCTTCTATCTCACTTTTAGATCATCTTAACTAGAAAACAATTTGACAGTTTCTTATAAGCATATATGTACCATATAACCTAGTAATTCCATGCCTGGATATTTACCATAAAGAATGAAAACTTACATTCACACAAAATTTTTCATTGTCCATTGTAATTTTATTTGTAATAGCCCAAAAAAGCAGCTCATATGTTCTTCAATGGGTAAATGAATAAACAAACTGTCCTTTATCCATATAGTGGAATACTGTTGAGCAACAAAAAAGAACAAACAATTGTTAAATGTGACAACTGGGATGGATCTCAAGGGCATTGTGCTGAGTGGAAAAACAATCTCAAAAGGTTTTCTATTGTATAAGTTTATTTATATAACAGTGTTAATAAGAAAAAATTGTAGTAATGAAGAAAAGATGAGTGATTGCCAGGAACTAGGTTGGAGGGTGGTTGCTGGGACTACAAGGGGGAGGTTGAGAAAGTTTTTTTGGGGTGATGGCTCAGTTCTGTGTCCTGGTTTATGGTGGTAGTGTTCACATGAATCTACACATATGATTAAATTCGAATAAACTAGACAACAATTGGTAAAATCTGAATATAGCCCATATTTTAGTTAATAATATTGTGCCAATGCCAGTTTTCGGATTTTAATCATTGTACTTTGGTTATATAAGACATTATCAGTAATGTAGATGGAACAGGAGGTCATTATGTTAAGTGAAATAAGCCAAGAACAAAAAGACAAACATCACATGTTCTCACTCATATGTGGGAAGAAAAAAAAAACAGAATCCCATGAAGATAGAAGATTTGTAGTGCAAATATAAGGTCTGATGGAAGAAATAAGACCTAGTGTTGGATTAATCAGTACTATAACTACAGTTTATAATAACCTATTACGTATTTTAAAATAGAAGAGAATCGTTTAAATGGTTCAGCATAAAGAAAATACATATTTAAGATGATGGATACTGTAAATACATTGATTTGATATTTACAAATTATATGAATGTATTAACTTATTACATGCACTCTGAAACTGCATACACCTATCATGCATCAATAGAAAATAATTAAAAGAATATAAAGCACAGTAAAAAGATTTTTTGGTAACTACTGTGTGATTGTACCATTATTTCAAAATAAAAATATAAAAAATAGAGGTCTTCACATAACACTCTCAAAAGGCTCACTAGAAAGGAAAGGATACTACAAGCCTCCTGACACCTTCACCCATACTAATTTCCTTCTATCCTGCTAAATACAGGAGCACCTCTCCTCCCATCTAAGACCAAACTCGTCAATTAGGTTTTCTAGCCTATCTCTTTACAACTTATCAGCAATCCTATCTATTATTGTAGGTATCTCCTCTATCTCTCAGCTGTGTTCTTTCTATGAGTTTGTAAACTTCCTCAGATTACATGCCATTTTTTAAAAAAAAGTAGTAATTCCTTCCTTTGATCTAATATTCCCTTCTGCCTGCTGCTGTCATTTTTCTTCCCATTCTTAAATCCAAACCTTTCAAAAAGGTGCATATGTATATATACGTACAGAAACCACCTCTTCACCTACTACCTTTACTTCAGCCTACACCAATGCTTTTGGAGAGTTTCAGTGATCATCGGGGGAGGAATTTGTGAAGGGTGATCATCAATAACATTAACCCCACTAAATCCAATGGACTGCTTCACAGTTCTTATCACAGGTCTTTACACTTATTTGTGTGAATATTTGATTAATAGCTATCTCCTCACTAGACTGAGACCAGAGAATAACTTTAAAATTATTGCTCTACTCTTGAACAGAGTGGATGTTCAACTGTGTAAGCCTAAAATTAACAACTGTACATAATCGTTTAAAAATACAATTCTCTAGCTAAGAGGAACTTGTTATTCCGGTGACTTATGTACCATTATTTATTTGAAATAGCCACTTGGTAATCTCAGATGCATCTCCAGATTATCATGTTCAAAACTGAACTCAAGATCTTTTTCCTACAACTTATTTACACCCAGTATTCTCCATTTTAAGAAATGGCACGTCTATGCATTCAGTTATACAAGCCTGAAATGTAGAAGTAATTCTTAACTTTTGTGAACTTTCATATCCAAAACATTCTCCATTTTGCAGATTTTATCTCCCAACTATTACTTGAATGAAACTTCCCTTTCTCTTCTTGAAATGCTAAATACTATCCCACTTATTATCTCTCATTCAAATGGCACATTCCTCGTAATTGGTCTTTATACTTCTACATATTAATATATATAAATATGTAAATACACATATGTATATTAATATAGTATTACATGGCATGTTAGATATATAACTATCATATATCATATATTTAAAAATTGTAAATATTAATATATATTTCTTAATATGATATACTGATGTATTGATATATTAATATAGAAAGAAAAATTATTATTTATAAATACATTGATATATGAACAGTTACCCAAATGAATCCTGAGTTTACTTGGACTCGACACATCCAACGAGCAACAGCAGAGTGCCTATTCTGTGTCAGGCACTCTGAGCTATTTGAGATTCCAAAAATGTCCATGTATGGCTCCTGCCTTCAAGTCTTTCAGTCCTAAACTGTGCTTCAGGTTGTCTGAGTGACCTTGTAGGGAATCGGTAACCAGTTTACTTGCCATTTTCCTTTATCCTGATAATCCTGAAAGTCATTGTTATGAGCAAAATGTTGTCATGTCTCCCTGCAAGACTCCTCAAATTCATATGTTGAAATCCTAACCACCAGTACTTTAGAATGTGACTGCACATGGAAATAGGATCTTTAGAGAGGTAATTAAGTTAAAATGAGGTCATGAGGATGGACCCTAATCCAATATGACAGGTATTCTTATAATACATAGGGATAAGACCCTAATCCTTATGAGAGGTATCCTTATAGGACATAGACAGGTAGACACAGAGGGAAGATCATATGAGGACACAATGAAAGGTGGTCATCTATGAGTTGAGGACAGAGGCCTTACCAACCGTACTAGCACCTCGATCTTGGAATTCTATCCCCAGATCTGTGAAGAAATAAGTTTCTGTTGGTTAAGTCTCCTAGTCTGTGCTACTTTGTTATGGCAGTCCTGGCAAACAGATACTTTCTCCCTTCTCTATAGGTACATACTTTTGAAATCTCAGCATACTTTCCAACAAAGCTGACAAGACTTTTAATAACAATAACTAAAACTTTTATAGGGCTTCAAAATTTAAATAACTGTGTACATGATGCCTTATTTAATCTTTACACCAACCTGAGAGTATCAGTGTTATTTCTCTTTCTAGTTTTTTTTGTGCAATTTACTTCCTCCTAAACTCTCCCTGTAAGTGATAGAGCCTGGATTAAAACCCAGTGTTTTGATTTTCAAGCTTATGGGTGTTTAAACAATTGCCTGAATATTCCACGAACTGTACAATGAGCAATGCAGAATTAACTGTAATTGGCTTTCTTCATAAAAAGTGGTTAACACAATAGGATTCTTTTATCTCTTCTCATCAGGGAGTTCAGATGTGCATGTGTGGAGCTGTGTGTGAGTCTGTAGCCTCTGGTGACTAGCTGAAACATTGACAGTCAATCGGAATCAAACACCTCACAATGGTATTCTCCAAATGATGTTCATTAAGTGAAGCTTTTCTTCTCTCACAACCTAAAATAATCTTGTTTTGCAGAAATAAACAATAACAGTGGCCTGGGGATATTCAGGGAAGATTCCACCACAGAAAACAGAATGTGGAAGTTGTTAGTCTTTTTTGCCTCTATGAGCTGTTATGAAACCTTGTGTTTCAAATCACAGCATGGCAAACTCAGTTTATCAATATCTGGATACTGAATTCAAGATCTTGGTACCTTACTGAGCTGCTATGAAAAGCTATACAGGAATAACTTGAAATTTTTAAATATTCTATTGGTTATTAATGCATTTTTATCTAGTCAGAGCAGGGCTTCTGCTTGGGAATCTACTTAAGTAAAAACTACATTTCTAAGGTATTTTTATATAAGTGGTTTCTTGCTAATTAGTAGAAGATATTCTTTCCAAAGAGAGGCCTTCTTTACTCTTCATCTCTGCATGTTAAGCTGTTTATGAAAAATACTTAATATTTCAAAGATTTCTCAAAGTCTCAGAAATAAAGGTCATCATGAAAATCAACAAAAGTAATTATGGTCCTTATCAAACACATCAAATGTCCGTGCTTGCTTTTTTGTCCATGTTCTGGAATATTAAAAATGTTAGTCGGCTGGGTGCGGTGGCTCACGCCTGTAATCCCAGCACTTTGGGAGGCTGAGGCGAGTGGATCACCTGAGGTCAGGAGTTCGAGACCAGCCTGGCCAACATGGTGAAACCCTGTCTCTACTAAAAATACAAAAATTAGCTGGGCGTGATGGCAGACACCTGTAATCACAGCTACTTGGGAGGCTGAGGCCGGAGAATCTCATGAACCCAGGAGGCGGAAGTGGCAGTGAGCCGAGATCGTGCCATTGCACTCCAGCCTGGGCGTCAAGAGCGAAACTCCGTCTCAAAAAATAAAAAATAAAAAATGTTGGTCAACAATGTCATTATCTATATTTGTTAACAAGTTATGGAGGCATTATCATATGTATTAGGTTTGTTGTGTAGTGGAAAAATGAAGCAGTTCAGCAAGTCCTCAAAGAGCTTATAGTGATTTGAAAAAGCAGAACAGGTATGAGTGTAAATGGTTTGAAATTATTAAATATACCACCTCTGAGGTAAGACAAATAGAGATACTTCTACCTATTGTTTTTTAAATCTATGTCTTTAACTTCATTTATTGTCAAATTTTAATGACTAGTAAATGCAAGATAAGATCAATTGGTAGTAGAGACAATACCATATTGCATTGTTTCTTATTTTACTGGAAATGCCTTTTTTTCTACATTAAATGGAACGTTTACTTACTGCAGGGCTGAGGTATATTTATTATATTATTCTGTTAAGACTTATCAATCAATTCTTATTTAATTCAGGGTTTTTTGACACAAGTGGATGTTGGATTTTGTCAAGCAAAAGGTCTGCTGCTGTAAAAATTATCAGATGGTTTTTCTTGGTTCTATTAATGTGAAAGATTTTATTAAAATACTTTATAATAGAGGATTAATTCTATTAATGTGCTGTTGATTCTTCTTTTTTTTAATATTTGCATAAATATTCATAAGTGGGGTTGGGCTGTAAATATTATTTTTTTGTTTGTTTTTGGTTTTTGTATTGTTGTTTTTTTTCTTTTTTGTTTGTTTTGAGATGGAGTCTTGCTCTGTCGCCCAGACGGATCACTAGGTCAGGACTTTGAGATCAGCTTGGCCAATGTGGTGAAACCCCGTCTCTACTAAAAATGCAAGAAAATTATCTTGGTGTGGTGGCCCAGGGTGGAGTGCACTGGCACAATCTCTGCTCACTGCACCTTCCGCCTCCTGGGTTCAAGCAATTCTCTGCCTCAGACTCCGGAGTAGCTGGGATTACAGGCACCCACCACCATGCCCGGCTAATTTTTGTATTTTTAGCAGAAACAGGGTTTCACCATCTTTGCCAGGCTTGTCTTGAACTCCACCTCATGCAGTGTTGACCAGGCTGGTCTCCAACTCCTGCGTTCAAAGGATGCTCCCACCTCAGCCTCCCAAGTGGCTGGGATTATAGACATGTGCCGCTATGTCTGGCTTCCTCTGTTTTAGTGTCTATGTTGTTGTTACTTCTAAATTTGTATGTTTGTGGTTTTACTTTTTTCCCTTACTTAGCTTATCATGTCAGTTTCGTTGATTTTATTGAAGATCAATATGTGAGATTTATTTGTTGGTTTCATAGCTTTTTGTTGGTTTATTTTTTTGCCTCAATTTTTATTTCTCATCTCTCTACATTTATTTAATTGTACATTTTTGGTTTCAATAATTGTTCTAATTTTTTTTACTTTTATAGTTTTTATTGATATAGGTATTTGATGTTATCAGTCTTACTCTATAACTGCCTTTCTTGTAAGCCAAAATTCTAAAATATCCTGTTTTTAGTAAGATAAAATAAAATGTCCTGTTTTTATTATTATTTAAGCAATTTCATAATTTTGTTTTGTATTTCCCTTTTAACCTGAGATTTATTTAGCACACTTTCAGTTTCTATATTAAAATCTCTTTTGAAAATAATTTTATGATTTCTAGCAGAAAATATTATTTATTAGCATATTTTGTGGGTTAACATATGGCCATATTTTGTACATGCTTCATATTTACTTGAACATAATTTATCCTCTTTTATTGAGGTTCCTACTTGGATATATATCACTGATGAACTTATTGAAAAGTAAAAGGAATGGCAAAAACTGCAATTACTTTTGCACCGACCTAATTATTTGTTAGTTCTTTTACATATTTTCTAACTCTTTATCCACTTAATCAGTCTTGGATTGTAAGAGTTGGGTTAAATTCTACTGTTATTAATATATATCTGCTTATTTCTTTCATAACTATAGTTTTAGCCTCCTAAAATTTGTTGCTGTACAAATATCAATAACTGTTATCATTATAATCTGTAACTTTTAGCATCATGAGATGTCATTTTTGTTTCTTTTATGCTTTCACGACAGTATTTCACCTCATCAAATATCAGCATCAAAATTCTGTCTTTCTTTCTATTTGTGTGTATGTGTGTGTTTTTGGTTTACTTTTTAAGTATAATGGTGCTGAATCTCTTTGTATTATGATGTTTCATGTATAATGTTAAAATTTGATTTTTTAGCCAATCTGAAAAGCTGTGTTTTTAGTAGGTTAAGTTCTCTGATATTTGCTGATATTACCAATATGTTTAGTCTTAGTTTTGTAATATTATTTCATGTTGTATTTATATATACTCAAATACTTCATAATCATCCTTTGTTAGCAAATAATCTGAATTTCAAACATATAAGAACTATTTCAACCTGGCATATGCACCCCTACAAAATCTCTACACTTCCTTAACAGAAAATAAGAAATTTCAAGGAGATATATATATATATCTAGATATATATATATATCTATATATATATATCTAGATATATATATATATAGTAAAACTATTGATATTTGAGGTTAAAAAATTGTGATTCAATGTAATATCATTGATATTCCCATTTGCCATCAATTACCGTATAACTAACTTTGTGAGTCTTCGCAGATTTTTATAAGTCAAACACTTGCTGCTTTGCGCCTGATTATTTTTTAATCTGATTATTCACAGCTTGCTAATTTGTAATTGGGTTTTTACAACTAGAAAACCTCCAGATTTCAGAAAAACTAATTTATTTTTTTCTTTGCTTAATTGTAGTGTTCACACTCAAAACAGTGGAGTGAGATGACTTCTAGTGGGTTTTCTGCAGTGTTCTGGAACCAATAAAATATATTATTGATTGCCTAATGAAAAGCACCATGTTCATACAAATTTACTGAGTCTGGGCAGGGATACAACTGCTACTTTTATTCTGTTTAGAGAATCACCTGCCATTTTACCAGGGTCTATTGCTACATATCAAGTGTGCTTTAAATTAGGTTGGGGTTACCTACAGGGAACTTTGTTAGGTGCTCTTATCCTTTTCCTTTCCTGCAGAGCTACCCATTGCTTCTCATTTAGCCAAAAATCATCAAAATTAATTAAGATTGAGTGGTATAAAAGTTGAAACAAAGTACAAGTTAAGTCCCTTTGAGTCTCTCGAAATTACAGAGTAGAATTTTATATTGTATTTACCACATTACTATGTAAGGTTTAGGCAAACTGACAGGGTGGGCCGATTAAATTTGCTGATTTAAAAATCAGAATTTCAAGAAAACACCTAGAAAAAAGATAGTGCAAAGAGAGCCATGCTTACCAGGATCAAGTGAAAAATTACGAAAATATTTTCATTTCATTAGTCCTTTTGACTAATGTTCTCAAAATATGGTCAATGCAGAGATGTCACAATTGGAAGAATAAAAACAAAGTGAGAAATTTTGTCATTGACTCTCATGAATATATAATCTAGTATGTCTTATATGACATTAGATAGTATCAAGTAATACTGCAAAATAGCATTTGTATTCGTCAGAAAAGTTTATGGTAACAAATATCACCTGAATCTCTGTTCTATTAAACAACAAAGGTTTATTGCTCACCTACACTACACCTTTAATGCATGTTGGCAAGAAGTTATATTCAGATAAAAAGGAGCTCTAGACAGTATTATATGGGCAATTAAATATTCCAGTCTACAAGTGACGCACGTCTCTTCTGCTCACAACTCATTGAAATGGCCATACCCGTAAAGGGCCAGTAATTTCAATCTTTCTATGTGCCAGAAGTTGGGAGAACAATTAATAGTTATCAAAGAACCCTAATGATCACCACAGTACCCAAGAATTAAATTGAGTGGAGCACATAACCGCTATTTGGGAAAAGACATAATAGAAACATTAAAATCTCTAGTCACTTTTCAGCAAACAAACTGATCTGCATCTAAGTTGTCCCAGATACTGCCTTCAAATACCTTAAATGACTAGGAAGAAGATAAAAATAGACATCTATCTATCTATCTGTCTATCTATGCAATTGCAATACAATGTGTCACTTATATTATGGAAACTAAAACACCACAGTATATTGTGCTATTCGTGCCTAGACTAGCTCAGAAGTATTGTTGAAAGTAAAATGATCTTGAATTATAAAACCATAGTGATGCTTTCATGGGCAATGCCATTCACTATTCTAGTCTGTGCTGCCAATAACATATCTCCCCATGCACTAGATTTGGGAAGAAGCACACAAAGAGTTTTGCATAGTTTGATGTCTATCATAAGAGGCTTCTATCATGGATGTGATGAATATGAGAGGGATAAAAATTTAAAAATGAAGTTTCCAGAGAAGAGTTAATTTTTAAAATCTTTTTCTAGCATTACATTGAAAAGTAACATCTGTCATAGAATTCTAACTGGTGAAAACTCAATTGGTGTTTTTTAGAGATCAGCTTGAGAATACATTACACACTATTACAGTTGCTTGACATGTAGTCACTTAGATGTATTGGTGTATATGTTTGTGTATTTGATTGCTTTTAAATAAATAAATGCTATTTTCATCCTCGGGCACAATTCCTTTCAACTGCCACTATCTGGTATTGCAATCAGTGTTCCTCTCTCTCTGTGATCAGTACAGAAGATTTATGGATCTTTGAGCAGTTTTTCAAATTAGCTCATGTTGAAGAGTAGGATAAGGTCTCCAGAGTTGTTGAGACATGAAAAAAGATGAATTTGTGGAAAGTAAAGAAGTAAATGATATGGTTTGGCTGTGTCCCCACCCAAAGCTCATCTTGAATTGTAACTCCCACAATTCCCACATGTCATGGGAGGAACCCGGTGAGAGGTGACTGAATTATGGGGGCAGGTCTTTCCTGAGCTGTTCTAGTAATAGTGAGTGAGTCTCATGAGATCTGATGGTTTTAAAAACAGAAGTTTTGATGTTTTTTTTTTCTTGTAAATTTGTTTAAGTTCCTTGTAGATTCTGGATATTAGACCTTTGTCAGATGGATAGATTGCAAAAATTTTCTCCCATTCTATAAGTTGCCTATTCACTCTGATGATAGTTTCATTGGATGAGCTGAAGCTCTTTAGTTTAATTAGATCCCATTTGTCAATTTTGTCTTTTGTTGTAATTGCTTTTGGTGTTTTAGTCATGAAGTCTTTGCCCATGCCTATGTCCTGAATGGTACTGGCTAGGTTTTCTTCTAGGCTTTTTAGAGTTTTATGTTTTCTGTTTAAATCTTTAATCCATCTTGAGTTAATTTTTGTATAAGGTGTAAAGAAGGGGTCCAGTTTGAGTTTTCTGCATATGGCTAGCCATTTATTAAACAGAGAATCCTTTCCCCATGCTTATTTTTGTCAGGATTGTTGAAGATCAGATGGTTGTAGATGTGTGGCATTATTTCTGAGGCCTCTGTTCTGTTCCATTGGTCTATATTTCTGTTTTGGTACCAGTACCATGCTGTTTTGGTTACTGTAGCATTGTAGTATAGATTGAAGTCAGGTAGCGTGATGCCTCCAGCTTTGTCCTTTTTGCTTAGGATTGTCTTGGCTATATGGGCTCTTTTTGGGTTTCATGAAATTTAAAGTACTTTTTTCTAGTTCAGAAAGTGGGCAAAGGATATGAGCAGACAGTTCTCAAAAGAAGACACTTATGTGCCAACAAACATATGAAAAAAAGCTTATTATCACTGGTCATTAGAGAAATGCAAATCAAAACCACAATGAGATATCATCTCACACCAGTTAGAATGGCAATCATTAAAAAGTCTGGAAATAATAGATGCTGGTGAGGATGCGGAGAAAAAAAGGAATGCTTTTACATTGTTATTGGGAGTGTAAATTAGTTCAACCATTATGGAAGATAGTGTGGTGACTCCTCAAGGATCTAGAACCAGAAATACCATTTGACTCAGCAATCCCATTACTGGGTATATACCCAAAGGATTACAAATCATTCTACCGTAAAGACACATGGGCCAGATGCAGCGGCTCACACCTGTAATCCCAGCATTTTGGGAGGCTGAGGTGGGCGGATCACGAGGTCAGGAGATCGAGACCATCCTGGCTAATATGGTGAAACCCCGTCTCTACTGAAAATACAAAAATATAGCTGGGTGTGGTGGCGGGCGCCTATAGTCGCAGCTACTTGGGAGGCTGAGGCAGGAGAATGGCTTGAACCCAGGAGGCGGAGCTTTCAGTGAGCCAAGATCGCGCCACTGCACTCCAGCCTGGGCGACAGAGCGAGACTCCATCTCAGGAAAAAAAAAAAAAAGACACATGCACCTGTATGTTTACTGCAGCACTATTTACAATAGCAAAGACTTGGAACCAACCCAAATGCCCACCAATGATAGACTGGATAAAGAAAATGTGGCATATATACACCATGGAATAATATACAGCCATAAAAAAGAATGAGTTCATGTCCTTTGCAGGGACATGGATGAAGCTGGAAACCATCATCCTCAGCAAACTAACACAGGAACAGAAAATGAGACACCGCATGTTCTCACTCTTAGGTGGGAACTTATGAGTGAGAACAGGGGGAACACATGGACATAGGGAGGGGAACATCACACAGTGGGGCCAGTTGGGGGATGGGGAGAAGGGGGAGGGAGCGCATTAGAGCAAATACGTAATGCACGTGGGTCTTAAAACCTAGATGACGGGCTGATGGGTGCAGCTAACCACCATGACACATGTATACCTATGTAACAAACCTGCATGTTCAGACATGTATTCCAGCACTTGAAGTAAAATTAAAAAAAAAAAAGTAAAAAAAAGGAAGCTTTTTCTGTACCAGCTCTCTGTTTGCCTGTCACCATTCATGTAAGATATGACTTGCTCCTCCTTCCCTTCTGCCATGATAATTATGAGGGCTCCCCAGCTGTGTGGATTTGCAAGTCCATTAAACCTCTTTCTTTTGTAAATTGCCAAGTCTGGGGTATGTCTTTATCAGCAGCCAGAAAACAAACTATTACAGTAAAGATTTAAAATGGACTGTGATGAGCCAACAATTAAGTTGTGCTACCAAAACCAGTTGTTCCTCTTCCTTCTCTGTTGTCCTTTACCTATGATGCTTAGTACATCTACATAACACCCTAGATCAAGTAAGATTAAAAAGAACTCTATAATGTATGAGAGTTCCAATGGCTTCTGAAATAAAGGAAAAAAGGAAGTCTTCCTGTGTAGTATTGTGGAAGGAAGAGGAGATTTCTATAGGTAGCTGGTGAGGGTATCCTCTCAAATTTCAGGTCCACCTGGAACTTCAGAATGTGATCTTATTTGGAAATAAAGTATTTGCAGATGTAATTAGTTAGAATTAAGTCATAAGAGATTAGAATGTGCCTTAAATCCAGTATGATTGTTGTTTTTATACTAAGAGAAGCTCCAAATATGTAGAGACACACAGGGAAGAATCTTACATGACAAGAGAGGCAAGGATTGGAGTTATATTGCCACAAGCCTGAAATCACCTGAAGCTAGGAAGAGGCAGGGGAGGATTTTTTTCTAGACCATTCAGATGGAGCATGGCTCTGCTAACACCTTGATTTTGGACTTCTGGCCTCTACCACTGTGCGAAATTAAATTCCTACGTTTTAGATTACCTGGTTTAATGGTACCTTGTTATAGCAGTCCTAGGAAACTTAATACAAATAAGTATTTTCTGGTTATATGGTGTGTGCAAATCCATGGCAAATTCTATTTTATAATAATCCCTTTGATTATGTTAACTTTTAAGTTCTAATGCTAATTAGATCCACTTATTGACTTATTGATATAGTAAATGAACTACTACTGTATGTTTGTATTGCCTGTGCATGTGTGAAAAGCAAGGTATGAATTTGCATAGTACATCTAATAAGTGGCTTTATGTATTACTAGGAAACAATCCACGAATGGTACAAATGAAGATTACAAAAATTAAGATTTAAATTCTTAAAAATAAAAGCAGGATGGCATAGCAGAAGAGGTGTAAGGATAAAAATCAAAACACTTGAGTTCCAGTGTTGCTGCTACAATTTAAATGTGCATGACTTTATGCAAGCCATTACATTTTTCTACATCTGTAGTCAGAAAATAAAAATGTCAGACTTCCCATTTCACAGGATTGTTTGAGAAATGAACATACTTATACTACTTTATTAAAGTGTATAGTAATATGAAGTTTATTATATTTGTTAATTAAGAAGGTACTTGAATGAAATGTATATAACTCACATTTGCAAGCCATATGTTCTGGTATAATGGAAAATCACTGTTCATTCAATGTGCTTATCTTAATGGCTTAGAGAGAAGCTTATCAGAGTCAAAATTATTTTCATAATTCAGGTTGTCATTTTTGGAAGGTTATCTAGAGCCATTTTGCAAACCTGAGAACAAGTGGATGAGTGGCATCTGCAATTTGTAACTTTGGCTTTTTAGTGCACAAACACAGGACCAATAATTTACAAAATCTACAAGTCTTTTTTTCACACTTCACAGAAATATTTCTGAAAAGTTTTATGCCAACAATTGGACCTCATCTTTCTAATCAGCTTTTTAGCAAAAATGAAAACAGTGGTGCTGTTATCCAGGGATTTCCTAGAAGAACTGATGAAATGTCAGGCTAGTCATTTGCTTGCTTTGTTGATTGCAGAGAGGACATTTTTTCTTGTTCAGTTTTTGACTTTTATCAGTTAACACAGACAACATGATAAAGGGGAAGAAAGCCAATGATATCTTCGCGCATGCAGAAATAAGAAAAATTTATGAACATTGGTACTTTTCAAAAGATAATTTGTCTTCATTTCCATCATTTTGTGTGTACTACTGGCATTTTGACACCTGCAGATTTTGGCTTGGCCTGTATTGAACAGATGCACACTCCATCACACGTGGGTATGGTTTTTAGGCAATGCATTTTTCCTTCACAAGCATGTCGCCCACCCACCGGAAAGAGCTGAATACCTCCATTGATTCTGTATATTTCTTTCAAATGATACTTTGTATTTTATTTCTGCTCATTAGTATGATAGTTAAAAATCTTATCTTCTGTACCCTACCTTTTAAAAATCTAGGTTTCAATATTATTTACTTCCTTTTTTTTCTCTCAGTTACTTCTTTTTATTTTCATTGGTAAGAAATTGTAAAGTGTAACAGAATGAGTGGAAAATCAATGAATACCCCGTTGGTTAAAATCTCTGTTATGGCTTTTTAATATATTTAATAACATGGGGATAATTAAGTGCCACTTAATGTCAACTGATTTTATTTAAGAAGAAATTGTTTATATTTTTCATAATTTGGTTTTAACTTTGTAGACACCATTTGCTTTATGTTTTATGAATTTTGAGGACATACTTAAAACTAACAATAACATTATTAAAATATGAAAATATTGACACCATTAGCTAAAGCTTATCCACTAGGAGGAGCTGAGTGCTTTATCAAGTATATGTGAAATTTATGTCTAAAAACATTTAGTAAAATATTATCAGTATGTTGAGGTTAATACTGATAAAAGTAACATTAAGCTGAGATAAATTGAATGCCATTATGGTTATATAATAACTTAGAAGCAAAAAGTACAGAGTAAATTTTATTGTATGCTTCCAGCTAATTAGATTACTGAGTGGTTTGAAGTAACTAAAATAAAATTCTACATGTGATTTTTTTAACATCAAAGATCCTTGTAAATTTTTTGTATGTTTACACAATTAAACTGCTTTATAACCAATTTAGTATAAACTAGATCTAAAGGTAGGATATCAAAAAATGCAGGGCAGGGAGTCTGTCTGGATCTGCTGTGATTCTGGGGGCTGCCCAATTCGTGAATCATTCATTGCTCAGTTAAACTCCTTTAAATGTAATTTGATTGAAGTTTCTCTTTTAACAGATGGTGTCAGAAGCGGGGTTCAAAGTAGAGCTTTAATGACCCCCAGAAGTGCTGAGTGAACAAGCAAGGTACCTGCAAGGACCCACTTGTGTCCTTTGATCTCTCAGAGCAGTGGGTAAGTTCTCTCTCAGATTTTGGAGTGCCACAGATTTGTGTTTTGAGCTTTCTGATTTTCTTTGAGCAAATTTCTGTTCTAAACTGGGTTTGGAAGTAACAACAGAAACTGGACTGAGTCCAGGGTCAGATTTGATCTAGTAATTAACTGGCTTGGATCTAGTTAGAGGCCTCTTACATCTGACTGGGTCAGAAAGAAACTGGTAGTAAATGGTAATGTTGTTGGGGTTGTAAAGTTTGGCTTTCGAAAATTTGCAGGGATTTTTGTGTTCTACCCCTTTGTTTCATAGAAAAATCACTGGCTAAGGCAATCAAGGGAACCTGAGAGTAAAGCCAATATTTTAGGTAAAAATGGGATCCTTAATTTCTAAAAGACTGATTTCCTTTCAACTTAAACATTAGGCTCAGGAAGCAACAAAGTCTTACGGAAATGGTGAAGTCTTACCAAAGATAACTTACAGTGGAACACTCTGAATGAACAACGATGTATTGAAGTGAATTTAAAAACGAGGGCTCCCCAAAATTACATCTACTGACTTTTTAGCTTAGTTACTATTCCGATCCAAAGGAAATAGACTGCAACACCAATTGGCTGACTTTGGATAAGTATTGCCGTACATTTCACCTGAGTAAAGGATGGGATTGGGTTAGAGGCCCTCTCCTCAGTAAAGTCCCTCTTGGTTAAAATGGATTAAAGGTGACAGGGCCCAACCAGGGGCAAATTTGACCTTTTCCAGTTCAATATTGGGTGCTAACCAGAGTGGCTAATGTCTATGTTTTGTCACACATATTTTGCTCTGGCCAGAATGGAAAATGTTAATTTGGTTACTACATAAAGCTCCTTGGGCAGCATCTTGCAAAATGAGGAGGATTTTGCCTGTGGTTCCATGATTTTCCATTGTGATGCAGCTTGGTCCCCAGAGGTATGGTATGGCAAACAGGATTGCTAGGGCTGCTCATGGAAGAGGAACCCAGAAACCTGACATGCTGGCAAAAGGGTAAGAATTTCCTACCAGTCAGGCTTCTGGTCTCTCTTTCTCTGTGCAAACCAGTTGAATGAATGACAAAAATCACTGTTTATCTCCTCTGTAAAGTTCTGATTAATGTGAAAAAGGATTCTGAGGCTAGTCTTAAACTGTGGTGAATCTGGTGTATTTTTGCTATGAATTTGTCTTTCTGTGTCATTCTGTCATGAATAGGGGTACCTTAGGATACCTTAGGATACATGGGCTTAGGATCCCATAAGCTCACTATTCAAGGTGGCCCAGCAAGCTGGTCAGTTACAAACTTTGCTGCAGGTCTCTGAAAAAAGCAAAAGAAAAACTGGATGAGGTCTGCATCTTGTTTTATGTCCTTGGGAGCTTAACCTTGTAACCATATGTCAGTACTTTCTTTTGGTTTCTGCCATTTTACAGTGGTGGCCCAGGTTCAATCCTGGCTTAGGAAATGAGTACTTTCTGGTTGGTATCTGTGTGACATTTACCATTTGATAGTTCTCTTCCCCTCCATGAACAACTTCTGTCTTCCCTTCTTGAATTTTTCTGTCTTCAAGCTACCTTCAAAGATTCTATATATTGTAAAAACTACCTGTGTTCTCAGCCCTATTTCTTGAAGGAGGCACCCTAAAGCAAGTAATCCAATTAAGAAACTTCAAAACTGGCAAGTGAAAAATCTTACAACTACCGGATCTTCTTCTGTCTGCCTGTGTAGTTATGTATGTGTTGTGTGTGTGATGTTTATACAAAAGAACTCTAATTAACTGGCTTAAAGAAAAATAAGTGCTTAAATGAGATATTTTGAAAGAAAAATAAAAACTAATTCTTTTTAGTTCACATAACTTTAGTAATCTTTGGGAAATAAAAAGTTTTAAAGATTATTGGTAAAATAAGGACATTTAGTCTAAATTAGGCAGGTCAGATATTAGGTATTCCAAAGACTTTAAGGTCATAAACTGCTGTGACTTTTGAAAATTGTTCAGTTTACCTACCATGAACACATTAGATTCTAGATAAGGCCTTGGGACGTGTTGAATTAGCCATGCCCCCTAGCTATGCCAAGAAGGTTATAAAGAAAAGAGTTTATATAAGAGAGGATCCCATATGGTAAATTCATGTCCTAAATTAAAATAACTGGTTGTTTAAAAAGAGGAATGTTTAGGACAAGCCAGAAAATCCAAGCATGTCGTAGACGGTCTGTGTAAGTCGTGAAATGATTGATGAAAGGAAATTTATGCACCAAAAGTAAAAGTTCCTAAGAGTTACCATTATAACATGAAATTAAGACTACTAAAAAAATAGTTTTATTAATACATGCAAGGTGTATGAGGAGCGTGAAATGTGTTTTTGGTTAAAGATTATAAGAAGGCAGCCAGGCACTATGTCTCAAACCTTAATCCCAGCACTTTGGGAAGCTGAGGTGGGAGGATCACTTGAGGTCAGGAGTTCAAGACTAGCCTGGTCAACAAGGTGAAACCCCATCTCTACAAGAAGTACAAAAATTAGCCCAGTGTGATGGCACACACCTGTAATTCCAGATACTTGGGAGGCTGAGGCAGGAGAATCTCTTGAACTCCGGAGGTGGAGGTTGCAGTGAGCCAAGATTGCACCACTGAACTCCAAGATTGCACCAGTGACATAGTGAGACTCTGTCTTAAAAAAAAAAAAAAAAAAGATTATAGGAAGTCATGGGGAAGTAAATCTTTGCCAGAGGGTTAGAAGATTGTTTTAACTTAGATAAATCTAAAAATTTGAACAAGTTGTGGAAGAGTTGTAAAAATTAACCTTGTAAAAGAAATTCTCTGTGTGGTAATTCTGTCTGGGATAAGTTTCACGTGGTCATGATGTGTAATATTTTTAATATGTTGCTGAGTTTGGGCTGCAAATATTTTGTTGACTTTTTGTCTATACTCAGAGAAATATTGATACGTGGTTTTCTTTTTTGTGATATTTTTGTCTGGAGTTAGCATTGGGGCAACTCACAATGAATTGAAAATTGTTGCAGCTTCTGAAATCTGTAACACTTTATGAATGTTTTATGTCACCTCTTTTTAAAGTACTTGATAGAATTTACCTGTAAAATCACCTGAATCTGAATTTTTCTTTCTTGGAATCATTTTAATTACCAGTTTAACTCCTTTACTTGGTATACATGTATTCACCTTTTCTATTTCTTTTCTTCTCAGTATATATAATTTGTTTTTTTATTTTAATCTTTGTCCATTTATTTAAGTTGTCTAATTTTTCAGCATAAACTTGCTTTTATTCCCTTATGTACATTTTAATTTCTGTAAAATCTATAATAATACACTACTTTTCATTTTGGATTTCAAAAATTTGTGTCTCTTTTTTCTTGTTCAATATATATAAGTTTTTGTCAATTTTGCTAATTTTTCCAGTGAAACTGATTGTGGTTTCATTGATTTCCTCTTTTCTCAGTTTTACTAATTCTGTTCTAATCTTTATTTTTTTCTCTGCTTTGAGTTGATTTTTTTCTCATTTTACTAGTTAAGTCTTAAGGTAGAAATATATTTATTTGAGATTTTATTTAACATTGGCATTTAAAGCTAATTTTTTTTTTTCTAAATACAGCTTTGCCTACGTTGCTTAATTTTTTTTAATGGTGTGATTCAATTTTCAGTCATTTTAAAGTATTCTCTAATTTCCTCTGTAAGTTATCTTTTGGTCCATGGGTTATTTAGTAGTGTGTGGTTTATTTTCTGAAGACTAAAATTTCCATAGTTTTGTTGATTTCTAATTTATTATCTTTGTTTTGATAATATACTTTATTTTATTCTTTTTAAAGCTGATTATTGATTAGTATGTTATGGCCTAGCATACGGTTTATCATAGTATATTTTCCATATGCCCTTGGAAAGAATGTGTATTCTGTTGCTGTTAGATGGACTGTTCCATAGATTTCAGTTAGGTACAGGTCTTTGGGGAACAGGCAAGGATTGTCTGTATTTTTATTCTCATTTTGAAGGGTAGTTTTATTGGTCATTGAATTAATCTTCATTTATTTAGATATATAAGTATGTCACTTCACTGCATTCTAGCCTCCATTAATTCTGAGATGTTAATTTTATTATAATTCCCTTTTATGTGCTAAATAGCTTTTAATCTCATTGGTGGCTTTATTTTTTATTTTTTGATGTTGTTTATTTGTTTGTTTGTTGGTTTTGAGACAGAGTCTCCCTCTGTTGCCCAGGCTGGAGTGCAGTAGCAAGATCTCTGCTTACTGCAACCTCCGACTCCCAGGCTCAGGCGATTCTCCTGCCTCAACCTCCTGAGTAGCTGGGACTATAGGTGCAAGCCACCATGCCCAACCAATTTTTGTGTTTTTAGTAGAGGCAAGGTTTGGCAATGTTGGCCAGGCTGGCCGCAAACGCCTGGCCTCAAGTAATCTGCCCACCTCGACCTCCCAAAGTTCTGGGATTACAGGTATGAGCCACTGGGCCTGGCTTGTTTTTTCTTGTTTGTTTGTTTGTTGTGTTTTTGTTCTTGAGACAGCATCTTGCTCTGTCACCCAGGCTAGAGTGCAGTGACACAATCTTGGCTCACTGCAAACCTCTTTGGCGCACTGCAACCCTGCTGGGTTCAGGTGATTCTCATGGCTCAGCTTCCCAAGTAGCTGGGATTACAGGTGCGCGACACCACGCCTGGCTAATTTTTGGCATTTTTAGTAGGACAGGGTTTCAGCATGTTGGCCAGGCTGGTCTCCCACTCCTGGCCTCTAGTGATCTGACCTCCTTGGCCTCCCAAAGTGCTGGGATTAGAGGTGTGAGCCACTGTGCCTGGCCTCTGCTTAGTTTTGGCTGTCAAAGTTTGACTATGATACATCTACATGCAAATCTTTTTGTATTTATCCAATGTGGAATTTAATGAGCTTAATGGATATATACATAAATGTTTTTCATCAAATTTGACATGTGTTTAGTCATTCCTTACTAACAAATGTTTTCACTCCTTTTATTCTGTCTCCTCTATTCTATGATAGCACATAGTTGAACTAAGCAACTACTCTGCCAGAGACAATCAAGAATGAACTTACATACTTACTGTCATGTGGATTAAGCCAAACTTTAATATGCTTGGTGCTCGTTGATACTTATTAAAGAAGAGTGCTGAAACCTACTGTTAGAAAACTAATAATTTACTCAGAAAAACAAGTGAAAACTACAGAAATTGCAAAGAAAATCCAAGGGACGTAACACATTGACTAAGAGTGAATGAGAGAAATAGAAGAAATCTTCAGTGAGGCAGAATTTCAATAGGAAAACCAATGAAATATTTACATTAAAAAGATACACTATATCTATGACATTTTGTGAAATTCAGACTTATTAAGTACACATAAACGTATATTTGCTTAGGTTCATAATGAGCTTCTCTGATACACAGTATTTTATTAAAAACGTTAATTCTGACGATAGATGTTTACTCCAAACACTAGTTGAAGAGTTTCCAAATTACCCTTTCCTGTTGTAGATTAGAATGTATCATAATCTGAACATTGCCTCATATATATAAATAAGCAGATATACTCTAAATCAGCAGTCCCCAACCTTTTTGGCACCAGGGACCGGTTTTATGGAAGACAAGTTTTCCATCGGCTGGGTTTGGGGGGGTGCTTTCAGGATGATTCAAGCATATTACATTTACTGTGCACATTATTTTTATTATCATTACATTAGAATATATAATAAAATAATTATACAACTCACTGTAATGTAGAATCAGTGGGAGCCGTGAGCTTGTTTTCCTGCAACTAGATGGTCCCATGTGGGGGTGATGGGAGACAATGACACATCATCCGGCATTAGATGCTCATAAGTAGCATGCAACCTCGATTCCTCACATGTGCAGTTCACAATAAGATTCATGCTTCTGTGAAAATCTAATGCCATCACTGATCTGACAGGAGGCAGAACTCAGGTGGTAATGTGAACAATGGGGAGCTGCTGTAAATACAGATGAAGCTTTGCTTGCTTGCCCTCTGCTTAGTTCCTGCTGTGCGGCCTGGTTCCTAAGAGGCCATGGACTGATACCAGTGTATGGCTGGGGGGTTAGGGACCCCTGCTCTAAATAAAAGTATCCATTTATGTGTTTGTACATTATTTTTTTTCTTAAAAGAGCTTCTAAGTTTCACAACGTACTGTCACCTTGGTTCCTGACTATGAGTAGAATTAAAATGTTCCCAGGATCTACTAAAAATGAGGAAGAAATAATTTTTGCACACCTTAGAGATAATGAATCAGTAAGATAACCAGATTCTTAATTTCAATTCAATATATCAGAACATCCTTCTTGATTTTTATTTAGTCTGAAATGTAATTTCACTCTTGGTTATTTGAGAAGTTAATGTTTCTCATCTTAAGGAAACCATATAATAAGCCTTCCCATTCTCTCCCAGTCTTAATGCCACACTGACCTATGTAATTTCAGGTAACAGACAAGCTGTCAAAAGGAATATATTTGCCAAAAATCACAGATTCAGTTTTTAAATGTAGCAAATGCCAAATATAGTTTCCAACTTTGTCAAGTTTTATGAAATTATTATACCCCATTTAACATTTTCTTATGCTTTTAAAAAATGAAATAATTCCTTGACCATGATTACACCAAATCTGACTTATGAACATGAATCAACATGATGTCATAAAGTACTGAGGACTCAAAAGTAGAATGACATAGTATAGGTGTAACATTAGCACTACCTGTTTCAGCTTTCAATATATTATTCCTCTTAACATTTTCCTTTAAGATGAACACATGTTGATTTCAAAAATTAAATGAAAATTCTTATTGACGCTTTGATGTTTATTATGTAGTCCACTGTAGATTTTCAGAATAATGAAACTGGATTCACCCTTGATGGAATGAATCCACCAAACTTATTGTGATTAATTTCTGTCTCAAGAAAATAGAGTGCTGATCATAAATCAAGTTACATCTTAATGAAGTAAACAGAGGAAGGGAGGCAGTTAGATTCAGGTGTTTGATTTGAGCAAAATGGCATTCTAGTTTACTAAACAGAAATGAAGGATGACTTCAAATCTTCCAGAGAAAGATTGCTTACATAAAGATTCAAACTCTACACAACAATATTTGGTTCTGAGGCAAGTGGATGCTTTGAACACTAATACACATAAGCTCCCCTAGGCAGGTTAATTTGTTAAGATGTCTATAGATGTCAAAAGTATGTTTGTAATACCAGGTCTTTCATAATAAATCTTCAAGAGAAGGTCATAAAAGGCATTTAGAAGATATTGTCAGATACAGAAAACCAATTTTACATAAACATCTAATTCTAATAATGTCCTCCAAAAGAGGCTCCAGAAAACTGCTTTTAAAATTCTAGTACTTTGGAAATGTTCTACATTCAATGGTATTGCAAACTACACGGAGGAGAAATCATATCTTTAATTAAATTGATAGACCAGTCATGAAAATTTGGCTTTATAAGGAGGGGACAAGATGTATAAGAATTCAATGAAACAAAATTAATTACATCAGCAACACATAAAATATAGTATCTAGTCTTTTACAAACCAAATCATATTAATATATATGAAGTTTCTCTTAAAAATATACTAGGTGCAGTGATGGGAACACACTGTCACAGCTGCTAAATAATTTTTGATGGCAATCATTCAGATATTAATTTCCATATCTCCAAATTACTATATACTCTAACATACGGTAGGATTAGTAAATATTTATATTAATAGGATGAATTAGTAAACTACTTACTAAAAAAGTTAAAGTATTTTTATCACTCATAGATTAAAAATCCTTCAATAATAATAAGACAAAGTTATTACTAGAGATTCGTACAAATTTTTATAGAATTATATTCATTCATTTATTCACTAATTCAGAGAAAAGTTATTTAACATCTACCATGTGCTAAATTTTGCAGAATTTGTGTGGAAATAAATTATATTTTCCTCTTAAAGGCCTTGGGTTAGCCTATTTAGGCTCATAGTTTACGTCAAACCTGGATTATTTTTATATTTCTTGAGGACAAAATTATTTGTGAGATCTATTTTTAGATTTTCTTCTGATTCCAGTTAATTATTTTGCTAAAGTCATCCTATATTCTGTGTACTAATGATGAGTGATTATGAAAAGTTCAGGTACATCAAATAAATGATAATATCTTAAAGGGATAGAAGCCACGAATGTGCTACATATAGCCATAGGGGAAGTGCTTTAAAATAACAGCAGACTCATAATAAATTTGCCAGGGTTTCCATCACATAATTCCATAGAATAGTCCTTAGCTACAGATTAACATTTAATTCAACACAATTTAATTAAATAAAGAAATATTTTTGTATCTCATGTCTCTCCTTTGTACAGAACCCTCTTCTATATACTGTATGTCACATCTTGCAAAGTCCTTAATGTTGAGCAGTTAAGAAAAACTAACATTATTTGAAAACAAAACTATTATCAAGAACTGTTCTAGATATGTTACCCTTATTATCTCTGAAACCCCACCATAGTCACGAAAGATGAATGCTTTCATCCCTGATTTACAGATGACAATTACTGTTCACTCATTGAGACTCAAATCTAGACTGACTCCAATATCCACCTTCCCAAACCTCATGGAAGCACAAGAATCCTATATAGAACAAACATAATATTTAAAAATCAAATAATAGCAAGAGAAACAAAACATGAGGCAGCATTTTAACAAATAATAAAATGAGTAGTAATTACTGCTATGGAAGAAATCAGTAAAAATTGGTGTGGTCAAGAGACTTCAAGGAAAAATTAATGGAGAAGTATTTAGATTACAGATCGGGATTGGAAATCCGTAAAGTCTAAGCAGGCATGATAATAAGCGTGGATTGTTTGGGATATTGCAAGAGGCTAACTTTTGAGAGTTCAAAAAATGTTGTCGATAGATTTCGTGGACAACTTGAGTGACAGAGCATGGAATTCAGAGTTATTCTTACAGCTAAAGGAAGTTGATTAAGGGTTGTTAAACAAACAACTAAGAGAGTGCTGGCAGCTAATGAGACACTGTTATTTAAAATCATGAAAACTGAGACAGGCAGACCAGTTAGAAGACAACTGCAATACTTCAGGCATGGGTTTGTGAGGGCAGGTTGAGCACACAAAAAAAATTTTAAAAAGAGAAAAATGTCTGTGAAAGGATCAATTGTACTTGGGACTGGGAGTTGGGTGGGAGGAGTATGATATGGTTCAAGATCTGTTCATCTAATGTGGTTATCAGTCCGAAATCTTCCAAAAGGATATTAAATGCTTTTTTTTTTTCACTAATCGGCTATGACATCCTGCCAGGTATTCCCTAGCTAGACAGGAAATCTGCCAAAATTCCTGTCTACTGAAGAAGCATCCATAAATTTGTCCCAGGTGTTGGTGGAGTATGATGGGGAGGGTGTAGAAGTGCATAAAATGTTACCTAGAAATGATCTTTGTGGTTTTAATTTGATAGGAAGCCTTCCTTTGACTGGAAATGGAGTATAATAGATAGAGGTGAACTTCAGCTAAATGCTAGCTGAATGAATGTCCATCAGGGATGCTAAAATATTGTCTAGAATCTATGCCTATATACAGATTCTATTGCTTGAAAGGATGGGAGCAAAGACAAATGTGATTAAATTTCCCCCTCCTTTGCTATGATGATTATTCAGATATTCGGTGTGATTGATGTTGAAGTTAGGAAGATATGCTACTGGGAACTTGATGCACCACTTGTTTGGGTCATCCCTAGGGATGCAGTTATGTTTTCCCTTTTTTCTAATGATGCCATAATGTTCTTATGTGCTTCTGCCTCTGATTTTACGTTCTTGCTCTTTCTCCCCATGCATACACACACACACACACACACACACACAAATAACATACACCATGGAAGACATTATCATATCTAAGAAGGAGATGGTGGAGGTCTTATGTAGCCCATCATGCAGCCTCCACAAGTTATACTAGAACCAGGTGGCTGATGACAATCATTACTCATCATAAGGGCTGGACTAGGGTTCTTTGAGGCCTGACTGCAAGTTAATCAACCTCCTTGCATGTTGAGGTTGGAAATATTTAACTAGTTCTGAAAATTGGTGTTATTCAGTGGAGAATGGCTCCACCCCATGTCATCTACACTTTTGCCTCTCAAAGTGTGATCCATGGACAAGCTGCTTAACATCCTCACATCAAAACTTGTGGAAATCAGAGCCTCAGGCCCCACCCCAGAACTACTACATCAGAATCTACATTTGACATGATCTCTGGTGATTCATGTGCATATTAAAAACAGAGAAATATTCTTTCAGTTACTTTGATCATCACTTTTCATCTTACATATTCAACCAGTTCTGGGTGATATAATTCTAATCCCTAATATAGCTTGCTTCTCACTCACTCAGGACACTTCTTGAGGCAATGTAGACACTTGTATGACAGATGTTATAGCACCATTGCTTGTGGTAAATCCATACTCTCAAGTAAAATGTATTAGCTGCCTTTCTTCACCCCTTAAAAGGTAACCCAAATCACCATGACAAGAAAGAAAACTAGGCACACATGGTATAAGATGTTCAAAAGATTTTACTCGCAAATCCAGATCTTCAACATAGTACATTATCATGGCTATACGGGCAGAAATTTATTTGTCATAACTGCTATTTTTAGTGAAGTCCACCTATGCATTGCTTCAGAAATGTGTCTCAAAGGTGAGACACTTAATCTAAAAATATGTATAAAATATATATTCTTATGGGGCTAGGTGGATATTGATTCTGACCAAATTAAGCCTCTCAACTACTGTGGGAAAAATACTTAAACATTGCTTGTGACATCACATTAACAATGAATAATTCAGCTGAATTCAGTGTAAGAAAGATGTTTAATTTGAAGCTTTTGCCACATGAAATAAAAATATGTGTTAAGAAACTTACTTTCGAGTAGCAAACATCAAACATTATCTTTATCCCTGAATCAAAAACTAGTGGAATTAGAAGAAAATGCATAAGATATTGAACTATATCAAATATTTCATTATACATATCTATTACACATATTTTCCCTGTATAAGCTGTTAAAATGCTTGAGTTTTACATCAAATTGCATGATGAATCAGTGTATAAAGAAATATGTAGGTCACAGAATGACCAACTGTAGAACAAGATTCCAAATTGTAATACCTCACATTTCAAAACCGGCTGCTGATAATTTGACTAGTTTATATTTCTTTGGCATCAGCAGCAGTTCTGCTAAGGCAAAGTAAATGTCATAAAATGTTTTGTTTTCCAGCAGCCATAGGCAAATAATTGGCATCTGTTTTCTGTTGTCTAGCTGCAGTCGTGATTTCTGAAACAGAAGCTTCCATTCCTCATCTAATAACTTGTTGATTTGGGACCCTCAAGGGACCAAAAAACAAATCAAAAAAAAAAAAAAGGAAAAAGGAAACTTGTTTGAGGGAAGAAAAAATCAAACCCTGAAAACATTTGGGTTTCATAGTGCATTCCATCATAGAATGTTTGGACTCATCTGTGTCTCCAAAAATAAATAGGAACAGGAAATAAGTAGCTCTTCTTGTTAAACCTGAAACAATGAAGTTTCTATATTGCAAAGTTTAAAAGAGACAAAAGGTCCTCTTAAAATAATTTCGTTCGAATTCACCTTCAAATACTTCTTGACAAGAACAAAATGTGTTAGTTGTTATAAGAAAAGGAAGAGAGCTAAAGCCTCCAGAGTGGAGAAATTGGGTTTGCCTTGAATTTCAACATTTTTAAAAGCTCAGTTAAGTGGGGGATGTGATTATTTGTAGAGCAGGAAAGGCACTTACAAATGCAACTGTAGGAGGCTCTCTCTTTTTAATGTTTAAGAGCAGATAAAACGCCACTTTCACTGACTTCAGGCGTTCTTCTGGCTCAGGACTAGGCCATTAATAGTCATTAACACTCTTTCAAATGTATTGCCAGAGTGGTAATGAAATCAACACCTTCTCATTTTTATACTGAAGCTCTGCCAAAGAGCATTTGGTCTTGTCACTACATATCGATGTGCTGTGCGATGTGCTTGCTACTTAAGATATCAACATAAACACTGAATAAAAACATAAATCTTTTATGATGTTGGGGCATGTTGCCATTATATTGTAAATCAATGTAGATCAATTATTCAAACCTAGCCCATTGTTTAACGGATGGAGGGCAGACAAGCCAGTTGCAGTGTAAACTGGGTCTATTTTCCTATTCAGAGTTGAACATCAATTTAGGTTTTTCAAACAAATCATTAGCTGAAAAGCTATCCTTAGAAATTTGATTCCATGCCATGTTCCCACCATTTGTCATTTAGGGAAATGTCTCAAAGAATCAGTTAATATGATGAGTACCTTTTTTTTTTCCCATAAAAGAAGACCTAATCTAATCTTAAGTGTTGATGGTCTACAAGTTTTAGTTTAAATTAGATGCACAGGTTTAGCAGTTGCTGCTCCACCTCACCTTCCTTTATAATTATTCAAGATGAATAATTTATGCTGAATTTGGTAATATAGGATACTATTTCTGCAAAGGGAAGGACAGACTGACAGACGATAGAAAGGAAAGAAAGGAGGGAGGGAGGGAGAGAAGAGGAAAGGAAAGAAAGAAAGAAGCCTTCCTTTTAACCTACTTTATTTAGAATTTCATTTTCTTTCCTTTTCTTCCTGATTTTCCTTCATTATTGGAACATATTTGTAGGTTGGAAAAATACGTTCCCTTCCTAAGTCCCCCAAAGCTATAACATGGAAAAAAGAAACAAGTTAGTAAGGGGAGTGAAGACATCTGTGTTCACCCCTTTCCAGCACAGACCACAACTGCTTACTCCATAACCAAGTTGTGGTAAACCTGCCCTACTTAATCTTATTCCTTTCTGGCCTCTTCTTCCTTTGAGCCCTATCATGAGAGAACCATCCACCTCCTTTCAGCCACAAATGTCTAGGAGGTTCCATGTATTTGTGTTGTCCTCAGAAGTATTTTTTATATCTAAACTCTATATGTTTTCAAAACCTAATTATTATAATTTACGAGGGCATCATGCTTTCTCACAGAGGGTCTAAGTATATAATAGAAGAGATTGAGGGGCATGAAATAAACTTTTCTAGCCTAATCTATGATTTATTTTAGCTATTACCAATGGCTTCAAGAGAATTGCTCACTCATTTTATGGGCTAGTAAGATTGAGAAACTCTATGTACTCGTTCTGTTTTGCTTTAGCACAAGAACATAACATATGTATTCTGTTGTTCCTGAGTCCCAAGCAGTACAATAGATACTAGATCAACAGGGAAGAGGCCTTGTCCTGTGGAATTCATGGTTCTAGAGGAACAAAGAAAATGCTTACATAAGCAATAGACTATAATATATTTTGAAATTAAGTGATGTGACATGCGGTATGATTAAAGTACTATAGGAGCAGTAAGAGGTAAAAGGCCTCATTTGGCCAAATGCCATCTACCTATTTTTCTACTGTAGCTATCCAAATACATGCTTATATTGGCAGAGAGAATGCAGATGGAGAGCAGTCAGCTTTAGAGTGGGAAGAAAACTGGTGAATTGGAGACTTAGAGCCAGCATTTTGAGGAATGTCATTTGAGAAAAGCATAGCCTTCCATGCAGAGAATCTGAGGGAGATCCTGAATCACGTGCTGTACTTTGAAAATGTACACAAAGACTCTGCTCCATGAAGCCAGCAACCAAGCCAAGGGGATGTTAAAACCAAGAATTCAAAGAAAGATGATTTTAAGAGTTGCCAGCAACTATTCACTCCAGACAGACTGGAGATGGATGTCAAAAAGCACCCCCTATCTTTACCTCATGGAAAGCCTGCAGTCACTACCATGTGTTGTATATCTTTAGGATTTATCAACTTTGAAACCATGAGTGATTAAATATTAAATATGATATTTCAGGATCTATGCTAAGATGAACTAATTTCCAGATGGATTGCATAAATGACCATAAAATTAATTGGTTAATTAATTTTACTTAAAATTAATTATATAAAATTAATTATATAAGCTCTTAAAATATTATTGACAATATTTGAAGATCTCATATAAAGGTCTGTCCATTTAAACGTTTTCAAAGTCTGTGTCCTCTGGCCATAGATAATATTTGTAAAATCTCTTATACAATTGCCATTTTCATATGAAGAGCTCACATTTTCAGAAACGCTTAGCTTCTCATACTAAAATGTCTTTCATCTTTACTCTGAAAGAAAAATCCCCCCCCCCGAATTTTTCCTTGTTCTGTATAGAAGTGATACACAATGTTTTGCTTTGATTATTAGAGAAGAAAATGGTAATATTTAAAAATAACCTAATTACCGTTAGAGCCTTGCTCGGACACAAAAATTATAAGGGATATGCAGGCAGAAATAATATAATTTACTATATTATGAAATTTTTGTTTCCCTGTTAAATAAAATATATTTGACCTAATGAGCCCTCTTACAGACATTTCTCCTGACTCCTCTTACCTTTGATTTCAAGTATGCACACTCTACCTTGGAGTTCTTCCTTTTCTTGAGCTGCCTAAGTGAACAAATTTCAAAGAAGAGAAGAGTCCTCCAGGGTAATCTTAGAGGATATCTACTTAAGTATGAAAAAGAGAATACGGAAACTCTAAGATGTTTCCTGTAATTATTAATAAATAACTGAAAACTCAAGGATTGGCATAAAGACGCTCCTCGAGTCATAATATTATTGCATGAATATTGGGTATATTGTATAATGAAATGTATATTAAACAGTGTCTGTGGTGAGAAAGCATGTGTATATAACCACTCTGAGTTTTGTATATGTCTGTTTTTCTACAACATTACTTTCTGGGTACATATTAAAATTTGTCAGCAAAAACTGTATTTTAATTTCACAAGCATATTTGCCTTACAGCTTGTCATATTAAAGGGGGTCGTTACAGTGAAAACATTCATTTTTTTTAGAATACACTTAGGTACATTTAGAAAAGACATTTGGGTTTTTAATAATTCCCTGTGAAAGATGTTAAATATTAAGACCTACCTAAACACAGCAATCATGTATCAGAAGCTGATAGTATATTTAAATATAATCAAAATACAAAATAGCTATTTTTCTAAAAAATGTGACTACCAAATTATCCGAGCACAATTTTCTGGGAGGCTCTCTACCCTCATTTTATAGTTAGGAGCATTAAGTGCCAAGAAAGACTGTAGGACTCCCGTGGCCACATAGCCAGTTAATGGGGGGGCGGCAGTAAAACATGGTTTAATGGTTTTCTTTCTACAGCTACCCATCTCTAAATAAATGCTGAGGCTACCAGAAACTACTCATTTCAACATTTATCTTGTATATTAACATACTTAGGCATTTTACAATTTCCATGCAAAATTATTTTTAATAGTATTATAAGCAAAAAAACCCCAGGAAAACTAGGCTGAGGATATTATATAATTTATTAAGAAAATGTATACATCGTGTAAACTAATTAAATATATTAGAATTTTTATACAATATCTGTTGAGTTTTAGGAGTCAATCTAACTTTGAAAATTTCAAGTCTTCTATATGAACTTCTTGGAGCTGATTTTAGTTTTGGTGTCATTATTTCTCATAAAATCCAAGCAGATATGTAATCCTGATAAGTCTGAATAAATTTGAAAGTATAATGGTAATTATGCATGCCATAGAAAAATTAGGGATCTATATCAAATTTTGGTTCCAGAAATAAAAGAATATTTTATGACTAATGCCAGTATTTCTAAGAGAGGGTCTGAGAATTCCACATTTAAAATAGGGTCAGAGACTTTATCAAAATTAGAAAGAAAAGAAAGCTGCTTTTCAATAGTCCTGTTTAAGAAAATGGAAAAGTAACACAGCAACTGGAAAAAAAAATTTGTAATACATATATCTGACAAGACTTAACTAGGATATATAAAGAACTACTACAATGACAACAACAATAAACAGCTCAATAAAAAATAATCAGAGGACTTGAAGAAAAGGTATAGGAATGACCAATAAGCATATCAGAAATGCTCAGTAATATTAGTCAGTATACCAGGGAAATGCAAATTAAAACACAATGCCAAAAAATGCAAATAAAAACCACTGAGCTTATTTTCTCAAAAAGCTAAAACACACCAAAAAAAAAAGACACTATGAAGTGTTGGTGAGGATGTAGAGAAACTGGAACTCTTATAAGTTTCTGCTGGGAACATAATATAGTACAATCACTTTGAAACAAAGGTTTGAGATTTTCTTACATAGTGAAACATAAACCTACCATATGACTCACAAATTTCACTCTTTGGTTTTTACTTAAGATAAATGTTAACATATGTTCACACCAAATACACAGAAATTCACAGTAACTTTATTTGTAATAGTTCCAACTGGGAACAACCTATATGTCTCTCAATGGGTGAATGGATAAATAATGGAATGCCAAATAGTAATAAAAAGAAAAACTACTCTTATGAAGAACATCATAGATGAATCTTAAAAATACTATGTTACATGAAAGAGTACATGCACAGAGTATATGCAAAGAATAGTACAAAAACATACATACTCTATGGTTTAATTTAGATAAGTTTCTAGAACAAATTAAACTGTATGCTAGAAACTAGAACTGTGATTACCTAGAGCTGAAAATAGGAGTGGGGTCACGAGAAAGAGGCACAAGAAAACTTCTTGGGTTGGTAGAAACATTCTATACCTTAACAAGGGTAAATCCATTTATCAAAACTCATTAATCTGTGCACTTATAATCCCAGTATGTAAATTAAACCTCAATGTACTTCCCCCAAAAAAGGAACAGAAATACAATGTAAGAAAAAAAGGTAAAGTCAAAGGAACATTTTGAATATTTTTTTCTGTATGTGTTGATTAGGTTTTAGTAATGGCAAACGCACACTTTTGAAATCGTGACTTCTGTAACTTGTTTGTTGATATTGATATGTAAAATCAAATAGCATTTTTGACACCTAAAAGAGTAATTACAACTTTAATACAGATTTTAAGGTTGTGCTATGATTTATATGGATGTTAGATTTTTTATCTCCTACCTTCTACTTTTGTTTTTTATGTCTTCTCATTCTGCAGGAATTATATGAAATAAGAATGCTGAGGAAAACTAAATGACAATTTTTTTCTTCCCATTTAATGCCCTCATCTCTTCCTGTGATGTTAAGTACAAAGTATTTGATCATATTCCAGAATAAGATACATGCATTCCTTTCAACAGGGTACACATTTACTGAGGCAAATAAGCTAATAGCAAATTATAACCTCATAAGTGATGTGCTCACATTAAATAAAAGATGCTTTGTTGACGGAATGAATTATAAAGCTGATGTCAGAAATTGTAGAGTCACCTGCAAAGCCATGTTGACTAGTAAGGGCTTTATTCTGAGATCGTTGGCAGACTGTTGATGGGTTGTAATTAGAATTTAAGATGATTTAGTGTGTATTTAGAAATATCTCTGCTGTCAACTTGTTAAGAATGAATTGACTGAATCACTACTGCAAGCCAACAATGTGGTGTCCTGGGCAGTTCTCCAGGCATAGATAACAATGGCATGTAGCTATGGTAGTGATAGATAGAGTAGGGAAAAAGAAAAAATAAATGATAAATAGTTTGGATGTGACTTGTGTATATCTGAAATACTTCATCTGGAAAACAAGGATTCTGATACTATGATAAAGGTGTCTTGGGAATGGGCTAACCAAGTATTACTCTATAGACTTAGTTTCTGAGAAAGTACATTCTACCCTTATTGATCTCATCCTCTTTAAAAAAAAATTTAGTGTTAATAGAAATTTACATACCAAATTTCAGGGATTCGAACTTTTTTATAGGAGCAATACATTCCCCAAACATGAGTGTTTTAGCTTAAGATTTTTATAGTCAATGATCCAATTTCACATTTTTATTTAATACTAAACTCAAAGCCTTGGTGGTTGCTTCTCTTAAGTTTTATGGGAAAAAAGCATGAATCATTGGAAATATTGCCTCCAAAAAAAGTAAAGTTCTGTTGCTTTACTGTACAAGAAAGACTTTTTAATGCAGTTTTCTCAGTATTTCTGGAAAACATCTCTTTAAATGCAGTTGTAATTTTACCTAAATGTTATGTTCTAGAAGTCCCACTATATTTTACAGTTTTGAGTATTTCTTTTAAATGTGGTATTTCAGCTTTTTATTTTACTTCAATATTGTATTTTAATTTTTCCACATATTTTCAAGATCTATGAATCTGGGGATTTATAATTTGTTCTTGAATAATAACTTAGGAAGGTTGCATACTTCTTATAACTCTAGAAATATTGTAAACTAAATAGAAATGGAGGGATATGATGCTTAGGATTTTTTTTTCTTTTGGTAGGAAATTCAATGTTTTGTTTTAATTATTTCTTCACTAGATTCAAACCTGATTTATAAATAATATGTTTGACTCTCAAAGGGTCCCCTAATTATCTTTTTCTCAGTATTTTAACCTAAACAACTCCTCTGTACCAGTACTTTAAAACTCAGATAAAATACTTACTGTTTTATAGAATATTTTTCAAATTTGCATACCAATTATTTTTTATTATGTATAATTCATTTGTGTCTCATAAAATAAACTTATTTATTTACCTATTATTTTATTTGCTAATTCAACACACTGCTGGAGCATCTACTATTTGTGAGGCACTGCAATAGGCACTAGCTACATACTGCTGAGTAAAGTAGTGCTTTTGCTTCCAGGCAGCTTATGCTCTTATCTATCACATTTTACTAGAATTCTTTCCTTCTGTTAACAAATATTTATTGAGCGACTTCTATGCACTAGGCTGTTTTGGCACTTTGAATACTTACTGGAAAAAACATGAATATTTTGCCATCACAGGGCTCACATTCTAGCAGAAGGAGACAGTCAATAAACAATAAACAGAATAACACTATAAATTATACTGTGCTACATGGTGATAAGTTCTATGGAATAAAGAAAATGTAGAACAGGTTAGGAGGACTTGAGTGTACCTGGTGATTGGGCAGGAAGAGAGGGCAGGATACTGTATTAAAGTGTAATCAGTGTGCTGGGATAACATTTGAACAGATACTTGAAAGATGTAAGAGAATTGGGAAGTAAATATCTGAGGAAGATCATCCCAGGCAGGGGGAATTACCAGTGCAAAAGTCCTAATAAAGGAACATGTGGCATGTTAAGAGTTACAGCAAGGAAATCATATGCCTGGAAAACAGTAAGCAAGAAAAAGAGCCTGCCAGCAATGTAAAAAACTTATAGGTAAATATGTAACTGCTTCTCCTCTAGAATATTCTAGAAAATTCTAGAATATATCAGGATGACTTGATAGCTGTTATCTCTATGCCTCATGTTCAGCAAAAGTTCTGTCTTACATTGTGTTCTGTGTTCTGTTTTCTCCTTTGTCCTAAATAGATGTGCATAACTAATCTCTTTAAAAATAATATATTTGAATGAATTTCCAAATTTTCTCTGGTCCATAATAAAGTGAGGATATAAAGTCAGCATTCCAATAGTGTATACCTCCTGGGTAAATCAGAGAAAATCAGTAAGAAGGAAATTAAATCCGTATGATTAACTTTTAGTGTTGCTCTAAGGGCAAAATAGATGTTGAGCCTTAGGCTGATCCTGCTGTTTTTGGTGTTTTTTATTTGTTTGTTTGTTTGTTTGATTTTTCCCAGTTCCATGGATCTGTAGAGAGGCTTGCAAAGGACCAGCAGCTTTCAATTAGTTATAAAACAAGGCAGATAATTGCTTTTTAAGACCAATGTCTTTAGATCCTTGCTTTTAGCCTAAGCCAACAGAAAACAGATACAAAAGATATGATCTGGAAACCTAAGTAACTTACTTCTTTTGTTGTGCTTGAGAGAAAATTTAAACTATTTGTGAGAATAAAATAATAATTGTAGACTTGATATTTCTAAAAAACAAAAAGAAAACCAAAACAACAACAACAACAACAAATAACAGGGTCTTGCTCTGTTCCCTGTGCCGTAATGCCATGGTGAGATCTTGGCTCACTGCAACCTCTGTATCCTGGACACACTTATATCTCATACATATACATACACACACACACACACACACACACACACACACACACACACTTACATATATACTTATCTCTCTCTCTCTCTACATATATATGTATATATATCTACATATATATATATCTACATATATATGTATATATATCTACATATATATATATCTACATATATATGTATATATATCTACATATATATATATCTACATATATATGTATATATATCTACATATATATATATCTCTACATAAATATATGTAGAGAGAGAGAGAGTGAGAGAGAGAGAGCGAGAGAGAGATAAAGATAAGAGAGAGATGGGGTCTAGCTATGTTCCTCAGGCTTGTCTTGAATTCCTGGCCTCAAGCAATCATCCTACCTTGGTCTCCCAATGTGCTGGGGTTACAGGTGTGAGCCACTTTGCCCAGCCAATATATTTATTACATTTTTATATAGTATCATTTTCCCTGTAGCTATCAGGAGACCTACTAGCAACAATGCTCATGGATCAAAGCTCTAAGTATATAACCTATTCCCTCTTACATTTAGTAAAGTAGAATAATACACTGGAGAAAATAAAACTGGTTTTCATTCCAAACTCTAAATCTGGCTCTGATTGCCATCAGTTTATGTTTAAGGGTTGACCATGCCTGCTTTTAGTTGTGACTTCCTCATGAACTCTTCAACCTGACTTCTTCTTTTGTGGCATACTGCTATTGTTTTCTGAGTCCCTGGCATTTCCAGTGAGGGTCACTGTATTTATTCAGTGCCAATAACCGAGGAATCAATTATTACGTGTGGGGTAGGGTTGCTACTGTTTTTTTTGCAAATTAACTGACTGAAAATAGTGATAATGTGTTATTATGGTTAAGGTTAAGCAGCTGCTGATTACCTGTAGATGATACAACTGCAGACACACTATTTAAAAGGCCTATTTTGTTGAACTGACTGATAAATGAGCAAAACATTTATGTGCATCATATATTAACACAAGCATGGAATTTTGAGTCAGGTAGAGCTCGTTTAATTTCTGTCTGATTCTTCTGTCTCTCCCCAGAATTAGCTTCACCCTAAGGTTGAGTCTCTGTATTGTTATAGACTGTCTGTCACTTATAATCCACAAGATACACAGCAAGTTACTTTACTTCTGTGAGGCTCGGTCAACTTATTGACACAGTTTGATAGTGTCCATTTGCCATTGCTTACAGGAGAGGTTGCTATTTGAAAGGCTTTTTCCCTATCTGAGATCAAGTGTGATTATTTTCCTGCTATCCTGCGCCATTTGCAAATGATAATCTTTATTCCTTTTCACTATAAGCAAGTAATTATAAAAGATGATCATTAAGTCCTCTTGGTTTAGTCTTAACCAAAATAATATTGTTGCAAGAAGAATACTATCTGTTAAATGTAGTCAAGGTATTACTTGGAAGCTGTCGTGGCCTTCCTTGGATTTTCTATTTTATTGTATTATACATCCATTCACTGATCTATTCCTTGGGAATGCAACACTATAATGGGTTAGATACCTGGTCTTTACCAGGTGAGAAATGTATGCTTCAATTCTCCTCAAAATAGTGACTTTGTGTACTTAGATAAATCCAATTTTATACCTATTGAAAAACTGGCTTGACATTGACACATTCAAAATTGCCAGCAACTCTCATTAACGGGCTGTTTTCAATCCCTGATGCCATTGCTGATCCAATAACTAATGAGCAAATGATTTAAAATCTATGAATGTAAGTGTTAAAAGTGCATGTCTGGCATTGACTAGCAACAGGCTTTAGCAGACCAAGATATAGAAAAGGATACTAGTGATTTAGAAGTATGTGTAAATGTCAATTTGGCTTCCCCATTGTGTAGGAATATTCAGTAGCCTAAGAAGACGCTGGAAGAAAATGTTGTATTTCTGGAAGTAGGCACGATGCCTTAAAGCAAGCAGCAGGTTCCATTCCCTTGGACATAGTCATTTCATCAAGGACCTACGTGGTCCAATGAGGGTGATTCTAGGACTTCGTCCTTGGTATTCTGGGGGTTGTTATTCTTTCTATGAGAACCAAAGAAAAGAATATATAGCTCCAGTCACTATTGGAAGAGAGTCTTAACCAACACAAAAAACCAACATGAGGCAGAAATAAATACTGAGGAAAGCATAAAAAAGATTGGAATGGAAACTGAGTTCCTGATACTTTCTTGAGCCTCTGGATCAGACCAGCTTGAAACATACTAGACTTTGGAATTCCAGCTGGAAAATGTTTTTAAATTGCTTTGCAATATCTGGATGCATTTACCGATGCAAGAAATGTACACCTCTGTGTGTGTATGTGCTTGTTCATGTGTGTGCATGTGCGCGTGTTGAGAGGGTGGAACTACGAAGGTGGAAGGGGCGTGCAGTTTAGATGCTTAAACAGACTTCTCATAAATCTATACTACCCATGGTTTAGGGGGAATCAATTTGGAAAAAGTATGGTGATTCATAGAAATCCCAAATGCTTCTCCTGGAAGTTTCCACATGAAGAGGTACAATGAATCCTAAGAATATTTTACATAATTTTCCAAATCACTGGAGTGATACTATTCACTCAATAGTCATTTAATTCTGATTAACCTATATGGCATCAATGATTATGGTCTTCATTGAAATGCTTATAAAAATAAGTGATTGCTTTGTGGCCCTTTGATTAGAGTCTGTTTTATCAACAAATTTCTTATCCCCAAAATGTAGAGACCATTGTTTAAAAATATTCACCATTAGCTTCCTAAATCTTAGCGCGATGTATGGCATTTACTAAACTCAACATATGTTGAGTGTATTGGGATTGGAAAGGCATATATTGAAGTAGGAGACAGTCAAATGATAAAAAAAAAAAAAATGCCAAAAAGCAAGACTCAAGTGATAGCCACATATCTTAAAACCTGAGTGATTTTTGTTTAGTGATTATTACAAAAGCCAACATTGTAAGGGAATACATTTTAATTCATAATTAGGTACAATTTGGAGGTAGTAAATAAATCCAGTTAATGTATTTAAAAATTTTTAAGCACACTTTTCATGAAGATTCTGGTTTTTTTATTTCATGTGTAAATCACTTCAAATATTGGATCCAGATGGTGCAGTCTCAAAGGTTTCATATTTACACACAGTCCAATATTCTTTTCCAAATCAAATGTGAAAGCAGCATTTCCTACAACCAGTCCTGAAACTGTGAGCAAAAATATGACAGTCCTCTAACACAGAGACTGCCAAGGCTTTTCTTGTTCCTTAGAAAATACACACGGCCTCTAATTCTGTGAATATTTTATCCATCTTGTGAAGGTTCTGTCTTTGTCTCTCCTTCCCTTACCCTCCCATCAGAAAGAGACAAAACTAGATAATGAGATAAAAGGGAAAAGTTTTCTCATACTAATTCATCATTCACTGCCCCCTTGCCCCACCTACACACACACACACACACACACACACACACACACACAGAGAGAGAGAGAAATGTGAAATGAGTTTTGAAATGTGATAAACAATAATCAAAAAATATTTTATTTCTTGTTTTACTCATGGTGATTACTATCTGTGTGCATGAAGTGGTGCTCAAAAAACCAATTAATGTCCAATATTCTTAAAAACACTATACAGAAGAGACTTGCTGTTTGATTTGAGGCAGAAGCTTTTGTTTTGCAGAAGCTATCTTGTGTGCAGTTCTGCTTCTTATACATTTTGGAAGCCCACAGACTTTATTCAAAAAAAGTTACAGCTAATTCCTGACATCCTCATGCCATATTCTCTTGCTACTGTCTTTCTCTTGATACAGTCTGTAGCTGCATTACAGGAAGCTGAATTCTAAAACATCCTTTTGGTTCCAAATTTCACCTAGTCCACTAACTGTCATTACTATTATGTGAGAATGCTCAGCTCCAAATTTTGTATGTTTTTAAAAATAAAATGTTACTTCTACATTTGATTCAAGTGCCTAACCCATTTATATTTATTGTCATATTTTATATGTTTTCTCTTAACTCTGTTAAGACTTTTATTTGTCTAATGTTTCCGTATTGTTTCTTATCCTATCTGTTTTTAATTTAAGTTGGAATAAACAGAGACTTGATTTCTTCAAATAATGAAGGAAATTCATTAGTTCAAGATAAAACAATCTGATGCACTGCAAGATGAGAACAAAAATAGAGAGGGACCTTGCAGATGGTTTTTCAGGGTTCAAGGCAATTCTCAAATATCAGAACTTTGTGACTTCACTTTAGGGTTCCAACATCTATATATTTAAGTGAAAAGAAATTTTCACCCTTATCTGTCATGTCTAATTAATGATCTTACCTGCCGGTTTTCTTTTCTGCTTCTCTTCTCACTACCTATAGGCCTATACTTTCTTTACTCCTGAAATAAGTATTCTGATGGATTCAGCAAATTATTATCATCATGACTTTTTATGTCAGGCCTTTTTATGAGCAGCTGATTAGTATGTGGATTGACTTCTTTTGTGCCTCATCCTCACCCATAACCCAAAGTGCTATAAGCATTTCAGGCTCACGTGGCTTCTTTAGGCTGATCTTTCAGAGAAGATTGTAAACAGGACTTTTTTGCTTGGAATGAACTTTTGCATGATTGACATATCCAGCACAACTGTCTTTGACATGTAGTGTTTAAACCCTTATATCTAAGTATACAATTGCCATGATAATCGAAATAATCCAATTAATAAAAATCAGAAGTGTTAACATTTGTAAAGTGTGTAAAGCTGTTCTCAGCACAGAGCAAATACTATATAAATGTTTGCTAAATAAATAAAACAAATAATGACTAAACCCAAATGCAGAGTATTTGAAAATATTAATGAGATATATAAATACTTATTGATGTTTGTTTTTTTAAAAAGGAGAGAGGAAAACACAAATTTTGGAATATAAAAGTAAACACCTCTAATATAGAGAAGCTTAAATGAATTATTCATGAATATTACTTGCAAACCCATGGTAATTTGAATGCCACAAGGAATTAGCAATTTCTGTTCAAGTGTAAATTATCAATATTGACCTAATAAGAAGTTGAAAATCTGAATGGATCAATTACCACAGTACAAACTGGTGAAAGGCACCAAGATTAGATGGATTTTCAGTTAAGTTCTACTTAAATTTAAAAGACAGGTAATTTTAAATTATTGCAATTATTTCAGGCCCAAGCTAGAAAGTCTTAAATGTATTTTATGAAGGCAATATAACTTAAAATTAGAACCTGATTTAAAAAGAATAAAATAGAAAATGAACCCAATCTCATTACTGATGAAAATATTCAAAATAAAATAAATAGAACTCAACCCGAACATTAAGGTCAATGGGTTTTCTACCAAGAATGGCAAGAGTGGCTCAAAATCAAGACACTGGAGTTACATAAATATTAAGTAACATGCCTAACATTACTCATCTAGTGAGAAATGAAAGAATTCGCACCCTTACTTGTCAACTCATGATAATAATGATAATGAAAATGGCACCATTAAAACAGCTTTTATGAAACTGTTCTGTGTTATGTTTCATTCCTTAGAAGTTAAAAGATGTACCTTATACTTTTGCCATTAAATATTATAATGTAAGATGAAACAGGAATTATCATGTCACAAATGGAGCTATTTTTGAGGTTAAATGTAAAAATTAAACATTTGCTATTGATGTAGAAGAGTAAGTGAGAAACAAAACAAAGAGGCACAGACGTTTTAGATTTTGCCTTCACTAAGTCTAGGTAGGATACTCACGATCTACTCTCTGCAAAAGTTATAGAGGAAGAAAATATACAGAAAAAGGTTTCCTGAAAAGTCAAGGGCTGGGCTAAAGAGAAGCAGAAGTGGCAGTATTATCACTGTGGAAGACGAATGTAGTGGCACTTCTGATTTATTTAGTATTCAGGATTTCAACCTTAATTAGGATTCCTTTGTCACATCATTCATCAAATATACTTGAAGAAATGGAAATTAACCTCAAAGTTTCTGTCGCCTCAGGCATGCTTTTAATACTTATACTCATTTCAGTGTATTGTGAAATACAGTGAGTCGACTTGGAAATATTTTAGTTGGAAAAAGTAACATCCAAATGGAGAAGTCCCACATTATAAGCAATTCTGGCAGGGATATAAAAAAGCAACCATTTAAATGGTTACTAACTGTAACCATTTGTTGTTGGTGTTTCTTTTTTTCTTTCTTTTTTTTTTTGAGACAAAGTCTTGCTCTGTCGCCCAGGCTGGAGTGCAGAGGTTGCTCACTGCAACCTCTGCCTCTACCTGCCGGGTTCAAGCTATTTCCCTGCCTCAGCCTCCCAAGTAGCTGGGACTCAAAATCAAGACACTGGATGCACCACCACTTGCCACTGTGCCCAGCTAATTTGTGTATTTTTAGTGGAGATGGGGTTTCATCATGTTGGCCAGGATGGTCTCAATCTCCTGACCTCGTGATCCGCCCACCTCAGCCTTCCACAGTGCTGAGATTACAGGCGTGAACCACCGCGCCTGGCCTGTTGTTGGTGTTTCTTTCAGCCAGTGCTGAGAACATTATGGGTTTTATTTTTTTCCCAAAATGTTCTCCAAAATCTACCCTGATGATTCAGTTTGCAAAGATCCTTTTAAAAAAATCACTTTAAAAAAGATTTTTGCTTATGATATTTCATATTTGTTAGTAATGTTACTGTACTCCTGAGGGAATCTGTATATTTATGATTATAATTTATCAAGTTGAATATAGAAAATATAGAATTATTAATTCAATAAGTATGTTTAGCATGTGCAGAACTACTCCAGGCACCAAGATATATACCTTTTTCAACTTCATCTTTCTAACAAATTTCCAGCTATAACTCAAAATCTAAAATCTATGCCATACCTTCTTTGATAACTCTGACGCAGGTACCATGGATTATTTTCTCTACTTTGCGCCTGTAGCCCTTGGCACACACACATCACATGAATTATCTATATGCATAAATGTTAATACATACATGCAATGTACATCACTTTATAGAATATAAGCATTTAAAAGACAGCGACAGTGTTTTATATTTTATATGTATGTATATTTGCATTTGCAAAAATTAGAACTCAGGCAATTAAAATATTAGTCTTTTAATTTCGTAAAATAAATACATGAATAAATGAGTAAACTTTAAGTCACAGTTTAATCATTATCAGTTATAGTAACACCATAATTGTTTTATTTGGTAATTGCAAGATCAAATTCTTCGCAAATTTCTCTAAAGTGATATAGAATGTGACATTTTGTTGTTGGTCTTACCATAGATATTCTTGAATTTGTATCCTACTAGTATAATTAATATAATTGCTCTATTTGGATTAAGCACCAGGCTTAGAAACTACTTTGAGCCCCTGCTTTACAACTCACCAGCTGTAGGGGGATCCTGGCTAAGGTTTTAAACTTCTCTACACGTGGTTACCTCATCTGAAAAATGTGAATAATAATGTAATGTTTTTTACAGAACTATTTGATAAATTAAATGAGGTATATTAGTAACATGCTTAAAAATGTCATAGAGAAAGTCCTCAACAACTGTTAGTTGTTACTGTTATTAATATTGTTTGACATATTTATGAAGACTTAGCTAATTCCACTAGGCAGATCCTTCTTTTTCCACCTATATTTTAAAATAAGAAACTGGATTCCTAATGCCTGAATTGAACACATTTTTCGTACTATTTTAGGAATATAGACCCTCTTTCCTTAGTGAATTCCTGTATTTTCCCCAAAATATTAATGTAATCATATGGACAAAGAATTTCATTAACTTTCTTGAAAGAGTTCTATGAGAACATATAGTACTCTTGAAAATAGAATAAAACCTTCCTATACATGAATATTTGGTAAGAAAATCTTTGTGCGTTTCTTGAACCAAATTTGAGTGTTGGCTTAAGAAACTGAGAATATTCTCACTCCTTTGAGAATTTTCTCTGTGTCTTATACTTCAGAGCTGTCAGTCAGTATTTTTGATCATTAGCCATCTGTGATTATTTTAATTTTTGCCAGCAGGAGAAGGAACTCTTTTCCACCCAGGAGCTCTGTTATTACAATATCATTTATATGTAAAGAGCTCATTTCATCAGTGAGAGAAACTTTTACCCATTTTTTTAAGGTTTGAAAGAAATTCATGGCATCTTCTTTTTCTTCTTTCTCCAACTCTATATCCCTGTTTCTCTGTTACATTTATCCTAGTTTCTTTCTATATAAAAATTCTGCAGCAACCAGCTGATGCTTTTAATAACAGGATTGAAATTAAGCTGATATCCATATATTTTAAATACAAAATCTCAAATGTATTGTAGCTGCTATTTTAAAATTTAAAACTCATAGAGAAAAATATAATTTTACATTGCAGTGATGTTTAGTATTGAAGAGGAAGGCTCTATTTGAGGTTTCCATATTAACAGTTTATTAAAATGGCATAATGACATTTTAGCTATAATTATGTAATAAGGGCAAATTTTAAAAGAGGAAAAAAAAGAATTTGAAAATTAAAAAGGCCTTTCTAAGTGACACGGTGATTTAGGACTTAGAGTCATGGAATCACTTTCATACCTCCTCCTACTTCTGCTTCTCATTTCAGTTTGACCTTCAGCAAGTCAAAGGCTCCCCTCAATCACTTACCCTATAATCTAGGATAATAATGTTAACTGAATATAGTTATTGCAAAGATTAATAAATATTGGTCATAAAATGTAATCCATGTATTAAAAGTCTCTTCAGGAAAACAAGACTGAATACCTGAATCATTATTGTAGACTGGTTTGATGAAACGAAATTATTCATCAACTACACAAAATTTGAGATCTTGAACTTTATGAAGCAAGTTTCAAATCTCAGGATAGATGCTCCTAGAAATTAGTGCTTTTCAAGATCCCATGTCATTTCTTGAAGAATCAGAAAATATATTGTTGTTTTCTTTCCTGGAGAACAGGTATATTATATTTTCAGCAGAGTTGGCTTCGGAGGAAATTTCTGTTGATGCAAGGACATTCCCATATTTTTTATTTTTCATTTACTTTCTCCTCTCCCATTCTCTAACCATAATTCTTTCTCTGTCTGTGCTTTCTTTGAGAAAGAAACCTGGAGTTCTTATTCACATAGCTGAAACAGAAGAAGCAAGCAATCTCAATGTGGTAGGAGGAAAACTGAGCAACAGCAGAAACAGCAAACAATAGCACAATACTTTCTCTCTCTGGGTACTTAGCTAGTTTAAAAATAATTCAAAAGTGACATCCTGTGTTTATTTAGACAATTTTTATTGAGACATTTAAAGACGATGCCAAGAATAAATGTAAAAATTTCTTTGTTATTTGCTGTTATCTTGGAGTAGGGATTGGGAAGGAGGGTGTGTAAATACACACACGCACACACATACACACACACACACACAGTGGAGATATGGGGAAAGTTACTTCCTGAAATAATGATCAGCTTGGTGAAGGAGCAGCAGCATATTCTGAGAAACAGCAGGAAAAGTAGCCAAGTGCCCACATAACTCTGAGTCAATATATCTGATCCCATTGAAAACTAACCCAATATGTGTCCAATTTAACATTTCAACTTTTATATTGGCTCTAATCAACCCAGAGTATCTTCTGCATAGAAGACTAGAGATGAGTTACGATATCCAAAAATGTCTGCAGAAATGACAGATAATTGTCACATATACCATCATACAACTTACCTCTTAGAGGTGGTTTCTTAATTAAAAACGAGCATGCATCTGTAGTCCCAGCTACTTGGGAGGCTAAGCGGGGGAGGATTGCTTGAACCCAGGAGATCAAGGCTGCAGTGAGCCAAGATTACACCATTGCACTCCAGCCTGGATGACAGAGTGAGACCCTGTTTACAAAACAAACAAACAGACAACAAAAAAAACCCAAACCAAAAAAATCCAACTCCAAAGCATAGAGCTTTATGATGTAGACACAGTGTGTGTCTATATGGCAATCGTTTTTTAAATTTTTTTTTTATTTCAATAGCTTTTGGGGTACAAGTGGTTTTCGGTTACATGGATGAATTACATAGTAGTGAATTCTCAGATTTTAGTGCACAGGTCACCTGAGTAGTATACACTGTAGCCAATATGCAGTTTTTTTAATCGTACTCCTTCCTGACCATCTCCCCGTTCCGAGTCTCCAAAGTTCATTGCATCACTCTGTATGCCTTTGGGCACTCAAGGCTTAGTCCCTACATAAAAGTGAGAATATATGGTGTTTGGTTTTTGAGTTAATTCACTTAGAATAATAGTTTCCAGCTTCATCCAAACCACTGCAAAAGACATTATTTCATACCTTTTTATGGCTGAGTTATATTTCATGGTTATATTTTTATGGCTGAGTTACATTCCATGGTGTATTTATACCACATTATCTTTGTCCACTCATTGGTGGATGGGCACTTAAGTTAGTTCCCTATCTTTGCAATTATGAATTTGGCTGCAATAAACGTTAAGTGTGCATGTGTCTTTTTCATATAATTACTGGTTTTTTTTTCCTTTAGGTAGATACTCAGTGGTGGGATTGCTGGATCAAATAGTAGATCTACTTTTAGTTCCTTAAGGAATCTCCATGCTGTTTTCTATAGAGTTTGTACTAATTTATATTCCCATCAGCAGTGTATAAAAGCATTCCTCTTTCATCACATCCACACCAACATGTGTTGTTTTTTTGACTTTTTCATACCGGCCATTCTTGCAGGATTAAGGTGGTATCTCACTGTGGTTTGAATTTGCATTTCTCTGATGGTTAGTAATGGTGAACATTTTTTCATATGTATTTTGGCCATTTGTATATCTTCTTTTGAGAAATATCTTTTCATGTCATTTGCACAGTTTTTGATGGGATTATTTGTTGTTTTCTTGCTGATACTGTTTGAGTTCCTTGTAGATTCTGGATACTAGTCCTTTGTCAGATGCAGAGTTTGGAAATATTTTCTCCCATTCTGTGGGTTGTCTGTTTACTCTGATGATTCTTTCTTTTTCCATGCAGAAGCTTTTTAATTTAATCAGGTCCCATTTGTATATTTTTGTTTTTCTTGCATTTGCTTTTGGGTTTTATCCATGAATTCTTTGCCTAGGCCAATATCCAGAAGAGTTTTTCCAAAATTATCTTCTAGAATTTTTATGGTTTTGGGTCTTAGATTTAAGGTTTTGATCTGTCTTGAGTGGATTTTTGTGTAAGGTGAGAGACAGGGATCCAGTTTTATGCTTCTACATGCAGCTAGCAGTTATACCAGCACCATTTAGTAAATTGGATGTCCTTTCCCCAGTTTATGTTTTTGTATATACTTTGTTAGAGGTCAGTTAGTTGTAAGTATTTGTCTTTATTTCTGGGTTCTCTGTACTTTTACACTGGTCTGTGTGCCAACTTTTATACCAGCACCATGGTGTTTTGGTAACTATAGTCTTGTAGTATAACTTGAAATCTGGAAGTGTGATGCCCCCATATTTGTTCTTTTGCTTAGGAATTATTTGGCTATTTGGATTATTTGTTGGTTCCATACAAATTTTCGGAGTCTTTTTTTTCTAATTCTGTGAAAAATAATATTGCTATTTTCATGGAAATTGCATTGAATCTGTAGATTGCTTTGGGCAATATGATCATTTTTATAACACAGTATGGTCAGTTTTACAATAAGCAGTTATTCTGTTTAAGGAGGCTAAAGGTAGGACTCTGATCCATTCTGGATTGTAGGGTTTTTGCTGAGACATCTGCTGTTAGTCTGATAGATTTTCCTTTATAGGTGAATTGATGCTTTTTTTCTCACTGCACTTAGAATAATTTCCTTCATGATGTATTTACATAGTCTGATGACTATATGCCTTGGTGATGACCTTTTTGCAATGAATTTTTCAGGAGATTTTTTATCTTCTTGTATTTGGATATGTAAGTCTCTAGGAAGGCTAAGGCCTCCAAACCATGAGCATGGTATGTGTTTCCATTTGTCCGTATCATCTATGATTTCTTTCAGCAGTGTTTTGTAGTTCTCCTTGTAGAGATCTTTCACCTACTTGGTTAAGTATGTTTCTAAGTATTTTATTTTTTATTATTTGCAGCTGTTGTAAAAGGGGTTTGAGTTCTTGATTTAATTCTCAGCTTGGTGGTTGTTGGTGTATAGCAGTGCTACTGATTTGTGTACATTGATTTTGTAACCTGAGACTTTATGGAATTTTTTTTTATCAAATATAGGAGTCTTTTGGAGGTGCCTAGGGTTTCCTAGGAATACAATCATATCATCAGCAAACAGTGGTAGTTTGACTTCCTCTTTTTTAAAATCTGGATGCCCTTTCTTTCTCTTGCCTCATTGCACTGGCTAGGAATTCCAGTACAATGTTGAATAGAAGTGGTGAAAGTAGGCATCCTTGTCTTGTTTTAGTTCTTAGGGGTAATGCTTTCAACTTTTTCCCATTCAGTATGATGTTGGTGGTGGTTTTGTCATAGATGGCCCTTATTAATTTGAGGTTTGGCCCCTGTACGCCTATTTTTGTTGAAGGGTTTATCATAAAGTGATGCTGGATTTTATTGAATGCTTTTTTGCATCTATTGAGATTATAATATAGTTTTTGTTTTTAATTCTGTTTATGTGATGTACCACATTTATTGACTTGTGTATGCTAAATCATCCCTGCATCCTTGGGATGAAACCCATTTGATCATGGTGTATTATCTTTTTTGATGTGCTGTTGGATTCAGTTAGCTAATATTTTCTTGAGGATTTTTGCATCTATGTTCCTTAGAGATATTGGTCTATATTTTTCTTTATTTGTTATGTTCTTTCATGGTTTCGGTATCACAGTGATACTGTCCTCATAGAATGATTCAGGGAGGATTCCCTCTTTCTCAATCTTTTGGAATAGTTTCTGTAGGATTGGGACAATTTCATCTTTGAATATCTTGTAGAATTCAACTGTGAATCCATTCGGTCCTGGACTGTTTTTTAATTGGCCTTTTTTTTTTATTATTACTGATTCAATCTCGCTGCTTATTATTGGTCTGTTAGGGTTCCTATTTCTTCCTGGTTTAATCTAAGAGGGCTATATGTTTCCAGGAATTTATCCATTTCCTCTAGACTTTCTGGTTTGTGTGCACAGAGGTGTTCATAGTAGTCTCAAACGATCTTTTGTATTTTTGTGGTATCAGTTGTAAATACCTCCAGTTTCATTTCTAATTGAGCTTATTTGAAGCTTCTCTCTTCTCTTCTTGGTTAATCTAGCTAATGGTCTATCAATTTTGTTTATCTTTTCAAAGAATCAGCTTTTTGTTTCATTGACGTTTTGTATTTTTTGTTTCAATTTCAATTAATTCTACTCTGATTCTTGTTATTTCTTTTCTTCTGCTAGCTTTGGGTTAAGTTTGTTCTTGTTTCTCTAGTTTCTTGAGTTATAACATTAAGTTGTCAATTTGTGATCTTTCAAACTTTTTGATGTAGGCATTTTGTGCTATAATCTTTCCCCTTAGAACTGCTTTTGCTTTATCCCAAAGGTGTTGACAACTTGTGTCACAATTATTCATTTCAAAGAATTTTTAAAATTTTTCATCTTAATTTCATTGGTAACCCAAAAATCATTTAGGAGCACATTGCTTAATTTCATTTATTTGTATAGTTTTGGTGGTACCTTTTGGAGTTGATTTCTAGATTTATTCCACTGTGCTCTGAGAAGCTACTTGATATAATTTCAATTTTTTAGAATTAATTGAGACTTGTTTTGTAGCCTATAATATGGTCTATCTTGGAGAATATACCATGTGCTGATGAGAATAATGTATATTCTTCAGTTCTTGGGTAGAACATTCAGTAAATATTTGTTAGTTTATTTGCTCAAGAGTGTAGTTTAAGTCCATTGTTTCTTTTCTTTATTCTTTTCTTTTCTTTTTTTTTTGAGATGGAGTTTAATTCTTGTTGCCCAGGCTGGAATGCAATGGCAGGCACAATCTCAGCTCACTGCAACCTCCACCTCCGAGGTTCAAGCAATTCTCCTGCCTCAGCCTTCCGAGTACCTAGGATTACAGGCGCCCACCACCATGCCTGGCTAATTTTTTTGTTTTGTTTTGTTTTGAAATGGAGTCTCCCTCTGTTGCCCAGGCTGGAGTGCAGTAGTGCAATCACTGCAACCTCTGCTTCCTGGGTTCAAGTGATTCTCCTGCCTCAGCCTCCTGAGTAGCTGAGACCACAGGTGCACACCACCATGCCTGGCTAGTTTGTTTGTTTGTTTGTTTGTTTGTTTTTGTATTTTTAGTAGAAATGGGGTTTTACCATATTGGCCAGGCTGGTCTAGAACTCCTGACCTTGTGACCTTGTGATCTGCCCGCCTCGGCCTCCCAAAGTGCTGGGATTACAGGCATGAGCCACCACGCCTGGCCCAAGTCCATTGTTTCTTTATTGACTTTCTGTCTTGATGATCTGTCTAGTGCTATCAGTGAAGTATTGAACTCCCTCACCATTATTGTGTTGTTATCTCATTTCTTAGGTCAAGTAGTAACTGCTTTATGAATCTGGTCGCTCTAGTGTTAGGTGCAGATAAATTTTGGATTGTAATATCTTCTTGTTGGCTTGAATTTTTTTATAATTATGTAATGAGGTTCTTTGTCATTTTTTTTTACTGTTGTTGCTTTAAAGTCTGTTTTATCTGATACAAGAATAGCTACTCCTGCTTGTTTTTATTTCCATTTTTGTGGAATACCTTTTCCCACCTTTTTACTTTGATTTTATATAAAATATTATGTGTTAGGAGGGTCTCTTGAAGACAGCAGATATTTGATTTGTGACTTTTTATTCATTTTGCCAATCTTTATCATTAAATGGAGCATTTAGCCCACTTGGGTTCAATGTTAGTATTGAGATGTGACATACAGTTCCATTCATCATGTTAATTGTTCCCTATATACTTTGTTTTCTGTTGTTGTATTATTGTTTTATAGGCCCTCTGAGTTTTATATTTTCTAGAAGTTCTATTTTGGTGCTTTTCCAACCTTGATTTCAGGATTTAGAACTTTTAGCATTTCTTGTAGGGTTGGTCTGGTAGTAACCAATTTCCTCAGCAATTGTTTGTCTGAAAATGACTATTTCTTCTTCATTTATGAAACAGTTTTTCTGTATACAACATGCATTGCTGGCAGTTATTCTGTTTAAGGAGGCTAGAGATAGGACCCTAATCCCTTCTGGCTTGTAAGGTTTCTGCTGAGAAGCCTGTTGTTAGTCTGATAGATTTTCCTTTAGAGGTGAATTGATGATTTTTTTTTCACTGCTCTTAAATTTTTTTTTTCATGTTGAATTTAGATAATCTGATGACTATAAGCCTTGGTGATGGCCCTTTTGCAATGAATCTTTTTTTTTTTTGAGACAGGGTCTTGCTCTGTTGCCAGGCTGGAGTATAGTGGCACAATCTCAGCTCATTGCAACCTCCGCCTCCCGGGTTCAAGCAATTCCCCTGCCTCAGCCTTCTGAGTAGCTGGGACTACATGCCTGGCTAATTTTTTATATTTTTTAGTAGAAATGGGGTTTCATCATGTTGGACAGGATGGTCTCGATTTCTTGACCTTGTGATCCTCCCCACTTGGCCTCCCAAAGTGCTGGGATTACAGGCATGAGCCACCACACCTGGCCTTTGCAATCAATCTTTTAGGAGATGTTTTATCTTCTTGTATTTGGATGTCTAAATCTCTAGCAAGGCCAGGGAAGGTTTCCTCAATTAAATTTTCCAAGATTTTTTCTGCTCTCTCTTCTCCCTCAGGAACACTAATTATTCTTAGTTTGGCCCTTTTATATAATCCCATATTTCTTGGAGACTGCTCATTTCTTTAGATTCTTTTTTCTTATTTTTGTCTGGTTGGGTTAATGCAAAAGCCTTGTCTTCAAGTTCTGACATTCTTTCTTCTACGTCTTCAAGTTCGCATTCTTTCTTCTACTTATTCTAGTCTATTGTTGAAAAATTTCACTGTAGTTTAGAATTTCCTAAGTGTGTCTTTTATTACCAGAAGTTCTGACTGATTTTTCTTTAAGATACCTCTTCCTTTAGAAAATTTTGTTCATTGGGTTTTTGTTTTTGTTTTTGTTTTTTACATTTGTTTATGTTGGTTTTACCTTTCTGTGGTATCTCTTTGAGTACCTTAATAATCAGCCTTTTGAATTCTTCTTCTGGTATGTCAACAATTTTATGTTGGTTTGGATCCATTGCTGGAGAGCTAGTGTGATCTTTTGGGGGTGTTTTAGAATCCCATATTGTCATATTACCAGAATTATTTTTCTGGTTCCTTCTAATTTGGTAAGACTAATTATTGTTGAAATTATTTTTGACTGCTTTTTTTTCTTTTCCCCCCTTAAGGATGTGATTTTAATGCTTATGGTTTATTGTAGTCTAATTGAGCTCTTGGTATTTTCAGGAGTGCAGACTGCATGAGTTCCTTGACTATAGAGAGGCTGATTCTGGGGAATATCTGCAAGGAATGCACAGATGTGACCTGTCCACAAGTCTCCCAGCAGTGGGTACTGGCACCAGCTACGTTGGGAATGACAGGGGAGTCACATAGACTCGGAGATTTCTTGGATATAGGTGGTCTTAGTGTATTGGCATTCTCAAATACCAGTTGTGATAGTAATGAACAGTCACATGGACAGACTCAGGACCTCCTGGTTAGCCAGAGTGGTATAGGCGATGGTGATAGCTGAGGTCATGAACAAGTTTTCTCCTTCCTGGGTGCAGTGTTATTTTACCTGAATGCTGTAATGGACTGTGTCAGCTGGCCTCCACCCAGGAGGTGTTGGTTGCAAAACAGCACTAGCTGTGGTAGTAGTAGCAGGATTTGTGCCTGTTTTTTTGCAGTACTCTGGTTTCTCGGGAGATGGATGGGGCCATAAAGCTCCCCAAAGTTTTCATCCATTGTGTTAAGCTACATTTCCCACTCACCCCCTGATTCTGGCCAAGAGAGTTCTTCCCAACTTGAGGTTATATTGCTAAATTCAGTTGGGAGCTTCTTTTAACCTGCCACTGCTGCCTTAGTTGGCAAACTTCCACAAGGGTCCCAGTGAGGCAAAATAAGGAATGACTTCCTTCAGTCCACGCTGTAGACTGAGAATGCACACCAGGCTCCTCCCACTGCCATTCCTAGTTCCTACTTTTCTATTTCTCACTGCTCCCTAAACCAGTTCCAGTGCTGGGTAGGGTTAAGGCCTTCTGCATGGGCTGGATTGCCAGGTTCCCCAGTGGGGATGTATGTCCTAGAGGCAGTGTCTTCCCCTCTCATACTCTCAGTACTTAGAGTTTTTTGCCTGGCTCATGGTATAGCCTGCAGCCTGCTGTTTCTTTCAAAGAATCTGTGGATTTCAGTTTTCCTTTAAGTTTCTGTATTGTTTCTTGAAAATGATGTTCACAGTATGAATCTACACACTATTTTGCCTTTCCAAGTGGGAGAGGCATGCTAAAATTGCCTCCAATCCACCTTCTTGGAGCCAATCATCTTTTTAAAGAATGGTGGGGCTGGGTGCGGTGGCTCACGCCTGCAAATGTCAGCATCTTGGGAGGCTGAGGCAGGTGGATCACGAGGTCAGGCGATCGAGACCATTCTGGCCAACATGGTGAAACCCCATCTTTACTAAAAATACAAAAAGTAGCTGGCCGTGGTGGCACGTGCCTGTAGTCCCAGTTACTCGGGAGGCTGAGGCAATAGAATCACCTGAGTCTGGGAGGCGGAGGTTGCAGTGAGCCGAGATCATGCCACTACACTCCAGCCTGGCGACAGAGCGAGAGTCCATCTCAAAAAAAATAAATAAATAAAAATAAAAAGAAAAGAAAAAGATTGGTGGAGTGTGGTCAATATTCCTTGTAGACACTATATTGTCCCAATATCTAAAGAGTTATTATTTATATTTTTTTAAAAAACTACCACTTACACATTGTAGCTGCTAAAAGATAGAGATAGAGATACTTTTACTAACTCTTACATGAGTTTTTATGTCCCTGTCCAGGTCTGCTGAAATCATATGGTGCTCATAAATATCTAGTTATATAGCCAAGAAACAAAAATTGCTGTCTCTTATAACTTGGGTCTGGAAAGCTATTCCACCTACAAATTGTCAGAATTCTCAGATAACTCTATTAAACCCGTCCTCCTACACAGAGGTAAGATAAATCAGGTAAAATAACAAAAAAACCATAATTAAACTCTGGAAGATTTAAAAAACAAATGATTAATAATTTTATTTTTATGCAAATAACAAATCTTTGGGACAGATCAAATGCATTTTTTACTTCCATGTTGCCAAACTTTGATTTGATTGATACTATATTTATCCCCATGTGGTAGCTGGAGCACTCACTTTAGAGAGAAACTTTCTTAATTCTAGCCTATCAAGGAGAATCTGCAAGTTAAAAACTCACTTTTATCAGCAGGCATTCCAAGAATGGCAGGTGGCAAATAAACCTCTTGGTGGATTATTCTAATTGTGTTTTCTTTGGCCTTCGTAACTTAAAAAGTGGTAAAAGAAGGAAGAGGGAGACTTGCGATGGTTTTGACAGTTGTGTTTACATCTTTTTCTAGTGAACACTGTATGTGAAGTTTTCACTGACTCTAAGTATGAAGCTAGTTTGAGGGGGTCTATAACTTACATAATGGATATATGGAAAGAAGAACTAGGAATAACTGGTTGCATTAAGTATATCAAAGTATTGACTAATGTTATTACTAATTATTTTTATGCCTTTCTCCACTTTTATTAATTTTCACAATTTTTTATGAATTTATTTATGTTGAGAACAAGAGTAAATTACAAAATACTAAAACATAAAATTTAAATAAAAGAATGCAAAAATAAGATAAGGCAAAAATACAAGGTCTAATCTAAATGAAGCCATAATGATATTAATCTGCATTTTTTTTTTTTTTAAGAGACAGTCTTGCTCTGTCACCCAGGCTGGAGTGCAGTGGCACGATCTTGGCTCACTGCAACCTCCATCTCCTGAGTTCTAGCAATTCTCCTGCCTCAGACTCCTGAGTATCTGGGATTATAGGTGCACGCCACCACACCAGGCTAATTTTTTGTATTTTAGTAGAGATGGGGTTTCACTATGTTGCCCAGGCTGGTCTCAAACTCCTGAGCTCAGGCAATCCACCTGCCTCGGCCTCCCAAAGTACTAGGATTACAGGTGTTAGCCACCGCACCCAGCCTGCATCTTCTTTTGATAACAACATCTATTTTAATTATAAATCTAAACCATCAAATATCAGTTTAAACTGTTACTGTATATTTTACAAAATATATCTAAAAGGAATTTTATCACAAATATTAGTTAATTGGTTGAGTATCTGGATATTTCTGATAACCTTGTTTCAATATAACACAATGATAGTATTTTCCTAACAATTTCATTTTTTAGATAATTGAAGCAAAGAATCAAGTTTATTTTAAGTGACAAACTTCACAGTAACTGCCTACTTAGTAAATGTTTTTTTAATTTGGATTTTTTGAAAGGAAATATGCATGTATTGTGTCTTCAGAAATATGCAGACACTTATTTTTCTCACTAGCTGGAAGAACCCATAAAAGAAATGAGTTCATATGAGAGGTCAAAGTAAGAAGTGGAATTCCAGCAAGAACATATACTTCTCACTTGATCTTTCCAACTATCTCACATTGAATTATGTCTTTATATATTTACACTGTCTTCTCAATAGGACACCTTACATTTACTTAGAGTTTCAGCATTCATTTTTCAGCAAAAACCTACCACCTATAGTTGCAGGTTTTAAAAATTTTTTCTTATAATCCTCATGGACATTTATCCAAAACAATATTACTTTTCTTAAAAAGTTACACAGCAAGACTGCTGCAATGGTAATTGTATTAGTCTGTTCTCACATTGCTATAAATAAATAATGAGACGGGATAATTTCTAAAGAAAAGAGAGCTTAGTTGTTGGCTCATGGTTCTGCAGGCTGTACAGGAAGCATGATACTGGCATATGCTCAGCTTCTGGGGAAGCCTCAGGAAACTTATAATCAAGGTGGAAGGTGAAGGGGGAGCACACACATCACATGGGCAGAGTAGGAGCAGGAGAGGAAGTGGGGAGGTGTGACACACTTTTAAACAACCAGATGTCATGAGAACTCACTGTTGCAATGACAGCACCAAAGGGGATGGAGTTAAACCATGAGAAGCTGCTCCTGTGATCCAGTCACCTCCCACCAGGCCCCACTTCTAACACTGGGGATTACAATTCAACATGAGATTTGGGCAGGGACACAGATGCAAACCATATCATTGATAAATACAGAATGTGATGGACATATAAAAAAGAGCTCCCACATCTGTCTGAATGAAGAACAGCTTCCAAAGAGGTTGCATTTTTGCTGAGACTTGATAGTAAATTTAAATGTTGACAGAAAGGCTCATGTGAAAAATATATAGAAAGATGATGAGTATGATATGTTCTGGGAACTATGATTAGTTCTTTATTATTGGATGTACTTTATTTTTTATTATTTTTGAGATGGAGTTTCGCTCTTGTTGCCCAGTCTGGAGTACAATGGCACCATCTCGGCTCACCACAACCTCTGCCTCCCGGGTTCAAGTGATTCTCCTGCCTCAGCCTCCCGAGGAGTTGGGATTACAGGCATGTGCCGCCATGCCTGGCTAATTTTGTATTTTTAGTAGAGACGGGGTTTCTCCATGTTGGTCAGGCTGGTCTCAAACTCCTGACCTCAGGTGATCCGCCCGCCTCAGCCTCCCAAAGCACTGGGATTACAAGCATGAGCCATCGTGCCCGGCCTTGGATGTACTTTAAAATATTCTATTTGTCTTCACTAAGTCTCTTGAAATCTTGCAAAAATGTGTAAGGAAGTTAGTGGCCAGGAGTGAGCTTAAACAGCTAGATAGGAGGTATGTGAAAATGGCCTTGTGTAATTGGTAAAGGGATCTAAATTTGTCTATTCTTGTTTCAGTTCTTTCACTGTATCACTCTATTCTTGTTTCAATTATTTAAATTTTTCCTCATATTTAAAAATTAACAAAGTTTCCCTATCAGTCAAGTCTCATTCAAGTGACTCAAAGTCTGTCTTTTCAACAATTAACTTGTTAAATAAATACGCAATTTTTATTTGCTTCTTTTCTAGACAAATAGCACAATAATTATAATCCTTTAATGTAAATATCAAACCAGTGTTTTTAAATTTATAAACTGCTTTTTTAGATTGCATGTGGGCCAGGTGCGGTGGCACACTTGTAATCCCAGCACTTTGGGAGACTGGGGTGGGAGGATCATTTGAGGCCATGAGTTTGAGACCAGCCTCATGAGGCCATGAGGAAGGATCGTTTGAGCACAGAGATTTGAGGGCTGCAGTGGACTATGATCATGCCACTGCACTCAGGCTTGGGCAGCAGAACGAGATCCCAACTCTCCAAAAAAAAAGAATGCACACGTGCAGATGGTATCATCTAGCTCAAGTCACTAAAACATTTTTCTCCTACTTTAGCTAAGTTTCACCATCATGGGAGATGCCTTTTTATAATCCCAGAGATATCAATTTAGACCTTTCAGACCTATCTCTACAGTATCATGCCTTTTTGGAAGTAATTAATATAAATTTTCAGTAAAATAGGTGCTATTAGGATTGATACATAAAGACCACCTTTCAATACTATTGATTATTATTTTATTTTATTTTATTATTTTATTTTTTGATATGGAGTCTCGCCCTGTTGCCCAGGCTGGAGTGCAGTAGCATGATCTTGGCTCACTGCAACCTCCGTCTCCTGGGTTCAAGCAGTTCTCTGCCTCAGCCTCCCAAGTAGCTGGGATTACAGGCTCCCGCCAACACGCCCGGCTAATTTGTTTTGTATTTTTAGTAGAGACGGGGTTTCACCATCTTGGCCAGGCTGGTCTTGAACTCCTGACCTTGTGATCCACCCGCCTTGGCCTCCCAAAGTGCTGGGATTACAGGCATGAGGCACTGCTCCCGGCCCCATTATTTTCTTCTTAAGGGTACTAAAAAAGCCCCCATACATTATTTGCTATAAGCAGAGGGCAGAAATAACAGAAATTACATGAAATTATCTTGACAGACATCTATCCTCCGAGTGTGCTTGACAGTTTGTGCCATTTGTGTCTGTCTTGTGTGAGTATATTGTTATTAGGACATGTAAAATTCTTAAAGAGAGGCAAGCACCAGTTGGTATTAGTGAAAGATAAGGCAGCACACTGCAACGTCTGGAGTTGGGTGTATGTGTATGGAAAAAAGGAAACTTACAAAGAGGAAACAACATCCTTCCAGCAGGAAAATATGTAGCAGTCCAGGGGATACCTTAAATAGATAACAAAGGAATTGACTAATGTGTGAATATTGCTAGATTCTAAACATAGACCATGAAAGGTGCTAAACTGATTTGATGGGAAAATGAACACAAAGGAGCATATCCCTTCTTCCACCAGTTTTCGAGGCTCTTTCTAGTGCCCTCTATTGACAGAGCCAAAGGGGAGTCTGGTGTCAAAGGAGAAACAGGGTTTTTAGAGTTCCAGCCTTAGCATCACAAAGGAAAGTATAGCTGGGTGGATTGGAAACTGGCATCAAAAGCTTAGTAATTGGCACATCTACCAAATATATAACTGTCTGGTTTTTAAATAAATGACTATGAGTCTAATCATAGTGTGTGTGTGTGTGTATGTGTGCATATATATATATACACACATATATGTGCATATATATATACACATATGCATATATACACACACATATGTATGCATATATACACACACATATATACACATAGCATGTGTGTATATATACACACACACAGTATATATATGTATATGTGTATATATATGTGTATATATATGTGTGCGTGTGTGTATGTATCTATATATACACACTCACATACATAGTGTGTGTGTGTAATCTCAACACTTTAGGAGGCCGAGGAGGGTGGATTGCTTGAGCTCAGTTCAAGACCAGTTCGGGAAACATAATGAAATCCCATCTCTACCAAAAATACAAAATTTAGCTGGGCATAGTGGTGTGTGCCTGTGGTCGCAGCTACTAGGGAGGCTGATGTGGGAGGATTGCTGGAGCCTGAGCAGTAGAGGTTGTAGTAAGTGAGCCCAGGTTGTGCCACTGTACTCCAGCCTGGTGAAAAAGTGAAACCCTGTCTCAAAAAAAAAATGCAGCATGAATTAGAAGGCTCAGTATTATAAAGCTATCAATTTTCTGTAAATTGATCTAAAAATTTACTGTTGTTGCAACCAAATAATTTCAAAATGGTTTACAAAAACGTTTTTTTAAAGTTCAAAAAATTTGTAGGATAAAGAAAAACTTTGATAATTTTTTGAGGAAGAAAACAAGATGGGAAAACTTGCTTTATCAAATATCAAGATATATTTTAAGACAGTTATTAAGATATTATAACATATAAGTAGACAAATAGAACGTAAATTTCAAAATCAGATCCATGCATATTTGAAAAATTGATATATGCCAGAGGGATGATTAAAAATGAGAAGGGAATGGATTTTTTATGAAATAAATGCTATTAGGGCAACTGATTGTTCACATGAGGAAAAACTGAACTTGAATTACTATTTCAGCATATATATAATGACTAGTTTTAGATGGATTAAGGACTAAGTTTGAAATGTACAGTTTTAACACCTTCAATAAAATATTGAATAATATTTTCATGATATCAAATCAAGGGAAAACAAAATTATGTAAAATATTGATGTATTTGATTATATTAGGAGAGAAATTTATTAACACAAATTAACATTAAAGGTTAAAGGTCAAATAATTTTATATTTGAAAAAATGTAATGATATTAATTAAAGAAATACCTTGAATATCAAATAATGACAAAAAAGAATAATCCTATAGATATATAGGCAAAATATATCAACCATAAATACACAGAGGATATAACACATATAGCCACTGTATACATGGAAAGATATTCAATAATTCCATGTCCATGAAACACAGTTTTTAAGAAATAAAGTATTATATATTGCTGACCACGTGCAGTAGTGAAAACTCACATAGCCTCATGGTGAAATGGTAAATTATTACATCCATCTTTGAAAATAATATTCCAATATCAAATACTATTCAGCATATTTATTTATACACTGAAATCCAGACTTTCCATTTTTATGCACATACCATAGACAGACATTGCACATGTGCACAAGAAAACATGCACAGAAACACTGCTTACCACATTTGTATTTACTGAAAAAATTGTAAACAACCTAAATAAGTATTTGTCAATAGGAGGATGAATAAATAAATTGTGGTACAGCAGTACAAAGAAAGCAGTAGGTCTACATATATAAGCATAATTAAATCTCGTTTGTTGACCAAAATAAATGAACATTGCAGAATAACGATGGTGTAATATGACATTGAATCTTAAAGTATGCAAAAGAGTATTTTTTATAAATATATATTTTTATAAAATATTTCTTAAACATTTATTAGAATTGATTAAAAAACAGATTCAGAAAGTAACCATTTCTCAGGGAATGGGATTCATAAGGGAAAATAGTGGTCTCATGCATAATCTGTAAAATATACATCTTTAGTAAATAAAGTCGCTGAAACAGATATTACATGTGGTTAAGAGATGCTAAACCTGGATTGTGAGAATAGGAATTCAGTTATTTGTTATACATGTTTATTCCTTTTTCTCTGTACTTTTGAAAAATTTAACTACCTACTCGATTGAATATTTGTACTGATAAAAATGCAACCCAATCCATACCTCACCCTTAATACAAAAATTAACTTAAAATGTAAATTTTACAATGTAAAACCTAAAAGTATGAAACTTATAGAAAAAGATAGAAGAAAATTATGACTTTAGGTCAAATGTTTCTTACATATGAGACAAAAAAATACATTTTATTAAAGAAAAATGATAAATCAAACTACATAAAATTTATTAATGACAAGTGATTATTAACAGAATACAGATGAGCCACAGGTTAGGAAAGAAGATGTGCAAATCACATATCACGAAAAATCTTATATCCAGAATATAGAAAGAATTCTCAAAACTCAACAGCTAAGAAACAACCCAATAAAATATAGGCAATATTTTAGACAATAGGCATGAATAGACTCTTTACCAAGCAAGAGTTACAGATGATCAATAAATACGTGAAAAGATAGTCAATATCATTAGTCATTAGGTACATGGAAGTACAACTGCAATGAGATACCACTTTGCAACTATTATAACGAAAAAGAAGAAAACTGACAATGCCAAGTGTTGACATGGATGGGGAACAACTGGAGCTTTCATACATTGCTGGTTGGAATGTAAAATGGCACAGCAAAACTTTCACTTTTTATAAAGTTAGGCACATGATTATGATATAATACAATATTCCCTCTCCTAGGTATTTACCTAGGAGACTAGGAGATATGAAAATATTTGTTCACACAAAAACTAGTACAAGTATATTTATAGCAGCTCTATTTTAATCATCAAAAACTAGAAAAAACTTAGATGTCCCTCAATAAATAAAATGATAAATAGTGGAACATACATACGATGGAATATTACTCAGTGATTTAAAAAAAAGCAATTAACTAGGCTTCATCTACATAATATGAACCTTGGTCTCCACAACCCCTTATCTTAACCCAGACACTCCCTTCTATTGATTTCAGGTCTTCAGCTACCTATCCCCTGGAAGCCCCGGCTTCAAGCTGTCCTTCCTTTCCAGATCAAATCAATGTACATCTTACATGTATTGATTGATGTCTTATGTCTTCCTAAAATGTAAGCTGTAGTCTGACCACCTTGGGCACATGTTCTCAGGATCTCCTGGGGCTGTTTCATGAGCCATGGTCACTCATATTTGGCTTAATAAATTTCTTCAAATACTAAAAAACATAATTAACTGTTGATATGTGCAATAACATAAATGAATATCAAGTATACTGTGCTAGGTAAAAGAAGGCTGACTCAAAGGCTACACACTTTACTATTCCCTTTACATGACACTGTGGGAAAGGCAAAATTATGGAAACAGAAAACAGATTAGTGGTGGCCAGGAGCTGAGCAAGAAAGGGGCTTATTTAAAACGAGCAGCAACACAACAGTTTTTTAAGTGGTGATAGACCTCTTTGGAATTGTAATGTTTGTCATGTGTGCCTTTGTCTATACTCAGAACTGAACACCAAAGAGGTAAATGTTATTATTGTGTGTAAAATAAAAATTGACTAAGCAATAATATAAATATATAGGTATATATGCACATATATGTACAAATATATTTTACAAATAATGTAAAACTTCATTTAATAATTTTCAGTACCTGTATTCTGAGTTTCCCTATTACAAAGACTACTTGTCTGCCAATTCAGGGAGAAAAATTATGTTGTGAATAATTGAAATCTGTTAAAATTATTGAGATTTTCAGACAATTTTCAGAATAGAAAAGAAAGAAAATTTGTAAAATTTTCCATATGATTCTCTTGTCTTTATTCTATACTATTTCTAAAATACAGGTTTTTATGGGGCTTTAGGTTCAATGTTTTCAAGCAACCATCACAAAACCCTGGACAATTTTAGAGGTAGGGGTGAAAACAAAGGAAAGTGGTTGTTAACCAAATGGCAGAAGCTAAGCAAGCCATGGAATGGATGAATACTAAATGTTAATGAATAGCTGTTCTATGCCTCCAGACTCTTCTGTTTGTATTAATGAATAGAACTAATTAAAAGTAGATATAATATGATGATGAATTTTTTTAAAAAAGAATACTGCATATTTTTCTTTGTAACATTCCCCATAGTCTACTTTCTTGGAAATGTTACTTTTTATTTGTTCTTTTTTAAAAAACAAACACTGTTTTTGATAGACATTCAAACATCTTTCATAAAAGACAGAGACTACTTCTTCAAATGCAAACCAAAAGGGAATTTGGAATAATTTTCTTGCCCTGTAGGAAGATTTTCCTTAGGGAAAGCTTATTTAATAGAGAAAATGTGTTGATTTCAGTAATCACAGATGTTTATTCCAGTCTATTTATATTTGGCTCTATATTTTTTATGACATAAATAAATTTCTTAAGTTTGGTGCTAATAAGAGTTTGTGATGCTGATAATCCTGACTACAGTTAGGAAAAATGCATATGGCTATTCTCCAGGCTTGTTCACACAGATCTACCCACACACATCTTCATAGCAAATCTGTAATGCCACTGCTACTTAATTACTTGGCATCTATTGTGCAAAGACTGACAACCTTACTACATAGTTGGGAAGAAAGACAAATTTCTATTAAGGAATAGACTGAGGTCACTGTGTTTATAACCTGTTACAGATTTGTTTACTTTCTTTACAAAGGTAAAATGTATCAGTGGCAAGTCATGATTATATTTCTAATGTTGATTTACATCAGATTCCATTATGTGGAATCTGAAAAATTTTAGCTAGAATTGCATAAATCCATTTTAAACCTTGAAATTTCTTAAGCAGCTAAGGCATACATTTTGTAGAAATTTTGAAATGGGAACTCTGATGTGTATGAGTGTGTGTGTGTGTGTATAGTCGTATATAATCATATACATTATAAACCCCTCCCATCACACACACAAACATTCCCTTAAAGGAGTACTAGCATGGAAGACAGAGGAAAGCTAGTATTTATTAAGCATCCATTTAGTAAGACTCTTAGCTGTTATTAATTACTATTATTTTTTATTTCTTTCTTTCTTCCCTTTTTTTTTTTTTCTTTTTGAGACTGGGACTTACTTCTGTGGCCTGGGCTGGAGTGTAGTGACCTGATCTTGGCTCACTGCAACCTCGCCCTCCCAGGTTCAAGTGATTCTCCTGGCTCAGCCTCCCGGGTAGCTGGGACTACAAGCACGCAGCACCATGCCTGACTAATTTTTGTATTTTTAGTAGAGACGAGGTTTCACCATGTTGGTCAGACTGGCCTCCAACTCCTGACCTCGTGATCCACCTGCCTCAGCCTCCCAAAGTGCTGGGATTACAGGCGTGAGCCACTGCATCCAGCCGGCTATGATTATTTTTCTAAGCTTTGATCATAAGAAATCTCTAAGATACATGTTTAAACAGAAAATTGTGTCTTCCTCAAGGCCTACCAAATCAGACCCTAGGAGTAGAGGTCTAGGAATGTGTAATTTAGCAATTGCCAGAGGCGAGTCTTTTGACCAACAGAGTTTGAGAAAAACTGAGAAGAGTTCATTTAAACTTCAAGTTATGCTGTAGACATTGTATCATTTTATAAAGAAACTAAAACAAATATTTATCAATAAACTTGGGCAATGTTGATTTATGATAAATGAGATCTAGAATGTGAAATAAATCTTTGAATTCAAAAGTCTACATTTTCCTACCCTTGCGGTACTTGCTTTTTTCTTTTAACAGCTTTACTGATATGTAACTTACATATCATAAAATTTACCCAGGAATTCGAGGCTGCAGTGAGCTATGATTACACCACTACATTCCAGCCTGGGCAACAAAGTGAGACCATATCTATCTAACTATCAATCAATCAATAAAGCCATCGATTTTTACTATATTCACAAAGCTGTGCAACCATCACTATTAGCACATTGTAGAACACTTTCATTACCCCTAAAATAAACCCAGACACATTAGCAGTTATTCCCCATTTCTTCCTTTCCTCACACCTGGCAATTACTAATTTACTTTTATTTTCTCTGTGGATTTGCCTATTATGAATATTTCTTTTAAATGAAATCACACAGCATGTTGCCTTTTGTGTTTGGCTTCTTAATGTTATAATATTTTCAAGGCTCGTCCACATTGTAGCTTGTATCAGTTCTTCTATACTTTGTGTGAAAGTTTTTCTATGAATATATATTTTCAATTATGTTGAATATGAGTAGAATTGTCAAATGATAAGGTAGCTCTATGTTTAACATTTTGTGGAATTCCCAAATGTTTTTGAAAGTTTTTGTACAATGTTACAATTCCACCACCAACTTTCCTCTATATCTATCAACACTTTTTATTTTTGATCTTGTCATTTTGCCATCTTAATGAGTGCAAAATGCTATCTCATTGTAGGTTTTTTTATTTTATTTTATTTTATTTTTTGAGATGGAATCTTGCACTGTCGCCCAGGCTGGAGTGCAGTGGCGCAATCTCCACTCACTGCAAGCTCCACCTCACCAGTTCACGTCATTCTCCTGCCTTAGCCTCCTGAGTAGCTGGGCTACAGGCGCCAGCCACCAAGCCCGGCTAATTTTTGTGTGTGTGTATTTTTAATAGAGACGGGGTTTCATCGTGTTAGCTGGGATGGTCTCAATCTCCTGACCTCGTGATCTGCCCGCCTCGGCCTGGCAAAGTGCTGGGATTACAGGCTGGGATTATGGCCACGGCACCTGGCCTAGGTTTTTTTTTTTTTTTCTTTTGAGACAGCCTTGCTCTGTCGCCCAGGCTGGAGTGCAATGGTGCCATCTCCTGGGCTCAAGTGATCCTCTTGGCTCAGCCTCCTGAGTAGCTGGGACTCCAGGCACGCACCACCACACTTAGCCAATTGTGTGTTTGAGTGTGCACGCACGCATGTGTTTTGTAGATATGGGTTTTGCCATGTTGCTCAGGCTGGTCTCAAACTCCTGAGGTCAAGCAATCTGCCCACCTCAGCCTCCCAAAGTGCTGGGATTACAGGTATGAGCCAGTGCGCCCGGCCTCATTGTAGTTTTGACCTGCAATTTCTTAATGACTTACGATGATTCCTATCATTTCTTATGCTTACTGGGTATTTATAGATCTGATCTGGAGTTATGTCTGTTTAAATTCTCTGACCATTTTAAAAATCAGTTCGTATTTTTATTAAGTTATAAATATTATTTATTTATTTATTTATTTATTTATTTATTTATTTATTTTTGAGACGGAGTCTTGCTCTGTTGCCAGGCTGGAGTGCGGTGGCGCGATCTCGGCTCACTGCAACCTCCGCCTCCAGGGTTCAAGCAGTTCTCCTGCCTCACACTCCCAAGTAGCTGGGACTACAAGCACACACCACCATGCCCAGCTAATTTTTTGTATTTTTAGTAGAGACGGGGTTTCACCATGTTGGCTAGGATGGTCTCGATCTCTTGACCTCATGATCTGCCCGCCTTGGCCTCCCAAAGTGCTGGGATTACAGGCGTGAGCCACTGCCCCTGGCCTATGTCCTTTATAAATTCTGGCCATAATGCCCTATCAGATATATAATTTGCAAATATTTTCTCTCAATGGATTGCTTTTTCACTTTCTCAGTCATATGCTTTGAAGCATAAAAGTTTTTAATTTTGATAAAGGTCAATTATTTTCTTAGTCACTGTGCTTTTATTGTCATATCTAAGAAACCATTCCCTAATCTAAAGTCTTGATGATTTACTCTTATATTTTCTTCTTAGAGTATTACAGTTTAAATTCTTATTTAAATTAAATCCCCCTGATTCATTTTGAGTTAATTTGTATAAATGGTGTGAGGTAGGGTCCAACTTCATAACTGTGTATGTGTATATCCAGTTGTTCAAATACCATTTGTTCAAAAGACTATTTTACCCCATCAAATTATTTTAACAATTTTATTAAAAATCATTAGAGCATAAATTTATATGTTTATTTCTGGAGTTTCAGTTGTATTCCATTGATCTACATGTCTATCCTATGCCAGTACCACTCTGTCTAATCAATTCTGTGCTGATCACTATAGCTGTGTACAGTACTTACAGAAAATGTGAGTCCTCCAAGTTTGTTTTTCATATTTAATATTGTTTTGACTATTTCAGATCCCTTGCATTTCTATATAAATGTCATAATCAGTTTGTTAAGTTCTACAAAATAGGCATTGTGAAAGGAAAATATCTTGGGCACCCAAAATCACCCAGCTAAAAGGAAAATTCAAACTGGGAATTGCTGAGGGCAAACGTGCCTCCAGTTCTATTCAAAATCATCCATCTGCTCACTGAAATAAATACATATCTGATTGCCCCCTATGGAAAGGCTAATCAGAAACTCAAAAGAATGCAAACATTTGTCTCTCACCTGTGACCTGGAAGCCTCCTCTTGCTTCAAGTTGTCTCCCTTTTGCTTTGAGTTGTCCCACTTTTCCAGACCAAACCAATGTTCATTTTGCATATGTTGATTGAATGTCTCATGTCTTCCTAAAATGTATAAAACCAAACTGCTCTGACCACTTTGAGCACATATCGTCAGGACCTCCTGAGGCTGTGTCACAGGTGCACATCCTCAACCTTGGAAAAATAAACTTTCTAAATTAACTGAGACCTGTCTCAAATTTTGGGGGTCCACCGCATCTAAAATTTTCATGGGGATCTCATTGAATCTATAGATCACCTTGGGAAGTGTTGACACCCTAACATTATTAAGTGGCCAATCAATGAACCTGACTAGTCCTTGCACCCCCTTCATCTTGTTTTACCTTTCTGGGCTGTTACATAGGATTTCTGTCTTTTCATTTTATCCAAAAATACTTGGTTTTAAATTGTCTAATATTCAGTTTATAACACAAGTAGTACAGGCTCACTGTAAAAGATATAAAACAGTTTTAGACATATAAGATATTATAACTTTATAATGAAGAACAGGAATATGCAGTAAAAATCTGGGCGTAAGTCAGGAGTAAAAGCATTATATAATTTAAAATTCATGGTAAGAGCGTTAACATTTATAAAAAATATATTTTGTTGTCTAAAATTCCTAGGTTATTAAAAATCAAAAAATCTACATTTAAAATGAAAATCACTATAACTTATAATAAAAAAGACATTTTTAAAAGATCTTCCATTCTTATGTACTGCATTTGTCCTTTTTAAATATTTATCTTTAAAACTAATCACAAGCCCCAATTTAAAGGGAAAATTAGTCTGGGAAAGATTAAATAATATATACGAGGTTCTATGATTATGAAATGTAGATCTGAAATTTCAATGTAATTCTGATTCAAAGATCACACTCATTTTACTATAACAAGCAATAGTAAAATGAGCATAAAATTAAGAAACGGATGTATGTTTTTGTACTCTCTCTCAAACACTAACTGGTAAATCATTTCATATCCTTGATCTCAATTTTTACTTTTGTGAAATGAGATAAATAATACTTCACAACTGAATATATATTTAAGAAATGTAATGTTGGTTAAACTTTCAAAATTAATAAAAACAGTTATTCACATTAACCAAATAAAGGAGAAAGTCATATACAACATCTTAAGAGATGTAGAAAAAAAATTTCATAAAGCCAATATCTTTCATGCAAAGCCTCTTACTAAACTAGGAATAGAAGGGAACTATAGATAAAAAGGATTTTTAGAGGCCATGTCATCAACATAAATAATTCCAAATTATTGAAATCTTTCCTTTGAGATTAAGCAAAGGGCAACAATATCTGCTATTATCACTTCCATGTAACATTGTATTGGACATGCTACCCAATGTAATATGGCAAGAATAAAGAAAAATAATAATAAAATGGAAAAGGAATAAGCAGGATTGATATCATTTGAATAAAATGCTGTCATTCACATAAAATGCTAAAAGTATCAACAGAGAAAGTACTGAAATTGAGCATATTTATCATAATTGAAGGTTACAAATTCATTATAAAAATATCAATTGAATTTGTATCTACTTGTAACAGAAAATTGCATTAAAAAAATGCATGTTCTCACTCATAGGTGGGAATTGAACAATGAGAACACTTGGACACAGGAAGGGGAACATCACACACTGGGGCCTGTGGTGGGGTGTGGGGGGAGGGGAGGGATAGCATTAGGAGATATACCTAATGTAACTGATGAGTTAATGGGTGCAGCACACCAGCATGTCACATGTATATATATGTAACAAACCTGCATGTTGTGCACATGTACTTAAAGTATAAAAAAAACTAATACTTAAAATAGCATGCAAATATATACTATACATGAAAATTGAATAAATAATACATAAGATATATGAATAAATATATAAAATATTAAGAGTAATAAAGACCCATGTAAGTGATAGAACATGCCATGTTTGTAGATTTAAAGAAGCAATATTGTCTTCAAACATTTTTGAACTTAAGAAGTGAATTTAATATATAGATAGATAGATAGATAGATAGATAAATTAAAATCACTGAGAACACCAAGTTTTTGAACAAAACAAGGTGAGAGGTCTTGATCTATCAAATAACAAAACTTTTTTATTTTATTTTATTTTTTTTGAGACAGAGTCTCACTGTGTCACCAGGCTGGAGTGCAGTGGCGTGATCTCGGCTCACTTCAACCTCTGCCTCCCAGGTTCAAGCAATTCTCCTGCCTCAGCCTCCCAAGTAGCTGGGACTACAGGCATGCACCACCACGGCCCAGCTAATTTTTGTATTTTTAGTAGAGACGGGCTTTCACCATGCTGGCCAGGATGGTCTCCATCTCTTGATTTCGTGATCTGCCCACCTTAGCCTCCCAAAGTGCTGGGATTACAGGCATGAGCCACCACACCCGGCCAAGACTTTTTATAATTACTGTGGTAGGAGTTTTTAAGAAATTATTTTAGGCAGATAAAGAGGAAACGTTTTGGTTTCTTTTAAAGCAGCTCCAAAAACGTTTCTTGTCTAGAAGCAAAGTCCAGGCTCTTAAAGCCATGGAGGCAACCTTTAATAGGCGAATGTCGGCCATTAGAGACTGGGTCCACCCAAAAATGGCAATTCCCATGGCCTTCTTGCCCTTGCCCCACATGTGCCTGGCAACATGGCTGTCCCCACATATCCCCACATATGTAAAACATCATGGTGCCTTGTGTTTGTATATTAAAAGGCTAGGGTGGGAGGGCTAGTTTTTTAGAAGCTATGTGAAAAACAGGCCTGGTCAAAGCAATCCCCTGAGTCCTATGCAAATCCAACACCGCCTCCTCCAGCCTCTTCTTATACCTGGCTGGTATCTGTGGGACGTGGAGTCTCCTCTTTTAGCTTTGGAGCCCCCCTCCCTCTGTGTCTTTATTGGGGAGCCTCTTCCTTTTGCCTTCTCTTTTCTTTCTTGCTTATTAAACTCTGCTCCACTCCACATGTGTCCATGTTGTTTTATCTAAATCGTGCGAGACAAGAACCTGGTGTTCCTCCATTCATTAGAGCTGTATCACTACAACAATAAGGATAATAAAAGATTAGAAAGATAGGTCATGGAAATAGAAGAAAGAGTTTGAAAACAGACCCCAGATATAATCACTTTTGACTTATGACAAAGGTAGTATTGCAGATTAGTGGGGAATTATGGTATTTTCAATATATGCTACTGAAGAATTTGGATATTCATATGAAAAATGTGAAGCATAATCTCTTCTATATATCAGAGAAAATTTAATTATAGTGAGATTGTTAATTACAGTGTGAAAGAAAAAACTAGGTGTCTGGAAGAAAATATAAAATAAAAATTTTTACAAGCTTAATATAGAGAAAGACTTCCAAAATGTAACATAAAAACATTTATCTAAAGGAAAAGACTGATTAATTACATTTCAATAAAGCCAAGAATTTCTGTTCACAATATATACCATTAAAATAATCAAAAGACATACAGCTGACATGCTTAAGATATTGCCAAAATGTATACCTAGCAGAGTATTTTTGTTGAGAATACATGGAAATCACCTACAAATTAATAAGAAAAAGAGGTTAGTCAATGGAAAAATGGCAAAGGTCTTGATCAGACACTTCACAAAAGATGATATCAATATGGACAATAAACATGAGAAGGTTTAACAGCATTAGTTATTAGGAAAATAATAAATAAACTACAATGAAATACTGCAACAGAGTTATTTGAGTGGCTAAATTAATATGCCACAGCATCAGATATTAGAAAACATCTGGCACAAACATAACTGCTCTATCTTTTGGTGGAAGTACAAATAGGCACAGTCACTCTTTAAAATTCTTTTGGTCTCATATATTGAGTATAACATATGCATTCCTTATGCCTAGCAATTCATTTTTATAAACAACAGAAATGTTGTTTATTTGTACCCAAAGACAAGGAGTTTCAAAACTTTATCATTCATAATAATCAAATATTAGAAACAATTTTAAAGTCTGCAAATGGTATAATGGATACTTTATTATATAATATATTCATATAAGAAATTCAGTGAAGCAATTTAAAAAAACAAATTACATCTCCATTAAGTAACATAGCTGTTCTTAAAATATTGGATGAATAAAACCTATACAAAATAATACATATAGTGAGGTGTCAGGTATATAAAATGTGAACAGTGGCAAAATTGAACAGGAGAATACTGTTTAATTTCCATGTGTTTGTATAGTTTCCATAGTGTTTAGAAATGTATATTTTCCTGTAAACCTATAATCTATAGAAAGTTACACAGTATATGATTTATTGGTCTTGGTGGTGGTTCAAAGGTATTCTCCTTGTGAAAATTTATTGAACCATACATTTTATTTTGTTTCCTTTCATTTATGAGTGAAATATTTCATAATAAAAATGTTTTATGAGAAGAAAATTACAGAGTACTAAAATCTTCTTTTTTTCCTGTCTATTTTTATTTTAGGTTCAGAGGGTACATGTGCAGGTTTGTTACATGGGTAAATTGCATGTTGCTGAAGTTTGGTGTACGAATGATCCCTTCACCTAGGTAGTGAGTGAAGTATCCTATAGGCAGTTTCTCAACCTACATTCCTCTCCTACCCTCCCCCATCAAGTAGTCCCCAGTGTCTATGTTCCCATCTTTGTGTCCCTATGTATTCAGTGTTTACTTCCTACTTATAAGTAAGAATTTGCAGTATTCGGTTTTCTGTTTCTGCCTTAGTTCACTTAGGATAACAGCCTCCAGCTGCATCCATGTTGCTGCAAAAGACAAGATTTTGTTCCCTTTTATGGTTGCATCGTATTCCGTGCTGTATATGTGAAATATTAATTTCTAAAATAATAAAATTCAGATATTAAGACAAAAATTATTTTAATTTTATATAGTTTGTATTGCATCTTCATTAATACAATATAAAGTATTTACTTTTTACTTTAGTTTTTCAATTTTTAATTTTTGTGAGTACAGATTTGGAGTTTGGTTTGTTCTTATCTTTCTAATTTTTCAAGATGCATTATTAGCTTATTTGAAGATATTCTACTTTTTTCATGGAGACAGTGCTATAAAATTTCATCTTAGTACTGCTTTTTCTATATCTCCTAGGTTTTGGTATGTTATGTTTCCATTTTCTTTGTTTTAAAAATAATTTTATTTTATTTTTAATTGCTTATTTGACCTGCTGGTCATTCAGGAGCGTATTGTTTAATTTTCCTGTGTTTGTATGGTTTCCAAAGTTCCTCTTGTTATTGATTTCTAGTTTTATTCCATGTGATCAGAGATGATACTTGATATAATTTCATCTTTTAAAATTTTTAAGACTTGTGGCCTAATGTATGGGCTATCTCTGAGAATAATCTATGGGCTGAGGAAAAGAATATGTATACTGTAGACATTGGATGAAATGTTCTGTAAACATCTACTAGGTTCATCTGGTCTGTGCCACAGATTAAGTCTCATGTTTCTTTGTGGATTTTCTGAATGGATGATCTGTCCAGTGCTAAAAGTGGAGTGTTGAAGTCTCCAGCCCTTATTGTATTGAGATCTATTTCTCTTTTTAGCTCTAATAATATTTGCTTTGTATATCTGGGTGCTCCACTGTTGGGTGCATATATATTTACAATTGTAATATCCTCTTGCTTAATTGACCCCTTTATCATTATATAATGCCATTTTTGTCTCTTTTTACACTTTTTGCCTTGAAATCTATTTTGTCTGATATAAGTATAGCTCCTTCTATTCTTTTTTGGCTTACATTTGCATGGAATATCTTTTCCATTCCTTTATTTTCAGTATTTGTGTCTTTATATGTGAAGCATGTTTCTTGTAGACAACAGATCATTGGCCTTGTTTTTAAAAACCCATTCAGCCACTCTGTGTTTTGATTGGAGAGGTTAGTGCGTTTACTTTCAATGTTATTGTTGATAAAGGCTTACTACTGCCATTTTGTTATTTGTTTTCTGGTTGTTTCGCCTTCCTTCCTCTCTCCCTTCCTCCCTCCCACCTTCTCCCCTCCCTCCTTCTCCCCTTCCCCTTCCCTTCCTTCCTTCCTTCCTTCCTTCCTTTCCTTGTCATCCTTCCTTCCTTGTCATCCTTTTTGTGAAGTTTATTTTTTTATGGTGGTATGTTTTAATTTCTTGCTTTTTATTTTTTTGGATATCTGTTGTAGATTTCTTGATTTGAGGTTACCATGAGGCCTGCAAATCACATCTTATAAGCCATTATTTTAAACTGATGTCGACTTAACACTGATTGCAAAAACAAGCAAAGAGAAAACTAATAAAAATGCTACACTTTAACTTCATTTCCCCTTTTTGACTTTTTATTGTTCATATTGATATATTATTGTCTATGCATCGAAATGTTGCTGTAGTTATTCTTTTTGATAGATTCATCTTTTAGTCATTCTACTCAAGATTATGAGTAGTTTACACAGCACAATTACGGTGTTGCAATACTCTGTTTGTACGTATACTTACTATTACCAATGACTTTTGTACCTTCAGATAATTTCTTATTGCTTGTTAACATCCTTTTCTTTCAGACTGAAGAACTCCATTTAGCATTTCTTGCAGGATAGGTCTGGTATTGATGAAATCCCTCAGCTTTTGCTTTTGTTTGTCTGAAAAAGTCATTATTTCTTCTTCATGTTTGAATGACGTTTTCATTGGATATGCTATTCTAGGATAAAACTTTTTTTTCCTTCAACACTTTAAATATGTCATGCCACTCCCTCCTGGCCTGTAAAGTTTCCACTGAGAAGTCTGCTACCACATGTACTGGATCTCTTTGGATGTTATTTGTTTCTTTTTTCTTGCTGCTTTTAGACTCCTTTCTTTATTCTCTTCTTTTGGGAGCTCGTTTATTAAATGTCTTGAAGTTGTCTTACATGGTTTAAATCCTCTGGGTGTTGTATAATCTTCTTGTACTTGAATATTGACATCTTTCTCTAGGTACAGAGAGTTCTCTGTTATCCCTTTGAATAAACTTTCTACCCTGAACTCTCACTCTACCTCCTCTTTAAGGGAGATAACTTAAATTTTCTTGATCTTGTAGGCTTGCTTTATTCTTTTTCTTTTGTCTCCTTCAATTGTATATTTTCAAATAGCCTGTCTTTAAGCTCACTAATTCTTTTTTCTTCTTGATCAATCCTGCTGTTTACTCTGTTGCATTCTTCTATATGTCAATTGTTATGTTTCAGCTCCAGAATTTCGGTTCATTTTTTAAAAAATCATTCATATCTTTATGTTAAATTTATCTGATGGAATTCTGAATTCTTTCTCTATATTGTTTTAAATTTTAAATTTTAATCTATAAAATTAAGAAATTTATAGCTTTCTTAAACCAGCTATTTTGAATTTTCTATCTGAAAAGTCACATATCTCCATCACTCTGGGATTGGCCACTGGTGCCTTATTTAGTTTGTTTAGTGAAGTCATGTTCCTAGATAGTCTTGATACTTGTGGATGTTTTTCAATGCCTGGACATTGAAGAGTTAGGTATTTATTGTAGTCTTTGCAGTCTAGGCTTGTTTGTGCCCATCCTTTTTTAAGAAGGCTTTCCAGGTATTCCAAAGGAATTAAGTGTTGTAATCTAAGTCTTTGATCACTGCAGCTGTATCTGCATCAGGGGGCCCTTCAAACCCAGTAACATTGTTTCTCTTACCCACTCATAGAGATACCACCATGGTGGTCTTTGGTAAGATCTGGAAGAATTCACTGGATTATTACCAAGCAGAATGTCTGGTCTTTTCCCTTACTTTTCGCAGAATAAATGGAGTCTCTCTTTCTGTGCTCAGATGCGTGGAGCTTGGGGAAGGGTGACACAAGCACCCTGTAGCCACCACACTGAGACTTAGCTGGGTCAGGCCTTCCTATCCATATTTTAAAAAGATACTCTTTTCCGATTTTTTTCTGAATATTTTTCCCGGCTGACACTGTGTGTTCTCTATTTACTTATATAAATGTAATTTGATGAGCCCCAAAGAGAAAGATAGATGAAAATTATTTTAGAAAGAATAGAAAAAAGAAAATATGCCTTAAAAGGCCATACTTAAAGATTCATCTTCAATTTATTTGTCATCATATGCAATAGCAGAAAATGTTTACAACATAAACTATGTATTCTAAAAAATTTTACTTTATCATGTGTTGTCAGTAAGACAGTAGGTCAACAGTGGGTGTATTTTTTTCTGCTTTGATTGTATTTTATTTAATTATTAATTTTGGCTTAATAGAGTCTTCCTTTGGCAGGCTGGACAAATGTCATGGCCCCTAGCCCTTTCCAACTCATAATGAAAATAGACCTATTTCCAGCTTCACCTTGCTGATTGCTTCTACCTGCTGCTCAGGATAATTTGTTCAGTGTAAATGAAGACTTCAGTAGTTATTGAAGGAAAAAGGTACAAAAAGAGACTGTTGTGCAGCATCTACATAAAGCGGCTTGTGCAAAACAGTCCTGATTAAATGAAAGTGTCTTAAGATTATGAGATCTTCAGTGTTTCACAATTACAATTAAAGCAGTCATAAATAATTACTGTAAACTAGAAAATCAACCATATCTGGCAAATTAGAATTCATTTAATTTGCCTTACTTAATGTGGTTTTCACTTTCTTCTCTAACTTTATTTATGAAGAAACTATAATGCTATTCATTTTTATGACAACACTGATGATTTTAATGTACTTTTATTTAAAAAAATTCTAAAACTGACCTAAAACTTAAATCAGACGGTTTTTCATTAAGTTAATAAATTCTTGACAGTATCAGAAAAATAATATCAGAATCAGAAAAAGTTGTTAAAGCAGTAAACAGCATATTATTTAGGCAAATTCCATTAAATGTACATCATATGAGCATCATTAAATGTTCATAAATTCATTAAATGTATCATCAGTATCTCAATATGGAAAAGATATTCTCATTCCTTTTTAAAATTTTATATATAATGTATATTATATAATATTTATATTTATATATAATATATATTATATAATATTTATATTTATATGTATTATATATAATATTTATATTTATATTTATATATATTATATATAATATTTATATTTATATATATTATATATAATATTTATATTTATATATATTATATATAATATTTATATTTATATATGTTATATATAATATTTATATTTATATATATTATATATAATATTTATATCTATATATCTTATACATAATATTTATTATTATATGTGATATTTTATATTTATCTATTATATATTGTATTTATATTATATCAATATATTATATAATATCATATATGTGTACATTATATATATATGTATATATAATATATGTATATATATATTATGTATATTAATTTTATGTATATATAGTTATGTGTGTATATAATATATAATTACATATAATATATAATATATGTAATATATGATATATCATATATATAATATTATGTATATATGTATATCATATACATATATATAATATATATGTATATATAATGTATATATAATATATTTATGTATATATAGTTATGTATATATAATATATATTGTATATTATATATAGTATATTCTATATTATATATGATTTTATATATAATATATAATATATAATATGTAATATATAATTTAAAATATATATTATATCATATAATATATAAATATATAATTATATACTATAATCATTATATATAAATATATAATTATATACTATAATCATTTTATAATTATATACTATAATCATTTTACAATTATATACTATATTTTATAATTATATACTATAATCATTTTATAATTATATACTATATTTTATAATTATATACTATAATCATTTTGTAATTATATACTATATTTTATAATTATATACTATAATCATTTTATAATTATATACTATATTTTATAATTATATACTATAATCATTTTATAATTATATACTATAATCATTTTATAATTATATACTATAATCATTTTATAATTATATACTATAATCATTTTATAATTATAAGTATAATATATAATTTTTTCTTCCTTCAACTTTTATTTTAAGTTCTGGGGTACATGTGCCAGATGTGAAGGGTTGTTACATGTGTAAACATGTGCCATGGTCATTTGCTGCACAGATCATCCCATTATCTAGGTATTAAGCCCAGCATCCGTTAGCTATTCTTCCTGATGCTTCTCCTTCCCCATCCCCAACAGGGCCCATTCTGTCTGTCTCTCTTCTCTCTGTGTTTTCCCTCTATTCTCTCTATCTCTATCCTCAGGAAGTAAATAACTGATGATGTGATGAAAACATACATAAAGACATGATTCCAGCATAGAAAATGTTTTTTCAGCCCATAAAACACTACTTAAATGATATTATTTTAAAAGGACAGTTGTGATGTCAATTTGGCTTTCATTTTAGTAATCAATAATATTTAGTATATGAAAAATTAAAAGAAATATAATTTTGAAAAATCATTTTAAATAAAATCAATGTAATCGGAAAGCCAGAAAACATATGCTATCTGGATTGAGTAAATAGTTTAAATTGAGAACTCGTAGGTCCTATATGGAGTTATGCCATCATATTTGAGACCCAATAGAAAGACTAAACTATTCTTAACCTAAATCCACTGACACTGATTGTGAACTTGAAAGTGGGAAGGGTTCTCCTTCACATATACATAATAAATTTTCTACTTAACTCTCAACATATTTGAGTTTATGTGAGAGAGAACATGTAAGTACTTCTTAATAGTGAAGCTGAGGACTATGTAGATTTTTCTTATGCTAAAGAATGTCTTTTCTGATAAAATTAAACTTTTGTCTATGCAGTGCCTCACCAAGAGCACAACTGTGTTATTTTGTCCTGGTGTTTATTTGACTATATGATGAATCAAACATTAAATAGCTAACTTCCTCCCAGTCCCCTGGTTCAGTATCTTTCCTATATTATTTAAAAGACATGACTCAAGCACAATATACTTAATTATTTTTAAAGAAAAAATAATATAGCCATTAATGGGATTTATTTTCTAGTATTATTCGGAATAGTATAGTTATAATGTTTTATAGAAAAATATAATTAACCCAGTGTTAAAACTCAAAAATAGGATATAGTCTTTATCTACTTCTAGGATAGCAAACTTAATGCCTATTGACAGAATGTTTTTAAAGAGCATTTTTTGACTGTACATTATTTTTCCATTTATTCTTGGTTCCTTTTCTGATGTACCATCTCCTCCCATAGTTATCTTGTGTGTGTGTGTATGTGTGTGTGTGTATGGTGAGTTCACAAGATCTACACTTTTGGTAAATTTCAAGTACATAGTATAATATTAACTATGGTTACTCTGCTGTACGTAGATCTCTAGAACTATTCATCCTACGTAATTGAAACTCTGTTCCCCCTTTAGTAACATTTCATCTTTTTTCCCACTCCCACCTGATCACATCTGGTAACTACCATTCTAATTCCTTCTCTTATGATATTGATTTTTTAAGATTCTTATGTTCTTGGCATCAAGCAGTACTTATTTTTTATATGTCTGGCTTATTTCTCTTAGCATAATAAATAATGTCATTTGTTCTCACGAATGAAATGATTTCCTTATTTTTTTAAGGATAAGTAACATTCCATTGTGTAAGTATACCACAATTTCTTCATTCGTTGATAGTCACTTAGGTTGTGTCTATGTTTTTGCTATTGTGAATAATACTGCAATGAACATGAGAGTGCTGACATCTCTTTGACATTCATGTTTTTTGGATATATAGCCATTAATGGGATTGCTGAATCATAATATAGTTTTATTTGAATTTTTTTTAGGAATGCCTATACTGTTTTCCATCATGACTGTACCAATTTACATCCCCACCAACATTGTTCCAGAGTTCCCTTTTCATTACATCCTTGCTAGTAGGTCCAGGGCTTTTTTTTGTTGGGAGGTTTTGGATTATTGTTTCAATTCCCTTTATACTTACTGGTCTTTTCAGGCTTCATATTTCTTCTTGATTGAGTCTTGGTAGGGTGTATGTTTCTAGGAATTGATCCAGTTCTTCTAGGTTTTGCAATTTGTTCACATATATTTGCTTGTAATAATCACTTATGATCTTCTTTCCCCTGAGACACCTATTGATGTCTCTCCTATTTCATTTCTGATTTTATTTGAGTCATCTCTCTTTTTTTCTTAGTCAATTTAAATGTTTTCAATTTTGTGTACTTTTCAAAATACAACTTGTAATTTGGGAATAGTTTGCTCTTCTTTTTCTAGTTTTCTGAAGTGAGAAGTTAGGCTCTTTAATGATATCTTTCTTCTGTTTAATGTAGGCATTTAACACTGTCATTTCCCCCTAAGTACTGTTTTTGCTTTTGGCCACACGTATTGGTATGTTGTGTTTTTGTTTTTATCTTGTTATTTTTAAAATTCTTTTTTGATTTACTATTTGACCTAATGATTGGTCAAGAGTATATTGTTTAGTTTCCATAACAGTTTGAATTTTCTCGTTTTCTTGCTGTTAATGATTTCTAGTTTCATTCCATTGTAGTTAGAACAGGTACTTGGTATGATTTTGATTTTAAATTTGCTAAGACTTGTTTTGTGGCTTACTATCTTAGAGAGTAGTCTATGTGCACTTGAGAAGAATGTATATTCTTCTGCTATTGGGTGGAACGTGCTGTATATGTCTGTTAGATGTATTTGGACTATAGTGTTGTCCACGTTCTTTATTTATTGATTTTCTGCCTGGATGCATTATGCATTATTGAAAGTGGGGTATTGAAATCTCTTACTATTGTTGTATGACTGGCAAGTTCTCCTTTCAGAGCTAACAATATTAGCTTTATATAATTTGATGTTCTAATATTGGGTACATACACACATATGTTTACAATTGTTATATCTTCTGATTGAATTGACACTTTTATCATTATATAATGAGTCTTTTGTCATTAGAGAGAGTTTTTGGCTTAAAGTCTATACTCTCTGATATAAGTATAGCCAATCCTGCTCTCTTTTGTTTACCATTTACCTCTATATCTTTTTCTATCTTTTCACTTTTAGCCTACGTGTGTCCTTGAATCTAAGTGAGGTTTTTGTAAATATCATAGATATTACTTTTTTATCCATTCAGTCACTCTATCCATTTTTTGATTGAGGAGTTTAATCCACTTTCATTAAAAGTGGTTTATGATAGGTAAGGATTTACTACAGGTATTTTGTTAACTGTCTTCTGTTTGGTTTGTTGTTTTGCCTCTCTTTTATTCTCTTGCTAACTTTCTTTGTGTTTTGTTTTTGATTGTATTTATTAACTTTGGTTCATTTATTTTTTTTCTCATGTGTAACTACTGTGGGTGTTTTCTTTATGGTTACCATGGGGCTTGCATAAAATTTCTTATAATTAAAATTGTCTATTTAAGCTGATAAAAATTTAATTTCACTTGCATACAAAAACTCTGTAATCATACATCTCCCTCCTTCACATGATATGCTATGACATCACAATTTACATCTATTTATGTTGTGTACCCTTTAACATAATTTAGTCTTAGTTATTCTAATATTTTTTATGTTTTAATTTTTACACTAAAGTTAACAGCAATTTACCCACCATCATTATAGTAATACAGTATTCTGGTTTTATCTATCTATTTACCTTTACAAAGAGTTTCATACTTCTTATGCTCTTATATTGCTGTTTAACATTTTTTTGTTCCAACTTGAATACTTGCTTTAGCATTTTTGGTAAAGCAGGTCCAGTGGTGATGAAATCATTTAGTTTTTGTTTGGAAAAGCCTTTATGTTTCCTTCATTTTTGAAGAATAGATTTGTTGTGTATAGTATTCTTGGTTGACAGTTTGCTATCGCACTTTGAATATACCATCTCAGTCACTTTTAGCCTGCAAGATTTCTTGGGAAAAATCTGCTGATAGTCTTATAGTCATTTTATTGTATGTAAAAAGTCTCTTTCTCTTGCTTCTTTCATAATTCCATGTATTTAACTTTTGACAATTTGATTATAATGTATCTCAGTGTGGGTTTCTTTAGATTTTTCTTATTTGGCATCATTTGGGCTTACTAGATCTGCCTATGTATTTTCTTCTGCATATTTAGGAAATATTCAGATGTAACTTATTTGAGTAAACTTTTCATCTGTTTTTCTCGTTTTCTTCTGGCATGGTCATTATTCCTATTTCAGTCTTATTGATGGTATCCTATAAAAACTGGGGTATTTTTTAGTGATATATCTTCAAGTTTGATGACTCTCTCTGCTACTTAATCTAGTCTGCGGATTAACCACTTTATTGGTTCGTGTACTTCAGTTATTGTATTCTTTACCTCTATGACTTCTGCTTGGTACTTCTGTTATGTTTTCTGTCTTTTTGTTGAAATCTCACTTTGTTCTAAAATTGTTCTCCTGGCATCTGTGATCATCTTTATGACTGTCATTTTAAATTATTTTTCTAGTAACTTATCTCTTCTGGAGATTTAGTTTGTTTTTTATTTGTACTATATTTCCCTTTTTCTTTATTTTCCTTGGCTCTCTGTATTGGTGTCTGCACATTAAATAAAGCAACCACTTTTCCTGCTCTTCACAGTCTGGTCTTGTGTAGGAGATAAGACTTAACAATGATCCCAGCCAGAGATTCTAGGTGTCTCTCAAACCTTTGTGCTCATTCAGACTGCTGTCTTTGTTCTTAACGGCTCCCAGAAGACTAGAATGTGCCAAATCCCATCAGTGCTCCAAGACTGGAGAGCTTGAAGCCTGTCCCTTGGGTATCAGCTGAAAAAGTTGGATCACTGGATGTGTAGCCCAATTCCTTCTCTCATCAGGGAGAAACTGGGAGCCAGAGTTGTCACCTACTTGTTCTGCACTGATCCAGGGAGAGAAGTTGTGACAAAAGCCTGCACACTCATTCAGAGTGCATGTCATTTTGGATTATTGCTTTGCTCTCCATTACCCATAGATATCTAGAGAATGCTGGGCTTCATCATCTCTCAAAGAGAGGGGGATTAATGGTCAGCCCCTTGAATAGCAGCTAGAAAAGTCAGGGTGCTAGATGTCTAGTCCACCTCCTTCTGAGGGAAATTTGAAGGATTGGTTTTATCACTAGAGAAAGCTGGAGCAGGAGACACAAGAAGAGCTAACATTCAGAAAACCAAATCAGTTCCTAGAGACAGGGAAGTTAGAAGCCAGACCCTTGGGCTGCAGCCAGAAAAGTTGGGAGATTAGATGTGCAATCTAACTCCTTCTGGGGAGAATCTGAGAAGTGTGCTTTATGGCCTGTATTCACTGTTTACTGATCTGAGGGGTAGAGCCATAATGTGCTTGTGTGTCCATTTAAAAACACTTGTTCTCTGTTGTTCCAGGGGACTAGCAAATGCCGGGCCCTATCAGCTCCCCGGGATAGGCAATTTAGGAGGCAGTCCTTCAGGCTGCAGCTATTAAACTTAGGGATCTCCTACCAGGAAGAAGCCGAAGGCTTGTTTTTATCACTGAATCAAACCAGGAAGGAAAAGCCAAGGGAAATGCCCACATACCTGGTCAAGTTCCTAGAGGACTTATGATTGCCTGCTCTTTTAGCTCTGAGTTGCAAGCTAGTTACAAGCCAGACCCTTGGACGGCAGCTGGACATGTTAGGTTAGATGTATAATCTAACCTGTTCCAGGGAGAAGTTGGGAGCTTGCTTTAATTGTTTTAGCTCTGCCCTGAGACAGGGTAAGAGGTGTTGGAATTGCTCAGGTGCCTATTTAAAAATACCTCTTTGTTTTTTTGTGGTCCTGGAGGACTGGCAAATGCAGGTCCCCTTCCACTCCCAGAGACAGGCAAGTTAGGGGCCAATCTTTTCCATAGAAACCATAATAATTGGGGTACCAGACGTATAATCCAAACCATATTGGATCTTCAGAGAAAAGCTGTGAGTTAGGGGTTCTCTCCCAATTTCATAGTACTGTGAGGTGCATGAGGTTTATTGCAAGAGTATGTCAATTTTTTCTACCTGTTTAAATGTGTGCGTTTAATTAGTTTCCTTATGCAGAAATCTCTCAGCTAGTTTCTGGATTTCTCTCGGAAGAAATTGATCTGTGTGTAGCTGTTTATTTGGTGTGTTTGTAGGTGGAGGAAAAGGTTGGGGCCTCCTGATCTACCATCTTGCGGATGTCATTTCTATATGCTTGCTTATTGTTTCATTGTGATTTTGAGGGCCTGCAGATAGGACATATATTTCCAAATATCATATTTTACAGTCCTCTATTACTACACATCTTTTAATTTTTAACCATTGATCTAATCCAACTTCTTCACTGTGAAATTAAAGAAACTAAAGGCAGGGAGATTAAATAATCTATCCAATGCTACACAGGGAGTGGTGATGGTAGAAAAACATCAGTGTCTTACTTCCCCACCAATGTATGTGTCATATAATGAAGAAATAAAGAGAGCAGAAGCAGGCTGGAGGCCCACACACAGTTGGGAAGGCAGGTAGGGGGGAAGGAGTGGACGGACCCTCTTCCGATATTACTTTATCACCACATTTTTCTCATTGACCTTGGCATATTTGCTTTAATAAGTCTCTGCATCTATCTGTTCTTACTCTCCTTCAAAAGACAAAACTAGCTAAGTCTAAATTTATATTAGGATAATATTTACTAAGAATTTCCAATTTGGAGAAAAGAGGTGACTCAAATTTGAAACAATACTTAAATAAGAACAAGTGACTATAATAATAATTTTTTTAGGATTTATGTCACTTTGAATAATCTACTTTAGGAGAAAACAATGAAAAAGTTAGGGTCAGAAATTAATTTGTATGAAAAGAAAAAAAAAGTGGTAAAATATTTGATATGGTTAGGCTGTGTCCCCACCCAAGTCTCATCTTGAATTATAATCCCTATAATCCCCACACGTCAAGGGTGGGGCCAGCTGGAGGTAATTGAATCATGGGAGTGGTTTCCCCCATACTGTTCTGGTGACTGTGAGTGAGTTCTCATGAGATCTGATAGTTTTATAAGCACCTGGCATTTCCCCTCCTGGCACTCATTGTCTCTTCTGCCGCCCTGTGAAGAGGTGCCTTCCACCATGATTGTAAGTTTCCTGAGGCCTCCCCAGCTATGCAGAACTGTGAGTCAATAAACTTTTTTCTTTTTTATAAATTAGTCAGTCTCAGGTGTTTCTTTATGGCAGCATGAAAATGAACTAATACAATATCAACTTTTTTGATTCAACAAAAGGAGTCCATTATAAAGTCTTACTGCACAGTTCAGTATGCTGGCCAGTTGCCACATGGGACATTTTAAATTTTAAGTAATTAAAATTTAATATCTCACACCAGTTAGAATGGCAATCATTAAAAAGTCAGGGAAAAACAGGTGCTGGAGAGGATACGGAGAAATAGGATCACTTTTACACTGTTGGTGGGACTGTAAACTAGTTCAACCATTGTGGAAGTCAGTGTGGCGATTCCTCAGGGATCTAGAACTAGAAATACCATTTGACCCAGCCATCCCATTACTGGATATATACCCAAACGATTATAAATCATGCTGCTATAAAGTCGCATGCACACATTATGTTTATTGCGGCACTATTCACAATAGCAAAGACTTGGAACCAAGCCAAATGTCCAACAATGATAGACTGGATTAAGAAAATGTGGCACATGTACACCATGGAATACTGTGCAGCCATAAAAAAGGATGAGTTCATGTCCTTTGTAGGGACATGGATGAAGCTGGAAACCATCATTCTCAGCAAACTATCGCAAGGACAAAAAAACAAACACCGCATGTTCTCACTCATAGGTGGAAATTGAACAGTGAGAACACATGGACACAGGAAGGGGAACATCACACACCGGGGCCTGTTGTGGGGTGGGGGGAGAGGGGAGGGGGATAGCATTAGGAGATATACCTAACGTAAATGACGAGTTAATGTGTGCAGCCCACCAACATGGCACATGTATACATATGTAACAAACCTGCACGTTGTGCATATGTACCCTAAAACTTAAAGTACAATAAAAAAAAAAAACCATGAAGAAAAAAATATGGCCTTAATGAAATGATGAAATAACAGAAAAAAGAAAAAAAATTTAATAATATTTAAAATGTTATGTTTCCAACACACTGGCCACATTTTAAATGCTTAATAGCTACATATAAGCAGATGCTATCATATCAGGCAGAGCTGAAATGAAGGAACAATCTATTGCAGTGAGCAAACCTAAGGAAGAAAAAATTTAATTGCTTTTTCTTAGCATTGTTAATTCAGGTGTCTAAGGACTTTCTTAGTCTTTTAGCGGCCTATATACTGTGAGAGATAGCAAATAACCAACTGTTCCAAAAGTTTTATTCTATTAACCCTGCTGTTCTTTTGGGTTTTGTGACACATATGGTTTCCCCTATGTATTTTAACAGCCCATGTTCATTTTTGATAAGTAACATATAAACCCACTTTTCTTTTTTATTTTTATCTTCTTAACTAGAGTGCTGAGAATTTGTATGTATTTTGAAAACATTGACACTCATTTTGCTGAAATGTGCCTTTGCTTTAGGTTATTTTTATTTCTTGCTATTCTTTTCAGCATAGGCTTGGCCTGCATAAATTTAATTACAAAATTTCTTCTGTATGTTCATTTTGCAGTCTTCAAAATATCTAAAATACAAGCTTTATTTTTGCAATGCTTCCTGAAGTCATTCCAAATTAAGAAAATTCAACTTCTTTCTAATTTTTCAGTCTTCTCTCATTCAGTTGATGACATTGTCCTGTCTTGTCAAAGGTGTGAGAATAATCCATTCCATCAAGGAAAGACATTTAATCTTATTTCTTCACACAATAGTGTACAGTGATTGGCAGATGGTATAAATTATTAGAATCTCTCCCATTTTAATGAATACCTTTTCTTGTTTGTCCTTCTGGGATTAAGGATTTGCTAAAGTAAGCATTGTCAAGCTTCCTGCAAATGATGTGTTGAAGAATATTTTTATTAATAAATTCATGTGAGATCTATAATTTAATAAATTATATGTTCCAAAAACACAAAATATTGGATCTTCATCCTCAAATTTAAGAACAGTTCTATTTTACCTGATGTGCAGCAAATCTGGAAGATTGTGAAGAATTCTGGAATGACACTGACATCATAAACCTGCATTTTCATTTACAGTGAGTCAATTGGATTTATAGTCTCAACCTAGAGACAATATTTAAAAGTTCAATGTTATTAATTGTTTTAACTGACTGACTTATAGAAAAATGTGGCAATCCAAATTCCTTACTGGCAAAATTATATACATCATTAAACCGAATTATCTGCTAAATCTTATATTTAACATCTTTTTCTGAGAAAAAGTATGAATCAAATTTTAAACTTCCAGAGTTAAGTTTTTGATCTTTCAAGTGGACCTTAATGAGTCAGTTTCCATCACAATGACTCATTTTCTCTTTATCAAAAATATATATAAGTACTTACACAATCTATATCTCGAAATGTGAAAGGACTTTAAAAGCTAACAATATAATAATCTGTTAAAGTACTCTGTGTACTAAAATAAATGACCATTGATGACACACTTTTGGCCTGAAACAATTACTGAACTTTTAAAAGTGTTGTGGGCACATAGTAGGTGTGTATATTTAGGGGTACATGAGATGTTTTGATATAGGCATACGATGTATAATAATCACAACATGAAGAATGGGGCACCCATCCCCTTAAGCATTTACCCTTTTAGTTACTAACAATCCAGTTATTTTCTTTAAGTTATTTTAAAATATACAGTTATGATATTAATGGCTATAGTCACCATATTGTACTACCAAATAGTAAGTCTTACTCATTCTTTCTAATTTTTTTCTTTTTTTGGTAGCCATTAACCATTCCCACCTCCGTCAACCCCACCCCACCATTACCCTTCCCAGCTTCTGGTAATCATCTTTCTACTTTCTATGTCCATGAGTTCAATTGTTTCGATTTTTATATCACACAAATAAATGAGACCATGCGATGTTTGTCTTTTGTGCTTGGCTTATTTATCACTTAAAATAATAATCTCCAGTTCCATCCATGTTGTTGCAAATGACTGAATCTCATTCTTTTTATGGCTTAAGAGTATTTCGTTGTTTATATGTACCACATTTTCTTTATTGATTCATCTGTTGATGGACAGTTAGGTTGCTTCCAAATCTAAACTATTGTAAACAATGCTGCAACAAATATGGGAGTGCAGATATCTCTTCATTATACTTATTTCCTCTCTTTGGGGTATATATCCAGCAGTGGGATTGCTGAATCATATTGTAGTTCAATATTTAGTTTTTTGAGAAACCTGGAAACTGTTCTCCATAGTGGTTGTACTAATTTACATTTCCACCAACAGTGTAGAAGTGTTCCCTTTTCTCCATATCCTCGCCAGCGTTTGTTATTGCCTGTGTTTTGGGTATAGCCATTTTAACTGAGGTGAGATGATATCTCGTTGTAGTTTTGATTTGCATTTCTCTGATGATCATGATGTTGAGCACCTTTTCATATGCCTGTTTACCATTTGTATGTCTTCTTTTGAGAAATGTCTATTCAAATCCTTTGCCAATTTCTTGATCATATTGTTAGATTTTTTTGCTATAGAGTTGTTTGAGCTCCTTATATATTCTGGTTAGTAATCCCTTGTCAGCTGGGTAATTATTGAATTTTATTTAACAAACAGCATAAGTGTTTCCAAACTATTCTAAATAAAAAGTAGACTTTAGATTTTAAAGTGAGGCAATATTTTACAAAAACTCTAATTCATGAGTCACTGTTCTATAAAATCATCCTTCAACTTTGTACCTAATTAATCAAATGATAGACACTAAACCGTTTATTCACTTGAGTATTTCCTTGCTATCAGATCTGGTCACCCAAAGGAGACATAAAGGAGAAAATTTTACTCTAGTAATTTGCAAACAAAGCTTCCTGGGACTAATGATAATAAATGGAGTGTGAGAAGCTACCCTACCCTTTAAGGAGCATCAAGGTTAGGAGTGTGAGCATGGAGGTGGGGAAACAGATATGAACCACATTCCGAGATCCTAACTGATGATACTATCAAGCAAACCAGCAGGGCAAAACACATTTTGAAAGCTTAAAGAACTATTTTACCATCAACTCCAAGTCATTTAAAGCTAGACTTAATCACTGGCTGCAAGTGTAACTAACATAACTAGGCTAATGTCTCCCAATATTTCCAAAGATTCCTTGAATTGCTATGAAGAATGAAAATTGGGAAACATGATTTTTCAAGATAGCATTTTAAAATATCTATACACTGGTCATAAGAGAGAGCCCTCTGAGCTTTGATGATTTTCAGAAGATCTGTAAAGTTGGAGGGTACAATGCTTGAATTTGTTAGCGAAATTCCAATTAGCTTTCAAAGTTAGGGTTGGCTACCTGCTCTGCACACCGTGGTCCATTTTGCTGTACAGTTTCTCATGTTTATAAAATGAAGTTACAATTTTTTATATCAAATATAATCAGTATTTTTTCCTATGAAATGCACATATATATTCTTATGAAAATCCTAAATTGTTATCTAAAATAATGAGAATGTTTTTCTTTATTTTAAAGCAGGGTTTGCTAAACTTTATAAAGAGGCAGATGATAAATACTTTAGACTTTTTGGGCCATATTTTATTTTTATCCATGTTTCTTCTCCTTCTCTTTCCTTTTTCTCTTTTCCTCCTCCTCTTCTTTTTTTTCTTTAACTTTAAAAATCTAGAAACCATTCCCTGCCAATCTCTATTTTAAAGGTTCGGTAAAGGCCTCAGTATGACTGGCTGATTGTCTTCTGTCTACAAATATTTTCAATTCTTATCTCTTAAGAGTTTAACGGATTCTGTATCCAATTGGTAAAATGTATGCATTTGTATAGCCACTAGGTAGACTCTGATTTACGGCATTTCATGTATATTTAAGCACGATATATATATATATATATATATGTGTATATATATATATATACACATATATATATACACATATATATATACACACACACACACACATATGTATATATGTGTGTGTGTATGTATATATGTATATGTGTGTGTGTGTTTGTGTGTATCAAGGATAAATGCCAGTCCATAAATTCAGCTATACCAGAAATACAACACTGAAGTAATGTCATTCATAGTACGTTTTATCTGGGACATGAAAATTATTTAGAAGAACTTGTACAATGTCACAGGACATGGGCAAGGCTTTAGCTCTATTAGGGAAAAAGAAAACTCATAAGGTGAAGTTCAGAAAAACAGAGTTCCATCAAAACTCCAGCCTGTTGTTTTTCATAGGGAGCCAGTCAGACCTAGATCAAGCACGGATTTTGTTCCAAGAATTAGAGTCCTTCACTTTTGCTCTTTTCTCTTTCCTAATGCAAGCATAATAACAACCTTGTTAGTGCAAGAATGATCAGATTGCCACTGCCAGGGTTTGTGTTACCAGGTATTTATAATAGTTGTCTGGAAAAGCTAGTTGCTCTGTATTTGATAAATTTGGGGGAAATTAGAGGTTATTGGATGAAGTGGCACCTCTTCCAGTAGGTGTATGTCATAGGTTCCATGAGAAGCTGAGCTGAAGTGCCTACACCTTCATATGGGAAAAAGGAAAGCATCACTCCCAGGTCCGTCCTCAATCATTTTGCAGAAAACGTGAACTGAGTGCCTAGGGTCATTGCCAGAAAATTTTACTTCTTGCATAACAAGCTTTTTCTTTAAATCTAGTGAAATGGGATTTTGAGCAGCCTCAGATGCTGACAAGTTATTCTGTTTTCACTGAAGCTTCCCTTAGGGTTATGCCAAAGTGTCAGGATATTAGGCAGCGCTGAAAGTCAAGCAGGCTCTTTGGTGGGCAGTTATCAGTAGTTGATGATAAAGTGTCTATCATCACAGTTGAAAATTTTGGTGGCAATGTACCCTAACTGGTTTTTGAGACTATGGTTTATCTCAGGGTTCATCCCCCTTGCTTTATTCTGCCATCTTCTCTGAGTTCTTTCTAATTGCCCAAAGTGCTATGACAGAGTAGAATGTGGTCTTCCCCAATCATGAACACTGGTCCCTGAAAACATTCTCTTGCTTCCTTCTTCAAGGCATATTTTCTCATTACATGTCATTTGCATTCCCGTACACACCAGGTGTGATCTTTTTCATGAGTTTAGGCTTTTATGAAATTAAAACGTATCTTTTTGTAAAATAAACCCTGCAAAATCATCCATAAGGCAAATAAATGCAGAAGGCAGAGCTATCCAGGAAAAACATTTTTGCTTATCTCAATAAAGTATCCTACCACTCATGGAAGCAGGTACCAAGAAGGTCTGAATTGAGAGCTCCATCCTGTACAGAAGCAACTGACCTTTCTTTTCCAAAGAAAATACAACGGTACATAACTATGTTACGTAATAAAGATGTAAAGGTAGAGATAAGAACGGTGTAATAAAAATGGTTATGGATAGCTAAAATCAGTTCTGTTCCCAGGTGTGGTTACCTTAAATTAGTTTTATAGCTTGTCCAGGGAATTCAGAGCTGAGAAAAATGCAGTTTTGAGTTTCACATAGCCATCTAGCAGATGACTGGAATCCAATCTGTTTATAACATCAGGGCATCCAGTCAACATGTGGGTAGGTAAACAAAAGCACAAAAAAACTTTTATTTACTTTTCCTGCTTGTGAAGCTGTTTCTTTTAAGAAATGTATCGTTCAAATGCCATAATTCCTGTGGAGAGTGATATCACATTAAGTACTTAGGTATAGAAAAGTATGTTCAGAGCAAGGAAATGAGGGAAGGAGAAAAACAAAAGAGATGGAGGAAGGAAGAATATAACTAAAAATCAAATAACTACACCTAATTAAGTGATTACATCCAAACAGACTTAACAAATTGTTTCTGTAAATATAGGGGACTTTTATATAGAATCTTTTTTTAAAAAATTAAAAATATAAAAGGAGGGTGGTAAATTTATGAAAACACTTTGTTTCCAAAAGAATAATCAGGGAAGCAAAACTTTAAAGAATTATTTTATTTGTTTTTCACTCAATTTAAAATAGGTAATATACTATAATAAAATAGGTATAGTATATGACTTAAGGATAGTGAGATATTTGAGTAGAAACATCACTAAAAGAAAAAAATAGTTAATCATAAGTTAAAATAGTAATCATTTGCATGTTTTCTGTAGTCAGTTTTTTTTTTCTTTTCAATGTTTATGCTATTGATAAAACAATAAAAATTGACACACAAATATAAAGGTCTAAACCTTCTTAGCTACTCCATTTTCATGAGCTAAATTCTCTTCTTGGATGAGTTTTAAATGTTCCTTTTCAAGTCAGTAGGGGTGATGAATGCCCAGCCAAAGAGTTGGCCCCTTGATTCTACGGTAAAGCAGATGTCCATGTTAGACATCAAGAAAAATAACATTGGTTGGGAATGTTGTAACATTTATATAAATTATATGGGTTAAACATACTGGAAAAAATGAGGCATATAATTTATGTACAGTGTGATTATTGTAAAAGCAGACTATGCATATTTATAGATAGTTAAAAATAAATAATAGCAGAAAAGGAAAAGAATTGAAGAGTCATAGATTAGTGGCATATGTGTAAAGGCCTTATTGGAAGCCAAGACAATGAAATTAGTTGATATTAAAATAGTACCAGAAAATATTTTTGTACCAGTAAAATTTAGCTGCAGTTGATAATTACTGATTAATTTATAAAATGATGTTTCTAAACATTTATTATTCTTTGCTAGAGCTCCTACTAGAATAAAAATGCTACTGGTAGAAGAAGGAAAAAAGAGTTTTAAAGATATTTAAAGGTCATATCACAGCCTCTTATATAAATTAATCTCTACCAGAATCTAATTACCATATAGCAAAATATATTCTATTTGTTCCTTTATCTTATTCTGCTATTGTCAGAAATAGAGAGCAGCCAATTAGTATGGACTGATTAATACTAATCAAGTACAAATTCTTGAATTTAAGCACTTAAATGTTTTTGTACCTTGTTTTTACATGCTGAGATATATTTTAATAAATAATGATTAATGTATAATGTGAGCCATTTGGTATAATTAACTTTGAAAATTTCCAAATAAACAGATTTACAAAGCAAAAAAATAAGAGGATTTATCTAGTAAGATGGTAAATTAAAAAAATTAACTGAAATTGACAAAAGAAAAAATAGAATAATCATAGAAAAGAAAATGCAACTAGGGAAAATATTTGGGTTTTATTCTTACTACAAATCAAAGGAATGTAAATTTAAAAGTTACTCTTTAGGCCTATTGGATGTGTCATATCCCTTCCTGTTTTGTCAGTCTCAGCTGGCTTGTGTCTATTGAAATAAACACTTTCATAATTCACTGATAGGAAGGCTATACACTAATAAAACTCTTTTGCAATGTAATATCATTTTTCCAGAGACCTAAAAATGTTCATCGTTGTTAATTCTATAATTCTGTCTCCAGCACCTAATTAAAAAAATTATATGTGTAAGAGAAGAAGATGATGAAGAAACAGCAGCAGCATTTTGTGAAACTATCTGGGGTCCCTCTACTGAAGTCTGATATCTAGCCAGCTTCTGTGTGTGTTGCTCCATAAGGCAATAAGTCATAGATGATCTATATCTGGTATTGTTCCTGTTGCCATGAGTTTTTCTCAGGAAATGCTATTTCAGAGGGCTTGGTGGACATGTTCTTGGGTCACCTGAACCTTGACAGTTGATACAGCAAGCAGAGTTTCTCTTTTAGCACCAGAGGGTCTTATAAACGTTTACCTACATAACAAACCTGCACATGTACCCCTGAACTTAAAATAAAAGTTAATAAAAATAAAACAATTTGTTCAGAATTGAAAAAAAAGGCTTTGAGGTGATGGATGTGTTAATTAGATTGATTTAATTATCTTACATTGTACTTATAAATTATAACACCATACATATATGCAACTATAATTAAAACATAAAAAACATACAACTATAATTTGTCCATTTACAATTTAAAAATAACCAAAGACAGAACTTCTCGAATGATGGCTTAAGTAGCTCAGTAAATCCTCTCTCAAAAAAGCAACAATTAAAAAAACTGTCACAAGCAGCCATTTCAGGACTCTGGATATTGATCAAAAGCATAGACGTAGCTGAAAAGCATTTATGTAAGAATATCTACTAAACTTCATGTACTAACTATGAGATTTTGTGGGATTTTAGCATAGTGCTATTCCTATTTGCCTCCCCATTCACCCTACCTCTGTGAAGTGCAACAAAATGTACCCTACCCGGTAGGGCAAGCCCTTAATATTAGAACATTACCGCAGAGGGAGTGGATATGATTTTAGGCAAAGCATAGAAAAACCTAGGTATTGTCAGAGCCAGTAGCAATTTCAGCAGCAAATGAACAGAGAAAGCCAATATTACAGGCACTCTGTCACTGAAAACCTTGGTAGGGAAAACCACAAACTGGTAGACCATCTAGACCTTAACCAGGTTATCTGGAAAAGGAGGCCAACAAAGTGGGATTTGATACTTCCCAAATATCTCTAGTGGTCTGGAAAACTATATGGCATACCTAGTAGAGAATGGAGAGGGCCCTAGCTATCCATACATCCCTAGATAAATGTGATACACTCTGCATTTGCATATGAAATATGAAAGAATTCAGTGCAATGTGAAAAGTTGGGAAGACTTGCAAATTGCTTGAACTCTAATTGTGCTCCTCAACTTGCATACAGATTCATCAGCAAAGAGTGAATGCCTGAATATATAAGGATATGTATTTAATACTAATAATAATCCAGGTATTGAACACTAAGCTATGCTGACAGAGGAATAACTCCTGAGAATATAGGCTTAAAACTAAAACTAAGAATAAAAAAAAAAATTGAACAGAGACTTCAGATGCTACACAACATCACAGAGAATTAGTCTAGGCAATTTAGCATAAAACAAACTGAAATAGAAAACAGCTCAACAATCTCCCTGAGCAATCAGAATCTAGAGTTGCTATAATATTTTATATAAAAGTTTCAGTTTTCAAAAAAATATCATAAGACCTATTACAAAGAAGTATATCCTATACCAAGGGAAAAGAGCAAACATAGAAACTGTCTCTGAGTGAACCCAATTGTTAGATTTAGCAAACAAAGATTTCAAAGAAGCTTTTATAAATATGTTCAAGAACTAAAGAAAGTCATTTTTAAGTAATTAAATGAAAGTATGAAAATGAGACATCAAATAGAAAGTCTCAATAAAGGAGTATAAATTATAAAACAAAGTCAAATGCAAACTCGGGAGTACTTTGAATCCAGGAGCTTGAGACAAGCCTGGGCAACAAAGAGAGACTCTGTGTTATAAAATTGCAATAAGGCCCTCACCAGATGTCAGTACCATGCTCTTGGACTTCCCAGCTTCCAGAACTGTAAGAAATAAACCTCTTTTCCTTATTAATTACCCAGTCTCAAGTACTCAGTTACAGCAACAGAAAACAGACTAAGACAACCACCCTGATCATGGTGCCCCTGAGCCTTCTGATGTACTCTATTGAGCAACTCTATCAAATATCCACTAATGAAGCTAACTGATATTAATAGACTCTAGGATCTGTAATTGAATAAGCCATGGAGAACTGTTCTTCCTCTTTTTCCAGGTTCCCTGTACCTCCAGGCTCTCTAGTCATTGAAAGAGGTATTGGAGCAATACTGCATGTCTTGATTAGCACTTTCTTGATCATTGCATTATAGTCATAGTATCAGCCACAGTCAACTCCACACAAAGTTTATACTCACCAGAAGGGAGAATAGCCAATGACATTTTTTTTGTCCTGGGAGGGATAAAATACCCCTCCCAGGCTGCTTTTCTTTCAGCCTAATGTTTAAGACAATCAGTTCCAATGGAATGCTGAGGTGACAGATCAATCTACAGGTCTGCCATGGCAAATAAAACACGGCTTTGGCCCAGTCCTCTGGTATTCCCACAACCAAGAAGGCTAAAGTTGCAGAAAAGACTGGGGGCCAATTTTTTTTAAAGCTTTACATTGCTGTATCTGTACAGATTGGACCTACGTCCCCTGATGAAGGCAGGGGTGAGGATAAGACAAAAACACATGCTGAGGTAGCAGAACATGGCAGCAGTTGGGATTCATTGCGACACAAAGGACTGGTATCCACTACCCCTCTTCCTTCCCCTCCAGTGAGAGAGGAACAAGAAGCCTTGGCTGTGTCAGTTCATAAATTGTTGTCCATGTAAATCTCATCATGATAAGTAAGAAAACAAATACAATATTGAACATGTAATATTTGTTTTGACTGTCCATGTCTCCTTTGCTGTATTGTTCTCTAGGTTCTGATATAAAATAATAAAAGTAATATAAGTGAAAACTGAGACCATTGTTCAATAGAATCTCCAGACGGTTTATTTACCACATGTAATTCCCCATACCATGGAAATCTGACAGAACTTCAGACCAAGATCTCCTCAGAAATACGAGGTTTGACATAGGCTATATAGGTTCCAATCTTGAGATAATTTACCAAGTGTACTCCCAGCATTTCTATGTTAATATTTTAGCCACTTTCACAAAAATGATAAGAGAAGGGTTTGAGCACTCACACATGATCAGGAGCAAGCACTAGCAATCTTCATCTTTTGTCCTAGCAGTTCTCAGATCCCATCTAGCCCCTCTGAACTCTTGTTATCTTAGGATTTTCCAAATGTGTACTTTAATCTTAAGTATCTCAAAAGTTTAAATGGTAGATTTTTTTATACTATTGAGTAGAAAACAGAATTTTTCAACTTTCCCATCATAAGACTTCTTTTTGTAGAGACTTCATCCTATTCTAGTTCTGAAAGGATATTAATCTGAAATGTTTTTATTCAACTAGAAAATGTAAAAGAAAAGATATATAGACCAATGGAACGGAACAGAGGCCTCAGAAATATCGCCACATCTACAACCATCTGATCTTTGACAAACCTGACAAAAAAAAAGCGATGGGGAAAGGATTCCCTATTTAATAAATGGTGTTGGGAAAACTGGCTAGCCATATGTAGAAAGCTGAAACTGGACCCCTTCCTTACACCTTATACAAAAAATAACTCAAGATGGATTAGAGACTTAAACATAAGACCCCAAACTATAAAAACCCTAGAAGAAAACCTAGGCAGTACCATTCAGGACATAGGCATGGGCAACGACTTCATGACTAAAACACCAAAAGCAATAGCAACAAAAGCCAAAATTGGCAAATGAGATCTAATTAAACTAAAGAGCTTCTGCAGAGCAAAAGAAACTAGCATCTGAGTGAACAGGCAACCTACAGAATGGAAGAAAATTTTTGCAATCTACCCATCTGACAAAGGTCTAATATCCAGAATCTATAAGGAACTTAAATTTACAAGAAAAAAAGCAACCCCATCAAAAAGTGGGCAAAGGGTATGAAAAGACATTTCTCAAGAGGACATTTATGTGGACAACAAACATAATGGAAAAAAAGCTGATCATCACTAGTCATTAGAGAAATGCAAATCAAAACCCCAAGGAGATACCACCTCACACCAGTTAGAATGGTGATCATTAAAAAGTCAGGAAACAACAGATGCTGGAGAGGATGTGGACAAATAGGAACGCTTTTACACTGTTGGTGGGACTGTAAATTAGTTCAACCATTGTGGAAGACAGTGTGGCGATTCCTCAAGGATCTAGAACCAGAAATACCATTTGACCTAGCAATCCCATTATTGGGTGTATACCCAAAGGATTATAAATCATTCTATAAAGACACATGCACACGTATGTTTATTGCAGCACTATTCACAATAGCAAAGACTTGGAACCAACCCAAATGCCCATCAATGATAGAATGGATAAAGAAAATGTGACACATATATACCATGAAATATTATGCAGCCATAAAAAAGTATGAGTTCATGTCCTTTGCAGGGACATGGTTCAAGCTGGAAACCATCATTCTCAGCAAACTAACACGGAAACAGAAAACCAAACAGCTCATGTTCTCACTCATAAGTGGGAGTTGAACAGTGAGAGCACACGGACACAGGGAGGGGAACATCACACACCGGGGCCTGTGAGGGGGTGGGGTACTAGGGGAGGGATAGCATTAGGAGAAATACCTAATGTAGATGGTGGATTGATGGGTGCAGCAAATCACCATGGCATGTGTATACCTATGTAACAAACCTGCACATTCTGCACTTGTGCCCCAAAGCTTTAAGTATAATAAAAAAAGAAAATATAAGACTTACAAGATTCAAAAGAAAAAAAAATAAATCTGTGCAGTAGCAGGAAAAACTCTGAAGGAGAACCTTGGGGACAATACATTCGCTCTTACTCTACCTATTAGAATGAGTGATCTTTGTAAGTCACTTGATTCTATAGACACACGTGAAGAAAGGGGGTATTCTTATTTCTTACGGGTTTTGTATGAAGAATAAATAAGTCAAAATGAAAAAAAAAAGAAAATGTAAAACCATTATTCAAATGTACTGTGGTACTCAATGAGGCAGGAAAGTTTAACATTTTCTGCAGCCTGGAATATCTCTGGTAAGTGTAGTTAATATTTAAGCTCTCTATAATTAAACATAATGTAACTCAAACATATAATGAACCTTTGGGTGGGCAGAAAGTAACTATGTAAAAATATCAAGACAAATATGCATAGAAAATAATTAATGGATTAGATATAACAAAAGTGTTAACAGTAATTGCTTTTGTGTGGTCAGAATATAGGCATTTTTTACATTGTATTTCTTTGAATTTTCTAAGTTTTCTACAGTAAGCACACCATATTATTAAGAAATATATTTTGGACTTGATAAGCCATATTTTACAAAGTTTTTATTTTCCACATAGATCATTCTGTGCAATAAGCATTCCAGAAAGTTTGACAAGTAATGAAAGCTCTAAGAGTCACTTCACAAATCTTAACCTACATGATGTTATTTCTACCTTGATTATTGTATTTAGAAAATACATTACACAGTAATACTTCAACTTTCAACTTTGTAAACATTGTATGACGTTTCCCTAGTTGTTTTGTGTTTGCTTTTACTGCTTGTTTTTGGCAGAAATCTCACCTCATGTTATTTTTGGAGTACAGATTCATTTAACAACCTGTACTTATCCTTTGTTTAATTCTTTCATGTGTAGGGCTTCTCTGGAAGGCATAATTCTACTGTGGAGGAAAAAATAACCTATTTTGAGGCAGAGAGAAAAAGGAACATGAAAATATGCTTACTTGGTAGGAGTATGCAGGGGGGGACACCTGCAGCTCGTTTGTAGCATATGTGTGTTCTGATTGCTTGGGAATTCCCTGAGTCCATTAGAAGCAATTTCACAACACTGGGGCTGTCCTGCTCACTTCTAGGTCACTAGTATGATCGTTTTATCTTTATTGTTCTATATAGTTACAATACACTTCTTCACCAAGAACAAGATTTAGTCTATGTTTGGATTTATCAGGTGCAGTGAGCCTAGTAGAGTGTCTGACATAGCAGGAGCCCACTGGTTATTAGAATGATGGAATTTTAAATAGTTCAACATTAAGGCACTACATTTTGGTGCTAGAACTGAAAATCTTGCAATGTAAAAAATGGAGCCCAAATTCTAACTGAGGAGCTAGGTAAGCACAACACTTATGGTAAACACTGTGAAGACATAGGTCAGCTATGTTGTGATAGGAGAATACATGTCATACTACAGGCACGCATACAAACTAATTTACTATAGTCTGTCTCACGAGAGCATGCTTCCCAGGTGAGGTGATACCTCAGCCAAACTGAAGGGTAAGTCAGAGTTGGCCTAAGAAGAAAAGGGAGAAAGCATCAAGGCAAAGGGAATGACATGCATAAAGGATTCCCACTTTAATGCCCCATGACTCCAAACTTGTAACCTTCTCCTAACAACAATAACTTCCATTTATACCAAATTCCATTTCTTCAGGGCACTGATTCAGCTACAAAATGACCGTTAAGTTAGACGTAAAAATAATGACCTGTATCTCCCCACCAGCCCCTCAACCAAATCCTATGAGGTAAAAATGTTTAATTCAATTTCACAGGTGATGAAACTGAAATTAGAAAACTGTCAGAAAGCACTCGTATTATACAAGTCCCCTTTTGGAATTGTTCTGAGAACCTTAGAGGTTTACTTCTAAAATATTTGTAGTAGTTAACTAATATTCATTACTAATATTCATTTTTCAAAATTGAATTTTCTTGAACTATTTAAGATCATTTGCAAAGAATATTCTTTTTTTTTCTTTTTTTTTTTTTTTTAATATGGTGTCTCACTCCGTCGCCCAGGCTGGAGTGCAGTGGCGCAGTCTCGGCTCACTGCAAGCTCCGTCTCCTGGGTTGATGCCATTCTCCTGCCTCAGCCTCCCGAGTAGCTGGGACTACAGGCGCCCGCCACCACGCCTGGCTTATTTTTTTTTTATATTTTTAGTAGAGATGGGCTTTCACCCTGTTAGCCAGGATGGTCTTTATCTCCTGACTTTGTGATCTGCCCGCCTCAGCCTCCCAAAGTGCTGGGATTACAGGCGTGAGCCACTGCGCCCGGCCACAAAGAATATTCTTTATACTCAATTTGATACCTTTAGTATCTCAAGAACAAAGTAAATTTAGTTTGAAAAATTATTAAATTTAAAAATATAACAAAAGACAACATACAGAGATGAGGAAGAAATAAAAGCATTTTGAAGTAAAGTTATTTTATATATTATATGTATAATTTAGAAAAAGTATAAACACATTATATGTGGTACTGCTGCATAAAAATTATGTTTGAAGCAGCTCTGCTGAGACTAACACACAAATTAGCATCATGTATATAAATTTAATAGTGTCCTGTAAGTCTGAAATTATATGTAAATAAAATATCAAAATGTATATATATAGAAAAAGAGAAAATTATAATTTTTGTGTTTTAATTCTGCTCCAAGAAAAGAAGTTGTAGCTTTGGTTTTCTCAACCTTTCATTAATTAAACATCAATATATCAAAATTTACTTTTGTAAAAATTTTCTTATTGCCTTATGATATCTGAAAGGAACTTTCATTATTTAATTAATTCTGTTTTAACCAAATAGCGAAGACGTTAATTCAAATGACCAGTTGCCCATTTATAATTATGCAAGGGCTACATTAATGAGTTACTTAATCATGGATGATATAGAGCAGTGTAGGAGTCACCCTGATTCTCCCAGAAGTTTCTAAATATGTACAATTCTCATTGAGAAACTCCTAAAGAGTAAAAGAGCAACCTCAAAGTCTTGGAAAAGTAAATTAAAATACTCCCATGGAAATTGCTGAGTGTTTTTGAGATTGTATGCCCTATTTTAAGCCTGATGTAATTTTGACATTTTCTGCTACATGCTTTGGCGACTGACACACTGTATGAAATCAGGCTCTTCTATTCTCACATATATTGCCCCAAGAAACACCTTTAAAATTGATGTATCAAATTAACTTAAACTTTAATTCTTCCTCTTCAAACTTCCCTGTTAGCTATTATGAAAATTGGGTCCATTTTTCTTAGGACACTTCTGTTGGCCCTGCACCCCTTTCAGTCTCCTGTCTGCCACAGAATGAATCGTCTCCCTGCTTATAAGCCACTGAGGAAGAGGAAGCAACATAAAGGCTCTAGAAATGCGGTGACGAGAGGTCTCCTACTTCACTGTTACCATAGTCTTCTAGATACCAGTTTCTGACTGGTCACTCTAAAGGGAAAAGCAGAGATGCCAAAATAAATCTTCCTAATCTCATCAGTGGAGGTCACAGGAAACTCCCAGAGGCTTGGCCATGTCCAATTTCTCCTTTCTTAGGGATGACTAAAGTCAGAGTTGCACCAAATTTTTAAAGAGAGGAGGAGTGAAAACAGGACAAGGCTGCACAGAACCTGAGTAATTATTTTATTATAAAACACCACAGGGCTGCCTCAGTCATGAAGAGAACTTTATTACTTATTCACATTATGCATACCTGATGTCCTGTTTGGTGATGGTATTTCAGTAATCCACTTGTGGGCATCATATCTTTGCTAATTTTTATTTTTAATAGTATTTTAAAGATTACCAATAAAATTACCCAGTTTTCCATAAATTTTATTTTCCTCATTCTCCCAAGGTGCATCCCACATTTACACCATGGTTCTGTATATGTTTCTGCAAAATACTGCATATCCCTTGGGATACGTATATCCCAGGTTTATAAGCATGAATCAAGTTAACCCAATTTTGAAGGAGATTTTTCAAATATTTACACATTGATATCTATGACCCCTGTGCTGTTTTCATCCTGCTCTCAGCTTAGCTCCGGTTTTCTTTCTCAGTTAAAATGTGTATTTTTGTTTGTTTGTTTGTTTTTCTGGGAGTGAAAAAGACTTCTTTCCAGAAGCAGTAGGACTAATTTAGTAGAAGCCAAAACATAACATGAAACTTTCCATCCATTCCCATCATAGGACATGGAAATAGCTGGGAAATGAAAGTAAACAGATATACGTCTGGTCACCTTGTGTTTTCTCATCAGTTGAACCAGTTTGTGAAAGATGTATTCCCTTTGCACTGTCAAATTGAAGGACATTTCCTATATGGTTTGACCTCTGCCTCATTATCTGCATGTAAAAGTTGAAGGCCTTAAAGCAAGCTGATTGCTGTTGCTGTTTTTCACAGTACCTGTGCATATTTAGGGGGTGAACATTTGACCATTGTTTAAGAAATGGGCAAAACCAGTAGACAGTTTGCAGGTAGTAGTGTCAGTCAATTCTCAGAAAACACACACAAAATTATATAAAAGAGCCAGTTTTGTGCTATTTTTGGCATAATGTAGCTAGATTAGGTGATAGTAGGAAAGAGAAATAAGAGTAGGAGGAGCTGCTTTAGTGAATAAGTGCGGACCAAATTAGCACAAAAAAATGAAGTAGCGCATGAAGCCTTAAATAATAAATGAATCACCTTTGAAACCAAAATTGGTCTTCTTAAACTAAAGCTAAAACATGGAATGGTTTTGGTGGGCATAGTGCAAAAGAAGGGAGTTGTGAGCAGATTTAGTTGTGGGTCTTTTGTTTTGAGTTATGTTGTTTTGCTTTTTGTAAACTGATCTTCCCAGAAGTCTGTGTTATATATATACTTTAAGTTATGGGATATATGTACAGAACATGCAGGTTTGTTACATAGGTATACATGTGCCATGGTGGTTTGCTGCAGCCATCAACCTGTCATCTACATTAGGTATTTCTCCTAATGAAATCCCTCCCCTAGCCCCCCAACCCCCAACAGGCCCCAGTGTGTGATGTTCCCCTCCCTGTGTCCATGTGATCTCATTGTTCAACTCCCACCTATCAGTGAGAACATATGGTGTTTGATTTTCTGTTCCTGTGTTAGTTTGCTGAGAATGATGTTTTCCAGCTTCATGTGCCTGCAGAGGACATGAACTCATCCTTTTTTATGGCTGCATAGTATTCCATGGTGTATATGTGCCACATTTTCTTTATCTAGTCTATCATGGATGGGCATTTGGGTTAGTTCAAGTCTTTGCTATTGTGAATAGTGCTGCAATCAACAAATGTGTGCATGTTTCTTTATAGTGGAATGATTTATAATCCTTTGGGTATATACCCAGTAATGGGATTGCTGAGTCAAATGGTATTTCTGGTGTTAGATCGTTGAGGAATCACCACACTGTCTTCCACAATGGTTGAACTAATTTACAGTCCCACCAACAGTGTAAAAGCGTTCCTATTTCTCCACATCCTCTCCAACATCTGTTGTTTCCTGATTTTTTAATGATCTCCATTCTAACTGGCATGAGGTGGTATCCCATTGTGGTTTTGAATTGCATTTCTCTAATGACCAGTGATAATGAGCTTTTTTTCATGTTTTTTGGCCACATAAATGTCTTCTTTTCAGAAGTGTCTGTTCATATCTTTTACCCACTTTTTGATGGGGTTGTTTTTTCTTGTAAGTTTGTTTTTTTGTAGGTTCTGGATATTAGCCCTTTGTCTAATGGATAGATTGCAAAAATTTTCTCCCATTCTGTAGGTTGCCTGTTCACTCTGATGATATTTTCTTTTGCTGTGCAGAACCTCTTTACCTAGGAATACAACTTAAAAGGGATATGACGGACCTCTTCAAGGAGAACTACAAACCACTGCTCAAGGAAATAAGAGAGGACACAAACAAATGGGAAAAGATTCCATGCTCATGTATAGGAAGAATCACTATTGTGAAAATGGCCATACTGCCCAAAGTAATGTATAGATTCAATGCTATCCCCATCAAGCTACCATTAACTTTTTTCACAGAATTAGAGAAAACTACTTTAAATTTCATATGGAACCAAAAAAGAGCCCATATACCCAAGACAATCCTAAGCAAAAAGAACAAAGCTGTGGGCATCACACTACCTGACTTCAAAGTATACTACAAGGCTAGAGTAATCAAAACAGCATGGTACTGGTACCAAAACAGATGTGTAGACCAATGGAACATAACAGAAGCCTCAGAAATAACGCCACACATCTACAACCATCTGATCTTTGACAAACCTGACACACACAAGCAATGGGAAAAGGATTCCCTGTTTAATAAATGGTGTTGGGAAAACTGGCTAGCCATATGCAGAAAACTGAAACTGGACCCCTTCCTTACAGACTTATACAAAATTAACTGAAGGTGGATTAAAGACTTAAACGTAAGTCTGTGTTTGTTTTAGGGAACATGGTTCCTCATTGTAGTTATACCTAGAATAAATTCTCGTAGTCTCCACGTCGTAGACATTAACAAGGTGAAAAGACTTTATGCCAAATTCCTCATTTAAAAAAAGTGAGCATGATGAAAAAATAAGATATCATTTTTGTAAATAAAAAACGTATTAAAATCTTAGAATCCATGCAATATATATATTTCTAAGGGGACATACTAAGCTACATACAGGAAGCCTCAAAGGAACATTAAACAAAGAGATTTACTTTAGATGAAGGCATACTCTGAATATTTTTAATACAAACATTTTTTGAACATTTTTTATGAAAGATAAAAGAGGAAATGTAAATACACATTTGCTTTAGTATAATAAATTATCTGATTATTTCTCAGTGTATTTACTTGAGCCCTAAGTACACCACTATACTTGTAAATAATATTGTTATACTTCTGCATTACATTTCCTAATTGACTCTGGTATGTATATACTACAAAAATGCTCTGTTTAAAAATAGGCAGGAGAAAAGGTATGTTACTAAACCAATGCAGAATTTTGATCTCATATGCTTGATAAGATATTGTTTTATTGGAGAATAAAAAATAATTTTCTAATTCATTTTAAAATTGCAATTATTTTTATTATGAGGAACAAAAAATAAGCTATAATAAATTTCAGATAAAAGGAAAAAAAGCCATTTAAGTGAAGAGATTTGAATTCTCTCCGGATTCTGTGATTCCCGAATAACATATTTGAAGAATAAGAAAGATCTTCAGTTCTTTGAGGACACAAGGAGGAATCTAAAGCAGTACCCAAAGTGACTTAAATCTCACCAAGATCAGGTCAAAATTCTTTCAAAGCAAAAAGATCTTTATCTTTCTTTTTCTACCCATGAGTAATTTTTGAACAAGTGTTACTTGCAAGCTAGTGTAGTTAGTGCTTTGGATAAAAATAAAAAATAATAAAAAAGAGTACTTGTCTTCTAGAGAGAAAGAAGATGTAAAAACAGTTTTAAAAATTGAAAATATTTAAAACAGAAAAAAATGATTTGGGATGTAGGTAAAGAAACAAGATAATATAACACATATTTTGAGAGGAGAAGTTTTCAGTGAAAATAGGAAGGTAGCCATATCAAGCTTCAGATAGATTTTGGAGGGTAATGGCTGGAGATTCATTTCCTTTGGTATTTAAGACCTTTAAACTTATTATTAGGACTATAAGCAGCATAAATTTAATAGTTGGTTAGAATACATGAAACTAAAAGCATTAAAGAATGAATAGATAGTGACTAAATAAACATAGTGATTGTAGACATCTTTTAAGGAAAATTTATAAATTAAAAAAGAGCTACCCTTGACATAATGATATCTAGTTAACAGGTCTGCAAATCAGATGCATCAGTTCTACGTATTTTTCATTTTAATCTGACAATTCTGAACAGTTCTAATAGATTTCTTATTACTTGCAGCAATTACGTTGACTTCAACATAAGATTTAAAAAAATAAGCCTCAGGTTTCCCTGTTCACATTACTGAAATTATTTTAAGATCTGATTTTAAAAGGATATTTATTTTAACACATGTATATTAACTCATACTAGTTTGCATTAATTTATATTATATTTACAATTGGCAATTAATTTCTCTTATTTTATAAATATTTTTAAACTAAAAATATTATTCTTGTTATTTTTTTTTTTTTTCTGAGACAAGAGTCTTGCTCTGTCACCCAGGCTGTAGTGCAGTGGTGTGATCTCGGCTCACTGCAACCTCTGCCTCCTGGGTTTAAGCAATTTTCCTGCCTCAGCCTCCCGAGTAGCTGTGATTACAGGCACCCACCACTGTGCCTGGCTAATTTTTGTATTTTTAGTAGAGATGGGATTTCACCATGTTGGCCAGGCTGTTCTCAAACTCCTGACCTTGTGATCCGCCTGCCTTGGCCTCCCAAAGTGCTGGGATTACAGGCATGAGGCACCGTGCCTGGCCAAAAATATTAATTTTTAGAAAATGCTGTGAATTATTGAATTGTGATAAAATATTATATACTTTTATTCTATCTGAAATAAGACATGTAAAGTATTGTGAATTTAACCCTGCATAATGCACTATTTTTTCCTCCATGCAGCACCAGAAACAACACATCATAGGTCATGCCTAGCACTCATTTAAATGCAACCTCAGAGTCACACTGCATGTTACAAATATCTGGGAGCTGTGTGATTAGTTAACATCTTGTGCATAACCCTTAAAATTATAGCAAGTTCTCATGAGATAATTAGCTTACTCTGTTTCTATAATAAAATGAACCATGTTTTAGCAGTGACTCTTAGGAATAGTAGCAGGAAAATATGTTTAAATCAGATAAATTCAAGAATCTCAGAAGAAAAAATGGAAACAAATAAACATATTGTAATCAAAAATGTTCTTTTCCTAATCCAAATGGACTCTAAGGTAGCAGAGAAGCAGACTGTTGAATATGGAACTTGCCCCTCACTGCCACCAATCCATCCATGACTCCACTGCAGTATCTTATGCTCCAAGATGAGAAAGCTAAGAAATACATAAGAGCTTAAATATCTCTTCTCTCTGTGGAACTCAACAAATGTTAGGTTTCTGCATGGGACAGCAACCTCAAAGCTGAATGATGCTTTTAAGTTCACACAAGTTCATTCAAATCAGAATGAAGCAGGATTTCCAGAGAAAACATGCTTCAGGTTTCACTCCATTGCTACATCCTGAGAGCAATCCAGAGACAGTCTTGTTATGAGTTGAAACAATACTTGAAAGTGCAAAGAAAACAGGTGACTATTCACCTGCCATTCTTACCAACATCTTGTGTTGTTAGTTTGGGACTTCAAAATCTCATGACCCAGAAGTCACACACGGCAACAACAACATAAACACACAAAGGAAAAACCAGACAAGTTTTTAATGTGATATATTATGCAAGTACGTATGAAAAGCATGTAAGGCTAAGAGGAGATATTTGTGCATATCTTCTTGGCCTTTGTGACTCAAGAATTTGTGCCTCTTCCTTTTTTCCCAGGTTAAATCCCCTAAAAAAACAGAGTGTTTGGCATAAAATGCATGTATTGAAGGCTGTGTACAATGATTCTTAGTTTAGTTTCTCATTTTTAAATAAGAAGCAAGAATTCATAATACTGTCTTTTAGCATGGGAAGGGTGAATAAAATTTAAACTTAATGGCATAACACACTTGATAGTGTGATGTTTATCCACAACAAACAAGCAAGTAGGCAACGCTAACCTAATGGCTTAAGTTACATGAGAAACCAAGCTACTACTTAGTCTAATTGCAGAAGTCTTATTCAGGGGACAAAATTCTCTGGATACAGGGCACTTAATTTCTAATTAAAAGCATGCTATTTGTTGACCTTCATACTTCCAAAAAGAACTGGGGCTACCTTACTATTAAATATATACCTAATATATGAAAACAAAAGAAAACCAACAACTGCTAGTAAGTAGTTAAGGAAAAAGAAGATAGAACTGTGTCCCCAAACTCAGACTAGAGAAAGTTGTCAATGTGCAGTAAAAATTAACTTTAAACTTCTTAAAAATAAAGGCAAAAACTGACTTTTTTCATGTAAAAAATTGAGAGAAATATTATGACAGAATTTTAAGCATATTGACGCCATAGTAGGCAATGCACTTGATAGTAATTTGATAATAATACACAAGATCCTGCATTATGCAATAAAAAGACTAATTAAAGATTAGTTAAGATTATTCTATAGCTGGCCAGAGTAGTACGTTCATATGCTTAGCTTTCTGATAATGAGGTTTAATAGAAAGAGAACTATTTAAGAATTTTGACCAATGACTATCATGTCCCTTGGTCTGATGTTTTCCCCAGTCATTTAAAGAGTGTGTCTTCATGATCATCTTTTTAATCATCTGCATCATCTGAAAAAAAAATGACAGTTTATTATTTTCTCAAAGTTGTAATCTATTTAAGAGGATATTTTACTTTGAGACTATGACCTAAATAATTTACATTGAAATGTCTTTTTGTTGTTGGATTATGGTGGTAAGAAACCATAATTTTGTTTTTTGTTTGCTTTGTTTTCAAATGTGCCTTCTTGAAAAAACATTGAAGAACACCCCAATTTTATAAGAAGAATAGCATGTGACTTAATTTTACTCAAAAATTGCTTTGGTTGTATTCAAGTATTATATTAATTCTCTATTTAAATTCCAAAATTTAGTTTTATGTGGTAGGAAAACAGTATCTTGATGATTATAAGGTCTTTAAAAGAGTGAAAATTGTTGTTAACATTAGTGATATAAAATTCAATTTTGGACATAACTAAAAAGTAAATAATAATAACAACAACACTTATAATAACAACTTCTCCTTATCTTAGTGACAAATTTAAGTCTTATATAACCAAATGTAAGAACGTATTGGGTGTGTATGTTTAGCATATTTCATCTGAACACTAGGATCTATTTTTCTAAAAGTAGTGCTTTTGGCTTGAATAAAAGTAATGTCTAACTCTCTTTTATAATGTCCCATTATGTTTAGTTGCTTCCTAAGGCTCATTCTAGAATACAGTTTGGAACACATGAAAACATACTTGCTTCTGGGCTGCTATGGACCAGACTAAAAATAACTGCGTAATGTTGGACAAGTGTTGTTTAAACAGTGTAGTAAGAATACTAGGATACTAGCACCATCAGATTATTCCTGAACACCATGATCCTTAGGACAATAATGTAATAACATTATTCCAAAAGAATGTTTAAAGATTCAGATCAATATTGAGATTCCACAACTTGGCTTATGTATAAAGACAAAATCAGTTGAGTAAAAATGGCAGATTTTCAAGTTCTTGAACACTATTTTATTATGTAATACAGACAACAAAAATGGAGAATAATAGTTGAAACTAAAATCTTATTCCTCAAGTAGGATACTTGATTAAAATTCTATGAAATTTAATAAAGATTAAGTTGATACTGAGTTTTAAAGAGTCAGATAAAAGATTGCTGTTTCTACAACTTAAGGTTATGATGCACTACTATTTTGGCTGATGGCTAAAGCCTTGCTTCCATGTCAGACCTCCAAGGGACATGCAAGTGATAAAAGGATTTTGAAAACAATATATTTAAGCTGAGTGAATCCTAAGGCTATTGCTACCCATAATTCCTGATATCAAAATTCCTTTTTCATTGAAATATTCTCCTTTTCCTCAATGATTGGCTTTATCTGTAAACAGTAGAAAAACTGTTTCTTAGAAATCAGAAGGAATGGAAAGTGGTAAATACTCCAGAAGCATCATCAGCGATTAGTGTATTCTGTCTAACAGAAACTTTCAAACTGCTAAATCCACTCATGACCTGTGTTGAAAAATGTAAGGCAGATATAATCTATGATAACTAAGGAACTAAATAATTTATAGTCCAAAACAAACTTTTTTTCAGAGTAAAAGGAGACACTATAAATAATTACACAGGGCAGCAGGCAAAAACCAGGAGTTTCCTAGGCCAACCAACAGTCTAGGTCACTCTATTTGTACTTATTTTTTGATCAGTGAGATGGTGATAATCACAAAATATGCAATTTCTAAACAACAAATTATCCACTAATAATTACTTGGGAAAAAATCATTGTCGGTAAATCAACATTAATTAAGTGAAATGGATGATTTTCAATGAATATACTCCTTTGTATTGTGATTATTCTAAAGGGTATGTTTTCTTAATAAGTCTTGTCCCAAAGAAAAATCTACATAAACAGTGTTTTAACAAGATTATGCGAAATACTAGTATTATGATAGCTAAACTACAAAGATTAATCAAAAGGTATGCAGAATAATTTTTAATAGCCTGCATATTTAGGCAACCAATAACAGCAACTCCTTTTTGGTGTGTAGCCTCAAATGGTCAATAAAATGTGAATGTCCAGTTTGCCCAAATTTTCTTCTTCAGTGTGCAATGAGTAAATATGAATTTAGTAGGATGGTATTTTGAAACATTAACTTTTTTGCCCTTTACATTTGCTTAGTGCTTTTCCCACTTAGGAAGCTAGATCATGAGATATTCACTTTCAGCGAAACTTTTTAGATCTTAGACTATCACAAGTGCTTCTTGTTATCAATAGCTTAGATCCCAGATGATACTCAAAATAAAGAGAATGCATGGTAACTTAGGCACCAGCCTAGATAAAGACTAAGCAAAATGGGTAGAGAAATACAGCCATATGGAATGAAGAGTGAATCCATGAAAAAATTGGGGTTGGATTTCATCCATACTGTAGTAGGGATATAAGACATAAAAACTCAAATAGCAATGAATTTTAACCTGAAGATTACTTGCACTCCAATTTTCTGAGAAAAGCCCAGAAAACTGCCACGACAAAAGAACAATAAAGGTTGCCTGTTGTGTAAAGGCAGATAGCCTGAAACAACATCACATGATTTGTTCATACCCCAGACATGGCATGATAACAGTGAAATACTTTTTATGTGCTGAAGAGTAGCATAGGGGCTCTCATGATGCCCTTAGGATCAAGGATGTGAAAGTGTTTGACTCAGAAAATAGAACATGGGTGGACAATGAGAGAGACTTATAACTGAAGGAGTGCACAGGTTGATGTAACTGGGACCTGTGTGTGAGGTAACTGTAGTAGACTGGTGTAAGGACTGTGATCATGGTCAACAGTCATTGACTGAGGCTAAATATTCCATCCTCATCCCAGTAAGCTGGTACCAAGTAACTTTTACCTACCTCGTAATAATCCTTTGGAAAGATGTTGAGGACCTTTAAGTTGATTGAAATTGAATTTCAGTCATGTGGGAAATGAAGATTTTTAATGAAAATGAGCATCAGTAATAGAAAAAATATTTTTATGGTATAAGATTTATCTGTACCACCTAGGAAATGTAAAATAAAAGAGTGCATATAGAGACAATGATGGTGGCATGATGTCCAGCTAACAGTCATACGTTATAGTCAACTCAGACAGAAGAAAATCACCTAACGGTACAGAAAACCAAAGCCTCCATAATGTATCAGTTATGGGAAGCATCAATTCCAGCTATCAACTAAATGTAGAGACAATAGACATTTTATATTTTTATTTTTAACTATAAAATTTTCCTTGAAATCAACTCTTCAAATTCTCAAATTTACAAGTGCAAAAAGTGAGGCTAACAAATGATGAAAATAACTTACCCTAAAATTAACTTTCAAAGTGTTCAAAGTGGGATACTCATTTTCTAGGCTGCTTTTTAGTTTCTAACAGTATCAGTCACTTACTAGGCTAAATTCAGCAACATTTACACCTCTTGTTTGAAATGAAAAGATAGTTTCTAATGAGTCCCTAATGAGTAAGAAATACCATTATTTATACCTATACAACTTGACAGAAGACTTGGACTTAATCCTGTTTCTGACATGTATTAGCTTTGTGCAAATCTGAGTCTTAACTCATGTTATTAAAATGAGGGAGCTCAAGAATTGTTTGCCCATATTCCATTACTTTCATTCTGAGAACACATAACTAAATATATTTTGTTACATATGGACATTAAATGAACTAAATAAGGAAGTTTATAATAATGCCTTAAAACTTACTTGATGTTCAATAGTTTTTGTTGATCAATTAAGGTGATTAATCATTACCTTTCCCCAAACATGGTTCATCGCTTGATGTATCTGGCCAATGAACTGCCATTCTATGTTCACAAATATATATTGAAAGTATGTTTGGAAGGTTCTAAAAGCAGAAATTTTTAACACATTGAAGAAAAAAATTGAATTAATCATAAAAGTTGGCCTCTTCCATAGCATTTCAAGTTTTAAAGTCTGGCATATTGCCCTATTAAAATTCTTGGCTCTTGTGGTTTAGAGTACATTGCTATATTGTTGCCTTATAAGTGATTTAATGTAAATAAAATATTCAATGCATCAATATACATAGTTTTAGAAAACTAAATTTTTTGGCAATACTATTTATATGCTTGACCTATGTCTTTGTTAAAAAATGCATGCTCACTGATTTACTTCTTCTTATGGCTAATTGTATTTTTAAAAACCAGATAGAAAAGTTTGACATTTGAAGGGTCATTCTTCCCTCAGAATTCATACTTTAGAGTACAGTCTTAATCTATTATTTTGAACCATAATTTTAAAAGAATATCCATGACCAATATTTTACTTTATTTTCTCAAATATCATTTTGTGGCAAACTCTATGTTAAATACTAGCTTACTTTAAATATAAATAAATGTTATTAGAAAACAATAAAAAATTATAGACTTTGCTATGAAAAATAGACCAAACATCTACAAAATGTAATCTTTCTGTTTTTTGTGTTTTCATCCTCATTCCTTCAAAGAAATTTGAGTTGACAACTAATTGGGATAAAAGAGCTATCAATTATTTATTTAAAGGGAAGGCCCAATTTTTACACAGTTGAGTAGAATTGAGAGGTCTTACCTCCCCAATCCCTTGGTAAAATGAATAGGAATTTTAATCCTTCAGTCTATTGCACTGCAACGGTTAACAATGGATCAGTGCAACTGGGTGATTCATCATTTTTTTATTTAGACTTAGGAAATACTTTCGGCAAAAGATTACCTCTCAACAAAATATTTCTGTTGTGTTTGTGTTTGGCGGAGTTTTTCTTTTTTCTTTTTAAATAGGTGAAACATAATTTTAAAATACTGTACAGAAATATATAGGATCATTTCCATGATTATTCTACCCTTGAAATTCCAATTCTCCCACCCTCAAACAGAAAAGCTTTTGATTATGATATGTCGCAGAGTCCATGATCAAAGAGGCTGGGGTTTTGCTAACCTCTGGAAGAGAAATCACATCTGGAAAGAGGCTAATAGTTAAAAGGACAAGACCACTGGGAGAGGGAGAGTGATGGGAAGATGGCAGCACTTTTCCCAGCTAGAAGTTTGATGAGGAAGCCCGCATTCCTTGTAAGAGTAAGATCGGTTTGAATGACTAGTAAAGAATATTCCCGTACATGGCACTCCACTTTTCTCTTATTCACTTTAAGTAAATTGGACTTCATTATTGGGAATGCCATATAAAGTTCTCATTAGAGTTGTTTACATAAATTCTATCCATATGCAAGGAAAACTGTCCCACTCCCAAGATTTCTACTTGTTCAAAGTGTGCTGAGATAATTTTGTGTTTCATTTTGTGGTAAACGTATCACTCACAAGTGTGGTTCACCACATAGAAAAGAACCATAAAGAAGATTGCTTTTTTTTTTTTTTTTTTTGAAAGGAGAATCAGAGATCCTCCCTGAGGTCCAAGGAATAGGTGTCAAGAATCCAGGTAACATAGGTAAATTATTCACTTTCTCCCCTTAAGCATCCAACATTCCCAATCATCAATATTTCCCTTAGTAAGTTATCAAAATTCAAGACAGCCTCCACTTGCTAAGCTTGCTATTACACATTATTTAGAAGCATTTCCATATGCTTTGCATCATTAAATCATTTTACAAACCCCAGGATAAATGCATCATGTTTCCATCTTTAAGTGGCCATAAGAGGAAAAATAGATTGACAACAGTCTGCAAAAACCGGGAATAGTACCAGACAGAGGTAGAACAAGATGCACTGGTCATTGTTAAAAAACTAAATCAAATTCATTAAGAAAAAATAATATGAGAAAAGTCCATACTCATCAATAATACATTCATATGTAAACATTATGCAAATGATTTACTGGTAAACAATGTCTAGTTCTATCACTGATCATTTTGTATTTCTTTGCTGTGATTCTTGTCTCGGAAATGAATTTCAAGACGTTCTGGTCTTTGAATGTATTCCACCCTGTAATCAGCCTCAATGAAGAAAGGAGAAGGAGAATTTGCCCTTTTGTCAGTTTTTTTCTGAACCATGTGACATTTCTTTACTAAGAGGCTTTTGTTTGAAAAAGGACTGGTTGACCCATGTAATCAGAATTCCTTAGTATGTGCTTAAAGCAAAGCAGAGCTGAGATATTCCTAGTGAGGGGTACAAATGCATCTGCTTGTTTTAAAATGCATCCTGATATATTTGTGGCCAAGCCCATTTGGGGAAATATCACTGACCTTTATTTTCTAGATCTGCAAAATCAGTCTAATGGCTTTTCAACATTCACTTTTTAGCCTGTATTGAGGAAGTTGCTTAACTCTTGTCTTCTGTTTTGTTTGTTTGCTTTGTTTTTTAAACGTGTTAAACAGTCATCCCTTACCTCCATTTTTACTTTTAACATTTTAAAATAATGTTTTTGCCTCCCTTACCAAATAAACTTTTTAATTTATGAGGAAAATAGACCATTGGAGGGACTGGGAATCCTGCCCAAATCTATCTATAAGAGTCATACACATTCAGATAAATATTATGGTCATATTTTGTGGTTGAGTATATATAGCTAAAATATCTGGGTAGTTGATTTTTTGACAAATAAAAATGATAAATACTTACTATGTACAACGGGTTGTTTTGAAGTATATATGCATCATGGAATGATTAAATTGAGCTAACATATGTAGTACCTTACATACTTATCATTTTTTTGTGGTGACAAAACTTAAAACTCACTCAGCAATTTTCACAAATACAATATATTGTTATTAACTATAGTCACCATGTGATAGAATAGATATCTGGAATTGATTCCTCTTATATAACCAGAATTTTGTATTTTTTACCATCTGGGTAATTGATATTTAGATTTTCATTGAAGAATGGGTTGTACAGTTATTTAGATTAATATTAAAAATACATATGTTAATCTTTTACCTTGCCCAATGTTCACATGATCGACTAAACTTATGCAAATGGTTTACTGTCCTCAAATCTTTGAATTTTTGAGTAAAAGAGGCCCAGAGATTTTATTCAGCATGTAATAATAACAACTACAATAATAATAAGCACTTGGCATTTACTGATCATTTCCTATATTCCAACCTACTAAGGTACTTTCTTGAACTATCTCTTTCATTTTATTTCAGCAATGGCTAAGTGAATTAGGTTCTATTACTCATTTCCCTAAAATAAAACCAGTTTACATCTATTTAATAATTTGTTCAAGGTCCCATTGTTATGATGACAGTAGCAATTAAAGATTTTACAAAATGGGTTGGAACAAAATTTCTGATCACTGTATTTTGTGGAATAGTGTGGAAATAATTTAATACATATTAGATCTAAAATATTACAGAGAAAGAACTCAAATATTATACATACACATACACAGAGAAAAACACAATATTAAAGGCATGAATGTTTGTTACAAACACTTTAGAAAACAATGCAGCATTACTTTGTCAAGTTGACTATTCACCTACACTGTGAGTCAGGTAATTCATTTGTAGGTATGTACTTTAGTGAAATTGTTGCACGTTTGAACTAAGATATGCATAAAATGTTCATACCAGCACTGGTTATAATTTTTGAAAATCATTAGAAATCTTGAATTTCTATCATAAACAATAGAAAAATAAACTGTGGCACATTAGGACAAGGAAATGTTATGTAGCAGTAAAAATGAATAAACTCTATCTCTATGTAATCACATGAATGAGTCAGATACATAATATTGATGGAAAAAAGTTCAAGAAGACTAATAAAGTATGATAACTTTAAAAATCTCTATAAAGAATTACATATTCTTTATGAGTATTTATACACTAAATAAAATAATAAATACAAGCTTCAAAATAGTGGTTACCTTGGAGGTGAAAGCAGAATGATGGGATATAGGATATAGAAAACCTATAGGATAGGTTTTCTATAGATGGGTAGATGGGTTTTCTATATAGGGTTTTCTATATGGGTTTCTATAGATGGGTAGATGGGTTTTCTATATAGGGTAGATGTAACCCTATCTATAACTGGCCAGCTCTGAAGGTGAATCTTAAATTCAGGGTGATTGTTCTATTTGTCTGATTCATAACTTTTCATCTATTCTTTTTGTGAATCAAACATAATATTGCAAAGTGGGATAGGTGTGCACCAGGACACAAAAATTCTGCAATTTATAGGGAGAAATGTCAAGAAATTTTGGGTAAAAAAGAGACCATGCAAGGAATAAGGGACTTGTTCTGCTGTGTATTAAATATATCATAAATCTTCAGAAATACAAGTTTAAAATATTGGCAGAAAAATAACAAATAGGTGAGAAAAACAAGATAGAGAACTCAGAAACAGATAAATGCATGCATGCGTATGGAATATATGATGATATTTGCATATAAATCTAGTGAGAAATGCATATAATAAGGTGTTGAAAAATTTGTTTATACATTAAATGTATCAAAATATTATGTACCCCATGAACATGTACAACTATTAGTTGTAAAAAAGTCTGAAAAAAATTGCTCTCTATTTAAAAGAATATAAAACTAGATCCCTACTTCTCTATTTTTTTAAATCCAAATGGAGTAAGCCTATAAATATTAAAATGGAAACCATAAAGCATTGAAGAAAATGAAAGTAATAGTTTCATAACCTCCGTGTGGGGGAAGAACTAAGAAATCTAGAAATTTAGCAGCTATTGAAGACAGTAAAATAATTAATTACATAACATTTTAAAAAATTTCTACTGACAAAATAAAAGTCAGAGATGTAGTATAGAGAAGTTTAAGCAAATATTTTTGTTTTAGAAATGAAAACAAATGGCAGAAAATAGCAACTCTAATGAAATATCTCAAAATAATGGCTAATGCAAACTTAGAAGTTTTTTCCTATTAATACATGCATAAGTAAGTTTATTGATCTAATTAATTAATGGGAATTTTAAGCCACAAACAATCATTTTTGGTATTTAGTGGGAACATTTTAGGGTGTGAGAATTTGTCATTTCTACTGATTAGAATGTATAGTTATCTGCAGTTTTATAGATCTAGTCAACTTAGCTTTTAGGGTAGTTTTAAAAATTATGTAATGTACAGCATATCCCAAACTGGGTACCAACTGGATCTGTCATAAAAGAGACCATTTACCAGCAAATAATTATCTGCAATGTTGAGGAAAAGTGTAAGAAAATGAGGATAGATGTCTCATATTAGAATAATGAAAGTTTTCAACTAGAAATTACCACTTGATTTTGGGGGGCAGCATAAGAACAAAGTAAGAAAGTAGACAGTGCCACCATCAGTTCATGCTGTGCTCTGAAAAGGAATACCCAAATTTCTAACACCTTCTTTTTCACATGTCAGCTGTTTAAGAATGAGGATTGAAGTCTTTTACTTACAATGATTTTGCTGTTGTAAATTAATGACCAAAGTGATCTATTATTCAGTTGCTCAACTGCTGCTTTATTTCTGTTGATCTTTGTTTTTCTGCTTAATTTCTATAAATTACTGTACAGTTTCCCATAAGGTATAATTAAGCAGAATTGCTTAAGTTTTAATTATTGTGTATTATAGATGTTGAAAGCAACATTAGCACTTGGCTTTTAAAAATGTGATCGTATATTTATAAGAGAGCATTTATAAACACATTTACATATAGTTAAGATGAAAAAGGTATTTGAATTGCAGTCATTAGCATTTCTTCAAACATATGGCAGAGCAGCGGAGGCCATGGGCCATGCCTTCATTAACTGAACACTGTTTCATCAGTGTTTCAGCTTCCTGCTGTGCCACCCTGTGGCGTCCCCTTCTGTCCCTGAGGTTTCAGTAACAAGGGACAATATGTCCCCAAGGTGAAAATCTGGAAAATATAGCAGATTAGCCCTTAGAGGAGTTCTTATGATTATTTAATCATACTTAGAGAAGAAACACACAGCACTGTTAAACCAGTTTTAATGTTTTCTTGTCAGTTTCCATTTCTCAGTTGCTGTAGCCGGGTTTGTCTGCAATGCACAGTGAACATAAGCGAGGTGAAATGGGACACCTTTATGCTGCCATCGTAAGGCCGATTTGTTACACATTTGCTGGCATAATGGTCGAGGCCGACATAGGTACTTACAAATATCTTAGGTTAATTATAATTTGTTGATTATAATGTTATCAGATAATAGATCAGCAGGAAACTTTCTTTAATGATGTCACATATGATAATTTTACCGTATTCCCTTTTAAAAAATAAACAAGAAAAATGAGTAAGAACATTGTCTTATAAGTAGCATGGCCATGTTTTAATTGTATCCTTCTCTGGTACATGAAGATTATTAAATCTTGGCGACAAAGGCATATGTCTCAAGATGTTAGTCACCTTTATGTTAGTTACATCTGCTAAATACCTCACATTAATATAGAAATAGTACCTATAGTATCGCTGTAATTATATATATGTAAACATTTTTATTAGCTTTTTAGTCTGAGATTAAAATTGTTAATAATAAACTCCTGTGATACCTGAAAAAGATGTATTTAAACATGAACATTTTTGGTCAAATTTTATATAATTAAGTAATTGTCATTAGTTTCTAATAATTGAGATGTGAAATCTTAGAAAAATCTTCAAAGCAGATAAACTAACCAAATATATGATATCTACTTCTCTTTGCTGAATGACTATGGATATTACACTTGGGAGATTCTTGGAAAAATTAAAATAATATCAATAAATGGAATAATTCAGAGGTATTCCAATGGTTGGAGCCATTAAAACAAGAAAAAGAGAAAACGTGTTGATTATTTGACTATGTAGGTTTTTTTAAAACAAGAATTACTACTATATCTAATATTAAATTCAGGAAACTTTTTAGTTCATTTTAATTAATAGTCCCATCAATTGTATATACAGTATATGCAGAACCTCAATGAAATAATAATGTCTTATAGGAAATTATCACATTCTTAAAGGAATTATTAAGTGCTGTTGTTTTGACCTTTTCCTTTTTCTTATACACACTAGCAAATTCGCAATTTTTTTTTTTCTGAATTGTCCTTCAATTTGTAAAATCACTTCCTTACTGTTATGGTCATTGCTCGTATTTAATTTATTTTTTAAGGTAACCACGTTAAGCATTCTGTGTAAGAAACAAAAGAGACAAAAGATATAATCATTTTCTTCAATGAGGTATGTTTTTGTATAAACGAAATATGTATTTGTTGATAGAAGTCAGGCTCTAAAATTACTACTCTGCCTTTCCTTCCACAGATGACTTTTGTGCTTTCTTGTCTCTAGCATAAGAGTTAGAACACAGACTCTAGAGCCAAACCATCTCAGCTTGTAACCCAACTCCACCACAAAGCAGCTCAAAGACCTTGAGAAAGTTTTTTTAAGTTCTTTGTGCCTCAGTTTTCTCACAGAAACAACATAAGCTCCTACCTCAGTGGTTTGTTCAGATGATTAAATAAGTTAACTTATGTAAAGTGCCCAGAAGAGTTCTTGAAAATAGTAAACATTTCATTATTAAAGACCCTTCTCCCATTAAAAAAATTTAAAAATTTCATATCCTTTCCTCCTCTAGTGTCCCCACTATGCATCCTAGTTTTGACCCCATATTCTTCCTCCTTTTCAAAAGCAAAAGTTTTTTTTTTTAATTTTATTATTATTATACTTTAAGTTTTAGGGCACATGTAAAAAAGAAGATTAGTACAATTACATTAACATTTTCATAACATGAAAAATAAAATTATCTTGAAAAAGAAAAATAAAAAGTTTTGACACATGCCACTTAGTGGCTACAGGCAGCATAAAGGAAAGGGAATGTAGAGAGAAAAGTATAGTAATGGACCATTTTCAGCAATAACAAAATCTGTAATATAGGACCAAGTAATAAGGGTGACTTTAGACTCATCAGATGAGAACTTCATAAAAGTCAACTTTTTTTCACAGCACACTCCCAGTCTTTTCATTGCTATAAACTGATCATTGTTGGTATAATTGAGGGTACAGTTACTAGTACTAAGAGACTGCTCTGTCTGCATATACTAGACAAATATAGGGACAACGAAAATGTAAACAACCTTATGATATTGTAAACTACCAGAATTCAAAAAATAAGATCAAGGGCATTGTTAATATTTACCAGAATATGTTTCAATAAAACATTAATTAAATGGGATATATATCTTTGTATGATGGATTAGTAAAATATGGTGTCAAATCATATAAATATATTTGCTTTGGGGAATTCCCTTTTGGACCCTTTTATTTTTTATCATCTCATAGCATATCACAAGTCCCCAGAAATATGCCATGCTAATATTGCCAACTGAGTTTTTCCAAGCAAAGATGACATCAGCCATCTGTCACACAGTACTAATGCTGAGAAGCAAAGCCAACTATAGAGAAAATAAATACCTTTCATATTGATTAGCCAAATATTTATGTTGAGAATGAAATGATTAAAATCTCACTATTCAAGCTAATTACTGTAAGTGAATATTTGCCTCCAAGTGAATGACATACCAGCAGTGTATTTTCTTTATTGCTTTCCTAAAACCAAATTTCATTGTGAACCTGTGTGCTGCATGAGGGGCTTGTGCTAGACTTTGCAAGGTGTTGCAATACACTGCCATAGCGATCTTTCAGCCTGCAGGTGTATCTCCTGCTGCCTTGGTAGATTTGATATACACTGTGCTGCACTGGTTTCCAGATGGCTGCACTCTTGTTCTATTTTAAGTTACTCTGTCTCTTAAAGTCTGTTACACTGGAGCCGGTCATTGCAGGGTCAAACAATCGGTGTTTGCTAACTTTGACTTGATGCTGAAACATCTATTTTTTCTGGAAGTGTTTAAAGATTGGCTAAATAGCTACCTGGCTTGATCACAGTAGATGATTACATTGTTTCCTAAATCAGGTAGCCCTATTCGGAGACATGAGAAGTTTTTCCAAATTCAGTCACGGCTATTGTGGTTACACTGAGTCATTCCATGTCAGTAGGAGAGATGTTGGCTGAACTTGCTATGTCAGCTGTTTTAGAATACAGATCTATATATAATCAGAGGACTGAATTTTTTCTACATTATAGCTAGGTCTATAGAACAACGAGCTATTTTATAATAGTGTTGTATATTTTCTTTCTGGGAAAGAAGTGAAATTTAGAGGTTTATAATTTGATTAAGCAGTAAAAGGTGCTTTGAGCCCTCTTCCAGGTGACTTAAAGGTCATAGTATAGAATGCTTCTGTAAACTCAGGCATTTCCATTTAGTTTGGCTTGGTGCAGCATACTTTTCTAAAATAAATGAAACATGATGATACAAAAATATTTTGGGCAAGTCTGCAGCTTTATATAGTAACCAAAGTCAAAGGGTTATGTAAGCAATCTAAAAGATCAATTACACTTAAATCACTCTAGATGGCTATTCTGTGGGGTTTCCAAGGGAGCCCAAAATACAATTGAAATGAATAAACACATTTTATCTGTTGTTTCTTTCTAAATATCAAATTATCCAGACGTATAAAAAAGTGTGAGCAAATGGATTACCCTTTTAGACATTTGACCTGGTCATTGAAAATTTCAGAGAAAACTTAAGGCCAGGCGCGATGGCTCATGCCTGTAATCCCAGCACTTTAGGAGGCCGAGGCGGGCGGATCACCTGAGGTTGGGAGTTCGAGACCACCCTGACCAACATGGAGAAACCCCGTCTCTACTAAAAATACAAAATTAGCCGGGCGTGGTGGCGCATGCCTGTAATCCCAGATACTCAGGAGGCTGAGGCAGGAGAATCGCTTGAACCCGGGAGGCAGAGGTTGCCATGAGCCAAGATCGTGCCACTGCACTCCAGCCTGAACGACAAGAGCAAAACTCTGTCTCAAAAAAAGATTTTTTAAGACCTATGTAGATATATTTGAAAAATCAGTTTAACAAAATATCATACCACTTTGCCTAGCAGGATACTAATTCTTTTCGTAGCTATGACATTAATCTATCCTAGAACACATCTTCAAACTATGCAATTTTCAGTTATATTATTCTACAATGTTTGTTACAACAAAATAATACATATTTCTGAACCAATTGAGAAAGAAAGTGATATCACAATGGGGGACCATTATTATCATTACAGAATGTGGCTTTTCTATATTGAGCCATCGCACTAGGCAAATCCACCTATGTAGTCATGTGAGTATGACCATAGCAGATTTCCCCACATCCTGCTCTGTTATTCAGAGAAGAGAATCGGCCCTTGCTGTGCAATAGGTAAAGGGGCTGCTGCTGTGAGTCAACAAACTTCAAAGATGGAAAGTGGAAGTGGTCTGGCAAGCCAACCAATTTATTCTCCAGAAAACTTTTATTACATCCCCTAATGTGGAATGAGTAAATAGGAGGCAAAAGAGGGTCCCACAATTTGAGCACTTTTACATAGAAGCAAGGAGCAAAACTGGCCAATAAGCATTTGCTCCTGACATAAAGCTTTTTTTAAAAAAAATAATTTATTCTTCCTTTAATTAACTAGTATAAAATTTGATGTGTTTATTTTCTTCTCCTTCTCCAGGCAAATATAAATTTATATTGTAGCAGCTATCTTTTGCTGCATAATAAACTACACCAAAACTTTGCTGCTTAAATAAATAACCATTTCTATGTTCATAATTCTATGGATTAGCAATTTGGGTAGGAATTGTCTGGGTTAACTCCTCTGTGTATCACGTGATGCTGGATGGCCTCAGTCATGCATTTTTTGATTAGTTGTAACAGCACCTTGAGCCTGATTGTCCTGGATAGCCTCCTGCACATGCCTGGTAAAGCTCTGGGGGCTGTTGGTCAGGTGACCTTGGTTCTCCACCACCTGATTTCTCATAGGCCAAAAGTTGTAATAGGCATCTTTCCATGATGATGGAAGCACTCTAAGAAGGTGAAAACAGAAGCTGCAAAGTCTGTAGGGCCCAATCTTAGAAGTCACATTCTATTATTATGAATTTTATTAGTTATAGGAAGTCACAAAAATCAAGGAATTCGGTGAGAGCCATTATAAAAATTTACTATTCAAATAAATATAAGTAATATAAATGTAAATACACACACACACAGAGAAAGATTGGTATACCACTTAAGATTTGAGATTGCAGACTCTGAAGACACCCTGACAAAGCTTGTGTTTTAGCTCTGATGGTTACTTGATGTATCATATCTTAGACAAGTTATTTAACTTCTCTGTTTTTCAGTATTATTATCAGTAAAGCGATAATAAGAATAGCTATACTGTAGGTTTGTTTTAAGCATAAATAATTAAGGCATGTAAGATTGAGATCAGTACCTAGCATATTGAAATTCATAATAATATCTTTTTTGGATACTTTCAGATATATAAAAAAGGGAATCTTACTGAAGACATTTCTCTAAAACTTGCATTTTTGTCTTAGCAAAATGTAAAGATCAACCCTTACAGTGAAAATATGTTAATCTAACTGTTTTAATGGGCACCTGGTGATCCAGACAAGAAATCTAAACATGGAAGGAGGTACCCAACAATTTTTCTTACTCCCTTTATTTTGAATCCAGGTTTGTGGCTTGCTTCTCTATGTAGAATGTGGTTAATTTCACTTTAAGTCAGAGATGAATTTTCATTTTATAGCCCAGAATTAACATTTTCTAAAGGTACTGCTTCTGAAAGAAAGAAAATGATGAGCTTTGGAAGCCATCAGTCTCTCTTATAAAAGGACAGCCAATAATGAGAGAAGGGAATCAGGTAGATAATATAAGAGCTATAGATGAACCAAAGTAAGCTATGCTAATAAAAAGCATAAGCCCCTGGTAAAGGAACTCATAAGTCTACCCTGAGCATTCTTCTACCCAGGTACCAGGAGCCTCACCATTAACAGATAATCTGGACCAATTCAACTTTCAAATATAAAAAGCAAGTTTCAAATATAAAACTGTAGCATCCATGTAACAATTATTAAAGGAAGAGACAATAATAATAAAATAAATTGGCAGTTGCAATCATATCATGAAGGAAAAGGGAGCAAAAAAAATTCAACATGAGTTAAAATAAATTGATAAGAATTAAAAATGTGAAAGAAATTTATTAAATAAAAATATAAATGAAAAGCAAAGACCAGATAGACAAGTAAGCAGAAAATGAGAAACAAGAAACTATAAAACTCTTGAAAGAAACGACTGCATAATACATTGTAGAATATAGAATTTTCTGAGCAAAGGTTAAGTAAGTTATAGTAAGGAACATAGAAAAGCAAATTGAAACAAGCCAAAATAAAAAGAGAAGTATAAAGAGAAAATATAAATAAAATGACCCACTAAATATAACATTTACTTTTTTCCTGAGTTAGAATATTTGTTTTCATAAATAAGAAAATTAAAACAGTAAAACAGAAGTAACAGTTAACATTAAAAACAAAAACGGACCCAAAAAACCTGAAAAAGCAAACAAACTAAAAAAGTCACTAAAAAAGTCACTAAACTCTCTGCTGATTGAACTGATCAATTCTGCATAGATGTATGGTATAAGTTATACTTGAAAAATTGACCTGGTCAACTTGAGAAATAGTTCAGTAAAATTAGAGTTTGAAGAAAAAGAAAAATCTCCCATGCTTTTAAACATAAAGAGTAAGTCACTTATAAAGCAAGAAAATAATATTTGACATCAAACATTTCTGTAGCAAAATCGAGTTTCAGCAAAGAGTGAAGCACTGGTTTTTTTTTTAAAGATATTCAAGAAAAAAACAAAGTATAGTACCAGGATTTTATACCCAACCAAACTATCACTTCAGTGGTCAGGTGTACACATACACATGACTGTTGAACATGTACCTTTCAAGGAAAATTTTATGCATGAGTATTCTTGAAAAATTTACAAATGACTTCCCAATAAAAAGATGATTGGAAAATTTTACAAAAGACTGGTGGTCTTTTAATTATTAATTACATTTAAAAATAAATGTATTAGTGAACAGTGTTGGCATAAGGATGAGAAGCTATTATTTTTATGCTGTTGACTTCTTAATGTTAAATTATTAAGATAAACCTCTAAAAGAATGTCTGTATATCTTTCAGATGTATGAAAATGAAGAGGTTTTTTAGATATATATGAATTAATGGAGCATGTATGCACATTTAGAGTATGTATTACATATTTTAAAATATTTTATAAGTAATTACAAAAATTGTCAAAAAAAATCTTTTAAAATAGAAATATAATATTTGGTTTTTATGCCAAATAGGCTAAAAGATTTATAAGTTGCTAAAAATCAACACTGTCAGAGATCTATAGCAATTAAATTCTAAAAGGCTGTGGTGAAATCCTCTTCTCTATACAATTTCAAAGAAAGAAAACTATTAAAATGAGAGAAAAGTGGGAGAGAGAGTTTATATTTCTCATAAAAGCCATATAGTACAGCAATATAGAATAGACTAATAACATAATTATTAATTTACCTACTTAAAAAAATTTGACATATTTTATTTAAATAAATTATCTTTTCAATTAATCTAGTTAAATTCCAGTGTCTCACACAGAATAGAGTTCTGATATGTTTTTAATTTTTTTTGTTGTTGTTGTTGTTGAGACGGAGTCTCGCTCCTGGGAGGCGGAGGTTGCAGTGAGCTGAGATCACGCCACTGCACTCCAGCCAGGGCGACAAGAGCAAAACTCTGTCTCAAAAAAAAAAAGAATTTACTCTTAACATAGTATAAACCTCCGCCTCCCGGGTTCACGCCATTCTCCTTCCTCAGCCTCCCAAGTGGCTGGGACTACAGCACACGCCACCACGCCGGCTAATTTTTTGTATTTTTAGTAGAGACGGGGCTCCACCGTGTTAGCCAGGGTGGTCTCGATCTCCTGACCTCGTGATCCGCCCACCTCGGCCTCCCAAAGTGCTGGGATTACAGGCGTGAGCTACTGCGCCCGGCCTGTTTTTTGATTTTTAAAATATGACTCTCAATAGCTAATAAAAATATCTGAACAGTTCTGTATGCCTTTCAGATCCAATATTACTAGGCTATGGTACTTACGTATTCTTAAAGTGAGTATTTAGGACTTTTTCTTTTGCCTTTTCTTTGACTTTGGCTTTTCTTCCTTGATATTCTGAATCTGACTTCAAGAACTGAAAGCCAAGGTAGCAGGCAATGTATTGTCTTATCTAACTTTTACTATCTCGTAAAAGAAAGCAAACATTTTTGCCTGCAAATAAAAACTTTTTCTGTAATTAATCTCAAATAATAATTACAAAGTCCTTACACAAGGAATTATTATGCACAACACATTCCTTTGAAAGAAGTGAATGCATAAAATAGAAAAATCGTGTCTTATGAATTTTTCATTGATCTGTAAAGACAGAGAAATTTATACTAAACTAAGCCTTGGGACACTGAACTAGTCTTCCAGGTACCAAGATAACAGAGTCCCAGGCATTTAGTTTCATAAGAAGAGGAAGAAAAAGCTTGGAAAAGCCAGATATTTTTTACATAGCATATCTTTGTCAACAATGTTTTAAGCCAGTTACTGGATTATGATCTGTTTGTCAATTATTTATATTACAGGTAACTGTAAAATAAACAGTTTATCTTTCTTGGTTAAAATGATTGCTACATATTTTAAATATTATAAGTGGCCAGGCTTTGAATCCAGGTTCTCATTGACGACCTAAAGATAATTACACTACATACCCTCATGGTGATTCTGCTTCCACATCCAAAAAATAGCGATAATTTATTCATTTATTCAATACATTTTTATAGATTATTACATCTGCCAAGATAGGTTGGGTTATGCCATGGTCAGATAAACTCCCTTTCAGTGGCTGCATACCAGAAATTTACTTTCCTGTTGTAAAAATCCATTCTAGGTCTGGGCAGCTCTCCATAACAGTTGTCCTCCAAATGTACACTCAGCATTGCAGGCTGCTTCAATTGTTTGGCACCGCCATATGAACATGAGATTCCAAGATTTTCACACAAGGGGGAAGTGATGGCTGAAAATTTGAGTCAACAATTAGATTCAAGTATCTATAAGTAACATGCAGCATTTTCTCTCCCATTTCTTGAAAAAGTGTGCTATATGTCCACATCTAACTTTAGAATGTTAGGAAAGAACATTGTGTCCAAATAAATTGGCTCTCATTGAGCAGTAAAAGTGCTTACCCAGTCACCATCAAAGTGTCAAGCATTATTCCTAATTGAGCAATTAAAGCAGTAAGCAGAAAATTCCAACTTTCTGGACTTCATGGATCTTAAACTGCAGTGATGGTGATAAGGTGGGTATAGAGACAACAAAAAGGCAGGAAATATATAATACATCATAGAGTGGTAGGTGTTGTTAGGAAAACGGGAATTAGGCTAACTGGAATAGTACATAAAATGATGAAGGTGGCAATAGTTGCTTATGATTTTTTAAAAAATATATTTGGAAAGTGTAGAATATTGTACTGATAAGATGATATTTGAGTAGAAACCTAAAGGAAGTGAGGCAGAAAACTACAGATATTTGGAAGAGGGAACAGCGAATGTGAAGGTCATGAGTCAGGTAAGGGTGTAGCTTAGCATATCAAGAGGCAAGTAGATGAGTGACTTCAGCAAGATGGCAGAATAAGAAGTCCCGGCCCTTGATATTTGACAAAAACACAGATTTAACAATTTTATATGTATCAGAATGCCTTTATGAGAGGTCCAGAATCCAGTTAAGAAGATGTAGTACTCCAGATGGGCACAAAAGTGAGAACGGCCACATTGAAACTGGTAAGAGCAGTTTTGCTTTCCCTGTGTCAGCCCCTCTTCCAAGCTGCCATAGTTCAGCACCTAGAGAAATTGTCTTAGCCTCAAGGCGAAAAACAGAGTGGAGCATGCCTCTAAGTTCCTAGCCTTCTAGTTCGTTGCCCAAGGGGACAGTTTCTGCCTCACTTCACATGTGATGCTAATGGGACTGGTATTGCGCAAATGGCTGGGGGCATTTACAAATAAAGGAAAAGGGGCAGACAGCTTGCTGCAGCCAGCACAGCTCTGTCAGATTGAGAGAAAGTACAAAACCAAAGTCTCCTCCCTTAGGTGGAATGGAGAGAAGCGGAGCATGCTTCCAGTGTCCTGCCATTTCAGTGGACTGTTTAACAGGTTGGCTGCCATTTTTTTCTCACTTAGAATGCTGACAAAACTGGTATAGTTTGGAGGGACAGCTAAGAATGAAGGAAAAAGAACTTGCAGCTTTCTACACCCCGCATGGCTCTGTAAAATTTGGAGAAAGTGCAGAGGTTATATATTCTCCACACAGAAGGAAGGAAAGGAGTGGAGTGTGCTGCCAATGTCTTGACCTACGGTTTACAGTCTCATAAAAGAAGAAGCGAGAGCTTACAGGCCTTTGAAAAAGCAAAGGGCAGCAAATTCCTGTAATTAAGAACCTACACACACAAGTTCAGAGAATACACATCCGTAGGAAAGGTTACAGAACTTCCTAGAATTTCGTTCTGGGTTAATTGGTTAAAGTTTTTCCCCATTAAAGCCAATCTTTACACAGACTGAACAAATTGACCTTTATTAACATGTGCAGAAACCAACACAAGCTACAAGGAACCTGAAGACTCAGGAAACATGACACAATAAAAGGACCAAAATAAATCCCCAGTACCCAGCAACAAAAGAAATGAAGATCTATGAATTTCATGATGAAGAATTCAAAATAATTACTTTTAAAGAATCTCAGTAAATTACAAGAGAACACAGACAGCTGACTGAAATCAGGAAAGTAATATGTGAACCAAAGGAGAATATCAATAAATAAAAATTCTACAAAAAAACCCACAAAAATTCTGGAGCTGAAAAAATACAATAACTTAAGTTAAAAATTCATCAGAGTGCTTTAATATCGGCTCTGAGGAAGACAAAGAATCAGAAAACTCAAAAGCAGGTCATTTGAAATTATTCAGTCAGGGGAGCAAAAAGAAAAAAGAATAAGTAGCACGGGAGAAAGTCTAAGTGAATTATAAAACACTATCAAGAGAAAAATATATATTATGAAAGTCCCAAAAGTGGAAGAGAGAAAGGAAAAGAAATCTTATTTTACAAAAGAATGGCTGAGAAGTTCCCAATCTAAGGAATATAGATATCTAGATACATGAAACTCAAAGACACCTAGTAAGATGAACCCAAAAAAGTATATACTGAGACACATTGTAATCAAATTGTTAAATGTCAAAGATAAAGAATTTTGAAAGCAGCAAAATAAAAGTGACTTGTCGTGTACAGGTGAGATCCAATTAGACTATTCATGGCTATCTCAGCAGAAATTTCGTAGGCCAGAAGACAGTGAAATGATATACTTAAATTGCTACAAGAAAAAAAAAATCTGTCAAACAAGAATATAATGCCTGGGAAAACTGACCTTCAAAATGAAAGAGAGGTAAAGGCTTTCCAAGACATGCAAAAGTTGAGGAAATTTGTCACCACTATACCTACCTTTGTTCTTCAAATTTAACAAAAGGACACTAGGCAGCAACACAAGCATATGAAAGTAAAATACTCACTGGTAAGGGTAAATATATAAACAAATAGTGTGTATCGTACTGTAGTGACAGTGTGTAAATCACTTTTAATTGTAATATAAAAGTTAAAAGACAAAATTATTAGGAATAACTATAACTACAATAATTTGTTAATAGATACACAATATCAAAACATGTAAATTGCAACTTCAATAACATGAAAGTGTGAGTATGGTGAGTAAAAGTGTAGAGTGTTTTGTTTTGAAAATTGGAGTTGTTACCAGCTTAGAGTGTTACGACTATGTTTTATGTAAGCCTCGTGATAATAACAAAATACATATAGAATATACACACACGCACAAAAAGAGAAAGGAATAAAAACATTTCAGTATAAAAAATCCACAAATAAAAAAACAGATAGTAAGAAAGGAAATGAAGATAATAGTTAACAGATTCTGCAAAACAGACAGAAGACAATTAATCAAATGGCAATTGTAAGTTCTTACCTATCAAATTACTTTCAACATGAATAGATTAAACACAGCAATCAAAAGACAAACAGAGTTTGGATTAAAAAAAAAAACAAGATCCAACTACAAACTGTCTACAAGAGACTTAATTTACATTTTAAAGAACAGACATAGACTGAAAGTGAAAGAATAGAAAAAGGTAGAGATACAAATCATAACCAAAAAAGAACAGCAGTGGCTATACTTATATCAAACCAAATAGACATTAAGTCAAAAACTGTCAGAAGAGACACAAAAGGATATTATATAATAAAAATATGTCAGTTTACCAGGAAGATATGACAGTTATAAGTACATATACACCAACTTCAGAGCACCTAAATATGTAAAGCAAATATTGATAATACTGAAAGGAGAAATAGATAGCAATATAGTTATAGCAGAAGACTTTAATATGCCAATTTCAATAATGGCTAGAACATTCTGACAGAAAATCAATAAAGAAACAATGAACTTTAACAATACTGTAGACCAAATAGACATAAGAGACACATATGGAACATTCTACCCAATAGCAGCAGATTACACATTCTTCTCCAGCATACACAAAAATGTCTGCACGATAAATAAATGACACACTAGGTTACAAAACAAATCTTAACAAGAAGTCTTAACATTTCAGTCTTTAAGAAGACTGAAATCACTTCAAATATATTTCCCAATAACAATGGAAAGAAACTAGAAATTAATTACCGAAGAAAAGCTGGGAAATGCACAAATATGTCGAAATTTTAAAAAATATTCTTGAGTAACCAATGGGTCATAAAAGAAATGCAAAGGGAAATTTAAAATTGTTTGAAAACAAAAACACAACATAATAAAAATTACAAGTTGCAACAAAAGCAGTACCAAAATAAAAGTTTACAGCAATAAACATGTACATTAAAAAAGGAAGATCTTAAACAACCTAGCTGTACATATCAAGAAACTAGAAAAAGAGCCACAAAAGCCCAAAATTAGCATGGTGGAGGAAATAATAGAAGATTATAGCAGTAACAAATAAAATAGAGACTAAAAAGACAATATAAATGAATGAGACCTAGACGTTTTCTTCAAAAAATAAACAAAATTGACAACTCCTTGGCTAGAATAGCTATGAAAAAAATGGAAAATGTTTAAAAATCAGAAAGAGAAGGCATTACCACAGGTTACACAGGAATAAAAAAGACTGCTATGAACAATTATACACCAACAATTGGATAATCTAAACTAAATGGATAAATGCCTAAAAACATCCAGCCTACCAAGAATAACTCGTAAGTAAATAGAAAATCTGAATAGAACAATAATGAATAGGAGATTGATTCATAAATCAAAACCTTCCAATAAAACAACAACTACAACAACCCGGGGTTAGATGTCTTCACTGATGAATTTTACCAAACATTACAAAAATAATTAGCACTAATCCTTCTTCATCTCTTTCAACATATACAAAAAGAAAGAATACTTTCAAACTTATTTTATGAGGCCAGCGTTACCCTACTACCAAGTCAGACAATGACACTACAAGAAAAGAGAACTACAAGCCAATATCCCAATGAAAATACATTTAAACATACTCAACAAAATATTAATACTAACAGCCCTAATTCTGAATTGCACAGCAAATTAAAAATATCACACACCATGATAAAGTGGGATTTATCTCTGGGATGAAAGGATGGCTGAACATATGCAAGTCAATTAATGTATACACCACATTAACAGAATGAGAAGGAAAAAAAATCACATAATCTCAATAGATGCAGAAAAAGCATTTGATAAAATTTGACGCCATTTCACAATAGAAAACAAAAACCCTCAACAAACTAAACATAGAAGGAACTCAATTCAACGTAGGAGGGGCCACCTATGAAAAGCCCACAGCTAACATTATAGGCTAAGATTATAAACAAGAGAAGGGTACCTACTCTGTCAATTTCTATCCAAAATAGTATTGCAGTCTTAGCCAGGGTAATTAGGCAAGAAAAAAAAGAAAGACATCCAAATTGAAAGGAAGAAGTAAACTTATCTGTTTGTAGATTACATGATTAAATATGTAGAAAACCCTAAAGACTCCACCAAAAAACTGTTAGAACTAATAAATTCAGCAAAGGTACAGAATAAACTATCAATATATAAAAATTGATTATGTTTTTCTACACTAACAATGAACTATCTGTAAATGAAATAATCTCATTTAAAATAATCTCGAGAAGAATAAAATACTTGGAAACAAACGTAACCAAGAAGATAAAATCCTTATACACTGAAAACTTTAAAACATTGATGAAAGAAATTAAAGAATACACAAATGAGTGAAAATACATTCTGTTCATGTATTGGAAGATTTAAAATTGTTAGAATGTCAACACTACCTAAATAATCTACACTTTCAATGCAATTCCTATCAAAATTCTAACAGCTTTTTTTTTACAGAGATAAAAAATAAACAATCCTAAAATTCATATGGAACCACCAACAACCCCAAATAGCCAAAGCAATTCTGAGAAAGAACAAAGATAAAGTAATCACATTTTCTGATTTCAAAATATATTACCAAGCTATACTAATTAATATGGTTTGATTCTGACATAAAAACAAACATACAGACCAACGAAACAGAAAACGGAGTCCAGAAATAAACTGACACATATAGAGTCAACAGATGTTTAACATAGGTGCCAAGAATCCACAGTCAGAAAAAGTCTGTCCAGCAAATTTACATGAGAAAAACAACCCCATTAAAAAGTGGGCAAAGGACATGAACAGACATTTCTCAAAAGAAGACATACATATGGCCAACCAGCATATGGATAAAAGCTCAATATTACTGATCATCAGAGAAATGCTAATTGAAAGCACAATGAGATACCATCTCACACCAGTCAGAATGCCTATTATTACGCAGTCAAAAAATAGCGGATGCTGGTGAGGTTGTGGAGAAAAAGGAATGCTTATACACTGTTGGTGGGGGTGCGAATCAGTTCAACCATTGTGGAAGACAGTGTGGCAATTCCTCAAAGACCAAAACACAGAAATACCACTCGACTCAGAAATCTCATTACTGGGTATATACGTATATATGCAAAAGAGTATAAATTGTAACACTGTGAAGACACATGTACATGTATGTTCATTGCAACATTATTCACAATAGCAAAGACATGGAATCAACCTAAATGCCCATCAATAATAGACTGGATAAAGAAAATGTGCTACATATACAACATGGAATGCTATGCAGCTGTAAAAAATAATATATCCTTTGCAGGAACATGGATGGTCCTGGAGGCCATTATTTTTAGCTAAATGATGAGAACATATGGAGACATAGAAGGAAACAACACACACTGGGGCCTATCGGAGAGGGAAGTGGGAAGGAGGGAGGGAGTCAGGAAAAATATTTAATGGGTATTAGGCTTAATACCTGGGTGATAAAATAATCTGTACAACAAACCTCCATGACACAAGTTTACCTGTGTAACGAAGCTGCACATGCACCCTTGAACTTAAGATATTAATACAAGTTAAAAAAATAAAATCTGTGATGCACCAAAACAAAGGATGCTCTTTGGTCTCTTAAAACAAGTATCGTCTCATTATAAACTAATTATCCCTAGATTATTTGGTTTGGGATCCTTGGAGAAGACAGGCTTTATTAAAAGTGGTTTTTGAACACTGAGTTTCAGTCCTCTTGGGCTACTGTTGCAAAAGTTTAGATGTGCATTCCAGAAAGTCAGGGATCTTTTAAGTGTCAGCACATACTTCTCTTTCCCCACCAACCACTCCCTTGAGAGTTTTCTATTTTACAAAGCATTTTTTTTAAAAGCAAACTTACACTTCTGGACCAATTCACCTACAATTTACTATACTTCATAGGGCTCAAAGCCTCTATGGGCTTAAACTACTAGGAAAGATTTCTGGATGCATAAATAAAAGTATCTTAATGAACAACAGCTGCAAAGAACGTGGCTTTAAATAAATTGATTCCAAATTAAACAAAAAATGTTAGTTGTATAGATCTCATGTTAAGTGTTCTTACCACAATTTATAAAACAATATATGCATTTTGTATTCAAGTTTTATATTTAACATTATCATACTTTTACATACTATTACTTATTTTAAATAACTGCAAAATGATTTACATATTTCATAAAATAATTTTCTATGTTGGCCATTTAATTGGTATTAATGTGGACAATATAAATTATCTGTCTATAATAATTTCTGTGCACATTGAATTACTAGAAAAGTTCACTAAACATTCACTGAGTTAAGTAAAATACGATCAGAAACAATTGTTTCAAATAATTTTAAATGTGCTTTTTTCAGTACATTTTGTTTAAGCAATATTTGGTATTATTGGGCAATGGAAATTGTTAGCTTTAACTTTAAAGGAGATAGATTTTATTCAGGGAACAGATTGTGGCAATAAAAAATAACTTTGGCACGTAGCTGGTGAATTTTTTTTCTATGTTGGACAAAATATTAGAGTCAAAAGACATCAGTAATTAATGGGATCTGAAAGCTGCTAAATTTTATAAATAATTTGAATGTGTATTACATTTTATGGCTATATATTAACACATTGAAAACTGGAGAGTCTAGGAAATAAATACTGGGAACTCTGAGGAGAAGGAGGAGAAAAAGTGGGAAGAGCAGGAGGAAGAGGTTCAGGAGCAGGAGGAGACAGCGGATGATGTGGCTAAAAGCGAGTGAGTAAGAGAATAAAAGATAGAGGTTAGAGTGTCAGGGAGGAGTTGAGATTTGTATATCCTTCCAGTCCTTGGCAAGTAACATTGCTTTCACTTTAAATATAATGGAGAATTTTGAGTAAAGAAAAGATATTATTTCACTTAAATTTTAAAAGAATCACTCTGGCTGTTCTGTGGAGTATGTATTTTGGGGGCAAAAGTAGAAGCTGGAAGATCAATTAAGAAATTGTAATAACTCAGAGAAGTGATAGAGGGTTATTGTAAGACGTGCAGTGAAAATAGGTGATGGGCAGTGGACTGATTCAGAATTTATTCGGAGGCAATTGACCACAAAATTTCCAGATGCATTGGTGTATTCAAGTAAGCCAATAATGAAAGATGATTCTAAGTCCTGTGATCAAAGAAACTGGGAAAATGAAGTTGTCTTTTATTGAAATGGACAAGACTATAGAAGGAGTAGATTAAGAGGGTTGGAAATAAAAAACATTTGTTTTAGGACGTGTAGTTTGAGATATCTGTTAGATATCAAAATGTAGAATTTGAGTAGGTTGTTGCATTTACAAATCTTAAATTAAAAAGGAAGGTATATGCATGGAAGTCAATAGCATTTTAGGTATGTTTAAAGCCATGAAACTGAACAAGATCACCTAGGAAATGATTGAAAGTAGAGAAAATATTTAGAAGCAAGTTCTTGTACATTTCAATGCATAGGAATAAATATAAGAAAGAAATAGCAGAGAGAGAGACAATATGTTTCCATAAGGAAGGGATGGAATCAACAGATAGTGGCATCTGGAAATCGAATGAAAAAAGCAGTGCTTCAAGAAGGAGATTGTAATCAACGGTGCTAAAATGCTGCTGGATAATTAATATAAAGGCAAACAGAGGTAATCAGTGAAAACAGTGGCCAGTTTATAAATACTCTTGTGGGATAACTGACATGACGTATGCAAACTACTAAGCCTAGTATTTCATTAGAATTCAGTAAGTGTTTATAAATATTAATATTTTGAGGCTATTATTCTGTTGTGAAAGTTAATTCATTAGCTGTGAGTGATCTTAATGACATTCAATTAAATAAGATCCATGGAACTCAACAACTAGTGGAAGAGACAGAAGAAACAAATCCAGAGGGTGTGCCTGTCTCAGCCTGTCATCCAAGTGTTGCAGGTACTTCGAAGGAGAAGAGAAGCTATCCAGTGGTCTTCGATAGAGAACAGATAATGAATAAAGGCATCAAAGATAAGAGAAGACATATATTAAGATCTAAATGGGTTGTTACAACTAAAAGAAAGAAAGGTATATAGTGATGATAGGAGAGGAAGCTAGAATGTTAGGCATGGGCTTTTTTATATGACATCACAAAATATTCCTAAGTTTGTCCTTAATCCAAGGGAAGGCAACTGAAGGATTTTGTGTAAGGGAGAAACATAACCTCTCCCAATTAGTTATTAAAAATTTGCTGTAGTAAAAACATAAAATATGGCTATGAAACAGAAAAAAATGGAATCTAAAAGTTAACTAGAATTTATTCTAATAATCAAGGTTAAAATATTTAGTATTTTAGGTGAATGACAACAAAATTGAAAAAGATAAGAGGAATCAGAAAAATGTTTAATCAATTTGATTTGATTAATTGGATATAGGTTGAATATGAAAAAAGATGAGTCTCAGATAACTTCCACATTTCTAAATGTGACCTGTTCTACTCACTAATACAAAAATACCAGGAGAAATTAGATTTAAAAAGAAGTAGATGAATTTTCTTTCTGGTTTATTGACTTGAAAGAGCCTGGGGCATTGATAGGACACCATTGAAGGCATAGGTTTCAAGTCCAGGAAAACATACAGCTTTGATTATGTAATTAGAAAAACACTTACAGAAAAGTAGTAATTGAAGCCAAATTTTTTGGTAGAGCTTTCCTAGTACACATAGGATGAGAATGGAATAATGCCAGGGATAGACTCCATTGTTAAAGTCTTGGTAAGGCAGGCATGTCAATTTGCATATTACTTATTGACTGACTCAACATCATTCTGAGAAAACAATTTAAATTCTTTTAAAGCTTCTAATAATTCTTAAACAATAATTGAATATTTTACTTAATGAAAGATGGTCAAAAGAAAGGTATTAACATATAAATGCTTTATTTAATTAAAAAGCTGTGTGTAGCATGAAATTTAGGTGAACGATAAATCACCCTACAAATGAATGAGGGTGGGGGGTCTTATTCAAGACGGTATGTTTTAAAATTTGGGAATGTCTTCAAATATAACAATATTCAATTTGTATACAATTATATGAAATTTATCTCTGCAGGAACTAGGAAGCATATTCATATATTTTTCAACACTTGTCTTAGGTATTGATATGCTCATTTTAGATGTATAAAACTGGATGTGTATTTTCTTGTTGGCTAAGGTAGGAAGAGAGGTATTCAATCCGCTGCACAATCATGCTAGATACACAGAGTATCACCAATGTAGGAATAGCTATTTGGGCTTAAAGAATAAGACAGTAACAAATGAGATAACTGTGTTTTTAGCTGTTGTAGTGACTTTTTAAAAATTATATTGAACAGTCACTTTTGGAAATGCAAATATGTAAAAGAGTTTAAAAGAATGTTGAACAGTCGAAGTGCAGTGTATTGGACAATTCTGTCTCTCTCTCTCTCTCTTGCTCTCTCTCTCTTCAAAGCAATAAAAATATTAGTTCATGCAAGAGAGCAAAATATGCCATGAATTAAACCCATGGCACACATTTCTCCAGAATTTTGACTATGATGTAAACATAAAAGAAGCAGTTGCCTTTCAGGTGCAGACCAGTCATCACATATGCAAGTTTCTCATTAAACTGTTGGTTCTATAAAATCATAGTTGTGGTTTAAGCCGACTAAGCTTCCAGATATATACTGTGCCTTGATCTTTTTTTAAGTAAATTGACAATTTATAATTGTATATATTTATAGTGTACAACGTGATGTTATAATTTATGCATACAATGTGGAATAATTAAATGAAGCTAATTAGCATATCCATCATCTCAATAGTTAACATTTTTTTGTGGTGAGAATATTTGAAATTTACTCTCAGCAATTTGAAATGCTCTATTATTAAGTATATTGACCATTTCTTAACTTGGGGTCTAATTAATTTGTGAGCCACCTAAAATCCTACTAAGTTTCCTTTGCTTAAGTTAGTTGGTGTTATTTTCTCTTCTATGGAATTAAGACTTAAAGCTGAAATATTACATAACTATACATTTAAGTTACTTGACATTATTATAAATTAAAATGTTACATAATCTAGTATTAAAAATCATGTTTAAAATTAAATGCATTCTGAAAAATCACATTTCTTAAAATTCCTTTCAGCAAAATTTCCTTCAGTTTAAATATCAGTATCCTGATATGGTTATTTTGCTGTTCTCTAAGAAATTTGGCTAAATTTGCTTCAATGTGGAAAAAACAAAAAGGAAAGGACCCCTTACATTTTGTTATCTAAATAGAGCTTGCTTGTTTATTTTTACCGTTACAGAAAATAAATATGTAATAAAATAAATGGGCTTGCCTTTACTATTCAATTGTGAAGAAGCTATGGTTTCAAAACCAGTATCCTGATATTAATTGTAATTCTACAATTCTCTAGGAAGTTCTGCTTCATTTGGAATGATTTGCATAGCTGAGGTTGTGATTGCTTTGGAGCATCAGAGGTTCCTCGGCTATTTACAGAAGTCTCAGAGTGTTTACCTTGGAAAGCTAGGCAAATTCAGTAAAAAGAATGTATCCAAATCCAAATGACTTTCTACAGACTTTTCAGAACTTTCCCTTTGTACAAGGATTGTTTTCACCATTTTTTTTATAGCTAAAATGAATACAAAGTAATTAAATGGTATTTCATTAGTTGTCACTCCTAGCAGTTGGTTTTAAATTCTGAATATTTCTTATAGAGACAATTAGTTGTTTGGTTTCCTCATAGGTCTCAGATTTAAAAGCTCCAACGATATACTTCATGTTTCTACAGAGAAACTTTTTGCTTTGGTGCCAAGGGAATTTTCTCTCATGTCTTTAAGCTTAAAACTTTTACTTTCTGGGGTGGATTTTGCTGTTTTCACCTGGAAGCAACATTTTTTCACAATGAAGTAAAATGATTACCTTTTTTATCTTCAAGTACAACTAGTAATACTACACCTTTTGGAAACATTTTGTTTTTAAATAGCAAGAATTATTCCACACAGCTTTGGTACTCACATCAGAAAATTGCTAATAGCATCTTATGTGCAATTGAAGATAAGCTTCTTCATTTACTGATTATTCAGAGAATAAAGCTCATCGTAGAGTACACTTAGATCTACATTTAGTTGGAGAAGACAATTCATCCTAAGTCGGAAAGAACTAGTATATACAGAGTTCCTTTCTGCTGTGATAATCAGCGCTCAGTTTGGGCATTCTAGAGAACTTTAGCAGGTATCTGAGCATGAAGGCACTGTATGTGGAGGTCACTTTCGAATGAAACCGTCTTTATTGATAATTGAGAATAAATTTTAAAAATATTTCACCCTTCATTATATTTTTAACTCATGTATTACTTGTGTTTTAATAAAAGTGTGATTTACATACAATTAACTACAATCTGAATGATACTAAAATTAGTCTTTAGATGGTTTATACAATTTGTTAGCTTCTCAAAAATATAAATTTTACCATCCTGAGGTGATTTTTTTGTATATAGTGTAAGGAAGGGGTCCAGTTTCAACCTTCTGCATATGGCAAACCTGCACATGTACCCCTGAACCTAAAATAAAAGTCAGTGTGAGAGTGTGCGTGTGTATATAAACATGTAGAAACATATATAATAGATAATATAAAACTTAATATATAAATATGTGTTATATTTTACATATAAATTATATTTTATTTTATTAAATAAAAATATTTTATGTGTATAAATATATAATATACAAATTATATATTATATCTATAATTAGAAACTTAAATATTATAACCATATAATTATATATTTTAAATTTATATAAAATTTAATTTATATTAATATATAGATTATATTTATTTTAATTTATATATTTAAAAACATTAATCTATATATTAATCAATTTAATATATATTAAATCTATTAATCATATAAATTTTATTTATTTTTATTTTTATATTTTAATTTATATATTAATATATATTTACACATATAAAAGTTAATATATGTATATAAATTTTTTTAACAGCCAAGCCACTGTTTAAATCAGGGTAGCTAGCTGCCACAATTAATTAAATTCTGAAATCTCAGAGGCTCATCTTCTCATTTGAGATGACGTCTAATGTGGTCAACTGGTCCTCCTTCAGCCTTTAGCCATGACATTTGAAACCCGTGTTCTCTAGAGTCACTACAGCAGCAGAAAGGCAAAGGAAGCACAGTAACTCTTTGTTGACTCTGTCCAGTAGTGACACCTATCCCTTCTGCTCACTCCTCATTGGCCAGAAGTACTTATAGGGTTCTAACATAACACTGAGATTGCTGGAAAATACAAGGTTGCAAATACAATTTTTGGTGAGGACACCAGCATTAAGCCAATCTTTCTCTCCACCAAAGCTGTACCATTGATTGAGAAATTTTTATCAAAAAAGCGTTTGGTACGTAAGTCTATAAATGCAACTAAGACATTGTCAATTACTTGGGTAAATATCAGAAATGAAAATATTGAATTCAAAATTTTGAACATATTGCAATGAATAGTTTGTGTACATCAGAGTGGAAGAGCAGTCTTTCAGTCCTTAAAGCCAATACATGACTGCTTATACAAATATCAGTTTATATAACAAAGCTCAGCTCTTTTAGAATTTGACATGCTACCCAATCAGTTACAGACACTATGAAATAAGATAGTAATATTCGGAAACTATTAAAAAAATACTTTGGAAAACTTGGCAAAACTTTGCTTTTTCTTAATATATTTGGCTTCCCTTAGGAAGAAACTATTACCTCCATGCTATGAAATGTATTGCAAATCAGGCTGAAAACAGTGATTTTCCCAAAGCAGGAATTTCATGATTTGGGCAATTTTGATTAATTTGTAATTTGTTGTGTAGACATGGTTCTAATTACCTCCACCTTCTCCAAATACTTCTAATAAAGGAGAGTTAATGAAAATAAATATGTAGAAGTCACAATTTTCTCAAACGGAGAGAAAAACAAACATTTACTGGAGTCTTACTGTATGTTAAGCACAAAACACAAATGTTCTCACATAAACGTCACAGTAACTAGTACTGTTTCCATCATTTTTTTTTATTAATTTTTTTTTTTTTTTGAGACAGAGTCTCACTCTGTCACCCAGGCTAGAGTGCAGTGGCAGGATCTTGGCTCACTGCAACCTCTGTCTCCCAGGTTTAAACGATTCTTCTGCCTCAGCCTCCTGAGTAGCTGGGATTACAGGCACGCGCCACTACACCTGGCTAATTTTTATATTTTTAGTAGAGATGGGGTTTCGCCATTTTGGCCAGGCTGGTCTCAAACTCCTGACCTCAGGTGATCCACCTGCCTCGGCCTCCCAAAGTGCTGGGATTACAGGCGTGAGCCAACACTCCTGGCCCATCTTTTTTTTTTTTTTTTTTGTAAATGAGGAAACTGAGACTTACAGAAATTAAGTAATCTGTCTTGCATCATTTAGTTAATCAGTGAAAGGGCCTGGATTACAACACAAATTATGTTCCAAATTTGGCTCTAAAGTATATTCTCTTTCCACCATAACTTTAAACCAGAAGTTTTCACAGCATATCTATAATGGTAAAAAATAATTTTACTCCAGAATCCTCAATATATATATACTTTCAAATATATATGTATTATAATACATTACATACATTATAAAACAACATAAAAATAGAAACTTTGAAAGGATGAAAAATGCCAGATTTTAAAATTTATTTTTTATTGATACATAATCGTTGTGCACATTTATGTGTTTTTTGGAACATGCGTGCAATATGCAATGATCAAATAAGGATGATAGGAATATCCATCACCTCAAATATTTATTATTTCTTTTTGTTGGAATCATTCTAAATCTTCTAGCTATTTTGAAATACATTATAAGTTACTGTTAACTATAGTCATGCTATTGTACTATTGAACACTAAAACTTATTCCTTCTCTCCAATTTTATTTTTGTGCCCATTCATCAATCTCTCTTCATTATTCCCCCCACCCCCACTTTCTAGCCTCTGGTAACCATCATTCTACTCTCTACCTCCATGAGCTCAATTTCTTTTAGCTCCCACATATGAATAAGAAAATGTGATATTTATCTTTCTGTGCCTGGCTTATTTTACTTAACATAGTGTCCTCCAGTTTCATATGTGTTGCTGCAAATGACAAGATTTTATTCTCTTTTATTGCTGAGTAATATTTCCTTGTGTACAAATAACACATTTTCCTCATCCATTCATCCACTGATGGTCACTTAGGCTGATTCTATATCTTGACTATTGTGAAAAGTGCTGCAATAAATATGGGAGTGCAGATGTCTCTCCAGTATACTGATTTCCTTTCTTTTAGATATATACTCAGAAATGGGATTGCAGAATTATATGTTAGTTCTAGGTTTAATTTTTTGAGGAACCTCTGTGGTGTTTTTCACAGTAGATATACTAATTTATACACTCCATCAACAGTGTACAACTGTTCTCCTTTCTCTGCATCCTAGCTAGCATCTGTTATTTTCTGTCTTTTTAATAATAACCATTTTAGCTGGTGTGAGATATCTCATTGTGGTTTTGATTTGCATTTTCCTGATGATTAGTGATGTTGAGCATTTTTTCATATACCTGGGGGACATTTGTTTGTTGTCTTTGGAGAAATGTCTATTTAGATCTTTGCCCATTTTAAAATCAGATTTTTTTTTTTTTTTGGTGATTGAGTTGTTTGAGTTTTTCACGTATTCTGGTTATTAATCCCTTGTCATCAGATGAATAGTTTAAAAATATTTTCTTCCATTCTGTAAATTGTCTCTTTACTTTGTTGATGGTTTTCTTTTCCGTGCAGAAGCTTTCTAATTTGATGTAATCCCATTTGCCAATGTTTGTTTTTGTTGCATGTGCTTTTGATACAGGGTAGGCAAGTCCCTAAATTGGGTCTTAGCCTGGGAGGGTTGTTGGCTGTGCCCAGGGAAGAATTCAAAGATTAGCTAGTGATGTCAGAAAGCAACTTTTATTAAAGTGGCAGTTTACAGCAGCCGCAGAGGTACTGCTCCTTGCAGAACAGGGCTACCTCATAGGCAATGCGCCCCGAGCAGGAGCTCAGATGCAGTTCTGTCATCATACTTATACCCAATTTTAATTACATACAAATCAAGAGGCAGGTTATTCAGAATTTTCTAGGAAAAGGGTGGTACTTCTGGGTCATTGCTATGGGAAGAGGCAGTAACTTTTTAGATGTTGCTATGACAATGCTCAACTGACATGGCACTGGTGGCTGTGTCTTATAGAGAGGTGCTTTTACCCCTTCCCTGTTTCAGCTAGTCTTCAATCTGGTCCAGAATTTATGTCCCACCTCTGGAGACAAGTCCCACCTTCTACCTTAGAATCTTTAGATTTTTCCAAATATAAGATCGATCATGTTGTCTGCAAATGAGGACAATTTGACTTCTTTCATTACAATTTCAATGCCCTTTATTTCCTTTTCTTGCCTGATTGACCTGGCTAGGACTTCTAGTACTATGCAGAACAAAAGTGGTGAAAGTGGGCATCCTTTTTTTGTTCCAGTTCTTACAGAAAATGCTTTCAGCTTTTCCCTGTTCAGTATGATGTAGGCTGTGGGTTTGTAATTTATGGCTACAACATATCAAAACCTAGAGGATATAGCAAAAACAGTACTAAGGAGAAAGTTTGTAACAATAAACACCTACATCAGAAAAGTAGAAAAACTTCAATTAAACCACATAACCATGCACCTTAAAAAACTAGAAAAGCAAGAACCAACCAAACTCAAAATTAGTAGAAAAAATAATAAAGCTTAGAGCAGAAATAAATGAAAATAAGATGTAAAAATAAGAAAACAAAAAGTTGGTGTTTTAAAAACATAAAAAATTGGCTTATCTTTAGCTAGACTAAATAAAAGGGAGATGACTCAAACAAAATCAGAGATGGCAAAGGAGATACTGCAAATGTTACCATAGAAATACAAAGGATCATTAGAAAATATTATGAACAACTATACGGCAACGAATTGGAAACCCTGGAAGAAATAAATAAGTTCCTGGACATCTACCAAGATTGTACCATAAATAAACAGAAAACCTGAACAAACCAACAATGAGTAATGAGATAGAAGTAATAATAAAAAGTCTCCCATCAGAGAAAAGCCCAAGACCTGATGGCTTTACTCCTCTATTCTACCAAACATTTAAAGACCTAATACCAATCCTACTCAAACTATTCCAAAAAATTGAAGAGGAACGAATACTTCCAAACTCATTCTATGAAGCTAGCATTGCCCTGATACCAAAAACAAAGACACAACAAAAAGAAAACTACAGGCCAATAAAACATAGATGAAATGATCCTCAACAAAATACTAGCAAGCCAAAGTCACCAGCACGTTAAAAAGATCATTCACCATGATCAGTGGGATTCATCCTAGGGATGCAAGGATGGCTCCACATATGCAAATCAATAATCCAGATACATCACATTAACATAATGAAGAACAACCATACGATCATTTCAATAGGTGCTAAAAAAAAAACCTGATAAAATTCAATATCCCTTCATGATAAAAATTCTCAACAAAATGAGTATTTAAGGAACATACCTCAAAATAATAGAAATAGAGATTTTAATTTTTTATGTCATAATGAAACATCTTGTGCACTTTCCATAGAGACACTGTAGGAAAGATCCATTCTTATTTAGACATTTTTATGTTTAAATATTTATAAAGTTACAAGATATAAAAATAGCTGAGAGAGGTTCAACGTACTCTTCATCCAACTTCTTCTAATTTTGTGGTCATACATATCAAAACTAGGAAATGACACTGACACACTAGATTAACTAGACTAGATACTTTACTCAGATTTCCCGAAAAAAAATATAGACTTTTAGGAACAAAATGATCTTATCACTTGGAGAAATAGTAAAATAATCTATGATACATTTGGAAGGTGCTTTTTAATTCACTGAGACCTTTCTGATTCACAAAGTCCCTAACATGCATAAGCAACCAGCAAGTGAAAGTTAACGGCTCAGCTAAGGAGTCAGTAGTTCATAGCGTTTAAGAGCACCTGTTATGACTTGATTTGAAACCCTGTGTCAACATTTAATCTATGCCTCTTATAATGGGCCTAATAACAGTATCTACTTTATGGGATATTAGCTATTCTAAGCTGCATTATTTTCCTAGTTACAGGAAAATAAATATACTTAGTTCAATCTTGACTTACCTGAAGTCAACTTACTAATTTAGCACAAAGTTGGACTTAAATTCAGTTCTTTCTATCCCGATGCTTTTCCTCCCATGTTATGTGTCTCCTATCCAGGGAAGGAGGAGAGAATAGAGAATACTACAGCATGCTGCTCATTGCACACTACTCTGAATGCTTTTAGACCTTCTATTCATAGTTTACTGCTTATTTTTGTTAATTATCCCTATGCCTTGAAAACAACAAGATTTCTTCAATCATTTAAAGATCAATTTAACCTTAGTCAATGATTAATAAAAATGCATTATTGTTAATAGCATCCTGCTGGCCAAAAATCACAGATATTACAGAAATGATCAGATATCGAAAGTGTTTTAGTTTCTGGGACTAATAGTATCACAACACATTTGGTTTTTCCATTGAGGTAAAAGATACCAAACTGTAACTGTAATTTATATTATCATTTGATTTTTTATTCTAATCTTATAAAGACTTCCTGCTAGTCTTTAACAACAATGAAAAATTACACATACAAAAACAAAACATACAAACAAAACACCCTCATTATTATTTATCTAAGGTGTTGCTTAAGGCTGCCAGGGTAATAGTAGATGATAGGTCTCAGCTAAAGACAAATTTGTTGCTACAGATCAACATGTAAACCAGATTATTTAGCACAATTTTTCTTGTACAAATGTACCCAATCCCAGGTTTTAGAAAAACATCCAAATTTAACATAGGCTTGTTCTGTTTAAAGCCATGATGTGAAAGTGCAGCCAATTTCAGCACAACATCACATGTTGAATATTCTTTTCCTGTCATATGGGAAATTTTTATTTAATTTTCTAACTTTTTAAAGTAATCTTCACATGTCCTTCAATAAATGTAAACATTAACTGTTGCTATTATCCTAGTTCTGTTTTAGAAGAATCATATTTACTATACCTATTAATAGTTCACATGAAGCAAGAAACCTAATATTTATATTTTACAATAAATATTATGAATATCTCTCTCAGGGAAAGAAACTGTTTAGATAATCTGCTTTTCACATAGAAAAATCTTGTTTCTAAATCTTAGAGACTACAGTTTTTGTCTTAACTTTCTCATGTTAGAGACAGTTTTTACTGTAAAAGTAAAATAGTGCCTTGTAGCTATAGTTAGCAACCCTTTTTTTGCTTTGTTTTTGCAAAAGGGGGAAATTATGGAAGCTATAAATAAGTAATGATTGCCAAAGATCAGAGGAATTTTACATAAGACCAAAGCAATTTAATCTGGTGCTTTGATACAAGTATTTAATAATTCAGCACAACGACAATAATGGCATCTTGAGAATTTCCAACAACTGATTTCCCCTCCAAGGTATTAGAAGATGATTAGAAATTGAATGGTTCTAAGTCATAAATTAATTTTTGAACCTTTTCTAGATGTGGGGTGAAGTGTATTCTTTTAAATAGTTGCTATCCAATCTCTTTAGTGAAAATACAAAAAAAAAAAAATGTTAATACATTGGTCCTCTGTGTAGTAGAATCCACTAAGCCAGAGGCAGAATAGCATTTTTATTTCCCTAGGTCGAACATTCAAAATCTGTAGATTGAAAAAATATATTTCACACATATCATCTTCATGTAATTTTTCCTCATATCTTTATGAATATGCCTACAGATGTGATCCAAAATGGCCTGATTCTCAGACTAGAGTGAGCCAGTTCTTACTCAGTGGGTCACTTTTGCCTCCTTCTAACCAGTTGCATCTTAGACAGTTTTTTTCTGAGTTTAAATTTTCTCATGGGTAAGATAAAGAAATTGGACTCTGTAATCTCAATAATCTCCTCTAGTTCTGAAGTGTTCTGAGCATGTTACTCTGTAAATAATTCCTAAAAGGAGAAGGCCCTTCATGATTCAGCCTCATCTCATTTGTCCAGCTAGCCATAGTTACTGACAGTTTTGTAAATCCCAGGTTGCTTCATGAGTCCATGTTGATTCTTGTATAAATGGAAAGTCCTTTCTGCCTTACGTTACAAGGAGACACCTATATATTCTTCAACACCATGTTCAATTATCTTTACTCTAAAATGTTCTTTATTTCAGTCTTACAGAGTTCATTATGTTCTCCTTAAGCCATCACTTTTATTGTCATATTTTTCTCTATTTTCATACCAATCATTCTAAATGATAATATTCTTTTAAACATCCATGTCAGTAAATAAACTATGATTTCTTTGAAGATAAGAATCATGTTTTGTGTTTGTGCCTCCACAAGAGATGCATTTTACATTCTGAATACCCAATAAATGAGTGATAAATAAGAGTCAATTAAACAGTTAATAATTCAAGAGTATATTAATGAAAAGAATATTGGGGACATAAGCTTGACATTATGGTATCAATTCTGTTAATTATTAATTTCTCATTCTTGTATGAATCATTTCAATTTACTGAGCCTCTTTGGTCAAGTATCAATAATAATGCAAACATTGTCTTATTGGACAGGTTTTATGATCATATGTTACGGTAATTCATAGCAAGTTACATGAATATATGTTATTAAAATTATATGTAAAGCATCATGTCACACAGCATAAATAGATGCAATTTTGTCTATTAAAATAACTTAAAAATATATGTAAAACTACTTTAAACTACAAAGAGATCTAATTGTAAAGGATTATTGTGTGTTATTAACTACCACAATCCAATATAATAATGAAAATTCCATGTTCTTGATCTATCAGTTATAGGTTTTTTCTTTAATCCTCAAAAATGCCTTTTAAACATCTAGATGGCAACGGCAGATTCAAAGTTCCAGCTAACAGATGAGCCAGAAGTACCTGAAAAACCGTAATAGTTTTCCAAACATCAAAATGTCTTCTACATTGTACTTTCCAGCTGTGTCAATTAACATAGTTTAGTTTTTACTTAAAAAAATCTTCTACACAACACAAAATTGAGCTGTAGAAATACCTGAGTTTACATTACTAATGAGTTTTATGCCATTAACTTTTTAGTTTGTTCCTTTTTTATTTTTATATTTAACTCCAAAAAATGTATTTATATGAGAAAGTGATGCTTTCCTCTGTTACAAAAAGTTGAAGAATATAAAATTTGAACATGATTTCTACAGTTGTCTCACATGAAATAATGAAGCATATACAACTCCACAATAGACTTTCTTGTTAATAGTAAGCAGTAGAAGTGGTCACAATGCCAGTTGCCCAGGAGGTCCAGCCAGAAGACATCTGTGCCTTAGGGTGCAAGACTCACTATGTTGACTAATCATGCAATGTGTTTGCAATTAAAATAGCACCTCTGAAACTCTGCCAGTGTGTTACATACGTGACCTGACAAGTATTTTTAAAAAAGTAATGGTGCTTCATATTGAGGTAAATTGCAAAGATATGTTTAGGACCAAATTAAAATTGTTTCTATATATATATATAAAATGAATTGAACCAGATGATTTTAATACTGTTGTCAGTAAAAATCTTCAAGAAAATATTAATAGCCTGAACTATAAGAACAACTAGAGAGTTACATAAATCCATGTGTTCTGCTGAAAAAGGGAAATATATGCCATTTGGAGGTAATAATTTTCCTCATTCAGATGCAGAATATTATGCAAATTTAAAAAATGCTTCATGGACGTGTAACTTTGTAGCTGATAAAAAAATTCTCATAGTGCTATCTGAGATGAATGTACAAAAACGTTTAACATTCAATTAGGAAATATAGCAGATATGTGCACAAGTATAGATATATAGATAAATTGCTATGCATGTAGACATAGACATAGTTACGGAAATGAATATGGGCATAGACATGCAACCAAGTATGCATTACTAAATCAACACATAACTTTAGAAATAGTAATAAGTGCCAAGCTCCTTCTCTTCTAACACTCTACAGATTCTCAAAAACGTTGTGATTTTCCAGTAATGCCTTCCTACTCAACGTGGGCCTCTGTTTCCACTTCGATTGCACTTGTCTAGTCCCTCATAGACAACACTCTTTATTATATATTCTAGGTCTTCATTTTCTCTAGTATTGTTAAACTAATGGTGGATTATAGCCCAAGAACAGTGTCATTTCTCTTGACTCTGTCTGAAAGCCTATTCAACCTTTATTTTCTTCTTCTTGAAAACTTTTATAGGCTGTGTAGATTTTCTGAATGCCCAGACTTAAGTTCTAAAATTACTACGTGGCCATCTTACTCACTACATAAGAAATGCTGTATGTGAAAGAAAATCACTTTTTTATTTATACTTCACTGAAATTTTACAAGATCTACATTACAACGATAAACTGTTTCAAGGTATTTTTCATCACATCCTGCTATTTCTGTTGATGGTCTGAGAAAACTCCAGGTTTTTTAAAATTTACCTGAGGAGGACATATCCATGCTTATTCTCATTTAATAATAAAACATTTTAACCAACAACACTGTCTATTCTAAATTGTTAAAAAGAATAAAAGCCAGATACAGAACAACAAATGAAAAGACAGTAAATGAATGAAATTGTTTTTAACTTTGTACTCAGTGTATTGTTACAGCAAATTTTGTCTCCCTAATTAGGAACTGCTTGGGTTAAAATTAAGCCCAATTTCTCTCTTTGAGAGGAAACTGACATAGTAGGGGACAACTAATGAAATATACTCATATGCTTTTGAATACCTTATTTGTCATAGAATGTATGTGCATGCACATATGGGATAATAATATTAGGACCATGAGCAGCTAAGCATATGAATCATACATTCATTCCAATCATTTAAAGTCCACAAATAAGAATACATTAGTGTGTGTTTGTGGGTTGGGTGAGGGCAGAGAACACTTTTTCTCTTTTGATAGTTCCCTCGATGTTGTATAAGTTCTCCTTGCTTAATCTTCCAGGTCATCCTCAAGTCTCCTTACTTCCATCTCTCCAGGGAAGGATCTGTGACTTAAAGTGATTGGCTAGTTTGGAAGGAGAAACAAGGATATCAGCCTAGCCTTTTCTTTCTCTCCTTTTTTGCAGAGAGGGCACATATTCTACTCTGCTTTTCCATGTCATCATGCTGGAGAGCCCACGTTAGGCCAGGGTAGATAAGTCTTTCCAGTTCTGTGTTAAGAGTACTGGGAAATTCTGTTGCCTCCAGATATAAACAGCATCTCCCAAGGCCTCACCTTTCCTCTTATCTGCGTTATGTGTTTTCCTTATTTTTCCCAGGTAGCTCAGACTCAGATGTGGAGACGAAGGGTTATAAAAATTATCTCCAAGTTCATTGTTATAACTAAAAGAGGCTTCATTTCTTTTCTAAAAGGACTCTTATTCATTCTGCCACTGATATCAATGTGCCTAACCAACATATCTTACTCTAAAATTGAGACGATTGTGTGGTCTCCCTCTCTCAACCTTATTATATAAAATAAGTATACAAATTCTGCCCATACACTTTGAAAGCCATACAGAATTAAAGACTTAGAGAATAAAAATAAACATAATAACAGTTTTCAATGGTATTTGAAAATAAGAAATTAACAGCACAGAGAAAGAGTACTGGGTGGAGATTGAAAGATCTTGTTTCCAATTCTGATGTTGGTAGAACAATGAGACCTCAAATGAATCACTTTACCTCTGTAGACCTCTTTGAGTTCTATCACTATTTTATAATTTAATTTTGGAGAACTGTAAATGAAGGATTTTAAATACTTACATTTTGTACGGATGTATTGAGCAAAAAATATGTGTGTGTACATATTTAATACAATATTTACTCACATTTAAAAAATATATTGAGCATAACATTATATATGCATGTAGATATGTATATATACACACATACACATATTATGTACCTAGGCAGAAAGGCTGTTTGTGTTTATTTAAAATGAAATAAAAATTTTCATTTTGAAGATTTTTTTAAAAATTTTTTCTTATTAAATTAAATTTTTGTATTATAGAAAAAAATCAGAAAGTAAAAATCACCCATTTTATATACACAGACACACACCCATATATAAAATCACCCATAGTCTTAAAATGTTGGTGCATATCCTGTCATCTCTCTATCGCTTCACTCTCTTCCTCTTTCTCTTCACTCTCTTACTCTTCACCTGTATCTCTATAATTATATAACATAGAATTAATGTTTTATATATTTCCAAAAAATGTTGTTACTGGATATTTTATATAGTTTATTTTAAAAACTGTCTTATTGTCTACCTTGAAAGTATCTGAAAAAACGTTTGTTGATGTGCTCTGTACACCAAAGGCAGCAAATTGGTGTTATTCTTTTTAGTAACCTTAAAGCAATATAATTCAGAGAATGAAGTATATGAAGTACCCTTGACAAATTTTGCTAAAAATCATTCTATATTCAAGGACAAAAAATAATTTGATAAGAAGAAAGATCTCCCCTTCTCATATATTTTTCTAAACAGCAGTATTCACAGTAACTTATAGAATATTGGACTAAGTATTCCTTCCTTGAAATTATAGCCACATTCAAGGTAGACTAAAAAGAATCCAAGCCAAAACAAATAACTACAAGCTCTGCAAGACTACTCTGCACTACAAGGTTTTTATTCTCAATTTAATCAGAATTTTACAGATTGCACTCTGAAACTCACAATCTTATTTTCCAATCACAGCTGCTGGTTACAAATATTTGCAAATTCTTTGATTAGAAATAATTCTCTGTTCATGGAGAAGCTTATAATTTAATCACTACCGAATTTGTAAAAGACCAATGAATTCGAGTTACAAGCAAGGATCCTTTCACTGAGATGCTATAGGTTAATTTGTTCTATTCTCTAATTTTATATTTTCATTTGCATAGAGAATTAAGAAATATTTTAAGCTAAAACTTATAATATTAATCTTGATTAAGTGTCATACAATTTTTTTCTTTGTAAATTTATAAAGAACATGTGTTGATGTAAATGTTTTCTCTGGAAATGCATTTCAACATAATCCTACATGAGTTACAGGAGATTTAGATTGTCGTGTGAACCTGTAGTGCAATCATAGATTTCGGAGATAAACATGATTTCTTAGGTGGTTATTTTCACTATGACATATTTTATATACATAAGTGGACAAATTCAAGTCACTTCCAGGAATCTATAAAGAATTATCCTGTGATATGTTTTAAAGTTTTAAACTAAGTTCATGATGTGTTTAATATTTGGAATGGAGGATACAGGAGATTAATTATAGCACCAAAATCCAAATTCTTGAATGGATATCTTTAAGAACTCAGTGCTAACGCTTGTTATGATTTGCTAAGCCTTTAATAAACCTGTTTTTCATTTTTCAACAGAAAGAGCAATCAGCTTCCAATTACTTAAAAATACATTTTATGTATATTGAGGGTGTACTAGATAGTTTGATTTTGTTTTTTCACTGCTTAGCACATCCTCTAAGGAAAATAAAAGCAGCTGAACTTCACGTCAATCAAACAAATTTTATATGAACATTATCTGTCTGAAGCATTTGCTGCCCAACTGGTAACCCTGTTATTTTGTCTGATTTGCCTGCTTTGCCCAATACGGTATATGATATTTTTCAAAAGCTATCTGGTCAGCCAAACATGATGATGTTTAGAACATAAAAATATAAATTTTTGATCGAAGCAAAAATTAGTTATTCTTCTGTACTGGAAAAAATTATATACATACAGGCTAATCTTTTAATACATTCAGGACTCTTCAGTGTAACAGAGGTACTCATGAAATCATGGGACTGCCCAAAAGAAGATATCCTAAAAGTATGCCATTAACACAGTGCTTACTTCAAGTTGACCTCTTTGACCAGGTCAGACTTCAAAGAGATCTCTTGAAACAGGTACTATATCACACCCGCGTGACTCCTAAATACACATTTTTGTGTTCAATACCCAAATTAATTGAGAACAAAATAAAAGCCTCCCAATTTGGGGGATATAGTAAGAAGAGCAAGGTAGACGAGAGAAAAACAGACATCAAGGAAAGAGAAAAACAGCTGCCAGGAGTTTGGAGTTTTCTAGTTATTCTTCCTACCTTCCATCTCTGCCTCCTACTCTGTCCCCTGTCCACTTTATATACCTGGAGTTGAGGTCAGACAGAAACTGGGAAGTGTTTAGAACCATCCAGGTACATGAAAGCCAAGAAGATCTTGCTCTTTCATGTTTGATCATCTTTTAGGCAATCAGCCTGAGGCATCGCTTGTTAGAAAACCTAGCAAGTAGTAGGGGTGGCAGAAGGAGACATTTTTTGTAGTTTTTTGGGACATCCTTAGTTCTGGTGGGCTTGCACAGAACCCAGATGAAGCTAAATCTGGCTGAAGAGATAGCCAAGAGAGTGTTATATGAGATTTAAGGATTGTTTTGATGGTAGGACACAATATACTGACTTTCAGATAAATGAAAGTCAGAAGTCTTCGTTACTTAACAACGTTGAGCTAGAGAATGCTGCCACGTAGAGGATTGTACTCAGGGACACGGTAACAGTAAACTGGAATTGTGGAAGGCAGCTAACTTATGGCAAATAAGTAGTAACCCTAGATTTCCCAGGATTCCTGTGGCTTGGCTAATTTGAATCATTTTGTGGCTCTGAGACATAATAGGTGTCCCTTTTGTTTGGGATCTGGTCCCAGGGCCACTAGGGCAGGTGCATAGTGGCCTGGAATGCAAGAGCCTCATAACAGAAGTGTTTGGGGTGTGTATTTAATCAACTGCTCAAGATAGGAAACTGATAAGCTTGTAGCCAGGCCTTACAACTGGGTTAAGATGGCACTTCAAAAAACAAAATGAAACAAAATATATTATAATTAACTCCTTGATGGCTTGACATCAGTTTTGAGCTTGATTATTTGGGGTATTTGAGTGGCCCAAGTAGTAGAGGAAATTTTTACGGTGTAGGACTTAAGTTACCCTAAATAACGTAGAAAGAATTTTGTTATGAGAGTAGAAAGGAACGAAAAGTCTAAGGACTCCCTGTAGGCTGGCCCCATATCTAAGGTCCCATATATATGGCATTAGTCAAGAAAACAAATTTAAAATGCTTAGAGTCTCTAACAATATTTTGGTGAGGTTGTAAAGTGTGTTACAGCATTAGTTATTTATGACAATAATATTTTGGTGTACTTATCGAGTCAATTGAAGGTGGCAGGTCCAACAGTTATATTACTGGATTATATGGACTCATAATTCTGTAAGGTATTTAAAAGTGAGTAGTATTTGTTTCTGACCAAGTGGTAGTCATGGTTACAGACACACAGTTCGAGCTTGTGGTGGCACATCAGAAGGGGAAGTAGGAAAACGCTCTGGGGGTAGGAAGTCTAGTTAAATGGTACACCAGTATGAGGCAGTTACCTACTGAAGCAAGCAATAATCTCCATTAATTTTTAGAATGGCAATTATAGTAGTAACCTCCACAAGATTCTCCTTTAGAGACCCCTTGTACACTGTTGGTGGGCGTGTTAGATAGGATAGCCATTTATGGAAAATGGATCAAGGTTCTTCAAAAAACTAAAAATATAACAACCATATGATCCAGCAATCCCACTTCTGGGTATATATCCAAAGGAATTGAAGTCAGTATATAGAAGAGGTATATGTTCTTTCACATTAATTGCAGCATTGTTCACAATAGCCAAGATGTGGAAGCAACCTTAATGTCCAGTGATGCATGAATGGATAAAGAAAATATGGTATATATACTCAATGGAATACTATTCATTCTTTAAAAAAAAAACTATAAAATTCTGTTATTTGAAACAACATGGATGAACCTGGGGAACATTAAGTTAAATAAACCAGGCACCGAAAGATAAATACTGCATGATCGCACTCATATGTGGAATTTTTAAAAGTCAAATGAACAGAAGTTGAGAGTACAATGGTGATTACCAGAGGCTCTCGGTTGGAGCTGGGGATGGGGAGGGGAGAATGGTGAGACGCACTTCCAGTGGCACTAAGTTTTAGTTAGATGGGAGGAATAAGTTTTTGAGATCTTTTACACAACATAATGACCATAGTTAATATAAATGTGTATTTCAAAATTGCCAAGAGAGTAGATTTTAAATGTCTTACCGCAAAATAAATAAATAAATAAGTAAGTAAAGTGCTGGGTATGTTAATCAGCTTGTGTTAACTATTCCACATTGTATACATATATTAAATGATCCCATTGTATCTCACAAATATATACAATTATAGTTTCCCAATTAGAAATTACAATAATAATAACAAAAGGTTTTCCTTTAGTAATGAGAGTGTAGTGATATAAGTCTTGCAGAAAGTAAGAAGTATACTGGCATCATGGGCCAAGCAAATAGCAAGCTCAGGAAATGTAGTAGAATCCCTAATATCAAAGGAACAAAAGCAATAAGTATCCCATGTCTAATTTGCTAGTGCCCTAGGAGGGGCAGTCCATGGACATTGCTGGGGCAGTAGTCTCAGTGTCTGGAGTTAAGCCACATCCAATGCAGCAATGAAAGCATCTCCAACAGCAAAGTCTTGGGCTGAGGTGATGTCATCTGGGAAGTGGATACCCACTTGAGTTGATGTGGGTTATTTTTAGGTGGCTCTATGTTATTTTATGAGGCTGAGCTAGTCATGGAATTTGAAGGCAACACTGGGCATGAGAGATTAACTTGCAAATATTTTTATTTTATTTATTTATTTTTAAATTTTTATTTATTTATTCATTTATTTTTTTGAGATGGAGTCTTGCTCGTCGCCCAGGCTGGAGTGCAGTGGCGCAATCTCGGCTCACTGCAAGCTCCGCTTCCCGGGTTCACGCCATTCTCCTGCCTCAGCCTCCCGAGTAGCTGGGACTACAGATGCACACCACCACGGCCGGCTAATTTTTTGTATTTTTAGTAGAGACCGGGTTTTGCCGCGTTAGCCAGGATGGTCTTGATTTCCTGACCTCGTGATCCGCCTGCCTCGGCCTCCCAAAGTGCTGGGATTACAGGCGTGAGCCACCGCGTCCAGCCTATTTTCATTTTTATTTATGTTTTTTGACATGGAGTCTCGCTGTGTCCCCATGGCTGGAGTGCAGTGGCGCGATCTCGGCTCACTGCAACCTCGGCCTCGCGGGTTCAAGCGATTCTCCTGCCTCAGCTTCCCGAGTAGCTGGGACTACGGGCGCGCGCCACAACGCCCGGCTAATTTTTTGTATTTTTAGTAGAGATGGGGTTTCACCATGTTGGCCAGGATGGTCTCAATCTTCTGACCTCGTGATCCGCCCGCCTCGGCCTCCCAAAGTGCTGGGATTACAGGCATGAGCCACTGCGCCCTGCCCAACTTGCAAATATTTTTATGGTCAGGGGATTTGGTGGGTACAAAGCAAATAAAGATGATGCCAGCATCAATGATACTGCCGTAATTGGACTAAAGCTTCAGAATACTACTGGGACAATGAAAGCTCTAATTAAGGGTTGCCAAATCTAAAAGCTCCTAATAGTCCAAAGTTTTGCCCATGTAGATAATGAGAGGAATTTTGCTAGCAGATAGGTTTTAAATCATATGGCCTGATATGTTGTCAATAGAGTACCAGTTTATTTACCAATTAAAATATCTGTGGCTGAGAGTAGAGTTCCAGCATTAATCTGTAGGCAAGCCCTCCAATTTCACCAATTACTAGGAGCTGTTTGCCTCAGCTGTTGGTTCAGTTGATGACAGACAAGCTATATTAGTCCATTTTCACACTGCTATAAAAAAACTACCCAAGACTGGGTAATTTATAAAAGAAAAAGGTTCAATTTATTTACAGTTCCACATGGCTGAGGAGGCTTCAGGAAACTGACAATCATGGCAGAAGGCGAAGGGAAGGCAAGGCACGTCTTCTCATGGTGGCAGGAGAGAGAGAATGAGCGAAGGGGAAGTGCCACTTTTAAAGCATCAGATCTTGTGAGAATTCACTCACTATCATGAGAGTGAAGGGAAGGCAAGGCATGTCTTCTCATGGTGGCAGGAGAGAGAGAGTGAGCGAAGGGGAAGTGCCACTTTTAAAGCATCAGATCTTGTGAGAACTCACTCACTATCATGAGAACAGCATCGGGGAAATTGCCTCCATGATTCAATCACATCCGACCAGGTCCCTCCCTTGACAGGTAGGAGTTACAATTAGACATGGGATTTGGGTGGGGACACAGAGCCAAACCGTATCACCAGCCATTGAGGTCTTTGGGGTCCCCAGCCTGTATTAGCCCAACTCAGCGAATGCAGGCCTCAAGATTTGCCACATTTGACTGAAAAATGGCCTACTTGGAGGGTTTGGGGCCTCTGGGTTGCAAACAAGTGAACGCACCCAGACCAACAGTAACAAGACCAAGAGTCAACAGAATATTACGTAGATGCATTCAGCAGGTCTTTCTTGTCTGATGTTGATTTTCCTCCACCTTTTATTATTGCCAAGTGAGGGTTTTCTGGTGTCTTCATTATGAGACATAGTGTTGATTTTATTATCTCCAAATGTAATTTTTAATTTACTAAGTGGAGTTTTATATCTCCCTTTTTGGTAGTCCACACTAAGTAGGAATGGCCCTGGACAACTAATGTAGTTTCCTAGAGGAGATTGGAAGGAGAGTCTGGATTAGTTATCCACCCTCTTATAATGCAAATTTTGGGAAGGTTTTCTTGGATGGTAGGAATTCAGGCTCAAATGGGTCCTACACTAGATGAAAAAGTGCCCGGCCCATGGGGCAGTCTATGGTGAATGGGTAGCAGGGAAGTAAATGCCCAATTTGGCTTACCTTTATGGGATGGGGGTAAGTTAAAAATATCCATGAAGATATCAAAAAATATCCATTTGATATGCTTTGGCTCTGTGTCCCCACCCAAACCTAATCTCAAATAGTAATCCCCACGAGTCAGGGGAGGGACTTGGTGGGATGGGATTAGATCATGGGGGCAGCTTCCCCTCTGCTGTTCTTGTGATAGTGAGGGAGTTCTTATGAAATCTGAAGATTTTAAGAATGGCAGTTTCCCTTGTGTGTGCTCTCTCTCTCCTGCCGCCTTGAAAAGGTACTTGCTTTTCCTTTGCCTTCTGCCATGACTGTAAATTTTCTAAGGCCTATTCAGCCACGCAGAACTATGAGTCAGTTAAACCTCTTTTGTTTATAAATTACCCAGCCTCTGGTAGTAGCTTTATAGTACTGTGAAAACAGACAAATAAAACATTTTTAAATGGCCTCATGTATTATGAGTCCTTATATACATGGAGGCAAGACATGTACATAGGAAAGGATGATGGGAAATTTTTTCAAATTTAGTATGAGGTATAAGTCAGCCAAGTGACCTTGAATTAAGAGAGGGTAAGAACTAGGGCAAAATAAAGATGCATTTAGGGGTACCTTGGTCATTTTGTAAAATAAATAGGGGCTCATGGAAGGGCTTCTTAGGTTCTAAATTACACCAGCTGTCTGGAACCTATTGGAGAGGTAAAAGTTCCATTGAATGAGCCCAACACTGGATTCTAAGAGGTGAAGTGTGTTCATTGATCACGACAAGTAGTGTGTAGAACTCGAAAAGGGATAAGGAGTGTCTGGGAAGCCTTTTAGTATGGCATTAATATATGTAGAAATGTCTATGACCTTGATTTATAGTTTGGGTATCCATGAGGCAAACTATTTCCAGAATTCTTTATCCTGAAGGGGACAACTTTTCAGCAATGGCCCAAGAGTTTGTAAAAATGTGCAGATGGAGCCATTTGTAGTTCAGGGCATCCAGTGTTAAGAAGACTGCCTGAAGTTTGGCAATTGTGCTGAACCTTTGGGTCCTACCCTTTATCAGGAGCATCCCAGTTGGCGGATAGAAACCAGCCACATTCCACTGAGTTCCATCACTTATGATGGTGACAGTGTCATCCATGTATAGTCTATGAACTCCCACTGTTACTTTCAGCTCCAAACCAGGGAAGGCCACCACACAAGGTTTGCACCTGAGGACACGGTAACAGAAAACTGGAGCTGTAGGTGACAGTTTATGTGTAGCAAATGGGGTGAGGTTAGCTAGGTTTCCAGGCTCCTTGTGGATTGGCTAATTGGAATTATTTTATGGACTCTGGAGCATAAGGGCTCTCCCTAGTTGTCTGGTATTATTAGCTCAGGTACTTAGTGGCCCACAGTGTGACAGCCCAACAAGAGAACTAGTTGGGATGTATACTTAACTGCTCAAGAAAGGGAACCGACTGGCCTACAGTCAGGGCCCCAAGACTAGGTTAAGACAGTGTTCCAAAAGAAAAATAAACAAAAAATATAGATATATTAAAGGGGGCTACAAAAGAGGAGCTGGAATGGCCTTAGCTGCAGGAGTAGACATCCTAGGACAGACAAATGGAAATCGTGGTCAGACCCCAGGCAGGTATTCAGCACTGGAGTGACTAGTTCACTGTTGATGCTTTTTGGCTGAGTTCATCCTCAAATGCCAACAGAGCAGACAGCACCTGGACTAAAATTGTCCCAATCATGGAGGTGAGAAGAGTCAGACAACACTGCAGAGATGAGAACTGCTACCCAATGTGCCAGAAGATCATATACATTCTACCTTCCTCCTCTCCAGCCCCCAACTGAGACCCAGATTGAGAGGGATATAAGAGAAGGATGAAGAACTCTCGAAAAATATAATTTTATATTAAAAAGCCAAGGAAAGACAAAATTACATAAGACACCTTTTAAATTATTGGATTGAATTGAATTTACAGGTTAGGACTAAATGATGTATTTTTTTTCTACACTCTGTATTGGTGAATTTTGGCCAACCCAAACAAAATAGACAGACAGGCTGATTTGAGTTTGCAGACAGCTGGGTCACATTCAATCTCTGGCTCAATTTATATTCATGAAGTTGATTGTTTTCCAATTGCTTTTAGTCAGTCTCCAGTACTTTCTAGACCCAAAAGATACATGTACACCCACCTGATGCTTCCTCATGGTTGCTAGGTAGACGTAGTTCCTTTAACCTAAATTCTCTGGGACTCACATAGTATAGATGGAGAACTTGTAAATATTGCCTGCAACACTTTGCTAACTACTGTACCTGTTTTGCCTTATCAGCCTTTCCCTCTCCAGTGGATGATATGTCTCATGCTATTGGAAATACCATCCCTTGATGCCATAACTCCCTAGAGTTACAACTACGTTCCTCTGCTCATTCTTAGAGCTGAATTCCATTGAGATTATGTCAATATTTATATCTATGTCTTCAGCTTCTATTATAAACTTATTTTTAAATATATCATCTTATAAATATATGTGCAGAAAGTATGTATAAAGTATGTATATAGCTTGCAGAATAAAATAGGAGAAATGCTAATATACTCACTGTCTAGCCTAAAAACTCAAATATTAGTAGTTGAAGCCTCCTCATACAGTTCTCTCAAATTCATTCTTTTTCCTCTCTCAATTATATTTTTAAACATTCTCTTTTTAACGTTTTCACTTTAGTGCCTACGCATCTACATATTCACTATATTGTTTAGTTGCTTTGTTTTTATTTTCTATAAATTAAATTATGCATATGCTTCTATGACTTGGTTTTGTTATCCAACATTATCCTTTTTGGAAATTCATCCATGCCAGTATGTTTAGTTCATGCCAGTATCTTTAGTTGATTTTTTTTTTTTAATTTGTTCTTACTAGAATAAGACTGCTATAGTAATTAGGATTAAGTTATGCTGAAAGTGACAGAAAACTGTCTGACAGAAAAGTGACAGAAAATAAATTTGCCTAAACAAAATAGAAATTTATGTCTCCTCCATATAAAAACCAAATAGGCAGTTCAGGGCCTATATTGTGCTCCACGTTATCAAGAACCCAGGCTTCCTTTATCATATTGTTTCATCATGTCGGGCCTCCAATCCCAATTTCAGCTTCATATTCACAATTGCACACGCAGTTTCAGCCATCATGTTGGCAGCCCAGCCATCAGGAAGAAAAAAAGGAAAGAGACAGCACACGTCATCCTTTAAAGAACACTAACCAGAAGTTACACACACTACTTCTGCTCAAATCCCACTGCATAAAACTAAGCCTCTCACCATGCCTACCTGTAGTCTTTATTCTGGTTGACTGTGGGCACAGCCAATAATCTGAGGTTTTAGTATTTTAAAAAGAGATGAGAACAGATCATGGGAAACAGCTAAAAATCTCTGCTAACCCTGCTGTGGATATTCTTATACAGGAATTATGGTGAATACATGCAAGGATTTCTCTGAGAGAGGAATGGCTAGGTCAAAGCATATGCACATATTTAAGACTATGGATAGGCCCAGTGCAGTGGCTCACGCCTATAATCCCAGCAGTATGGGAGGCCGAGGCAGGCTTGACCAACATGGTGAAACTCCATCTCTACTAAATACAAAAAATTAGCTGGGCATGGTGGGGTGCACACCTGTAATCCCAGCTACTTAGGAGGATGAGGCAGGAGAATCGCTTGAACCTGCGAGATGGAGGTTGCAGTGAGTCAAGATTGCACCACTGCACACCAGCCTGGGCAGCAAAAGTGAAACTCCATCTTAAAAAAAAACAAAACAAAACAAAAGATGACGGGTAAAGCAAATTTTCTCTACAGTGATTACTTAGTTTATACTTACACTTGAAATGCTCTTTATCTTCCCTGATACGTGGTAATTTGTTTTCTTTCTTCTTTTTTTTGGCAACCTGTTGTGAAATGTTATCAAATTGTAGTTTTAATGGCATCTCCTAATGATTAATGAAGTTGAATATCTTTTTTGTGATTTATGGGTAATTAATGTTTCCTCTTCTAGGTAAATATTTGCTCACATCTTTTGCCCATTTTTCTATTTGTTTGTCTTGTTAAAATTCTTATATTGGAATTATTTATATATTCTCTGTACTAATCCTTTATTGGTTACCTGTGTTACAAATATCTTCTTTTACTTAAGGGCTTTGCTTCTCACCCTTGTCTTGTAATTAAATGTTTGTAATGTCAAATTTTCTAGCTAAAATATCCTTTTTATCAACAGAGTCATAAGGTTATATTTTTAATACTTTAAAATTCTGTGAGGTAGGTGGATCACGAGGTCAGGAGTTCAAGACCAACCTGGCCAGCATGGTGAAACCCGTTCTCTACCAAAAAATAAAAAATACAAAATACAAAAATTAGCCGGGCGTGGTGGCGGACACCTGCAATCCCAGCTACTCGGGAGGCTGAGGTAGGAGAATCACTTGTCCCCAGGAGGTGGAAGTTGCAGTGAGCCGAGATTGTGCCACTGCACTCCAGTCTGGGTGACAGAGTACAAAAAAGAAAAACAAAAACAACAACAACAAAAAAATTCTGGGCTTCATGTTTAAGTCTCTATTGCATCTGAAATTACTTTTATGGCACAATAAAAATTAAGAATACTTTCTCAACATTTTTTTCTTTATGGAAAGCCACTGTCCCACACCATATATTGTACATATCCCTACAGATCAACAATTAGAGCTTTGTTATATTTGTGGGTGTGGGTGTAGGTGTGTGTGGTGTGTGGTGTGTGTGTGTTTGTGTGTGTATGTATGTGTGTGTATGAGAATGAAAGCGAGAGTTTGCTCTGGGTTCCTTGTTTGGTTTCAATGCTCTATTTATCTATCTGCGTCAATACCACATTATCTGAAGACTTCTGTTTGATCCTGATATGGCGTAAAGCAAATTAGCTCTATATGGTTCTTCTTCAGAAGTGTCACTTTTTAATTTTTGGTCCTTTGCTCTTGAATATAAATTTTATAATCAGCATAACGAGTTCCACAAAAAATTTTATTGAAATTGCATCGAGGCCAATTATCTATTGCTTCATAGAAAATTATTCTAAAACTTAGATGTTTAAAATAAGCACTAATTGTATTTTAAGCTCACAATTACGTGGGCCAGGCATTCAAGCAGGACTGAATTAGATGATACATCTGCTCCATGTGGCTTTGACATGCCACCTGTGGTATTCTGCTGTGGATGGACTGGCAGAGCATCCAAGATGGCTTCACTCATGTCAGGCATCTTGGTGGAGATGTCTGAAAGGCTGAATTTAGCCATTACTAAAGTGCCTGTATGGGGCTTCTTCAGCATATGTGTCCCAAGATAGTTGAATTTCTTACATGGCAGATTAGGGTGTATGTCAGACTAGGATACTCACAGGGAATATTTCAAGAGAGTAGCAGTGGAAGCTGTAAGTTTCTTAAGACCTGATCCCAGAAGGATCAGTGTTGCTTCCACCATACCTGATCAGACAAGGCAGCCATAAAGCTGACCCAGATTTAAAGTGAGGGGACATAGTCTTCACCTATCTGTGGAAGGAAAGTCAGAGAATGCATGGCTATCTTTAATCTGCCACAAATCTAAAGATTGAGAATAGACATCCTTGTAACATTGAGTCATCCTATTTAAGAACATATTTCTGCATTCACTAGGTCTTATATAATGTCATTTAAAATAAAGTTAAAAATCATTAATAAGGACCTTTGGCTTTTTCATTTGCTTTATAGATTTGATATCTTATTAGCTCCTCTACAAATAAATGCTCATGTTCTCATCAAAATTAGGGAAACCAGACCAAACCACGAATTTATTCAAATAAGAAACACATTTCCTGATTTCCAAAAAATACTAACTAAAGTTTAATAATTTTTCAAGTTTTATTCCAAATGTTCAATACTAATGAAACAATTTTTAATATACTAAAAATAATAACATTGGTTCATAACAAGAAGCATATATGTGTTTCCCTGATGTGTGTGAAGACTAGAACTAGTGATGATAGTAGCCAATGCACGTGTATTTGAGAGACTGGCCTGTGACGTATAATCTTTTCCACACAGTGTGCATGGGTTTGCAGCTGCAGCTGTTATTTGCAGAGCCTGGCACTATTTATGCCTCTGCTTCGTGTTCTCTTCAGAGCCCTTGTTCTCAAACAGTCACCCACCACTGATTGCCAAATACCAGGTTGAGCTGTCTGCCACTGCTGTTTTTCCTAGCCACTCACATCTTTGCCTTGTCTTTGAAGGCATACTTCAGTGTGCCTTGGAAAAAGTTTTGTCCCTAACCTCGTTTCTGTAGTGACTCTTCAACTCATCATGCAGTGTTTGCCAGATCTTCTTGCTATCATCTGTTCCCTACATTTGTCCAGCCCACTCCAATGAAGTAACAGCATTTTATTTAATATTATATATGGAATAACTATGTCATCCCTTCAGATAGTACGTTATACTGTACAAAGTGTTTTCAAATATATTATTATTTTAGTTGGATTCTTACAAATTTGTAATGTTACTGGGGAGTGGTAAGTTTATTTGTTGTTAACTTTTATTGCATCATAGCCAGATGCTGTGGCAGGTAATTTCTATGTAATATAATATTATATTACATTTAATTTTCCCCATACATTATCCCCCAGTTAACTGATAAAAAGCAAAGATGATAATGAGACTTATCTAAGTTCACACAAGAAGCTGAGACCTAGACATTCTGCCTCCTATTTCAGGGCTTTCCTACTACTCCATACCATCTTCTATGTCCTGTGGGTGATTTGCTTAAATAAGTGAGCTATAAAACTTCTGGCCAGGCATGGTGGCTAACGCCTGTAATCCCAGCACTTTGGGAGGCTGAGGCAGACGGATCATGAGGTCAGGAGTTCGAGACCAGCCTGACCAATATGGTGAAACCTCGCCTCTACTAAAAATACAAAAATTAGCCAGGTGTGGTGGGGCGCACCTGTAATCCCAGCTACTCGGGAGGCTGAGCCAGGAGAATCGCTTGAACCCAGGAGGCAGAGGTTGCAGTGAGCTGAGATCACGCACTCCAGCCTGGGTGACGAAGCGAGACTGTCAAAAAAAAAAAAAACAAAAAAACTTATATCACTGAGTTGTATAGCAATTTGCATGCCTTTTCTGCAGTACTTATCACACCACATAATTGTTATTTTGGGGTAAACCCAGACCCTTATTTGAGTTTAGGAGTATATCATAATTAATATCTTTTATCTGCAGCACTTAGAATGTGCACAATAAATATTTGATGAGTAAATCAAAGGATGAATATGACACTTAGAACAACACAACAACAATGTGTATACTTATTTAGAAATGGCATTTAAAGCCACATTGACATTCTAATTAAAAAAAAATACGTTGTTCTCTGTATTAGTGTAAGTCAAATCAGGAGAGAGAAACCACACAGGAATTTCCATAAGGAAAGTTTAATAAAAATAATTATTGACTAGTGCAGAGGATCGAAATATTGAGAGATTGCCTAGTAAGAAGTAAGGAGAACTCTAAGGAACATAATGAGTGCAGATATAAGAAGACATTTTCCTTAGGAAGAGGCATCTCCCACTCTGCTCCAGGGTTGAAATTAAGACCTTGCTGTGGAGGGCACAGCTGTAGCTCACTGGTGGACAAACCAGTTGTTACAGTGTCCTGCCCACAGAACTTGCTGGAAATCAGCCCTCTCGGATACTGGGAAGTGTTCACAGGAAGGTATTTCACCAGAGGCACTGGGCAACGAAGCCTTCTGAAGATGACCAGGGAAACTTCTGGATGCTGGCATTGCTGGCTGCTATGCACTTCAGGAGCCGGGCTCTGGGGAAGCTGTGGGAGCCAAGGCTGGAGAATCTCCCTACCTTAAAAGAGCTTGGTGTTGGAGAAGCCAAGCTCTGTGGGGCCTTGCTACTGAACACACCAGAGCCAAAAAGAAAACTTTTTTTTTCCCATTAGTGATAAAGCTTAATTCATATTGTGCCAGCTGGTAATAGAAAAATATTTAAAGGGCCCAAATTTATTTTCACAGAGTAGGCAAAAAGGATACATTTGGAGCTGAGAGGCAATAAATTGATCATTTATTCCTGATATCATTTTCAAGTCTCATCACATATTGTTGCTTTAATGGAAGACTGGATGGTTTTCTGTTCTTATAGAAAAAAGAAGAATGAATGATGGGAAAGTCTTCCACTCTATTATCCTAGTCCTAATATAGCTTATTTCATAAAGTGGTAAAAAGAGAAGCTTATGTGATTCAAACTCAAGGAAACACATTTCTTCTTGACTTACTATCTACAATATTTTTGACCCTGTATCAATTAACCTCACTGAATCATAAATAATTTATGTAATGGCTAAAAATGTCCTCATAGTGTGTTGGGAGATTTAAATGAAATAATCTTTATAATGCTCATGGCTAATTCCTGGCACACGTAATATTCTCTTTTCTAAGTGGTTTATACAGGTTAAATATCTTTTATCAGAAATACTTGAGACCAGAATTATTTCAGATATTTGATTTTTTTTTTTAATTTTGGAACATATTTACATTGTATTTACTGGTTCAACATTTGTAATCCAAAAATCCGAAATCCAAAATGCTTCAATGAATGTTTACTTTGGACATCATGTCAGTGCTGTTTCAAATATTGGAGCATTTGGGTTTCGGAATTTTGGATTACAAATGCTCTTACATCATGTTTACAGTATAAGATGGCCAGGCGCAGTCACTCACGCCTGTAATCCCAGCACTTTGGGAGGCAGAGGCGGGTGGATCACCTGAGGTCGGGAGTTCAAGACCAGCCTAACCAACATGGAGAAACCCCATCTCTACTAAAAATAGAAAATTACCCTGGCATGGTGGTACATGCCTGTAATCCCAGCTACTTGGGAGGCTGAGGAAGAAGAATCACTTGAATCTGGGAGGTGGAAGTTGCGGTGAGCCGAGATTACACCCTTGTACTCCAGCCTGGGCAATAAGAGAAACTCCATCTCAAAAAAAAAAAAAAAAAGTACAAGATAAGAGAACTAGTCTTCTGGTTAGTTTTTCAATGACTTTTAAAATCTGCTTGTGCTGTTTACCATGAGGAGTACTCAAGATGCATTTATTACCAAATTGTTATATTCTGCACAAAAATGGATCAACCTAAATTGGATAAACCTAGTTTCTTTCATTCCCTTAGTCATAAGACATAATCAAAGATATTTTGGGATCATGGCTACATCAGGTCAGCCAAATCTGTTAGGTAACTGGCAGTGTTCGCATATTAATAGGCCTATGTGCTCAGTGATTGTACCTCTGAGGTTATGTTGTTCTTTGCACCTTTGTTGTAATTGACATAAAACATGTCTATGATATCACTTTGTTCCCTAAAGTCATATCACAACCACATCAACAGTGGGTGATTTATGCTGCTTAGAAACTCTTCCGGAAGGGAACAAATTGAAATATTTGCAACTAGTAAAAAAAAGGATACAATACTATTTGCGTATGGGTTGGGTCAGATAAATCTGACTTTGAGAAATGTATTTGGAATGAACATGTGACTTTAGAATCTGCTTGCACTCTCTATGTCTGAGCTTTCTCATTTGTAAAATAAGGATAACAATACTACCTCATGGTATCACTATGATATATACATGAAATAACTTGTGTGAGGCATTTGTCGATTGGCTGTCAGGTGATGGCAGTTCAATAAATGGAATTTATATGTGATCTTTCTCTTCTTAGTTTTTAAAATGCTTGAAATTCTCTGTGTGCCTCTCTGTCTGTCTCTTTCTCATTCTCTCTGTCTCCCCCTACATATATATGTATACGTCATCTGTATAAGTATATATTATATAATCATGTAAATTTCATATAAACTGATTACTGCCTATCTCTTTTTATCTCATGTCATCCAACACTCCAAATCACTAATTTTCTCCGGCAATGATATTGACTTCCTGTTGCTTCACAGACCGAATTTATTCTCCCCTTCAAGTCTGTGCTCTTACTGTTCCCTCTGAATCCAATCATCCCCAGATAATCCACAGCTACCTTCTTTTTCAGCTATTCAGATATAAATTCAAAGTTTGCCTCTTCAAAAACACCTCCCCTGACCATGCGAACTTACCTACTTTTTCCTCATTCCCCAACCACCCTAGATTTAGTCACTTTATTTCCTTCATGGAAGTTACCACTATCTGAAATTACCTCAATCTCGTGTTCTTTCATTTTTTAAAATGTCTACCTAACCCACTAAAATGTGACGTCTCATTCACTATGCCTATATCATGTGAAATAAAATCACTGATTGTGTAAAATATCTCAAATGAGTGAAGGATTGGGACATCCTGAAATCTTGTAAAATTTCCTCACAGGCCTTCTAAAAGAGGGCATCTATTTGGACATTTGTGGAGGGTTAGCAATTTATGGGAAGAGATGAGACACATGTGTGCACTGAAAGTTCTGAGCCTCCATATGCTTTCTTTTCTTTTCAGTCTCAGTGTAGTCCCTATACTAGAATGTCTGATCTTGCTGCCTTGTATAGATCATATTCTCATTCTACATGAATAGTTTTGCACATTTAGTTTATGCCACCTGAACTAGATGTTTTTTCCCCCTGTTAATCCTTATAAGGATAAAAACAATCACTAGCCTTTATTGAGTGTTAACCACTTGCCAGCCACTATGCTAACAGCCTTAATGCCTCAGCACCTTTAATCCTTGAAACAACTTTATGAGGTAGGTATTTTATTTTTTCTGTTTTATTGATCAGGAAATTGAGACAAGAGATATTTGATAACTAGTCCAAGGTTAGCCAGCATGCATGTAGCACAGCTAGTGTAAGCTTAGGCAGGACTGTCTCAAAGCCCTTTGTTCTTCCCCACTGTGCTCCCAACTTTCAAAGATCAACCCGAAGCCCACCTTCCCTTTGAAATTTAGTCCACACTAGTATGGTTTCTTTTTTTCATCTTCTTTCCTAGTGCCAAAAGGCTCTGTGTATCTCATAGCCTAAAAATAATCACCCACTTCCTGGGTTATTAATACAATTCTACCAGAGTTGAATCTTGATTCCCACAGCATTTTGTGGGCAAAATTACGAGTCTTGAAGAATCACCTCAAATTTGTGCAAATGTTAACAAGAAAAGTGACAAAGATATATAGATAGACAGAAAAAAAACTTACAGTGTTCGAACATAATGTACTTATTGACTCTCAGTCTTTCTAGTAAAAATTTATAATTCCACGAAGGCAATATAAGAGTAGGAAGAGCCTTCTTGTCACTGGATCCTGATTTAGATGATTTTCCCATAGAGTCTCCATTGTTATTGTGACATAGCATTGTAACATTCAGCATTGCGCTCCCCTGTCAATCCTCTGCAGTGAACTAGAACATTAAAATGTTGTGTAAATTCTATCTTTCATTTTCTTCCCTCTCTATCACTTGGTTGACTGACCTTGAGATTTATTAAATCTGTTTTCATGTGCTTTTCCCATACAGGACTCCTTGGGTTGGCCTCTTATTTGCTTTTGGATGCTTTTCTGGGACTCTTCCCCAGCTTCCACCCCTTTCTGCATGTGCCTTTTATTGCTAGATTCTCACTTGGAACACAACTCTGACATTTCCTCAAGCAGTGCTTAGGAACTTAGCTGGATCAGCAAGATCAGTTCATGTGGGAATCATGAACATATTTTAAGCAAATTTAGGCAGGTGTTAGTTGTCTTTGTATCGTCGTTATTCCTTTACATATCTGTCTCCTAAACTATACTGGAAACCCCTCAAGAATAGGAAAAAAAATCACTTATTTCCCTTTACTTTCTGTACCTGCTACATAATAGGTAAATGCATAATGGCATGAAAAAAACATAGCATAAACTAAAAAATTATTTGTCTTTGTCAGTGCAGTAACAATTATTCCATTGGATTAATAGATTATATTGAAAAAGAAAGAAAACCACTACTTTTTCTAAACCTTCGGTGGAATTGGATTCCTTGTTCAGGCAATCTTTTGAGTTTCCTTTGTTGGAAGTTTTAGAGCATGAGAAGGTCTATTTTCTGCCTTAAATAAATAAATATTTTATGGTTAGCCTACAGGTATTGCCAAAAGTTAAAGAATATTACCAAATATACCAATAAAATAATTTTGAAATACTCGTTTATGTCTATATAAAGAAAATAAAAACAGGGTTTAGCTCAAGAATGATTCTCATATGTCTAAACACTACCCAACATAAGCATTAAAGTATATTAAAGAGTATCGGTTTCTGCAGTCAGAAGTTGGTTTAAATCCTAGCTCCTTCCTTTACTAACTTTATAAATCTGCCTAAGTTATAGGACCTTCTTGTGTCTCTATTTCTGCATAAGAAATGGGTACTAGGCTTAATACCTGGGTGATGAAATAATCTGTACAATAAACCCCGATGACATAAGTTTACCTGTGTAACAAACCAGCACATGTACCCCTGAACTGAAAATAAGTTAAAAAAAAAAAAAGAAATTGAGAGATAATACATCTATCTGAAAGGATGTTATAAAGATCAAATCAGATCTTTACATAAATAAATAAAGCATTTAGCACAATCCTTGGCAAATAATAAGCATTGGTATTGATATTAATGGATATCATTCAAATTAATACTATGTTCCCTCAGATAATTTGACATAAACTTGCCTTTTATAATTCCAGGCACTAGAGGTTGACTTCTAACCCTGACACCTTTTATTTCTGTTCTTTTCCTTTCCAGTCCTGTTGTATATAAGAAGTATCCTATGTCCACTAGCTGACTCTGTTATTAATAGTGAGGACCTGTTCAGCATGGTTTTCCTAAAAGGAAACTATCCAGCTTTCATTTGCATTTATATGACATGGTAGGTCTAATGCTTCTTTCAAATCAAAATGACTGTTTTTTTTCTGTGTAGGGTGTGTGTGTTTTGTTTGTTTCTTTGCTACTTTCAACTGGATTCTTTTCCTAAAAATCTTATGCAACAGTAGATCTGATTTTATCTTAAGTAACTTTGAGAGTAGTTTATGATTTTTGTGTTTGCTCCCTTTCCTTTCCCCCTCCGTGACCATCATCGTGTACAAACCTGCCCTTTGAAGAAAACAGACACCTTTACGTAGCCATACTGTTGGCCCCTCCACCACCAAGATTTTTTGCTAATATTGTGCAGGTAGTCATCACATGTCTGCAACTGTAATGTTATGGAAGTCATTTTAGAAACAATTGAAGAAATGTAAAAATGTAAATATCATTCTTGCTTTTATGGAGGTCACAATCTACTTGAGGTGACAAAATTGACACAGACGATTAATCTTACTGCATATCTGTAGTAATTCTGTGTGGTGGAGTAATTGTGTTCACTAATGCTCTTCTTTGTCATCTTTATGGGAGACAAGTCTCTGCACCCCCAGATGAGGACTGTGAGTATAAATTATTCTCTGATGTCACATGTGCATTAACTTTATATAAATTTATCCATGTATTTATTTAGCAAGTATTTATTGAGCCTTTCTAGGGTTGTTTCAGGAAGACCTTTCTGTCACATCACTTTACGTTTCTTTGATAAGAAGGTTTTTCTGTAACAGCTTTTTTCAATTTCTCACACATTCTGAAGAAAAGTGAAGCCTTCTATAGACTCTAACAAATGTTTACCACCCACCTTTGATGTTATCTTCTCTAGGAACTTTTCCCTAATAGCCGCCTCTACCTTTTTTCAAAGTCTGGATTCGGTTTTTCCACCTGTAAATTCTCACAGCCCCTTACTTGCCTCATGGCACTCTACAGTGAATGTTGCTGATTTATCTTTCTCCTCCACCAGACTTTTACTTTCTTAATGGCAATTTCTGTGTCTATTATCATTGTTTTCCCAGTACTTAGCACAGAGTCCAGAATGTAGTAGGAAACTTCCATAAATGCTTGATAAATTATACTTAGTGATACCTTTATCTTTCTGAAAGTAGATTCTGGGTCGGGCACTACATTTTCTTCCAACTAACAGATAACAGTTAAAGCCAGCATTCATCTCAGCTACATCTGAGGCAACCAAAGAAATTCCAAATGATGGAATGTGGCTGCATAAACTATATTTATGTGTTTAAATTCTACATCTACTTTACCACTTTAAAGCTAATTCCTTGATTTTAGGTTGCATTTTATTTTCTCAGGTTATACTCCAGAATATATATGCTCTTGTAGTTTTTGATAATTTGAAGTGACAGTGACACAAAAGTCTTGTATCTATGTGTCTGAAAGAAATGGTACATTTCTGTCTTTTCTAAACCATAGTTGACCTTGCTAAAGCTTTTGGTCTCATTGATGATTCAAGATAAAAAGCCAACCTATTTTTTGTATGGTTGTGTCTGACAAACTCCTGTATAACCCTCATATTTAGTTAACAAATCAATCAATACTTTAAGTTTTTAGCCTTATATCAATTTTTATGATATTCCTTTTACATATATCTTAAGTGATAAAGAGAAAAAAATGAGCAGTTTTTGAATAATCCTAATGTGCTTTAAAGTTTGCAAATGCTGATCTCGAGGCAGGAAAAAAATCACTTCACACAGACATTTTTTAATTGTTTTTAAAACTTCATCCTCCCCTCTTTTTATTAATCTCAGAGATACTAAAGAGACAAACCTTTTAGGACAAAAAAAGAAAAAACAAAAAAAACCCAAAAACACCTCACGGTTTTTCTCTGAGTTTTGGCTGTGACTTTAGCCATTGCTTTGTTTTATTGTAATCAGATACATTGGCATGAAACTACTTGTAACAGATTCCAAAAGTATATGCTGGGCTTTTTATTGGCATATCAAACAGGGAAGCATTCAGGCCATACATTAGCAAGCAGCCAAGTAATTAATAATAACACACGTGAAAGAAAATGAATATTTTGGTTGAGAATCAGAATGAGAAGTAAGACAAAGGCCTGGGATTCGTGTCCTTGCCCTCAGCAGCAGCAAAAATAATGTTATGAATAGCATTTAACTTGAATTTGCAGCAAACTGCTGCTTTTATCATAAACAATTGCCAGATGGTATACATTATCTTTCTTTTTTCTCCTTTCACAAAAGCAGCATTAATTGCAGAGCAGCCCAGGGCTCCACTCAGCTCATCAGTGTGATAACACTTCATGACCCTGATTAGCCGTCAGTCTACTCAATTAAAAAGATCATTTAGACATTCACCCAATCATTTGCCTATCGAGCCACCTGGGCCTCAACCAGGGGCTCCATTTTTAACATTCTCCTGCCCTCTCTCATCTTGCCTAGCTTTTTTACATATCTCCAAAAGACGTAATTGAATTAAATAAAGCGTCTCAGGGGCAGCTGCAACATCTGCTGTTTGTGGTATGTCAAGCCTTCAGCATTAAAAACAGTTACATATGCTCTAAATTAGCAGGTCGCAGAGATGAAACAGTCGATGATAGTGTTTTTGTGCCAGCGTGAGAAGCAGCTCACAGCTGTGTGCAATTTACAATTAAAGGCTTTATCAGAGCTCAATTGTACTAGTGAATCAAGTGGTGAGAGGTCAGTTAGTGAATTAGACCAATTAGAGCTTGTACAGTTAAATTATCTGTCTTATTACCTACTGATAAACAGCCTTGTCATATCTTTGCTGGAATGATGAAGCTGAATGAGTTTTATGAAGTGATAATACAAGTTCACTGTAGTGGAACTTAGTGATATGTGAATTCAAAATCTATAGCAACAAAATGGTTTTATATAACCTTTTAAAATAGCTATATAACAGGGAACTTTGAATTGGTTAAAACACTTCAGATTAAGTTCATCGTATCTACTTGTGAATGCATCTTCAAGTACAAGACTTTAAAAAAATACTTTGCAGCAGAATGACATGGATCTCCTAACTTTATTTTTACTTAATATCAATTTTTAAGTTTAAGAATTAATTTCAGTTAGAAGAATAGAGCAAAACTATGTCTGGAAAATTTAAGGACCACGCATTTCAAAATAATCCAAGAAAAGCATATAGTTTCATGGATATAGTGTTTTACTTTTTTGGAAAATACAAAATCGTCAGTCATTCTCATAATCAAAAAAAATATGCACAGTTCAGAAGTTGCAAATCCTATATATAGAACAAGCCACACCCGTTTTCATCCTTCTATACATACATGGATGGGAATTGATGAAAAGACTGTGTTTAAACATTCGATAATAAAGTCATTGGTGAATTATTTGTATTACAACTTTCCACTGAATGAATGCTCATTTTTCATTTAAACAGTCTCACGATTAGCAAATAACAAGAGGTATCCATTAGTACAGGTCTCATTGACTAGGCTGATCACCGATACCAATCGGACTAAAAAAGCTACACTCAGAATCATTCCTCAATCACTCATCAGAAAGTAGTATGGAGAATACATCTTAAATAAAGCATATTTAGGTCTCCTAACATACTTTTTCTTAGAGCAAAAATCCAAATTTTTAGTATTAGAAAAAACTCACGACAGAGATTTTAAATAATATTTGTTCATTGATTTACTCTTTATTTAACAATAACGTTTGAGTCCTTGGATTTATTTTATTAACCAAACTTTAGTTTTCTTAGACAGAAACAGTTATATTTCTCAAAAAACTGGGACTATCTTTTGCTTTCTAACAGGTTTCTGTTTGGAAACAAAATTTACTAAATCCAGTATTAAGGACTATAGTGAATCATACTCAATAATATACATGGGTCAAAAATGTACCTCTCTTTATATAAAAGTATTCCAAAGTTATTTAGTAACTAATATCCAATATTCTAGTAGTAAAATATGTTTAGAAAAGCATAATCAATATTCTCCTTTGAGAAGACACAACATTATCACAATATCAGTTTATCTCAAGTAAATGTATAAATATAATACTGGTTAAGATCATCAAAAAATACATTCATGAAATGTATTAGAATAACTTTCAAATGTACCTAGAAGGGGGAAAAAGCTGCAAAAGCATCAAATAAATTTTGAAGAAGATAATTGAGAAGGAACATATCCTGGAAGCTATAAGAATGAAAATAGTATATATATGGCATAGGCACAGATAAAGCAAAAGACTACACTAAGAAGTATATAATTAGATGTAAATTAATTTAAATATTTTATAAAACAATGTGGTCTTCCAAATGGATGGGATAATATGATTTTTATATGGTATTAGAATTAAGGACATTTTTAAAATTAGAATCATAGTCATACCATAGAATTAAGGGCATTTTTAAAGTTAAAATCATATTCATACCAAAAAATGTTTAAGTAGATGACGATTTAAATATTCGTAAGGAAATAACTTACTAGAAAATATGTAGAGAACTTAAATATCTTGGATAGATTAGATGGTGCCTTTCAAGTGTGACAGTAAAGGCACTGTTACACTTACTGTTGTAAGAAAATAGAAGCAGATTTGGCCACATAAAGTATACTCATGCTTTTACACTTAAAATTTTTTAAGTCACAAGGATAATGAAAAACTACACTGCAAAACAATTTTCAATATTATTACATACACAGATGAATTTTAAATCATATATATTTACCATTGGAAAATAAGCTAATGGAAAGAAAAAATTAATTTGAAAGTAAATACATATACAAACACATACAAATAAATATGTAAAACATCCTCAATATTCACAGAAATGCAAATTAAGACAAAGATTAGATGTTATATTTGACATACTAATTTGTCAGAGATTTTAAAAATAATAGTAATACTCGACAAAGGCAGAAAAACAGGAAATTACCTTCCTTCAATAAATGCAGAATCACTTCTGTAAAATAATTTAGTAAAGTTTAACAAACAAAAGGTTTTGATTTTTTGATAACTTATGGTTCAGCGTCCCACTTTTGGTCATTTTTCTTGAGTAAATTATATTAATCATGAGGCAAGAATACATCACATTGTCATAGAGTAGAACTTTGGAAATATCTTGGTCTCCCACAAATTAGAGATCAAGTTTAATAGGTAAGTGTGTAAGTATTTCTATAGCACAAAATTATATCCATACATTGTTATATTTTAAACAAATATGCTAAAATATGGAAAATATTATTGGTAGATATTATCTTTTAAAAGAAAATAGGGTAAGAAAAAAATGTTAAAATATTTAGACTATAAACAAAATATTCTGGTAGGATATATACCTATCAGACTTATGCTAGGTCTCATACCTACATTTTAATAGTATTTGAATGGTGGCAGAATATATGGTTAAATTTTCCTCTCATATTATAATTTTCTAAATGTTTTAGGTAAGCACTTATTTCTTTTTTAATAAGAAAAATAGTTGTGCGAAAATGACTTAAGCAGTTTGGGTTTCCAAGAGGTAGTAAACCTAGTAATGAGAATTTAGGTCTTACATGATAGAAAACAAAAAGTTATATTTTAATAGAAACAATACATTTAATATAAATCTTTTAAATTGTTAATTGTCTTACAAAATGTTATATTACTTTCCACTGAAAATATTAAACATTATTTATTATATCCATCTGAAATTTTGAGCAATATACAAATGATTGAAATTCCTTACTCTGTTTTGATTTTATTTTTATTTTAAATACTTATTTTTAAGTGAGATTCAGTTCTAGAACTGTTTTTGACTTGATGTGACTATGCTTGGCTTACCAGATGCCATTTTTCATATTTCCAATATGAAATTACTTATCATCAAAAAATTTTTATTAAAAGGGACATATAGTTTGCAGAAAGGAAATGTAAGACTTTAACATTAAACCAATGTTAATTATCAAACTAACTGGGACACATATATTTAAATTTACAAGTAAATAACAAACAGTGACCATTTTAGTTAGCCCAGATGAAAAGTTTAATTGTTTTAGGGAAATCAGTAACTTGAGAATGAACAGAAATACTATATATTTTCAAATACTTTGAGCTCTTCAAGAGACCACAAATGAATGCATTATCACTTTAATTGTGAGAAGATATGGCTTTAATTTGGTAAAATACTTTATAAGTTGGGAAATGCTGGAATCTAAGCTGAAAGACTGTGGATGAACTTTCAAAGTAAATGCCATATTCGATAAGGCACTACAAGATGAATTTTTCAGTCATTAGTGCAGTTGAACAGTGACTGAGAGAAAAACAGTGAATTAAGAAGAGATCTATAGGTTTAAAATGGGGTATTAAAGTTCCTTACTATTGCTTTACATATTTAGGTGCTGCAGTACAATAATTGTACATATACATGTGTGTATGTTTATTCCCAACATTTTACATATGTGTGTTTATATATAATTGCACATATATATGTGCAATTATATAAGATATATATAATTGCACATATATATACCATTATTACAACTTACAATGAATTGAACCTTTTATCATCATATAGTGATTGTCTTTGCCTCTTGTAACAGATTTTCAGTGCAAATCTGTTTTGTTTGCTTATAAATATAGCTACCTTCACTCTCTTTTGGTTACTATGTGCATGGAATAACTTTTTTCATCACTTTATTTTCAGCCTGTATACAACTTTAAGGCTAAAGTGGGCTGTTGTAGGCAGCATATTGTTGGATCTTGTGATTTTTTTTTTTTTTAATCCACATAACCACTGTGTGTCTTTTGATTGAATAATTCATTTACATATAAAGTAATTATTGATATGTAAAGATTTACTATTCTTATTTTTCTAATTGTTTACTGACTGCTTTATAGTTCTGTTATTTCTTTCTTCCAATCTCTCTGTATTCCTTTGTGATTTATTTAATTCTTATAGTGATAGATTTTAATTCTTCTCTCCTTATCTGCTTTTTACAAGTGTAATGATCAAATCAGAGTAAGTGGGAAATATACACTAAATTATTGTTAAATATAGTCACTCTATGTTCTACTGAACACTAGATCTTATTCCATCTCTCTAACTTAATTTTGAAGTCAAAACCAGAGAAGCACAGTAAGAGAGAAAAACTGCCGGCTATCTATCTCACTAGTAACCATACATGAATAATCTAAAATAAAATAATGACAAACGCAAAATGTCAGTTTAGAGCAGGGTTCCTCAAGCTACATGGCACTCAGGCCAAATGTCACCAGTGGAGCCTGTTTTTGAATGGCCTACAGGCTAAGAATGGTTATATTTTTTGAGAATTTTTTTTAAAAAAGAAGATGCCATGATACCAAATGATACCTACAAGGCCTAAAGTATTTATGATCTAACTTTACAGAAAAAATTATCAATCCCTGATTTAAATAAAAATTATAAAAGTTATATTCTTGTACATAATTCAGTATTCTTGGAGTTCTTATAAAAAGAGAAATATTTGATACAGAGACAGGAACACAGGTAGAACACCTTGCGAAAAGGAAATCAGAGATTGAGTGATGCTTTTGCAAGTCTAGAAACACCAAACAAAGACTGCCAATAAACCACCAGAAACCAAGGGGGAAACACATGGAACAGGTTCTTCCTCACCTCCCTCAGAAAGAACCAATCCTACCATCTGATCTCAGTCTTCTAACCTCTGGATCTAAGACAATTCTCCTCTTAACAAACAAACAAACTTCACACCAAAGAAAAGACATGATCCTGATGGCTATACTGCTAAATTTTTCCAAACATTTAAACTAAATTTTTAATTGATAACCTAATGTCAGTCCTTCTCAAACTCTTCCAAAAATTGAAGAAGTGTCTTAGGTCAATTGGTGTTACTGTAAAAGAACACTTATAGCTGGGTAGTAAAGAAAAGATGAGGCTGGGCGTGGTGGCTCTCTCCTGTAATCCTAGCACTTTGAGAGGCTGCGATGGATGGATCACCTGAGGTCAGGAATTTGAGACTAGCCTGGCCAACATGGCAAAACCCCGTCTCTACTAAAAATCCAAACAAAAAAAAAAAAAAAGAAAAAGAAAAATTAGCCAGGCATGGTGGCAGGAGCCTGTAATCCCAGCTTCTTGGGAGGCTGAGGCAGTAGAATTGCTTGAACCTGGGAGGCGGAGGTTGCAGTGAGCCGAGATTGTGCCGATGCACTCTAGGCTGGGTGACAGAGTGAGACTCTGTCTCAGAAGGAAAAAAAAAAAAAAGATCTTTATTTGACTCACAGTTCTGCAGCCTGTATACGAAGCATGGTGCTGGCATCTGCTTCTGGCAAAAGTCTCACACTACTTCTATTCATGGAGGAAGGCAAAGGAAAGCATTTATGTACAGAGATTACAAAGTAAGAGAGAAACCAAGATAAAGGTGGGGAGGTGTGAGACTCCTTTTAAAAATTTACATGTATACATATGTAACTAACCTGCACAATGTGCACATGTACCCTAAAACTTAAAGTATAATAATAAAAAAAATAAAGTAAAAAATAATAATAATAAAAAAATAAAAAAAAAATTTACTATTTTGAGAACTAATCCATTTCCTCCAAAGAACCAATCCAGTCTCGTGAGAGTAAGAATTTACTACCTCAAGAATGGCAACAAACCATATATGAGGAATCCATCATCATGATCCAAACACTTCCAACCAAGCTCTGCCTCCTAACACTGCCATACTGGGGATTACAATTCAACATGAGGTTTGAAGGGTCTAACATTCAAACTATAGCAAAAAGAGAACACTTCCAAACTGATTTTTATGAGGCCAGCATTACCCTCAAAGCACAGCCAGGTAATGAAACTATACAGGAAAATTACAGGACAGTATCCCATATGAGCATAGATTTAAAAAAATGGTGAATAAAATACTAACAAAATTCAACAGCATATTCAAAGTATCATACACCATGATTAAGTGGGACTTATTCCTGGGAATCAAGGATGGTTCAGTATATGCAAATCAATAAATATGATAGAACATATTAACAGAATGAAGTATAAAAATTATATGATCATCTCAATAGACTCAGAAAAAGCATTTGACATAATTCAACATCCTTTCATAATAAAAATGTTTAACAAATTATCGATAGAAGAATGTACCTCAACATAATAAAGGCTATATGTAACAAGCCGACATCTATCATCACACTCAGTGGTGAAAGCTGAAAAATTTTTCCAGCGTCAGAAATAAGACAAGGGTGCCCACTCTCATCACTTTCACTCAACATAGTACTGAAAGTCCCAGCCAGAACAATTATGCAAGAGAAATAAAAGGTATCCAAATTGAAAAAGGAGTTAAATTGCTTGTTTGCAGATGACATAATCTTATATATAAAATCCCTAAAGAGTCCATCAAAAAACTGTTAGAACTAATAAAATCAGGAAGTTTCAGGTAAAAAAATCAATATGGCCGGGCGCGGTGGCTCACGCCTGTATCCCAGCACTTTGGGAGGCTGAGGCGGGCAGATCACAAGGTCAAGAGATCGAGACCATCCTGGCCAACATGGTGAAACCCTGTCTCTATTAAAAATACAAAAATTAGCTGGACATGGTAGTTTGCACCTGTAGTCCCAGCTACTCGGGAGGCTGAGGCAGGAGAATCGCTTGAAGCCAGGAGGTGGAGGTTGCAGTGAGCTGAGATCACACCACTGCACTCCTGCCTGAGGACAGAGCGAGACTCCATCTCAAAATAAATAAATAAATAAAAATCAATATACAAAAAGCACTTTTGTTTCCATACACTAACAATGAACTCTCTGAAAAAGTAATAAAGATTAAAAATTCCATTTATAATGACATCAAAAATAATGAAATCCTTAGAAGTAAATTTAATTGGAGGAGAAAGCTCTGTACACTAACTATGAGACATTGATTAAAAAGAAATTGGGGAAGACTCAAATAAATGGAAAACTATGCCATAAACATGGGCTAGAAGAAATCATACTGTTAAAATTTCCATAATACCTAAAGGAGTCTTCAGATCAATACAATCCATATTAAAATTCCAGTGACACTTTTAACAGATTAGAAAGAATACTAAAATTATTTTGAAACCATGAAAGACACCAAATAGGCAAATACATTTTGAGGAAAAAGAACAAAGTTTGGGCTATCTCCTCAAACATAGTAGGATGGCTATTATCAAGAAAACAAGAGATAATAAGTGCTGGTGGAGGTGTGGATAAAAATAAATTCTTATACACTGTTTATGGGAGTGTACATTGGTACAGCCATTATGGAAACAGTATAGAGATTTCTCAAAAATTAAAAATAGAGCTACCATACAATTCAGCAATCCCACTACTGGGTATATATACAAAGAAAATGAAATCAGTATCTTGAAGAGATATCTGCAACACCTTTTTCATTGCAGCATTATTCACAATAGCCAAGATATGGAAACAAGTAGCCACCAATGTATGAATGGGTAAAGAAATTGTAGTACATATATAGGCATACTTTGGCGATATCATGGGTTTAGTTCCAGACCACCATAATAAAGTGAGTTACACAAAGTTTTTGGTTTCTAGTTCATATAAAAGTTATGCTTACACTATACTGCAGTCTATTAAGTGTGCAGTAGCATTATGTCTAAGAATAATGTACATATTTTAATTATAAAATACATTATTACTAAAAATGCTAATGACCATCTAAGCCGTTAGTGAGTCAAAATATTTTTGCTGGCGAAGTGTCTTGCCTCTGTGTTGATTGCTGCTGACTGATCAGGATGGTGGTTGCTGAAGGTTGGGGTGGCTGTGGAAATTTCTTAAAATAAGACAGCAATGAAGTTTGCCACATCAATTGACTCTTCCTTTCACAAAATATTTCTCCCTGGCATGTGATGCTGTTTGATAGCATTTTACCAACAGTCGATCTTCTTTTAAAATTAGAGTTAATCCTCTCAAACCTGGCTGCTGTTTCATCAACTAAGTTTATGTAATATTCTAAATCCTTTGTTCTAAATTTCAACAATATTCACAGTATCTTCACTGGGAGTACATTTTATCTCAAGAAACCACTTTCTTTGCTCATCCATCAAACGAAATTCCTTATCCATTCAAATTTTGTTATGAGATTGCAGCAATTCAGTCACATTTTCACAGCTCACTCCTAATCCTGGTTTTCTTGCCATTTCCACCACATTTGCAGTGACTTCCTTCACTAATCTTGAGCCCCTCAGAGTCATCCATGTGAGTTGGAATCAACTTCTTCCAAATTTTATTAATGATATTTTGACCTTCCCCCTTGAATCACAAATGTTCTTAAATGATATTTAAAATATATTTTAGATATCATGAATCCTCTCTGGAAGGCTTTCAATTTGTTTTGCCAGTTTCATCAGACAACTCACTATCTATGGCAGCTGTAGCCCTATAAAACTGATTTTTTTTTTTTTGACTTGAGGGTCAAAATCACTTCTCACTCCGCGGACTCCAGAATGAATACTGTGTTTGCAGGCATGAAAACAACAATGATCTCCTTGTACATTTTCATCACAGTTCTTGGTTCTCTCATTGCATTGTCAATGAGCATACTATTTTGAAAGGAATCTCTTTTTTTTTTGTTAGAGCAGTAGGTCTTAACAGTGAGTTTAAAATATTTAGTAAACCATGATATAAGCAGATGTACTGTCATCCAGGCTTTGTTCTTGCATTTACAGAGCACTAGCAGAGTAGATTTAGCATAACTATTAAGGGCCCTAGAATTTTTGGAATGGTAAATGGGTATTGCCTTCAACTTAAAGTCACCAGTTGCATTAATCCCTAATGAAAGAGTCAGCCTGTTTTTTGAAGCTTTGAAGCCAGGTATTGACTTCTCCTCTCTAACTACAAATGTCCTAGATGGCATCTTCTTCCCATATAAGGTTGTTTTATCTACAACAAAAAAATCTGTTATTTAGTGGTTACCTTCATCTATTATACTAGCAAGATCTTCTTGATAACTTGCTGCAGCTTCTGCATCTACCCTTGGAACTTCACATTGCACTCTCATGTTATGAAAATGGCTTATTTTCCTAAATGCCATGAACCAGTCTCTGCTACCTTCAAACATTTTTTCTGAAGCTTCTTCATGTCTCTTAGCCTTCAGAGAATTAAAGGAAGTTAAGGCTTTGTATTGGGCCTTGGCTTAAGGGAATGTTGTAGCTGGTTTGATCTTTTATCTACACCACTAAAACTTTCTCCACATCAGCAATAAAGCTGTTTCACTTTCTTATTATTCATCTGCTCACTGGAGTAGCACTTCTAATTTCCTTCACAAATTGTGCGTTTGCACTCACAGTTTGGCTAAAGTTTTGTCACAGAAGGCTTTACTTTTGGCCTGTCTTGGCTTTTGACATGCCTTTCTCATTAAGCTTAATCATTTCTAGCTTTAGACTGAAAGTGAGAGATGTACAGCTCTTTCTTTCACTTGAACACTTAGAGGCCATTGTAGGGTTATTAATTGGCCTAATTTCAATATTGTTGTGTCTCAGAGTATAGGGAGGCCCAGGGAGGGAAGAGAGACAGGGAAATGGCCACTTGGTGGAGCAATCAGAACACACACATATATTGATTAAGCTTGCCATCTTTAATGGAAGTGGTTTCTGGCATCCCAAAGCAATTATTATAGTAACATCAAGATCACTGATTATAGATCATCATAATAGATATAATATTAATGAAAATCTTGAAATATTTCAAGAATTACCAAAATATAACGCAGAGACACAAAGTGAATACATGCTCTTGGAATTATGTTTATTAATCCTTTTCATGATTTGCCTCCACATTTCATAGAAAACTGATAGGATTTTCTGTGTTCCCATTAATACCACCTCTTGTCTACAGCAGAGGTCAAGTCACAGCACATTCCCTATCATGCTTCAGACCCTCTCTCAATTTAATATAGCCTGTCAAATTCAACAGGAGCTGAAAGAATTTTAGCCCAATAATCTGAAACTCAGCTACCACTTGTTAAACAGTCTTTAAATTTATGCCTTAGTCCTCATAATAAAATGTTATCTGTTCACAAGATACTTTTACCCCAATTCTGATAACTCGATTCCCATTTCATTCACTGTGCCTGAATCACTGGATGATCTATGGATATAGAGAAACCATATAAACAACAGTATAAAACAAAAAACTCTAAACAAGTAGAATAGAAGCCAGTGAGCCTTTACTCTAATATTTTTTATAATATCATGTATCGACCCAGTTTGTAAGTGAAGTATAAGTATTCCTTTCTAAATAAATATCCAGATTTTAAACTTCCAAAAGCGTTATGGAACACAAATAATATAATATGAAATAAAAGTTATTAACTATTTAAATAACAACACTGCAAAGGGAAAGTCTTCTCACCATTATATAATCCTCATTGCTAGATGATTGTGGGATCAATCATGGCATTCTCACATTTCTCCTGTGCACTATCCAGGTGCTTACCTGTACATCTATTTTCTCTCTCTTTTCCCTCTAACTATTATCTGAGTTTAGGAAAATCACAATCAGAAAATGGTTATTCTGTCCATCACAGCTCTTCATCTACTCCTGCCTCGGTTTTTTCTTCTGGAAGAGGAGACAAACAGTCTGCATTTTCAGGCAGTTAAAGGAAGTCCGTGCAGAGGGAACATTAACATTAGCAATGTCCATCATGCTGAATGGGAATTCTAGTAGAGAAAAGAGGGAAGCATAACTTGAACTTAAAATCATAAGAGTTCAAAAGCAGAAATCAGAAGCTAGGATACAGAATCAGCAATATGAGAGAAGAGAATCAGTGGGTGCGTGTCTACCTAAAGCAATTTCGTAGACAGTCCATGCTGTCCACCATACATGACTGTTGAAGATGCCATCTATGGTGTTGTCCGTAGACAACTCTTCTGAGTCTAGGAAGACAGAGCTAGCACACTTGTTCTGCCTAGTAGTTCAATGGGGGACTCGGCACAGAACACATTCGTGACCTTCTCTATGTGACCCTTATTTTTGAATGCTCTTGGAAATTCAGGCATATATCCTGCTTCTAAATATTTATTCTGCTGTTAAGGAGCAAAAGACATGATGCATTAGGCCTAGCATATAAAACTTGAAAATGTGTAGTACTATGACCATACATAAAGGTGGTAGGGGGAGAATGAGAGACAGGCACTTATTTCATTATTGAGAAAATATGAAAATGTGCTCAGGACAATCTAAATGCATTTGAGTGGATGGTGTGTAATGTATTGTTTCAATATTCTGGAAGCCAGTTGGACATACTACTTACTGTCTGGTTTTATGAAAATTCATGTTTGGAATTGTCATATAAAACTTATCACCATGGGCAAAGAAAAAGGAAAATGGCAGAAGCATTTCTAATTTCTGTTTGACAACTGGACAAGGTGCATGGCATGTATTATTTCACCCTCTCAACAATCCTATAAAACTGTATACTAGTAATTAGTATCCACACTTTACAAATGAGGAAACTGAGACCCTAAAATGTTAAATGATAGCTTGTTTCAAATATACACAAATCTGCACTCTCAAGTGATATGGAAAGATTTTAATAATAACTATTGCAATAGAAAAAATTGTCCAGTATAGACTGAACTCAGCTTTAATTTGTATAGAAGAAAAAGTCTCCAGTGTAGACTGAACTCAGCTTCAATTTGTATAGAAATTAGTGAGTATTTAAATTAAGAATGAGGGAATAGGGAGAGGAGAGAGTTAGGGATCAGTTGAATCAGGGAAGTGAAAAATTACAAAGGGTCACCCAGAGTAAATGGTATTAAGCTAGCTCTGTCTGCCAGCAAGCAATTATCAAAGTTAGTATTCTATCCTCACACAGAGACGGGAAGACAGAGGCCCTATCCTCAGGTGTTGGCTGAAATCAACTGTAAAATTTTGGGGCCAGACTTGAGTCTTCTCAGGCAGGCACGTTAACGGGGGCTTGAATTATGTTAGGGATGTGGCCTTGAGCTGTTAGAACCTATGTTAATGTTTTTTCAAGTCTTTATAGCAAACGTGGAGGCCTAGTCAAGAAAAGGGCTCAGAAGAGCCTGGCTTACGTTTGGTCAAGGAGAGAAATTTCTCGCTTAAGAGTACATATCATAACTAGCCAGTGACAAATCTACTCTCGAATTAAGTATTAAGGCACTTTCCAAAATATATGCATTTAAACAGTACAAAGTGTTCAAGACAAGTGATTTCTACATGAACCACAACTCAAAAATTTATTTCTTAGAAAAATCATTGCATGACTCTTCTGGATAACATAACTTTTCCAAAAAGAGTATTAGTGTTATATATATAGTGGGTCAAACAAAAATGATGAAAACTCAATGCTCTTTGGTTTTCAGCTGTTTGCATCCAAATGAAGACACATTTGGCAACATTAATTGAATCCTTATAAAGGGCCTAGATCATACCACTCATTCTTCAAAGCACTGGGAACATATGACACAGCCAACAGAAAGCCTTAGCTTTTCATGGATCCTGTGGTTCTTGCTGCCATATAGGAAACATTCTAAAGTTTGCGCTTGGAAGCAGCAGTGTGCTCTCTCTAAAAATTATTTACATATACATATGTATGTAGATGAGGATTGTGTTTCCCGTGTGTGTGTGTGTGTGTGTATTTTTTTTATTTTTTTTGAAAATAGAAATCTCAGTTCAATAAAGAAAATGTGAACTATGTTTCAAGAACCCTCCCATCGTGGTGATTTCGGGGATATCACATATATTCCTATGCTTTCTTATGGGTAAAGAATGGAGACAAGGGTTTGCAAGATACTATAATGCTAAGCATTAATTTTTATCAAAATAAGACTTTAAAACAGCAAGCAACTGTCTAGTTGTAAATATTTGAACTTCTTGCAACATCTTAATTGCCTCCTTTAAGAACTTTGGGAAATGGACCCTACATTGTAAAGACAGGATTCAACAAAGCAGAATGTTGCTCAAAAGCTGCTCAAAAAGCAAACCAGTGTTAAGGTGATGATTCCTTCGTGCGTATTGTTCTATTCACTATACATTTGTAAGTGTCATTATTGTTCTGAACCATTTCAGTAAGTTGATTTCACTAAGAAATTGTTTGAAATTAGATTCCATGTTTTTATCATTTTTGCATCCAATCTCTTGGCTGGTTTAGAAAATTTCATTTGCTTCTCGTGAAGTACAAGACTGAAGATTCATATTGCACATAAAAAATTAATTCTTGGTCCATTATTATTTTCAACCTGTGTTAATAATGTATTAGATGAGTTTATTGCATAGATGTGAATGTATAGATGGGCACATTTTGGGTTAGACTGGTCAGATGTGATTCTGAGATCACTCTTATTCCAAACCAAATTTAATGCTATTGGTTTAATGTTTTAAGAAATATGACTCTCAGTTCATAAGAGGGGTTTATTCAAAGTGTATGTTGTTTTAGTAAAGGCTATATTTCTGATATTGATTAAGCCATCTTCCACTGGTGTACGAATGATTAATTCACTATTAAATCTTAGGACATGAGCAAGCCACAGGACCAACATTTTAAAAACTACCAAAGTACAAGTACAACTGTATAAAAAGGACATAAAAGCCTAATATACAGCTTTCCTAATATTATGTCTATTTTAACAGTATATAAAATAAATACTTTTTAAGATTTAAAAAATTGCACTTAAATAATTATATTCAAGGAAACATTTATCACCCCTAGTGTATCTACTGTATACAACAGTACTCCAATTTTTTTCAAGGAAATATAAATCTTTTATTCCAAGAAATAAAGTCATGGGCTACAAATAAATAAAGTAAAAGCATAAGATAATCTTCTTTAGAAGTTCTTAAGTTCTTTAATAATAAACTTCTCATTCCTAAACATCTATTTAAAATAAATGGTGTGAAAGCCTGACAAGGACTCTGTACCTTTATATTTGAGTCCTTGTGGATGAACTGTAACCTAGCTTAATAGGCAGACAAGATTGAAAACCTAACTTAGAAGTATGTGCCTGTAACAATAGCTGAGTCTTGGCCAATAGCAGCAGCCATACTTCAACCACTCATACATTGCTAAGTGTTCAAATAAGGCAAATGCCAACCTCTAACCAATCCAGCTGTTTCTATATCTCACTTCCAATTTCTGTATGTCTCTTCCCTTCTTTCATCTATAAATCTTCTTCCACCACATGGCTGCATGGGAGTCTGGCTGAATCTGCTGTAATTCTGGGGGCTACTCAATTCGTGAATGGTTCATTGATCAATTAAACTTCTTTAAATGTAATTCACCAGAAGTTTTTCTTTTAACAATTGTTTACAAAGAAGTATTTTACTTTTCTACTGAATTATTTTATAATTTTACCAATCTAAAATACACACTATTGATATCATATTTTCAAATTTAAATACCTCTGGTAATCACTTCTTAGAATTTTGAAATGGAAACAGTATTAGAACAAATTTGAATCATTTGAATATAACTCTCTTTTCCATATCTAGGCTACTGGGTATTGTGAGGAAAAGTCATACATCTATGAAGATTGGTACATTTTCATACTCACTATCTCCATAAGCCCTCCATACTAGCACAGTGGCACCAAGTGTTCTGTTTTACACTGAACCTCTCTTTTTTCTTCTGTAGGGTTTATTGCAAACGTATTTTCCTCTCCTGAAATGTCCAAGACCACTAGAACTGTACTAATCTCACAATTCCCTCTGTATTTACTGTCCCTCAGCTCCAGAAATTTACCAATAGTTTATTTTTTGACAGAGGGCTCAAAATCTCCTACTTATCTTTTCAATTTCAACTTAATTTCATTTATAAGGTCTTTGATTTATTCATTCATTCAACAATTATTTTCTGAGTCCTTATAATATGCTGGGTATTGATTTAGGTACTAGTTATAAGATGGTGGTCAAAGTTTCCACAGTCTCTAGCCTCAGTGAGTTTTATCATCTAGTAAAAAATATAGCAGAGTTCCAATTTGCCAGTCTTACAGTTTTCTGGGACTACTATCTCATAAAGCCCGATTTGACTGTCTGTGGACTTCATTTGCAGGGAATTCAACTTGCTAGTAATCAACAGGATAGTGGTAGGCAGGTATGCCCTTTGAATCATTGTTCTGCCAAGCTATCTCTTTTTTTTTTTTTTTTTTTTTTTTTTTTTTTTTTTTTTGAGATGGAGTCTCCTTCTGTCACCCAGGCTGGAGTACAATGGCATGATCACGGCTCACTGCAACCTCCGTCTCCCAGGTTCAAGCGATTCTCCTGCCTTAGCCTTCTGAGTAGCTGGGATTACAGGTGCCCACCACCATGCCTGGCTAATTTTTTGTATTTTTAGTAGAGATGGTATTTCACCATGTTGGCCAGGCTAGTCTCGAACTCCTGACCTCAGGCTATCCACCTGCCTCAGCCTCCCAAAGTGCTGGGATTACAGGTGTGAGCCACTGCTGCCAGCCAGCTATCTCCTTTTTTATCAGCCATGACCAAGTGTTCTCTTTCCTTAGCTATAAGATTAAGAACCTCCACTTCAATGCAACTAAGTTTATAACAACAGATGGCTAGGATATGGTGTTATAGGTGGATAACAACCAGATTTCCAAAGTGGAAGTTTTTCAATAATTTTGATTTTCCCACTAATCACAACTAATGTGTAAAGGCCTTTTAGACCTACCCAAGATTATCAGTCAAGTCTTATGTTCCACTAAACTCTGCTTAGAACTTTACCTTCCAACAGTATGGAAGCTTTTTATTTCACTGCATCACATGGAAATTATGCAACATCTTTCACTGGTGTACAAATGATTAATTCACTCTTAAATCTGACGACACATTAGGCATCTAAACATGTTATTACCATTTCCTAGAATACCCTTTTCTTCTTTGTTGATTTATGTTTCAAGGCTAGTGTTTTGTTCTGTAATATTATCTCAAACCTTGTACATTTTCTGTTGTGTTCACTATTCCAGGATATCTTCTGTGACCCCTCCATATATGTTGATTGTTATTCAAGACAACCAAACTCTTGTTTTGGTACTTGCTGCACAGTAGTTAAATAATCCCTTTTGAAACAGCTTCCCAGAAAAAGGACATGACATTATTTACCTCCTTAACCTCGATGCTTGGAACAGTGGATGCTAAGTAAATATGTGGTGAACTAAAATTAGCATATATAACCAAAGACAGACTCACTGAGTTTTGGCCATATAATTGGATCAGCTTCTGTAGTGTATATATTGTGTATTTTCAGTACTATAATATGGAGAGTTGGTCCTTTCCAAAGTGTGATTGGTGTGCCAGAATTTAAAAGTATTCCCTTGATTAGAAAATGTGTTTAGTTTCTGTAACCAAAACATAGGAACCCACTTCTCAGCATGACTATAGGTTTTTCAAATGTGAATAAGTCATTATCCTGTATCTAGAATATTGAATTTCTTTATCTTCCCCTCCTGGGGCAACAGTTGATGTAATTATTCACGATGGAAAAATGCATCCTCCTCAGCAGATTTGCAGAAACTCTTACTTTGGTCACACCTGTCTGGGAAGAGTGGTATCCTGCTGAATCAGTCAATTTCACTGTTATTCTCAGCTTTGAGTGGCTTAATTGTCAAGGTATTCTAGGGCACCTTTACAGCAGGGTTGACAACTTTTTGTCTGATTTTCAAGGACAGGTTGAAAAGAAACAGTGAGCCTCTGTTTGTCTCAATATCATTGTTTTGCACAGGGATATGCAGCTTTAATTTCACATATTTGGAAAATCTAGGTGACATTTTAGAAATACGGGATTATAATTACCAGTGAGTTTCTCTCTTGTCTTAGGCAGACAATAAATACACTGAAAACTTTGTGACATTTTATAGCCAGTGAAAGGCTATTTCTTCTTATGTCATTGATGAACCAGGGTAACTTAACTGTATTTTTTTAAATGAAGCACAGATTATATGAAAATTAAAATTAATTTACATTGTTTTGTATAGTTATAGTCTATAAGATTTCCAAAGTTATGTTAAAAGTCCAATTTGATCCAGTATTTAAATTCAGAAATGCCTACTTATATTTGGTTATTCACGAAAAGAACACCTTTTTTTTTTTTTTTTTTTTTTTTTTTTACTATTAAGCTAGGGATGGCTCTGGCCTCTGAGGATGTATCAGTGAATAAGTTTCAGCATTCATAGAACTTGCACTTTATATGGAAGGGAGATTAACACAATATTTTTTTAAAGGCTGGAGATGATGACAAGTGCCATAAAGATAATATTCTGTTTAAATGAATAAAGGGGAACTAGGATACAGGATGGTCAAAAATCCCTTTAAACAGATGACATTTGAGCAGAGACATGAAAGAATAATGAATAGCTTCCAACCATTTAAATAGCTGAGAAAAACAAATCCAAGTAGAGAAAAATAGCAAATGGAAATTCCCTAAAAATAAATGGGTTTGGTCTGTCAGAGGAACAACAAGAATGCCAGAATTGCTAGAGAGTAGATGTGAAGCAGCAGAATTAGAGATGAAATCAGGGGAACACATGGGAAGTTGTAAACCATGGAAAGAAGTTTGAAATTTATTTAAGTAAAGTAAGAAAATAGTTGAAGAATTTTAAGGGAGGGAGTGTTGTGATATGGTTTGGCTGTAAAAGGTAACTTTTCATAGCATTCGTTGATGTATATATACCACATTTTCTTTATCCAGACTATCATTGATGGGCATCTAGGTTGACTTCATGTTTTTTCTATTGTAAATAGTGCAGTGATGAATATACAAGTGCATGTGTCTTTTCTTTTGGGTATATATCCAGTAATGAGATTGCTGAGTCAAAAGGTAGCTCTGTTTTAAGTTCTTTGAGAAATCTCCAAGCTGCTTTCCACAGTGACTAGAAATTTTTAAGCATCCCCTTTCCTCTGCAGCCTTCCCTTTCCTCTGTAGCCTGGCTATTACCAGAAAGTCAAAAAACAGCATTTGAATTTTTAATAGTGTCCATAATAATGAGAGACTTCAACATTCCAATGACAGTATTAGAAAGATCATCGAGGCAGAAAATTAACAAAAATATTCAGAGCCTGAACTCAAGATAAGACCAAATGGATCTGATAGACTTCTACAAACTCTCCACCCCAAAACAACAGAATATACATTATTCTCATCTAAAATCAACCACATAAGGCCAGGTGTGGTAGCTTATGCCTGTAATCCCATCACATTGGGAGGGCAAGACGGGCAGATTGCTTGAGCTCAGGAGTTCGAGACCAGACTAGGCAACATGGGGAGACCCTGTCTCTACTAAAAATACAAAAAAATACCTGGGTGTAATGGTGTGTGCCTATGGTCTCAGCTACTTCAGGAGGCTGAGGTGAGAGCATCACATGAGCCTGGGGAGCAAAGATTACAGTGAGCCAAGACTGCACCAGTGAACTCCAGCCTGGGTGACAGAATGAGACCTTGTCTCAAAATAAATAAATAAATACATAAACACAATAACAAATAAATTCATAAATAAAATTGGCCACATAAATGAACATAAAACAATCCTCAGCAAATACAAAAGAACCAAAATCATACCAAACACACTCTTGAACCACAGCCCAATAATAATAGAAGTCAAGGGTATGAAAATCACTCAAAACCATGCAATTACATGGAGATCAAACAACATGCTCCTAAATGACTTTTCCACAAATAATGAAATTAAGGCAGAAATCAAGAGGTTCTTTGAAAATAATGATAACAAAGGTACGTACAACATACTAGAATCCCTGGGACACAGCTAAGGCAGTGTTAAGTGGGAAATTCATAGCACCAGATACCCATATCAAAAAGTTAGAAAGTTCTCAAATTAACAACTTAACATCACAACTGAAAGAATTAGTGAAACAATAAGAAGTCAACCCCAAAGCTAGCAGAATACAAGAAATAACAAAAATCAGAGTTGAACTGAAGAAAATCGAGACATAAAAAAGCATTCAAAAGATCAACAAATCCAGGGGTTCCTGTTTTGAAAACAATAAGGTAGATAGGCCACTATCTAGACTAATAAGAAAAGAGAGAAGAATCAAATAAATATAATTAGAAATAACAAAGGGAATGCTACCACTGACCCAAAAGAAATAAAAACAGCCATCAGAAACTAGTACGAACACCTCTATGAACACAAACTAGAAAACGAAGAGATGGATAAATTCCTGGACACATGCACCTTCCCAAGACTGAACCAAAAAGAAATATATTCCCTGAACAGACAATAATGAACTCCAAACTTGAATCAGTTATACATACTTTAGCAGCCAAAGAAAGACCAGGAAATGATGAGTTCACAGCCAAATCCTACTGGATGTACAAAGAAGAGTGGGTAGCATTCCAACTGAAACAATTCCAAAGAATTGAAGAGGAGGAACTCCTCCCCAACTCATTCTATGAGGCCTGCATCATCCTGATACCAAAACATGACAGAGACACAACAAAAAAAGAAAACTTCAGGCCAATATTCTTGATGAACATCAATGCAAAAATCCTCAACAAAATTCTTGCAAACCAAAATCAGCAGCACATCAAACAGCTGATCCACCATGATCAAGTAGACTTCATCTGTGGATGCAAGGTTGCTTCAACATATGCAAATCAATATATGTAATTCATCACATAAACAGAACAAAAAAAGAAAAACCACATGGTTATCTCAATAGATGCAGAAAAGGCTTTTTATAAAATTCATCACCACTTCATGTTAAAAACTCTCGACAAACTAGGTATTGAAGGAATATACCTCAAAATAACAAGAGATATCTATGACAAACGCACAGCCAACATCATACTGAATGGCTAAAAGTTTTCATTTGCCTTGAAAACTGGCACAAGACAAGGAGACCCTCTCTCACCACTTTTATTCAACAGAGTATTGGATGTCCTAGCTAGAGCAATCAGGCAAGAGAAAGAAATAAAGGGCATCCAAATAGCAAGAGAGGAATTCAAACTACCTGTTTACAGAAGACATGATTCCATATGTAGAAAACCCCATTGTCTCAGCCCAAAAGCTCCTTCAGCTGATAAACAACTTTGGCAAAGTTGCAGGATACAAAATCAATGTATAAAAATCACTAGCATTCCTATACCCCAACAACAGTCAAGCTGAGAGCCGAATCAGGAAAACAATCCATTCATGATTGCCACAAAAAGAATAAAATACTTAGGAATACAGCTAACCATGGAGGTGAAAGATCTCTGCAATGAGGATTACAATACACTGCTCAAAGAAATCACAGAAGACACAAACAAATGGAAAAACATTCCATGCTTATTAATAGAAAGAATCAGTATCATTAAGATGGAGGTACTATTGAGAGCAATTTTACAGATTCAGTGCTGTCTCTAACAAACTAATAGGGAAATTATTTATAGAACTAGAAAAAAAAAACCCTATTTTTAAATTCATATCGAACCCAAGAGCCCAAATAGCCAAAGCAATCCTAAGCAAAAAGAACAAAGCTGGAAGCATCACATTATCCAACTTCAAACTATACTACAGAGCTACCATAACCAAAATATCATGGTACTGGTACAAAAACAGGCACATAGATCAATGGAACAGAACAGAGAGCCCAGAAATAAGACTGCATACCTATGATCATCTGATCTTCAACAAAACTGACAAAAACAAGCAATGGGGAAAAACTTCCCTATTCAATAAATAATGTTGGGATAACTGGCTAGCCATATGGAGAAGATTGAAGCTGGGCCCCTTCCTTACACCATGTACAAAAATCAACTCAAGATGAATTAAAACCTTAAATGTAAAACCCCAAACTATAAAAACCCTGGAAGACAACCTAGACAATACCATCCTGGACATAGAAACGGGCAAATATTGCATGACGAAGACACCAAAAGCAATCACAACAAAACCAAAAATTGACAAGTGGGATTTAATTAAACGTATGAGCTTCTGCACTGCAAAATAAACTATCAATAGAGTAAACAGACAACCTACAGAATTGGAGAAACTTTTTGCAAACTATGCATCTGATAGTGGTCTGATATTGAACATTTATAAGGAACTTAAACAAATTTACAAGGAAAGAATGAATAACCCCATTAAAAAGTGAGCAAAGGGGAGCTCCAGACAGAGCATCATACAGAGGCTCGCGTCGTGAAGTTTAGCTCCAGATCAACTGCAAGAACAAACCAGCAATCCTGAGAGGACCCACAGACCCCCTGAAGGAAGCAGACTGCTCCTGCAGGACCCAGGAGACACCCTAAATACTGTGAGTGCCCAACTGCAGAAGTGGGAAAGGGAGACCCTCCTCTCCCAAACACACACCCCACTGGAGAAACTAAAGGTCTGTTTGCAGGAAAAGTTTCTGACCTTACCTGGGGCTGAATCAATTTAGACAGCCGAGTGAAATACAGGGGTAGAGAAAGCAGCAGAAAGGCCCTTGGAGCTTGCTGGGTCCCCAAGCAGGCCATTCCTGTCTGGCACCACAGGGATCCATCAGGAGGGTGGCCAGAGGTAAAACTCCACAGGGAGAAGGAAATCTCTAGATGAACTTCCTAACAATTTGAAGGGGGCAAGAAGCCACCTGGCCAGAACTCAAGGGAGGGTGCAAATCTGGTGTCCAGACTCCACAGGCAGGGGAAGAACCAAGCCCTTTTCTTTCACAGCTGGGAGGCGGGTAGCCTGGGGCAAGTTTTCAAGCCTGTCTTGCCCACTGCCTAGAAACAGACTCAGGGCTGTTGGTGGGGGGCATGGTGGGAGTGAGACCAGCCCTTCAGTTTCTGTGGGAGCTGAGTGGAACCTGTGACTGCCAGCTTTCTCTGACAGTCTACACGACTCAGCAGAGACAGCTATAATCCTCCTAGGTACAGAACTCCAGTGACCTCACCGCCATCCCCCACAGCAGCTGCAGCAAGATTCGCCCAAAGAGAGTCTGAGCTCAGACATGCCTAGCTCCGCCCCGACCTGATGGTCCTTCCCTACCCACCCCGGTAGCAGAAGACAAAGGGCATATAAACTTGGGAGTTCTAGGGCCCTGCCCACCACAGTCCCTCTCCATACTACTATAGCTGATGCTCTCTGGAAATCACCACCTCCCAGCAGGAAGCCAACCACCACAAAAATAGAGCATTAAACCACCTAAGTGAAGAACCCTCATGGAGTCCATTGCATGCACCGGCACCGCCTCCACCAGAACAGGTGCTGGTATCCATGGCTGAGAAACCCATAGATGGTTCACATCACAGGACTCTGTGCAGACAATCCCCAGTACCAGCGTACCAGCCCAGGGCTGGGTAGACTTGCTGGGTGGCTAGATCCAGAAGAGAGACAACGATCACTGCAGTTCGGCTCTCAGGAAGCCACATCCATAGGAAAATGGGAGAGTACTACATCAAGGGAACGCCCCGTAGGACAAAAGAATCTGAACAACAGCCTTCAGCCCTAGACCTTCCCTCTGACAGAGCCCACCCAAATGCGAAGGAACCAGAAAACCAACCCTGGTAATATGACAAAACAAGGCTCTTCACTCCCCAAAAATCACACTAGTTCACCAGCAATGGATCCAGACAAAGAAGAAATCCCTTATTTACCTGAAAAAGAATTCAGCAGGTTAGTTTTTAAGCCAATCTGGGAGACACCAGAGAAAGGCGAAGCCCAATGCAAGGAAATCCAAAAAATGATACAAGAAGTGAAGGGAGAAATATTCAAGGAAATAGAGAGCTTAAAGAAAAAACAATAAAAATTTCAGGAAATTTTGGACACACTTTTAGAAATGTGAAATGCTCTGGAAAGTCTCAGCAATAGAATTGAACAAGTAGAAGAAAGAAATTCAGAGCTCAAAGACAAGGTAACCCAATCCAACAAAGACAAAGATGAAATAATAAGAAAATATGAACAGAGCCTCTGAGAAGTCTGGGATTATGTTAAATGACCAAACCTAAGAATAATCGGTGTTCCTGAGGAAAAAGATAATTCTAAAAGCTTGGAAAACATATTTGGGGGAATAATCAAGGAAAACTTCCCTGGCCTTGCTAGAGACCTAGACATCCAAATACAAGAAACGCAAAGAACGCCTGGGAAATTCATCACAAAAAGAGCATCAGTTAGGCACATTGTCATCAGGCCATCCAAAGTTAAGACACAGGAAAGAATCTTAAGAGCTGTGAGACAGTAGCACCAGGTAACCTATAAAGGAAAACCTATCAGATTAACAGCAGATTTCTCAGCAGAAGCCCTCCAAGCAAGAAGGGACTGGGGCCGTATATTCAGCCTCCTCAAACAAAACAATTATCAGCCAAGAATTTTGTATCCAGCGAAACTAAGCATCATATATGAAGGAAAGATATAGTCTTCTTCAAACAAACAAATGCTGAGAGAATTTGTCATTACCAAGCCACCATTACCAGAACTACTAATAGGAGCTGTAAATCTTGAAACAATTCCTGGAAACACATCAAACAGAACCTCTTTAAAGCATAAATCACACAGGACCTATAAAACAAAAACACAAGTTAAAAAGCAAAAACAGAAAACAAAAGAACCAAAGTACACAGGCAACAAAGAGCACAATGAATGCACGGTGCCTCACATTTCAATACTATCCTTGAATGTGAATGACATAAGTGCTCCACTTAAAAGATACAGAACCGCAGAATGGATAAGAACTCACCAACCAAGTATCTGCTGCCAGTGAGAGAATCACCTAACATATAAAGACTCACATAAACTTAAGTAAAGAAGTGGAAAAAGGCATTTCATGCAAATGGACACCAAAAGCAAGCAGGTGTCCATTCTTATATCAGACAAAACAAACTTTAAGGCAACTGCAGTTAAAAGAGGCCAAGAAGGACATTATATAATGGTAAAAGGCTGTGTCCAACAGGAAAATATCACAATCCTAAACATACATTCACCTAACACTAGAGCTCCCAAGTTTATAAAACAGTTACTAATAGACCTAAGAAATAAGATAGACAGCAACACAGTAATAGTAGGGGACTTCAGTACTTCATCGACAGGACTAGACAGGTCGTCAAGACAAAGTCAACAAGGAAACAATGGATTTAGACTATACGTTGGAACAAATGGACTTAACAGATATACATAGAACATTTCATCTAACAGCTGCAGAATACACGTTCTATTCAATAGCCCCTGAAACTTTCTTCAAGATAGACTGTATGATAGGTCATAAAACAAGCCTCAATAAATTTAAGAAAATTGAAATTATATCAAGCACTCTCTCCGACCACAGGGGAATAAAACTGGAAATCAACTCCACAAGGAACCTTCAAAATCATGCAAATACATAGAAATTAAGTAACCTGCTCCTGAGTAAGCATTGGGCCAAAAATGAAATCAAGATGGAAATTTAAAAATTCTTCGAACTGAGTGACAACACAACCTAACAAAACCTCTGGGATACAGCCAAGGCGGTGCTAAAAGGAAAGTTCATAGCCCTAAACGCCTACATCAAAAAGACTGAAAGAGCACAAACTGACATTCTAAGGTCACACCTCAAGGAACTAGAGAAAGAAGAACAAACCAAACCCAAACCCAGCAGAAGAAAGGAAATAGCCAAGATCAGAGCAGAGCTAAATGAAATTGAAACAACAACAACAACAAAAATCAGTACAAATGATAAATGAAAGAAAAAGCTGGTTCTTTGAAAAGATAAATAAAAGTGATAGACCATTAGCAAGATTAACCAAGAAAATGAGAGAAAATTCAGATAACTTCACTAAGAAACAAAACGAGATATTACAACTGACACCACTGAAATACAAAAGATCATTCAAGGCCACTATGAACACCTTTACACACACAAACTGGAAAACCCAGAAGAGATGGATCAATTCCTGAAAAAAATACAACCCTCCTAGCTTACATCAGGAAGAATTAGATACCCTAAACAGACCAATAACAAGCAGTGTGATTGAAATGCTAATTTTAAAATTACCAACAAAAGTCCAGGACCAGATGGATTCACAGCAGAATTCTACCAGACATTCAAAGAAGAAGTGGTACCAATCCTTTTGACACTATTCCACAAGATAGAAAAAGAAGGAACCATCCCTAATCTACACTATGAAGCTAGCATCACCCTAATACCAAAGCCAGGAAAGGACATAACCAAAAAAGAAAACTACAGACTGATACCCTTGATGAACATAGATGCTAAAATTTTTAACAAAACGCTAGCTAACTGAATCCAACAACATATCAAAAAGATAATTCACCGTGATCAAGAGGGTTTTATACCAGGGATGCAGGGATGGTTTAACATATGCAAGTTAGTAAATGTGATACACCACATAAACAGAATTAAAAAACAAAAATTACATGATCATCTCATTCCCTTTATGATTAAAACTCTCAGCAAAATCAGCATACAAGGGACATATGTCAATGTAATAAAAGCCGGCTATGACAAACCCACAGCCAACATAATACTGAATGGGGAAAAGTTGAAAGCATTCCATCTGAGAACTGGAGCAAGACAAGGATGCTCATTTTCACCACTCCTCTTCAACATAATACTGGAAGTCCTGGCCAGAGCAATCAGACAAGAGAAAGAAAGAAAAGGCAGCCAAATCAGTAGAGAGGAAGTCAGACTGTCACTGTCTGCTGATAATATGATTATTTACCTTGAAAACTCTAAAGACTCCTCCAGAAAGCTCCTAGAACTGATAAAAGAATTTAGCAAAGTTTCCAGATACAAGATTAACGTACACAAGTCAGTAGCTCCTCTGTTCACTAACAGACACCAAGCAGAGAATCAAATCAAGAACTCAACCCCTTTTACAATAGTTGCAGTAAAATAAAATAAAATACTTAGGGATACACCTAACCAAGGAGTCAAAAGACCTCTACAAGGAAAACTACAAAACACTGCTGAAAGAAATCATAGATGACACAAACAGTGGAAACACATCCCATGCTCCTGGATGGGTAGAATCAATATTGTAAAAATGACCATAGTGCCAAAAGCCATCTACAAAATCAATGCAGTCCCCATCAAAATACCACCATCATTCTTCACAGAATTAGAAAAAACAATTCTAAAATTTATATGGAATGAAAAAAGAGCCCACGTAGCCAAAGCAAGACTAAGCAAAAAGAAGAAATCTGGAGGCATCACACTACCAGATTTTAAGCTATGCTATAAGGCCATAGTCACCAAAACAGTGTGGTACTGGTATAAAAACAGGCAAATAGACTAATGGAGCAGAATAGAAAACCCAGAAATAAACCCAAATACTTATAGCTAACTAATCTCCAGCAAAGCAAACAAAAACATAAAGTAGGGGAAAGGACACCCTTTTCAACAAATAGTCTGGGATAATTGGCTAGCTACATGTGGGAGAATGAAACTGGATCGTCATCTCTCACCTTATACAAATATCAACCAAGGTGGATTAAAGACTTAAAACTAAGACCTGAAACTATAAAATTCTAGAAGATAACGTTGGAAAAAAACCTTCTAGGCATTGGCTTCGGCAAGGATTTCATGACTAAGAACCCCAAAGCGAATGCAATAAAAACAGATAAATAGCTGAGACCTAATTAAACTGAAGAGCTTTTTCACAGCAAAAAGAACAGTCAGCAGAGTAAATAGACAACCCACGGAGTGGGAGAAAATCTTCACAATCTATACATCGGACAAAGAACTAATACCCAGAATCTACAACAAACTCAAACAAATCAGTAAGAAAAAGACAAACAAGCCCATCAAAAAGTGGGCTAAAGACATGAACAGAAAATCCACAAAATAAGATATACAGATGGCCACAAACATATGAAAAAATGCTCAACATCACTAATGATCAGGGAAATTCAAATCAAAACCACAGTGCAATACCACCTTACTCCAGCAACAAAGGCCACGATTTAAAAAAATTAAAAAAAAAATAGATGTTGGTGGGATGCTGTGATCAGGGAACATTTCTACACTGCTGGTGGGAATGTAAACTAGTATAGCCACTATGGAAAACAGTGTGGAGATTCCTTAAAGAACTTAAGGTAGAACTACCATTTGATCCAGCAATACTGCTACCTGGTATGCACCCAGAGGAAAAGAAGTCATTGTTCGAAAAAGATGCTTGTACAGGCATGTTTATAGCAGCACAATTCACAATTGCAAAATTGTGGAACCAACCCAAATGCCCATCAATCAACAAGTGGATAAAGAAACTGTGGCATATATATATACGATGGAATACTACTCAGCCATAAAAATGAATGAATTAACAGCATTTGCAATGACCTGGATGAGATTGGAGACTCCTAGTCTAAGTAAATCAGGAATGGAAAACCAAACATCGCATGTTCTCAGTGATATGTGGGAGCTAAGTTATGAGGACGCACAGGCATTAGAATGATACAATGGACTTTGGGGACCAAGGGGAAGAATGGGAGAGGTCAAGGGATAAAAGACTACAGATAAAGGTACAGTGTACACTGCTCGAGGGATGGGTGCACCAAAATCTCAAAAATAACCACTGAAGAACTTACTCATGCAACCAAATACCACCTGTACCCCAATAACTTATGAAAAAATAAAATAATGTATGGGTTATCCTGGTAAACAATTATTTCAAAAATTTATTTTAGTAATAGGAATCTGGCTATTGTACTGGTAATAAAACTACTAAATGAGACCCCCCTCAAAAAAAGTGGGCAAAGAACATGAACAGACTCTTTTCAAAAGAAGACATTCATGTGGCCAATATGCATATGAAAAAAGCTCAATATCACCTATCATTAGAAAAATGCAAATCAAAACCACAATGAGATACTATCTCACAACAGTCAGAGTGGCCATTATCAAAATGTCAAAAAATAATAGATGCTGGTGAGGTTGTGGAGAAAATGGAACACATATACACTGTTGGTGGGAGTGTAAATTAGTTCAGCCCTGTGGAAGGAATTATAGCAATTCCTCAAAGAGCTAAATGCAGAACTATCATTTTACCCAGCAATCACACTACTGGCTATATAGCCGGAGAAATATAAATAATTCTACCATAAAGACACATGCACGTGAATATTTTTTGCAGCACTATTCACAATAGCAAAGGCATGGAATCAACCTAAATTTCCATCATTGACAGATTGGATAAAGAAAAAGTGGTACATATATACTATGGAATACTATGCTGCCATAAAAAGAATGAGATCATGTCTTTTGTGGGAACACAGATGGAGCTGGATGCTATTATCTTTAGCAAACTAACACAGGAACAGGAAATCAAATACTGCATGTTCTCACTTAAAAGTGGGAGCTAATTAATGAGAACTTATAAATGCAAAGAAGGAAACGAGATACTGGGGTCTACTTGAGGGTGGAGGGTGGGAGGAGGAGAAGAGCAGAAAAGATAACTGTTGGGTACTGGGCTTAATATCTGGGTGTTGAAATAATCTGTACAACAAACCCTGTGACACAAGTTTACCTTTGTAACAAACTTCCACGTGTATCTCAAAACCTAAAATAAAACTTAAAAAAATAAAAGCAAATGGATCTTTTTAAGCAAAACAAAACAAAAAACTTCCTTTTTCCACAGCCACCTTCAGCAAGCAATTGCATCTTCAAAACTCCAAAAGTTCCCTTTTATTTATTATTTTGATAAAAGTGAAAGAAGGTTCTTATGATTTTGCTTGTCATTCTTGGGTTCAAAAATAAATCCTATGATTACTTCAGTACTTCAGACATGCGCACACTCTGTCTCTCTCTCTCTCTCTCTCTCTCTCTCTGTCTCTCTCTCTCTCTCAGCATAATAACCCAAACTGTAAATGTCCATCAAACCTGTAACTTCTTGTTCCCCCAAATCAGCCCAGCAATGGGAGAACAAATGAATAGTTGCCATCTGCCTTTCCATCACTCACTTCTCTCTACCCTGGACTAGTTGTGGCTTCTGACATATTCAAGACAATAGCAAAGCCATTTTAGCACTTATCACCTCTCATAAATATAATCTTCTGGATGGCCAACCAACAGCCAACAAACCTGCTGACCTCTTTCACTTCTTCTCTTTTAAGTCCTCTGTGGGACCGAAGTATTAAGGGGGCCCAAAACTAGTTCCTGCATAGTTTGTCATAAGGGGGCCCAAAACTAGTTCCTGCATATTTTGTCATTACCACATGGTTAGCTAGCTCCTTATTTTGCAGTGAGGGGGGTAGTGGTGCCAAAAATAGGTTTTCTTGAGAGTTCACAAAAGTAAAATGGAAACATCCCTATTTTAACATCCTACTACATCCAGTGGGCTCTCAAGTTTAATAAATGAGCAGCAGCAGCAGAAAGGTAAAGTTGAGTTTCCTCATATCTTGACTATTCTGCACTTTGGCCCTGATGATAGTCCCTTCCCAATTCCTATTGGCTTTGCTTCACCAAGCCTTACAATATAAGCATCTAGAAAACATTACATTAAGTGTCAAGAGGTATGAATGCTACTTTGGTTTTACTGCTTCCTAGCACTGTAACCATAGAAGGATTGTTTGGTATTTCTTATCTGGTTTCCTTGCTGGTACTCCAGGGCAATAAGCCCTTCCTTCCTCAAAATGTTACTCAGATCAAGATTAAGTCTATGAAAGCACTAAATATGAAGTGTTACTCACATACAAGCATACTAGATTTCTTTGGTTCCCTTCACTCAGAGCATAATCTTGCTATAGAAAGCAGCTATGCTTTTCTGTTTACCTGTTAAGTATAATTGTGTTTCATATTTTTGCCAACTCATGGCTGGCAATTAGTTCTTCATGCAGTTTTCAAATCATGACCTTCACTGTTGCTTTCTTATAGTAAGATCAATTTAATGCCACAGCAGTCATTAAAGCATTTTAAATAAGATGTTTCAGCCAAAAAATTATTGTTTTTCATATGTTTCCATATTGAATTGTTTGGTTTGCCACAAACAAGGAAGGTACTTTTTTCTCACCAAAAGGAGGTACAATGAATGTGCAGTTGGTTGTTGCTATCTGAAAATATTCAAATTCTATGATTTAATTACCTGATGTTCAGTTTAATAGACAATGTAGAGAATGGGTAGCTGCAAGCTAAAACATATAATTATACATATCTTAAGAGGTCTAGTTACATAGAGTTTCCTACTAGAAATTTTAATTATTGTGTTTTCCTCAGGTTAATATGCTTAGTTTTATCCAGAGACCCCAGGGAGGTCTGTGAACCATGGTGTAAAACCACTAGACTAAAGGGGTTTAAGTTCAGCCTCTTTCTCCATTTTTAAAATTTGGTTTCTTTACATTTAGCCTTATTTCTTCACTTTGTTTTTACTAATCTTCCTAAAACCATCTAGAGGTAGTTTGATATTCACTTGACTGTCATATAAAATAGAGCAGTATTTCCATACAACGGAGGAAGCTTACACGGTAGTTCTAGTCTGTTTCAATGCAAGGTTTGAAGATATAAACCACTGAATTTTTACTTGACTTGCAAGATCACAGAATAATTATTTTTATTTATTACGCATTAGTATTCATAGAATAATAACTTTGACTTGATTTTAAAGTTTATAGAATAATAGGAAATATACAAAAAAGTATTATTTTATGTTTTTACAAGCAATGATTTACATGTATATGTTTTGTTGTTTTGTTTGTATAAAAAATATCAATGAATACATTCTTTTTTAATAAAGATGTAAAGAATAAAAATGTATATGAAGCATAACCCTATTTTTCCTTTGACTGTCCATGTCCCCATGCAAAAGAAAGCCGCAGTCAGTACTTTGTAGTTCATTCTTCCAGTATCCTTGTATAAATATAGAATTTTTTTAAAGAAATGAAGAAAAAAGAAGCAATCTCATAGGGCTTTATGGATTATTTCTAGCACCATTTCAAGGAATTTTTTTAAAAAATCTCTAAGTATAAATGTCTATAGCATAGAAAAGATGACTATTTATCCTCTTAGTATAACCCCTATTTAGAAAGAAACTGCAAACACATTAGTATCTATCTAATCTAAATATAATGACGAAATTGTAAATAAAGTACTACCAAATGAAAATCAGTGGTGCACAAAAATAGTAGTATGGTTTGCTACTACCATAGCCATACTACTTTCACTACTTACATACATCAAGCAATAAATTGCATGTGTTTTCTAGTCTTAAATTTTCCCTCCTTCATGAGGCTAGAGAGCACATCTGCATAACCTGAGCTCCAGCCTCCTGCAAGACTCTAAAATTCCTAGAGGCTTCAAAGGTAACATTTCAAACTTGCCATTTTGGCTTTCCTTATTCCTCAATTCTTTAATCCAAGTGTTCCTTATTTTTGTAAACTTTTATAGACATACTATATTTTCTATAATATTTCTCTATAATATTAAAAGGGGATTGAAGAGATGCCTATATCAGTTAGCTTAGTCCACTGGAATTGCCAAAAATTCATGATTTATTTTTTAAAAAGTGCATCCAGTAACATCCCCAGAAATGTACAATAATATATGTGAACTACTGTAAAATGATCATCATGATCTTAAAGATTCTTAACTACTTTCTGAAAAGATCAAATTTTAATTAGGAGAGATATTACCTTATATTTTACTGTGATTTAATTCTCAAAATTTTGATTTCTATATGTAAAATATAAAGTAACTTGTATTTAATCAAAAATCATTGCAAATTCCCCCTTCATTCAATCTGGGAAACAGAGATGTGTAATTTGTATTTCTGTCATCCATTTAGCCACAATTTAGTCTATTACAAGACTCAACTTTACAAAAGTAAAAAATGATAGATATTACAAATAGGACAAAGTTATATTCTCTTTCCACAAGATTTGAAACACATATAAAAGCCATATGAAATATTATATACTAGGATATACTAGGATATGGGTCTCTTTTTAGAAGTAAAAAGTGTCAAAATCCCATTTTCAAAGCTTGGAAACTAATGAGTTACAGCTGTGAGATAGTGAAAGCTTACTTTTTATAATTATGCTAACAAATTTTAGGATATATCTCTGGCTCTGGTACCTCATCATTAGCTGAGTCTAAGGGAAATAACAGAATGTCAGCAGGAGAAATGACTCCTCTGCTTGAGATTTTACTAGATAAAGCATGTTACTTTGATTAGAATGATTTATGAGTAAAACTGAGAAAAGTTAGATGATGTTTAAAAGGCACAAATAAGCACATTCAACTTAACTCTTAAGTTCTACTCACTAGAAATATTCCAGAATATTGATCTCTTCTATTTCTCATGCCTGTATGTAAAACTGAAGCTAGTTTTGCATGATATCCAAAATTTTAATGGAAATCCCTCTCTCCATAAATTTTTTCTGCTCCTCTATATCAAATTAATTTCTCTTATGCACTCACTGAGCAACTTATTAATGATTGTCATTGCATATTCCATAGATTTATGTTTGTCTGCCTTTCCATCTAGAGGTCCTTGCAAACAGTGACTCCTCTTTGCTCATCTTTCCCTCCTTTGTAGCAATTTCCAATTGCATAAACACAGTAAGAGGTCTTTTTTAAATTAAAATGTGATTTAACATGGTTGCATAATGTATCCCCTGATTACAGATTTCTTTTATTTTTATAATTTGCTAAGCTGCTAGAAGATCATTACTAAATAAAATTAGGGAAAGGAACAATTACTTTATTGTTGCTTATAATATAAACATTAAGGGCAGGCTTAGTATACTAAATTGCTATAATTCTGAAGATAAATCTATGAGTTATACTCTTGGCATCAAGATAAACATGCTTGCAAGTATTAACTCTTGAATTCAAATGCTATGTTGAACTCATAAGAACAGTGAATGGCACCACAAGTTAGATTAAAAAGTTACATTTTTATAAATGTGGAATATTGATAAAAGAAAGAGTAACAAATTGCAAGAGAATTTGTGTGCTTCCTTTCTATGTGAGTCACCTGGAAATATCTTCATGTTCTTTGAGTGACGGCAAAAAAACACATCAACCTTTTATTTAAGCTCTTATACTGTGCCGCGTGTTGAAACAGAAGTCAGTGAATAATACTTATTTTTAACTGCCTTAGAAATTAAGAAAGTATCTAATTTAGATAAGAAAAACTCCATGTATTTCAAAATAAGAGAAAACATAAAGCTTTTGACAAAAATGTATATAGGAATCTGTGTGTCTATAGACAAAATACACTATATCTTTACTGCAATCATTACGTAAGAAATCTATACTTTTTAATAACCAAGGAAAACCCTAAAATACTAAAGTGGACTTTTCTTCACAGGTAAAATGCTATTAATTAGACAAATGCATTTACTCAGGCACACCCAAACTTATACATACGTAGCTTTTGCATGAAATTTAAATATTTAGCACTTCATGAAACTGAAATGTTTAGCACCTCTAAAGTGTAGAATGACCCTTGGAATCAGGATGAAGAAAAGGGCATGCCACAAATAATGTTTTTCCTGTGGGAAAACATGCTGATGTATCACAATATTTCCATTCATTGGAAAAGAAAACATATGAAAGCATGTGAAAGAATTAGAAATGATAATTCCCACTATCAATATTCCAACACTTACTTTGGTCCTTATTGGATGAAAAACTTAATTACCAAAATCCAGATATAAATCATTTATTTAGTCATGTAAAACCAAAAATTCTTAGTAATTTTATAAGTTCCTTAAGGTTAGTGGAGTCTTGAGTCCAGATATAAATCATTAATTTTATAAGTTCCTTAAGATTAGTGGAGTCTTGAGTCTTATGAAGATTCAATATAATTTAGAGATTCAAATTTAGGTTCAAATGAGCAATGCTCACTTATCCTGGGCTGATATTATAATCTAATTTTGAAATAAAGGAAGTTTTACAAATGTAGCTTCAGAACAAAATGATTTTAAGTCTAGAAGTGTTTCTTTCAAAGTTACAATACATTATATGAAACCATTTCATAAACTGACCCTGATTTTGAAGCTCATCTCCTAGGAGGTAACCTGAAAAATCAATTTTAATATAGAATAATTATTAAACCTTTATTCTAAGATCTCAGGTATATCTAATCATGGTCTATTTGAACAGTAGTGTCAGATCCAAAAGTATCCTCTAATAACAAATAAGATAATTCTCTCCTAGAAACTTCAAATTGAATACAACAGTAAGACATATATTCCTTGTACTGAGAATTCTGTATTCAATAAATCAAGCTTATAATTTTGCTTATCTTATCCATATCTTTACTAATTTTGGTCTTATTAATCTATCAGTGACTGTAAGAAATGTGTTGGAATCTCCTTCCTTGGTAGAGAATTTGTCCATTTCGTTTTGTAATTCTTTCCAATTTTTCTTGTATACTTTGAGGTTATTTTTATTAGTGACTTATAAGTTTATAATTGTTATTATAATATTACCAAATCAAGCCCTTTACATGATGGGACTCTGTATATAATAATGCTTTTAAGTTGAAGTCTATTTTGTCTTACTTAATATAGTTAACTCAGCTTTCTTTAGATTATTATTTACCTAGTGTATCTTGTTAATCCTTTACTTCAAACCTTGCCATGCCGTATGTTTTAGAAGTGTCTTTTATAAATACCATATAGGTAGATTCGTATGAACCCAATCTGAAAATTCAATCTTTTAAAAAATCACTTACTTTTCTGGGATACTTCAAAGAAAATAGCAAACAGCATACTCCACCACAAAATTCCTTAAATCTCAAAAAACATTCTTTATATGCAAAAAAAAATTATTACCTGTTATGGACTGAACTTTTGTGTGCCTCCCAAATTCATACATTAATTTCTTAACCCTCAATGCAATGGTATTAGGAGGTAGAGCCTTTGGCAAGTAATTAGGTCATGAGGATGGGGTGCTTATGCATGGGACTAGTGCTCCTATAAAAGGGTCCTCAGAGGCCCCTCTCACCCTCTTTCTTCCATGTTAGGATACAATGGGAAGCTGGCAGTCTGTAACCTAGAGGAGGGCCCTCGCCAGAATTCAACCGTGCTGGCACCTTGATCTCAGACTTTCAGCATCTGGAATTATGGCAAATATATTTCTGTTGTTCATAAGACACCCAGTTTATGGTATTTTGGTATAGTAGTGTTGACTAGGACAACACCTGCGATGCTTAATTTTTTGTGTCAATTTGGGTAAACTGTAGTGCACAGTTGTTTTGTCAAACACTAGTCTAGATGTTACTGTGAAGGTATTTTTTTAGATGTGATTAAGATTTACAATCAATTGACTTTATGTAAAAGCAGATCACCTCTCATAATGTGTGTAGGCCATATTCAATCCGTGAAGGTCTACACAAAGACAGCTTTCCTGAATAAGAAAGAATTCTGCCTCAAGACTGCAATATAGAAATCTTGCAGCAGGGCACAGTGGCTCACGCCTGTAATTCCAATACTTTGGGAGGCTGAGGTGGGTGGATCACCTGAGGTTAGGAGTTTGAGACCAGCCTGGCCAATGTGGCGAAACTCCATCTCTATTAAAAACACAAAAAATTAGCTGGGCATGGTGGCAGGCGCCTGTCATCCCAGCTACTTAGGAGGCGGGAGAATTGCTTGAACCCGGGAGGCAGAGGTTGCAGTGAGTGAAATCACACCATTGCACTCCAACCTGGGCGACAGAGCGAGAATCTGTCTCAAAAAAAAAAAAAAAGAGAGAAAGAAATCTTGCTTGAGTTTCGGCCTGCTGGCCTACCATTCAGATTTCAGACTCAAGACTGTAACATCAACTCTTTCCAGAATTTTCAGCCTGCCAGCCTGCCCTACAGAATTCAGACTTGTCAGCCTCCACAATCAGGTAAGACAATTCCTTAAGAAAAAAACCTCAATCTCTCTCTGTTTTCCTTCTTCTCACTCTCTGTTTTTTCTACCTCAATATAGATATAGATATAGATGACATAGATATACATACAGATATAGATAATATAGATATAGCTGTATCTTTAATTAGTTCTATTTCTGTGGTGAAGCCTGACTAAAAGAACATGTAATACATTTAATAAAATATAGCCGGGCGCGGTGGCTCATGCATGTAATCCCAGGCATGGGCGGTCGAGGTGAGTGGATCACTTGAGGCCATTCAAGACCAGCCTGGCCAACATGGTGAAACCCCATCTCTACTAAAAACACAAAAACTAGCCAGGCATGATGGCGCACGCCTGTAATTCCAGCTACTCGGGAGACTGAGGCAGGAGGATGGCTTGAACCTGGGAGGCGGAGGTTGCAGTGAGCCCTAAGTGGTGCCACTCTACTCCAGCCTGGGTGACAGAGTGAAATTCTGTCTTTAAAAAAAAAACAAACAAAAAAAAAAAAAAAAAAACAACAACAACAATTATATATTACCTCACATCCAGTTCTTAGCCAAATGTCCCTGATTCCTTTAAATGTTTAAGTCACTGTCTACTTCAGGAGTATACATTGCATCAGGCTGTTATGTCCCTCAGCCCTCTTTAATCTAGAGTAATCTTTTCTATGATACCAATTTGCTGAATAAATATTAACAGTTGTCCTGTACAATGTGCCACATTCGAGAATCAATAGATTACTTTCTGATGATCTTCCTATATGCCTGTTATGTCCTGGATGTTAGAGATAAAGTGTTCATTCAATTGAAGATCAACAGTTTTGGCAAGAATTTATCAGAGCTAATGTTTAAAATTTTGTATGGCATCGTATCAGGAGACATATAACGTTTGGGTCCTGCGATTAGGTACTTACTGGTTAGGATAGCAACAGACTAATCTTTTTTATGTAAAGTTGCACTTTTCCTCTTGTAATCAGAAAATAATCTGTGTGGTGTCATGATGCCACTTTGGCACTATAGGAATGTCCCATTCTCTTTCATTCTTTTATCACTGTTAGCATATTTATTAGCTTGACATTCTTCTGTAAACTAGAACATTTGCTCATTAGTTGCAGCTATTTATTTACTGTGAAATGTAATTCTTATAGCAAATTTACATTGATTATAATTCATTATATTAATTCAACTAATCTGTTATATTTTATTTCTATTTATTGATTTCTATGACTTTGTTGCCTCTTTTATGTTGATTTTTATTTTTTAATCTTAACTCCCGCCATATATTTTTTTAATGTATATATTCTGTTATTTCAGTAATTGGTTAGCCTTTAATTTTACCAACTGTCTTTAACTCAAGAAAGTCTAAAGTTATTACAACCCTCTCCCCAAAAGTTCAAGTACCTCAGACCACTTTAACAGCATCACCTTGTCTCTCAATTTACCTGCTATGATCATCTGATGTTTTTATCTGCCTTCTGCTGTTGTAAAATCCTACAGATAAGTAACCATTGTCATTATTATTTTATGCAGCAATGGTATGTTTAGATTACAGACTTTCATATTTCTTTACTCAACATTTCTATTTGGATCTCTGATCTTTTTCTGAAATCATTTTATTTCTGCCTCAAGAATAACATTCAAAAATTTCTTAAATCTGTTATTACTGGTAATCTCTTAATTTTAATTTTGTGTTTGCCTTAAACTTTCTTTTTTCAAAATAAGATTTTCAGGATACAATTTTTTTTTTTTTTTTTTTTTTTTTTTTTTTTGAGAGAGAGAGTTTCATTCTTGTTGCCCAAGCCGGAGTGCAATGGCATGGTCTCCGCTCACTGCAACTTCTGCCTCCCAGGTTCAAGTGATTCTCCTGTCTCAGCCTCCCAAAAAGCTGGGATTACAGGTGCGTACCACCATGCCAAGCTAATTTTTGTACTTTTAGTAGAGATGGGGTTTCACTATGTTGGCCGGGTTGGCCTGTAACTCCTGACCTCAGGTGATCTGCCCACCTCGGCCTCCCAAAGTGCTGGGAATACAGGTGTGAGCCACCGTGCCTGGCCTGGATACACAATTCTAAGTAGACAGTTGTTTTCTTAGAATGAAACTGTTATTCCAGTGACTTCTAGCTACTCTTGAAAAGTCAACTGTTAATTTATTGTAGTTTGTTTGAAAATCATCTGTATTTTCTCTCTGGAGCTTGCTAAAGTCATCTCTTTGCATCAATATTCTGTACTTTCACAAAATTCTACCTAATATGGATTTTATTTATTTGACTTTTGCTTCAATATCTATGGATTCTTTTGAACAAATCCCAGAAAATTATCTTTTTTTTTTTTTTTTTTTTTTTTCCCTAAAGAGACAGGATCTCACCCTGCCACTCAGATTGGAGGCAGTGGCAAGATCATGGCTTACTCCAGACTTAAACTCCTGGTCTGAAGCGATCCTTGCACCTCAGTCTTCCAAAGTGCTGGAATTATGGTTGTGAGCCACCATGCCCAGTTTGTATGTTGTTTTCTGTTCAAATTTGCCTCTCCTCATTTTCTCTATTCTCTTCTTTTGGTGCCATGATTAGATATACAATACAACTTCATATCTCTTTAAACATTTTATTTTTCCGTCTAGTGATTCTTTGTATTACTTTCTGGATCACTCTGGTCTATCTTCCAGATAACTCATTCTCTCTTAAGTTGCATCTCATTTGCTCTTTAATCCATTCATTGCTGCCCCACTCAATCTTCATTTTGGGGGAGTGGAGGTTTAATATTATTTGATTTTAATATTATTTGCTTAGTCTAAATAATGTTGATTTTCCCTTGGGTACTTGATGACTTTCTTTAATCAGTAAGAATCCTGGGAGCCTATCTTAAAGATGTTTCACACCAAAATTTATTTACATTTTTTTCCACCAGGGACCAGGAAGTATCTATCAGTAAAATGGCCTTTCTTTGGCCGCTCTCAGGATCCACAGCTAAATGTTGAAATTTTTATGTTAGGAGCCAGCTGCAGATTGGCACCACATAGGCCCTTAGGAGAAACTGAACTTCACAGGAATTCACAGCTTGTATTTAGTCTATTATTTTCTCTGTCTTATTTTATAGGGAAGAATGAAGAGGCTCTTTTATATTACCCTTACCATTTATAAGCAGGTCGGCAGCAGAATGCAAACTGTTACTTTAATTTTATGTAAATACTAGTTATTTGTATATGAAATAATTTGTTACAATATCTAATTTGCTTTACTGCCAGTGGCCCAAACTAAATTAACATTTTGATTTAAAAATTATTCAAATATTGCAATCTCAAAATAAAGTACTTTGATACTAATTATTTCTACCAATATCTAAAATTACTATAAATTATCTTATCCTATTATGATTTATATGTTTCCTGGAATTTTATTTACTTTTTGAAAACACTATCTTTTCCCCTGTGGAATTATAAATGGGAATATCCTTGGGCAATTTAACAGTTATAAAAATTTTTTTAACTATACATAGTAAAGGCAAATAATCTTTAAACAGCTAAACCTATATTGACACCTCAAAAGTTTGCATTTAATTACTTCTTTTACACTAGCAGTTTTATCTATGCCAATAAGTACTACTGTAAAAAAATGGCAATGAGCTCTTACTATGGAAGATCGTGAGGACATAAACCATTTCTGTCTCTCTCATTGTTTTGTTTTTTAATTGAGATATAGTCAAGAGTTATTTTGAGGTTACAGAAGGCAATTGAGATATTTTTTGGATCTTTAGTTATTTTTAGTTCCACCAAGTGAGTAAAGCATCAGTCTTTTGGCATTAAAAGAATTAGAGTTCTGTGGAAAGAGAATGTGTCCTTACCATCAGTAGAATTAATTACAAGGAATAACAAAGAGAATCAGTGTCAGAATTTGGGCTCCGTCTATTAATAGTCTTGAAATACATTTTAAACAACTGATTTTCCTCTTTCTGAATTTTTGCACAATGAGATTTTTTTGAGGCCAAAATCCGCTGGCTTTCACATTTATTTCATTGCTACTTGACTGAACTAGCTGAAATTTTAAGTGTGTTTCTTGTTAAAGGGAAACTTAAGTCAGGCACATTTGAGCAGATTTATTTTAAAAAGGATATTTTCACCTCTTCCTAAAGCAATATTCCAAGCTCAGTAACTGACATTCAACAGATGACTAATGAAGGTCTTATAGTAGAAATTAGCCTCTTCCCTACCTCCTGGATTCAGTTACCCTACTGAGACTCTCTCAATCTGCCCTTTCCCCTCAACTGGCTCCCTGGAGAAAGCTGGAAGCAGGTGCTAGGAATCTTGTCATTAATTCAGATCAACAATGTCAGTTAATTAAGTGGAAGTTCTTTTACCCAGACTCTAAAGGCAAAGATGACTAAGAATCCAAAATGATTAAAATAAAAAATAGTTTTCTTTCCACCTCTGAAGTCAATGTCCTTCTTCGTAACCATATTCATTACATTTTCTTAGGTTTAACTCTTTAAACATAAATAAGTATGGCCAAATATATTTGATGAGATACTTTAAATCTATACATAGATTTTACATATATAATCTGTATTCTTATATGTAGAATTTCATGAAAACAGTGCTTTCCAACACAAATTCCCCACATCATTTCTTCCACAGGATGTGACTAGGTGGATCTTTGGAGGAAAAAGATATTGTAGAGCAAAATAATGTCAGAAATACTGGGTTTATTAAGGATGTCATTGTTGCAGACCTTTACAAAGCCTATAATATGCCATATAATGTGTATTACAGTATATCATAGGAGATGGATACATTGCATGGTGTTTCATCTATATATGATATACATATAACAATAGTATTATTTAAACATAGACTATTTTTTAAATTTTTAAGCATTTTTCAGCAACAGTCTTTATAAGACAAGAAAATTCTGAAATGTCCTTTTTCAGAAGGTTTTTATGCAACATTTTTGCCCAATACATATTGTTAACTCTATTTCTTTCTTTTTAATTTTTTTTCTTGATTATTATTCTGTGAATGCCACATTAAAAGGCTGGAGAGGTTTCAATTTCCACATTTCCCTTGGTGCTAAGACAAACTCTTTTCTGATATGTGTGCTTGTCAAGGCTGAACTGTCCACTTTATTTTCCAATCTGTTTTCAAGTTTTTATCAATTTGACATCAAAGCAAAAATAATAAAAGGAAAAATTTCCCGTAGCATTTAATTGAATACTATGAAATTCCTTTGAAGAGTAACCTGGGGCTTATGTGCAAAATAAAAATAAGCATCCCTTCCTCCAAACACTACTTCCATCTGTTGAAATGCAGTGATGTGCTGAAACATGAAACCTCACTGCTGTCTTCTGGAAAAGTGTCCTGTGAAGTGAATCATGCAAAGTGAATGGTGCCCCTAGGGTTGTGCAGTGCACAACCTGCAATGCTATGGAATGCTATGGAACAAAATTAAAAGCAGTGTGAAGTGTCCACAGGATTCTAACAAAGGTTTTACTTAAGCTCACAGTCTCCTCTGTTGTGAGAGAGTACTGCACACACACAGAAATCCAAAGTCTGATTGTCCAAATTTGTCATTTTTAGCTTTTACTTTATATTTACTCTTAACCAGTCCTTTCACTTTGAGCCCCATATTATCATCTATACCATTTAGAATACAAACCTTTTATTTGTTGGTTAGTGCTGTCTGATTTTATTCTACAAACTCATTCTACAAACTCTACTCTACAGACTCATTCCCTGGAGTCCAGTAAAAGGGAGCTTATTGTTTTCCTTGATGAACCCTTTCAGTTTAGAGCTTGAGGCTCATGATAATCACATGCCAACGGACAATTTACCTATGAAAAATTACACTTTATAGCACTTTTTAAAAAAGATATGTCTATTCGATTTTGAGCCTGTCACAGTATTAAAAACATATTTTGCAATGCACTCCATGTCATCAGTCAGAATTCATCTGATCAAATTAACACAGGCTTAGAAAGTTCTTACTATCATACCTTTAGACCACGTGCTGCTGACCTAGTCTAAATTACAGGTACAGAATGTTTTCAGAGTTGCATGGTATAGCTATGTTTTGAGGGGTGGATGGAAAGAATTCCCATGGTAATTTCCATTGTGTGTTTTAACTTGAGCTGTGTACTCCTAAAATGTTACCATTTGCTTCTCTGAGTTACTTCATCTCTGTGCCCCGCTTTCCATTATAGTATTAGTAAGATTCTAATATGATTGTTTGTTTTCATCTCTTTCTTTCTCCACTCTCCATGATCTGAACTTTTAAAAGTAAGCCCTTTTATTTTTCTTTGTACCTTCACAGTGCCTCACATAAATGCACGTTAGATGGGTCACTGAGGGCACAGCAGTTCAAAGGTGAGCTCTCATCTTTGAGAGTAGAGTTCTAGATACTTTTAAAGAATCCAGAGAAAACATCCCTACTGTCAACTGACCTATCTTTTTCTGTACTTTTAAGTCCTTTTTAAAGCGTTTTAAGTTTGTTATCTATAAAATATTTATGTTATCTTCATGAGACCTCTGAAGAGAAATTAATTTAAAAGTTATTAATATAACTAATATATCTGAAAAACAGAAACACTACACAATAATGCATTTTGTTTCATCAAATTTGCTTCATACAAACCACTGATGGGATTCTTTGGGAAATTTATGTTTTCTATCTGCTGAATAATTTAAAATACTTTCTGATTGTGTTAAGCCAAAGGATTTTGTTCAGTTCAAAATAATTCAGCAGTTAAATAATCAACAGCATTTACCTAGAGGTACTACTGTCAACCTGCCTCTTCTCAAAGTATTGAAAATCATGTTTTCAGGTTGTAATATAAGTAACTGTTTACTTAAAGCCAATGACTAAAAATAACAAAATCCTTCACCTTCTCCTTATCATTTATATAAAATCTCTTTGATGATTTACATTTAAGACAGATATTGATTTTGTCCTCCTCCTTTGCCCTATAAATGACACTCTTCCTTCAGTCAAGTGTGATGGGCAGTAGGTCAGCCCAAGGATGGGATAAATAAACCAAAGTAACTTACTTTTAAGGAAGCAAAGCAGAGCATCTTCAAAGCACCAGTAGTTTTCTATAATCTATCTTTTGACAGCCAATTGATGAAACTACAAAATCCAGACTCATATCAAGCTTAGTTGTTTTTATATTTCTAAGCAAGTCTACATCATTTAAAATTTTATGCTTTCTTAAGCTCCAATTAAATTTTTTGTTTTTGTGTCATTTGGGGGAAAATATTTCTAGGACCAATTAAAATCATCATAATTTCTAACGTTCCAGAAAAAAATAATACAGGATGTGGAGACTAAGGGAAATTAGTCCCTAAAATTTCTTTTAAGACATGGCCCATTATTCATGCTAAGATTTGATTTGCTGATTTTGTAGACGCCAAAGCCAAGTGTTCTGCCCTGAGGTGTCATGATCAAGCAACTCAGTTACAGCTAACACACTGGTAGCTGTTTTGCTACTGAAAAGTATATGCTCTGTTTGAAGGAAAAAAGTGACTGAAATAATTAAATATACATTTGAGAAGTGCATACAGGAAGGTCATAGCACTGACTTACGAAGAACGAAAATGTTAGCTAGGTAACACTAAGTGGATTGACTAGGAAAATGATGTAATATAAGAAACAGACCTCAGTCCTTCACAACAAACTCATACCCCTCTGCTCTCATTCTAAAACTAGTTTAACTTTAATTTTAAGTTTGGGGGTGCACATGAAGGCTTTTTATATAGGTAAACATATGTCATGAGAGTTTGTGTTGCTGTTTATTTCATCATCCAGGTATTAAGCACAGTACCAAATAGTTATCTTTTGTGCTACTCTCTTTCCTTGCACCCTCCTCCCTCAAGTAGATCCCAGTGTCTGTTATTCATTCTTCATGTTCATAAGTTCTTATCATTTAGCTCCCACTTATAGGAACATGCAGTATTGGGTTTTCTGTTCCTGTATTAGTTTGCTAAGAATAATAGCCTCCAGCTCCATCCATATTCCTGCAAAAGACACTATCTCATTCTTTTTTATGGCTGCATAGTATTCCATAGTGTATATGTACCACATCTTCTTAATCCAGTCTGTCATTGATGGACATTTAGGTTGATTCCATGCCTTTGCTATTGTTAATACTGCTGTAACGAACATTCACACACATGTGTCTTTATGGTGGAATGATTTATATTACTTTGGGGATATACCCAGTAATGGGATTGTGAGTCAAATGGTAGTTCTGCTTTTAGCTCTTTGAGGAATTGCCATACTGTGTTCCACAATGGTTGATTTAATTTACAGTCTGACCAAGAGTGTATAAGTGTTCTGTTTTCTCCACCACCTGACAGGCATCTGTTATTTTTTGACTTTTTAATAATAGCCCTTCTCACTGGAGTGAAATGATATCTTGTGGTTTGGTTTGTATTTCTCAGTGATCAGTGATGTTGAGCTTCTTTTTCATATGCTTCTCGGCTGCATGTATGTCTTCTTTTGAGAAGTGTCTGTTCAAAAAAGCACAGAGTGGCAAGCTGCATAAAAAAGCAAGACCCAGTGTATGCTGTCTTCAAGAGACCCATCTCACATGTAATGATACTCATAAGCTCAAAATAAAGGGATGGAGGAAAAGCTACCAAGAAAATGGTGAACAAAAAAAGCAGAGGTTCCAATTCTAATTTTAGACAAAATAGGTTTTAAAACAACCAAGACGGGGTGTGGTGGCTCATGCCTGTAATCCCAGCATTTTGGGAGGCCAAGGTGGGTGGGTCACCTAAGGTCAGGAGTTCAAGACCAGTCTGACCAATATGGTGAAACCGTATCTCTACTAAAAGTACAAAAATTATCCAGGCTTGATGGTGTGTGCCTAGAGTCCCAGGTACTCAGGAAGCTGAGACAGGGGAATTGCTTGAACCCAGAAGACGGAGGTTGCAGTGAGCCAAGATCGCACCACTGCACTCCAGCCTGGGCAACAGAGTGAGACTCCATCTCAAAAAATAAAAATAAATAAATAAATAAATAACAAAGATCAACAAAGAGAAAGAAGAGCATTACACAATGGTAAAGGATTCAATTCCATGGGAAGACTTAACTATCCTAAATATATATGCACCCAACACATGAGCACCCAGATTCATAAAGCAAGTTCTTAGAGAGCTACAAAGAGATGTAGACTCTCACACAATAATAGTGGGAGACTTTAACACTCCACTTAGTATTAGACAGATCATCAAGGCAGAAAATTAACAAACATATTCATGACCTAAACTCAACGTTGGCCCAAATGGATCCTGTAGACCTTTACAGAACTTTCCATCAAAAAACAACAAAATATGCATTCTTCTAATCACTGCATGGCACATGCTTTAAAGTCAACCACATAAATGGACATAAAACAATCCCCAACAAATGTAAAAGAACAAAAACCATACCAAGCACACTCTTGGACTACAATACAATAAAAATAGAAGTCAAGACTATGAAAATCCCTCAAAACCATGCAATTACGTGGAAATTAAACATATGCTCCTGAATTACTTTTGGATAAATAATGAAATTAAGGCAGAAATCAAGAAGTTATTGAAAAACAATGAAAACAAAGATACAACATACCAGAATCTCTGGGACACATCTAAGGCAGTGTTCAGAGGGAAATTCATAGCACTAAATGCCCACATTAAAAAGTTAGGAAGATCTCAAATTAACAACCTAACTTCGTGACTGAAAGAATTAGAGAGGCAAAAACAAATCAACCCCAAAGCTAACAGAAAATGATAAATAACACTAATCAGAGCTGAACTGAAGAAAACTGAGACACGAAAAACCATTTGAAAGATTAACAAATCTAGGATTTTCTTTTTTGAAAAAAATAATAATGTAGGCTACTAGCTAGACTAATAAAGAAGAAAAGATAGCAGGTCAAAATAAACACAATTAGAAATAATAAAGGGAACGTATCACTGACCCCACAGAAATAAAAACAATCATAAGAAATTATGAACATCTCTATGAACATTAACTAGAAAACCTAGACGAGATGAATAAATTCCTGGAAACATACACCCTCCCAAGACTGAGCCAGGAAGAAATTGTTTCCCTGAACAGACCAATAACAAGTCGAATTGAATCACTAATAAATACACTAGCAAGCAAAAAAAAAGTCCAGGACCTGATGGATTCATAGCCGAATACTACCAAATGTTCAAAGGAATGCTGGTACCATTCCTACTGAAACTATTCCAAAAAATTGAGGAGGAGGAACTGCTCCCCAACTCAATTAATAAGGTAAGCATCATCTTGATACCAAAAGCTGGCAGAGATATGACAAAATGAAAACTACAGGCCAATATCCTTGATGAACATCAATGCAAAAATCCTCAACAAAATTATTGAAAACCAAATCCGGTAGCACATCAAAATGCTAATCCACCATAATCAAGTAGGCTTCATCCATGGATTCAAGATTGTTTCAACATATGCAAACCAATATATGTGATTAATCACATAAACAGAATGAAAAAGAAAAACACATGTTTATCTCAATAGATGCAGAAAAGGCTTTTGATAAAATTCAACACCTTTTCATGTTAAAAACTCTCAATAAACTAGGTGTTGAAGAAACCTACCTCAAAATAATAAGAGCCATCTATGACAGACCCACAGCCAACATCACACTGAATGGGCAAAAGCTGGAAGCATTCCCCTTGAAAACCAGCACAAGATAAGGATGACCTCTCTCACCAGTCCCATTCAATGTAATATCAGAAGTCCTAGCCAGAGCAAGCAGGCAAGAGAAAGAAATAAAGAGCATTCAAAAAGGAAGAGAGGAAGTCAAACTATCTCTTTTTGCTTGATTGTATATCTAGAAAACCCCATAGTCTCAGCCCAAAAGCTCCTCCAGCTGATAAATTAAGCAAAGTTGCAGGATATAAAATCAATGTACAAAAATCACTAGCATTCCTATACAACAACAGTCAAACTGAGAGCCAAATCAGAAAGGCAATCCCATTCACAATTGCCACAAAAAGAATAAAATACCCAGGAATACAGGTAACCAGGGAGGTGAAAGATCTCTACAATGAGAAACAATGAGAATTATAAAACACTACTCAAGGAAATCAGAGAAGATACACATGCACACAAATTCCATGCTCATGGATAGAAAGAATCAATATCATTAACATGGCTATACTGCCCAAAGCAACTTTCAGATTTAATATTATTCCTATCAAGCTACCAATGCCATTTTTCACATAACTAGAAAAAACTATTTTAAAATTCATAAGGAACCAAAAAAGAGCCTGAATAGCCAGGGCAACTCTAAGCAAAAAGAACAAAGTTGAAGGCATCACGTTACCCGACTTTATACTAAAGGACTACAGTAACAAAGCATGGTAGTGGTACAAAAACAAGCACATGTATCAATGGAACAGAATAGAGATCCCAGAAATAAACCACATATCTGTGACCATCTGATCTTTGACAAAGCTGACAAAAACAATCAATGGGAAAAAGAGTCCCTGTTCAATAAATGGTGCTGGGATAAACTGGTTAGCCATATGCAGAAGATTGAAGTTGGACCCCTTCCTTATAGCACACACAAAAACCAACTCAAGATGGATTAAAGACAAATGTAAAGGAGAAAACTACAAAAACCCTGGAAGACAATCTAGGCAATACCACTCTAGACACAGGAATGGGCAAAGATTTAATAACAAAAACACCAAAAGCAATCACAACAAAAGCAAAAATTGACAAGTGGTATCTAATTAAACTTAAGAGCTTCTGCACTGCAAAAGAAACCATCAACAGAGTAAACAATCTACAGAATCTACAGAGAATTACTCAACAGACTAAACAATCTACAGAGAAACATTTTGCAAACTATGCATCTAACAAAGGTCTAATATCCAGTGCCTATAAAGAACTTAAAGAAATTTACAGGAGAGAAATTATCAACCCCATTAAAAAGCGGGCAAAGGACATGAATAAAACTTGTCCACAACTATTAACACAGTGATTTCTACGACCAAATGTGTGGGATTTTTTTCCCCATCCACTAAACAATCAATCAATTCTGCAGTGGACACCAACTGGGTGTCCTCCAATTCGATTCCAATACTATCTATCTAGAGATACTGTCAGATCACACAGGTTGAGGACTCAACTCCACAAGACTGCCTCCCACTTCTGATGCCAATCTCAAGCCCCGGATTGTTTTTGTTGTGGTTCTGACTGACCAGCTATAAATCGGGGTTTCCATGACCCCTCTTGGGGTTTCTTTGATTTGCTAGAGTCATTCACAGAACTCAGGGAAATATTTGATGTTTACTGGTTTGTTATAAAGAATATTGCACAGGATAAAGATAGAAAAATGCATAATAAGCAAGGCATGTGGAAGGGATTAGCCATCTTCCAAGGATCTTCATATGCTTAGCTATCAGAAATTCCTCCAATTCTGTCCTTTTGGGTTCTTATGGAGGCTTCATTAAATAGGCATGATTGATTAAACCATTGGCCCCTGGTGATCAATTTAACCTTCAGTCTCTCTTTCCTTTTCTCTCCCAAGAGGTAGATGGGCAGCGCTGAAAGTCCTAACCTTCTAATCAGGCCTTGGTCTTTCTTGTGAACAGCCCCCATCCTGAAACTACCTAGGGGCTGCCAGACATCAGTCAACTCATTAGCATACGAACAAACATAACATTGGAGATTATAAGGATTTTTTTTTTTTTGAGATGGAATCTCACTCTATCACCCAGGCTGGAGTACAGTGGCACCATCTTGGCTCACTGCAAGCTCCACCTCCTGGGTTCAAGTGATTCTCCTGCCTCAGCCTCTGGAGTAGCTGGGATTACAGGTGTCTGCCACCACGCCTGGCTAATTTTTGTATTTTTAGTGGAAATGGGGTTTCGCCATGTTGGCCAGACTGGTCCCAAACTCCTGATCTCAGGTGATCCACCCACCTTGGTCTCCCAAAGTGCTGGGATTACAGGTGTGAGCCACAGTGCCCGGCCTGGAGATTATAAGAATCTTAGAAGTTGTATGACAGGAAAGGGGTGTGTATCAAAGATAAAATATATATTTCATAATATCACACTATCAGATAGCAAATGGAAGCATATCATTTTATTTTATCAAGTACTGCTTGAATCACTGTGACTATGCTATGGTAGGCAGAAAAATGGCTTCTTCAAAGATCTCCACGTCCTGATGCCTGGAACTTGTGACTGTGTTAACATACATCCAAAGAAGAATTAAAGTTACTGATGGAATTTGGTTGTTAATCAACTGACCTCAAGGTGGGGAGATTATCCTGGACCATGCAAATAATGGGCTCAGTGTAATCTGAAGAGTCTTTATAAATGCAAGAGGAAGACAGAAGAAAGAAAACCAGAGAGATAGCAGCATGCAAATGATGTAGCCTGATCTCGCTAGTTTTGAAGGTAGAGAAATAGGGGTCATGAGCCAAGGAAAGCAAGCAGCTTCTAAAAAGAGGAAAAGGCAAGAAAACTGATTTTCCCCTATAACCCCCAGCAAGGGATGCAAAGCAGCTCTCCCAACACCTTGATTTTAGCCCATCAAAACCCATTTTGGATGTCTCACCCTCTAGAAATAAAAGATAATAATTTTGTGTTGTTGTAAGACACTAAGTTTGCAGTAATTTGTGACAGTACCAATCGGAAGCTAATACAGAGTCTAAGAGCAAAAATGATGTCAGAACAAACCTAAAAAATCAGTCAAGTATCAATGAAATTTCAATTATTCTCAGTGAAATGTACTATTATTCAATGAATCCATTTTTTCTTCATTTCATTTGTTGGCACCTAAAGACTTGCCTACATGATCTAAAAATCTAGATCATGCAAACAGCTAAGAAGTTAACTTAATTTTTCTTTCTCTCCTGGATAAAAAGTCTCTAGAGTCAATACTTCCTTTCATATATACCATCACATTTTTAATATCATTGCTTGGTGATTAATAGGTGGGCTAAGAAAGGTTCAAACAATTACTCGCTATTATGGATGAGTATGATGCTACTATGAAGAGAAAATCACTGTTTTATAGATGAATGGTTTGTGAACATTATTCATATAACTGTTGTAAAATTAATGTAAAATTTTTCAATGTTTAGATGTAACATAAATCTCATGTCGTCAGAACTGAGTATCTAAGGAACTTGTGTATATGTGTAAAATTAGAAACCTACCAAGAGTTAAAGTCATGGCTTTTCCCTGAACTCCACTGAAGTTTCCTAAACTTGAAAAAAAAAAAATCCTCTTCTCTCAGTGGTTTGAGGAATTATCTACTGAACTGCATTGGGACAGTAAAGAACAGCAGCAGAGACAAAAAGCAAAAGCAAAAAAGCAGGAGACAAACTCCCACCTTAGGGCCTTTGCACTTTGTGTTGTGTTTGTCCAGAAAGAAATTTCTCAGCCACTTACATGGCTTGCTTTCTCATTGTTTTTAGGTCTTTCTTGTTAGTGAGGCTTTTGCTGTTTACCCTCTAAAAGTTTAATGCCCCACTGTGACTTCCCATATTCCCTTTCCCTGCTATGTTTGTCCTCTTTAGCCCTTGATACTATATAGTATGCTACTTTTTTCTTATCTTGCTTATTGTTTTTTTGTGCCTACTGACCTGTTCACTATGCACTCTGTTCAACCAGCAGGAATAATATTGCATTCAAAATCACAAGACACAGCAGGCTTTACCCAACACCATGCTCACTTAGATTCTGGAAAAATAGAGGATGGGTAAATTACCATGTACAATAATAAGATAGAAACAGTTTCTTGTCACTCAGGCTCAGTTTCCAAATAACTTGTCATTTTACATGAAATGTGAAAGGTCATGAGAGATGATACTGAATGATGTGAACCAACTCAGTTCAGGAAAGCCATGGTTCAGAGCCCTTTTCAGTTTTTATAGCTAGCTAATCACAGTCCCATAGGGGTACATGATTAATTCCTACACTCTAGAGAACCTACATCTGTCAATTAGATTATTAAATAAACCAAATGTGTACATTAAGTTACAGATTTGGTGTTGCCACTTAGAATTTAAGTTACATCCTGTATACTTCTAAAAATTCCATCAGTTACTGTTGCAAGGGACATTAGACTAAAGGTCATATTCTGAGGCTAAAGGAAAGACCACAGAGCTAGTTTCAAACATGTTCAGTGACTAAGAAGCTAATAACCTCAAACTCTTTGGTACTGGGGCATTGGTAGTTTATAATTAGCAGAAATATATCAAGAATGTTGAGACCAAGAACTGATATTAAAGAATATTTTAATGAAAGTATATGCGGAAAGACCTATAAGTGACCCATTGGGCCTTTTGTAGGAATCTATCTCAATTAATCTAATACAGAATAATTTCCAAGTATATTTACGTTAGTTCTATGTTGTAAGGTTTTTAATGAAATGCTTTTTACCTTAGTCAATTTTTTTTCTGCATGAATAATTTGGTAAATCTTTTGTCTATAAAATTTAAATAATCTTCAAGATTGCACAACTTTCCAAATTTCACAATTTATTTCACAAAGTTTCCAGCTATTATGTTATAATGGGTTTTCCTTACTTTTATACATATTATTTTCAACATATGTATCATTTTTACAACAAATTCTAAGTGTTCTTAACTCTCTTTTGTTTTACTGCACACACAATAAGACTACATTTCTTAGCTTTTCTAGTAGACATTTTGGTATTGTGTAACTGAGTTTCAAGAAGATAAGGGGAAATGATACGTCATATCAAATGTAAAACAATCAAGAGCAGTGTGGTTTTACCATATGCTTTTTCCTGTCTATTTGATTGAAAATGAAGGATTCTGAGATGGCAGGATTGCAAGATGGGGGGCGGGTGGGGGGGCGGTCACCCAGGGTTCCTGAATGCGGATTGGAGGAAAGCTGTGCAAGAAGAATCCTATTGGCTGTTAAAAGTCACTGGCATTATGACATATGCATGTTTTGGCAGTTTGTATTAATTACCCTGATTAACAGAGGAAATAATAGCAAAGGAGCAGCTGACGTAGAGGTTTCAGAGAGAGAATAAATTTGTCATTAAATATCCAAAGAGAATATTTAATGATAAATCTATTACCTATAGAGAAAAGATTTTTGAAGGATTTCAACATTATTACATATAATCATGGTATCAAAACACTGAATAAAAGTTTTATAAAAGTCAGGGTTTTTAAGGTTCATGCTTATCATTTGACTATATATAATTGATATCATATTTATTTACCTATTATATAATATGCACTATGCAACTAACAAAATACATATAAAAATAAATACATTAATTCCTTCATGTAATCTTTAAAATAATACTATTTCATAGAAGAGAAAACTAAAGTTAAATGATGATTAATAACTTGGCCAAGATCACAAATAATTAGAGTAATAGAATTATGATTCTAGCTTTGGTCTCTACAATTACGAAAATCCTCATTGTCTCTAATGAGCCATAATATTTCCCAACCACAAATATGCTTACACACACACATATACAAACATGCACGTACTCCTAGAGGGGACATTTATTATTATTCTTTTTTAAAAAAATTTGAGTCAAGATTTTGGTCTGTTGCCCAGGCTGGAGTGCAGTGGCACAATTATAGCTTACTGCAGCCTCAGACTCCTGATTCAAGCATTCCTCCCATCTCAGCCTCCTGAGTAGCTGGGACTACAGGCACATGCCACCGTGCCCAGCTAGTTTATTTTTTATTGGTTTTTTTTTTTTTTTTTTCTGTAGAGATGAGATCTTGCTATATTGCTCAGGCTGGTCTCAAACTCCCGAGTTCAAGTGATCCTCCAGCTTTGGCCTCCCAAAATGCTAAAATTACAAGCATGAGCCACCATGCTCTGCTAATTATTTTTTCTTGATTATGAATTCAATGTATCAAGGACAAATATATTTCACACCAGGAATATTGTGTTTACGTCTTTCTTTGGGGATATTAATAGCACCACAATATGTGAATGACAGGAGATTTTTATGTTGACTGTTGCTATCCTTCTATCATGGTATGTCTGTACAATTGTGAAAAAAAAAAGTAGATACCTGTCAATTCTATGTAATAGTAAACATTTTCTAATCCTGCATTTGAGATAGATTTCACCAGGTCTTTGAAATGGCATTCATATCAGTGATTGTGTATTGGTTCATACTGCAGTCAAATGGTAATGTTGAAAAGATAAATTGGATACCAATGACAATGCCTTAATAAGAATCTATGTCATTTGAATTTTTATTGATTAAATTAGGGTTTAATCATGGCCAGTGGATTGTCTCCATTTTTTAATTAAATTTTTATTGGAACACAGACACCCCATTCATTTATGTATTGTCTAAGCTGCTGTTGAGTTATAGCATTAAAGGTAATAGTCACAGTGACATATGTATGGCCTATCAGCCTAAAACCTTTATGATCTAGCCCTTTAAGAAGAAGTTTGTTGACTCTGGTGTAAAGGAAGAAAATTTTCTGAAATGTTTGTAGCAGAGTGATGGCAAAATAAGAGCAGTGCTTCCAAAAACAAACTTTGACAATCATGTGAGATGTGGAAAGAGACGGGGAACAACAACTTAGAGTACTAGCATAATAGTTATCTGAGGAAAGGTAAAAAAATAAAGCCTGAACTTTGTGTTGAAAAAATAATTAAAAAGAAAACAAATTAATAATAGAAGTACAGGGCTGCAGTATAGTAGGTCCCTCAGCTTCTTCCTTGGCACATATTCCTAAATGGCAGCTCACTAATTTGAGGCACCCTGTAAGAGAGCTCTAACTCCTCACTAGGTGTTTCTTTTACCACCACTCTTCAGATTCCTTCTTTTGGTTGCTTCATTCTTTGTGTATCCATATCACGTACTCCTTCCCATGCACCAGTCCTCATATATTGAAGTTATCTATTAGGCTTCCTTTTCTCCAGTTGGTTTTTCTTCAATAAGACACCCTTCTTCCCACAAATGTCTTATGACAGAATTTCCCAGCACCTCATCATTTCACCATTTAAATGCTCTCTCTCTTTTTCCCTTTCCTTCTCCTCCACTCCCATGTGTCTTTTTTGCTCCCTCTCCTCCTCTCCCTCTCTCTCTCTCTTTGTCTCTCTCCCCCTCTGTCTCTTAATATCTCTCTAGTATCTTCCAGGATTGGAAATAATACTGACATAAACTAAATTTAGTTTTTTTAAAACATGCATGCTATTTTCCTCAATATTACACATTTGACATATAGATTATTTTAGAATAAATAATCCTACCATTAAAATTGCCTTCATCTCTTTCATGTCATCAATGTTTTTCTCTTTACTGGTACATCCTCATTAACATGCAAACATTGCAATTTAATGCAACTATCCAATCTTAAAACAGACATACAGACAAAAATCTTTGGTCTCATTACTCTCTCTGCTATTTCATTTCTCTCTTTTGTTTTACAAAAAAAAAATCCTTAAAATACTTGACTATGAATTCTGTTTGACTTATTTTTTCTTCCATTCTCTCTTGAACCCAACCTAATCAGTTTTAGCATATGCAGAAGGAGCACTTACGAAACCACCAATGAACTTCACATTGCCCAATCATGATGTCCAGCCCAGCCCTCATTTTACTCAGCCCATCATCAACAGTTGGAAGAGGTTCTCTTTCTCCTTCCTTTTTGAATCACATTTTTCTCTTATTTTCTGAAGCTGCTCTCAGATTTTCCACTTATCCATTCAGTTACCATTCTGAGTCTCTTTACCACCTCCTTCGTAGCTCCCTGACTGCTAAACATGGAATCACAAAGGGCTCTTATTTTTGTCATTGTCAACTCGCTGTAGATGATCTCAACCAGTCTTATAGCTTAGAAGTCTATGCTAAACACTGCTACGTTTATATGTTCAGGCAGACAGTTTTGCTACAGTTCACATTCATAAACTCACCTGCCTATTGGACATCACTGCCTACATGTGGTTTTGTATTATACTATATCAATTCAGCTAAACTGGGGCTACACCTCCCAGAATTCCCTTACCTGTATGATTCTGAGTTTGGGTTGGACTCAAGAGAAATTTTTGTGAGATTTGTGAGGTCTGTGTGTGGTACCAACACAGTCCTTACAAGTATAAAGGCTGTCACCCCTTTTTCATATAGCCCTGCCTCATCTTGTTTGTCTGCAGAAGAAACCAGGGCCACTGAATCTAGCTCCCCGACTTGTACTCTGTTGCTATGGCTTTTAGATATTCTTTGTGTCCTGGGCTAGACAGGAGTACAGTTCCATGGGGAAGAGTGTGACCTTCTCCAGCTGGTGATCTCCTGCTGGTGATCAAGGCTGAAGGTACTGAGAGACAAACTCTGATTCTAGTATGTTTTTTTGAGTTCCAGTGTGTCCTTGCTTCCTCCTGCTTAAATTCCATATTTTCTTCCCAACTGCTAGCACTGAAGACCAACAGAAACTTCAGGCCCACCACCAGATGCAAAGGCAACAGCCTTGAACAGATCCTTTATCAGCTTCTGCAATTCCATTAGGTCAATTATTGTGTTAAGTTCCTATTATAAGCTCCTATATTCTGTATCATTCATAGTGGTTCTGCTTTCTTGCTTGAGTCCTAACAGATATCCTCTGCTTTATTTTTTCCTAATAAGAGCTAGAACCACTTGACATGGTAAGGATTTAATGCTTAAATATTTATTTTCTGACCACCTCCAGTAGAAAGTAAGTTCTCTGTGGACAGGAAGTTTTTCTGTTTTGTTCAGGGGCATATCCATAGCATGTATAATGGTGCCTGACTCACAGTAAGTACTCAATACATATTTATTTTATGAATAAATAATAATTATATGTTTTGCAAGAGACATTTTTGGTTAATCATAATATCAATATATAAAGAGGAACAATGATCAGGGATAAATAAAAATCCTTGAACTATGGCTTAGAAATACTAGCATTAAGAAAATAAGCCAGTGAGGTAGTTGAAAGCGGAGGAAAGGGATTTTTTTTTCTCTCTACTAACAGGTTAAATAACAGAGTCCAGTTCTATATATTACCAGGTACTTGTCAGGTTATTTTCTGAATGTGCACATAGTTTTGTCAACTGTTAAAGACTAATCAACAGTGGTTCGCAGTCAGTGACTGAAATTGCTAGAAAAAAAAAAAAAGCCTGTCAATTATGCAGCTATGTTCCACTTCAAAAATGCTGTGTAGTTGCAAACAGACATTTGGCAAAAGAGTTGAACAAAAAACAAGACATGACATTCTAGGCATACAATTTTTCTTTTTCTTTTCCGTAGCACGATGGGTTCTGCCTGAAATTTGTTTGTTTTGTGAGATAAATCCTCTTCTCAAAAAAGCCAATGGTGTTATTAATTACACAAAGGAAGAGGCAACTGAGGTGGGATCATGCTCAGCTGAAATTGTTAAATGAATACGAGCTCTCATACACAAAACTTCCCCAGTGGTTAACTAAGCTGTCACCATTTTAGTGCATCTGAGGAAATGTGCTCCGAGATTTATGTTAGTGTTGGCAAAGAAATGAACTAATTTTAATTCTCTCACCTCCTAAATTTGACATCAGTCCAGAAACTTTGCAACTAAATTTATGTACGTTTGCTGCACAGCAAATACTTACATTAAGAATGTCACATGGGAAGACAGCAGTCTACCTGGTATAAGTGCAAGAAAGTGAAATTTAGAAAAAACCTTATTTTTACTTTTAAAAATGTTCAAGTCTTTCAAAAGTTCTCATTCCTAGAAGGTCATAAAAGGACTCACAGAAGATTTGTTTTTTCTGGTTGCCCAACTGGTTACAAAACTAGATTACTTCCTTCTACTTCTGCCAAAATAAATGTTATTAAAATACTATATTCCTCATCTGCCAGTCAGAATCAAAGATCCATGAAAGATGATGTTTATTTGTACATGTGCACCTTTCCCACCATAGAACACACATTAAATGCAACACTCAAGATAGTTTCAGCTGCTTTGTGAAGCTGGTTTTCTTACATCTTCTTTCTCAATCATAATATGGAAAATATTATTGCCTGTCCTAAAATGAAAATTCTTTTTCTCAGCAATTTATTTGGAGTAAATTTTTCTTCTGCAGATGACCAAATATTTATTTGTCATGGTGATAATAAAGGTTTGATTAATTGCTGATTTTGGAAATAGTAAAAGACTTAAAAATGTCAATTTTCAGCAGGGTGCGGTGGCTCACCCCTGTAACCCCAGCACTTTGGAAGGCTGAGGTGGGCGGATCACAAGGTCAGGAGTTTGAGACCAGCCTGGCCAATGTGGTGAAACCCCGTCTCTACTAAAAATACAAAAATTAGCCGGGCGTGGTGGCAACGCACCTGTAGTCCCAGCTACTCAGGAGGCTGAGGCAGGAGAATTGCTTGAACCCGGGAGGCGGAGGTTGCAGTGAGCTGAGATCGCGCCACTGCACTCCAGCCTGGGTGACAGAGTGAGACTCCATCTCAGGAGGAAAAAAAAAAAAAAAAAATCTCAATTTGCTTGGAGACTGTTGCTTCAAAGAGGAGGATTCATACTGGGAACAAGGAAAAGATCCAACTGATTCTGTACTGAAAAGATGGATATGATCAAGTAGGTTTCCAGTGAGGAAGAAAAGATTAGTGCTCTGTAGTTTGGTGCTGTAAAAAAGCCCCAATTCACATAACACTAGTTTAAGTAATTTTAAGTAGCTAGGTTTTAAAAGTATGTTTTAAATTGTAATTGTAAAAAAAAAGTTTTTGAAATATTTGATAATGTTAAACTGGTGACCCAATATACTACTATGGTTTGAAAACGAAACAAAGCAAAAGCAAACAAGCACAGTCTATCTCTGTTTTTATTGCTTCTATCTTTTGGATTATGCCAAAAATTGATTTTGCCAATAGAGGGCAGTAGTCAAACTAGGATAGGCTGCATCTATCATTTCTGCAACCTCTAATGAGGTAAAAGGACACATAGAATCCTCATCTGCTTTTATGGATATTGCTGTGTAATTGCAGTGTAATTATGGCCCACAACAGCTTCAGAAAATTATCTTTCAAGAAAACAGCTGGTTCTCTTTCACAAACCGAGATGAAAGCTAGTCAATTACAAAAAAAAAAAAAAAAAAAAAGTCCAAAGAAAATATTCCCACAATATATGCTGATATAATAAACAAATGACAAAAAAAGAAATATCATAAAAATTTTAAATGTATAAATCACAGCTACTGATATGAAAAATAACACAAGGTACAAACATAAGAAAATTAGAAAGGTAGGAGATACTTCTGACACATTGTTTCATATTACAATCTAAATGGACTTCTTAGAAAGATTTTCAAATATGTTTTTTCATTTTTTGTTTTCATTTATTTGTATAATTATGTAAATGCATGGATGTATACTTTATGAAATACATGCACAAACATGCAAAGAGATTTAAAGTATAAGATTTTTTAAGCCAGTGCTCAGGAAAAATTTTAAAAATGACTAAATTTGGGCACTTACTCTAAATTTATAATTGTATTAAGCTTTGTGATATGTCAGTAAGCCAATACATGAGTGTCTCATTCTATAAAAACTCTATATACAAAAATTTGAAGGTTCTAAAATCATTAACAGAACGATCAATTATAGATAATCCATTTTGACAAATGGTTTATTTCAATGTTACTTTAAAAGTCAAGCCTTTTAGAATGGCATAGAGGTGTCTGGATTTATGAAAAAATGAAATTCCCAAGGTCAGAAACATAAATACTAGCATTTAAATTTTCTCATCTTCCACCTGATTGATATTTTCAGGCAGTCAGTTATATTTAAACTCTTGGTATGAAGAATAAGAATTGGTGTTTTCTTGACTCACTGAATGGCATGTCATGGCAGTTCCATGTCATTGACGGCCAAGTACCTCTTATGACCCTTACATTCAGAAATTATTTTAATTAACAACAAACATTAACTGAAGGTATATTTTTTAACCTCAGGGGAATTGGTCCCTGAGTGGTTAAAATAGAAACAAATAAGTACAATATATAAAATTATAAATACAAATATGTATGCATATGTATATAGTATATCTATATGTATATATGGCATGCACCTGTATTAAAATAGATACAGAGAGAGGAAATCAAATAATAATTGTATTCTAAGTTTATTTTTTTTTGTTTTTAATTGCACAAAGTAAGTTGAGAACCTACCAGTAATACTCAGTGGTTCTCAAGTGTGGATCCTGGACCATTAACATCATTTACCCCTGGGAACTTGTTAGTTCCTAGTCTGTCTCCATCCCCCCCACCGCCTGAATCAAAATTTCTGACAATGGTCTCCAGCAATCTGTGTTTAAACCAGCCTCCATGTGATTCTGATGCACGTTAAAGTCTAACAACCACTTCTCTGAGTAAATATAAGTTATTTTCATAAGTATTATAATTTGGACACTATGAATTCCTGATTTCATCCTGGCTCCAGGCTTCTTTTTGGGCAAGTTCTGAATTTGGGTATAGTTAAAATGTTTTTATCAGATAGGTTGGTTCTTTATTACTATTGACCAGATCTTTCCAAAACTGGGTTTGTAATCGAGTCTTTACAGAAGCGTTCTTACATTAGCTATGGAATCTAGGCCTCATTAGTTCTTAATAATAATCTAGCATTCGGAAAATTAGAAGACTTGAAACCAAAAAGGTTAAAAAAATTTACCAAATATTAAAAGGGAGTCTGAGAATAAACTCGAGTTTAAAATCCAAATCTTCTAACTTCTATTTGGAATTTTAATCTTAGTAGATTGGAAGCTGTGGATTTTAACTAATTTTCTGTATCAGTGATAAGATAGCTGTCAAATAACTCATAACAGACATTTGTATTCTAAACACATTTTCAAACTTGCTGAGTATTTCACAGAATACATTTTTCAGGCTGAGTACTTCCACGTTTCCCTGTCGTTGTCTGCATGTGAGAATAGTTTCTCCCAAAGTCAAAATTAGGTCTTTTTTTCGCATTTGAGATGCCCAATAGCTGTGGCAGAGGTGCACCCTTTACATATTTTCCGACATTAGGAAGCAAAGGATGCTTAAGCATCAAGTGCAGATCTTTCCTGCCTGTCTGCTTGCTTATTTCTTCTAAGAGCTGTTGTTCACCAACACGTGTTGCTGTCCTCAGCTGCTAGCCAGGAGAACGTGAAATTTAAGACCACTTGTTAACTTTTCTCAGTTACTAGCAGATCCTTTGGAGACAATTATAATTGTATGATTTCCCTCTGCCTAATTAACTGCATCCCTAGTATAAACTTGTTGAATTCAAGTATTCGTCTTTTCTGTTTAATTTATTTTTTATTTACTTATTTATTTTTGTCCTCAGAGCCTGGCACATTGATAGGTGCCTAACGTTAGTGTCAAATAAATAAAACAATTGAATGAGAAAAAAAAAGATACTCAGTTTTGCAGAATTAACTCTATAATGAAAAGATGTTTTTCACATAAAATGTACACATGCTTTGTGATAATATAATAAAATAAAGATGCATCTGTGCATATTATTATGTGTTTATAACAAAATTATCTCAATGCTTGTGACTGCATCCACAGTGCTAAATGTTTATTTGCTATTATCAGTGAAACCTGTGTTGCTATGGACCACATAAGCTTTATAGGAAATAAAGGGCCATGATAAAATTAACAGTTAGTGTTGTTTACCTCCTAAATTTCAATTGCCAACCGCTGACTGCTAGTTGTTTTTTGTATGTATGAACTATTTCTTCAGCATAGCATATGATGTAAATTTTTCTTCTCTTTTGTCTGACTTCCGGTATACAAGATCCTGTATGTTCATAATATGGCTGCAAAAGCCACGGATTTAGATCACTGAAATCACAAAGGAATACTGCCTACTTTCCCTACAGATTCTGCTGAAAGCAGCTTCATCTCAATCTGTTCATTGTCTTAATGAATTTACATCAAACCTCATTCAGCAATGTACCTTTTGTTTTCTATCAGCAGCATTCTTAGCTGTTTGATATTCTTAATCTTGACCACGGCTCCTCAAACTTTTCTACTAACACATTCCTGCAACCAGAGGCAAGTAACAACTACAATTTCTGTGGACTTTGCTTTATCTTAAAATCTATGCAAAGTTTATTCTATTCCATGAAAGAGTAATGCTTTCATATGAAAATAATGGACTTTTTTCTTTTTTTTATTATTATACTTTAAGTTCTAGGGTACATGTGCACAACATGCAGGTTTGCTACATATGTATACCTGTGCCATGTCGGTGTGCTGCACCCATTAACTCATCAGTTACATTAGGTGTATTTCCTAATGCTATCCCTCCCCGCTCACCCTATCCCACGACAGGCCCTGGTGTGCGATGTTCCTCTTCCAGCAACCAAGTGTTCTCATTGTTCAATTCCCACCTATGAGTGAGAACACGCGGTGTTTGGTTTTCTGTTCTTGCGATAGTTTGCTGAGAATGATGGTTGCCAGCTTTAAGTCAGGTGAAAATTGTTTCCTCCAAACAGGTATGCTACATGTTTCCTGTACTATTTTAATAACTAGGAGACACACAATAGCATAATGTTGTAAGTAGTCATGCCCAGTTTCAGGAGCTTAGCCTTGCTTAAATTTTAGTCAAAGAGTTCATTAATTTTTTTCTCATGGTTTATTGGAGATTTCTACATTAGAAGTCAGCTATCAATGGAAGCTTAAGTGTGGGACAATCTGAATAGTAAACATCTTGCAGTATCGAATATTGTCCCCCACTCCCACCAATTCTGAATCTTTATCCTTGAAAATAGCAATTTACCATTAATTAAGAAGCTTATTATCTTGTGAGAAACTTTCAGAATACCTATGCTGCCAATTCTCAATATATATTCAGATTTGTTTGAATTTCAAAGTAAATTTGACTTAGATTCTTAAACAAGGATTCATCAAATACCAAGAACACATATTGAGGCTGCAGTTTTCCAGCCAAAGATGCATCTAAACTTTGGCTATGAGTGTAATACTCCATGCATTTGAACAGTCATTGTACTTGTTGAATTTAACTCTGCTATCTAATCATGAGACAATAAATATCACAACAATCTTGATAGTTTTGTCTTAAATTTTTAATAAAATATTATAATTACTATTTATATCAGCAGAACTATGTTTTCAATGCATGCACGATTAATTCCATCTTAAAGGGTAAATGTACATTTAATTACATGAAATCTGTTAATATTTGAGTAATCTAACAAAAAATGAGAATATATTCAAACAGATGGCTATAATAAATTATATAAAACATAATAACATATTCTTAAACTACAAAGTTATAAAATTATCAGAAAATTATTGTGAAGAAGTATTCAATTGTCAAGACTTTATCAACATTACATAGGCAAAAGAACATGGTTATGTATTATGACTTGTTGCATAATACTGGAAAGAGTTTATGAGAGATTTCTGAGAAACAGGTAGGCATTGCTATAACCTTACATATCCTTTCTGAGAATGCAAGTTAACTGAAATATCAAGTGGATAAATATTTAATTCTTGTCTAGAAGACAAGATAAATTAACTAGAATAATAGCTATATGAAAATGCACTTGGAATGATGCACAGCAGTGGTTAATACCACATGAGGGAATATAGGCAAATGGTTTAATTGAACCAAAAAAATAAAATTGCATCAAAGTTCACAGTTCTAGAATGTCTAAACCAAAGTCAACTTTTATTGATATTTAAAGCAGTGAAACCACTTTCATCGATCAATTTTGTGCGGTAGATGATGCACTATGAGAGACACATCCATAATGTGCTGTACAAAGCATTCTAAGTAGTGTTAGCAATATATTAAAAATAACGTTGATGTTCCAAACAAGTTTTGACTGATAGTTAAATTTTGAAACAGATGACTTTAAATAGTTTCTGAAGTTATTACATGGTGGATTTGACATTAAAAGCAGAACTTGCATTCCTAAAAATTGATTTAATTTTTAGATAAAAAGTTCCTTTTGATGTAGATTATTGAAAGTAAAATTTGCTAATACTATGTGGACCAACATTTGAGTTCCTTCTGTGTATAGAACACTGAATTATTTGAGAATTTAGACAAGAAATATTCAATGTAGCCTTACTGAATTACACTTAGAAGTTTTAAAAAGTATATACATATACATGTACATATACATACACATTATACATAAACATACATGTAGATAAACACTAAAAATGTTGCTAATTGCTCTTCTTCATGTTTCAAAAAATTAATAGTAGCACTAAATTATAATACTAGTTTTTGATGGGAAAATACGAGTCATAACCAGATTATTTTTGTTTTATCCAAACTTGTATATTGTTACAGATTACTGTAATTTTGATTAAATATAGAATCATAACATAAATTTTCTTTCTCACCATCAAAAAATCACACCTTCAAAAACATTAAGCTGTATTCATACTAAATAAGAAATTTAGGAACCTCAACCAAATGAACAATGCAAACACACTAAAAAGCTAGAAAACTCTTTTCACTGTGGTTAGTATTATTATTAATTTGAAGGTAATCATGTTGGGTATGGGAATATAGAAAAAAGATGAAAATTAATATAGTTATTTGTGCTTCTTTTCTTCTTCTTTCTCTTGCCTCCTCCCCCTATTTTTAACGAGAATTTTTGTGAGTTTGATTTCTTATACTGACTAACACCATATAGAGTGACATAAGTAGCACTAAGGGTACTGAATTATAAGAAGAATTTTCCAGAAAATGACAGGAGAAATAAGGATGAGGGAAAAACAAGTCTGGGGAAGGAGAGACTTATTAAAGGATGTTGATGGTTAAGTAGTGTGTGCTTAGCTGCATGCCACACAGTGTAGGACTTTAGGAAAACAGGGGGAAATCATTGTTTTAGAAAGTTTTGCTGAGTTTGGCTCTACATACACATTTTCTGACTTGTTCAGTTGTCAGCCTGTCCTCCAGCCTCTACCACCTCTCCTTCCTTCTTTTCTCTACTAATATTTCCCTTCTTATACTTTCTTTTCTCCTACTTGTATTGCATACAATTCGCATGTAAACTAAGGTTCCATTGCTGTTTGAGAATAACTTTTGTGGAGGAAAAAGAAAGTGTAGCTTAAGGGAAAGCAAAATGTGAAAATGGGAAGATGGAGCATGTCAGAGCACAAAGGGCCATCGGGCTTTATAAAGGCAATGGGTTTCCAGAATGCCTTTATGCAGAGAGTGCTTTTTCTTGTTGAAGTTTCCTTTACAAGCCCCTTTCTCTATTGTTTCCTCCATCTTCAGTTCTGCAGATGTCTTCATTGGTGAAGCCTGTCATCTTGGTAATGTTTGCATTAATAAAGGGCTATGGCAATTTCTTAGAGTTCTGAAGCCCAGGTAGCACATTTGAATTCTGACCTTTGTTTCCCTGAAAACAATGAATTAATCTGATGGTTGGTGTTTAAGCCACTGAAGTAGGCCTGTGGGGGCAAATTGGACTTTTCTATTGCTTTCGATCAGAGTTTTATGCAATTTCCTCTCTTTCTAATCACATCTATTCACATTCACTGGGGCTGTTGTACCTACTGTCTTCCAAGCACTGCACTGTGTGTTTTACATAATAATCACATTTAAACCTTAGCATGTAAAATTGCATGCATACAATACCAGCCTGCTGTATCTTCCACTTTGGGTCTTCATCTGACAGGGGATTACATGTACCACCCATTTCTACCTACATTTGCTTTCTCATTTTTTTTCCACCCTGCAAGTATCTCAGGTTTGATCAGTGCTTTATAAAGTCAGTGATTTGTCTTCTCATTCAAAACGGCATAATCATGTGATCTACTAAAAGCTCTTCTGTGGTAATTGATTTATCACTCTTATCATTTAATTCAATGCATAGAGCTGAAATTTTGGTTTAATAGCTAAGTGCACTCGAGGATTTCCCACATTAATGCAGGGCTATGGCAATTTCTTACAGTTCTGAACTTATAAAATTGACAGAATACAATGTAGTCATTACATGGTGTGAGTTTTCCGATGGAAATATGTTAATGAAGGTTAATATATGGCGTTTGGTTTATTATACTTTGTAAATGTATACAAATGAAATAAAAGCAGAAATGAAACAAAAGAGAAAGTACCTAGTTCTGAAGGCAATGAAGACATTTTTTGGCCTTAGGCCAAAAAAGTGCTATGTGAGGAAGATTAAGTGTCAAAAAAATGCTATGAAGTGTCAACACGCATTTGAGGGTGGGGTAGACAAAGTACAATATTCTTCTGTAAGTATTTAAGAAAATAGACAATTTCTTTCATCTCTCTATTCCTTGAACTGGATATAGCCATAATACTAGGCAAATACAATTCATCCAATATAATAAATATTTAAGACAAACTGTTTTGTGAATTTTGTGGAATTGTTTTCTTTTTCTTCTCTCTCTCCATTCTTTATTTTTTTTTGATATGGGTTGGGATTTGCTATTATGAGACATGCAAAAGCTTATATTTTCAAAAGTTTAATATATTTCGCCATTTACAAGGAGTCAGGAAAAGTAGTTTGATAGAACCACTATTTAGGTTGCATGTTAAATGTAATAATTCATAAAAGACATTCTAACTTGATCAATTATTTTAAAAGTAGTTATAACTTGGTAGAAACAGTTTTCTGTGCTATATGTTTGGCAACATAATCTAAATAGACTTTGGGGGGAACTGTATTATAGTATGAAGGCTTCTCTTACTGGCTCAGAAAAGCAAGGTAAAAATAGAGACATTTATTATTTTACTCTCCTGATTCCATTTTAGTATTTGTCAGTTATGAAACTGCTGTCTTCATTATAAATATCAGAGTCACAGGAAGAAATATGTGCCTTGGGTGACCTAATAGATAAAGATGAAAAAACATAGCTTTGAAGTTTTACTCATAATATTTTACATATACTTGTTGGAGATCAAACTAGTTAGCTTTTCAAATAGTTATAGAAATCATTCCTCAAAGGGGAATGTTCACTGATGGAGTTCAGGACATGCTACCCCAAAATATGATACCTTAGCATACTGAATATTTTAAGCCAAAGGAAGTTGAGAAAACTGCAGGAGCAGGAAAGTCTTTCTGACATGTTTTCCATCCTTTTCTCCTTTTTATTTTTTTTCTTAGATACAGGGTCTCACTCTGTCACCCAGGCTGCAGTGTCATAGCACAATTATGCCTCACTAGGCTCAAGCAATCCTCCCATCCTCAGCCTCTGAAGTAGCTGAGGTATAGACACATGCCATCACACCCACCTAGTTTTTTGGGTAGAGCTGGGTTCTTGCTACATTGCTCAGGCTAGTCTCAACTCCTGACCTCAAGCGATCCTCCCACCTCAGCCTCCCAAAGTACTGGGATTACAGGCATGAGCCACCACTCTCAATCAACCACTTTTCTTTCCTGAAGCAGGCAATAAAAACTGACTGACCTTTTTCTGAACTAGTTCATCCCAGAGAGTCCCTCTCTATACCCAGAGGAAAAGAATACTCTTATCTCTGAAGACACTGGGACAGGGAGAAGAGAATCGCAACAAACAAGATTTCTTAAATGCCCCTGCATTTCATTACCATTAGATCATACCATTGTCCTGCAATCATGTTGCACAAATATCTATAAAAATACAGTTTTCCCTCTTTCTTTGGTGTTTTCATTTTTAAAGCCTCCTGTGTAATATAAAATTTATACTAAATAAATTCATGTGCTTTTCTCTTGTTAATGTGTCTTCTGTTATAGACATCTCAGCCATGAGATTTGTGATGGGTGAGAAGATATTTCTTGTCAACTCCTTTATCACAAACAAAAATAATTCTCTCAATAAGTGTTTCTTATTTTACACAATTTCTTTAAAGTTTAACCCTACTTACTGCAACATGCACTGTTTTTAAATTTATAAAATCAAAATATTTCTCTAGATATGCTAGCCAAGCAAAATAAACAGCTATTTTAAAAATATTCCTAAATACATGATGATACTATAATAATAATAATGACCTTAGTATGCTTGAAATTTAAATACAAAGAATAAAATTATAATTGTAGTGCTGTGTCACTAAAGAGTTGAATGGTTAAGACACATTAAAGAAAGAGGAATAATACATTTTCTTTGTTTTTTAAAATATCATTGATTAGAAGATGTGACAATTTAGTAACAGCTGTTTATAGAAGAAATTACAGTAAGTGAATTTATAACTGGTATATTAGAATTTCATAACTATTAAAATGTAGACATATGTATACATTATATTCACATATGTATGTATAAATACACATATGCAAGCACACACACATACATACATATAGAATTATTTCAAAGAATCCCTTGCATGTTATGGATTCTTGGCATCATGAAGAAGGAGAAAAATAGCTTAGTGTGAGAGTTCTCCAGGTGTAGTTTTTGTACTTTCAGATGTAAAATACAAAGGCAACCATATCTGCATAGAAATGTTCTGCACATTTGCTATTTCAAAGAAACACTGTAATTAACACTATGGTTAACATGACTTATGCATGTTTAAATCAAAAGAAAAATAATATATTTAAAGTAAGGGGAAAAGTAAAAATATTCTGCCCTAATTGGCAGCTTTTTTTCTATATTAGTGTGGCCTTCTATGAAGGTTCCCACAACTCATAGAAGACTGTCAGCTTCTGCACGAACTCAGTAGAGTTCTTGTCTTTTTATTTGATGTGCTTTTGATGTTCAAGTTTGTTCTGTAGCTATTAATGTCTCCCCTGGCCTAGCTACTTTTTTTCTCTTTTCCAGAAATTTGTAGTCCTAACATGTCTTAACTCTGTTTCTGATGCCTGAAGCATTTGCATCAGGCAAATGCTTTCTTGTTAGTGGAAGGAATGATACAAAATCAGCAAGCCTGTTGTTGAATGGCTCCACAAAAGTCAAAGTAATATTCTCAGATAAGTGAAGCTAACAATTCTAGCAAGATGTTCTTTCCATCCAGAAGCAGTTTTCTTGCTTGCCATGGATGTTATCATATCTTTTGTGATTAATTAATTCAAAAAATTCCCAGTAGTTTGGGAGGCCGAGGCAGGCAGATCACTTGAGATCAGGAGCTCGAGACCAGTCTGGCCGGCATGGTGAGACCCTATCTCTACTAAAAATACAAAAATTAGCTATGCCTGGTGGGGTGCACCTGTAATCCCAGCTATTCAGGAGGCTGAGGTAGGAGAATTGATTGAACCTGGGAGGCGGAGGTTGCAGTGAACCAAGGTCACGCCACTGCACTCCAGCCTGGGCAACAGAGCAAGACCTTGTCTCAAAAAAAAAAAAAAAACAAAAAAAAAACAAAAAAAAACTCCTGTGTGATTCACAGGCTACTCATACTCTATATTATTTTTGTTTGAGGCCTGAAGATTTGTTTTCAGGGTATACTCTCTGAACAGAGGTTTTGATAGTTCAGTTTTTTCAAAAAAGTTTGTACAAGTTGAACCTAGACAAATCAATAAAGACAACCCTACCTACAAAATAACCACAGTCAAACCTACTTAAGAAAAAGCCACCACTAATTTAACAATAATTATAGTTTCTTCCAAAAGTTAGAAATGACATGTCAATGAAATAGCATTCTTATTCTATGGATAGTATAACAGGGTTTTTGTGAAATAATTATAATCCAGCTTCTCAATCATTAAACTTCCTTGAAAATATCTATAAACTGAATAAGAAACAAAACAATTAGATATCTATCTCTCTGCAAAAATAGTTGACAATGTGCCCATATCTACTTAGGCTAATAACCTATATTATTTATACCATTTTCCAGTTTCCATGGTGTACATACTTGTACCATGGGTAATTTCAAGTTACCAAATCCTCATAATTGGAAGGAGATATGTACACCTGGGTCTTAGGAGGTAGCACTAGCTAGTGCCAGCACATCACAGATCTAAGTGATTGTTGTTGAATTTCCCATAATGTGTAAAATAATATGAAAATGTCAGTGCAAAAAAGTTGAACTTAGGACTAAGAACTTTTAGTAATATAAGTTAAAGGTTTCCCAGTGTTCTCAATTAAAATCTTAATACATGATACCCTTTTATTTTCATAGCACTTTTTAATGTCTGAAATTATCAATTTTATTTATTGATGTTTGTCTGTCTCCTCATAACTAACGGTGGAACTCCATAAAATTGGGATTACATATGTTTTGTAGAATGTTTATCTAGTAACAACAAATATACATAGCATGTATTGGGCCCTTCATTAACATGTTAAATAAATAAGTCAACCTTTAAGTTAAAGTGTTATACATTTGGTTCTAAGTTACATTAATGTTTCATTTTTTAACTAATTAATAATTTTATTTAAAAATTGTGGTAATGTGGATTTGGGTGGATACTGTTAATCTTTACTCCCACTTTTTATGCAGGTATCTCTTTTGTAAAAAAATAGCTTTATATTGAATTTTAAAAACTCCTTTCATAGGCTACAGATGCTAATTTGTAAGCATACTCTGATGCCTATCTAAATAATAATGTTTTGACAGTTATTAAAGTCCTACAGAAAATAAGCTGGACCATGTAGCTTTACAACACAGATACAGGAGGGGAAAAAAGAATTGAAAATCATTTATATTGCTACTTTAACATAAAGTTAATTGGGGCTTATTTAAAAATTCCTTAATATTTCAATTTTAATTCCAAACTGCGATATTTATTTATTTCATTCATTTTAAATATTAATTTAGCATTTACTATGTGCTAGCATTTAATGTGTAGGTACCACAGTGAAAAACACAGAATACTAATCTTAGAGGAAAAATGTTTTAAGAAAGATATGGAATATAAACAAGAAAATGAACAACTAAATAACAATAATATGGACCCTGTGGAAAATATATAAAAGATAGGAACAATTCTATATGATTTATATTGGCCGATCAGGGAAGTTTTCTTTGTAGAGTGACATTTCAGAAGAGACATGAAAAATATAAAGAAGTAGAAAGGCAGGTGGATCAGCAGGTAGAGCACCTTTGGTTGGAATTAGTTTGGATTTTTTAGGGAACAATATGAATTCCACAGTACCTCGAGAACTGTGAGAATAGAAAAGAGTGATGGGAGTTGATCCAAAGAGTAGGCTGGGTGATTTCATTTTGGCTCCTGTGGGTTTTGTTAAGGAGCTTGGATTTTATTGTAAATGTAATGGAGAAGTACTGGAGACTTACAAAGCGAGGAGTGATGAGATTTGAAGTAGAATTTTTGGAGATTTGTCTGGCTACTATATGGAGATATGAAGAGTAAGTTCTAGGGATACATGTAGAACCTGCAAGCTCTTACAGATGAAAGATGATGGACATGTCAGAAATCATTTGAAAGTAGTAGCCCGGACTTGGTAATATATTATTATGGGTGATGAAGGAAAGGGCAGTTAAGAATCACTTCTAAATCTGGCCTGAGCAAGTAGAAGAATAGTGCTGTTTACCGAATTAGGAAGACTGGAGTAAATTATGCCCACTAGGTATTTACTGTATGAGTCTGCAGCTCAAGGTGGAAAATTGGGGCTAAAGATGTGTTCTTTGGAGTCAATGATGATGACATTCGATGGTATTTATAGCCTTAAAGCTAGATGAGATCACTAGTAAGTATATACAGTTAGAGAAGAGAAAAAAACTCAAGAACTGAGCCCAGGAGCACTCCAACCTTTAGTGACCCAAACTAGTAAGAAGGTCTAGCAAAAGATAAGAAGTTGCAGCCAGGAAGAAAACCAGAGTATGATATAAAAGCCAAGCAAAAACACAATACAACATAACAACAACCACAACAACAAAAACGTGTTTCAAGAAGTAGTGAACTGAACTGCATCTGTTAAGTCATATTAGAAGAAACACAGATTGAATTTTCAATTACATTGGAGGAATTTTATTAGAGTAGTGGAGAGGAAAATCTAATTCACCAAACTTAAGAGAAAGTGAAGGAAAATAAGTAAACAGGCAGTGTATAAAATTATCTTAAGGAGTTTTGCTAAAAAGAGGATTAGATAAATGGGCAAGAGCTGGAAAGAATTTAGACAAACGGGTTCGGGAAAGTTTTGTGGGTTTTGTTTTTTAGTAATAAGATATATTGAAATGTATTTGTATTTTGATGAAATAATCTAGCAGGACAGGAAGAAGTGAAAAAAATGATAAGGAAAATCTTTGATGAGACAAGAAGAAATTTAATTTAGTACAGAAGTGGCTAGAGATGGAAGCAGAAAGAATTTATTCATTAGAACAAGAGGAATGGAAAGTTGAACTGGAGTTGGAAAAGATAAGATATGTCTCTTCTGCTTACTGCTATTTTATCATTGAAATAAAAAGTGAAGTTATCAGCTGACAATGGGAAAATTGAAAGGGTTGATGCAGAAGGTTAAAGAAACAACTACAAAACAGTCAACTCAAGCGTTTAAGAATAAATGACGGCAGAATTACTAAGCACAGTTAGAGACAGCGTGGGATTTGCTGTCATGAATGAAAATGAGATGAGAAAGCATGGGGTGGGCGGGCGTGTATGTGTGTGTTTTGCAACTTTAAATACTCACATGAAGTCAAGGATAATATTTAAACTCTATAGGGCGGAATCCTTTCTAAATAGTCATAACATATTAAATAGTTGTGAAATATTTTTACTAATATTCCTGGATACATGCATACTATAGGTAAAGAGCTTGTTAAATGTGAGTTTGGATTTCCTAGGAATGTATGCCTGAGGGAGAGATTCACAAAGCATTTGAACATGGATCAAAGGGCATGCTTTCAGTAACAAATCTATAAGCACAAGAATAGAAGTGAGGAGATGAAGAAATAATAAATAGTGAAAGAATAAGCTGATGTCAGTCACTTCTTAGAATGAGATTATGGTAGTTTATTTGCAAATATGGCCATATAAATTATTCCCAGCTATGTGTGCACACTCATTTTCAATATGTTTTTTATCACACCCATGAAAAGCAGAATCTATTATTTCACCCCTTACATCTGGATTATGCCTGTGACTAGCCTTGGCCGACTGAATGCAGAGGAAGTGACGCTGTGTAACTTCTGAGCCTAGGCCTCAAGATATCTCACAGCTTCTTCATCTGCCGTCTTGAAACGCTGCTACCACCATGTAGAAAACTAGGGCATGAGAGATCATGTATATATGAGACAGAGAGAGAGAAAGAGAGAGAGAGAGACCTAGCTGACACCTAGCAATAACCACCAGAAATTGCCAAAACACAAACTCATGAGCTAATAAATTGTTATTTGAAGCTATTACATCTTAATGGTTTGTAATGTAGCAATAAACAATTGATACAGGGACATTAGAGTATACGAGCTAGAAAAATAAATTATAATGAGCTGTGTTAATTACTGCCCCATCTCAGTCCTGGACTCATCCAAATATCCTATCATATAAAGAACAAATTTCAGTGCTTTCAGTTTAATTTGAATGAAATAAAAAAGAGAAGAATGAAAAGAATATAGTTAATATATACAATACAAATACACAGATTAAACACTGAAGCTTTTTATTTTATATTTGTAAATACTCGAGAGAGCTCAGACAAAACCATTACACACAATGATCTTCACATTCATCAGTACAAACTAACACACTCAGGGATAGGAGCCACTCACTCCCCAGAAACTCCTGCATCAGTTGGCATTTCAGTACAATCCACTACAAGAAGTGGTTTGTTTAATACTACCGTGGATAAATAACAGCCAATTTCCCCTTGGAAAGGAGCTCAACCCACTTTCAAGCCCAATAACATGAACAACCATATCCTACAACTTCATATTTGCATCTCTTTGTTGGGGCAACTCCTAATACCAATTTCTATATTAGGTCCATTCAGCAAACAGAAACCATACCAGTTATTTGAAAAGAGAAAACTTAATATAAATAATCGTTAACTGGTTATCTGAAAGCCTAAAATGAGATCTCTAAAGTATCATAATTGTAGCAATTACAAAGAATAGTTAACAAATATGGAGTTGAAAGGATAGATAAATTATATTTAAGTTATTAAAGTTTATAGGAAAGGACCCTAAGAAGCCAAGACTAAAACCTCTGATGAAGAGGTCCTGCACAGCTAATGTTGGTGTCTCCAATCTTGGAATCTTATAAGCCTGGAATCCTGACTTCTAAAAATAGGACACCAAGTTAGTTAGTGTTGGTCTCTCTAGGAGTGAGACAAAATGAAACTGATTATGCAAGGGTTGGAAAAATGGCAAACCAGATGTAGCTGCTGGTGTAAGAAGAAATTTTTCCTGCTTGGGTAAAGAAACATTGCTGCAGTGACTCAATGTTACAAGCAGATAAGGAGCTCACAGGATGCCGCAAAAACAGGAACAAGAAAGTCCCTCTTCTTCCTCCAGGCTTGTAGTCTTTCTCTAGAGCATCTTTTGGGAAGAGCCAGTTATTGAGGCAGGTAGCAGGGCAGAAATGTGTTTTGCAGATATCTAATTTCAATATCACAAAACAGAGTCTAGAAGAGGGAGTATAGAGATGAAGACAATACCTTACTAAGCTGAATACAACCCAGAGAATAAGAAAGAAACAGATTAGTGTAGGTAAGACAAATCTGAGAGTTTAGGTCCCATATTAGAGAGGATTTAGTGGTGCAACCCTTTTGGTTTAGGGTGAAACCCTCTACTGCAACAACATCAATGACAAAAGATTATTTCCAGCAGGCACTGTAGCCCAGTTTAGAATCATCTTGTTCTATAGAATGGCATTAAATCGTTTTCAGATTGCAACAGCCCAAAGTATTAATAGAGAACAAATAGAAATTGTGTCTGTAATAAGGTAATATCATCATTGGCATTTAATTATTTCTACAACAATTTTTGAAGAAAATACTTTTCAAAACATAAATATTAATCAGGGTATGACTGAGCACTGGCAGGAAGAATATAAAATATATGACTCAACAAGACAAACCACACAATTTTTTTAAATGGCATATATACTATAAATAAAAACATGTAAGAGTGATTAACATCATTAATTATCAAGCAAATGCCAATTAAAACTGCAGTTGAATACCACAATATATCCACAGGGATGAATAAAAATAAAGACTGTAGACACCAACTGTTGGTGATGATATGAAGCAACTAGGATTTTCATATAAACATTTGTGGGAATGCAAAATGATACAAACTCTCCTGAAAAAGGCTTGGTAATTTCTTATAAACCAAAGCACATGATTCCAAGTCTAGGAATTTACCCAAGAAAAATGAAAACATGTGCACAGAAAAACATGAGACAAATGTTCACACAAATTTTTTTCATAATTTCCAAAACCTTAATTATATCAAGGTATCTGTCAATAGGAGAGCAGATTAACTAATATACACCTATGCAATGGACTACTACTCAGTAATAAAAAGGAAGACACTACTGATATATGTAAAAACATGTATGAAACTCAAAAACTTTGAGTGATATAAGCCTTCTAACACAAAATACACATACTATATGGCTCTATTTTTATACAGTTCCAAAAAAGCTACAACAAATGTATTATGAATAAAAACAAAATATGATTTTAGATTTAAAATGGGGTCAGAGATTGATTTGGAAGGGTCATGAATGCACTCTGGGGAGATGACAGTGTTACGTATCTTGATATGGGCTTAAGTCATGTGGGACACTTTTTAAAAAAATCTCAAAATCTAATTTATTATGTTAGAGTCTTATCAAAAAGAATATAAAATCTATAAATATTGAACTATAGTTAATCTTATGTGTGTCAAAAATATAATGGAGTAGAATATTGATATTTTCAACTTTATAATTGATAGTAAATAAGCTATGGGCATAAGAGGAATGTATAAAACGATAGATATGTGATAGTAATCAAGTAAACATATTAAAATGTTAATAGTGAAATATAGGTAGCGTGTATATGCATATTTACTGTAACAATCTTTTAACATGGCCTGTGCTGAAAACTTTATTTTTAGTTTTTTATTTATTTACTTTTTGAGACAGGGTCTCACTCTGTTGCCCAGGCTGGAGTACAGTGGTGCAATCTTGGCTCACTGCAACCTCCGCCTCCCAGGTTCAAGCGATTCTCCCACCTCAGCCTCCCAAGTAGCTGGGACTACAGGCATTCGCCACCATGACCAGCTAATTTTTTTATATTTTTTTTGGTAGAGACAGGGTTTCATCATTTTGGTCAAGCTGGTCTCCAACACCTGACCTCAAGTAATCTGTCCACCTCAGCCTCCCAAAGTGCTGGCATTACAGGCATGAGCCACCACACCAAGCCCCGAAAACTTTGCATAACAAGAACTGTAGAAAAAAAGAATACTATGCACAGCAGGAGACCAGTCACCACGAACACTAACTAGAAGAACAAGCGAGTAATAAACACAGGCCAACAAGATTTTAAGATGGGAGTTAGTCAAAAACTGGAAAATTTATTCTTAAAATATTTAAAGAGATAAGCAAGACTGATAATTTTATTAGAGAACTGGAAATTATTTTTTGAGAAGACCTTAGCATGTTTGAAAGAAAACCAAACATACATTCAAGAAATAAAATTGAAATAAGAACTCAGAAAATGGATTCAATGGCAGATTTAAATTCCCTGAAGGGAAAGTTGATGTGCTGCACAATATATCAGAAGAAAACTCTGAATTTAGCATAGCAATAAAATGAATAGGAAATACAGAAAACAATCAGAGAAAAAAGTAAGCTTTCATGTGTATAATTGGTGTTTCAAACTAAGAGGAGACATCTGAGCAAAAACAATTGTTAAAAAAATACATGGCTGGAAAATTTCCAAAGTAGATGAAAGACATCAAACCACACCTGCAAGGAAATCTTTAAGCCCCAAACAGAGTAAATGCAAAGAAAACCACACTTAAGCACATCTTACCACAACTACTGAAAATACAATGACAAAGGACATGTAAAAAGTAATGAAAGGAAAACAAGGAAAATTGCCTTCATAAAAGATTTGACTTCTCAACAATATAACCTGAAAATTATCCTTAATTAAGTTTTAAAAAGCCAACAGAAAATAGACACCCAGAGTTATTTCTAAAAGTAGAAAAAATTACCCCCAAAATATAACTAAATGTTATATTTTGAATATTCCTTGAGAAAGGAATGCGGTGTAATGAGGATGTTAATTGTAATCATAAATATGAATAAATACTGGCTTTATCAAGCAATAATAGTAATATAATCAAAATTAGTAGCCCCAACATAAGTAATAAGTCAAAGGAAATAAACGGATTATAATGTTCTAGGATCTCTTACTGTCAGAAAAGAGGCAAATGTACCAATTAACACAGTTAACAAGAGACATTTATATGTCAGTGACACATATTGTAATTCCAGAGTAAACATACAAAGACCATCAAAAGTTCTTAAGTAGCAAACAGAGAATATTGAGAATAATAAAATCATCAAATAAAATGAGGCTAGAAAAAAATGGAAAAGAAATAAAAACAAAGCAGAAACTCCAGAAATAGTGTACTAAGATATATATTTAAAGAAAAGTTATCAGTATTTATATTACGTGAGTGAGTTAAAATGTCCAATTAAAATGAAGCATTATCACACTGAAAAAATGTATACATTGTTTAGAAAGGAAATAAACAAAATATTCAAACACATAAAAGTAGGAAACTCTCTGGAAAAAAAAATACACCATATAAAAAAGTAAACAAAACAGGGCTTGTAGCTATACTAATATTCAACAAAGTGAACTTTAAGCTAAAAAGATTTCCAAAGATAAAAATTAATATTTTACAATAACAAATATCAATTAATTCAGGATGTTAAATTAATTACTCTTAAAATATATAAAACAAGTAAAAAGATACATGCTTGTTGGTCAGAGTCTAGAAAATTTCAATTTGATAGAAGGAATAAGTTCAAGAGATGTGCTGTGCAAGATGTTGACTATAGTAAATAACAATGTATTGTATTCTTGAAAATCTTTAAGAGAGAAAAAATACATATCAAAGAGTTACATAAATGTATAATTATACCAGGAGATTTTTCCCACATTTCTGTCAGTATAACTGACTGACACAGAAAACAGTAAGGCTGTAAAAAATTTGAACATCATTGAATACATGGATCATAAAGCTATATAGAATACTCAGCTAACATGTAGAGAAAACACATGCTTCCTAATGGACATGGAACATTACCAAATGCTGGCCCATAAAGAAAATCTCAACAAATTTTATATGATTTAAATTGTGTTCTTTGACGTCAGAGGAATTAAGTTAGAAATCAGTAACAAAAAGAAAACTAGAAATTAAAAATTAAGCAACATACTTCTAAGTAATCTAAATCTAAAAAATATGTCCAGTATTATCATTGGAAAAATGCAAATTATATTTGTAATGAGATACCACCACACCCCATCAGAATTGCTGAAGTTAAAGATTGACAATATTTAATTTGAAGGCGACGTGCAGTAACTGGAATTTTCATACATACTGTTAGGAGTGTAAATGAGTGTAATGTTGGTCCTCTGTTTGGCAGTAAGCACTAAAGCTCAAAATACATGGCTTTTCACTCAACGATTCTAATTCTGGGTATAGAAGACTGCATAAGTGCACCAAAAAAGATAGACAAGAATGTACACTATAGCATTGTTCATAATAGCAAAATTTAAAACAAAATTATATATCCCTATGACTACATAGTGTACTTATAGAAAGGAAACTGAGCAAATGATAACTATACACAAAATGTGGATGAATCTTACAAACATAAAGTTGAGCAAGATATTTCAGACACAACAGAGTATACGATATCGGATCTCATTTATATTAATATAAAGTTCAAACACAGTGAAAACTTGACTATAGTTGTAGAAGTCACGATAGGAATTACACTGTGAGTGAAGCGGAGGGATTAAGATGGAATGTAGGGACTGGGAGATAGTATGGAGAGAGAGACTTCTGGAGTACTAGATATGCTCTATTTTCTGATTTGAGTGATTGTTACGTGGCCTTGTTCACCGTATGAAACTTCATCTATGTGACAGTCTTTATGTACCTATGTTTACTTATGTTATACCTAATTTAAATAGTTTTCTTTTTTAAAAAAGTCAAGTTGAGGAGAAAATAGTGGAACATGAGAACAACAGTGGATATATACATCCTGCCAAAAAATTAAATTAAACCATGCGGTAAAGTTCTCTGCCCTCCAGCCAGCCCTTTACCTGTAATATGCAGGCCATCTAAATGTAGCTGAACAACATTGGCATACTCAAAAGTACTGAAATGAACAGTATATCCAGAAAGCCAGGGAATCGGGATAAAAAAGTGGCATAGTCTGAGACATAATGTCTTTGTGACTAATGGTGACAGCAGTGGATATCAGAAAGAGATAGTAGCATTGTTCTCCAAATTAACAGCTTGGCCTTGTTTAGGACTTACTCTATCAGCAGAGAATAGGTTGGACTTAGACCATAGTTTAGGGCAATAAAGACCAAAAAAAAACAAACAAACAAGGCAGCAGTTGTTACCTTATGTGTTTGTATTCTTATGTCATCATTATGTCCCTAACACATAAAATTTTGATGAAAATAATCTTTCAACAAATGTTTGCTCATTTGAGTTGTTTATAATTAACAGAAATAACAGTTCTTACTAGAATTTGGGGGCCCTTGGTAGTTGATGTATTCAATCAACTAGTTGATGTATTCCATCTTAGAAGAGGAAAATCAAGTTGTCCAAACAAGACTCCACTGATTGACAACCCTGTCCCTTGGAGGATCACTAAATTTAACAACAATCTACACAAAACAAAAGCACCTTTATAAAAAACAAAAATTAGGTGAGCACTCACAGTACTTGGCTTTAACTTTATATCACTGAAAAAGGCACTGAAGAGGATAGGAAAGATAGCCCTGAATTGCCTACAGTACCGTTCTCCCATCCCCAGGCAGTGGCTACATGGTGCTGACAGAGAATCTCTGTGCCTGAGACAGGGAGAGTGCAATAATTGTGAGATTCTGCACTGAACTCAGTGCTGTCCTATCACAAGCAAAACCAAGCTGAATTCAGCTAATGCCTACCCACAGAGGGAGCATTTAGTCCAGACCTATCTAATATGTCTGGCAACAGACTTTTCAGTGGAAACTTTATAAGTCAGGAGAGAGTGGCATCACATATTTATTGTGCTGAAGGAAAAAACCTTTTACCAATGAATAGCATATCTGATTAAAGTAATCCTTCACACATGAAGGAGAAATAAAGACTTTCACAGACAAACAAGAGCTGAGGGATTTTATCAACACCAAACCTGTCCTACAAGAAATGCTAAAGGGAATACTTCAATCAGAAAGAAAAAAAAAAAAAGGTTAATGAGCAATAAGAAATAATCTGTAGGTTCAAAACTCCCTGGTAATAGTAAGTACACAGAAAAACACAGAATATTATAACACTGTAACTGTGGTGAGTAAACTACTCTTATCTTAGATAGAAAGACTAAAAGATGAACCAATACAAAATAAATAACTACAACAACTTTTCAAGACGTGGAAAGTAAAACGAGATATAAATAGAAATTATAAAAAGTTAAAACGCAGGAGGAAGAAGTTCAGTTGTCAAGTTTCTGTTAGCTTTCTTTTTGCTGGTTTGCTTATGCAAACAGTGTTAAGTTGTTATCAGCTGAAATAGTGAGTTATAACATAGTATTTGAAAGCCTCATGATAACCTCAAATCAAAAATTATACAACAAATATACAAAGAACAAAAAACAAGAAATTAAATCATACCACCAGAGAAAGTCACCTTCAATAAAAAAGAAGACAAGAAGAAAGAGAACACCTCAAAACAACCAGGAAACAAATAACAAAATGGCAGAAATCCTCAATTATCAATAATAACACTGAATGTAAATGAACTAAACTCTCCAATCAAATTACATTTAGTGGTTGAATGATTCCAAAAAATAAGACCTAATGATCTGTTTCCAACAAGAAAAACACTTCACTTATAAAGACACATGTAGACTGAAAATACAGAGATGAAGATATTCCATGCCAAAGGAAACCAAGACAAAGCAGAAGTAGCTGTACTTATATCAGAAAACATAAATTTCAAGATAAAAACCATAAGAAGAGACAAAAAAGGTCATTATATAATGATAAAGGGGTCAATTTAGCAAGAGGATATAACAATTGTAAATATATATATGCACCCAACACTGGAGCACCAAATATATGAAGCAAATATTATTAGAGCTAAAGATAAAGATAAATCCCTATACAATAATAGCTGGAGACTTCAACACACCACTTTCAGAATTGGAAAGGTTTTCCAGACAGAATATCAAAACAGAAACATCAGTCTTAATCTGCACTGTAGACAAAATGGACCTAATAGATATTTACAGAACATTTTATCCAATGACTACAGAAGACATTCTTTTCCTCAGCACATGGATTATTCCCAATAACAGATCATATGTTAGGTTACAAAACAAATCTTACAACATTCAATAAAATTGAAATAATATCAAGCATCTTCTCTGACAACAATGGAATAAAACTAAAAGTCAATAACAAGAAGAATTTTGGGAACTATACACATACATGGAAATTAAACAATATGCTCCTGACTGACCAGTCAATGAAGAAATTAAGAAGGGAATTGAAATTGTCTTGAAACAAATGATAAATGGAAACACAACATACCAAAACCTATGGGATACAGCAAAAGCAGTACTAACAGGAAAGTTTACAGTTATAAGCACCTACATCAAAAAAGAAATATTTATGCAAAATCCTCAACAAAATACTAGCAAACCAAAATCAACGACACGTTAAAAAATTATTCATCCTGAACAAGTGGGATTTATCCCAGGCATGCAAGAATAGCTCAACATACACAAATCAATGTGATAGAGCATATCAACACAATGAAGAACAAAATCCATATGATGATTTCAACTGACGCAGAAAATTCAGTATTCCTTCATGACAAAAAAAAAGAAGAAAAACCCTAAAAACCCTTGGTGTAGAAAGAACATACTTCAACATAATAAAAGCCACATGCAACAGACCCATAGCTAGTATCATACTGAATGAGAAAAATCTGAAGCCTGTCTTCTAAGATCTGGAACATGACAAGTATGCCCACTTTTATCACTGTTATTCAACATAGCAGTGGAAGTCTCAGCTAGAGCAATCAGACTTAAAAAAGAAATAAGGGACATTCGAGCTGGAAAGGACGAAATCAAATTATCCTTGTTTGCAGAGGTTATGATCTTGTATTTGGAAAAATCCTATGACACCACCTAGCAATTGTTGAAACTGATAAACAAATTCAGTAAAATTGCAGGATATAAAATCAACATAAATCAGTAGCATTTCTCAATGCCAATAGCAAACAATCTGAAAAAGAAATCAATAAAATAATCCCATTTACAATAGCTATGGATAAAATAAAATACCTAGGAATTAACTGAACCAAAGACATGAAAGATCTCCACAATAAAAAGTATAAAACATTGATGCAAAAAATTGAAGAGGACACAAAAAAGGAAAGATATTCCATGTTCATGGATTGGAATAATTAATATTATTTAAATGTCCATATGACCCAAAGCAATCTACAGATTCAATACAATTCCTACAAAAAACTAATTACATTCTTCACAGAAATAAAAAAATTCTAAAATTTATATAGAGACCCAGAATAGCCAAGACTATCCTAAGCAAAAAGAATAAAACTAGAGGAGTCACATACGTAACTTCAAATTATTCTGCAGAGCTACAATATCAAAAAAGGCCTGGTAATGCCATAAAAATAGACACACAGATGAGGGGAAAAGAATAGAGAACCCAGAAATAAATTCATACATCTAAGGTGGACTCATTTTTGACAAAAGTGCCAAGAACATACATTGGGGAAAGGACAGTTTCTTCAACAAATGGGAAAACTGCATATCCATATGCCGAAGAATGAAACTAGACCCCTATCTCTCACCATATGTAAAAATCAAATGATAATGGATTAGAGACTTAAATCTAAGGCTGAAAACTATGAAACTACTGAAAGAAAACATTGGGGAAACTCTCCAGGACATTGGACTGGCCTTGTAGAGTATTCTTGAGTAATACTTTACAAGCACAGGCAACCAAAACCAAAATGGAAAAAATGGGAGCACATGAAGTTTAAAAAAAACTTCGTATGGCAAAGGAAACAATCAACAAAGTGAAGAGACAACCCACAGAATGGGAGGAAATATTTGCAAACTACCTATGTGGCAAAGGATTAATAGCCAGAATATATAAGGAGTTTAAACAACTGTATAGGAAAAAAATCTAATAATCCAATTCTAATTAATAAATGGGTAAAAGATCTGAATAGACATTTCTCAAAAGAAGACATACAATTGGCAAACAAGTACATGACAAGGTATTCAACATCACTGGTCATCAGAGAGATGCAAATTACAACTACAGTGAAATATCATATTATCCCATTTAAAATGTCTTTTATCCAAAAGACAGGCAGTAACAAATGTTGACAAGGATGTAGAGAAAAGAGAACCCTAGTACACTGTTGGTGGGAATGTAAATTAGTATAACTATGGAGAGGAATTTAGAGGTTCCTCAAAAAACTAAGAATAGAACTACCATATGATCCAGCAATCCCATGGCTGAATATATACCCAAAAGAAAGGAAATCAGAATATTAAAGAGGTATCTGCACTCTCATATATATTGCAGCACTATTCAAAATAGCCAAGATTTGAAGTCAACCTGCGTGTTCATCAACAGAAGAATGGATAAAGAAAATGTGGCACTTATACACAATGGAGTACTACTCAGCCATAGAAGGAATAAGATCATGTCATTTGCAACAACATGGATGGAACTGGAGGTCATCATGTTAATTCAGGCACAGAAAGACAAACTTTGCATGTTCTTGCTTATTTGTGGGAGCTAAACATTAAACTCATGGAGACAGAGAGTAGAAGGATGTTTGCCAGAGGCTGTGAGGTGGGTAGGGAAGAAGGTGGGGACCGTTAACAAGTGAAAAAAAAAATAGAAAGAATGGATATGACCTAGTATTTGCTAGCACAACAGGGTGACTATAGTCAAAAATAATTTAATTGTACATTTAAAAATAACTGAAAGAGTATAACTAGATTGTTGGTAACACAAAGGATAAATGTTTGAGGTGATGAATATCCCCATTTACCCTAATGTGATTATTAAACATGCCTGTATCAAAATATCTCATATAACCCGTAAATATATACACCTATTATGTACCCAGAAAAATTAAAAATTAAAAAAAAGTTTAGATAGACAGTTATCCTTCTTGGTAGCAGAGAGTCTAACAAAGTGTTTAATTGATTTGATGATGTGGTACATTTTGCATTGCACATATACACACCTATGAAGAGATTGTAAGCATTCAATTACCTGTAGAAAAACTAATGTTATTCTCTATACGTTTAGAGACAACTGCTTTTCATTTAAAACCATTGATTAAATCTTTTGCAATTACCTAGCTTTATTCTAGAGGTTTCTTAGGCTGACATTTAAAAACTTTTCTGCCATTATTGTCCTATCAGCAACAAAGCAGCTTTGAACCAATACGTTCTATGATAGTCACAATTGTCTATCGTCTGTTCCCTGTCAATGCTGTTGTTTCCCTGGCAGTATCTGCTACTGCAAAAGCCTTCCCATCTACTTCCTTCTTATCTACCAAGGCCCACATGTGCTTCCAGAATTTGTCTCCATCCTTGCAGTCCTAGGTCACATTTTGCCTGCTCTAAGAAGTTTCCTCACTCCTCCAGCCTCTACTCCTCCCCACCTAACACAATCATAATTGATCCCTTACTTCCAGACTTTCCTCTAGGATCTTAAGTGGCACATTATTGTTAAACATTTTTCATAGCCCTCCTATCGTTTACCTATGTTTGTGGTTATCTGCCTTTCTAAATTGTGAGACGCTAAGTCCTTGTCTTAGTTAATTTTGAGTTTCCCTCTGCATCAGAGCACGTTTTATGTGTGCCATAAAATTTGGTCTAATGTCTTTGGCTTAGCTTGTTTGAACTTCTTATAGTTCCAAACACATATTTTGGATTACTCCGGGAAGTATAATGCCTTATACCTATATCTGCCATAAATATCTCCATTCAATTTTCCCCCCATTTCTTCACTGGACAACGTTCACAGTTGGCCAGGAGCCCAACTACTGAGAGATCTTCTTTACCAACATATGGCTGAACTGAATGATTGCGCTGGACTTGAGTATGCTCATTTAAGTCTAATGAGGTCCATAGAGGTGACTGTATGACTCATAACATGAAGTCATTTTTCCAATTAGCATTCTGACAAATGCATTAGAAAGAGAGCCCTTTCAATAGATTTCCACAGCTGCTGAAGGGATCAGGTGTCAGAAGATTTTCAGCTTTGTTCGGCTGTTCTGGTCAAATAACTTATTTTTACCCAGACTTTGCCACTTGATGCAGCTGGCAGTGATCATATGTCATCTGAGCCTGAGCCCAGTTTAAAAATGGTCCTGTTACAGTGATAGAACTTAAGAAATTTCAGGAGGGATCAGCTGTAACTTTTGATTGACTCATTAGTCTTTTTTAAAAATGAGGTTATTTCCAGATAGTATAATACAAAAAAAATTTTTAAAAACAACCCCATTCATGAGGATTAGCACTTGGTATAGAACATGTATTTCCAAGCATAATAAAAAGGACTACAGACCCTGATATTACCCTACAATAACACCTAATTCAACTTTGGCCTTCCACCACCTTTGTATTCAAAGTCAACACATAACATCTCATTTGCATACAAAGAAGAAAGGATTTTAAAATCAACAGCCCTTCTCCAAGCCAATCAACTGCACTGATTTATAGGGATTCTCTTTTGAGTGAGTCACTGAGGTACTGGCCTCCATTCAACAATATTTGATATTCAAGAATGTATGTTAGTATCTTAGAGAAACTTGGATTATGTACATTTAAAAATAAAGATAATCCTTAGATGGAAGTTTTCTAAACAATTAGGACATTCTAGATTATCTGCAGAAGTTCGGATATCATCTCTCAAGAAATTGGATGTTGCTCTATTTGTTACAGGACTATTAAAATGTATTTATTTTATCTTGAATGACAAGTATAATTACAAAATTAAAATGGAGTCTTTTTTAATAATAGGAATTTTTGACTATGATATTATAGTTGGAAAATTAAACTTCACTCAGTATCAGAGATAATTTTGTAAAGCATTTAGTAGAGTGCCTGACAGTTAATACATACAATAGAAAGAAACTACTGTTATTATGTTATGATTTGTTACTGTTAAAATAAGTTTTCTAAGTAATTCGAATATAAATTACAAAACAAGTCAACATTGTTTTCTTCCTCTCTTTTAGTTCATCAAAGTGAAGTTCTTATGTTTTCCAGAATATTTTTAGCAACTTTGCTATTTACTGTGTTTTTCTCATTCATGTCAGGAACTTCATATTTATGTTATTTTTAGGTTTATTTTGAAGTATTTTGATATTTTAATTTTTTAAACTTAATTCTACTTAAATTGACAAACAAAACTGCATTTATTTATCACATACAACATGATGTTTTGACATATATACACATTATGAAATGGCTAAATCAAGCTGATTAGTATATGCATTACCTTATTACTTAGCATTTTTGTCAGGAGAACACTTAAAATCTACTCTCTTAGCATTTGTAAAGAAGGCAGTATATTGTTATTAACTATAGTCACCATGGTTGTACAATAGATCTCTTGAACTTATTCCTCCTATCCGACTGAAATTTTGTATCTTTTGACCAGCATTTTCCCAAGCCCAACTCAGCAACCCCTGCCCCTCAGCCCCTGATAACCACCATTCTACTCTCTACATCTATGAATTCAATTTTTTTAGATTCCATGCATAAATAAGATGGTGCAGTATTTGTCTTGTTATGCCTGGCTTATTTCACTTAGCAGTATCTGCCAGGTTCATCCATGTTGAAGCAAATGACAAGACTGCATTTTGTTTTAGCCTGAATAACATTGTATTGTGTATACATACCACATTTTCTTTACTCATCCATCCATCAATGGACACTTAGGTTGATTCCATATCTCAGCTATTGTTAATAATGCTATAATTAACATGAGTGCAGATATCTTTTAAAAATATTTAATTCATTTCCTTCAGGTATATATCCAGTAGTAGGATTGCTAGATCATATGGTTGTTCTACTTTTCAATTTTTTGGAGAACTCCCATATTCAGTTGATTTTAAGTAGCGTTCAGTATTTTCATGAACCTGTATGGGTTGCTTTACAAGAACATTCTCCCAAAAGAAAAAAAAAATTTAATCTTTTTAAATTTTTAAACTTTTAAAAATTCAAGCTAACTAAATTTTATTTATTATTTCACTCACAAAAATACATGGCTCATTCATAAAACTTTAGAGAGAATTATGACTGCATTTTATATTCTAAAAGAAGTAAATTCAAAAATTATGGTAATTTTATTGGCATGACAGATAAGAATAAATACAAAAGATGGGTAAATAACTTTTTAAAAGATGTGATACTCAAAAACCAGAAAACTTATTTCCTTGAGTATAATTCAACAAGAAAATGGCTTCCAGTACTCTTTTTCAGGATAAAAATCTCCACATTAAATTTAACCCCATCACCGGTAATATCATTTAGACATTTGTTTTCAGGCATTTCTGTTCCTTAGTTTGATTTTGTTTTGTCACTAAAATCACATTTCTAAATATTTAATGCATTTTACCTGCCTGAATCATGTTCCCTTTTCTCAGGATTTACAGCAGAGTGCTATAGATATTTATTAATTTTTCAAAGAATACCTATGTGTGGGAAAGAAAAATCAAATTAATCAGTATATTTCTCATAAAATGATGTGTGTTCTCTAGAATTAAATATGGGATTGAAACTTAAGACTACTGTTCCTATGAATATCAAAATACTCCAATCTGCTACCATTTTGCCTCCCCCAGAATAAAACATTTTAATCAATTATAATGTTTAAAAATCTGTTTATGAATAATTTTAGGATGATTATTTATCTGGCCCTATTATGCATAAGAAAATGAGTAAGTCTACTGGGAACAGAAAAGAGGAAATGGAATAAATATGAAGCAAAAATAATTTGTTTTAAAGAAAGGATAAGGCAAAATTTGATCTCTATGTTTCAAAAGTTCATTCAGCACAGACTTCATTTAATTTTAAAAATACAAAAATGTGGTTGTCACACTTCAATTCGCATTTAAGACAAATGGTTATTCACATCAAAATACATAATGATGAGCTGAAAGTGAATTTTCTTTTGCCTCTTATGGAATCTAAACTGTTTCAGGTACAACAGAATACCTATGAAGCTATACTGACAATGTTGAAACATTTTTCTGATGACAATATCAGCTACATTGAGGCCCACTTCAATGTACTATGGCCCTCCTACCACCTCCAGCCCATGTCTGCTTGTTTAAATAAAGCTTTATTGGGAAACAGCCACATCCACTCCATTATGTATTATATATCGCTGTTTTCTTGCTACAAAAGAAAAGTTAAGTAGTTACAACAGAAACCGTATAGCCTACAGAGTTGAAAATATTTACTGTCTGGCTCTTTACAGAAAAAGTTTGTTGACCTCCTGAAATATATCTTCAATTTGCCTAATTGCCTTGTTTTACAGCTATTATAATCTTTTAAAGTTAATTAGACCTAATACTTAAAGGACTATGGTTACAAATGTAAAAACTTTGTCTACTTTTGTAGGCACCCATGTGAATAGCTAATTCATTCATACCATCTAAGACAAGTGGGAAAATTTTGTTACAAGAAAAGTTAAAAATGGGAAGACATTGTCTACTATGATTCTTACTTTATGAGAAAACTTCCTAGTACCTTCCTGTACTAAAGATAATAATGGAATATAAGTTTGGAAATATTTGAAAGATTATCTAGTTTCCTTCTAGTTATTCTATACCAGATATGCACATATGTATTTTATTCTTTTCATTGGTATTTACTCTTCAAGAATGCTAGGTTTTAAACAAATTTGTACACAATTAAGTTAAACATTTTTGAAGTGTGAATGCTTTGGATGGTGAGGTAAATACTTGGATAAAGACAGTGCCTAGAGGAAAACAAACTGAAGTAATAAGCTTCCGGGTCTCTCTGTGACCCAAAATAGACATATAGAAATTTGCCCTTGCCTAGGTCTTAAAAGAAAAATGTACACGGCTTGCTTTTTACTAAAGACATATAAAGCACAAAATATAACTTCAGGCCTGCGAGCATTAATCATCTGGAAGATTTTTTAGAGTGAAGTTACTAGTTACTTCAGATATTATTTGAAATGAGAACAGCAAGGCCTCTGGGAAACTGTTATATTGAGGATTTTAATCTTTATGAGAAAGGGGGAAAAAAGGTAATTTTTTCCCCAAAAGTGGTGAGTTTAGAGCGTTAGTGAAAAAAAAAAATAGATTAGTGAAGTACCAGAAAAGATAACTCAATTTGGCCTGTTTAAAAACAAAACAAAAGAAAATACAATCATACTTTTAATTCTGCCTAGAACCCAGATCTCATTACTTGGGGGAAAATGAAGCTAATTCAGCTGATGTGTTATCACGGGACCCCCATGGTCCATACAGTCAGCGTCCCCAGGCAATGCTCAGAGTCTCTTCAATCCAGCAGCCACTTTGAACTTCCAGGAAAACACCGAAGCTATAAAAATTTTTGTACCTACATCCCTGAGCCACATTTAGTAAGCTTCCTTCCACTACTGAGGAAAAAGCTTGCTCACCCTCTTTGCCTCAATGCCTTCATCCCAGTCTCCTACGTCCGTAGCCAAACACATGACCCTCACTCACTGAAGAAGTATGGTAATTTTGTTTTTGTCTAAGGCAGAGGGAGTAGGGAACAGGAGGGCATTTATCTTTGCTCTGGGCCCGTTTTTACTGGTCACAACATATTGTTTCTTATTTTCCTAATGAATGTAAGTTGATTAATATTCATATTGGCTTGCATAGCAAACTATAATTGTATAAAGAAACTGAATAGTAATTATTCTACCTATAACCAAAAAGAATAACAAACTGTCTAGTTTTGTGTTCCAAGAGTACTGTCCTAATTTGTGGTCTTCCTCAAACAGAATTGGCAAGATATCAGGAATAAAAGTTCACAAATGCCTCCCTACCTATTTAACCCTTCTTTAAGTCTTTAGCCCTGACTGAAAAACTTAATTTTAGATCAAGGTCCTGAGCCTATCAGGACCACATTTACAAGGAATAAAAAAGTAATGTACAATCTCACTTTCGATGAGCAGTAAATGCCCCAGAAATACCTTATTAATGCTTCCTAAGTACAAGCCACATTAAATCAGATATGAGATAAATGGGCCAGGTGCAGTGGCTCACACCTACAGTGCCAACACTTTGGGAGGCTGAGGTGGGCAGATCACCTGAGGTCAGGAGTTCAAGACCAGCCTGACCAACATGGTGAAACCCCATCTCTACTTAAAAAAAAAAAAAAAAGAAAGAAAGAAATACAAAACTTAGCCGGGCATGGTGGCACACGCCTGTAGTCCCAGCTACTTGGGAGGCTGAGACAGGAGAATTGCTTGAACCTGGGAGGTGGAGGTTGCAGTGAGCCGAGATCATGTCACTGCACTCCAGCATGGGCGACCGAGCCAGATTCTGTCTCAAAAAAAAAAAAAAAAAAAAAAAGAGAGATAAATGGTTTAGTGAGAACCTATAAAAAAGAGGGGTTTTAGAAAGTTCATAGTAACCCATCTGAATGATAGGACTGCAGAAAATCACGTTATAATGCAACGATGCTCTTAATTATAATGAGGTAGCTAGAAAATGAAGCTGATATTATACTTGATATCATAATGCACATTTAAAATATCCCATTTACATATTTCTGATAACACATTTAGAAACTAATATAACAAAATAGAGCAAGTGTAGTGAACAATGATGTGGCAAGTATAGTGGATAATGAAGAAAATATTAAAAAGAATTCTATGTCAGGAAAGTTCGAAAAAACGGGGAATATTTAGCCTGATCAATAAAACATTTATAGGGGATGCAAAAGTTGTTTTTAAACTCCTAAAAGTATGTGTTTGAAAAAGGGATTAAATTTATTTTTTGAGACTCCAAGTGAAAGAACAAGATTCATTGCATAAAAGTTTCAGATTATTTTGCAGCATAAGAAAATACATTTACTTATAATTAGGGATGTTCAAAATAGGGGCTGGGTGTCCCAGTAGAGTTTGAGAAGTAGTTTCACGAGTTAGATGGATTTCAAGATTACCTAGACTTGCCCGTTTATCTCAAAAGTTATTCTTCAATCTGATAGAATAGACAAACATGTTCAAAATGAGCAATGCAAAATATTAAAATATAAATCTCAAGACTCCTAGTGTGAATGTTATGTTTGTTAATTCCATACAAAACAGGGATTGAAAAAAAGATGAGTAAATTTCTTTATATGAACCAGTTCAACTGAAAAATATGAACTGAACACTGCAATGTTGTAAATTAGATTGGATAATAAGAATGTATTTATTTTCACTAGCAGTATATATGCATTTAAAAAATAATAACTTTCTGTCAAAACAGAGTAACTTTTACATAGCTTTATGATAGATAGCACTTTCACACACACACACACACACACACACACACACACACACACACACACACACAAAAACCTATCTCTGGGAACCTAAAACAACAAATGTGCTTTAATTAGCCACAAAGCCACTCCTTTATATTTCATGTAGAAAAAATGATACCTCCATCAGATATAAAAACAAAAACTAAGAAGAAAATAATTTTAAAAGAACAATTGATTAGAGAAACAAATATCTACTCTGCTCAGGAAGTTACTAAATGAAAGCCAGGGAAGCTTAGGTCCTTTCATTTTGCTCAACATGTGGTGTAGACACTTCCTCCCCATCACCTCAATCCCATCTACAGCATTACATTAGACCAGGCAGCAAGACTAGAATTATTGAGTGGTTTCGTGTTTGAGATTCTGGTTGTTTCACTAAATGCCTTTTTAATGAATACCTTAATGCACTTCTTAATCTATAGTTTCTCCATTTTTCTTTATTTTTCTCCCTAGAGATTAATATTTAGGTAAAAAGTAATACAATTCTTTTTAACTGCCAGGTTTCATTTGTAGTTCTTTTATTTATCTATTACTCTTTTAAAATAACTATTCTTGGATTATTAAAGCAAGATTCTTAGAGTCAACATTCCTGTACAATGATGACTTATTAGAGGAAGCAATTGCATACAAATATACTACCACATTAAAGCAGGTATGAATTTTGAAATGGGTTTTACTTATGTCAGGAATACAATGCAAATGCAAATATTCCCCTGTGTAAAATAACAGCAAATGAAAGGAAATGAACATAAACTACTGATTCAACTGATTTCAATCAATGCTAGTAAGGATGTAGAAATAGATGGTTTAGAAATTTTCAAGAAGGTTACAGATACTAATCCACTTCTTGAGTTATTTAATATGTCTTCAATAGAATCACATGCTGATGGATCTTTATTTATATCCAATAATTAATGTCTTGCTTACATATTTTATTCATTCACTAATTGTGAAAAAAGTTAGAACACTAGCAAAATAATTTTTAAACCTCTCATTTTTATTTCATTGCTGTCTTCTGCTTTATTTCTACAGCCCTCCTCTCACTTATTAAAAATTGAAGTTGACATCTGAAAATTAGTGGAATAACATACTTTTGACAAATTTATTTAATAGATGATTGTGTTCTTTAAAAAATCCATCTATACTACATTTTTTACAATCACAGTATTAATAAGAAAAGATAATTTATTTGGGGTGGTATAATTATTATTGATTTACTTTCACTTTTAAATATACTTTCAGTGTAACACAGTGCTCTAGTGCTACTACTTTATCAGGTTTACAGTCATTTTTGCAAAATGATTTTGATCTTAGTACTGTTCAAATAAAGTGGATTGATAATCAATGAAATAAAATTCTATACAAATTGTTTTGATCTATATACATTGGTTTAAGTAGTTTTCCTAATGGCACATGCTCAAGGAGAATATTCTAAAGCCCATGTTTCATTTTTCAAAACTGTACATTATGAAAGTAAAAGAGACTGTGATATATTTATGTTGTGCATAACTTCATACTGAGTTGTAAATATTGCTTGCATCTGGCTTCAGAATTCCTTACTTAATTATATTAGATACATTCTTAATGATGTATACCCAGTTATGAATGCCACAAACACTGAAAGATATTAAAAAAAGTTTTCCTTATCTAGTAAGTATTGGCAGATGTGTTTTTGCAAATGTGACCAAATTAAACCAGAATAATATTTAAACAATTGAAGATGATGAGAGGATAGGAAAATTATTTCTACCACTTGAAAATTTGACTGCATTTGCTTAACATATTTGAGTAATTGACAATTTAAGATTTGTATACATTTTCCTATTTCTGGGAGCATTCATTAAAATATGGCTTCATTTTTCAGTGGGACGTAGTTTACTTTTCTTACAACATGTTCCAAATCACAATTGTATATTACTACCTGGGCTCCACTAACTTCAAATTTACCTTACTTTCACCAAATATAGGTAGTGGGATAAACTTCTAAAATATTACTAGAAATGCTTTCCCTCTTGCATTTTATTTATCTCTAAAAATGCAGTTTATGTCAGTGTTATAGGGCCCTGTACAAAGGAAATGAAGAGATCTGAGTGGGCTGGAATCTGGTCCCTACCCTACTCACCAAGCCACTCACCAATCCTCTGCTGTGGCCGCAATGACTGGGAGGAAGGGAATTTTTCCTTGCTAAAAGCTAAGGAATACCACTAATATTTATTCATATATATGACTACATGAACTTTTAAATTAATTCTAAGTAACAATTGGCTATTAAAAATTAAGCAGCAAATGCACAGACCTTATTTTCTCAGAATAATAAAAGTTTTCACTTTTGGTAATGTATTTATTCATCTAAATGATAGATACTATGATGTTTAAAAAATGAAATAAATATAATAGTGGCCTTCCATTTCCTGACATATATAACTAAAACTATTAAGAAATTAAAACCTTCACTGTATTAAAAAAAAAAAAAAAAAGCTAGTGTCCCATTGCCAAGCATTGCACATAGAAGGCCAGTCTACCCAGATGTTGTGTGGTTTCTACTGCATCCACCCAGAGGTGATGTCTTTTTCTGAGTCACACAAGTTTGAAGTATAGATCATGGTTATCACAGACTCCTCCAGTGATTCAGCATAGTGCACAGACAAAGGAAAAGAAGGAAGGCACACAGAAATCCAGAGAGAAGTAAGAAGTCAAATTATTTGATTTTGGATTCAAAAACAATCTTTGAAAGTCAAGAAAGATACTAAAGCTTTGAGAGGAAATGCTTTGATTTACAGGAAACTAGTTCTTTTGAGTTTCAAAAGGCTGAGACCTGAAAGATATAAAAAGAGATAGAAAACAGTAGATGGAAAGCTGAACTTACCCAGAAAAGAGGTAAATGTTCTCATGTTGGGAGAGAAGGGACTATTTGAAGGGAAGAATAAAACCTAGACAATGGCAGGGCCTTGATAAGAGACCTCTAATTTTCTCTTCCCTCCAGGCTCAAGTTTTCAGAGAGGATAGAAAATGGAATCCTCAAATATTTGGAATCCTAAAAAAGAATGAAACTTGTTTTTTGACTTCCAGAACAAGTCTAGGGTTCATGACAAGCCTTACAGAGTTCCCAGGACTCAAATGGAGTACAACAGCTATAGAGTTGACATGGGGATAATGTACCTCATCAGAGATGGATAGAAATAGAACACGCTGCTTTCCTGTAGCTCCCAAACAGCTCTGCAGACTATGAAAAAAAAAAAAAATTTGTGGCTCTGAGAAAGAAATCAAAAGGGAACAAAGAGATCTGGTGACATGAAGAGGTTGGGTAGACTAAGGAAAAGGTAGTAACCTACAGGGACCTAATAAATGGATCCCAGGCCAACGGATGCAAATAGCTCCAGCAATTCTAGCTAAGGTAACTCAGCAGGTGCTTCTCTGAACTACTACCTGGGCTCTCTTTCAGGTAAGAAAAATGGGGGTGGACATAGGCAAACCTGTTTGATGGAAAAAACTCTACATTGATAAAAACATTTCCTCTACTTGGGCTTGTATGATCTTAATTTGGTTATGGATTTCAATAAAGACAGTTGCATTTTCTATATGGCCATGTTTATAGCCTATGAAAATTCATAGTGTATATCACATTATGTTTAAATGGCCATTAAAGTATGATTGCATTTTCAAAGTTCCATTTATTTACAATTTTGGGGGGACTTGGTTGTCACCACAGTTTACTCATTCATGATTGCAATTTGAAGGACCTTATGAATTACCCAGAGATATCTTTGCATCTAAGGTGAGAAAAATGATTTGAGACAGATGAAGTAACTTGCTCCATATGTGACTGAGCAGGGTCACAATTTAAACCTCTAGACTTTTCCCCAGTAATGCTTTTTCTAGGTTTGTTTTTCCACTCTCCCATGTACAGTAGTAGAGACCCATCTTAAGTTTCTATCAAATATTCCTACCTTAAAGTAACTATCAAGTAAACGCATTGACAAAACTAAATCATTTGCCTGAAAACTAGAGTCATTGTTTTATTAATATCAAATTAACACAAAGGAATTAACCCATATTAATTTATATGTGGATATAATTACATGAATATTTATCTGTATACTATGGATGTGTGAGCAGGAAATAGGTTTTGCAGGTTCAGAAATATTTATGCCTGTTGATCAACTTTAGAAATATTTCTTTAAGGCTAGGTATTGGTTAAAAAGCAAATGATTCTAATCTTCGATAAATTACACTGTCACAGCAAATAGACCCAGATAAAGGAACTAAATTTAGTTATCACGGTGTCCCAATGTGTGAAATGAAACATGGCCTTAGGTATCATCACTGCATATTTTAGAAAACATAATCTTTTTTCCTGAATGTATTTGCGTAGTAAAATCATTTAATTATAATGTGTGAATGTGTATATAAAGACTTCAGTGAGAACACAAAGTCTCTCAGAAATTTCACTTAGAATAAGATTGTAGATAAAATACGAGGCATTTTTATGCCGGGTGTGAAAAAGCTGACTAAAATATTTACGTATTAATATCTCATTGCAAAGATCACTGTTAGCTCATTGGCCTTAAATTATTCACTAAGTTCAATGGTTATTATTTTTGGCTGCTGCAGTCAGACCTTATAAATACATTTCTAAGGTCACACACTCTACTTTTCATCTAAATCTTTCTCCACCTTTCCTCTTTTAAAAGTGAACATTAAATGAAATTACCTGACATTCAACCTTAGTGAGTCAAACACTTTTTTCAACCGCAAATGAAACTACAAGGATATTATTTTTTATATTATTTAAGAGTGATGCAGAAGCCAGGAAATATGGGATTTTAGTATCAACTTTAATAAATGTTATTTTTTTAAATGGCAAGCACAACAGTACATCTCTTGTTTAAGAACAAAAATTATCATATCAAAATAATTTCCAACTTTATTTTTGTTAATACATTAGCCATAGTTATCTTAAATAGATCATTTATCCTTCTTGTTAGCATCTTTGCACAATAGATATTTTTAAGAATTTTGCCTATGTGTTTTATCACATATTGACTTAGTTATGGCATGTAGTAGTCTGAAAAGTAGGAATCTCAAATCACTGTGGGGCTGGAAGGACCTTTTTATTTTTTACCACTCAAATTTCACTTTGCTTTGAATTCAAACACAGTAAAGGATACATTTTCTCATAGTGGGGGTGCAAGGACCTGCTGAGAACAGCCTGATTCAGATCAAAGAGTCAATGTAGAATTTAGACACAAGTGTACCTTTTGTTAAGAATAAGTTTGGGAACCCAGAAGATGCAACTACACTCTTGACCTGTGGTTGATCTTGTGAAGTCAGTTCCCATTATGCGTCGGTCGGGTTGCCTGTGATGTCAAGTAACCACACATTACCAACCACAAGTACCAGTGAACTATATTTCATTCTATATAATGTACAACATACTTTTCAACTCTTGGTATTTTGGGCATTCTCTCTGAGTCAAATGCTGTGTCATTTTCCTCTGCTTCCCCATGCCTCTCAATGTTTCTGCCTGATTGTGATGCACTTTCTTTCATGTCTAACTATCCAATTCATATCAAAACATGAATTTATAAGACAAATATTTGTGAAAGTCAACTAGGGAGTAAGCATTGTATTAACAATGCTTCTAAAGTCTCTCTGACCTAGAACTCGGCCCCCAGGCTTCCAGAAATGTCTATCTGGTTCAACACCATTTCTCTTCTGAATGCATAGCTCTGCTGTACTGCTTCCAGCCAGACCTCACACTGACCTCTTCCCCTGTGTTCTCAACTCCCCATGGCCATTCTGTCAAACTTTTTTCTTGGCGCATGAATGTCCTTTCCATTTCCTCTTCAGTTCTCTAAGGAACACTATGACTCTGGCTGCCAAATGGATAGGATGCTTTTTAAGGCACAGCTTTGAAAAAATGGCCACTTGGTGAATGACAATAACCAAATCTTAAAAGAAAATTCATTAGCGTGTTCTTGGGAAGCTTGGAGGACAGCTACGTCTACGTCTATGCAAGGTAATAGTAGCAGATCACCTGGAAGCAAAACAGGATTTTGATTGTTATTAAAAAAAATTAAAGCTGATCATCAAGATATGGTTCCCACTAGGAAAACAAATGTATTATGAAGGAAAGAGCAATAGATGAAGAGATGGAGAGACAAGTCTCCATTAAATCTGAAACTCTAACTATAGGGTGACAAGAGGAAGAGCATGGGTGTTTGTTCATAGTTATGGAGTACCTACTATATGCTAGGCTCTGTGTTGTGTCCTAGAGATACAGAATGAACAGTCAGAAAATGTAACCTTGAGTATAAGCAAATGTTTCTTTGAGTACTTGACCTTGAAGCTAAAATTCTGTCAATACACAGATACTTTGAAAAGCACTGCAGTGAATGGAGTGATGTTCTCTATCAGTAGATCTTTCACCTAGTCATTGATGGCATGGGTGGAGTATCCCTCAATAATATCTATCTGCATTCACTCTGATTTCATGATCACCAAACAACCACATAATTACTAATTATCTTCCAAGGTATCATAAAACTGGAAAGCAGACACTTTAGCTACAAAAAAATCCTAGATACTGAAATTAAATATTTATATAGTCAGTATTGCCTTACACGGAGAGATTTTTGTGACATTAGTTGGATAAGAACCTTAAACCTGTGATGCAGAGAAATATTCCAGGTAGAGACTCAGAACAACTGTCTAAGCATGCATTATGGCTCACACTGACACTCTGCATTCTCTAATTTAGCTATTGAAAACTTTGGTAGCATAGGGACTGAGTACTCCTTTGAGAGGCAAAAAGAGGAGGTGAACAGAGTAGACTCTGGAATCAGACCACCTGAGTTCTCATTCTTGTTTTACTACCTAAATGTGATATATTCCTAGGCAAGTTATTTGACCTTTCTTTGCTTCTGTTACCTCATCTGGGAATGTAAGTAAACTAATACCTGCTTCTTTGGGCTGCTGAAAAGATTAAGTGATACATAGCTCATATATTAGAAAAATGTTTATAATAAATTTCAATTGTTGGCTTTATTGCAAATATTTGTTTACAAGTGTGGCTCCAACTTTCATTTAGCTAACTCTTGTTTATCCTTCAATATCTTAGCTCACATTGTAAATATACCATAGGAAAAAAAGTGAATAATACACACTTATATAGTTTAATAAATAATTAACAGTAATACAAACACCAATATAGATAACGTTGAATCTATACTTGACAAAGTGGTTGTACAAATTTATGTCCCCACTAGCAATGTATGAGAACCCTTATTTATTCATGTCCTTATCAACAGTTTATAGAGTCCAAATTAAGGTTTTCAAAACAGGTGGGTGTGTAATACTAATATATTGCAGTTTTTACTTGCATTTCTCTGATTTCTAAAAATTAGATTTGAATGGCATTCCTAAAATTATTTATCATTCATAGTTCTTCAAGATTCCTATTTGTATGTTTTGACCAATATACTTTTAGTTGTTTTTTTTTTTAATTTATTTTCCTATTGGTTGTTGGGAAATCTTTACATGTTCTAGATACTAATCTTTTGTTGATTACTATAAAGAATATCTTCTAAGTGGTGGCTTCTCTTTTATTCTCTTCATCGTGTCTTTCAATTAGCTAAGAGCTTAACTAATATGTATAGATTTTATTTAGTGAATATACAGCACCAACCTTTTGCTTTATGGATTGGGATTTTTTGTATCTTTTTAAAAACATACTTCGTATCTTAATGTTATAAAGATCCTCTCATATATTCTCTTGTACTAATTTCCACATAGATGTTCTTAATATTTTGAACATTTTTCTATGGTACGATACAAGGATCCTATTTCCTTTTTATTGGTTTATTTTTTCAAGAAGGACAAACAAGAATAACAAGCACCTGCCAGGCGTGGTGGTTCACGCCTGTAATCCCAACACTTTGGGAGGCTGAGACAGGCAGATTGCTTGAGTTCATGAGCTCGAGTTCAACCTGGGCAACATGGTGAAACCCTGTCTGTACCAAAAGTACCAAACATTAGCTGGGAGTGGTGGCGTGTGCCTGTGGTCCCAGCTACTTGGGAGGCTGAGGAGGGAGGATCGCCTGAGCTCAGGAGGCAGTTTGCAGTGAGCTGAGAGTGCCACTGCACTCCAGCCTGGGCAACAGAGGTGGACTCTGTCTCAAAAAAACAAACAAACAAACAAACAAAACAATAACAAGCATCGAAGCTCCTTTTACTGAATTCTTATTTAATGCATTTATCATATTTTCACTTATGATCTGAAATGTCAGTTTTATATACGTATGTGTGCATGTGAATGTGTGTTTGTATGTATATACAGAGAGACACAGAGTGTGTATACATGTGTGTATATATCTAGATATATATAGAGAGAGAGAGAGGGCAAGGCTGAAAGTCATTTATAGTGTCTCATTATTTTGATGGTCTAAATAATTGTGAATAATTTCCATTGTGATTTCTTCTTTGTTATTGACTTACTAAGAATTGTATGTTTAAATTTCCAAATATTTAGAGTATTTTATTTTACTGATTTATAATTAAATTATGCTGTAATATAGGAATGTCAGCTTTGAAATTTGCTGAGACTTGCTCTATGGACTATTCTGCAGTCAATGCTGGTAAAGTACTCTGTGTTTTAAGAAATATATTCTCCATTTAAGTGCAGGGTTTATATGGGACTTTTGGATTAAGATTAATATTTCCAATATTAAAATCTTTCTTCTTTTGAGTTTAATATATTGAGTAGGAAGAGAGTTGCATTAAATTATATGCTCTGATAGTGAATTTTTCAAATTCTTTTTGTACATTTGTCACTTTTTTATATGATTTGAACCTATGTTATTGGGCACATACCAGTTTAGAATTGTTATATCTTCTCAATGAATTCAAGCTTCCATTAATATATACTAATACCCTTTTGTCATGCTGTTTTAGCTATAAAATATTTTGGTCTAATTGCTACACCAGTAATTGTATTAATATTAGCCTGGCCTTTACTTTTCAACACTTCTTTCAGCCTGCCTATTTTGTAAATTTATGTATTATAAACACAATATGATCAAATATTTGAGACCAAACTGACAATCTTTAAAGTCAATATTTTATTTTAAAAAAAATCATTGTCATTACTTTCTATTATTTCCCCACTTAAATTTTGGTTTTAGTTATTCACATTTATTTTCCTTACTAGATTTTCCCCCCTGTATTAGGTAGAAAGTTCGGCAATCTATTTCTGTGTTCTTACGAATTTCTCTAGAAATTGTAAGGTGGTTGTTTTAATCAAATAAACCTTTACCCTCCTCTAAGGACTTTAATGTAATCTAACGGAATTTTCTGCTTTAGACTGTACTATTTCAAGATTTTTAGATCTCATTTTTAACTGAACAAGATAAACATCTAGTTATGATGTTACAACCAATATTTAAACTTCACAGCTTGTTTAACATTTATTTGCTTAGTATTCCCTCTTCCATCTGATACTTTCTGCACCCATTTTTTCTTGAAATACATCATTGAGAAATTTCTATAACTAAGAATAAGTTGATAATTATTTAGTTTATGTTTGTGTTTTTGAATTTTTCTTAAACATGGTTTTATTTTATATATAATTTTATATTGATACTTTTCTCTAAGGTCTGTGGAGAGAGAGTTCCACTGCCAAATGGTTTCCATTACTGCTATTGAGAAGTATTCTGTAAATTTACTTGTAACTTCTTTCTGGTCATCTCTTTATTCTTTCTTGACACTTCTAAGATTTTTCTCTTTTTTTGTCTTAAAGATTTCTGCAGTTTTACTACAAGGTATCCATGAATGAATTCGTTTGTCTTAATCATCTTGAATATTTTGCATACTGTATCTGTGATATCTTTTGTTAACATCTGGAAAGTATTAATGGTTATTTCTTCAAATAGTCTACTGTCTTTCCCCCTCCATTGACTCTACTATCTCCTCCGGAATGATGACGATGAATATGTTAGTCCTTCTCGTTCTTAATTTCACTTTGGTTATGTCCCAACACATTGTAAGTCTTGATTTTCTTTTCAGCTGTCTGATCTGCAGCTGATCTTATTTTAAGACTTTTTTCAGTTATTAAATAACTGCTATAAAAATTGCATTTTCTATTCTAAAAGTTTGAAGCCATTCCACTTCAAATCTACCTGGTCATTTTATATATTGCCATTTTTTGTTCATTTTTGTGACTCCATCTTATATTTTAAAATATTTATTTATTTATTTATTTATTTATTTATTTATTTTAGAGATGGGGTCTTGCTTTGTTGCCCAGGTTGGTCTCAGAATACTGGGCTCAAGGGAGCCTCCTGCCTCAGCCTCCTGAGCAGTGGGGACTTCAGGCATGCGCCACTAAGCTCAGCTTCTACTTAGACATTATTTTTTCTATTATGTGTTAATTTCAGCATATGAAATCTTTAAGGGTATAACTACCATATCCTTACTGTGTGTTTGCTAATTTTTTAAATAAGCTTTATTTTTTAGAGCAGTTTTAGGTTCATAGCAAAATTGAGCAGAAGTACTGAGAATTCCCATACTCCCTCTGCCCCATACAAATGCATAGCCTCCCTCATTATCAACATCCCCCACCTGAGTGGTACCTTTGTTACAACTGATGAACCTACACTGACACACGATTATCATCAAAAGTTCATAATTTACATTAGGGTTCAAGCTCAGCGTTGTAAATTCTACAGGTTTAGACGAATGTTTAATTACATGTTATAAATAGCATCATACAGAGTATTTTGACTGCCCCCAAATCCTCTGTTTTGCCTATTTAATCCTCTCTCCTTGCTAATCTCTGGGAACTACTGACCTTTTTGTGTGTTTTCTGATGTTTTAATGTGAGCTTTTAATTATTTATGTATGTTTGTATGTTTGTTTAAACCCTCAGAAATTCTCAAGGCAAATTAGGAATGCTTTCTTGAAGAAACGACTTGCATTTACTTCTGTCAGGAACCAAAAGAATATTGCCAATTTGGGAACATTCTGGCTCTCTTCCAGGGCAATGGCTTGCTGTGGGTGTCTCACTTTAGCTCTTCTTCCTTTTTTTAAAAAAAAAAATCTCTTTTATTTTTATTTCAATAGGTTTTTGGAGAACAGGTGGTGTTTGGTTACATGAATAAGTTCTTTAATGGTGATTTCTGAGATTTTGGTGTACCCATCACCCAAGCAGTATACACTGTACCCAATGTGTAGTCTTTTATCCCTTCCCACCCTACACCCATTCGCCCATCCCCAAAGTCCAATGTATCATTCTTATGCCTTTGCATCCTCATAGCTTAGCTCCCACATGAGTGAGAACACGCAATCTTTGGTTTTCCAGTCCTGAGTTACTTCACTTAGAATAATAGTCTCCAATTTCATCCAAGTTGCTGCGAATGATGTTACTTCATTCCTTTTTATGGCTGAGTAGTATTCCATCATACATATATACCACAGTTTCTTTATCCACTTGTTTGATGGGCATTTGGGCTGGTTCCATATTTTGCAATTGCAAATTGTGCTGCTATAAATGTGTACGTGCAAGTGTATTTTTCATACAGTAACTTCTTTTCTGTGGGTAGTAACTAGTAGTGGGATAGCTGGAGCACATGGTAGATCTACTTTTAGCACTTTAAGGACCCTCCACACTGTTTTCCATAGTGGCTGTACTAGTTTGCATTCCTACTAATAATGTAAAAGTGTTCCTTTATCATCACATCCACATCAACATCTTTTTTTTTATATTTTTTTGATGATGGCCATTCTTGCAGGAGTGACGTGGTATCGCACTGTGGTTTTGATTTTTGTTTCCCTGGTAATTAGTGATATTGAGCATTTTTCCATATTCTTGTTGGCCATTTGTATATCTTCTTTTGAAAATTGTCTATCAATGTCCTTGGCCCATGTTTTCAGGGGATTGTTTGTTTTCTTCTTGCTGATTTGTTTGAGGTCTTTCTAGACTCTGGATATTAGTGTTTATATAGAGAGAGAGAGACTGTGAAGATTTTCTCCCACTCTGTGGGTTTTCTGTTAACTCTGCTGATTATTTCTTTGGCTGTGCGGAAGCTTTTTAACTTAATTAAGTCTCATCTATCTTTGTGTTGCATTTGCTTTTGGGTTCTTAGTAATGAAGTCTTTGCCTAAGCCAATGTCTTGGAAGGGTTTTTCTGGCATTATCTTCTAGAATCTTCATGGTTTCAGGTCTTAGATTTAAGTATTTGATTTATTTTGAGTTGATTTTTATATAAGGTGAGAGATGAGGATCCAGTTTCATTCTTCTATATGTGGCTTGCCAATTATCCCAGTACCATTTGATGAGTAGGGTGTCTTTTTCCCACTTTATGTTTTGTTTGCTTTGTGGAAGATCAGTTGGCTGTACGTATTTGGCTTTATTTCTGGGTTCTCTATTCTGTTCCATTGGTCTATGTGGGTATTTTTATACCAATATCAAGCTGTTTTGATGACTCTGGCCTTATAGTTTGATGTGGGGTAATGTGATGTTTCCAGATTTGTTCTTTTTGCTTAGTCCTTCTTTGGCTATGTGGGCTCTTTTGTGGTTCCATATAAATTTTAGGATTTTTTAAATAGTTCTGTGAACATTGATGGTGGTGTTTTGATGGGAATTGCATTTAATTTGTAGATTGCTTTTGGCAGCATGGTCATTTTCACAATATTGATTCTACCCTTCCATGATCATGAACTGTGTTTCCATTCGTTTGTGTTGTCTATGACTTCCTTCAGCAGTGTTTTGTAGTTTTCCTTGTAGAGGTCTTTCACGGCCATGGTTAGGTATACTCCTAAGTATTTTATTTTTTTTATTTTATTTTTTGCAGCTATTATGAAAGGGGTTAAGTTTTAATTTGATTCTCAGCTTGGTCACTGTGTTGTGTAGCAGAGCTACTGATTTGTGTACATTATGTTTGTATCCTGAAACCTTGCTGAATTTATTTACCAGTTCCAGCAGCTTATTGGGGAATTCTTTAGGGCTTTCTAGGTGTATGATTATATCGGCAAACAGCAACTGTTTGACTTCCTCTTTACTAATTTAGATGTCCCTTATTTCTTTCTCTTTTCTGATTGATCTGGTTAGGACCTCCAGTACTATGCTGAATAGAAGTGGTAAAAGTGGGCATATTTGTTCTTCTCCAGTTCTCAGGGGAAATGCTTTCAACTATTCCCCATTCAGTACAATGTTGGCTCTGGGTTTGTCGTAGATGGATTTTATAACCTTAAGGTATGTCCCTTCTGTACGGATTTTGCTGAGGGTTTTAACATAAAGGGATGCTGGATTTTGTCAAATGCTTTTTCTGCATCTATTGAGATGACCATGTGATTTTTGTTTTTAATTCTGTTTGTGTGGCGTACCACATTTATTGACTTGCGTACATTAAAACATCCCTGCATCCCTGGTATGAAACCCACTTGATCGTGGTGGGAATATCTTTTGGATATGCTGTTGGATTCGATTCACTAGTATTTTGTTGAGGATTTTTTGCATCTATGTTCATCAGGGATATTGGTCTGTAGTTTTCTTTTTTTGTTATGTCCTTCCCTGTTTTTGATATTAGGGTGATACTTGCCTCATAGAATGATTTAGGGAGGATTCCCTCTTTCTCTATCTTTTGGAATAGTGTCAGTATAATTGGTACAATTCTTCTTTGAAGGACTGATGGAATTCAGCTGTGAATCCATCTGGTCCTGGACATTTTTTGTTGGCAGTTGTTTCACTGACATTTCAATCTCACTGCCTGTTATTGGTCTGTTCAGAGATTCTACATCTTCCTGGTTTAATCTAGGATAGTTATATATTTCCACAAATTTATCCATCTCCTCTAGGTTTTCTAGTTTATGTGCATAAAGGTGTTTATAGTAGCCTTGAATAATATTTTGTATTTCTGTGATATCAATAGTAATATCTACTATTCCATTTATAATTGAGCTTATTTGAATCTTCTCTCTTCTTCGTTAATCTCACTAATGGTCTATCAATTTCATTTATTTTATCAAAGAAAAATCATCTTTATGTTTCATTTATCTTTTGTTTCATTTTTTGTTTGTTTGTTTGTTTCCCTTTCATTTAGTTCTGCTCTGATCTTCATTATTTGTTTACTCCTGCTGCATTTGGGCTTGGATTGTTCTTGTTTTTCCATTTCTGTGAGGTGTGACCTTAGATTGTCTATTTGTGTTTTTCCAATTTTTTGATGTAGGAATTTAATGCTGTAAACTGTCCTTTCAGCACCACTTTTGCTGTATCCCAGTGGTTTTGATAGGTTGTGTCACTATTATTGTTCAATTCAAATAATTTTTTAATTTCCATCTTGATTTCATTATTGACCCAATAATCATTCAGGAGCAGGATATTTAATTTCCATGTATTTGCTTGGTTTTTAGGGTTCCTTTTGGAGTTGTTTTCCAATTTAATTCCACTGTGGGCTCAGAGAGTACTTGATATAATTTCAATTTTCTTAAATGTGCTGAAACTTGTTTTGTGGCCTATCATATGGTCTATCTTGGAGAATGTTCCATGTGCTGATGAAAAGAATGTATGTTCTGCACTTGGGTAAAATATTCTGTAAATATCTGTTAAGTCCACTTGTTGTAGGGTATAGTTTAAGTCCATTGTTTATTTGTTGACTTTCTGTCTTGATGACCTGTCTAGTGCTGTCAGTGGCATATTTAAGTCCCCCACTATTCTGTTGCTATCTATCTCATTTCTTAGTTATAGCAGTAATTGTTTTATAAATTTGGGAGCTCCAGTGTTAGGTGCGTATATATTTAGAATTGTGATGTTTTCGTGTTGGACTAGTCCTTTTATCATTATATGATGTCCCTCTTTGTCTTTTTTAACTGTTGTTGCTTTAAAGTTTGTTTTAGCTGATAAAATAATAGCTACTCCTGCTCGCTTTTGGTGTCCATTTGCATAGAATATCTTTTTCAACTCCTTTACCTTAAGTTTATGTGACTTCTTATGTATTAGGCAAGTCTCCTGAAGACTGCAGAAACATGGTGGGTTAATTCTTATCCATTCTGTCATTCTGTATCTTTTAAGTATAGCATTTAGGCCATTGACATTCAATGTTAGTATTGCCATGTTAGGTACTGTTCTATTCATCATGCTGTTTGTTGCCTGAATACCTTGTTTGTTTGTTTGTTTGTTTGTTTGTTAATTGTGTTATTGTTTTATAGGCCCTGTGACATTTATCCTTTAAGAAGGTTCTATTTTGGTGTATTTCAAGGAATTGTTTCAAGATTTAGAGTCCTTTTAGCAGTTCTTGTAGTGCTGGCTTGGTAGTGGCAAATTCTTTCAGCATTTGTTTGTCTGGAAAAGGGTGTGTCTTCCTTTTTACAGCTGAATCAAGGCTTACTCTCCATGATGGAGATGCTTGCATGGGCTCTTCTCTCCAGCAGCCTTGCCTTTCACATCTATTCATAGCTCTACATCTATGTTCTAGTGTCAGCTCAGGATTTTGTATAGTTGAGATATTTTGGGAGATTTTCTTACTTATTTCAAGCCCAGAAATTCATTAAATGTGTGTGTGTGTGTTTTTTAATCAAGGCTACTGTAATTTTTGTTTAAGGTCGTCTTCAGAGAATTTATTCAAAGTCCACTAAATCTTTTTTCAGTAATGTCTAATCTGCTGTTCAACTCATCTTTTGCATTTCAATGATTGTATTTTTTTCATTTGGGGTTTTATAGATGGATCTTTTAAAAAAATCTGCTGGCATATTTTTGATAATCACTTGTCTTTCGTAACACTACCAATGCCTCCTTTTATTTCTTTACTTATACATAAAAATATATTTATGCTATTTTCTATATTTGGTAATTCAAACTGTCCACATGATTTGTATGTTTGGATATACAGCTTGAAGAAGTTTGCTGACTCTCACTTATGTGGCTTGGGGCCTTATGCTTTGCCAAATTGTAATCCCCCGTGTTGGGAGTGGGGCCTGGTGGAATGTGAATGGATCATGGGGGTGGAGTTCTTACAGATGGTTTAGCACCATCCGCCTTGTTACTGAATAGGGCGTTCTCTAGAGATCTGGTTGTTTAAAAGTGTGTGGCACCTCCCCTCTCTTCCTCCTGCTCCTGCCATGTAAAACATGGCCTGCTTCCCCTTTGTCTTCCTCTATGATTGTGAGTTTCTTGAGGGCTCCCCAGAAGCTGATGCCACCATGCTTCCTGTACAGCCTGCAGAACTGTGAGCCAATTCAGCCTCTTTTCTTTATAAGTTACCCAGTCTCAGGAATTTTTTCATAGCCAAGTGAGACTGGACTAATACACTTAGCTTCCTTACCATGCCAAACATATATTTTAAAATTCTTTTCCTTGGTGTCATATCCCTGGTTTTCATTTGCCATAAATAAGATTTTTTTCTGCAACTTCTTTAGGAAGACTTCCCTAAGACCAAGATTAGGCAAGACTTTTTATTCCTCTGCAATTTACTTAGTTGTATATGGCACAGTTGAAATTACTTTCACATATAGATTATTAGCCAATATAAGTTTCAGAACTCTGTCTGTCTGTATAGTTTTATTTATGTGAATTATAAAATGATATTTATTCTCTAACATTCATTTCACATGTTATTTCCATGAAATCTTTTCTGAAACTCTCTAAACTCCTTTAAACCCTCGGTATAAGACATTTTAATAATTTTCTCCACCTGGACCCAGTTTTTAGTAATAATGCCTTAGCAGAGCCCCCAAAGAGATAGTCCACGAGATCATGTGATCTATCCCTTCATCACATTTGAGTGGATCACTCAATTATGGACACATAGCATGAGCCTAGCAATCACATTCTATTTCTGAAAAAATAGAAATTTGGATGCAGAGAAATTCTGAAAAGTGCAAAGAAGGGAATTGTAATTATTCAGGAATAAACTGTCACATTTTTAAATTAAATTAACGTCTATTCTATTCATTCACCATCATTTTCAAAAAAAAGAAAAAAAAGATCAAGAAAGTCTACTGATTAATCAATGTTAAAAGAAAATCCTTAGTGAAATTAAATTTAACATAGTTTAATTGAACAAAGAATGAGTCACAAATTGAGCAGCCTCCCCAGCCAGAGTAGGCTCAGAGAGACTCCACCACAGCCACATAGTTGAAAAAGATTTATAGACAGAAAAAGAAAGTGACGTACAGAAAACAGAAGTGAGGTACAGAAACAGCCGGACGGGTTACAGCTCAGCATTTGCCTTCTTTGAACGTGGTTTGAGTAGTTGGCCCCCTTTGATTGGCCAAAACTCAGTGATTGGCACAAGGGTAGGTTACAGTCTGTTTACACTTCCATTTAGGTTATAGTTCACTATTTTCAGAGAAACTTAAAATATGTAAGGAGGCAACTTTAGAGTAAATTTGATTTAACATCATGTAGGTCACAACCAGAACTTGCATCTAATCCCAGCTACACCATACACTGAACTTTAGACAAGCAATTTAACCCCTTTCCTTTGGTTTACTCAAAGGCATAAAGGGATAGTAAATAACATTCTAACCACTGAATTGTGAGAACTAATTGCTGAAAACATGAAATGCTTGAAACAGGAACCAACATATATTAAGCATTCAGTAAATATTAGGTATTTTGTTATTATTGGTATATGTATCAAGTGTCTAGCAGAAGACCTGGTCCATAATTCATGGCCCCGAATTGTAAATAACTTTCTCTTCCCCTCTCAGAGCTAATTACCACTGTTGGTAAATGTTTATGAATCTGTATTTTTTATATATATATATATATATATATATATATATATATATATATATGTATATATATATATATATATATATATGTATATATATACACACACACACACACACACACATACATATATATATGATTTTTTATATCAATCTTTGATTTCCTATATCTCCATTTACTTACTGTTTTTATTTAAAACTTTCCTATGAAAACCAGATGTAGCAGATTGACCAGACTAAAGAGAACATCTAACCATATGAACTTCATATGGATTCTACATATTCAACATTCTGTTCATGTAATTTCTAACATTTGTCTACATTAATAATGTAAACAATAATAATGTTTAAAATATTATAGCTATATAACAAGTCTTTGTGGGTTTAATGACTATACTTCCTCTTAGATTATAAGCCTGAATATTTCTTTGAGAATTTTATGTGGCTTTTTTCACATTGGCAAAGTGATTGGAACTTTTCTTCTTAAAATACACTAGAGAACCATGGAGCAGATATGGACCAAGTGGAAATAATGCATTGAGTAGTAATTTAAACCAGTTAAGCATATATTTTCTAACTGGGGTATAGTTTTCTGCAATTAGGTTATGCTAAAGCTCATATTAACAACTTTGTAGACCTACATATCTAGGATTCAAAATTTTATGTGTCCATGAAAATAAAGGCTAAGATGGAAACACATCAATCCTAGATGATTTTCCTGTTGATAGGTTTTACTATACCTCCTAGCTATACGTTTACATTTTATTTCACTGCTCTTACATATATTTTAATACATATGTATTTTCAACACCATAAAATTACTTAACATTCTTTTTTTTTAAATAAACTCCAGCTGAATTACAGCAAAGCAGAGAAAGATTGAGTATTGTATCTTTCTTTAAGAAGAATGCTAGAGTATACTAGAGTATATACATCAGCCACATTCTCCATCACTGGCTGCAGCTACTCTGTCTTGAGGCAGCATGGCCAGTCTCTCCATTAATCATGCCAGATCTGGATTCAAAATGTCACAGCAACAGCTATAAAAGAAAAATTAAGATCACCACAGAAATAATATCATACAAATTTATGCAACTGCTAGTATGTTTTAATTCTTCAAAACGTACAATAAGTAAACAAAAACATGAATAGAGTTTTCTGTGTTTTGTTTTTGAGAAATGTAAAAGAATAATATCTAGCCTATGTTAAATATCTACTGTAAAACTTCACTGGATCTTTATTCACTTACAGATAATAGGCCATCAAACCCTTTGAATCTAACTTACTGTTGAATTGTTGGTTGATACAAGAAACAAGAAAATAGAAGCTGAAACTTACATTTATATTGTTCAGGTAATTTGAATAAGATTTCTTTCTCCTAGAATAAAGACAGGATTTCTACTAATCAAAATGTATTATCTACTCAGATTTGTAAGGTATGATTTTAGAATATGAATTCAAAAGCATAATTTGGAGAATTCTATGACTCAGCTCTAAGACACTTTGTTACACAGAAGCCATGGATTGTCATTTTAAATGTGGAAGTGATACGATAAAACTCTCACTCTTCTAAGAATAAAGCTATTGCTGGACCCTGTTATCTCACAACCCCAAGGTACAATATGATAATGATATCACTTAACATCATTGCTGAAGTAGGAAAAACAAAAGGGAAAAGCTGCAAGCATTTTAACTAGAAAGAACTCAAATTAAAATATTAATTTACTGATTAATATAACATTAGCTGACCTATTTTCTCCAGCTTGTTAAACAACAAAGACTTGTGAAGCTAAATAACTGCTTAAAAGATAAATGTTTTCAGAATTCCCAGGGAGATGTTTAGCTCCTTTTTAAACACCGTTAAAGATATGCCTTGCATATATCAGGCAATTTTATGCCTTCTGTGCTGAAACATCCTGTTTACATTTATTAATGCATTCTAAAGAATTGGGATTTGCTTAGGGGATCCCCCTTTTTCCAAAACTATGACCAATAGATGTCAGGGTTTTTTTATGCTTAGTGACTCATTGTAGAATTTATGAAAATTCAAACTCTTTCAAGAGAGTGAAACAGGTCACACTTGGAAATTTATTTTCTTAAACCTTTCATAATTTGAGATAATGTTGATTTTAAAGATAAAAACCAGCAAGCTGCTGTCCACATACTCAGCCCCACGACCTCAGAAGTTCAAGCTGGTCTTCAAAGAATTGTACTGAAAGCAAAGAGGGCTGGCTGGCTTTTGTGTTAAGAAAGTCAAGTTTCTACTACAATTCTGTTACTAATACCATGGACCGCTACACCATATTTTTCTTTAAAAAGTGAAAGTTTTTGAACAACATTTCTGTCTTTCTTGAGTTGCAAACTGCTAGCAATGTGGTCATCCAAGACATAAAATAAAACTCACTTTGATTTGGTGCATTCTGATACATGGTCTAAAGAAAGAGGAATGGTTTTCTTGGGAGAATACAGAATTCAGTGAAGTAATGTAAATAGTTAAATGGGGTGTAGTTAGTAAAACAGAGATCCTAAAGGTTTTGGTAAGGAGTTGAAGTAGGGATAGACACAAGGGATAGACAGACAGACAGATTGTTGAAAGTAGTGAAAAGAAAAACTTTAAATAATCTTCTTAGCTCTTCAGAATAGTTTGTTGATGAATGACTCATTCTTAACGTAATTTAGAAGATAATGCTGACTTTTTGCTCAACATGGGTATTGAACCCTTATCTTTTAGCATAAGAATAATGTGATTTGTTAAAATCCAGTTTCTACTATTAGGGACTCTTCCAAAAATGTCTTCAAGGGTTAGTGGAGCCTCAGGGTCTACCTGTGAGGTTAGTGACAGCATTAAACCATGTGACCTACAGAGTTGCCAGTTTTCTTAATTGCTTTCTTTTTAATTTGGTCTTTCTAAATTTTAGTTCTATAATGTATGTTTTGAAAATAACATTTTTGTTTTTCTCAGCTTCCAAAGCAGTTCGTTGCTTTCTAAGAAACTATTCCATTCAAAGTCTTTGTTCTTTTGGTTCAGCCTACAGAATATTCCTTGAGACCCTCTGAGATGCAGTTTTGTGTCAGTTGTTAAGCTGTTTGACTGGAACTTCCCCTCCCTTATTCTTTCTCTGGCTCTCTCTCTCTCTCACACACACACACTCACAGAGATTCTTTGAAAATTGGTTAGAATTAGTACGTATTATTAAATACATCATCCCCAAACTACTGTCTTAAAAAAGCAATAACACATATAGTGGTACGGTGGTATGCTGGTAAATGTTTAACAACCAGTTCTCTGGGAATAATAAGAAAGCTCTGATATTTAATTTTAATGGTATCCCTGGTGTAAGCACTCTCACCATGGCTCATCTCAAGCCACTGAGATAATCTCCCTGAATGTGGATTTGGGACAAATTTGCACATTTGGCTCTTGTGAACTGGTAGAAGTAGAATGACTACTTTTTAACCTAGGCCTCTTCTGAAGAGGTCCATGTAGTTGGTAACCTTAAAATATATGTGAACATCTCCTTCCACAATCCCTCCCCACCAACAAAGATCAGGCTTTCTTATTTCATAATAAAAGGGATAGATGTCCCAAGGTTAGTGTTCCATGAGTTATAACAGAAATCCACTGTGCATATAGTATTCATCTGGGCCACATCATGTTACCCATGTGGAACTTGAGGCAAGAAGAACCAATGCAAATATGTTGATGATCATGTTGACTTCAGTGCCATGAATAATAAAATATTTCTCTCTTAGCCTGAAGTTTCATGCCTCTATCAGCATACATGAAACAGCTACAGGCTAACTTACTAGTCTGTAAGTAAGATAAAATCAAATTTCATACCCAACAAATATCCTGTATTGAAACTGATAGAAACACACATGTTCACATATATGCAAAAGTAGTCTTTATATGTTGGCAATATATAGGAACTTATTTTCATTGATCAGAAATATTGGAATAGCATGAAATAATTTAGATAAAAAATCATTGTTAGGAAATTTCAGCTTCTAATACTATACAGTGAATTTTTCACTATGAAGCATTCATTGACTATTTATATGTCAAATTATTCCACTGGAATTTTTTTTACCTGCTGTTTTGCATTGTCATTTTGTTTTATAAAATGTAACTGCCAATACTGATGCAAAGAATATTAGAATATTCAATTTTATGTCACAGTCTTCAGTCAAAATGAAAGTTTTAACAAAGCTTGAACTACTCACTCTGTTAATATATGCAGACATATTTCCACCAGGTTTTGTGTTCCTATATGTAATTTCCAGAGTCATATTTGCAATACTGATAATCAGTTATTATAGATATTTTCTAGTTATAATAAATTCTGGATTTTCTTGATTTGAATATACACAAATGCAATAGGAAAAAGGAAGATTAAATTAAAATCAGTATCAGAAATGTAAACTTGCTTCTACTGTCCTCCTAGGCGTCATCTGAATGCAGACTCCTAGGGACCACCAAAAAAAAAAATAAAACCCAAAATACCATTTCTTCCTCTTTCCTTTTCCTTCACTTCTCTTTTTTCAGATTTCCTTTCCCAACAAATTATTATGTAACATATATATGTTGTATACCATAAGTATATGCAATTTTAATTTATCAACTAAAATAAATAAAACTGTAAAGGGTCAAAAATTAAAATGACATTACTATGTAACAGATTTAAGGTTTGAGGTTTGGTTATCATTGTTTATCACATCATACTCTAGAGTGAATGAATAAATATTTGTTAAGTTTTCAATCAATATTACAATTCTGAAGATGTCTCTAAAGACATTAATATAGTGTAGTGTACAATACTAGGTTATATTTTAATACAGTTTTAAACATCAAGATCTTGATAAAACAGTTCCAAGCAGACATTTAATATGCAATAAAATTTTGCACATATTAAATTCTAAATGCTACTTGATTAAGACTAACAAAAATTATTGTTAATAAAGTAATGTTAGTTGATGACTATGAAAACTCTTCATTTATCTCACATTACCAGAAGTAAATATAACTAATTATATTAAAATAATACAATTTAAAACTTATTAGCTATAACATATTAGAATTTTATCTAGTTTTCTTAATATCGTGTATTATCCTGATCAAAAGTAGTAATGTCATTTTAAATGGCATTATCCCAAACAAGGAACATGAAAGGAACCCAAAAAAATTAAGAATTTTAAAGATAAATGTTGACCTATTTTTAACTCCTTGATGAATGCACAGAAAGTAAATTCTTCATTTTGTTTCGTGGCTGACAACATCCTCCTCACTCACACTCAAATCCTACTTGAGCTCCATCCCAGTGCTATGAAAACATCTTATGGTATTCTAATAGGGCCATGCCCTGTACCCATTAGAGATAACAAATGGAGAAACAGTGCCAAAAATGTGCCAAATAAAACTCTAATATTTATTTCAGTTACTTATACTGCATATGAAAAATGCTAGCTTTTAGTGTCCTCTTTATCAGGGTCTTTGTCCTAATACTCACTCTAAGGCTAATTCACTCTCTTTCTTTTACTCTTTCCAGCTCTATTAGAATCACACTCCCACATATTTTAATAGCAGTTAGCCTGATGGTTATCATATGCTGTCATAATCCACATGCAGGCTGGGATCTCCCATGGAAGGAATTTTTGTACCAAGACTTTAGGAATAAGCTATAGTAAGGATATGCCAGAAGCCAATTTTGAGGAATTATTCAAAAAGTAATGTAATTCAGAAATTTAAGACTTTCCATCATTTGACCATTTACATACTTAGGCATTGTCATGATACCTCTTTTAATCTGTAGAAAAACCTGCAAGTTTGCTACTGTTAATCTCATTTTAGAGATGAAAGACTCTGGGATCAAGTTCACGCAGTTAAAAGTCATAAAGTAAGAATTTACAAATACTATAGGCTTTTTCTGTATGTATATATTTCATTATAATTAACAAGGTTAAAAAGAGGGGTTATTAAATTTCCTAATTGTGCTTGTTTGTTTTTAGAAACAGATAAGTACCACTACAGGAGATTCATACTTAATTTTAACAAAACCACATATTGGATACTGAACATAAATATTTGGTGGAATAGCACAATGTTGAATGATATCACACCTTACTGTCCAAAAAGGTCGTTAAAATTTAGAAACATAGAATTAAAATGTTGGATATAAAAGTTTATAGTATACCAATACCATACTTTAAACCTGTCAGTTTTTGAAATACTGCATAGACATGGTGAATCATACTACACAGGAGAACAACATTTGAAGTAAGGTACAAACTGAGATAAATTTACCATTAAGCAAGAACATCTGTATGTTACATTTTTTACTTGCTCTTTAAATTTTCTGGATAATAACATTTATCTATTTTTACTTCATCTAGTTGTGATTTTATCCATGTATTCTTAGTTAAAATTCCAATATATGTTTTTATTTCATGTGTATTTTGGAATATAATGAGGAGAAGTCCTGTGTTTCATTAATATTCTATTTAAAGATGTAATCCGTATAGGTAGCTTTGTGTGGCTTTTCTGGAAGAAGATATGAAACATGTAAATCCAAGCTCATTATAGCTGCTAAAAAAGTTATATTCTTTTTTTTTGTTCTTTATTTTTAATACATCTTTTCAGTTTCAAAAGTAGAAGGACTTACAACATCTAGTTTTAGCAAACACAATTCTTAAGGGCACTCTATTTGAGGCTATATGATTTTATATCAAATTTTTCAAATATTACAAAACTGAAGATTTGAATCTACCTATTGCATATGGATTTGTGAGGTTCATATTTTCCCACCAAACTTTTGATCGAAAATTAAAATAGGATCCATATAGCTCCGTGGATTTTTCACCTTTACTATAAATCCTAAAACTGGAGGAATAACAACAGATGTGACGAGTTTTCATGGCAACTTTATTATAAAACCAAAGCAGGACAAAGTTCAGGGGCATCAAGACATATCACATAATAACTCAGGTGAAGAGTCTTAAGAGAACCAGCGTATATTTAGATATATCTTCCTGGCTTATCAATGAAACAATTTTTCATCAAGTTTTGTATAAAAATCAAATGGAGTAAATACACTTGGCTTATCAACAGAAAAGAAAGAGCTTGTGAAAAGCATAGTGAGCAAAAATGAAGATTTTCAGAACTTCTTTCTGTTATACAAGCTGGGATGCTCTCTTGAACATCGCTGCCTTTCATTGTTACTTCTCCTCCTTCTCCTGCTCCATTTTCTTCTTACTTTCCCCCTTTTTAATGCCTATAGCTTTTTGCCAAAAAAGTTAGCTTTTTACAATAATAAAGTACTGCTTTGTTAAGTTCTACTCATCACTTACCTACATTGCCCCTACCAACGTAACAATTTCATATCATTTTCCTATTAGATAGGTTCAAAGATAGACTAAAATCCTAAATGTATTTTGAGATACATTTAAAAATCAACTTAAAAATGAATTTTGTGACATGTGAGAAGGAGCATTTGTGCATGTATTTTAAATATTACATTCTGGATATTTTGACATGGTGTTAGCACAAAGAATTTTCCCTTCAAAATCAACTTAGTTAAAAAGACAAACTGTTGTGCTCCTAGAATAATAATCCTTTTTTGTTACTATTCCCACATCCCCTTCTCTTTCCTTCTCTCTCCTATGCCTCCTTCCATCTTCAGAAGTTCTAAGCATTTATTAAGTGACTATTACTATTATTATTATTATTTGAGATGAGGTCTCACTCTGTCATCTAGGCTGGAGTGCAGAGGCACTATGATGGCTCACTGCAACCTCTACCTCTTAGGTTCAACAGATTTTCATACCTCAGCCTGCCAAGTAGCTGGGATTACAGGTGTGTGCCACCAAGCCTGGTTAATTTTTGTATTTTTAGTGGAGATGGGGTTTCACCATGTTGGCCAGGCTGGTCTCCAACTCCTGACTTCAGTGATCCACCAGCCTTGGCCTCCCAAAGTGCTGGGATTACAGGCGTGAGCCACTGCGGCCGGCCTAAGTGACTATTATTTGCCAGTTATTTTACTGGGTAATTTATATGTGACTATATATAGTCCATGCAATAATCCTCTGAAATTGATTTTGTAATCCTTATTTTAAAGTTGAGCCATATAAAGCTATAAGAAGCTGAGCCACTAAGAAATGGAGCTAGAATGTACCAAATGAAGAACAGATAAAATGGAGATAGGCAAAGGAGGTAAAACTGTCAAAATGTTATCATATCAAAGGCTTTCATAGACTTAAAGATAAGGACAACCAGATTTCTCTTGTGCTCAGCCCTAATGTAGTGTATTTTAGTGTTGAATGTGCACATGGTTGAAGCCAAAGACATGTAGGGAAAGGTGCTCAGTATATTGTCTTGACATCCCAGAAAGCTATCTGAAACCTAATAAATGCAATAAAATGAATAGGGATAAAGATGAAAAACATTGCTCCATAGCCTTAGGATCAACATCCATTACTTAACTAGCATAGCAATAAATTCATCATCAAAGGAATCTCAAAGCAGTGGAACAATATCAATCAGGTAACACTTCATACTTTTCAGCTAGAAAGGAGCTTACTTTTGTCTCATTTTATTTCTACTTTCATTGGGTAAGAAAACTGAAGATTATATAAATGAAATGAGCTGCCTGTTGTATAAGTAACAATGTTGAAACTGATCCCTAATGTAGTATTCTGGACATTTCAACCCATCATTACCACCACCTTCAAGGCCACCCTTGAAGTATGGCCCACTCTTCAAGGAACTAAAATGCAAATAACAGATTAAAGCAGGATAGGAAACCCAATATGCTCAGACGTTTCCAACGACAGGAAGGTAAGTTTTTAAAATCTAGAATTGTTTTCTGAACTGCAGCTCAGATTAAAAAATAAAGTCAAAGTCAGTAATTTTTGTCTTAAAATCCAAATAAAAAATTATTTTTCTAAAAATAGCTAAATTGAGTCTGAACCTTAGAATCTAACCAACCAGGATCTAATGAAAATTTGACATGATTCATTGCTAACAGTGAAAAAGGTAGCTAACCGATGATAAACAATACTTCAGAATAACATCTAAATTCTCAGAGGAATGCATGAGATATTCAACTGTATGAGTTGACCAGTGATGCTCCAGAACGTATCCTCAGAGGAGAGCATTATCATGATAGTCTGTCTGTGTTATTTATATAGTTATTGGAATTTTGCTTCAAGACACTGGTTTTTAAAAAACAAACTGATTATTTAAAGTAGTTTACTGAACATTATTCCACATTAATTTTTTTCACAAACTCAATGTTATATCAAAAAAGTGTATGTAAGTCAGTTTGATTCATGAAGGTTACATAAATTTCATGTAACCTTGAGCATGTATTTTTCAAAATAATGAGCTATGCTTACTGAAAAATGTGTCAGTTTTTAAAAAACAGATCTTTGTTTATCTTTTAAACTTCTAGAGGTTAGTGGAATGGGAAAAAAATGACAGGAGAAGGCAAAAAAAGGTGTTCTGTAGTTGTTTATATATAAATAATGAATGTCAATGATAAAACTGTTATTTAGACATTGTAGTGATCATGAAAAACCAAGGCCCATAATCTTTACTGTATGATAGATTTTCAGTTTACAAGAAGATGCTTGGCTTGTAAGTCAGACAAGTTATTCCCAGGTGGAGAGCAATAATTCTGTGAAGAATGTCAATGGTAGTTTACTGGGAATAGCGTTGAAACTATGAATTACTTTGGGCAGTATGGCCATCTTCACAATATTGATTCTTCCTATCCATGAGCATGGAATATTTTTCCATTTGTTTGTGTCCTCTCTGAATTCCTTGGGCGGTGCTTTGTAGTTCTACTTGAAGAAGTCCTTCACTTCCTTTGTTAGCTGTACTCCTAGGTATTTTATTTTCTTTGTAGCAATTGTGAGTGGGAGTTCATTCATGACTTTTTAATAATTGCTGTTCTGACTGGCATGAGATGGTATCTTATTGTGGTTTTGATTTGCATTTCTCTAATAACCAATGGTATTGAGCTTTTTTTCATATGTTTGTTGGCCACATGTATATCTTCTTTTAGAAGTGTCTGTTCATGTCCTTTGTCTGCTTTTTAATGGGGTTGTTTGGTTTCTTTCTTGTAAATTTGCTTAAGTTCCTTGTAGATTCTAGAGAATAGAACTATGTCAGAGGGATAGATTGTAAAAATTTTCTCCGATTCTGTAGGTTGTCTGTTCGCTCTGATGATAGTTTCTCTTGCTGTGCAGAAGCTCTTTCGTTTGATTAGATCCCATTTGTCAATTTTTGCTTTTGTTGCAAATTGCTTTTGGTGATTTCATCATAAAATCTTTGCCCATGCCTATGTCCAGAATGGTATTGCCTAGATTTTCTTCTAGGTTTTTTATAGTTTTGGGTTTTACATTTAAGTCTCTAATCCATCTTGAGTTAATTTTTATAAGGTGTAAAGAAAGGGTCCACTTTCAATTTCTGCATATGGATAGCCAGTTCTCCCAGTACTATTTATTGAATAGGGAATCCTTTCCCAATTGCTTGTTTTTGTCAGGTTTGTCGAAGATCAGATGAATGTAGATGCGTGGTTTTACTTCTGAGCTCTCTATTCTGTTACATTGGTCTATGTGGCTGCTTTTGTACAAATACCATGCTGTTTTGGTTATTGTAGCCTTGCAGTATAGTTTGAAGTCAGGTAGCATGATGCCTCCAGCTTTGTTCTTTTTGCTTAGGATTATCCTGATTATACAAACTCTTTTTTTTTTGGTTCCATAAGAATCTTTAAATAGTTTTTTCTAATTCTGTGAAGAATTCAATGGTAGTTTTATGTGAATAGCATTGAATCTGTAAGTTTCTTTGGGCAGTATGGCCATTTTCATGATTATTTATTCCTCCTATCCATGAGCATGGAATGTTTTTCCATCTGTTTGTGTCCCCTCTGATTTCCTTAAGCGCTGGTTTGTATTTCTCCTTGAAGAGGTCCTTCACTTCCCTTGTTAGCTATATTCCTAGGTATTTTATTCTCTTTGTAGCAATTGTGAGCTTTCATTCATGATTTGGCTCTCTGCTTCTCTATTGTTGGTGTATAGAAATGCTTGTGATTTCTGTACACCGAATTTGTATCCTGAGACTTTGCTGAAGTTGCTTATCAGCTTAAGAGGCTTTTGGGCTGAGACGATGGTGTTTTCTAGATATAGGATTATGTCATCTACAAACAAAGACAATTTGACTTTCTCTTTTCCCATTTGAATAACCTTTATTTCTTTCTCTTGCCTGATTGGTAGGCTATTTAATGCTGCCTCCATTTCAGAAGTGGTTATTAGTCTATTCAGGGATTCAACTTTTTCCTGGTTCAGTCTTGGGAGGGTGTATGTGTCCAGGAACTTATCCATTTCTTCCAGATTTTCTAGTTTATTTGCATAGAGGTTTTATAGTATTCTCTGATGGTTGTTTGTATTTCTGTGGGGTCAGTGATGGTATCCCCCTTTTCATTTCTGATTGCGTTTATTTGAATCTTCTCTCTTTTCTTCTTTATTAGACTAGCTAGTGGTGTATCTATTTTATTGATTTTTTCAAAAAAAGCTCCTGGATTTGTTGATTTTTTCTTTAAGGGTTTTTTTCTGTGTGTCTCTATTTCCTTAAGTTCTGCTCTGAGCTTGGTTATTTCTTGTCTTCTGCTGGCTTTAGGGTTTGGTTTAGTACTATAAATTTGCCTCTTAACACTGCTTCAGCTGCATTCCAGAGATTCTAGTACATTGTCTCTTTGTTCTCATTAGTTTCAAATAACTTCTTGATTTATGACTTAATTTCATTATTTACCCAGGAGCCATTCAGGAGCAGGTTGCTCAATTTCTATGTAGTTGTGTGGTTTTGAGTGAGTTTCTTTTTCTTTCTTACTTTTTTTTTTTTTTTTTTAAATACAGATGGAGTCTCGCTCTGTCACCGAGGGTAGAGTACAGTGGTGCACTCTTGGCTCACTGCAACCTCCACCTCCCGGGTTCAAGCAGTTCTCCTGCCTCAGCCTCCCGAGTAGCTGGGACTACAGGCACATGCCACTACACCCGGCTAATTTCTTTTTGTATTTTAGTAGAGATGGGGTTTCACCATGTTGCCCAGGCTGGTCTCAAAACTCCTGAGCTCAGGCAATCCGCCTGCCTTGGCCTCCCAAAGTGCTAGGATTATAGGCGTGAGCCACCACACCCGACTTTGAGTGGGTTTCTTAATCTTGAATTCTAATTTGAATGCACTGTGGTCTGAGGGACTGTTATGATTTCAGTACTTTTGCATTTGATGAGGAGTGTTTTACTTCCAATTATGTGATCAGTTTTAGACTGGGTGCCATGTTATGATGAGAAGAATGTATATTCTGTTGTTTGGGGGTGGACAGTACTGTAAATATCTATCAGATACACTTGATCCACAGCTGATTTCAAGTCCTGAATGTCTCTGTTAATTTTTTGTCTCAATGATCTGTCTAATATTGACAGTGGAGTATAAAAGTAACCCCTATTATTCTGTGGGGGTCTACATCTCTTTGTCGGTCTTTACAAACTTGTTTTATGAATCTGGTGCTCCTGTATTGGGTGCATAAATATTTTAAATAGCTCTTCTTGTTGAATTGAACCCTTTACCATTATGTCATGCCCCTCTTTGTCTTTTTTGACCTTTGCTGGTTTAAAGTTCATTTTGTCAGAAACTAGGATTGCAACCCCTACTTTTTTCTGCTTTCCATTTGCTTGGAAAATTTTCCTTCATCCCTTTATTTGAGCCTATGTGTGTCTTTGCACATGAGATGGGTCTCTTGAATACAGCACACCAATGAACGTTGTCTTTTTACCCAGCTTTCTGTTCTCTCTTTTAATTGGGGCATTTAACCCATTACATTTAAGGTTAATATTATTAAGTGTGGATTTGATCTTGTCATTGTGATTCTAGCTGGTTAATTTTGCAGACTTGTTATTGGAGTTGCTTCATAGTGTCATTGGTCTGTGTAATTCACTGTGTTGTGTAGTAGGTGATAACAGTTTTTCCTTTATGTGTTGAGGCTTCCTCCAGGAGCTCTTTCAAGGCAGGCCTGCTGGTGACGAAATCCCTCAAGAATGGCTTGTCTGAAAGGAATTTTATTTTTCCTTCACTTATGAAGCTTAGTTCATCTGGATATGAAATTCTGGGCTGGAATTTCTTTTCTTTAAGAATGTTGAATATTGGCCCTCAATCTCTTCTGGCTTGTATGGCTTCCACTGAGAGATCCACTGTGACCTGACCTTTCTCTCTGGCTGCCCTTAACGTTTTTACCTTCATTTCAACCTTGGAGAATATGACAATTATGTGTCTTGGGGTTGATCTTCTCATGAAGTATCTCTGGATTTCCTGAATTTGAATTTTGTCCTGTCTTGCTTGGTTGAGGAAGTTCTCCTGGATGATACACTGAAGTATGTTTTCTAACTTGCTTCCATTCTCTCCATCTCTTTCATGTACCCTGATCAGTTGTAGTTTTGGTCTTTTTACATAATCCCATATTTCCAGAGATTTTATTCATACATTTTCATTCTCTTTTCCCTATTCTTATCTGCCTGTCTTATTTTAGAAAGATAGTCTTCAAGCTCAGATATTCTTTCTTCCACTTGGTCTATTCTGCTGTCAATACTTGTGATTGCATTGTGAAGTTCTTCTGTTGTGTTTTTCGGCTCTATAAGGTCATTTATGTTCCTCTCTAAACTGGCTATTCTGGTTATCAGCTTCTGTTATGTTTTATCATGGTTCTTCACTTCTTTGCATTGGGTCAGAACATGGTTCTTTAGCTCAGCAAAGTTCATTATTACCCACATTCTGAAGCCCACTTCTGTTAATTCAGCCATCTCACCATCATCCCAGTTCTGTGGCCTTGCTAGAGAGGTGTTGTGATTGTTTGGAGAAGAGGCACTCTGGCTTTTTTAGTTTTCAACTATATATATATATATATATATATATATTTTTTTTTTTTTTTTTTTTTTGAAACAGTGTCTCACTCTGTCACCCAGGCTAGAGTGCAGTGGCGCAAACTCAGCTCACTGCAGCCTCCACCTCCCAGGTTGAAGCGATTCTCCTGTCTCAGCCTCCTGAGTAGCTGGGATTACAAGTGTGTGCCACCATGCCTGGGTAATTTTTTTGTATTTTTATGTTTTATTTATTTATTTATTTTGAGACGGAGTCTCTGTCTGTCACCAGGCTGGGGTGCAGTGGCGCAACCTCTGCCTCCCAGGTTCAAGAGATTCTCCTGCCTCAGCCTCCCAAGTAGCTGGGACTATGGGTGTGTGCCACCACACCCAGTTAATTTTTGTATTTTTAGTAGAGACGGGGGTTGTTGGCCAGGATGGTCTCGATCTCTTGACCTTATTATCCGCCCACCTCAGCCTCCCAAATTGCTGGGATTACAGGTGTGAGCCACCACACCCGGCCAGTTTTCAGCATTTTCGCATTGATTGCTTCTCATCTTTGTGGGCTTATCTACCTTCAATCTTTGACGTTGCTTACCTTTGAATGGGGTTTTGGTGGGGCCTTTTTTGTTGATGTTGTTGTTGTTGCTTTCTGTATGTTTGTTTTTCTTTTATCAGTTAGGCACCTCTTCCATAGAGCTGTTGTGGATTGCTGCAGGTCCACTCCAGACCCTAATCGCCTGGTACCCCTCCTGCACCTGGAGGTATCACCAGTGAGGGCTACAAAACAGCAGTGATGACAGCCTGCTCCTTCCTCTGGGAGCTCCATCCCAGTGGAGCACCAACCTGATGCTGGCCCAAACACTCCTTTAGGAAATGTCTGGAGACCCCCATTGGAAGATCTTACCCAGTCAGTAGGAACGGGTTCAGGGACCCACTTGAAGAAGCAGTCTGGCTGCCCCTTTCTGGAGCAGATGCATTGCACTGGGGGGAACCCCCCCTTGTCAACCCCCTGGACTCTCCAGAGCCAGCAGGCAGGAAAGGCTAAGTCAGCTGCACCTCAGGGACCAAGGCTGCCATACCCCCCAGGGACTCTGTCCCAGGGAGATCAGAGTTCTGTTCCTAAAACCCTGGCTAGAGTTGCTGAAATTCCCATGGGGAGGCCCTGCCCAGTGAGGAGGGATGGATTAGGGTCCCACTTAAAGAAGCAGTCTGACCATGATCTGCCACAGCAGCTGTGCTGCACTGTGGGGAATTCCTCCTGGTCCTGAACACCCAGACTCCTTGGTGCTGACAAGGTAGAAGGGCTGACTTGAGCTGCCAAGATGGTAGCCACCCCTCCCACCTGGGAAGTCAGTCATCTCAGGCAGTCTCCAGCCTGCTACCACTGGCCGGCTGGAATTCCAGGCCAGTGAGTCTTAACTTGTGAGGTGCCATGGCAGAGGGACCTACTGAACCTCGCCACTTGGCTCCCTGGCATGGGCCCCTCTTCTAGGGAAATGGATAGATCTCCTGCCTCACAGGAATTCCCAGGGTGGGAGTATGTAAAAACTCCTGGGTTTCCGTGCATGTCCACATGGCTGCTGAGAGTCCTCAGAGCTCTGTGCTTTGGACCCAAGGCCCTGATGGTGTGGGCTCCTGAGGGGATCTCCTGATCTGCGGGTTGCAAAGATCCATAGGAAAATCGTGCTTTCCTGGGCAGGATCGCACAATCGCTTGCTGCCTCCCTTGGCTGGGGGTAGGGGCTCTCCTGACTCCATGCTGCTCCTGGATGGGCCATCACCCCATCCTGCTTTTCCTCACTCTCCCTGGGTCCCACCAACCACCTAGTCAGTTCCAATGTGAGAACCTGGATTTTTCAGTTGAAGGTGTAGAATTCACTCGCCATTTTTGTTCTTCTTGGTGAGCATCGTGGATCACCCTTGCTTCTAATCAGCCATCTTGGCTTGCTAAAGCCTCTTTCTTCTTATACTATCTCGATTTTTAACATTATTGTATGATTTTGCTCATTTTTAAAATGTATGTAAAAGGAAACCATATGTTATGTGCCATTTGTGCTGGCTTATTTCCCTCAAAATTATGTTCGTAAATTTCATCCATTTTTGTTGTGAGTGGCTATATAGTATTTTATTACCACACTGAATTTATTGCATAAATATATTACTATTTACCCATGCTATATAATGGACACATTGGTTACAGTTTGGTGCTACTATGATAATGCTTGTACATTTCTTTTAGTGCAATGTCCACATACTGATGTTGAGTGAAATTGCTTTGACACTGTATCAATCCTGTTAAAAAGCATAATTTCCCATAAAGTGGTTTTTTTTTTTGTTTTGTTTTGTTTTTTTGAGACGGAGCCTACGTCAGTCGCCCAGCCTGGAGTGCAGTGGTGCAATCTCGGCTCACTGCAAGCTCCGCCTCCCGGGTTCACTCCATTCTCCTGCCTCAGCCTCATGAATAGCTGGGACTACAGGCGCCCACCACCACGCCCGGCTAATTTGTTTGTATTTTTAGTAGAGACGGGGTTTCACCATGTTAGCCAGGATGGTCTCGATCACCTGACCTCATGATCCACCCGCCTCGGCCTCCCAAAGTGCTGGGTGTCTCCCAAAGGCGTGAGCCACCGCGCCCGGCCCTCCCATAAAGTTTTTAAATAAATATTTACTAGTCAGTTGGTGCTTCTTGAATTTCTGTAAGTAATTTTTGTGTGCAACAGTTGAGTCAAAGGAAGCATGAAAAATTGTTTTGAAGCTTGACTCTCACAGCTATTTAAATAAGTTGAGAAAATAAAATTTATTCCCCTCTCAGAATCAGATAAGACAATTGGAAATTGGTGGGCAAGAGGGGTGAATGCTAAAGACTGACTCCCTTCAGCCAAATGGGGCTAACACTGAGGTCCACGCCATGATTTTGGGGATTCTGATACTGCATGTCAGACAGACGTTGCGATTCTATAGTTGTCTCTTTAAAAAAAAAAAAAAAAAAAAAAAAAACAAAACAAAACAAAACAAAAAAACAGCTTTATTGAAATACAGTGAATATGTAAAGAACAGCATATATGATAAGATTTATGTGCATGCACCTATGAAACAATCACCGAAACCAAGAGAGTGAGCATATTCACCACTTCCAGAAGTTTCCCTGTGCCCATTTGCAATCTATTCCTCCAAGCTCTTTCCAAATCCCCCATGCCCCCTCTCCCAACTTTTCCCCATGAAACCACTAATATACATTCTGCCACTATCCATAAGTTTGCATTTTCCAAACGTTTGGTAAATAAAATCACGTAGGATATGTTCTCTTTTAGGAAGTTTTCTTTAATTCAGCATGTTTATTTTAATATTCATGTATGAATTAAGTGTTTATTTTTATTTGGGAGCAGTATTTCATTGTATGGATATGGATATAACAGGATGTGTAGGCATTTACATTTTTTCGGTGAACTTTTTAAATCATTTGTTAATATTGTAAATCACATTGATTTTTGAATGTTAAACCCAATCCACATTCCTGACAGAAAACTCACCTAGCCACCATGGATTATTTCTCTCATCTAATGTTAGATTTGAGTTGTTTAAAATTTGTGCACAATTAGTGCATCTATGTTCAGAGGGTTATTGGTCTGTGGTTGTCTTTTCTTGTAAAGTCTTCTTCAGATTTTGGTATCAGGATAGTACTGCTTCATAGAATAAGTTAGGAAATAATTTTTTCACAGTTTTCTGAAAGATTTTACACATATTCAGTATTATTTCTTTTTAAAATATTTGCTAGAATTTGTCAGTTAAGCCAGCTGGGCCTAGAGTCGCCATTGTAGAATTTCTAACCATAAACTTAATCTCTTTAGTAGTTGTAAGGCTACTCAGGTTATCCATTTTATCTTCAGTAGGCTTTAGTAGTATGTGTATTTCAAGGAATTTGTGTATTTCAGCTAAACTGGAGATTTTCTTGATATAAAATTATTTGTAATTTTTTAATTCTAATATCTATGGAATCTGTAGTGACATCATAATCTCTCTCATATCTGATATTGGTATGTTGTATCCTTTCCATTTTCTTCTCAGCAGTCTGGCTAGAGGTGTACAAATTCTGTTAATTTCATTAAGAATCAATATTTGATTTATTTTTTCTATTGTCTTTCTGCTTTCTATTTTATTAATGTTGCTCTGATATTATGTTCTTTGTTTGCTTTATTTTGAGTTCTTTTGTTCTTTCTCTAGTTTTTTAAGGTGAAAGCTGGAGCTCTTGATTTGAGACCTTCCTTCTTTTCTATTTCTGGCATTAAGCGTTTTAAATTTTTTTGTAAGTACTGCTTTTATTGCATTCCACAAATTTTTATGTGTTGTAATTTCATTTTCATTTACTTACAAAAACGTTTTTAATTTTCCTCTTTAACTTATAGATTTATGTGTATTTGGAACTTTTTAGATATCATTCTATTTTTAATTTCTAGTTTAATTTCATTATAACTACAGAGCATTCTTTATATAACTTGATTGTTCTGAAATATGAGACTAGTTTTATGTCTTACAGTACAGCTTATCTTAGTAAATTGTCCATGTGCTCTTTCCAAAAATGAATGTTCTGCTCTTGTTGAGTAAACTCTTCTAAAAATGTCCATTAGGTCAAATTGATTGACAGTGATGTTCAATTTCTTCATATCCTTACTGATTTTTTGTCTACTTTTATCATTTATGAGAGAGGGATATTGATCAGCTATAATTGTGATTTTGTCTATTCTTCTTGCAGTTCTATCAGTGTTTGCTTCCTGTATCTTGAAGACTTTTGTTTGATACATACATAAATGCTTTAAATTTGTATATTCCTTTGATTAATTGACCGCTTTATCATCATAAAATGACCCTTTTGTTCCTAGTAATAATCTTTGCTCTAAAGTCTACTTTGTGTGATGTTAGAATTTTTCTACTTTTCTTCTATTGGTGTTAGCTTGGTATTTATTTTTCCTTCCTTTTACTTTTAACCTCTTTGTGTCTTTGTATTTCATTTGTTTTCTTTTTAAGCATCCTATTTTTGGGTGTTGCTTCTTTATTCCATCTGACAATCTCTATATTTTAATTTTGAGAATTTAGACCATTTACATTTCATGTGATTACTGATATGGTTAGGGTTCAATCTGTCAACTTGCTATTTGTTTTTTATTTTTTGGCCTGTTCTTCCTTTTTTCCTCTCTTTCTGCTTAGTTAGAATTTACTGGGTTTATTTATTGTTAATTTTCTCCCTATGTTTGCTTGTTAGCTAAAGGTTCTTACTTTGTTACCTTAGCGATTATTTTAGAATTTGTAGCACACATCTTTACCTTATTACAGTCTACTTTCAAGCAATATTATATATGATATAAGCCCCTTAAAATGACATTATTTTTTTCTCCTTTCCTAGTTTTTGCATTGTCATACATTTTACTTCTACATGTTATAAACCCCATACCACATTGTCTTTATTTTTTTACAAGCAGCCAGTTATCTACTAAGAAATGTATATATTTTTTAAGTATATTTTTTCCCATGTGATTACCATTTTTATGTTCTTCATTCCTTTTATTGATCTATGTGTCAATTTTCTTCCTGCTTGAAGGACTTCCATTTATATTTTATATAATGCATTTCTGCTATTTATGAATTCTTTCCGTTTTTGTGTGTCTGATAAATACTTTATCTTTGTATTTAAAGGTATTATTGATGGGTAACAAATTGTAGGTTCACAACCCCTTTTTTTTTTCTTTTTTAGTACTTCAAAAACGTTGCTCCACTGTCTTCTCACTTGCATTACTTTGATGAGAAATTTGTTCCTCTCTATATAATGCATCTTATTACACGTATCACTCTGGCTGCTTTTATGATGTCTCTCTTTAATGCTTGTTTTATACAATTTGATAATGGCTTCTTTTCCTGTACTTTTCTTCATGTTTCTTATGATTGAGGTTCATTGAGCTTTTCAATCCATGTGTTTGTAGGTTTTATCAAAATTGGAAAATTTTCAGCAATTATCATTTCAAATACTTTTCTGCTGCCTTTTGATCTTCTGTCTTCCAAGGACTCCAAATACCATATCAGGCCACATAAAACTTTCCTGCAGCTTACTGATGCTCTCTTGATGTGTTTCATTTTGGATAGTTTCTATCATAATGTCTTTTCATTGTGGGTCATATTTTCTTGCTTCTTTGCATGCCCCTTGATGTTATATTATAACAACCATGGCAAATTTTACCTTGTATTAATAGCTGCTGGATAGTTTCGAACTTCTAAAAAAATCATTGATCCATTTTGTAAGACACAGTTAAGTTACTTAGAAATAATTTGATCCTTTAGTGCCTTGTTTTTAAGATTTTTTAGAAGATGAATCAGAGCATTAATCCATGGCTACTTTATTTCCCACTACTGAGGGACTCTTTTGGTTCCTTATCCAATGCTTCATGAATTATGCTTTTTCGTGTGGCTAATGAGAAAAGCTGTTGTTTTCAGCCCTGTATAAACTCCTAGTGTTGTTCTGTCTAATCCTTTGAGTGATTCTTTACCCAGCCTTTCATACATATATGCCCTGATCAAGGGGCCTTTTCCAAATCCCTGGAATTCTTTCTATACGCATTTCTCTCCTCTCTGGTACTCTGTCCTGTGAACGTTAGCTATCTTTGCTGAACTTTTAGCATCATCAGTTCAACTCAGAGAGTCCACCAGACTCTGCCTGGATCCTCCTCTTTGTCAGAAAACTCTCTGAGGATATTAAGCTGGGACACCCCCATTTGTGTCCTTTATTTCAGGGATCATTTTTCTTAATCATCTGATGTTCAATTCCTTAAAAACTATTTTTTAAAATATATTTTGTCCTATATTACAGATGTTTCAGAAAGGAAGACTAATCCAGGTCCTGTTATTCTATCTTTGCCATAAGTGTATAGCCCCACATGTTTACAGTTTATATTTTCCATGAGTGTCTTATTGGATAGCCAGGGTTGAACCACTGTTTCAGAAGTCCAACAGTGAGTTTTCATGGACTGGGATAATTTATATAGTTAATTAAATGAATCTGGGCTTTATGAGATTAAATAAAAGAGGCTATATAAAGTTCCTGATGCACACTTAAAACTCAATAGCTAGTATTAACCTTGCGTCTTCTTCAGTGTATCCTTGAATTTAAAAAGACATTGTTTTATAATGGAAACAGACATAAACAGGACTTCAATAACCTGAATTCTGGTCATTGGTTTCCAACCTATCAGTATTGGTGAGCCATTTAAACTCGTGAAGTCTTGTTCTTCTAATCCTCTCAATGATGGCTGAAATATTTTTCCTTTATGTCTTATGGAATTGTTGGCAAGATAAAGATATCGAAGGTGAAAGTTCTTTTGTAAATTGAAAAGTATTACATATATGTGATAATACTCTCAAATTTTGCCTGGTGATTTTTTGTTTGGTTCAGTTTTAAATTACACTTCACTATGTGTTCTATTTTTCCCAAATGGGCCATTTGTACATAGAAAGCCTTTGAAGAAAGGCCCTTAAAGATAAATTTTTTGACAGATTTTTAAAACTTTACTTAACACAGAAAATTTTCCAAGCATCTTTGTAAGGTTAATAAAGAAGTGTATTTTTAAAAATAACCTAGAAAGTACAAAAACACAGAAAAAAATTTAAAATAATGCCCTTATGTTAATTTATAAAAATAAATTGATATTGTCACCCTATTACTATAAAAATAAAAAATAGGTTTCTATATTATGCATATGGATTCAAGATACATTGGGATATTTAAATTCATTATTCCAATGGGACTCAATAATGTTTATGTAAGGTAGAAGTACTCTGTGTTTTGTGGTGATCAAGACAGTTATGGTTCAAGAGACTTAATTCTGGTTCTAGAATTAAAATCACCCAACCACAAGAGCAAATGCTTATTTAAGGTATAGTCCCACTTGTATTCAAAATGCTTCACAGATAACTATAGCTAGACTAAATTGCTGTGTAAATACCAGATGCAGATCTGCAGGTACAGCACTCCTTAAGACCGTCTATCAGAAATGTTAAATGTCATAGTGCATAATTTATCAATGCTAATAGCCCTCGGCACAGATCTGAGGGAATTAACCTATACAGTCAAACTATTTATCACATCACAATATATAAAATATACTTTTAATTAATAAATGGACAATCTATCGCCTTCATGGATGCAGCTGATCAATCCTTTTTTATCTTCTGTCTACAGTTTGGGTCTTTTTAATGGGTTTTAATGGGTTTTTCTGTACACTTGCACAGCCGAGTTTATGCACTTACTTCCTGGAACAGTTTCTGTACTTTGTGGTATAATCTCACAACCTCTTTGGTGTTTTTCCACGGCAGTATCAGTATGAAAATAATCATGCTTCTTGGTATTTTAAAATGGCATTCATTACTCTTGAGCTGACCTCTCTGGCACTAGCCTATCTGAAAGTCATAAAATTAGTATAATGCAGTTCCCATCAATACACTAAGTCTTTAAGGACCTGAGTTAATAGTTTACATGAGCAAAGATTGTTAAAAGTACAGTGATTCACTACACTCATGAAAAGTGAAGCAAACAGCTACAGTTGGAAAACAGTTTTATACAGATGTTAACAAAGCATCTAAGTTATTACTTCATCTGTTACGGCAACTACTGAATTTAATTGTCTAGTTACATTTGGCATCAAATCAACTTTTAAAAATTTGATGGTACAGAACGCTTCTTCCAGATTTACAAACAGGATGTATTTTATGGGAATTTGAGTGAAAAATTTAAGGTTATAAAATAAACTATTTTGAAGTAATTGATGGTTTCAGCACTTTATACTTAGTCAATCAGAAATATTTCTACTTCAAATTTTAAAAAGAATTAAGATCAATGAAAGCAATGAGTTAAAATGCATGAGGACACTATGAGTATTCTATTTTTAGTGTTCTGTATTCCTAATATTTTCTAAAACATGTTGTTTTGATTCAGGATTTTACACTTCTGGAAACATTATTTTAAACTTCTCCTCTTATGTGTAACATGGGTTTTAGTAAAAGACTGAATAATTAAAAGGCAAAAATATTTTATTCATAAATAATCATATTGTTATAATCACTTGGTTTCATAAGGAGATTATTCCTTCTTATGGTGCCCTATCATGTCCTTAAACCTTAATATTCCAGTTTTCAAATCCAAATACCAAGGAAGACAGAACATCTTACAATGAGCTCCATTTTCCAGATTAATGCACCTGAGAAACATTTTTCCTTATTTAATATCCCTTACTCATTTCCTCTCCTGTTATAGGGATAGCACAGCTGTTTATCTGGCAATTATCTTTGAATCTATTAGTGAAAATGCCTAAATTAATCATAAAAAGACAAGTACATCACAGAGTGTGCTATGAATACAGGACCTCCTTGTATTCTTTCTGTCATTTTCACTTGTTCCATATGGCAGCATTTGTTTCTTGATACTGTAAACCGTAAGTTTGTTTCAGATAGAGAACTTATATAGATTTATTAGACTGTACTACTTAGTTCTAGTAAGAATACTGGTTACCCCCAGCAATTCAAATGTTCTTAGTTATAGCTACAGAATAGTTCTGTGCAGTCAACAAAAAGATATCTGGGAATTGTGGGGGATGTGCGTATTTGACTTAAATAACTCATCCAGAAGTTTGACAGATTCAATATTTGGATCAATGATTAGAAAATAGCTTCCATTTAATTTAATGAACATTTGCTTGTTGTTTTTAAAATATATATGCTATGGAAAATCTAAAGATAGGGTGGTGACATGTAAACTGTCATTTAGAGAACTGAAATAAAAGGTGGAATATGGACTGTCATAGAATATAGGTAGACACCCCAGGTTGTGCCCCTAATTCATTCATTTAATCAAAGAATATTAGAATCTACAAAATGAAATTTGTGTTTTTCAACTCGTACAAATATGAGCAAGACATGTTTTTTGATTTTCTTTTTTTTGTTTTTTTTTGTTTTTTTTTTTTGCCCGCAGGAAGTTCAGTGTCTACTAGAGGCAACAGACATATAAAGATATAAATTATAATAGAAGATTAAATGATATCATTGTGACAAGAAGAAAGTCTCATTTTGTAAGGGCACAAAATGAAAAACTCTTATTAATGCCAGAACTAACTTCATAGATAAATAACAGTAAATTTTCTAGTATAACTGATAAGGTCACACATAGATCAATGTAAAGGAAAAAACAAACAACAAATAGAACATAAGAATTATTCTCCTCAAAGGAAAAGCCTAATGCTTTTCCCAGCAGTCAGAGAAAGGGAATAAAATAAGGTCTTCAGACATGGGGATGTGTTTAGTCACAACTCACTAACAAAAATTGGTTAAGACAAAATGTCTTTCACAGTTGAGAATTCTTCTCTAGGCTCAGCCCTTAACTGATGTGAGCTGAGAAATGGTTATTATGTGTCTTGTATATTCAGGGATCCCTAATGTTACAGAGAAAGTGGAAGAAGTCCAGCCACTCATGTTTTTGCACACATTATTTTGATTAACTATCTTTGTTTCTCACATTTACTTTATAATTGTGTTTTTTCTATGCAGGTCTGATTGATAAATTCAGTTGTGCCTGTATTGTTAGAGGTTAAGAGTGATGGAGAACAACATACAGATGGCAAAATGGTTTTACTCACAATACAAAGGGTATTGCCTACCTAGAGCCCTGTGTTGAAAAGGACTCTGAGGACATGTGGCATAACCAATCTGCAATGAGTGAAAGAGGAGAGTAGCAGTGCAAGGGCCCCACATTTACTTTCTCTAGAAAAGAAACTGCGAGTGAAGATTTAAAAGTCAGGCAGACTCGGATTCCAACCTGGACTCTGTCACTTATTAGTTGTTCTTCTTTAAATAAATTGCTTAATCTCACAAAACCACTATTTCCTTTCCTGTGAAACAGAAATAAAAAATCATGGCACCTACTCCATATATGCTTATAGTAATAATTAAATGAGATAATACAGAGAAAGTATTTACAACAGTACCTAGCACATATAATCACTCTATCAATATTAACTAGATTAAATGAAATATTGTTCCTAACGTGTTAGCCTACTATAAAGAAAAATTATTAATAGTCTTAGTATTATGTACAGAAATTAAAAAACAAACATCCTTCTTCTCCCAAGGAAAAACTTTTAGGTATAGATGTAGTGGTATGAGAGTAATTCACTCATTTATCCATTCATGCAATAAATACTTATTAAATACCTACTGTATCATCTTTCTAAATACTGTGGGTGAAATTGTGGCCACATTTTTGCCCTTGCGGTGCTTCTATACTCATAGAACCTTCGTCCCACAATTTTAACCAAGTTACATATAATCATTTCCAGTGCAGAAAAACATAAGTAGCTGTTTATATATTATTCTGATATTATGGGCCTATCCATCCCGTTGCACCAAAGGTATTTTAAAAGCAGTAATAAATGTCTTCAACATTTTGAAATTCACCTCCACAGTAATCAGTTCTATGCCAGAATGCCTGGACAAAGAGTTCTAATGTCTTCTAAGCTTTCTAATTCCCTAGAAGGACCTGACAAACCACAGTGAACTGTTTCTGCAATTTAAGTAGCAATCAGAGAGATTTGCTGAAGGAGGTCTTGAGGAGGTTCAAAACTGAATCCAAACAAGGTCCTACATGTGTACATGGCTCTTTTTTTGGGAGGTAATTCTGAAGGCTGCTAGAGTTATAATTTCTAATGGCTTCAAAGTGTATTAATTCATCTAAACAGGAAGATTAAAGCTTTATTTTTTCTCACCCCTACATGCAGCTGATAACCACCAGATGCATGAGTTTCTAAGAAACAGACTAATGATATAGAATGTAATTTTAAATTTAGCTTTATACCTAGTTTCTGAAGACAATACAATGGATCGCTAGATGATTCACTGTAAATCCACGTTATTAAAAATTATTTTCATTTAATAGAAGATAGAATAGTTTAAACCACACAGATTTGCTCCTAGCAAAATAGCTGTTCTGATTTTCTCTAATTTGAAAAGGACTATTTCAGAAATAATTTGTACAGATATTGTTTCCCCACAACTGATGATATCCAGGTATTGATATTAACTTTGTAAATTCTATTTATTAAGGAGTACTATTTGAATTCTATCAAGAGAAAATATAGATTTCAAAATTTGTTATGCACTGTTTATAAAAGAATAAATTCAGTTATTACAGAAGAAAATCAGGTACAAAGCAGAAAAGATTCATTTGAGTATGTTTCTAATAAAATTATAAATGCTTATATTATTAACTTGAAAGTGTGGATTAAGACTACTATAGATGAACCCTCCCTTGTAAATCAATATCAATTAAAAATAATCACCATCAGACAACCAAACCAAAGTCTGCATTGCTGTAAAAAAGGTTTGCCCTAGTGACAGATCATTGCTACAACCTCTCACGCTATTGGGTGATGTTTACCATATGTCCCATGATTGATAGTCGAATTTAATGAGTTCTTACAAGCAATTAAATAATCAAGAGTTCCTGCTGTTACATGGCATAGCTTGATAGAACAGTGACAAATGAGAGAATATCTACAACCTAATCAAAGGGACATATTTCCTTGGGAACAAAATAATATTATCCACCAGTGCAATCAAAGGACAAAAGAACATAGAAAGGACACCAACAGAATGAGATAAATTATGTCCTCTTTTCATTATTCTGACTGCACAGTTTCCATTTATTGTGTCTTATTAAATCAGAAAGAAAATTAGGCTTGTTAAATATGTTTCACTTATCATATGTTGTTGGATGGTTCATATATATGTATACTTAATCCTTCAAGAGAAGACTATTGTTGAAAATCACTAACAAACGGTACAATGTATTACTCTTCGCCCTCCTAAGAAAAACATATCAAGAATAAAGACTAACATGCATGCCAAAAAGTGCAAGGCAGCCTTAGGTGGTTTTCCTCAGGCCTTCCATGTTAAATGTTATTTTACTGCCCCCCCTTGGTGTTCAACCCAGGTAAATGTAACACAATTTTGTTTTTGTCAGTTCATCTGTAAGTGTAGAGTTACAATAAAAAGATCCACTGTCTTTGAAGATTCTCCACTTTAGTATTAGTTTTCCACAGTAATTTCCTATAAATTTCAAATAAAATGTCTCTAATGCATATAATATTTCATGATACAATCGTATTCATTTCCCACATTGTTAGGAAAGTAGAGGATTATTGTTCTGTTAAATCCTGATGAAATATGAATTTTTATATCTATTCATGATATCCCAGGTGGTGTACATTTTATGCTTCTCATGTTTGCTTTCTGATACTTAAGTAAATAAGTAAAATAATAAGAATAATGACAAATGTTTTTTTAAAAACTACATGTTGGAAGGATACGTTTGCATATTTTATCTAAAAAAATCACATCACATGCACTGGATTGCCATCCATTTTAGCAGATTGAGACACAGCTTTTAAGAGAAGTCAAATAAAGCCTTATTTTGGCAAGAGGCAGAGTTGGGATTTGAATTCTTACACTTTTAATATAGCTCTATAGTAAAGACAAATATTCTGGAAGTAGATATGCCTGATGCTGAATCTGGCTCTGTCACCTACTAGCTGTTTGGCTTTGGGCAAATTATTTATACTTTCTGAGCCTCAGTTTCTTCAGCCAAAAAAGGAGATAATATGCAATAACTCATCCAATATATGTAGCAAATTACTTGGTCAGTGAATGTGACTATTAGTTATTAGCTTATTCAAATACATATTGGCCACGTATGGGCCTGAATATACATATAAGGCTGCTCCAGCCATGGAGGAATTTAAAATTTAAATGAGAATGATGCATAATAAATAGCAGATTAGAATACAGACTACCTAGCTGTCTTCTTTGATTATTGTAGGCACAGTGCAATGTAGGCAAACAAATTAAAACAAAAATGCAAGAAGAATGAATGAACAAATCTGAGTTGGACACAGGACCATTAAGGTGGGACCGGTTAAAAAAAAATAGATCTTAAAGAATCAATAACCATGAGTGTGGTAAAGAGTGAAGTTCATGTTGGTTCATGCAAAAGGAATCACAAAGACTTGAAGGTGAGTCAGAGTGTGGTAGATTCAGGGAACTGAATATCATTTAATTTGACTGCGGCTCAGAACAAGTCTCTGGGAATAGTGGATGAATGAGATAAATCATTAAGCAAAAAGCAAGTCATGTAAAAACAGGCCAAAAGGTTTGCAGGTTTGCTCTTCTTCCTTAAGGCCATGGGGAACAATTGAACAATGTTTAGAATTGGAGTAAGAAGGGATCCTAGGCCAGGTGAAGTGGCTCATACCCGTAATCAAAGCACTTTGGGAGGCTAAGGGAGGGGGATAGGTTGAGGCCATGAGTTCCAGGCAATCCTGGGCAACATACCATGACCTCATCTCTAAAAAATAAATTCACACACACACACACACACACACACACACACACACACACACACACACACAAACAAAATAATTAGCTGGGCATGGTAGCTCCCACCTATAGTCCCAGCTACTCAGGAGTCTGAGGCAAGAGGATTACTTGAACCCAGCAGTTCCATATTGTAGTGAGCTATGATCATGTCACTGCATTCCAGCCTGGGCAAGAGAGCGAGTCCCTCAAAAATGGAAAAGAAAGAAGGATGCTAAAAGAAAGTCATTCAATTAGAAGTCTCTGGCAGTAATACCAGCTGGACATGATGGTGACTCACATAGGCTGTGGTACTGAGGGTGGAAGGAACTAAACAGATTCTAGAAATTTTAAAAAATTATCATCTCGACTACATGAAGACTGGATGGGGCTGGTGTAGACTGATGATGTGTTAAGAAATACAAGAGAAACAGATCTTCAGGGAAGGGAGACAGTATGTTAAACCTAAAAAATGCTGAATTTCTAGTAAACATCCATGCAACAATAGGCAGTGGGCAATTAGATATATAGGTCTGCAACTCCATAAAGAGATATGAACAGGAGATACAAGTTGCAGGCATGAGCATATAGATGTCCACTGACAATATGAGTAGATGAGATCATCAGAAAGAAGTAAATGTGAGAAGAAAAGATGGCTAAAGGTCGTAGCCCAAGCAATATTTAAGTGATATATAAAGGAAAAGTGGTATGAAGAATACAGGCAGTCACAGAGAGAAGGGCAGAGACAATAAAGATTGTTTTCCTAGAAGTCAGGGCAATAATGAATTTCAAAAACAACATGTTCACCACCCTCATAAAGGAGCAGAAGTGACAGGGAAGATAATATTCTACAATGAACAGTATTATAGACCCTGTCATTAACCACTTCAGATTCTTTTGTCCTAAACTGTCTGTTGGGCATTTGGCCATTTGTATTCTTATCAGCCATTAGGAATAGCCTATTTCTCCATGAGCTTTCTGTGGCACAAAGAACAGTAGTCCTGGGGCCTGGGGTTTCCTTACTGACAATAGCACAGGGTCACTGAAACCTTTGGTGATCTCATGTGCACAATTAGGGAGTGTAGAGGAACTTAATTCCCTGTGGGCTCACTTTGACCAGTGGCAGAAAGGAGCTGATGATTATATTATTTTTCCTTCCTCTGCTTTTTTCTTGACTTCCCTGAAAATTAGTCATGTATGAGACCTCTCAGAAGATGGTGTCAGGAGACTGAGAATTTGTGCTTGATACCCACATGGTGGTCAGGATGAAAACACATTGTCTTACTTGCTCTCACGTTTTGGGCAACATTTACTTTTTCCCCCCTTTTCTGCTCCTGGGGCAGCATTCTGGTATTCCATAATGAAGGAGTAACACTTTCTCTTGCTTCAGGCTCTGCTTTCTGAGGAAACCAGGATAAGACAAGTACATATACAGTTGTAATGAAAAAGTGTAGGTCTTTCCTTTGATTTGATACCAAAAAAAAATAATATTTCTTCTCAGCTTAACATCTAGGAACCTATAGTTAAGAACATAGTTTGAAATGATAGAAGTAATACAAACTGTCATTAGAAAAAAATTACAAAAATATGTGAGTAAATTGAAAAACAAAACCAAAAGAGGACTAATGTCACAATTCAAGAGAGTTCGAAGTAAAGACTCAGTTTTGTGGATATGACAGAGAAGAAAAATAGAAATGAGTTAGGAGACCATTTGAGAATATTAAGCCTAAATTTTCCTCAGGAACTAAAATTAGATAATATAGTCTAAAATATATAAAAGATAGACTTCATTGTCTATTTTTATGCTAATGGTCCTCAAAGTGTGGCAGCCAGATGTTCAGTATCAGCATCATTTGGAAAATTGATAAAAAAGTAAATTCTTAGATTTCTACTCCAAACCTACTGAATAACAAGTTTTAGGAGTATAGCCCAGTAATCTGTGTTTTAAAAAGCCCTCTAGGGGACTCTTAACGCATAACGATTAGAACCACTGCTTTTTATATCATGATCTGTTTCATTTAGAGTAAGACAAACTAAATTAAACATTAATAGGCTACCTCCTCCATGAAGTATTCTCTGGTTTCCCAAAATTGAAATAGCCTTTCCTGCCTCTGAATTCCCAAAGCTCTTATGTATTCATCTTTTTTGCATCATTAAAAGAAAACAAATTTTGGAACAATTAATACACTATACATGACACACTTGAGTGGTCATTATGAATTCTAACCTATCAGTTTCCCAAAAGAATCTAGGTAACTAAAGACATCTGATGTGGTTTGGCTGTGTCTCCACCCACATCTCATCTTGGATTGTATCTCCCATAATCCCCATGTGTTATGGAAGGGACCGAGTCAGAAGTAATTGAATCATGGGGTACAGGTTTTTCCTGTGCTGTTCTCGTGATAGAAAGTCTCACGAGATCTGATGGTTTTATAAAGGACAGTTCCCCTGCACATGCTGTCTTGTCTGCCACCATGTGAGACATGCCTTTCCTCCTCCTTTGCCTTGTGCCATGATTGTAAGGCCTTCCTAGCCATGCGCAACTGTGAGTAGTACATTAAACCTCTTTTTCCTTATAAATTACCCACTGTCAGGTATGTCTTTATTAGCAGTGTGAGAACAGATGAATACAGTAAATTGGTGCCGGTAGACTGGGGTGCTGCTGTAAAGATAACCTGAAAATGTGGAAGCAACTTTGGAACTGGGTAACAGGCAGAGGTTGGAACAGGTTGGAGGGCTCAGAAGAATACAGGAAAATGTGGGACAGTTTGGAACGTCCTAGAAACTTGGAGGGCTCAGAACACAGGAAGATGTGGGAAAGTTTGGAACTTCCTAGAGACTTATTGAATGGCTTTGACCAAAATGCTGATAGCGATATGGACAATAAAGTCCAGGCTGAGGTGGTCTCAGATGGAGATGAGGAACTTACTGAGAACTGGAGAAAAGGTGATTCTTGCTATGTTTAGCAAAGAGACTGGCAGCATTTTGCCCCACACTAGGAATCTGTAGAACTTTGAACTTGAGAGAGGTGATTTATGGTATCTGGCAGAAGAAATTTCTAAGCAACAAAGCATGACTTGCATTCTCTTAAATACATTCAGTTTTATTCATTCACAAATATATGGTTTGGAATTGAAACTTATATTTAAAAGGCAAGCAGAGCACAAAAGTGAGGAAAATTTGGAGCCTGACAGTGTGATAGAAAAGAAAAACCCATTTGCTGAGAAGAAAGTAAAGCCAGCTGTAGAAATTTGCATAAGTAACAAGGAGCCAAATGTTAATTGCCAAGACAATCAAGGCATGTCAGAGGTCTTCATGGCAGCCATGAAGGCTTGGAGGCCTAGGAGGAAAAAAATGATTTCGTTAGGCCCATGGTCTTGATATTTTATGCAGTCTTAGGACTTGGTGCCCTACATCCCAGCTGCGGCTAAAAGGGGCCAAGTTATAGCTCGGGCCTTGGCTTCTGAGGGTGCAAGCCCAAAGTCTTGGCAGCTTCCACGTGGTGTTGAGCATGCAGGTGCAGAGAAGTCAGGAATTTTGGTTTGGCATCCTCTGCCTAGCTTTCAGATGGTGTATGGAAACACCTGGATGTCCAAGCAGAAATTTGCTGCAGGGGTGAAGCCCTCATGAAGAACCTTTGTTTGGGCAGTGCTGAAGGGGAATGTGGGGTGCAAGCCCCCACACAGAGTCCTCATTGGGGCACTGCCTAGTGAAGCTGTGAGAAGAGGGCCACTGTCTTCCACACCCCAAAATGGTAGATCCACCTACAGCTTGCACAGTGCACCTGGAAAAGCCTCAGACAGTCAATGCCAGCCTGTGAAGGAAGCTGGGAGAGGGTCTGTACCCTGCACAGCCACAGGGGAGGAGCTTCCCAAGGCTGTGGGAGCCCACCTCTTGCATTAGCATGACTTGGATGTGAGACATGTAGTCAAAGGAGATCATTTTGGAGCTTTAATATTTGACTGCCCTGCTGGAGTTTGGACTTGCATGGGGCCTGTAGTTCCTTTGTTTTGGCCAATTTCTCCCATTTAGAATGGCTGTATTTACCCAATACCTGTACCCCCTCTGTATCTAGAAAGTAACTAACTTGCTTTTAATTTTATAGGCTCATAGGCGGAAGGAACTTGCCTTGTCTCAAATGAGACTTTGGACTATGGACTTTTGAGTTAATTCTGAAATGAGTTCAGATTTTGGGGGAATGTTGGGAAGGCATGATTGGTTTTGAGATGTGAGGACTTGAGATTTGATAGGGGCCAGAGGTGAAACAATATGGTTTGCCTGTGTCCTCACCGAAATCTCATCTTAAATTGTAGCTCCCACAATCCCCACATGCTGTGGGAGGAACCTGATGGGAACCAATTGAATCATAGGGGTGGGTTTTTCCTGTGCTGTTCTTGGGAATTAGTGAATAAATCTCATGAGATATGATAGTTTCATAAAGGGCAGTTTCCCTGCACATGCTCTCTTGCCTGCCACCTTGTAAGATATACCTTTGGGCCTTTACTTTCTGCCATGATTGTGAGGCCTCCCCAGCCATGTGGAACTATGAGTCCATTAAACAATGATGAGTAAGAGTACATAATGCTTGTTAAAAATATATATATAATCTAATTTCTTTAAGAAAAAATATACTTAAAGAATATTGAAAAATTGTACAATTGGACACATGAAGAATGAAAAGTAGCTGCAATTTTCTCTGACTTTTGAAATGCCTTAGACAAGATCCTAGACTAACGGTTATTGATCATATTGAGTCAATATGAAATAGAGGGCAGTGTTTGGTTATAAGTAGGAAACAAACATAAAAACCATCAACTCTCCATTAGACACATGTGGGTTTTTCAGTTTGCTGGCCATCTGTATCTAAGTATGCATTCTGGACTACTTACTCTACCTTTAATTTATGGATCCTCAAGGAATCAAAATAGGTATCAATATTTGCAAATCCAAAGGTTTTCAAACCTTTTAAGCAAGAAAACAGCCTTTGCTCTACCTTGTTTTTTCCTTAAAATAAAAATTTACCCGGAATCCATCTATGTAAAAGTTAAATAAATAAAATCAAGATTATTCTGGTTTCTGCCTTTCTTTCAGCAGTCTCTTCTCATTAGAGACTTCTAAGGTTAGCATAATAAGTGGGTGCTATGCAGCCACTAAGTTTAATTTTGGACAGCCTGTGAATGAGAATTTCTGTAGCCTTTCCTCAAATAATTTAAGTATATATATTAATGGGGGTTATAGATATGGAAATATCATAGATATTATCTTCCTACATTCAAATATCTGTTATAAAACAAAGCAAATGCTACCAAAATAATATAGTTTGCACTGGAAAAATTACCATTAAATACTGTGCTGTGGCTTATTACAATTTACAATATGCAGTGCCCTATAACTGTTTTGAGATTACATGAGAGATTTATTTTTAATATAATTTATTGACATATTCCACTATATCAGACCTCTTAGATTACCAAAAATAATAGAGTATAATGGTTTGTGCTATTTAGTTGGGTGCATCTTAAATGGCTCAGAAACACTCCTAACATTCCAGAGCACAAAAATACTGTCAAGAGGCAAGATATGTGGTTCTTGCACAGCAAAAATAAGACATAATGATCTAAACGCAAATCTAGGAGTACTCAATGATGTAACTCAAAAGAAAAAATTAATTGGAACTATGATATATCTGAAGATAGAAGTATGGAGAAGAGTTTTAACAGGGAGAGGAGCAAACTCCATTGTCTAATCTTCCAAAGATATTTTCCATGTACATTAGAGAAAAGTAGTTCATGTATAGTAAGAGCAGTACAAAGGGATCAACAGCTGGCACTAAAATATAATTCTCTTTATCTAAGATAAATGAAAGGTGAAAATACCAAAGTTCAGTAGCATTAAAATTTTTGAATCCCTCAGAATCAATAAGTTCACAAAAATTACACACCTCATTAAATTCTACACAGATTGCAAAGCTAGCTATAATGTAAAAACAGGCAGACAGTCTGTCTCAATATTATTACAGGAAGGGTTGGTTAAATTAATAGCTTCTCATTGATTAAAAAATCTTGCATTTTACATGTTCTTAAGTTGGTTCCCACCATTATCTTTCAATAATAGAATGAGTCTTTGGAGAAATGTGGTTATATTGAACTATTAAAATACAAAGGTAGGCAAAAGATGTTTACAATATGCTATCATTGTTTCCTGTCATAAAATGCTAACTACGTGAAAAGAAAATATGTTTGCTTCCTATATTCTTAGTGATTTTTTATGCTTAAAATCTCCTACTGTTAAAAGTATAATTAGTCTATAATGTTAAGTAAGCATAAAACAGTATTACTGCATCATAATTTTCCTAGGCAAGACATCATTTTGTTCAGGTAATACAGTATCTGACATTGCATGTGACAATGCCACTGAAACCTTGTCCATTTGTACTCACTGTGAATTAGGAAATGCTCTCTTATTGGACTACCAGTCATCTGCATTTTGCATATATTCATTTATCTCATTTCCACTTTTGCTCATTTAATAAAACATGGTAATCACATGACTCACCTAGAAAGATTTTATTATAAATGTAGATTCTTATTCAACTTACATGTTTATTTCTGTTCTGTAGAAGTCTACATTTTTTTTTTTTCTGAGACAGAGTCTTGCTGTGTCACCCAGGCTGGGGTGCAGTGGCATGATCTCAGCTCACTGCAACCTCTGTCTCCCGGGTTCAAGCAATACTCCTGCCTCAGCCTCATGAGTAGCTGGGATTGCAGGTGCCCACCACAACAACCGGGTAATTTTTATATTTTTAGTAGAGACAGGGTTTCACCATGTTGGCCAGGCTGGTCTCAAACTCCTGACCTTGTGATCTGCCCGCCTCAGCCTCCCAAAGTGCTGGGATTACAGGTATGAGCCACTGTGCCCAGCCAAGTCTACATTTTTTAATACATATAATCCTTTATTAATTCAGTCTCCTTCTTCTCTTAAAGGTTAACAGTAGGTAATTTACCTTTCTTATTGTCAAGTTTACTGAAACACATATATTTATGATGTATTACTAAGTTCATTTAAATTTCAGAAGATTTATTCAATCAAAATTCAGTTGATGATATTATTATTGACAGTATTGGTCTTGTTAGTTATTCCCTTTCACTAATATCTTCAGTTAAATATGTTGCCATGTCAAAATTAATTTACTGACACTGAAGCAGCATTAAATTGCACTTTTTTTTTTTTTTGAGATGGAGTTTCACTCTTGTTGCCCAGGCTGGAGTGCAGTGGTACAATCTCCGCTCACCTCAAACTCCACCTCCTGGGTTCAAGCGATTCTCTTGCCTCAGCCTCTCTAGTAGCTGGGATTACAGGCATGTGCCACCATGCCCAGCTAATTTTGTATTTTTAGTAAAGATGGGGTTTCTCCATGTTGGTCATGCTGGTCTCGAATTCCCGACCTCAGGTGATTCGCCCACCTCAGCCTCCCAAAGTACTGGGATTACAGGTGTGAGGCACCACACCTGGCCTAAATTGCACTTTTATTTGATCATACTATATATACATATTAAATACCCTTTAAATATATATTATAAATTAATGTATTATACAACTGATATGTTAATGTAAGATTATATGAATATAACTTTTTTTTTTTTTTTTTGAGATAGAGCCTCGCTCTGTCACCGAGGCTGGAGTGCAGTGGCGCGATCTCGGCTCACTGCAAGCTCTGCCTCCCGGGTTCATGCCATTCTCCTGCCTCAGCCTCCTGAGTAGCTGGGACTACAGGCGCCTGCCACCTCGCCTGGCTAATTTTTTGTATTTTTAGTAGAGATGGGATTTCACTGTGTTAGCCAGAATGGTCACGATCTTCTGACCTTGTGATCCACCCACCTCAGCCTCCCAAAAGTGCTGGGATTACAGGCGTAAGCCACCTCGCCCCGCAGTATAACGTTATTTATGTGTTACATCATGATATATTATATATTTTTTATATATGTGTATATACATATATTAAAACACTTATTTAGGGTAATTGAAAACGCAGTCTCTTAAGTTGAGATACATTTCAGCTAAAAACAATCTATTCCTTAGTTATTAAATAATAAAATTCAGTTATGAAAGATATATATATTAAATATATTTGTGCAAAGTTATGAAATGATACACTATATTTCAGTATAATTAGAAACATTTACATAAGCAAAGTCATTAAATAGAGAAGATTTAGGTAGATTAAGATTAGCTTTCTTATTCCTATTTGTAATTATGCTATACATTTGAAAAACGCATTTTAGAAACTGTAATCTTAAAAACTATAGAATTATAAAAACTGTAATTAGATCTCAAAAAATCATCTTCTTAATGTGGACATATTTATCCATAACCAGATGTTAACGTATTAAGTTTTCACATTTCTTGAATATGGAAAAAATCTATATCATCCCCTTTTTTAAGCTAAAGGAAAAAATAATGTGTTGTATGTAAAGATGTTCTATGATCTTTGACACCACTGCTTTAGTGAGGTCATTTCTCATCTACTGTGGTGTTATTGAGTTTCATGTTTTGGATTGAATAACGTCCACTCAAATTTATATAATATTTGAGTATTATACAAGAAAACTCATTATTGCAGCCCAATAATATTTGGGTTTAGTGATAATTATTACAGCTAATGTGATTGGAGCACATGTCAAATTCTTAATAACAGCTAAAGGCCACCAAATTCATGGTGACATTGAGAACACATGGACACAGAGAGGGGAACAACACACACAACAGCCTGTTGGGAGTGGAGGGTGAGGGAAGGGAACTTAGAGGATGGGTCAAAAGGTGCAGCAAACCACCATGGCACACGTATACCTATGTAACAAACCTCCACGTTCTGCAAAAAATAAAAATAAAAAAATTTAAAAATTAAAAGTAACGAACTTCCAAAAAAAATTCAGGTGTCTGACCTAAGTGTCTATCAATGGTTGATTGTATAAAGATAATGTGATATATATACACATTGATATACTATTCAGCCATAAAAAATATCAAAATTGACCAGCCACAGTGGCTCACGCTGTAATCCCAGCACTCTGGGAGGCCGAGGTAGGAGGATTGCTTGAACCCAGGAGTTCAAGACCAGCCTGGGCAACATATTGAGACCTCATCTCTATAAAAAAATAAACAAAATTAGCTGGGTGTGGTGGTATGCACATGTAGTCCCAGCTACTCGAGAGGCTGAGGTCGGAGGATTGCTTGAGCCCAGGAGGTTGAGGCTGCAGTGAGCCAAGGTTGCAACACTGCCCTTCAGCCTGGGTGACAGACCAAGACTTTGTCTCAAAAAAAAGAAAGAAAGAAATTATGTCTTTTGCAGCAGCATGGATGAAACTGGATATCATTATCTCAAGTAAAATAAGCCAGACCCAGAAAGTCATATATCACGTGTTCTGACTCATAAGTGGGTGCTAAAAAAAAAAAAAATGTTTACGCATGGAGATACAGATTGGAATGATAGAAAATGGAGACTTGGAAGGGTGAAGACGTGAGGGAAGGGATGATGAGAAATTACTTAATGAGTATTATTCAGGTGATGGATACCCTAAAAATTCTGAGTTGACCACTATGCAACCTATGCCTGTAACAAAATTCCATGGTACCATCATAAATTTATACAAATTAAAAAAAACTTTAAAACAAATTCATGGTGACTATGTCTTTTCAAATTACAAATAGCTGTATGCATACTTGACATTGCCATTACAGCAAATAAAAATAAAAACCTGACAAGTCCACAGGACTTGTGAGCTTGATTAGTCCATCACAAAATTTGAGTCTATTTTATTTTTGCTTACTTTTATATCTCCACATCTAATTTCTAAGACTGTTATTATAGCTGTGGAAATTATGGCATGACCTTCATTACATCATGGTGGAAACTTAGAGACTACTGACATTTCAAAATATTTGAATCATAAAAGAGATGAATCTGCAAACTTAACATTTATAAACTTAGTTCACCTCAATGGGAAGTTTTTATGCTTGTTGTTTTAAACAGACTAGAGAGCAGGAAGTGAACCACAGGCATAAAACGCATAATTTAGGAATTATTTAATTTTTCAGATTCTACTCAGGTAACCACTGTAATAACTAAAAATATCTACAAAAAAGTAAAGATTTAATAGGCTAAAGAGAGAAAAAAACTATACCAAGTACCTATATCTGCATGTGGTTTTTTCTCATAATATTGAATGTAGGTTATGTAAAAAAGCTTTACTAAATAAAAAAAAGGCAAACAAATTAGCAAAAAATGAGATAATTATCTGTCATTATTTGAAGTTAATTTCAATTTTTTTGCAGTGAATAATCCTTTTTTGTGCTCTAGTGTTTAAGACAACTTATATGTCTATATTTCTGTACAAGAAATAATTTTCTAATTTGCAGTGAAAGTTAATGAGTAACAAAATAATGAATGGGAACAATGCCTGTCAAAGATTGTGCTATGTATGTATTACTGAAGCACTGGAAATATTACCGTGGCATACTGTTTCTGTTAGAGTATTAATAAAATAACTGTCACACACTGTGTTCAATGTAAGTCAGACACTGGATAAACACTTCTATATTATCAGTATTAACCCCACCCAAAGCATTTAACGTGACATTATGACACCCAGAATACATATGGAGGAATTGAGAAACAGAGGTGAAACAACTTTCCTCCACACCACACAGCTAGTAAGTATAGGAACTGGAAATTTGAACATATTCTCATTCCAAGTAAATGCACTTAACCACTACCCTGTGGAAAGGAGATTCTAAAAGGATGAAATGATCAAACAAAAAATCTTCTACACAGCAAAGGAAACAATTAACAGTGTAAAGAAACAACCTATAGATTGGGAGAAAATATTTGCAAGCCATACATATGATAAGGGGTTAATAACCAAAATGTATAAGGAACTCAAACAACAGCAAGAAAACACATTACCCAATTGAAAAATGAAGGGACTTAAATAGATATTTCTCAAAAGAAGACATACAAATGGCCAAAAGAGACATGAAAAATGTCACCACTCATTAGGAAAATGCAAATTAAAATCTCAATAGGATATCATCTCACACCTCTCAGAATGGTTATCATCAAAAGAGGAAACATTGGGGTTGGCATGAATGTAGAGAAAAGGAAACCCTTATACACTGTATGCAAGTTCCTCAAAAAACTGAAAAATAGAGTTATCATCTGATCCAGCTATCCCACTATTCAATATTTACCAAGAGAATTTAAACTAATTTTGTTGAAGAGATATTTAGATTCCCATATTCACTGCAGCACCATTTATAATAGCCAAGTTATGGAATCAACTCAAGTGTCCGATCAACCTAAGTGTCCATCCAGATAAATGATTAAAGAAAACAATATATAATATACATACACAAAGAAACATTATACAGTCTTTAAAAAGAAGGAAATATTGTCAGTTGCAACAACATGGATGGAATTGAAAAGCTTTGTTCTAAAAGAAAACCAGTGTCATGGAAAGACAAATATTCCCAGTTATTTGCAGAATCTAAAACAACCTCATAGAAGTGGAGAGTAGAATGGTAGTAGCAGAAGTTGAGGGTTGGGAAAATTGGGACATGATGGTCAAAGGTAACAAAATCTCAGTTACCGGAAGAAAGGGTTTTTTTTTTTTCCTCAGTTCTATTGCACAGAGTGGTGAATACAGTTAATAATATTGTATTAAAAAATTTCCAAATTGCTGAGACAGCAAATTTCAGGTATTTTCACCACACAAAAAATAAGCATTTGAGGTGATGAATATATTGACTGGCTTTATTTATTTGTTCCACATTGCATTCATAAATGTAACATCACTTTGTACTCAATAGATATATATAAATATTAAATTACTATAAGATAAAATTTAAAAAGAAAACAGTATGGTATGAGGTCAGGTTGCAGCCTCCTAATGTCCTGCAAACTTTTGTTTAACAGAACTTTATTTTTTTGAAGCTTAATAACACAAAATGCCATAGCTTTTTACTCTTCACTTACTCAAAAAGCCTATCTACTACTAACATGCTAAAATAAGTTAATAGTGTGGGTTACTAGTATTAAATATTCATAAATGGAGATTTGTGCTCTACTAGATTTAACTGAGAAGCCTGTTTCTACCTGAGTGAGGTTATTACAGAAGGGTTGCCAGATGTATTTTTTTACTTCTGTTTCTGTTATTTGGGCTAGCATCCCTGCACAGCGCTAACATATCCTCCTCTGCATGTAAATGAAATCCCTCAATTTTTGAGAGAAATGCATTATTTTTGTTCTATCAATTACGTTCTGAATTCTCATTTCCAATTGATGTTTTATTTGCCTTGAAAGAATTTTATTGAGGTATAACTGAAAAAATGATTGCATATATTTAAAGTGTACAATCTGATATGTTTTGACGTAAATACATCTCATGTAATCATCAACACAATCAAATCAATGAACATCACTCTCGAAAGAAGTTTCTCCATTCCCACTGGTAATTTCTCTCCATTATCTCCATCCTCTATTCCTGATGTACACAGAACATGACTGATCTACTTTCTGTCGCTGTAGATGAGTTTACACTTTCTAAAATCAATGGACCCAAGCCATACATACCCTTTTGTCTGGCTCTTTTCGTGAGTTTTGCTTTGTGTACAAATAGTTGATTCATTTTTATTGCTGCGTTGTATTCCATATTTACCTATTGATGGAAATTCAGATTATTAGCCAATTTTTTTACTATTATAAATAAACTGCTATAAATATTCTTATAAAAGTCTTTGTACCTATGGATGCATGCTTTCATTTATCTCGGTAAACATGTAGGAGTGAAATACCTGGGTCATATGGTAGTTTTATGTTTCACTCTGTAAAACACAATCAAACAATGTCTGTTGTCCCATGTCAAGTACTACTTTGCATCCTATCAGCAATTTTTGAGGGCTGAATTACTCAGCATTCTCACCAACACTTCGTTTTATCACTGTTTTTATTTTAGACATGCTAATAGGTATGAAGAAATGTCCAAGGTGGTTTTACTTTGCATTTTCCTAATGACTAGTGAGGTTGAGCATCTTTTCTTGAGCTTATGTGATATCTATGCATCTTCCCTGGTGAAAGATCTGTTTAAATCTTTCATTCATTTTATTATGCAGTGTTTCTTTTCTTATTATGAAGTTTTGATCACCCTTTATATATTCTGAATAAAGTCTTTATTAAATATGTGATTTGCAACTATCTTCTCCTAGTCTCACTTGTCCTTTCACTCTATTAGCTGCTTCTAGTTGATATTGTTTGGCTGTGTCCCCATCCAAATCTCATCCTGAATTCCCACATGTTGTGGGAGGGATCCAATGGAAGGTAAGTGAGTCATAGGAGCAAGTCTTTCCCATGTTGTTCTCATGATAGTGAATAAGTCTCATGAGATCTGATGGTTTTGTAAAGAGGAGTTCTTGTACACAAGCTCTCTGTCTTTGCCATCTGCCATCCATTTAAGACATAACTTGCTCCTCCTTGCCTACCACTATGATTGTAAGGCTTCCCCAGCCATGTGGAACTCTAAGTCCGTTAAAACTCTTTCTTTTGTAAATTGCCCAGTCTCAGGTATATCTTTATCAGCAGCACGAAAATGGACAAATATACTCATGAAAAGAAAATTTTTTAAATTTTGTTGTAGTCCAATTCATCAAATTTTGTTTTATAGATTGTGGTTTTGGATTGACTGATAACCAAATAGATTTTCTGCTTGCTTCTATAATTTTTTTTGGCTTTAGATTTTACACTTAGGTCTGTGAGTAATTTAATGAATTTTTGTATGTTCTGTAGGGTATGAACCAAACTTTCTTTTTAGACTTACAAAAATATAACTATTTCACAATACATTTTACTGAGAAAAATTATTCTTTTTTCCACCAAATTAGCTTTGAATATTTGTTGAAAATCAATAGACCATATACATGTGTGTTTATTTCTCAACACTGTATTCTGAGATATTGATCAACTTAGCTATCTCCATGCTGACACTACAATGTTTTGAATATTGTAACTTTGATATGTCTTCAAATTAAATATTTCAAGTTTTCCAAACCTACTTTGTTTTTCAGGATTGTTTTTGGCTATTTTAGGTCCATTTTATTTCCCTATTGATTTTACAATGAGTTCGTCAATATCCACAAAAAAAAAACCCTCCTGAGACTTGAATAAAAATCAGTTGAATTCATGTATCAATTTGGGGAGAAATGACATAAACAATATTGAGTCTTTCTACATACAAACACAGTATTTCTCTTCATTTATTTTTCTTTATATTCTCAGCAATATTTTCAGTTTCCGTGTACAGCTTGAACCTTTACTCATATTTTCCTGAGGTGTTTTAGGTTTTCATGGTATTGTTTCCCAATTTTAATTTCAGTTCCTATTGCTAGTATATAAAAATGCAATTAATTTTTTATACATTAATCTTATATCCTTCAACTCTGCTGAAAGTTGAAATGTATATGCTTAAGTTGCTTTTTTTATAGTTTCAAGCAGATTTTTTACAGAAATGATCATATTGCTGTAAAAATAAGACAGTTTTACTTTCCCTATCCAATTCAGATACTTTCTTTTTTTTTACTTGCCTTATTGCACAGGCTAGAAACTCCAGTGAAATATTGAACAGAGTGAGGAGAACAGATAACCTTGTCTTAGTCCTCATGTTATGGGGCAAGCAATGAGTCTTTTGTCATTAAATATAATGTTACCTGTAGGATTTTTGTTGATATGCTTTATCATGTTGAGGAAGCTTCCCATATTCTTAGTTTGCTGAGAGTTTTTCTTGGAATTAATGTTGGATTTTGCCAGATGTTTTTCTGCACCTATTGAAGTAATCTTTTAAAAAATTTATTCTGTTAATATGGAGGCTTACATTGATTTTTGAATGTTGATCCAGTATTGTATTTATAAATTAAGCCCCATGGTGTATTAATCGTGTGTGTGTGTGTGTGTGTGTGTGTGTGTGTGTGTGTGTGAATTTAATTTGCTAAAGTATTTTTAGGAAATTCTGTATCACTGTTTTAGATACACAGGTCTGAAGTTTTCTGTTCACATCTTTAATCTTGGTATCAGAATATGGTCAGACTTATATACTAAGTATAAACTAATCTCTTCCTAAATTTTCTGGAAAATTTTGTATACATTTGGTATCATTTATTCCCATTAACATAATGGTTTAAATGTTTTGCATTTTTAATTCTTTTTTGTGCTTTATTCTGGATTATTTCTATTGCTGTATTTTTCCAGATCATATTTTTTCTTCTGCAAAGTCTAATCTGCCTTTAATTCTATCCAATGTATATTTGATCAAAGACATTGTTGTTGTTTCATCTTTATAAATTTTTTTGAAACTTGTTTATATCTGTCACCCATATCATTTTTTATATCTGTCACCCATTTATGTCATGTTGAATTTTATCTTGTGGAGTGCTTGCTAATTTTGTATTTCTATAAATATACTTGAACTTTTTTATGCAATGGGGTTGTTACTCAGAAATATTTTGTTCTTTCCCAATCTTTTTTTTAAAGGAAGAACCAGAATACCTTTTGGTTTAAGTTTGGTTTTTCCCTACTCTTCAGATAAGATATTTCTGAGTACTGCATTCAACACCCCCAAAATTTTCTTTTTTGATTGTCAGTTTCTAGTACACATTCAATTATGAATACTGAAATTTGAATTTTATATAATTTTTATGTCATAAAATGCTATTGTTATTTCCATTTTTACTAATATTTTAAAATGTAAAAAACTATTCTTAACTTACGGGTTATAGACATTGGGGACTCCCAGTTCTAGGCAAAATACATTTAACGCATTCTTCCCTGTTTCTCCTTTAGCTAAGAAAAACTAAAAATCTTGGACATTATATATAAAACAAGTATAATAAGACTCTGAAAGTTAGAGAGAAGGCAGAATACTAGCTAAAGAACTCAGACCCAAGAAATGACATGGTGGTTTTACAGGGTTTTGTTTGTTTGTTTGTCTGTTTGTTTGTTTTTTGACCATATATATACCCTGAACTGGGTATTCAAGAGACTGGCAAGTCAGAAACACCAGCGAGGGTTGGGCACAGTGGCTCATGCCCATAATCCCAGCACTTTGGGAGGCCAAGGTGGGCAGATTACCTGAGGTGGGAGTTTGAGACCAGCCTGGTCAGCATGGTGAAACCCTGTCTCTACTAAAAATGCAAAAACTAGCTAGACATGGTGGCAGACACCTGTAATCCCAGCTACTCAGGAAGCTGAGGCAGGAGAATCACTTTAACCTGGGAGGCGGAGGTTTCAGGATTGTGCCATTGCACTCCAGCCTGGGCAACAGAGCAAGACTGCGTCTCAAAAAAAAAAAAAAAAAAAAGGAAGAGAAAAACAAATAAGAAGTCCCAAGAAATCCTGGTCTTTTAAGTCAATGCACAAGGAAAGAGGCAGTCTAGCAATAAATAATAAATGCTCTACTCTAGGCAACACCATGGAAAATACTGCAGCCCTCAAACTCATCTCTGCATCTCTGCTAGCAAAGGACAAATGGAGAGCCTAGTCTTCCAACCTCCCCCAGTTGTAATGAGACACACTTTCTGCTTGCAAAAGAGGTGTCAGAGAAGGCTAGTGGAGAGACAGTTCTTCTGTCCCTGCCTGAAAGTAATGAGGCCTCCTTAGTAGTGGAGGCCATATAAAAACTAGCAATGAGTTACATACTCCTCTACAGAGTATCAATGGAGAGTAACTGGGGAAACTGGATTTTTACTCCCGTTGAGCATTAATGAAGCAATGGCATTCTTCTTTAACCGGAGTGATGTCAGAAACATCCTGCTTAAACAGAGGATCCAGAATCTCATAACAAAATGCCCAAAATATCCCCCAGATACAATAAAAAATATTCATTACACCAAAAATTAGAAAAATCACAACTTCAGTAAGAAACAACAATAAAATACAGCACCAGTAAGATGGCATAGATTTTGGAAATATCTGACAAAGATTTTAGAGCAGCCATCATAAAAATTCTTCAATGACCAATCAAATATTATTAAAAAAAGAATAGGAAGTCTCAGAAAAAAAAAAGTGAGATATAAAGAAGAACCAACTAGAACTTTTAGAATTGAAAAACACAATAACCAAAATTAAAAACTCAATGGAAGAGCTAAACAGCAGAATGAAGAGAACAAAAGAAGGAATTGGTGAATTTGAAGAGACAACAATAGAAATTACTCAACCTAAACAATAAAGATAACATACAGTGGAGTAACACTCACTTTTCTCAACTTCCTCTCTCACATAGTTCTTCAGCAGACTTAGTTTTTGGGGTATATACCCAAAGGACTATAAATCATGCTGCTATAAAGACACATGCACACGTATGTTTATTGCGGCACTATTCACAATAGCAAAGACTTGGAACCAACCCAAATGTCCAACAATGATAGACTGGATTAAGAAAATGTGGCACATATGCACCATGGAATACTATGCAGCCATAAAAATGATGAGTTCATGTCCTTTGTAGGGACATGGATGAAATTGGAAATCATCATTCTCAGTAAACTATCGCAAGGACAAAAAACCAAACACCACATGTTCTCACTCATAGATGGGAATTGAACAATGAGAACACATGGACACAGGAAGGGGAACACCACACTCTGGGGACTGTTGTGGGGTGGGGGGAGGAGGGAGGGATAGCATTAGGAGATATACCTAATGGTAAATGGCGAGTTAGTGGGTGCAGCACACCAGCATGGCACATGTGTACATATGTAACTAACCTGCACATTGTGCACATGTACCCTAAAACTTAAAATATAATAATAATAAAAAAAAGAAGAAATATGAAGAGTAGTTCCCTGAAAACAAATTTTTTGTAGGTTGGTGGAAAAACACTCTCCTGCCATCCACATATATCTACTTACATATACACACACAAGCAAACATATACACACACCCAGCCCCATCCCACCATAACAACCTCAAAGAAACAAAAGATATTGATACTTTCATAAAAGGAGCTGGAACTGGCGAGGTGATTAAGAAAAAATAATACTAAGACCTAAACATGTGGAGGAAAGGGAACCCTTGCACACTTTTGGTGGTATTGTAAATTAGTATATCCATTTGGGAAAACAGCATAAAGTTTCCTTGAAAATCTAAAAATAGAACAACTGTATGAACCAGCAATTTCATTTCTGGGTGTCTATCCAAAGAAATTGAAATCAATGTGCCAAAAAGATATCTGCACTGCTTTGTTCATTGCGGCACTGTTCACAATAGCCAAGATATGAAAATTATCAAAGTTCCCATGAATGGATGAATAGATTTTTTAAAATGTGGTGTATATATACACAATAGAATATTATTCAGCTTTTAAAAAGCAGGATATTCTGTCAGTTGCAACAACATGGGTCAACCTAGAGGACAACCTAATGAAGTAAGCCAGGCTCAAACAGACAAGTACTGCATGATCTTGCTTATATGTGGAATCTAAAAAAGTCAAACTCATAGAAGTAGAGAGTAGAATAGTGGTTACCAGGGGCTGGGGGAGAGGGTTGGCAGGGAAAGGGGAAATATTGGTCAAAGAGGACAAAGTTTCACTTAGATAAGAGGAATGAAAGTCTAGGTGATCTACTGCACAGCTTGGGTGCCATAGTTAATAATAATAATGTATATCTCAAAATAGCTAAATGAATTGATTTTAAATATTCGCATCACAAAGAAATGATTGGTATTTGAGGTGATAGATGTGCTAATTAGCCTGATTTGATCATTTCACACTGTATGCATGTATGGAAACATCACATTCTACCCCATAAATATATGCAATTATTATTTGTCAATTAAAAAATTTAAAAAGCAAGAACAATTATGTCGTGGCATGGGATATGTGTTTGGAGAAGAAAGAAAGCATTATAAAGGGAACAAAGAGCGCTAAGAAGTAAAAAGGGAGGTAAAGAAAAAGGAGAAGACCATAAATAGGAGAGGACTTAAGCAAAGTGTGAAACTGACCCTCCTTGTTATTATTATTCTAAGATGTATTAGTCCTGGCTCTTTGTGTTCCTAATTGGTTTCTAGTGTCCCCACAACAGGAAAATAATTAATAACAATCAACATGTTCTTTTTCTCAAGACCCAAGAAACATAAATTAAAAACTTAATCAAAAGAATATTAGGCCAGAGGTGATAATGACCTGGATTTATGACATCTGTTTTCCTAGTCATACAACATCAGCCACTAATTAGTTATGTCACTTAACCAAGTACCTTTTTCTTGTAGGATTGACATCCCTCAAGTGGGATTTAGAAGTTACTTATGAATAGAAATGTCGAAAAATATATATATCTATTGTGGTCTTTCAGAAATCAATTTTATGATTGAAAGATAACAATAATGTTGAATGAAATGCCGAGGCGGGCGGATCACGAGGTCAGGAGATCGAGACCATCCCGGCTAAAACGGTGAAACCCCGTCTCTACTAAAAATACAAAAAAATTAGCCGGGCGTAGTGGCGGGCGCCTGTCGTCCCAGCTACTTGGGAGGCTGAGGCAGGAGAATGGCGTGAACCCGGGAGGCGGAGCTTGCAGTGAGCCGAGATCCCGCCACTGCACTCCAGCCTGGGCGACAGAGCGAGACTCCGTCTCAAAAAAAAAAAAAAAAAAAAAAAAAAAATTTCCAATGATAATTTTGTATGAGAGTTACTGGTTCAGTTGAAATTACACCATTATTGTGACTAGTCCATTTTCCAAAAAAGGCTGAGCACAGATTTTGGTGTTGTCAATAAATACGGAACCATCAGCATCATGATATGAAGAAAAAAATACAAAGGGCAAAAATGTATCTCCAATTACTCACAGTGATGGGGGTTAATCAAAGCCTACTCAGTGTTAGTTGAAGACTTGGAATTTATTTTTCAATGAAAAAAGTTATTATTAATATGTGAATTCGAATAACAATAGCTATCATTTGTCAAGCATTTATTATGAAGTGTTTTGCTAACTGTTTCACATGAGTTCTCTCATTTAATTCTCAAATAATGCCATGGGACATCTCCAATAATTTGTCCCATTTTTGGGTGAGGAAAGTGCAAGTTAGCAAAGTTAAATAGCATGCCAAAAAATATGCGTCTGGAAAAGAGCAAAGTCATAGCAGAAATTTAGGTCAGCTGATTTTAGAATCTATGATCTTAACAATAGCATATATTCTTCCTAAAAAAGTGTTCTCACTAGAATTTTGGTATTGTCACTTTGAATAGAAAAGGTACTGGGGAACAAAAGGAAGATATCATCTCATGCTTTTCAGGCAAACCTGTCACTGAACTACTTGGAATCAAGCCAAACACTGCTCCAGAAATGATGTATTTATTAGGGTATTCAGAAGCCTCACATTTGGTTCACCTTTTCAAACACTGATTTCACTTTTACCACAACTTCTGTGGCCTGGAACAAAGCCACTCATAGTATCACTAGAGGCAATCATTGTTTTCAGTGCAAGGGCCCCCATTATATATAATGCATTGAACTAAATATACTTTAAAAAATAAATAGAAGAACTCTTTTCCAGAAAGCAGATTATGATGAACAGTGAGGAGCAAGGAGTAAACACAGAGAGAGGGCTGTACCCACAGTTGGGGAAGTAAAATAAGAAAAGGGGGGCCGAGCGCGGTGGCTCACGCCTGTAATCCCAGCACTTTGGGAGGCCGAGGCGGGTGGATCATGAGGTCAGGAGATCGAGACCATCCTGGCTAACAAGGTGAAACCCCGTCTCTACTAAAAATACAAAAAATTAGCCGGGCGCGGTGGCGGGCGCCTGTAGTCCCAGCTACTCGGGAGGCTGAGGCAGGAGAATGGCGTGAACCCGGGAAGCGGAGCTTGCAGTGAGCCGAGATTGCGCCACTGCAGTCCGCAGTCCGGCCTGGGCGACAGAGCGAGACTCCGTCTCAAAAAAAAAAAAAAAAAGAAAAGGGGAAGACAGTGTTCTCATTGTTCAATTCCCACCTGTGAGTGACAACATGTGGTGTTTGGTTTTCTGTCCTTGCGATAGTTTGCTCAGAATGATGGTTTCCAGCTTCATGCATGACCCTACAAAGGACATGAACTCATCCTTTTTTATGACTGCATAGTATTCCATGGTGTATATGTGCCACATTTTCTTAATCCAGTCTATCATTGATGGACATTTGGGTTGGTTCCAAGTCCTTGCTATTGTGAATAGTGCCGCAATAAACATACGCGTGCATGTGTCTTTATAGTAGCATGATTTATAATCCTTTGGGTGTATACCCAGTAATGGGATCACTGGGTCAAATGGTATTTCTAGTTCTAGATCCTTGAGGAATCGCCACACTGTCTTCCACAATGGTTGAACTAGTTTACGGTCCCACCAACAGTGTAAAAGTGTTCCTATTTCTCCACATCCTTTCCAGCACCTGTCGTTTCCTGACTTTTTAATGATTCCCTTTGTAACTGGTGTGAGATGGTATATCACACTGAGGCCTGTCATGGGATTGGGGGTGGGGGGAGGGATAGCATTAGGAGAAATACCTAATGTAAATGATGAGTTAATGGGTGCAGCACACCAACATGGCACATGTATACATATGTAACAAAGCTGCAATTTGTGCACATGTACCCTAGAACTTAAAGTATAATAAAAAAAAAAAAAAGAAAGAAAGAAAAGGAGAAGGCAGGTGTACCCAAGATAAACTAAATGTGCATTGCAATTGAGCTCAGGGCCAATCCTGTAAGGAACAAATCCATTATGAGAATCAAACACAAAGGCAAATTCAGTAAAAACTACCTGTGTGTTTTTGGAACTATGATTTAAAAGAGCTTGGGAATTGATGTGTTGGATGGTTATTCAGATATAAGCAACAAAAGAACATTATATGTGCTTTAGCTATGCAGCCACTTCTGATTTATTTCAAAAAAGCTTGCTGGGGAATATTGTGATGTTCTCTGACTGGCTTTGCAGTTATACCAGTCAGCAGGCCAAGAATAAAGACCACTTAAGTATTATTTGGAAATGAAATCACTACTAAAAAGGATATAGTTGTATGTTAAAGAGACACCAAACCATTATGAGTCAACTAACTTAGCTCTAGGGTCAAGAATAAATGAATACAAATGTGAGACAATATTCTGATAGATACAGTACTTTCACAGAGTCTTGTGTCTGAGAGTATGGAAAGGCCAATGAGGAGACAGTGAGCTATCAAACATCTGTCATAAATATATATCTAAGTAACTTTTAAGTTGCCTGATACTTGAATACATCAAGGGAAAGATAGCATTTTAGGGTCAATTAAACAAAAGTATGTGTACTGTAATAGTTTGACACAAAGAAGAATGGATAGAGAAAGAAAAACAGTCAAAGTGGTAAGCTTTATCAAAATAGAGTTTTTGACCTTGTACGGATAAAGAAAGAGAGTTTAGAAATATGAATTGGCTTACCCATGCAAGTTAAAAAAATAAATAAATTAGGCAGAGAGAGTGGAAGAGGAAAAATGAATACAGACATCTGTAACTTTTGTACATGAAAAGCAGCATGTACAATGAAAAAAATAGAAGGAAATAAAAGCAGAATTGATTCCCCAAATTTTCTTTACAAGAAGAGCAATAAAATTTTAAGGATATTTTACTAAACATACTCTAAACTTAATTTCCAATTCTTGAAGTCATATGTTTAAAGTTTAAGGAATCTTCCTATATTAGTAATGCTTCTCCAGAGAGAAACAACCAATAGCAGATAATAGATACATGAATGGATACACATACATACAGACAGACAGACAGATAGACAGACAGAAAGACAGAAGATAGATAGAGAGATTAATAGATAGATAGAGATTTATTAAGGAAGTTGGCTCACATGATATATGGAGGCTGAGAAGTCCCATGACAGGCTGGAGAACCAGGAAAGGTGTTAGCATGGCTCAGTCCAAGTCTAAATGCCTCAGAACAAGGGAAACTGATGGTTTAGCCTTCAGTCTCAGACTGAAGGCTTGAGAAACTGGGGAGCCACCAGTAAACGCAGAGTCCAAAGGCCAAAGAATCTGGATTCTGATGTCCAAGGGCAAATGAAGAAGGATGTCCCAGCTAGAGGACAGAGAGAAATAGAAAGAGGGAGAGAGAAATTTGTCATTTCTTTGCCTTTTTGTTCTATCCAGGCCCTCGCTGATTAGGTGTGTCCTTCCACATCAGATGAAGATAGATCTTCCTTATTCAGTCCACTGATTCAAACCCCAGTCTCTTCTGAATACACCCTCACAGACATACACAGCTATCTATCTGTGTATCCCTTAAGCCAGGCAACTTGACACCGATAATTAACTACCACAAATCTTCTCCTTGTCAACTTGGCTCCCATATGCATCTCCTTAAATCATACTTAATCACCAAATAAAAACAATAACAAGGTCATAGTCCTGCCTAGCATAACACCACTATTTTGCATACAACCCCAAATACTCTAAATCCCTTCCCCAGAACACTAGGTGAAGTCCATGAGTCATGTTTACTCTTAACCTGATATCCTGTAACAAATATGAAGACATAAAATCAACAGCAATTAAATAGTGACATAAACTCAATATATCTTATATTACATGATTAAAAAATAAGACAGGAAAGGAAACAAAGATATATGCTTAATACACGTATATACACACTGAAATATATTCTTAACAAAAGAAGAAGAAAATGCTAATGACAAAAACAGTCATTATTTCTGTAACTGGTCACATGGTCTTAGCTAGAATTTATCTTCCTCTGTCCATTTTGTATTCCCTTTGCCTTCAGAAAGCACCTCAGCTGGTCATGATTCTTTACCTGGAAAAGTGACCCAAACCTTCATTCCTACAAAACTCTGGACTATTCACAGTCCTTTCTGGATTGAGTTGAGTTGTAGTTTCCCACTGACCTTAATCACAGGGCAGGGTAATGCTAACAGATGACCTAAGGGATCACCTGTATTCCAGACATACTATTTTCTTTCTTTCGTTGTGAGGTAGTAATTCAGTTTCCCCTTGGTAGCCCAGATCATCCCAACCAACATGGTAACTGCTTTCCTGACCTTTTGATTCAAAGGCATGAGGAGGCCAAGGTTGCCAGGTGGAAGTCTCAAATTCCATTTAATGGGATCATTGTCGTGTTTCCTGGTAGGATCATTCCTCCTTCTGGGACTAAAATATCTAGGCTAGAAGAGCACAAAGTCACAAAACAAAAAGCAAAATGTTTGCTAGAGGGTTACTATGGGTAACGGTGAGTGATACTACTCTTTGTTTCTGGACTTGTGAATCCTGGCAATAGGAGAAATAGTACCATCTATTGGACGCTGATTCAGAGCATATACAGCCTTCTGGAGAACGCTGTCCCAGCCCTGCATGGTATTGTCACCTAGCTGGTATCGTATTTGCACCTTCAAAAAGCCATTTTACCATTCTATGGAGCCCGCTACTTCAGAATAGTGAGGAAACATGGAAATACCAGTACATTTTATGAGCATGATTCATTGTTTTACTTCTTTGACTATGAAGTGAGTTTCTTAATCAAAAGCAATGCTGTGTGGAATACCATGATGGTGGATAAATCATCTGTAACTTCACAGATGGTGGTGTAGACAGAAGCATTTTATGCAGAGAAGGGAAATCCATATCCAGATAAAGTGTCTATTCCCATAAGAATAAAATGTGACTCCTTCCAGGATGAAAGTTGTCCAGTGTAATCTGCCTGCCCCCAGGAAGTTCCTGCATTACTCAGCATTCTGCCTCTGAGACCACAGAGCCACCAGCATGCAACATCAGGCTGAGAGAGCCCCAAGCATAAAACTCCCATCAGAGAGAGCTTCTGTATGGGCTGTGTCCACCAAAACCATTGGAGTGGAGCCACCTGAGGTCTTGGAAAGCAGGACATAGAGTCAAAGATTGTTCTCAAGTCCCAAGATTTAAAGTTTGCTTTCTTGGGTTTTGGAATTACTTGGGACCTGTTAGCCACTTTCTTCTTTCCTATTGCTCTCTTTCAGAATAGGAATGTCTATCTTGTGCCTATTACAGCATTTTATTTTGGAAGCACATAAGTGGTTTGATTTCATAGCCTCACAGCTGGAGGGAATTGGTCTCAGGATGTCACACCTTTGAGTCTCACTCATATCTGATTTAGATGATATTTAAATGAGATATTGGGCTTTTTAGACATTTGAGTTGATGCTGGAATGAGCTAATACTGTTCAGGCTATTAAGATGAAATAAATGTATTTGGCATGTGAAAAGGACATAAATTTTCAGGGGTCAGGGACTGCATTCTATGGTTTCTATGTTTGTGTCCCCTCTGAAATTCATGGCCTAGAAGTGAAGTCCTATTTTGACTTTTAAAAAATTACTTCCTCAAAAGAGTAGATCAATTAGACTGTCTTTTGTCTACTTTCCTACTTATCATTATTTAAACATTCTAAATTATTCTTATCTGAGTGGAAGTTTCACAACGGGGACTTTGACCAAGTAAATGTGGAAACCCCTGGGTTAAACCAGATTTAAAAATTTCCTTAATAATCAATGACACCCCAAAGTGAAGTTACAGAATGCATTATATTCACACCTATTGGGCAAGGCAACATTATCTATATAATGGGACATCTCACAGTATTAGTATTTAGTAGACATAATGTGGGTGACACTTGTCACTGTACCCCATTGCATTAAAGTCAAAGATGAGGTGTGCTGCTATTTAAGAGCCACAGATTGAGTAATTAATAAATAATACGAAATTATTTGTCTCAGTTCTAGAGACTAGGTGCAAGATTGAGAGATCATGGCAGGCTTAGTGCCTGATGAGAGGATTCTTGCTTTGTCCTCTCACGTGGAGGAAGAAGAGAAGGGCAGAAAAGGCCTAGCTAGTTCCCTCAAGCCCTTTTATAAAGTCAATAATCCCCTTAATGCAGGCTCTATCCTCACTATTTAACATCTCCTAAAGGTCCCACCTCTTAATACTATACATTGGAGTTTAAGTTCCAACATCAGTTTTCCTAAATAAACATATAGAAAACTAGAAAATTTTTCATCCTGGCTTTCTGCCCAGAGACAATTTCTGAACTCTTTCGTAAAAACTAGAGTCCGAACACAACATAGCACTTTTATGTATTTCAGGAGACATATGCTACAATTTGGACAGGAGAAATTGGCTATAATTTTTAGAGCACTTTTATCTGCATTAAAAACCTGTTCAGGCAGATACTCTTTCTCCTCAACAGTTTTCTTAATGGCATCTGGGAACTTGTCTGTCGCCTCTTGGTTGGCAGAAGCTGCCTCTCCTGTTATCTTGATATTTTTTAAACCAAACTTTTTTCTAAAATCATCAAACCATCCTTTGCTGGTGTTAAATTTTTCAGCTTTAGATCTTTACCTTCCTTTTGTTTTGTCATGTAATGACTTTGTTGTTTCTTAAATCATATTTGAGTCTATAGGTATGCCTTTCTTACAGCAATCCTGCACTCATATAAAAGCTGCATTTTCTTTTTTTTTTATATTATACTTTAAGTTTTAGGGTACATGTGCACATTGTGCAGGTTAGTTACATATGTATACATGTGCCATGCTGGTGCGCTGCACCCACTAACTCGTCATCTAACATTAGGTATATCTCCCAATGCTATCCCTCCCCCCTCCCCCCACCCCACCACAGTCCCCAGAGTGTGATATTCCCCTTCCTGTGTCCATGTGATCTCATTGTTCAATTCCCACCTATGAGTGAGAATATGCGGTGTTTGGTTTTTTGTTCTTGCGATAGTTTACTGAGAATGATGGTTTCCAATTTCATCCATGTCCCTACAAAGGACATGAACTCATCATTTTTTATGGCTGCATAGTATTCCATGGTGTATATGTGCCACATTTTCTTAATCCAGTCTATCATTGTTGGACATTTGGGTTGGTTCCAAGTCTTTGCTATCGTGAATAATGCCGCAATAAACATACGTGTGCATGTGTCTTTATAGCAGCATGATTTATAGTCATTTGGGTATATACCCAGCAATGGGATGGCTGGGTCAAATGGTATTTCTAGTTCTAGATCCCTGAGGAATCGCCACACTGACTTCCACAATGGTTGAACTAGTTTACAGTCCCACCAACAGTGTAAAAGTGTTCCTATTTCTCCACATCCTCTCCAGCACCTGTTGTTTCCTGACATTTTAATGATTGATTGCCATTCTAACTGGTGTGAGATGATATCTCATAGTGGTTTTGATTTGCATTTCTCTGATGGCCAGTGATGATGAGCATTTTTTCATGTGTTTTTTGGCTGCATAAATGTCTTCTTTCAATATGATTAAAAAGTGTTTATCAAAAAGTGCAAGGTTCTCATGCCTGCTGGTGTAGCTGCATTAATTTTCTTTTCTTTTTTTTTAACAATTGTCCTTCTTTTATAACAACTGTTGTCTTGAAATAGCAGGCAACCACAGCTGCAGACCTCGATCTACAGTACATATCAAGAAGTTCATTTTTTATTGTATTACAACTTTCATCTGCTTCTTGGAAGTACTTTCAGAATCACTACTGGCACTTAGTATGTATCTCTTGGTGTTATTCAAAGTTTATGGTCTTGCACTAAATATGATAAAAATATATGAGAACCATGAGAGATTACTTTTTATTGCTATATTTCATTTACTACAGACATGAATTGCTCACATGGAGATAATTAGTAACATATGGTTTTAGCAGATACTTATAATACTTAAGCTCACTACAGTAGCACTAGGAAGTGGCAACCAAGTTATAACAGTAGTACAGTATGTACTACTGTTAATGCAGTTATGATTTAATATTACACCTTTAAATTTGCTTATACTACAAATGATGCCATATTTGGTCTGTAATTGTATGTGTGTAAGTTTTGATAAATTTTAACTTTTTATAATAAGTTTGTATACATTTTATAATAGTAAATGACAAAAAAATCTACATATAGTTTATTCATTCATGACATATCTTTTTCATACCTACCTTTTTCTTAATTTTATTGATATTTCTAGGCTATATGGTTTATCTACAAATTTTTTCAAATTGTTACAAATCTCAAAAAAAAATTCCAATATACTTATTCAAACAAATAAGCGGACCCGTGCAGTTCAAACTTTTGTTGTTAAAGGGCCAATTGTATATCTACATCTCCTTTCATTTCTCTTTCTCTGGAAAACCGTGACTAATACAAATACTTAAATAGAAATGTTGATGAATTGCTGGAAAGTAAGGGTGCACTAGAGCAAGTGTGAGAAACTCCTGGGGGCTGAAGTTCTCAGAAGAATTTATATACAGTAACTTCATCAGGTTCTCACATTGAAGAGCCAAGAAAGATCCCTTCATGACTCTGGCAGTAGAGAGGAAGGGTAATCATTGTGAAATATGCACACAGACTTCTCCATCAGAAAATGCCTACTCTTCAGTAGGAAAGGCTACACCAGAGCCTTGTCCCAAAGCCATGAGGGAAGTTTATTTTCTGACTCTGGCCACCTCTACCCTTCTTGTTTCACCTACAGAGTAGAGAAAGCTGTACAAGAAGAAATAGTAGTACAGATCACAAGCCAGAAACACAGATCCATTAAAAGACTGAGATTTTATCATAAGATTATACACTCTCCCCCCAACTTCATATTTGCTACTAAAAAGTGAGTAGTGGGGGATCAGTCCTTGATGGTTTCACAAGCAAATTTTACCAAAACATTTAAGAGAGAAATGATATCAGTTCTCCACAATCTCTTTCAGAAAACAGAAGCAAAGATGACCCTTCCTATCTCATTCTATGAAGCCAGCAATACCCTAATATCCAAACCAAATAAAAACATTACATAAAGAAAAACTCTGTAGACAATTCTGTCTCTTGAAAATAGATGTAAAAATTATTAACAAATTTTAGCAAATTGATTCCAACATTGTGTAAAAACATACATATACACATAATCAAGTAGAATTTATTCTGTGTCTTCAGGGCTTCTTCAATATTTGAAAATAGATCAATGCACTCACCACATCAATACCAAACAAAAGAAACATCATACGATCATGTGTTTTGATGCAGAAAAAGCATTTGATAAAGTTTAACACTCGTTTAAGATAATTCTTAATCTCAAGGAACAGAGAGGAAACATGTTCAAATGGATAAAGAATGACAACAAAAACTTACAGCTAATTGTGAAAAACTGGATGATTTTCCCCTAAAATCAGAATAAGGCAAAGATGTCCCCTCTCACCACTCCTATTCAACATTGTACTAAAAGTTCTAGCCAATACAATAAGAAACAAAGGAATTTAAAAAAAGGGAAGAAAAAAAAATAAGCCATGAAAAGACATAGATGAAAAGGCTATATATAATTCTAATTAATAAACTTCTGTTAAATTGAAAGTCTACAGAGATGTAAAAAATCAGTGGTTGCTAGAGCTCAAGGGAAGGAAAGGAGGTTTTAGTAGGTGGAACATAGAGGATTATTTTAGGACAATGAAATTTTTCTGTATGATACTGTAATAGTATATACCTGATACCACCCATTTGTCAAAATCCATAGAGCATCACAGAACAAAGATTAAATCTTAATGAATGCAATTTTTTCCTGAGAATTATTAAAGAGGTCCAGAGATCTCAGACAGAATGCAGAATTTGACAAAAGAATCTAAATATATTACAACTATATGAAACCTCCTCAAAAAAAGTTTAGGGTATTAGGGTGCAGATTTAAGTTACCTTGGAAATAAGTATAGCTTGCAACACTATAGACAAAAGCATTTTTACGTAAACACTCTACTTTAATTGATAACATTGTTTCCCTTTCAGATAAGGTTTAATAATTGTAGAACCACTATGCACGTATACCAGAATTAAGCAATGAAGCAAATGGTTGTCAGAGGGCATGAGTCAGGTTTCTTACTGTTGGAGTGGGAATTTATAGATAAATAAGAAGAGGACACCAGGAAGAACCATGTGGTAATGGATTAGAGTTGGAGACATAAGTATGGACTTATGTGTAGTTCGATATAGACACAAAGACAGATGGTTACATCTAGAAATAATTATTGATATGTGCATATCTGTGGGTTAGCATATATACATATATTTAATATAGACATCTGAAATGTCAGCTGAAAGGACCTAGACGCAATGATACCCAGTAGCAATAAGCATACCTAGTGTTCAGATCTTGCTTTCTATTACTCTTATCCAACAAAGAAACCAGGATGCATGGTAGAAATAGCTGGCAGTAGAGCTAGAGCACAAAATTATACTAGATGAGCCTGGAGAATGTTGTAGTGCCAGAAAGGGCAACATGCACAAAAAGCGCCACAAATGGGTAAAGAATGACAACAAAACCCAGAGGATATGTTGAAGGGATACAGGAGTCAACTGAAGGAGCTATCAGTATATTTCAACAAAATAAGTAGAAATCAGCAAAGGCATGATATGTGGAATATCTTCAGACCAATCAATATCATACACGATATTAACAGGATAAAAGGAAAACCATATGATTACCACGTGACTAAATTCATTATCATTTATGAAAATAATTTTCAGCAATATGGGAATAAAAGAACATATTCAACCTGATTATGGACATCTGTAAATTACCTACATATCACATTATGCTTAATAGTAGAAGTCCTAACATTGAAAATAAGACAAGGATGCCCATTCTTGCCACTTCTATTCAATATCACATTGAAGATCCTTATCATTGCAATAAGGCAAAAAATAAAAATAAATAAAAGGGAAGAAAATAACTTCAGTGGTACTCAACAACATACAAATTAATTAAATTTAAATAGGCCGTAGACATAAATGTACATGCTGAACCATAAAACTTCTAGAAGAAAAAAAACTTATAAACTAAAACTGTCTTTTTTCCACAACGAGACCATACATAAAAAATGTTAGGGAATCTACAATAACAATACTAGAATTAGTAAATGAGTTAAGCAGACTGAAGTATAAAAAGGCAATATGTAAAAATAAATTGTGTTCCTATGTAGTAGCAATTAATTATTGAAAATTGAACTAAATTTTCAATAATTATGTAATTTACAAAAAGAAACAAAAAGCATGAAATATTTAGAATACACTTAGGAACATTGGTACAGTATCTACAAAGACACCTGTAAATCATTGCTGGTCAAAAGTGAAGTCCTAAATTAATAGAAATACATACTATGTTCGTTGACTGAACACTCAGTTCGTCAGTTTCCACTGACGAACTATTTCTGCAACTTATATGAGAGGAAATTGATCTATAAGAGTCAAAAGACATTTTTAAACAATAAAGTTGAAAAACTTACAGTACCTTATGCCATAATTTTATATAAAGCTATAACAATCAATACAGTGTAGTGTTTACATATAGATATATAGATTAGTGCAACAAAATAAAGAAATCACAGAAAGACCCACACATACATCATCAATTCATTTTTAACAGAGGTGCCATGATAATTATATGGGGGAATAATATTATTTTCAAGTAATGGTGCTGGAACAAGTGAATATCTACTTGAAAATGAATTGTGAAATGATGCCACAACCTACCCATAAGTTAACTTGAGATAGGCCATAGATTTAACCTTGAAAGCTAAAAATATAAAACTTGTAAAAAATAGGAGTAAATCTTGCAATCTTGGTGTAGGCAAAGATTTATTAAAAAGATTCAAAAACCTTTTAAGATAAAAATATTTTTATAAATTAGACTTCATAAAAATTAAAAACTGCCTTTTTTAGAGAATCCATTAAGTGATTGAAAGAGCAAGACACACACTGAGGGAAAATATTTGAAATGTATAAACCTGAGAAAGGACTTGAGTTTAGAATACTTCAAACATTCTTACAACTCAGTAATAAAAAAGCAAACTACTCAATCAAAAATTGGACAAAAAATACAGAGATGTCACAAAAGGAAATATATGAATGGCAAATAACCACATCAGATGGTGTTCACTATTTTTATCATCAGGGAAATGTAAATTAAAATCAATAAGTTAACACTACACAATGATTAGAAATGGCTAAAAGTAAAAAGGCTGATAATATCAAGCTTTGGTGAGACTGGAGCATATGAAATTGTCATACACTGCTGATGGTAACGTAATGATAAAACTACTGTGGAAAGCAGTTTGGCAATTTCTTAAAAAGTTTAACATATACTTACCATATAAACAAATAATTCCACTTCTAGGTTTGTACATGAATGTTTATAGATTTATTCATAATAGCCTCAAACTGGAGAAAATCCACATGTTCATCAGTAGCTGAGTGCCTGATAGGGTTTGGCTCTGTGTCCCCACCAAAATCTCATTTTGAATTGTAATCCCCAGTGTTGGGGGTGGGATGTGATGGGAGGTGATTAGATTTTCTTCTAGCTATTCTCATGATAGTGAGTGAGTTCTCACAAGATCTGGTTGTTTGAAAGTGTGTTCTCCCTTCACTCTCTCTGTTTCCTGCTGCCATGTGAAGATCTGCTTGCTTCCCCTTTGCCTTCTGCCATGATTGTAAGTTTCCTGAGGCCTCCTACATCATGCCTCCTGTATAGCCTGCAGAACTGTGAGTCAATTAAACCTCTTTTCTTTACAAACTATCTGGTCTTAGATAGTTCTTTATATCAATGCAGAACTGACTAATATAGTGCCTAAGTAAATTCTGATACATTAATACATTTGGATACTGCTAAGTATTAAAAGGGAACAAATTATATGTACATACATGTATTCTTGTCAAAAATACTATACCAGGTAAAAGAAACAAGACATGAAACAATTAATACTATAAGATGTCATTCCTATGAAATTATAGGAAAGCCAAGTCTAATCTACAGTACCAGAAAGCAGATCCATGCATGTTTTAAACTAGGGTTTGGAAGGAGCATAAAGGGGACATTTTGGAGTAATGGAAATGTGGTATGTATTGTGATTTGGCAATGATCACTTGTGTAAATATGTCGAAACTTATCAAACAGTACAGTTAAAATGGGTTCATTTTATTGTATGTAAATATAAAATATCACTCATCTTTAATAAAATTGATTTAAAGAAGTCAAGGATAGCAAGCTTTCAATAAGGCACTTATTCCTTGATGACAATGTTGTGGGTTTTTAAAATATAATTGACAGCTCACACCCCATCAACTACTGCTATTAAACTGTATAATACAGCTCAGCTATCCACAAGAAACAAATAAAAACAAAAAAAACTCACACCCCATCAACTACTGCTATTAAACTGTATAATACAGCTCAGCTATCCACAAGAAACAAATAAAAACAAAAAAAACTATCAACGAATTATAATGCTGCCTGGAAAACATGAGAAAATGCACTCATCAATCCTACTTCATACTCCCCATCCAGTCCCACACATAAACAAACAACTGCTTAGCTATCTAGTTAAAGTCTCTTAGGGGCCTAACAATGTGTCAAATGTCACATGCTTTTACCTGGGACATCAAAGCATTTATTACAGTGATCAACAAATTATAGTCCATGGGCCAATACAGACTATTGACTGTTTTTGTAGATAAAGTTTTATTGGAACACAACTACATCAATTTTGTTACATATTATCCATCTTTAGTTTTGCAATGAAAGAAAGTGCAAGGTCCTCAAAGCTGAAAATATTTTCTATCTGGAAATTAACAAAAAGAGCTTGCCCATCTCTATTCTATAAAGAACTTTGAAGGCATGATTAGGGTACATAGATAATAATTCTCAAACAATGTAGGCAGGACATTAATGTGTATAAAGTGCCAGTTATGTGCTAGGCATTGCGTTTGGCATTTTCACAAAATCATAACGTTTAAATGAAGTATTTTAAATACCGTTCGACGTAATTAAAGTGGTACAGAGTGCGTATTTCTAGTAAATACTTATGTTGGGATTTGAAATAACTTCCCTCAACAAATAATGAACAGTTTGCCAAAAGCAGAGTCTAAGCAAGGGCAAAGAAAGAGGAGGCTTTGGAGACTAGAATGATGTTATTCTGAGCAACTTTCTAGGGCAGCTCCGTGAAGTTGAAAGAACACTATCTTCCAGAGATAGGAAAATCTTTATGTCTCAGTGGAGAGTCTCAACTGTTGTGGTCTTCGGGGTGCTAATGTTACATTTGGTTTGTCAACAGCAGATAATGAATTGGCATTGGAGCAGGTCAACAAGGGACCGCAGATCATCAGATAGGTGGGAAAAAAGGAGGTGGTAACAAAACATGTTTGTTTTTCTTATAATAACATGATATAATTCATCCCAAATACTGGGAACAAAGGAGGTAATCAGATTGGGTCATTGAAGACAGCAGGCCAAGGAAACTGTTAGCCTCTCTCCTTTCTCCACCCTTACCAAAAATATCTGATTCCTTCTTGATTCTGCTTTGTTCTTTAATTGCCACATCAAGTCACTTAGTAGATACTGACTTTTCTACTGCTAAATTTCTTCTTCGTATTACCCTTGCCTTTTCCTGTCTTCATAATTTCCTACCTATGTGGATGCATTTTTAAATTTATTCATTCAATATTTATTAACCACCTACCTCTTGCTAGAACCCATGCTCATCATGGGAGAAACACCCTGGTAAAAAAGGGAGACCATCTCTTCCCCATGTTTATGTGTTGTGGTTAGTAATGTCAAGTGTTTAAGCGACGGTGAGTACAATGGCAAGGAAGAGCCAAGTTTTAGAAGGCCCCAAAAGAGAAATTTATTCTTAACTTAGGATACTGGACTTCCTGAAAGAAGAGTTTTAAACTAAAATCAATAGAGTGAGAATGAGTTAGCCAGAGCAAATGAAAATACTTGGATGTAAAAACATAAAAAAGACCAACGAACTGAAAATTCTTTTATAATATATGTCAGAATGAAACACTTAAAAACGAAGCACTTATAAGAAAAAGATGATAATCTTTTTACTAAGAATGTGTATGTGTGATTTTATTTATATGACATACATGTATATGTATATATACACATATATGATTATAGCCATTTACTTCTTTAGAAATACATTTATTTAGAACATATAGTTCTAAATATGCAGAAAGATTTATAAACTATAGATACAAAATATTATATACATATGTATTTCTCAAGAATCAGACAACCATCTGCTCTTTAATGTAGCTGTGATATTTCCTTATATCTAGAAATAATGCAAATTATCCCCTTTCGGGGACAATTCAGAACCTTATGGAAAATAAACAGGGTAACTATGACAGAGTCCTTCCTGTGTTTGCTGACGAGTAAGAGAGCAGCACCATATGCTTTCATGTACATTACCCCAGGAGGGCAGTGCCATATGTTGACACGTATGTCACCTGTCTTGGTCTTTTGTATAAGGCAGTGTCCCAAGGGGTATGCCAAATAGGGAAAGAGAAGGCAGCCACATGAGTATGAGGATGTGGCATGTTTCCCTTGTTGACAGATTTTGCTAGACCATCACTTCAGTTGGCAAGCACCCAGAACAGCTGCTTTACCCTGGAGCAAAGGTCTTTGTGATCCCACAAACGCTCCCCAGTGAGTGAGACAGTGGAGGGAAGGTGTTGTGCCCTTTGGGAGTGGACTTTTCCTCCTACTGTGAGATGTGAAAAAGGGAGTAATTACCATGAAAGACTTTTCACGGATTTTGTACTAACTCTCACCTTTGCCAGTAAGTTCCGAGAAAATGGGTGAGCATCTATTTATACATAATTGAAATCCTTCATATTAAAAACAGAGAGACCAATATAATAATGTAAAAGACTTTGTTGATCAAAATTTGCTTCATTATGATTTAGTGATTTCATTCACATGTTATTTAAAGATCAGTGTTGATTTCTCACCTCTTAGGTATCTTTCAAGGCTGTACATACATAATACTTCAGGCCATAATTCCATTCTATCATCTCAGAAGTGGCAAAATGAGAAAAAAGTTTTCACAAACTCATTCACAAAGTAATTCAAATATATTTAAAGTAATAAAATACTATCTATGTTTATATTTACAAATCCATGTGCATGTTGAAAATAAATCCAGTTTGTACCGTTGCGGTTAAATGTCATTATTTAACGCCATTTTTCAATGCTTTCCTTTGCGTTCCTGCTTCTATTAAAGATATATAAGATAAACTAGTAAAACAGTTAGTAGCTGTGTTCAACAACTGAATTTCAGTTTTGTCTCACGAGAGAGGTTTGAGTCTCAAAAGATTTTTCTCTTTGCTATTTTTAGACAAAAATAATTTGAGATAAAAGTTTGGAAGAATTATTGAAAAATTCTGAGGTAATTTATCAGGGTTTTTACCAGAAAAATAGGCAATATTACTCCGTCTTTTACAGATATAAGATAAAATTTTCAGGAAGGTATTACAATGATCCCATGTAGCTAGTAAGTAGGCAGTACCAAGATACAAAAGCCGTTCCATTTGACTCCAAAACTGAGATATACTTTCCCCACACACTGTGTTGTGTGCTAGGTTAATGAATCAATGTTTATCCATTTGATTTTCTAGAGAGATAAATGGACAGTTCTGAGATGTGTTTCAGAAGGGTCCTCAGAAGATCCTGAGGTAGTGAGTCCTAGCCATTCATAACCATGGCCACCTTAATCAATGTTTGTATTGGTTTTTTTCCACCTTCCCCTTTCACACCCAATGTCCTTCACTCCTGTTTCCTATGATCACTTGTCCAACAAAATACCTGCAAGCAAGTCTTAGTCTCTCACTTTGCTGCCTTAAATGCCCCTTCTCCCCTTTCTCTCACCCCATTTTCCTTCCAGTGCCTCCCAAATTATTGCCCATCAAATCAACTACTTGCACTTCAACTGTTATCTCAGAGTCTGTTTCAGGGGAAACCCTAAATAAAATACTTATTCTTTTTTTTTTTTTTTAAAGAAGCAGCCTTTCTTCCATTTCTTTCTTCCTCCTCCAATCTTCCTGGCCCACTTATCCCACTCCTATTTTTCTTGACACCCTTTCAGTTCTTAATAGACACTCTGGGTTCTCACGGTCTCTCTACATTCCCTTTCTGTCAGAACCTTCACTCATAAAGGACAGAATAATGTGATTTACTCTAGAGAGTAAATTACTAATAACAATTTGGATTTTGTGCTTTTCTGGGGTATTTGCACTTTAGCACAGGGCCTAGACTGTACACAATGTCATAAAATTTCCATAAAATTTTAGTTATTTTTAATACTGGATATAGAAGTGTTTAAATTTTGGTAATGAAACTAGGAGCTTGTCTAGTAAATGGTTATCTAGTCTGCCTTCTTGAAAAATTTATGAGGTAATAGAAAATATTAATTTATATCCAAACAGCTTTCATCAACACACATATACATATACTATTATTTTGAGCACTCAAAAAATTCAGGAACTAAAAATTTTATAAACTACATTTTTTTCTTACGGTTCTAGTACCATAGTTTCACAGCTAATGTGGAAAGTTTTGTTCTGAGTGGTTGTAATTTCTGTTAGGTAAAGTGAGTTCCTTTGTGGCACATGCCCAAACCACGTACCATAATATCATTTAAAAAATGATATTAATGACAAGTGCTGAGTGCAACTCACTCAGGTGGACAAAAAAACAGATTTTTTAATATACTCAATATGATTAAATAGCCATAAAAAGATTATTGCAATTCACATGAGAAAACTCAGATGGCCAATGTGATACCACAGTTTGTACAGTGTGTCACAGCTCAAATACTGAGCAGTAAACATGGCATCAGCTTCACTGTTGGCAAAAGTATGAGAACAGGGAAGAAGCTGTTAGATCACACAGCCTGCGATGTTTCCCCACTGAAGTCTGAACTGCTCAGATATCACTGTGCCAGAGTAAACAGGAAATCACTCCAGACACATACCATCAGAGCATTTGGTTCCTAAAATGCCTAGTGAAGTTTAGTAAATAAAAACAATGCTTGATAGGTTACAACCATTGAAAGTCAAAAGGTTATAACAATCACTCTCTCATTTCTATCTAGTCTTTCAATAAATTAAATGGAAATCAATTTTCAAAGTTAGAATTTGCTCTGAGAGTTCAAAGAGATATATGATACAGATGTTTAGAAACCAACTGCAAAAGAGGAAAAGGAAATTTAAAGTAACTTGAAGATTAATAGGTTCAAATCCTTAATGTAATTTACTGTGGCAAATTAAGTTTTTATAAAATTAAACACACACGTGGCAAAATTGAGAACATCTTCTATATCCTCACTTTGACTCTGACAAAGAACAGAAATGCTAGGGGGTCAAAATTTCTTCTGAATTTTTGTTCCAGCCCTCCTGTCTGTCTCTCTTTGTTTCTCCTTTCTTTCTCTTTCTTTGTTTCTTTTTTCTCTTTCTTTCCTTCCTTCTTTTTTTCTGTCTCTCTTTCTTCTTTTCTTTCTTTTTACAAATTCTCAGTTGTTTCCCTCTGACTCTCAAGACAAAAACCAACTAACCGATGCTGTAATAGGAGGATCATTTGAGTCTAAGAGTTTAAGACCACATCTCTAATAATAATAATAATAACCAATACACAAGGAAAGGATAAAAGTAAACACTTGAAATTCCACCAACTTGGAATCCCACTCCCCAGAGTTTATTAACATAATATGTGAGTGGTCAAACATCTAGAACACTTACTATGTATACATAAATGGTTCTACATATATTTCTACAGGTATAGAATATCTAATATTCTATATAACTTTTTGCATTCAGCAGTAACATACCCTGGACATTTTTCTATGATATAGGATCAATTTCCATTCTACTTTAGTTTAATTGGTCTACTTATTCAGTTTCTATTTTCATACTGTTTTATTTCCTTTAGCTTTATGCATTATTTTTAATATATCCAGAAAAACAAGCTGCTTCTCATTATTTACTTCTGTTTTGAACAATTTTAATAAGCATCACTCTTTTGATATAATTAAAAACAATGTGATCACTAGCTTAAAATAACTTGAATGGCTAATATAACTATCTGCAGTTTATGGGTCCTTATATAGTAAGTACTTCTTAAAAATAAATTCTTCTTGATAAAAGGGGGATGATAAAAATGATATAATTTATATTATTTTATACTATCATTTAGATTTACCAAAGTTTCTGATTTTAAACAAGTAAACCATTGATTGATTATCATTTCTTTGAGAGATGAATAAAGAAGTTATTTTTGCCCAAATTATTGACAATAATATGATTTTGTCATGTAAATGCATTTTTTAGAATTCCTTTTCCAACCTTTTCTCTAAAAATGGTAGCACATTGGAAATTAATCAATGAGGGATATCTACATTTCTTCAAACTGTATTATAATGTGCAACCAGATTAAGCTATCTCTAGAATGGGTATAGGAGTTTTAGTGCAACTCAACTAATGGGGAGTGGAGTGGGGGAATGCGTAGTTTGCCCAACAAAATCTTATGTAAAAGAGATCACTTTTGCAGAATATCTCATAAGCTTCTTGAGATAACTTTAAAGATGGAAATTTCAAAATTAATGTTAATGATATGTTCAAAAAAAGAAAGCTAAAGTCTTCATTCCTACAAAAAAAAAAATAGTTTCAGAGCGATGACTCCATTTACCCAACTCAAGAGACAAATATGAGTCCAAATTCTTGTGAGTAAATTAGACAAAGAAGCAAAACAGCAATGTTTGGTGTTAAAAATTAGGTCAGAAAAGGCTGGGCACAGTGTCTCATGCCTGTAATCCTAGCACTTTGAGAGGCCGAGGGGGGTGGATTGCCTGAGCTCAAGAGTTTGAGACCAGCCTAGGCAACACAGTGAACCCCCGTCTCTGCTAAAATACAAAAGAAATTAGCCGGACGTGGCAGCGTGCACCTGTAGTCCCAGCTACTTGGGAGGCTGAGGCAGGAGAATTGCTTGAACCCTGGAGGCGGAGGTTGCAGTGAGCTGAGATCATGCCACTGCACTCCAGCCTGGGTGACAGTGAGACTCCATCTCTTAAAAAAAAAAAAAAAGGCTAAAAAAAAGTAAATTGCTTTTTTTCTGAAGTATACTTAATTTTAAGAAAAGAAGCCAGAAAGGTATTTTCATAAATGTTTGGAGCAATTACTATACCATCAGAATAAATATCTTGCCTCCTAGGGAGACTTCCTACATTGAGCATGTCTATTCTAATAACTAAATCGCAGATTTATTTTATTTAAAAAAAGTACTCATTTTTTACATTCATTTTTTACAATAAATCCTCACAGCTTTCTATAATGTTACAATTACTAAAACATTGCCACATCCTGGTTAACTAGTCATAAACATCTATATTTCCACTTAGGGAAAGTGAAAACAAAACAATCATCACTCGTAAATATTTACAAAATGGTGTATAGGAATAGTTGTTTTGGTGATATCAAAATCCCAGTTGAGGAGCTAAAGAGGGAATTCATTAATTGAGTAACATAATATCTCCCGAAACTCAAGTTCAGGAATGCAATTTATCCTCAAGACATGTTTGGAACCAAAAGCTCAGGAACTCCAGAATGCTTGATCTCCCAGCCCTGTTCTTCTCTGTGTGTGTCCTTTAACTCTCTGCAGGTGAGTTTCCTCTACTATCCCACCACACCCGTGAGAAAACGTGGCTACCATGAGTACCTGGATTCACTTGCGACCATTTCTTCTCTCTGTAGAGAACTTCATCTTTCATCTGTCTCAGCCATCGTCTTAAAGAAAAATGCTGATTAGTCCAGTCTGGGTTACATGTCCTCCCACTCCCTGGGACCGACTCATCCATGGTAGCCAGGGGAAACTGTGCCAAGGAAGAAAAAAGGAGGCCAAGAATTGACCACTTTAAAAAAGGCAGGTTGTTTTTAGAGAAAAAGTGATGGGCAATTAGATTACTGTCCAAGACAGTTATCTACTTTATTCTTGGCCTTAAATGTGTTACAGGAGGAAATAAAGAGTAGCGGCCGCGTGCGGTGGTTCACGCCTGTAATCCCAGCACTTTGGGAGGCCGAGGCGGGTGGATCACAAGGTCAGGAGATCGAGACCATCCTGGCCAACATGGTGAAACCCCATCTCTACTAAAAACACAAAAATTAGCTGGGTGTGAGGAGCACGCCTGTAATCCCAGTTACTCGGGAGCCTGAGGCAGGAGAATTGCTTGAACCCGGGAGACGGAGATTGCAGTAAACCGAGATCGGACCACTGCACTCTAGCCTGGCGACAGAGCATGACTCTGTCTCAAAAAAAAAAAAAAAAAAAGAAAAGAAAAGAAAAAGAAAAGAAAGAGTGGCATACATTCTTTTTAATGAAGCTTGTAATCTGATGGGGAAAGAATAACATTTGTTTAGTATGATCAGAATTCACATCTAAATAATTAGATTTTTATAAAGGGCTCTAAAAATAAACTTTTATGCAATAATTACCTGGTATTTTATTATATGTAACAACCTCATTAGAATATTGAAATGGCAGATCTTAAAATTTCCTTTATCAATAATATTCAAGGAAATATGTACAGATTTTCTAAGCATAACTTTCTAATTTTAATGGAAACTGCATAAATAAGTAATTAGCTGTCTAATAAAATTAAATGGTTCTGATATTTGTAGCTATAAAGTTGTAGATATGTGAAAGGATATTTCTTTGATGGCCTTCATATTAAATGTGCTAAAGACTGAAGCAGTATGACCACTTATTAATCAATTTCTTAGCCAGCGACATAAAAATTTAACATTATACAGCCTTTAATGTTTTCTTTGGTTTTGAGTAACTATTATACAAGCTTACTTTGTATATAACCTCAACTCCAATACAGAGCACGATAACTATCCTGAGAAAAAAAGAAAGGCAGCTGAAAATAAATTATAAAATCTCTGTCCTGAAGCTGGACCATCATCTTATAGAACAGAAGTGTCTGAAGTAGTTTGGACTAAACTCATATATGTTCTCCATATACAGAACTGGTCTCTTACCACAGTGAGTTGTACACATACAAAGAAAGCTAGCACTGTTTTACTTCCAGTACACTGGAAATAGCTTGACAGTTGGATCTTTTTCTTCTGTTAATCTCAGTGTCTGGCATAAGTGTTGCTCATTATTTGAGCAAAAATCCATAAATGATTTTTGAATTTCTAATAAATCTGCCAGCATACATTCAATGAACATCAATAATCTCTATTGATGATTTTGTGAAATATCACCTTTGTTACCAATTGGTTCCATATTTGCTTTTCTTCTTCTTTTTTAGTGTAAAAGTATCAAGAAGTTGTTATCAGTATTAGGCAAAAAGATAAAGATTAACCTGGATTTTCTGAGTAAATGCATAGCCCTGCAAATCATAAATTTATACTAGGGAAAGGAAACATAGAGACACTTTAAAAGCATTGATTATGGATACTCAAAAATTTTTAGAAGCAGGGAAAAACTAGTAGGTTTACATGGCTGGCAAATTGGATGGTAAAGTAACACTCAAACTATGATTTGTGTATACTTTATTAAAAATCTCCAGAAAAGTTTTAGTACATTTATCTACCAAATAAATGAACTAGATTAATTTTTGTTGGTACACTCAAATGTGGTGAGGTACTTTAGAATGAACGGCTGTTTCATCGGTCACCTATGGTAACATAATACTTTGTATTTTCTAAATTTTCTTCCATAAATGTTGAAACTTTATTTTTAAGAATCAGAATTTCCCAGTTATAGTAACTAGGAATCATAAACCAATCTCCAGCTTGCCAACACTGAATTGTTCAATTTCAAATTGATTTACATTCAGTTTTCCACTCTCAGTGAACTGATATTGAATTAACTAATGGATTACTTATGCCAATTAAATATGAAAATTTGATTATGATCTTAATTGTTATAAACCAGTATTCTGTGAAGCATAGCAGAAGACATAACCTAACCCCACTTAAAGGACACTATGTTGTAACTTTACTGAAGCATCAAGAAATTAATCATTTTATTATATCAAACAAACCTTTCTGCTTCCCAAAGAGGTAACAATCATTTACAATTAATAAAGTTGAGAAAGTAGGCAAGTCCATTTTTCAGAACCTGATATTCTAGTAATAAGGCAGTGATAATCTAATGAGGTTCTAGTGATGAAATAGGTTGAAGATGTTGGGGGACTTTACAGGTGCAATTCCCAGCTGGCAACATAAGAAGAGCAAAGGAAACAATCCTCTCTTGTAACTGCATCTGTTGCTAAATCTTGTTTGTTTCACTTTTAGAAAAAACAAAAAATCCCTTCCTCAATATTTTAGTTCATATTCTAATCAAGGCCATGATAATCTTTTAGTTTAAATATTAAGTAGCCTATCAGCAAAGTGAACCTTTGTTGTCAATCCGTCAAAGCAGTTTTCAGTGTTATTCTAGAAAAACCTCAAATAATGTATGATAAGAGTATATGTCACATTAGACACTCTGTAAAGGCAAAGTTCAGATTCATGGAATTTAGTGAGAGTTGTGATACCAGCAGACCCCATTTCTATCTTCAGCATTTACTGACACTGGTAATACTGGTGATAAAATTCAATACCCTTAGCATAGCACAGAGGGTGAGAGCCAGACTCTGACATTAGGCCTCCTGGGTTAAAATTATGGCACCTTCACTTACTAGCTGGTAAACTTGTGGAATCAGTTACCCTCTCAGTTACTCAGTTTCTTAATAGGAGTTATATTATACACTTAATATTGTTTTATTAGATTAAATAAATTAATCCATGGTAGGCACTTAGAACAGTGCCAGCCATATGGTAGGTACTAAGTAACGAAGTATTCAATAAAATAAGAAGTTATTTTCCTCTAAATTGTTACTATTTGTTCTACTTTAATTTCTATAAAATAGTTGTTAAATTCTTGGCTCATATGACCATTAATAATCAGTTGTAAGTATTTTAATTTGGAGTTAACATAGCCAGTATTTTATCTGTATTTTTAGGCATTTTTGAATTTTAACAAAATGAAATTATAATAATGGCTCTGACTCACCCCTACAGAAGTATAATTTCTTGAACTTTTATGTAAATCCAGTTGTCACCTAAATTTGAATATCAGTATTCCTTACAATTTTGGGGGGTGATTCTTTACTTATTTTTCATTTATTCGTTGCCAAGTTATAAACCTCAAAACTTGGTGGCTCAAAACAACAATTTATTATTTCTTATGTTTTCATTTGGCTTGGCAATCTCTCCTGCTAGTCTTTTCTGGAACATTTTGGAAGCTGCAGTCATCTGACAGCTCAACTGTGGTGGGAGGATCCCAGATGGCCTCACTCACATGTCTACTGCTGCAGGTGTAATTGCTGAAGTTGCTCGAGACTAGCAGGTTTTCTCTTTCCCTGCTTTCTCTCTTTTTTCTTTTATCATCCAGGTTCTTTTTTCTGTGTGGCCTCTCATCTTCTCAAGGCAGTTTCAGTCATTTCTGCACATTTATTCATTAAAACAAGTCACAAGGCCAGCCCAAATTCAAGAGAAGGGGAAATAGGTCCTACCTCTTAATAAGAATGGTAAAGTCCTATTAGAAAGGAGCATGGGATGGTTATTACTGCCATTTACAAAACAATCTATCACAGTCTGCCTGTTGTGCAAAGCAATTTGCATCCAATCCATTTGCAAAATACACTCTGTTCCTTTAGTATACAGTCTCTGGTCACTTTTTATCCAATTATGGCATTAATCTCCATGGTTAGAGTCTTGTGTTCTGAATCAGGTCTGAATGTGGATGAACATTCTCAGGTACCATTCCTCCCTGTGGCTCCTCTTGATCTGGAGACTTGTGAATTTAAAAGACACCTTATCTGCCTCTCACGCACCAAACGTACAATGAGAAACAAAAAGAATATAAGCTCAATAACACTGAATTCAAAAGAAGATGTAATAAAAAGCCTAGAGTAACCACTAGTTCATAGCAATCCTGACATCCACACAGGCCATGTTTTCAGGTTTCTCTATTCCAAAAGCAACAGTTTATTTCCTCCAATCTAGGAAGGCTTTTTCCGCCACCAGGGCCCTACACTTGCAGGTCCCTCTGCCTAAAGAATTCCTCTCAAAGGTCTTCATGTGAATGTTCCTTATCATTCTAGTCTTAGGTCAAATGTTACCTTTGCTTAGAGGCTGACACTGAACTCTAACTAGAATTGATCTCCCTTTCTCGTATTTCCTTCATGGAACTTACCACATTCTATAATAGTTATCTTCTGTGTTGATTTATTCACTTATATATGAATGCTTCTTTCCAATATAATACAGACTCACAAGGGCATAGACTTTGTTTCTTTCTTATTCGTACGTTATTCCCCAGGCTTAACACAGAGCCTAGCACTTGACAGATGATCAATAAATATTTGCTAAATAAATGAATGAATGAGCTCTTATAGCCACCTTGTAAAACAGATGCTTCCGTTTTAAATGTAAAGAGATGGAATGAAGCTCAAACAGGTAAGTAACTTGCCAAAGGTCACACATATCTAGTCAAGAGCAGAACCCAGATTCATCCCAGCAATCATGTTACTCTCACAATTTCCCTTTCTTTATAAATAGAAAAAAAAAGTACATGTCCTTCAGAAGGTTGACATTGTTTCAGAATCTTCTCTTCTTGTATCACTTCACCATTTCATGTAACATCAGGTCACATTATATCAGACAACTCAAGAAGAATGCCAGTGACTTTCACCTTGTCTTCCTTTCTGTTTATAACTTTTGCGGACACCATGTATTCTTTAATAAGTAAGCAAATGAAAACTGGCAGATGGACCTACCCCATGATGAGGAAAAAGAGTGAACACATGTTCTCTGCCTAACTTCCAATGGATCAGAGTCAGTTCATGTTGCCCTCTTGGAAAGAGTATCTTTCTTTATTATTTCTGTTTATCCTTAGAGAATGTTTACTCATTTATGTAACATCTCTATTTCGATTTCCCAGCCTATGCAGCCACAAGGTATAAAGAATAAGGACAATTTTAAATGTAAAAACAAAATTTTATATTAGTTTCTCCTTACAGGGGCATTACTGTTTAAAAACTCAATACTGAAATATTATTTATTAGTACAATTCAAGATTTTTTTTTTTTTTTTGAGACAGTGTCTCGCTGTGTCACCCAGGCTGGAGTGCAGTGGCGCTATCTTGGCTCACTGCAACCTCTGCCTCCCGGGTTTAAGTGATTCTCCTGCCTCAGCCTCCCAGGTAGCTTGGACTACAGGCACCTGCCACCATGTCCAGCTAATTTTTTTTGTATTTTTAGTAGAGACGGGGTTTCACTATGTTGGCCAGGCTGGTCTTGAACTCCTGACTTTGTGATCCACCCACCTCAGCCTCCCAAAGTGCTGGGATTACAGGCGTGACCCACTGTGCCCGGCCAAAAAAATATTTTAAAAACTAAAATTCTATCTTTCCAGGATTATCTGTTCAAGTGAGGCAAATAACCTCACTTAAACATACACACACACACACACACACACACACACACACACACAGACAGACAGAGGCATGCACATACTCCTATGGATGCAAAAAGGAGAATCCAAATGTATTCAAATCTATTCTAATCATTAATAAGTACGAATGAGTACCTACTATTATACCAGCACTGATCTTGGTGATTCTTATTGTTTACTTAACCTTGAAACAAATCCCCCAGATAGATGTTTGCGGTCCTGTTTCCCAAATGAGGACTCTGTGTCTCAAGGGCTGATAAATAGTAGCTATTCCAACCCAGTTTTGTATTTTTCTGTTGTATACATATACCAGCTCCAGTATAGGAGATCAAACCTTTGTTCTTTCTTTGCAATGTGTTTGTTTTTTTCTCTTCCTCCTCCTCCTTCCTTCCTTCCTCTTCATTGTCCTCCACCTCTTCCTTCTTCTTCTTCACTTTATTTTTTCTTTCTTTGTTTTTTTGTCTCCCTGAAGAAAGCAGTGACAAAGTCCACTCTCCTTAAACCATGCTAAACATGCTCACCCTAAAGGTAATTATTAATTAGATAATAAAGTCGTTTGACAAATGCTTGCTGTAACTATCAATAGCTAAACTTCTATTAGATCACTGAAACACTAAACATACAATTTAACAGAAATAACAGATCTTATTGTTCTGCTTCATCTAAATACTGGAAGAATTTTCACCATTAATAAAAACCGCATAGTACCAGATAGGATGGTTTTAGCAGAAATTCACAGAATTACCAACTTAAATTGCTTTTTTAAATGAAAGGAAATATCCTATTACATACCAGAATGTCCAGAGAATGGTTTGTAATGGAGCTACAGGTATTATGCAATCAGCTGCTCAAAGATGTTACTAAGAAACATTGGAAAATTATTTGCTTTGACTTTAATTGAATGTTATAATTTAGTTTGAGTAATTTCTATGTGGTATAAATGACCACACATTTAGGAAGTATATACATTCTTAGCTATATCACTGAGTACTTGCATGACATTGAGAAATTTGCATTAACTTTCTGCCTATTACTTTCCTCATCTCTAAAAACTAACAGTACCTACTATATTAGTCCATTCTCACACTGCTATGAAGAAATATCTGAGACTGGGTAATTTATAAAGAAAAGAGGTTTCATTGACTCATAGTTCCACAAGGCTGGGGAGGCCTCAGGAAACTTACAATCATGGTGGAAGGGGAAGCAAACACATCCTTCTTCACATGGTGGCAGGAGAGAGATGAGTGCCAGCAGGGGAAATGGCAGATGCTTATAAAACCATCAGATCGTGTGAGACTCACTCTTTATCACGAGAACAGCATGGAAGTAACTTTCCCCATGATTCACTTACTTTTCACCGGGTCCCTCCCACAACACATGGGTATTACAAGAACTATAATTCAAGATGAGATTTGGGTGGGGACACAGCCAAACCATATCACCTACCTTAGAGATTATTATGAGTAATTTATAAGATGATTCATAAAGAGTATCACAGTTTCTGGGAAATTATCAACAGAAAATAGATGAGAATTATTCTCATAATGACTACCAATTCAGTTTCCAAAAAAACTTTGTTGCTGTATGTTTTACACATGTAAAACTTACCTATCTCAAATGATTCCATGATTTTAATAACAACATTGAGTGAGTGCAACAATCATCACAATTTATTCAGTTTTAACATTTTTATCTGAAAGTTTTTACTCACTTAAAAAATATATAAAATAAAAAGATTGCCAATATTAAATAAAATTTAATGTATATGTATGTTTATATATAATTAAATCAATAGATACAAAACACACATAACTATTACCCAGTACCTAGAAATAATTAGGTAAAGTTTAGTCTTACTCTGTTATATTTAAATCGAATTTGTGAAACAATCACTGATTTCTTCAATAATTTAGGAATTAATATTTATTTCATAAAATTATAAATGTAATTTTCACAAATATATTGAAAATTGTGTGTGTGTGTGTGTGTGTGCATTTGTATGTATTTGCAGCAACAGCAACCAACATTTCTTTTCAAAGTGAATTAATATATTTCACATAGAAGATGCCAGGCTTTGATTCTTTTCATGGCAGAGAAGCCTCAAAATTATTATTTTCCCTTGCTTACCTGTATGTCCTTATCTATTGATAGTCAAAAACATAAAGAATTCTGAGAAGCAGGAATAGAAATAGAGAAGAAGTTTACATTTTAAGTTAAATATACACATGCATTATTCATTATATATTATTATCATATTAATATATGCAGTATGGTATGTACATATTATATGTGTGTGTGTATATATATATATAAATATATATATTATATATATATAAAACCATTATTTGGAAAATTAAGAAAAAAAACTGGAAAAGTATTCATTCAGGACCCCAAATTTACAAAATCCTCTTTAAAGTACAGCTGTTTACTCTGTTTTTCAAGGTTAATAATTCTTACTATTCTATGAGACATGATTGATCTTTGATAGCATTATTATTGGTACAAAAACATTGAAGAAACTACATTCAGTGTCTTGTTTCCAGTAAATAATACAACATTAAGTCCTGAAAGATATTAAATATAATAGTAAAACAAGTGGAAATTTAACACACACCACTATTTTCTCCTGGTGCTATGGTCAGAGTCACTGGTCATATTTCAAATCATCTTGCTCCAGCAAAGATTCTAATTATAACTTCCAGTATGTAAAGTAAATACTAATTACATGCTAAGGGCCAAGGTCTGCCCTTGAATTTAAACAAAGAATTTACAGTTACTTCAATTAAACCTGAATATCTAACAGATTTATTACCAAAAAATTTTAATGTAGAGGACCATACACACATAAAATGATGTAATTGTCGAGGGAAATAAAACATTTAGCTAAGTACAATTTGAACTAGGCAATAGATGTCACCAAAAACTATTCCATGAGCATCTTTCTATTTTATACTGAGCCTCTCAAAGGCAAATGGAATTTATTATAGAGGTCAAAAATATCATAAATATCAACATTTTTTGTTTTGGAAATATTTTCCTTTTTTTTGTTTCCTGTCTTGAGATTCCTTCAAAATTCCTTTAGAGTAAGAGATGAATCCCATGAAGAGAAAGGGTAGAAAGATTTTACCAAGGGAAATTCGTGTCTTCATTGGAAATTTTAGCCAACTATATTTTGGGGGAGATGTAACAACAAATATCTTGCAATTTTAGCAAATAAAGTTTAAGTAACTGCCTGTTGATGGTAGTCTCCTGGAAAGAAATTTATGTAAGAAAACAGGTTTTTGTTTTGTGTTGTTCTTGTATACAAAAGTTTCACATAGAATGAAAGATTCTCTCTTTTTCCCACAAAATTTATGAGTTTGAAAAGAGATAGAGATTCAAGAGAAGTAAAAACATATGCATACACAAAAACATGTATACTAATGCTCATAGCAGCATTAATCACAATAGCCAAAATGTGGAAACAACCCAAATGTTTACCAACTGATGAATGAATGAGCAAATGTGGCTTATCCATACAATGGAATATTATTTGGCCATGGAAAGGAATGAAGTTCTAATACATGCTATCTTGACATCATTAGTCTAAGTAAAAGACCAGTTTCAAAAGTCCACATATAGGATTGCATTAATATGAATGTTAAGAATAGAGAATCTATAGAGACAGAAAGTAGAAAGCAGGTTGGTTGTTGCTTAGGGTTGGTGGATGAGGATGGGCAATAAGGGATGGGGTTTCTTTTTAAGGTAACAAAAATAAATTTGACTGTGGTGGTGATCATACATATCTGTGAATATACTAAAAACCATTAAATTAATTTTAAACAGATGAATTCCATGTTATATGAATAATATCTCAATAGAGCTGTTAAAAAATGTTTAAAAGAATAAGAAAAAAAGGTTACATAACAGCAGTATAATCCAAGTCTGATTTATAGGAATGTCTCAGAGGATTGAATGAATGTTGCACTAGAGATTGTACGTGTGTGTGTCTGTGTGTGCATGTGTGTCCGTGCACACACACACACGTGTTTAATTTAGCTGTTGTTTTCCAGAAGTCTAATACTTTGAATTATTGTTATTAATATAGAGTTTCGTTTTATAGCCCTTTATTTTTAGACTAGAATCCATTGAAAAATGACTTTGATGTTGAATTACATTAAAATGGCCTAAAATTGCTTTTTATATATAAATATTATTTGTCAACATGTTCTGCATTCCATGTAATAAATTATCAGAATCTGATGCTCTGATCAGTTAGACTACACCATGCTATTTAAAGCTTGAAGCACAATTTTTTTAATTTAGTATAATTTTAAACATTACAAAAATAGTTATCTTGCAGCTCCTCTGCTGTGTCTTAGATTGTTGCCAAAGTTTTTTGTAATATGTTATCACTAGAGTAACATCCTCCTATAAATATTGCATCCTTGATTCTAATGTCACCCAAAATAGCGATGTGGTATAAAGAATACAGAAAAAAGAAATGTAAAGAGAGAACTGTGATTTAATTTTATTTTTCTTTATTTTATAGTCATTACAGCTTCCATATCATCATGCTTTCTCACTTATCTGTATATTTTCCAAATATGAAAGTCTCCCTTGGGTCTCAGGATATTTTTTTTCAAGCCCAGAACAATTTTCCATATAACATTCAGCTCAGTTGAATGATTGATACATGAAAAGAAAGGCATTGAACTTTGTGGAATACTTTGTAAAAAACCCACTAAGTCTCAACTGCTTGCAGAGTTCTCATTTCAATGACCCATCCTATGAAGCAATTTCTCCATTGTGTAAGTTTTAAAGACAGAAATCAAAAATGTTGTGGGTATAATCTGAATCTTGACATGAATTCTAAAAATAATGGAGTTGACATAGTTTGCTTTACTTTTTATTTACTCTGAAATGTTGATCTTTTATGTATTTATTAGGAGGAAAATTTCTTCCATATGTGACTAATTGTCAATTGTGTTTTATTCATCAAACTATATTTGAGAGAATCTTGAGGTTCTAATTCAAATAGCTTTTGAAATAGACTTTGTAAGTTGTTTTTCAATAAGCTACTAAAATATTGTTTTTGAAAAAGAGGAAGTCATTATTCTAAGCCCATAGTAACAAAAGACCCAGCAGACTCAAGTTATATTTTAAATATTAAACCCCAAATGCTCAGTAATTTTTACGTCTAATAAAACAAATTTGAGCATCTCATTCTAACAGTCTGCCTGTATATGGAACAGATCTAAGCACATGTGGCTATGGTAGCTGTCAACTTTGTATGACAAGAAGAGTTCCACAGTGACAACAGGCTGACTCCTAATTCCAAGATAATAACCCACTCTTTGTATCAGCTTGATTATGGCGGATACATAGGCCAAAAATATTGGGAGATTTTTGTAGCCCCCAACAACTCATCAGCAAAATTAACTGAAATCATACATCCAGAAATTAATTCTCAAATAACATCATTATTCATTTGTTACCTGGTGTATTGCCTATGTAACATAGCTGAATTTCTAGCCCACCCTAACTCTGCTTTTCTTTAAAAACAGGATGCCTCCTATAAAATGTTCCCTTTGTAAAAATCAGACCAGCTGAGATTGGTTAGAACGAAGACAGCCAAAGAAAGGACTGCAAAAAGACTTCCGGCTTCATTATAATCTCATTTCCATGCTAAATGACACTCTTGCCAGTGCTGCCTTGACAATCACTATGATAATGACCAGAAGAAGTCATAAAAAGACTAAAAGAAAGGTGGCACTACTGGCTTTGGAAAGTTCACTGCCTGTCCCAGGAAACATGTAAATATTCCTGCCCTCACTTCTAAGGTCCAACCCCTTCATTAGAGAAACCCTATATTTTAAACCTCTCACCCCTTGGTTTGTCAGCCATGTTACTGCTTCTCAGTTCCATGGCCATCAAATAAAGCCTGTACTACTTGATGCTCATTTTTGGTTTTGCATTTTGGCTTCATGTCATGGAAAAGGAAAATACCCTATTTTGCTGAATCGGCTTTGTCAGTAACAAATTTATAACATTAGATTGAATCCTATGATCAATTGTATGCTGTTTGAAGCTCTATACCACCACACTTCTAAACCTTATGAAGCAAAACAACAAAAGAATGGCAATACTTAAAATGTAGGAATTGAAGGCATGGGGACAGGGGAGAATTAAGGGAGAGAGAGGGTAGTGTTGAAAACAAGTTTGTGATTTCAAATAAACTCAATTGTAGGCATAGAAATAATCTAGCATCACAAAGTTATAGATATATTACCCACTGGAGAATATCTGATAATTAATAGCTTACCGATAAAAGTAAAGAAGAATGTTTCTTGGTTATGGATATAATTCATCTCTGAAGGATCGAATCTAATCTTGCACATAAAAGCAGCAAATCCAGTTTCCTATATTTGCTCATACCATATTCTACTTTCTTGCTCAAACGATTATCCCCATACATCTTAAGGGTCTTAAATCTCATGGCATTAAAGTAGGGTTTTTTTTCTTTTCTTTTCTTTTTGTCTTTTTTTTTTTTTTTTGGTTGTTTAGTTTGTTCTTTCTTTTGGGACCTTGCTATTTTATATCTTCTACCATCTACTAACTTTAGCTACCTGGAACTCTCATCTCTAAATATCCCTCAGTTCCAGTAACAGATATTTCCTCTGCATTTCTGCATTCCATAGAACCTACACTGGAGAGGCACCCTGGCACCCCCTTGTGAGCATGGAATTGAACATGGTTTCTAAAATCTACCATGACTTTCCCATGTTAGTATCAATATCTCAAGGCTTAACTTAATTCCAATAGCTACCTCCAACATTTACTTCCAGAATATTTAAATAAATATCTAAAGTATGGGGAAAATACTAATGCTATTTGTATTAGTCCATTTTCATGCTGCTGATAACAACTTACCCAAGACTGGATAATTTACAAAAGAAAGAGGTTTAATGGAGAACTCACAGTTCCACGCGGCTGGGTAAGCCTCACAATCGTGGTGGAAGGCAAGGAGGAGCAAGTCACATCTTATGTGGATAGTGGCAGGCAAAGAGAGAGAGCTTGTGCAGAGAAACTCTTGTTTTTAAAACCATCACATCTTGTGAGACTTATTCACTATCGCAAGAACAGCACAGAAAAGACCTGCCTCATGATTCAATTACGTCCTACCAGGTTTCTCCGATAACATGTGGGAATTGTGGAAAGTACAATTCAAGATGAGATTTGGGTGGGGACACAGCCAAGCCATATCACTATTGAAATTATGTTTAAGTTTTCTTGCATGTTTTTGAAGAGTGACACTTCACAAAATTAGTTTGTATTTAGGAAAACTGTATCTTCCAGAGTTACTGTTTAGAGATGTGAAAATGTTGAAATTGCAAAATATGAATTATGGAAATTTAAGATACATTTTTTGGATATAACTTTTTTCTCCACATTATATGCAGTAATTGTATCTTAGCCCAGTTTCTCCAAATCCTGAGGCAAAAATCAAATACTTTTATGGAGAATTTGTAACCCCAGAGAAACAAAGATGGAAGAAAAGGGAAATGAAGAAAAACAAAAAATGAAACATCAAGAAACTGACACAGCTTCCACAGAAAGCACAGTTGGCTGCTCCATTACACTGACGTCTACAGTAAGGTGGTATGGAAAAGCTGCTGATTCTCATAATTCTCTGTTAGGCAAGAAAGAGGGAGCATATATTTAACTCACCTTTCTATTGCTGGTCTTTCACTGATGAAAGTTGTCACTGGGGTGTTAACTCACCCACACCCTCCATTATGTTACCTGGCTTCTTTGAGCTGTGGAGGCGACATCCATTGAGAACCACAGTACCATCTTCTTTGATGTGAGTCTTACTTCTGCAGGATGTCCCAGCAAGTGGCCATGAACCAGAAACCCTACTAGCCTAACTGAAGATCGAAATTTTGAATTAATGGCAAAGTACTGTGGCTAAAGGCAAGACAGTATGAGGTCATGATTTGAGAGACCTAGAGCAGCTGCTGAAGCATGCCTGATAGACTAAGCAGGCAAGATATGGTCTCCTCCATGAAGATGATCATGCTTTTCAATGAGTTTCTCTAACAAAGATCAACAAATACCAGTACCTCTTCTCTATGGACTACAAGAAAGTGGTTTATCCCAAGTGAACTTCCTAGAAGGCCATCAGTAGAACTTTGCAGAAAAACATTGCCAAAAATATGAGATTCACAGAGATCTTTTAGGAAAAATATTAGAAACAAAATATAAGGAATAAAAATATTTACATCAATTATATTCTTTAAATGAAAAGAAGAAAAAGCTCAAATCATCAACTTAAGTTTAGAATGTAAGAAAGTAGAAAAAGAAGAAAAATTAAAGTTAGCAGAAGGAAGAAAAAAATAATAAATTATAAAAAATAAAAAAATAAAGAATAGAGCAGAGATTCTTAAAAACAGAGAGTAGAAAAACAATAGAGAAAATCAATGAATCCAAAAGTTGGTTCTTTAAAAATATTAACAAAACTGATGAACTTTTAACTAGGTGAACTGCAAAAAAAGATAGAGATACAAATTGGTAAAATAAGAAATTAAACTGTGTGTGTGGGGAGCATTGCTATTGACTCTACAGAGCACTGTGAGAAATTGTACAATTTGTATAGTACAAATTATATCCAAACTGGATAACTTGGATGAAATAAATTTCTAGGAAAACAAAACCTGTGAAGATTAAATTATGAAGTAATAGAAAATCTATTTACAATTATGACTAGCAAAGAGATTAAGTCAGTAATCAAAAATCTCTTAACAAAGAAAAGCCTTGATGTGACAGCTTCACAGGCAAATTATACCAAACATTTAAAAAACTAACACAAATTCTTCTCAAACTTTTCCAAAAAAAATTAAGAGAAGGAAATACTTCTTAAGTAATTCTATGAGGCTAGCACTACCCTGATACCAAAGCCAGAAAAAGATATTATAAGCAAAGGAAACTACAGACCAGTATCTATTAAGCACACTGATGCAAAAAAAAAAAAATCCTCATTAAAATAATTCAGCAGATATATATATATATGAGGATTTTTAATGAGGATTTTTATATACACATATATATGTACATATATATGTGTGTGTATATATATATATATATATATATATAGAGAGAGAGAGAGAGAGAGAGAGAGAGATCATGGATATATTTATATCCAGGACCAAATGAGATTTATTACTGGAATGTAAGGATGGTTCAATATATAAATATTGATCAATATAATACATAATGTTTACAAAAGGAAGAAAAAAGTCATGAGTATATTAATTGTGGTAAAAGAAGTATTTGAAAAAATCGAACAATCTTCCATGATAAAAAACACTCAGCAAACTAGGAATAGAAGAAAACTATCTCATAATAAAAGGCATGTATGAAAAATACACTGTGAGTAACATAATGGTGAAAGACTGAAAGCTTTTCCTCAAAGAAAAAAAATTGCAAGAATGCCCATTTTCACCACTTCTATTCAACATAGTATTGGAAATTCTAGCCAGAGCAGTTAGGTAAGAAAAAGAAATAAAACTATCCCAAATTTAAAAGACAGTAGTGAAAGTATCTCTTTTCACAGATGACATGATCCTATATGTTGAAAACCCTACAGATTCCACAATAAAAACTGTTAGAACTAATAAGCAAATTCAGCAAAGTGGCAGGACACCAAATGAGCTCATAAAATAAGTTGCATTTCTATACACTAACACTAAACATTCTGAAAAGGAAAATATGAAAACAATTCAATTTACTATAGCATCAAAAAAAAATACCTAGGAACTAACTTAATGAAGAAGTGAAATATTTTACAATGAAAATACAAAACATTGCAGAAAGAAATTAAATACATAAATACATGGCAACATATCTCATGTTCAAGGATTGGAAGACTTAATATTATTAAGATATCCATACTATCTAAAGTAATCTACAAAATAATGTAATCCCTATCAAAATCCCAATGACTTTTTTTTTTTGTAGAAATAGAAAAACCTATCCTAAAATTCACATGGAATCCCAAGGGACTCCAAATAGCTGAAACATTCTTTAAAAAGAACAAAACTGGAGGACTCATACTTCCTGATTTTAAAATTTAACTGCAAAGTTAACCAAACTGTGGTACTGGCATAAACACAAACATATATACCAGTGAAATAGAACAAAACAGTGGTACTAGCATAAACACAGAAATATATACCAATTAAATAGAATAGAAAGCATACAAATAAATGCTGACATACATGGTCAAATGATTTTTGACAAGAGTGACAAGATCATTCAATGGAGAAAGGAGAGACATTTCAACATATGGTGGTTAGAAAACTGGACTGTCACATGTAAAATAATTTAGACTCTTAACACCACATACAAAAAATAACTCTAAGTGAATCAAAGATCTACCTTTAAGGCCTCAAACTATGCAACTCTTAGAAGAAGACATAGGACAAAAACTTTAGAACATTGGATTTTGCAATGTTTTATTAGAAATGACACCAAAGTCAGAGGCAACTGAAGATGAAATAGACAAATTGAACTCCGTGAAAACTTTAAAAATTTGTACACTAAAAGATAATGTCAACAGAGTAAAAAAAAAAAAAAAGGCAGCCCATGGGATAAGAGGAAATATTTGAAAAGTATATATCTGATAAGGGATTAATATCCAGAATATACAGAGAACAGCTAAAACTCAAAAAAAAAGAACAACCTGATTCAAAAATGGACAAAAAGCTTGAATAGACCTTTCTCCAAAAAAGATATACAAATAACAAATAAGCACATGAAAAGATGCTCAACATCACTAATCATTAGGGCAATGCATATCAAAGCTGCAAAGAGATACCACCTCACACTCTTGATGACTACCATCAAAACAAACAAACAAACAAACAAAAAACCAGAAAATAACAAGACTTGCCAAAATGTGGAGAAATTGGAACCCTTGAGAACTGTTGGTGGGAATGTAAAGCCACTGTAGAAAACATTAAGGTCATTCCTCAAAATATTAAAAATAAAATTACTATATGATCCAATGATTCCACTTCTCAGTATATACAGCAAAGAATTGAAAGCAGAGACTTGAAGAGATATATGTAGACCCATATATTACAGTAGCTAAGGTGTTTATTAAAAAATGAGTGGACCAGGCGTGGTGGCTCACACATGTAATCCCAGCACTTTGGGAGGCTGAGGCAGGTGGATCACAAGGTCAGGAGATTGAGACCATCCTGGCTACCATGGTGAAACCCTGTCTCTACTAAAACTACAAAAAATTAGCCAGGCATTTTGGCAGGCGCCTGTACTCCCAGCTACTCAGGTAGCTGAAGCAGGAGAATGGCGTGAAACCAGGAGGTGGAGCTTGCAGTGAGCCAAGATCACGCCATTGCACTCCAGCCTGGGTGACAGAGCAAGACTGTCTCAAAAAAAAAAAAAAAAAAAGAGTGGATATACAAAGTATGGTATATACATACAATAGAATATAATTCTAAAATGTAAAAAAGGAAAAACATTTTGATATGCTATTACATGGATGAAACTTGAGGACATTGTGCTAAGTGAAATAAGCTAGTCACAAAAAGACACATATGGTATCATTTTATTTACATGATGTACTTAGAGTCATCAAAATTATAAAGACAGAAAGTAGAATGATGATTGCCAGGGGCTGAGAGGAGAGGAAAATGAGTTATTACGGGCATAGAGTTTCAGTTTTACCAGATGAAAAGGGTTATGGAGATGAATGGTGGTGCTGGTTGCACAACATTATGAATGTATTTAATACCACTGAACTGTACACTTAACAATAGTTAAGACGTTAAATTTTATGTTACATGTATTTTACTACAATAAAAAATGAAAAACAACATAAGCTAGAGGTTCTCAGGGCAGAAAGTGGAGCAGAAGCGGACTACAAAAAGGCACAGTGATCGACGTGTTCTAGATATTGGATTTGATGGCACTTACAAAACTATGTGTGTTTCTCAAATTGTGCATTAAAAAGAGTGAATTTACAATTTTTTTTTCTGAGAAATCCACTGCAAAAAGATCATCACCAAGGCACATAGTCATCAGGTTATCTAAAATCAAGACAAAAGAAAAAAACTTAAGAGCTGTAAGGCAAAAGCATCAGGTAACCTACAAAGGAAAATCTATCAGATTAACAGCAGATTTCAGGGCAGAAACCCTACAAGCCAGAGGGATTGGGGTCCTACCTTTAACCTTTTCAAACAAAATAATTGCCAGTCAAAAATTCTGTATCCAGTGAAACTAAGCTTCATAAATGAAGGAGAGATAAAGTCTTTTTCAGACAAATGCTGAGAATTTGCCACTACCAAGCCAGCACTACAAGAAGTGCTAAAAGGAGTTCTAAATATTAAAACGAAACCTCAAAATATGCTAAAATAGAATCCCCTGAATGCATAAATTTCACAGGGCCTATAAAACAGTAACACAATTTAAAAACAAACAAAATGTATTCAGACAACTAACATGATGAACGGAACAGTACCTCACATCTCAATACTACAATTGAATGTAAATGGCCTAAATGCTTCACTTAAAAGATACAGAATAGCAGAATGAATAAAAATCCACCAACCAAGTATCTGCTGTCTTCAAAAGACTTACCTAAAACATAAGGACTCCCGTAAATGTAAGGTAAAGGGGTAGAAAAAGACATTCCATGCAAATGGAAACCAAAAGCAAGCAGGAGTAGCTATTCTTATATCAGACAAAATAGACTTTAAAGCAACAACAGTTTACAAAGACAAAGTGGGACATTATATAATAAAAGGATTAGCCCAAGTCCAACAGGGAAATAATACAATCCTAAACATATATGCACTTAATACTGGAGCTCTCAAATTTATAAAACAATTTCTACTAGATGTAAGGAATAAGATAGACAGCAATACAATCTTTAAATCATATAACTCTGACTTTAGATTTTTTCAAAAAAACCTTCAAATGAAGAAAAATAATTACTTTCACCACTCTATAAAATTACAACCTGATAACTTGCTGCCCTCCACTGTCATACAGCATCCTCAATCTACCTTCCTCAGTTTCTTATTTTACCATGACAGGTATTATTCTCCATTTTATTAAATTATTTACTTATGTATCATTTTTATTGTTTATTGCCTACCTTGCCCCATGTACTAAAAATCCACAAGGCAATAAATTTTTGTCTATTTTTGTTGACTGACTAATCCAAGAAACCATAATGGTGCCTTTAGCATAGTAAGCATTCCAATAAATATTCATTCATTAATAAATTAATGTGCAGAAGAAAAATGTGTTGCATAAAATCAGACTTATTTTCAGCTGAAAGAAAAAAAAATCCTATCTAGACTATTTTTAAAGATGGAGAATCATTTTTTCCTACAACAAAAAAATCCACAACAAGCTCAGCTCCATGTACAGATTATAAGGAGAACTTTAAAAGCTGTCACCAGGCTCTGTTTCTTCCATCAATGTCTTCATCCCCTCTTTTCTTCATTTCTCATAGTCATAAGATGGCTGCAATAACACCTCACAACTTTCCAGATTGCTCCATTGTGAAAGAAAAAATACTGCTTTCCAGATGCTCAAAAGTCGTGGGATCAGCTGTGATTTGGGCTTACTCCAGTCCCTTGGGGCCTGGATGGTAGAATATGTTGATGGACAGAGGCCTTGGTCACTCAGCCTGCATGACAGGTCAGCAGCATCCAAAATGTAGGAGTTAAGGGTGGTGCTTTAAAGTCTTGTACATTTCAAATGTATTAAATAAAGTCATAGTTAAGAACGTAATGATATAAAAATCACCTCCTTAGTTAAAACAAAGCAGATTATTTCAGAGATTGAGCAGAAATAACTTTGGAGAATGGTATGTAAATAGGGTGTCCTCAGCCAGCCACAATCTACCATACCTGGTGGTCTCACTTTTGATCCATAATGTCATCATGTATATGTGAATGCAAAGCATTATACATGCATTATCAAAATGCAAAGGAAATTGTAGAACATAAGATTAACAATTGTGAAACAAATTTAAAAAATCTATCCAGCCCAGAAACCTGCTTGAGTATATAAATGAGAATTTTAATAGACTATTGTTTGCATTCCAAAGTATAAATATATGTTCCCAAATACACTGGCTTATATTTATTTCCCTCAAGTGCTAAGACCTTCTTATAACTGTCAATCTAGTATTTATTAAAATAATTCTTAATCATTTAAATATATCCTAAATACTTGGTAAAAATACATATGTATAAATAAAACATGTTAACCTTTCCCCAATTCACATTTAGTTCATTTACTATGTTCATCTTTCCTAATAAAGACCTCAAACCATTTTTGAAATAAAGCAAGAGTAAACAAATATCATGGACAATACCAAATTTCCTGTATGATTCCCCCATTCCTTTTGTCCCTTCTGAATGTTTACAAGTAAGTATGCATGCACAGTTGGAATTTCACCTAATGGTATTCTATTTTAAGTTTATGTAACCTGAAACAGATTGCATCTAAATATATAGAACAGCTCTATTTTCTTTACTTTATCTTTAAAACTATCAATCAAATTAGTCTTATACATCAGTTTATTTATCTTAAAGTAATATCATATGTCAGCTAAAGAGTTTTTTCCTATATAATTATCACATTATAATCAGTTAAATGAGTATTAATTATTTTGGCATTATCTCCCACAGAGTGAACACTTAAATAGAAGCCTCTGTTAAAACGTACTGCTCTGTCAAAGTTCTCTGTATATATCAGTCATAGCACATTAGCCTTGGAAGGGACCCACAGTCAAAGTTCTCTGTGTATATCAATCAATCAGAGCACATTAGCCTTGGAAGAGACTCACAGATCATATAATTGGAAAGTATTCATTTGACAGATAAGGTATATTCACCTCTGACAGAACTACCACTAGAGATGAATGCTGGTAAACCAATACTATTTTCCAATTACCCATGTTTTCTTCTATTCTTATGCTCTGTCACTTTATAAATAAGTGTAAAACCTATACAGTATGCTGAAGTTCCCTGCTAAATTTGGTTAGTAATGTAAAAACAAAAGTTTCAACTTGATTGATATATAATTTAATACAACTGAGGGTTTTTCTCAGCCTAAATCAAGTATTTTAATGAGACATTCTTCCAGGTACATAACATTGGACATCCACTTGCCTTAAAATCTCACCCAGTTATTACTGGGAGTGTCCCTAGGGTGTCACATAAAGGTTGTTAAGAGTTTGTATACAACAAGATGTGAATATCCCAATGTGAAGACCACTGTGCTAAATTACGCCCCCCCCCCCCCACACACACACAATATACTTCCCCACCTTGCCATACTATCAGGACATTTAAAATTTTTGGTTAAATAAATATCGAAAATTCCTTTTGTTATGCCTGTGTAAACATTACACACCCAAGGCAAGTAGCATATTATGATGATACTTTCTTTTAGGTACTAATTTACTTGAGACATGATTTTTAAAAAATATTTTTTAATTGAAGAAGAATAGACATACAGAAAGAAATGCAAATTGCATTTATCTCAGTAATTTTTTTTACTAGGTGAGTGCACTTGAAAACACAGAATTTAAGTCAAGAATTGTAATATTACTAGTTTGCAAGAAAACCCCTCAGGCTTGCTCCCAGTCATTACTACCTTGGAAAGGGTAATTGTCATCCTGAATTCTAACACCATTAATTAATTTGACATTTTTTAACTTTATACAAATAGATTTATATAAGTATTATTTTGTCTCTGGCTTTTTTCACTCAACATTAGCTATGTGAAATTCATATGCTGTATAACATTTCATCATATGCATATACCACAATTCACTCTATTGTTGATGAATTTGTGAATTGTTTTCAGCTTTTGGCTATAAGGAAATAATGCTCTTCAGTTACACACCCAGGATGAAAATTGCTGGAGTAACAGAGTTTGTTGTATGCTTGGTTTTATAAACACTATCAAATAGATTTCTAAGTGGCTGCAACAGTTTTATCTATTTATCTATTTATTTACTTTAATAATTGCAAATATTTTATGGGATAAAATGTGATGTTATGATGCATGTATACATTGTAGAATGATTAAGTCAGGATAATTAACATATCCATCACCTCACCTACTTACACTTTCTTTCTAGTGAGAACATTTTAAATCAACTCTCTTAGCAACTTAGAAATATGTACTACATTATTTTTAACTATAGTCATCATGCTGTGCAAATAAATCACTAGAACTTATTCCCCCAGTCCAGATGAAACTTCCTATGCTTTGACTAACATCTCCCCTTTAATGTCCTTCTCCCCACAGTTTTCTTCCCCCACAACCCATACTCTAGTCTCTGGTCACCACCATTCTATTCTCTACTTCTAGGAGTTCCAGTCTTTTTGATTCCACATATAAGTGAAATCAAGCAGTAATTGTCTTTCTGGGCCTGACTTATTTCATTTAGCATAATGTTCTCGAGATTCATACATGTTGTTATAAATGACAAAATTTTCTTCCTTTTAAATGCTGAGTAGTATTCCATTGTGTATATGTGCCGCATTTTCTTTATCTATTCATGCATTGATGGGCACACTTGTGTTGTTTCCATATCTTGGCTGCAGCAGTGTAGAGTTCATTTAGCAACATCTGATAGTTTTCATTTTCTCCATATGCTGACCAGCGATTACTCATATTTTTCTGTCTTTTTAATTTTATTCATTCTGGTACATTTATAGATGTATCTAATTGTGGTGGTGGTGGTGTTCTGTTTTGTTTTATGGAGTACTATGTTTGATTCATTCAAAACAATAGAATACAGTAAATCAAAGCTAACAATTGAATGCCCCACAAAATTAAGAATTTACAAATTAAAAGTGGAAAGAAATTTTACAGCTACTGCAACTATATAACTTGTCATTCAAAAGTAGACAATAGGCAATAAGCCACAATTAACCCAGACATTTATCACCCACAGCTCCTAATTAGATCTTTTCTTGCAACACCTCACAATGTAGTGCTTTGAATCTGGAAAAGTATAATATGTAAACCAACACTGAAGTTTTATAAAATTTCCTTAGAATGCATTGCAGTTAATTCTAGAAGCCACAGTTCTGAGTATTGGATCAATAGCAATAGGGAAGTTATAAAAAACTGAAAAAACATTTTCAGATAAATGTACAATACTTGTGGTTTTAATGTACATTTCCATGATGACAAATTATTTTGAGCATATTTTCTTGTTTATTGGTTATTTAGAAAACCTCTTTACATAATGCCAACTCTAGTGTTTTGGATTTGAACAAGCAAAATCCAAAATTGAATGCATTTTTTATCTCTCTTTTTTTTAATGGCTGATCACAACAAACACTTCTCTTTCTTTTTCTTTTAATTTTTCTTTTTCTTTTAATTTTAATAGCTTTCGGGGTACAAGAGGTTTTTGGTTACATGGATGAATTATGTGGTGGTGAATTCTGCTATTTTAATGAACTCGTCACCTGGTAGTGTACATTATACCCAATACGTATTTTTTTAAAATAGTTTAAGTTCTGGGATACATGTACAGAATGTGCAGGTTTGTTATATAGCTATATACATGCCATGATGGTTTGCTGCACCCATCAACCCATCATCTACATTAGGTATTTCTCCTAATGCTATCCCTTCCCTAGCCCCCCACCACCCAGCAGGCCCTGGTGTGTGATGTTCCCCTCCCTGTGTCCCTGTGTTCTCATTGTTCGACTCCCACTTATGAGTGAGAACAGGTGGTGTTTGGTTTTCTATTCCTGTGTTAGTTTGCTGAGAATGATGGTTTCCAGGTTCATCCATGTCCCTGAAAAGGACATGAGCTCATCCTTTATTATGGCTGCATAGTATTCCATGGTGTATATGTGCTACATTTTCTTTATCCAGTCTATCACTGATGGATATTTGGGTTGGTTCCAAGTCTTTGCTGTTGTGAACAGTGCTGCAGTAAACATACGTATGCATGTGTCTTTATAGTAGAATGATTTATAATTCTATGTGTATATATCCAGTAATGGGATTGCTGGGTTAAATGGTATTTCAGGTTATAGATCCTTAAGGAATCGCCACACTGTCTTCCACAATGGTTGAACTAATTTACACTCCCAACAACAGTGTAAAGGCATTCCTATTTCTTTAAATCCTCTGTAGCATCTGTTGTTTCCTGACTTTTTAATGATCGCCATTCTAACTGGTGTGAGGTGGTATCTCATTGTGGTTTTGATTTGCATTTCTCTAATGACCAGTGATGATGAGCTTTCTTTCATATGTTTGTTGGCTGCGTAAATGTCTTCTTTTGAGAAATGTCTGTTCATATCCTTTGCCCACTTTTTGATGGAGTTGTTTGATTTTTTTCTTGTAAATTTGTTTAAGTTGCTTGTAGATTCTGGATATTATCCCTTTGTCAGATAGATAGATTGCAAAAATTTTCTCCCATTCTGGAGGTTGCCTGTTCACTCTGACGATAGTTTATTTTGCTGGGCAGAAGCTCTTTAGTTTAATTAGATCCCATTTGTCAATTTTGGCTTTTGTTGCCAGTGCTTTTGGTGTTTTAGTCATGAAGACTTTGCTCATGCCCATGTCCTGAATAGTATTGCTTAGGTTTTCTTCTAGGGTTTTTATAGTTTTAGGTCTTACGTTTATGTCTTAATCCACCTTGAGTTAATTTTTGTATAAGGTGTAAGGAAGGGGTCCAGTTTCAGATTTCTGCATATGGCTAGCCAGTTTTCCCAACACCATTTATTAAATACAGAATCATTTCCCCATTGCTTGTTCGTGTCAGGTTTGTCAAAGATCAGATGGTTGTAGATGTGTGGCATTATTTCTGAGGCCTCTGTTTTGTTCCATTGGTCAATATATCTGTTTTGGTACCAGTACCATGCTGTTTTGGTTACTGTAGCCTTGTAGTATAGTTTGAAGTCAGGTGGTGTGATGCTTCCAGCTTTGTTCTTTTTGCTTAGGATTGTTTTGGCTATACAGGCTCTTTTTTGGTGCCATATGAAATTTAAAGTAGTTATTTCTAATTCTGTGAAGAAGGTCAATGGTAATTTGATGGGGATAGCATTGAATCTATAAATTACTTTGGGCAGTCTGGCCATTTTCATGATATTGATTCTTCCTATCCAAGAGCATGGAGTCTTTTTCCATTTGTTTGTGTCCTCTTTTATTTCCTTGAGCAGTGGTTTGTAGTTCTCCTTGAAGAGGCCCTTCACATCCCCTGTAAGTTATATTCCTAGGTATTTTATTCTCCTTGTAGCAATTGTGAATGGGAGTTCACTCATGATTTGGCTCTCTGTCTATTATTGGTGCATAGGAATGCTTGTGATTTTTGCACATTGATTTTGTATAATGAGACTTTGCTGAAGTTGCTTATCAGCTTAAGGAGATTTTGGGCTGAGATGATGGGGTTTTCTAAATATACAATCATGTCCTCTGCAAACAGAGACAATTTGGCTTCCTCTCTTTCTATTTGAATACCCTTTATTCCTTTCTCTTGCCTGATTGCCCTGGCCAGAACTTCCAATATTATGTTGAATAGGAGTGGTGAGAGAGGGCATCCTTGTCTTGTGCCGGTTTTCAAAGGGAATGCTTCCAGCTTTTACCCATTCAGTATGATATTGGCTGTGGGTTTGTCATAAATAGCTCTTCTTATTTTGAGATATGTTCCATCAATACCTAGTTTATTGAGAGTTTTTAGCATGAAGAGGTGTTGAATTTTATCAAAGGCCTTTTCTGCATCTATTGAAATAATCATGTGGTTTTTGTCATTGGTTCTGTTTATGTGATGGATTATGTTTATTGATTTGCATATGTTGAACCAGCCTTGCATCACAGGGATGAAGCCAACTTAATTGTGGTGGACAAGCTTTTTGTTATGCTGCTGGATTCAGTTTGCCAGTATTTTGTTGAGGATTTTCATGATGTTCATCAGGATATTGGCCTGAACTTGTCTTTGTTTGTTGTGTCTCTGCGAAGTTTTGATATCAGGTTGATGCTGACCTCATAAAATGAGTTAGGGAGGATTCCCTCTTTTTCTATTGTTTGGAATAATTTCAGAAGGAATGATACCAGCTCCCCTTTGTACCTCTGGTAGAATTCGGCTGTGAATCTGTCTGGTCCTGGACTTTTGTTGGTTGGTAGGCTATTAATTACTGCCTCAATTTTAGAAGTTGTTATTGGTATATTCATGGATTCGAATTCTTCCTGGTTTAGTCCTGAGAAGGTTTATTTGTCCCGGAATATATCAATTTCTTTTATATTTTCCAGTTTATTTGCGTAGAGGTGTTTATAGTATTTTCTGATGGTAGTTTGTGTTTCTTTGGGATCAGTGGTGATATCCCCTTTGTCATTTTTTATTGTGTCTATTTGATTCTTCTCTCTTCTTTATTAGTATGGATAGTGTTCTATGTATTTTGTTTATCTTTAAAAAAAATCAGCTCCTGGATTCATTAATTTTTTGAAGGGTTTTTCATGTCTCTATCTCCTTCAGTTCTGCTCTGATCTTAGTCATTTCTTGTCTTCTCCTAGCTGCTGAATTTGTTTGCTGTTGCTTCTCTACTTCTTTTAATTGTGATGTTAGGGTGTCAAGTTTACATCTTTCCCGCTTTCTCCTGTGGGTATTTAATGCTATAAATTTCCCTCCAAACACTACTTCAGCTATGTCCCAGAGATACTGGTACATTGTGTATTTGTTCTCATTGGTTTCAAATAACTTATTTATTTCTGCCTTAATTTCATTATTTACCCAGTATTCATTCAGGAGCAGATTTTTCAGTTTCCATATAGTTGTGCAGTTTTGAGTGAGTTTCTTAATCCTGAGTTCTTATTTGATTGCACTGTGGTCTGAGAGACTGTTATGATTTCTATTCTTTTGAATTTGTTGAAGAGTGTGTTACTTCCAATTATGTGGTCAATTTTAGATTAAGTGTGATGTAGTGCTGAGAATAATGTATATTCTGTTGATTTTTGGTGGAGAGTTCTGTAGATATCTAGTAGGTCTGCTTGGTCCAGAGCTGAGTTCAAGTCCTGAATATCCTTGTTAATTTTCTGTTTCGTTGATCTGTCTAATATTGACAGTGGGGTGTTAAAGTCTCCCACTATTATTGTGTGGGAGTCTAAGTCTCTTTGTAGGTCTCTAAGAACTTGCTTTATGAATCTGAGTGCTCCTGTATTGGTTGCATATATATTTAGGAGAGTTAGCTCTTCTTGTGGCATTGATCACTTTGCCATTATGTAATGCCCTTTCTGTCTTTTTTGATCTTTGTTGGTTTAAAGTCTGTTTTATCAGAGACTATCATTGCAACCCCTGCTTTTTTGTTTTGTTTTGTATTTCCATTTACTTGGAAAATATTCCTCCATCCCTTTATTTTGAGCCTATATGTGTCTTTGCAAGTGAGAATGGGTCTCCTGAATACAGCAAACTGATGGGTCTTGACTCTTTATCCAGTTACTAGTCTGTGTCTTTTAATTGGGGCATTTAGCCCATTTACATTTAAGGTTAATTTTGTTATGTGTGAATTTGATCCTGTCATTATGATTCTAGCTGGTTATTTTGCCCGTTAGTTGATGCAGTTTCTTCATAGCGTTGATGGTCTTTACAATTTGGTATGTTTGTACAGTGGATATTTAGTGCTTCCTTCAGGAGCTCTTGTAAGGCAGGCCTGGTGGTGACAAAAATCTCTCAGCACTTGCTCGTTTGTAAATGATTTTATTTCTCCTTCACTTATCAAGCTTGAAAAATCTTTTATTTAAGAGTGTTGAATATCAGCCCCCACTCTCTTCTGGCTTGTAGGGTTTTGCAGACAGATCTGCTGTTAGTCTGATGGGCTTCCCTTTGTGGGTAATCTGACCTTTCTCTCTGGCTGCCCTTAACATTTTTTTCCTTCATTTCAGCCTTGGTGAATCTGATGATTATGTGTCTTGGGGTTACTCTTCTCAAGGAGTATCTTTGTGGTATTCTATGTATTTTCTGAATTTGAATGTTGGCCTGTCTTGCTAGGTTGGGGGAGTTCTCCTGGATAATATCCTGAAGAGTGTTTTCCAATTGATTCTATTCTCCCTGTCACTTTCAGGTACACCAGTCAAACGTAGGTTTGGTCTTTTCACCTAGTCCCATATTTCTTGGAGGCTTTGATTGTTCCTTTTCATTCTTTTTTCTCTAATTTTGTCTTCATGCTTTATTTCATTAAGTTGATCTTCAATCTCTGATATCCTTTCTTCTACTTCATCAATTTGGCTACTGATACTTGTGTATTCTTCACGAAGTTCTTGTGCTGTGTTTTTCAGCTCCATCAGGTCATTTGTTCTTCTCTACACTGGTTATTCTAGTTAGAAATTTCTCTAACCTTTTTTCAAGGTTCTTAGCTTCCTTGTATTTGGTTAGAACATGCTCCTTTAGCTCAGAGGAGTTTGTTATCACCCACCTTCCGAAGTCTACTTCTGTCAAATCGTCAAACTCATTCTCCATCCAGTTTTGTTCCCTTGTTGGTGAGGAGTTGTGATCCTTTGGAGGAGAAGAGACATTCTGGTTTTTGGAATTTTCAGCCTTTTTGTGCTGGTTTTTCCTCATCTTCATGGATTTATCTACCTTTGGTCTTTGATGTTGGTGACCTTCAGATGGGGTTTTTGTGTGGATGTCCTTTTTGTTGATGTTGATGCTGTTCCTTCTGTGTGTTAGTCTTCCTTCTAACAGTCAGGCCCCTCTCCTGCAGGTCTGCTGGAGTGTGCTGGGGGCCCACTACAGACCCTGTTGGCCTGGGTATCACCAGCAGAGGCTACAGAACAGCAAAGACTGCTGCCTGTTCTTTCCTCTGGAAGCTTTGTCCCAGAGTGGCACCTGCCATATGCCAGCCAGAGCTCTCCTCTATGAGGTGTCTGTCGACCCCGGCCAGGAGGTGTCTCCCAATCAGGAGGCACGGCAGTCAGGGAGCCACTTGAGGAGGAGATCTGTCCCTTAGCAGAGCTCAAGCGCTGTGATGTGAGATCCACTGCTCTCTTCAGAGCCAGCAGGCAGGAACGTTTAAGTCTGCTGAAGCGTGCCCACAGCCACCCCCTGCCCCAGGTGCTCTATCCCAGGGAGATAGGAATTTTATCTATAAGCCCCTGACTGGGGCTGCTGCCTTTCTTTCAGAGATGCCCTGTCCAGAGATGAGGAATCTAGAGAGGCAGTCTGGCTACAGCAGCTTTGCCGAGCTGTGGTGGGCTCCGCCCAGTTCAAACTTCCTGGCAGCTTTGTTTACACTGTGAGGGGAATACCACCTACTCAAGCCTCAGTAATGGTGGACACCCCTCCCCCAGCTAAGCTGAAGCATCCCAGGTGGACTTCACACTTCCGTGCTGGCAGCAAGAATTTCAAGCCAGTGGATCTTAGCTTGCTGGGCTTCATGGGGGTGGGATCCACTGAGCTAGACCACTTGGCTCCCTGGCTTCAGCCCCCCTTTCCACAGGAGTGAATAGCTCTGTCTCACTGGCGTTCCAGGCGCCATGGGGGTATGAAAAAAAAACTGCAGCTATCTTGGTGTCTGCCCAAATGGCTGTCCAGTTTTTTGCTTGAAACCCAGAGCCCTGGTGGTGTATGCACCCGAGGGAATCTCCTGGTCTGTGGGTTGCAAAGACCATGGGAAAAGCTTAGTATCTGGGCTGGAATGCACCATCCCTTACAGCACAGTCCCTCACAGCTTCCTTTGGCTAGGGGAGGGAGTTCCCCAACCCGTTGCACTTCCTGGTGATGTGATGTCCCACCTTGCTTCTGCTTGCCCTCTGTGGGCTGCACCCACTGTCTAACCAATCCCAGTGAGACGAGCCAGGTACCTCAGTTGGAAATACAGAAATCACCCACCTTCTGTGTTGATCTCACTGGGAGTTGCAGACCAGAGCTGTTCCTATTCAGCCATCCCACTTATAAGTGAGAATGTACAGTTTTTGGTTTTCTTTAATTTTGTTTCTTTTTATGACTGAGTAATATTGCATGGTGCATATATGCCACATTTTCTTTATCCACTCATGGGTCAATGGGCAATTAGGTTTGTTCCATATCTTTGCAATCATGAATTGTACTGCTATAAACATATATGTCCATGTATCTTTTTCATATAATAACTTCTTTTCCTTTGGGTAGATACCTAGTAATGAGATTTCTGGATCAAATGGTAGGTCTTCTTTTAGTTCCTAAAACAATCTCCATACTGTTTCCCACACAGGTGGTACTAATTTACATTCCAACTAGCAGTGTATAAGTGTTTCTTTGTCACTACATCCATGCCAACATCTATTATTTTTTGACTTTTTAATAATGGCCATTCTTGTAGGAGTAAGATGATGTATCTCATTGTGGTTTTAATTTGCATTTCCCTGATGATTAGTGATGTTTTGATGATTTTTTAATGTTTCTTGGCCATTTGTATATCTTCTTTTGTGAAATGTCTATTCATGCCCTTTGCCCACTTTTTGAAGAAGTTATTTGTTTTTTTCTGGCTAAGTTTGTTGAGTTCCTTGTAGATTCTGGATACTAGTCCTTTGTTGAATGCACAGTTTGCAAATATATTTAACCAAGGAGGTAAAAGTTCTCTACTAGGATAACTACAAAACGCTACCAAAAGATATTATAGATGACACAAACAAATGGAAATACATCCCATGCTCATGGATTAGAAGAATCAATGTTGTGAAAATGAACATACATCCAGGAATACATGAAAAAGGAAATATCCCAAACCAATCTATAGATTCAAAACAATTCCAATCAAAATACAAACATCATTTTTTACAGAATTAGAAAAAACAATTTTAAAATTCATATGGAACCAAAAAAGAGCCCAAATTGCCAAACCAATCCTAAGCACAAAGAACAAATATGGAGGCATCACATTACCAGAATTCAAATTATAGTACAAGGCTATAGTTACCAAAACAGCATGGTACTGGCATAAAAGTAGGCACATAGACCAACAGAAGAGAATAGAGAACTCAGAAATAAAGCCAAATACAGCCAACTGATCTTTGACAAAGTATACAAAAACATAAACTGGGAAAGGACACTCTATTTAATAAATGATGCTGGGAAAACCAGCAAGCCACATGTAGAAAAATGAAACTGAATCCCTATATCTCACCTTATACAAAAATCAACTCAAGATGGATCAAAGACTGAAATCTAAGATCTGAAACCACAAAAATTCTAGAAGATAACCTTAGAAATTATTCTCAGTATTTGCATAAGCAAAGATTTCATGACTAAGACTGCAAAGCAAATGCAACAAAAGCAAAAATAAATAAATGGAACCTAATTAAACTAAAAAGCTTCTGCACAGAAAAAGAAATAATCAGAGTAAACAGACAACCTACAGAATGGAAATTTTTTTATCTTTTTGTTATTGATTTACAGGAATTCTTTATATTTTTATGAGTTATCAACTATATGTATTTCCAATATTTTCTTCCACAATGTGGTATGTTGTTTCACTCTTTAAAAGTATCTTGATTAACAAAAGTTTGTATCTTAATACAGTCCAATTTGTCCACTTTTTCTTTATGATTAATGCTGCTTGTTTCTGATTTTAAAAAATCTTTCCACATTCAAAGGTCAGGTATCTTTTTTTTTTTTTCTAAAATCTCTATTGTTTTACCTTTCAGGTTTAGATTGTAATCCATCCAAAACTGACTTCGTTTATGAAATGACAGAGGAATCAAGATTTTGCTTTTGTCACATGTATATCCAATTGACATTGCACCATTTATTAAACAGACCATCTGTCCCCTCCCTGTGTTATGGTGCCAGCTTTATTCTAAATAAGAGAGAGTGTAAATACAGATTTACTTCTATTTCATTGATTTATTAGTATAGTCAGTGCTGTGTCACGCTTTCCTCGTCATTGTAGTTTTATAAGTTTAAAAAATGCCCGCCCGTGCATGTCCTCCCCCTTTCTTTATCTTCTTGATGATTTCATTTCTGCTTTTCATTTCCATATAAATTTTAGAATCATCCTGTTAACTTCAAAAAGAAAGCTTTCTAATATTTTTATAGAGATTTTGCTGAACCTAAGAACCAATTTAAACAGTACTGACATCTTTTCAAAACTGAGTTGCTCTTCTCGAGGAGTATCTTTGTGGCATTCTCTGTATTTCCTGAATTTGAAAGTTGGCCTGCCTTGCTAGATTGGGAAAGTTCTCCTGTATAATATCCTGCAGAGTGTTTTCCAACTTGGTTCCATTCACCCCGTCACTTTCAGGTACACCAATCAGACGTAGATTTGGTCTTTTCACATAGTCCCATATTTCTTGGAGGCTTTGCTCGTTTCTTTTTATTCTTTTTTCTCTAAACTTCTCTTCTCGCTTCATTTCATTCATTTGATCTTCCATCACTGATACCCTTTCTTCCAGTTGATCGAATCGGCTACTGAGGCTTGTGCATTCGTCATGTAGTTCTCATGCCTTGGTTTTCAGCTCCATCAGGTCCTTTAAGGACTTCTCTGCATTGGTTATTCTAGTTAGCCATTCATCTAATTTTTTTTCAAGGTTTTTAACTTATTTGCCATGGGTTCGAACTTCCTCCTTTAGCTCGGAGTAGTTTGATCATCTGAAGCCTTCTTCTCTCAACTCGTCAAAGTCATTCTCCGTCCAGCTTTGTTCCGTTGCTGGTGAGGAGTTGCATTCCTTTGGAGGAGGAGAGGCACTCTAATTTCTAGAGTTTCCACTTTTTCTGCTCTGTTTTTTCCCCATCTTTGTGGTTTTATCTACCTTTGGTCTTTGATGATAGTGACGTACAGATGGGGTTTTGGTGTGGATGTCCTTTCTGTTTGTTAGTTTTCCTTCTAATAGTCAGGACCCTCAGCTGCAGGTCTGTTGGAGTTTGCTGGAGGTCCACTCCAGACCGTTTTCCTGGGTGTCAGCAGCAGAGGCTGCAGAACAGCGGATATTGGTGAACAGCAAATGTTGCTGCCTGGTTGTTCCTCTGGAAGTTTTGTCTCAGAGGAGGACCTGGCCGTGTGAGGTGTCAGTCTGCCCCTACTGGAGGGTGCCTCCCAGTTAGGCTACTTGGGGGTCAGGGACCCACTTGAGGAGGCACTCTGTCCATTTGCAGATCTCCAGCTGTGTGCTGGGAGAACCGCTACTCTCTTCAAAGCTGTCAGACAGGGACATTTAAGTCTGCAGAGGATTCTGCTGCTTTTTGTTTGGCTATGCCCTGCCCCCAGAGGTGGAGTCTACAGAGGCAGGCAGGCCTCCTTGAGCTGAGGTGGGCTCCACCCAGTTCGAGCTTCCCGCCACTTAGTTTACCTACTCAAGCCTCGGCAATGGCGGGCGCCCCTCCTCCAGCCTCGCTGCCACCTTGCAGTTTGATCTCAGACTGCTGTGCTAGCAATAAAGCACGGCTCCATGGGCGTAGGACCCTCTAAGCCAAGTGCGGGATATAATCTCCTCGTGTGCTGTTTGCTAAGACCGTTGGAAAAGCGCAGTATTAGGGTGGGAGTGACCCGATTTTCCAGGTGCCGTCTGTCACCCCTTTCTTTGACTAGGAAAGGGAATTCCCTGACCCCTGTGCTTCCTGGGTGAGGCAATGCCTCACCCTGCTTCGGCTCATGCTCAGTGCACTGCACCCACTTTCCGACACTCCCCAGTGAGATGAACCCGGTACCTCAGTTGGAAATGCGGAAATCACCCATCTTCTGCATCGCTCACACTGGGAGCTGTAGACTGGAGCTGTTCCTATTCGGCCATCTTGGCTCCACCCCCTCATCAGCTTCTTAAAAAAAAAAAACTCTTCTTCCAAACACTGTAATAGTTATTTTAATTCTTGGACAAACATCTACTTTCATCTGTATTACAGAACATTAAAATATTGAGGAATTCTATTCTTCTTAATAATGCCTGCCCCCAGAAGAACCTATTTTACCAGAGCCTAACCTCCTGGGGTTTTATCAGAGCATGGCACACCTGAGGGAAGGGAAATACACACTTCAGTCCAATCTAGCCATCCTGTCTCACCTCAGGGTGAAGGGAAGTGGTGAGAAGCACTTGTGAAGTTCACAGTCCAGAGGCATAGACTCACTAAAGACTGAGCCCTAGTTATAGGTCTATAGAATGCTTCACCTCAGGCTACAACCTACTATTACATTACTAAAGACCCATTAACATTATGTCTTGCTACCAAAAAAAAAAAAAAATTTACAAGGCACACTAAATGGCAAAAACAAAAACAAAAACAAAACCTACAGTATGAAGTGGCAGAATAAGTAGCAAAACCAGACATGGCAGAGATGCTGAAATTATCAGACCAGGAATTTAAAACAACTATGCCAAGGGATCTAAATGATAAAGCAGATAGCATGCAAATAACAGTTGGGCAATGCAAGCAGAAAGAGGATAATCCTAAGGAAGAACCCCCACCAAAAAAAACCTTGCTAGAAATAAAAAACACTGTAGCAAAAATGAAGAATCCTTATCAGTAGACTGAATATGGCTGAGGATCTCTGAGCTTGAGGATGTATCAATAGAAACCTCTCAAACTGGAAAACAAAGAAAACAAAGACTGGAAAAAAAAAAAAAAAGAAGAAAAAAAACACAACAACCAAGAACTGTGACTGGAACAACTACAAAAGTTGTAACATAAGCATAATGGGGATGAATAAAGAAGAGACAAAGACACAGAAGAAATAACTTGAAACAACCATGACTGAGAATTTTCCCAAATTAATGTCAGACACCAAACCACAGATCTAGGAAGCATAAAGAATACCAAGCAGAATAAATGACAGAAAGCCAAAAATGTTACACCTAGGAATATCATATTCCAACTACAGAAAATTAAAGAAAAAATCCTTAAACAGCCTGGAGGGTGGGATGGGGGGAGAAACTTACTTAGAGAGGAGCAAAGATAAGAATTATGTACAACTTTTCTTCAGAAACCATGCTAGCAAGGAGAGAGTGGAGTAAAATATTTATAAAGTATTCAGAGAAATAAAAAGTGATGGGAATTCTGTACCCTATGAAATTATCTTCCAGAAGTAAAGGGAAAATAAAGACTTCCTCAAACAAACAAAAATAGAGGAAGTTTGTTGCTAGCAGACCCACCTTGTGAAAAATGTTAAAAGAATTTATTTAGAGAAGAAGAAAATACTGTAGGGAAAGAACTCGGATCTATATAAAAAAATAAAGAGCATTAAAGAAAAAATAAATGAAGGTAAAAAAAATTTTCTTGTTCTTAATTGATCTAACAGAAAACAGTTTGTTAAAAATAATAGCAACTACGTATTCGATTGTGTATGCTTAAGTATATATTATATGTATATGGGTATCCTTATGTATGCTTATGAAATGAATGACAGCAATAATACAAAGAGCCAGAGGGAGGAATTAGGATTGTTTTGTTATTACAAGGACCTCACACTACCTGTGAAGCAGTTCAGTGATATTTGAAAGTAGACTTGGATTAGTTGTAAATGTATATTACAAACTCTAGGGCAACCACTAAAGTAAGTAAACTGTGTGTGTGTGTGTGTATATATATATATATATATATATATATATATATATATGTAAATATGTATATGTTTTACATGTATATAGTTTATATATATGTTTTACTTATATATATGTTTACTTATATATATGTTTACTTATATATGTTTACTTATATATATGTTTTACTTATATGTTATATATGTTTTACTTATATGTTATATATGTTTTACTTATATATAAGTATATATACTATAAAGTATGTATAGTATATATATAATATGTATACACTATATAAATACTTATATATATTATATATACTATATATAAGTGTATATATGTATATATGTACTTATATATAAGTACTTATATATGTGTGTATATACTTATATATATAAACATATATATGTAAAACATATATAAGTACTTATATATATAAGTAAAACATATATATAAACTATATATATATATAACTGATATGCTAAGAAAAGAGAGAAAACAGAACAATATAAAATGATCAGTTAAAACCACAAAGGAAAAAAAAGATTGAAAAACAGAAATAGGTAAAAACAAGGGCATCAAATAGAACACAGTAACAAATACAGTAGATATTAATCCAACTACATCAGTGTGTACTTTGAACTTTGATGGTCTAAAAACACCAACTAAAAAGCAGAGATTAATAGAGTTCATCAAAAAACAAGACTCTGCAACATGTTTTCTAGAAGAAACCAACCATAAATATAAAGCTAGTGGGAATGCAAAAATCTGATAGCCACTTAGGAAAATAGTTTGGCAGTTTCTAATAAAATTAACATACTCTTACTATACAATGCAGCAATCATGCCCTTTGGTAGAAACCCACATGGTTGAGTATTTATATTCACACAAAAACCTATAATGGATATTTATAGCAGCTTTATTGATAATTACCAAGATGTTTTTCAGTACATGAAGAGATAAATAGTAGTATATCCAGACAATGAAATAATATTCAGCACTAAAAACAATTAGCTATCAAGTTATTATATAAAAAGACATAGAGGAACCTTTAATGCATATTATTAAGTGAAAGAAACTGATACGGTTTGGCTCTGTCCCCACCCAAATCTCATCTTGAATTGTAGCTCCCATAATTACCACGTGTCATGGAAGGGACCTGGTGGGAGGTAATTTAATAATGGATGCAGTTACCCCCATGCTGCTGTTCTTGTGAAAGTGAGTGAGTTCTCAGAAGATCTGATCTGTTGATTTTATAAGGGGCATTTCCCTCTTTGCTCAGCACTTCCCCTTCCTGCCATCCTGTGAAGAAGGACAGGTTTGCTTCCCCTTGCGCCATGATTCTAAGTTTCCTGAGGCCTCCTCAGCCATGTGGAAGAAGACTTGAATGGATCAATTAAACTTCTTTCCTTTATAAATTACCCAGTCTTGGGCAGTTCATTATAGCAGCATGAGAATGGACTAATACAGAAACCAATCTGAAAAGGCTACCTACTGGATGATTTCTACTATTTGACATTCTGGAAAAGGCAAAATTACAAAGAGAATAAAAATAACAATGATTGTCAAGACTTAAGGAGAAGTTTCTAAATAGGTGGAGCACAGAGGATTTTTAGAAAAGTGAAACTATTCTGTAAGATACTAGAATGGTAGATGCATGTCATTATATGTTTGTCCAAACCCATAGAATGTTCAGCACCAAGGGTGAATCTTAATGTAAACTATGGACTGGGTGATAATGAAGTGTCAGTGTAAGTTTATCAGTTGAAAGAAATGTACCACTCTGATGGGGGATGTTGATAATGGGGGAGGCTATGCATCTGTTGGGGCAGGAGGTATATGAAAAATCTCTGTACCTTCCTTTCAATTAAGCTATGGACCAGAAACTGCTCTAAAAAGTTATCCTTAATTTTTTAAAATGTATTACGGAAACATGCTTATATCAAGAAATTTTTAACATGTAAAAAATGTAAGCATAATGTAAGGTACAATTTTTGTAAGTATTTTGTTATAAATTCAGTATAAATTTTTGTTTAATAATTAGGAATTAAAAGGGCTCCAAAAGCAAAAATTGTATAGGAAAGACTGATAAATATTTTTTCACTACAAGTTGTTTAAAATGTTCTTATAGTTAAAATTTTTTTAAGAAGAATAAATGTCAAAGGCAAATGACACACTGACAGAAAATATTGCCAACATATGTTACAGTGAAAAAGTAAATATTACTTCTAAATAGTTTTTATTCATTTAATAAGAATAAAAAAACCGATAAAATGAATCAGTAAGACACAAAATAAGAAATATAAATAATTAATAGATGTATGTAATATACTTTTAGTCATCAAACAAATATAAGCCAAGAAAATGAAATATCATTTTTCAGCTGAGCAAAAAAATTGTAATTTGTGCTATTGACAAATAGAAAAGAAAAATGAGCATGTTTAAATTCTTCTGATATAGATATTAATGTAAGTACATTTTTTAAGCAATTGTGGCAATTTGAATAGAAAACCTTAAAATTTTTATGGATACATCTCTACTCAAGTAATTTCGTTTATAGAAATTGTTTATAAAAAGAAATTTTATTGAGACTTACAGAGGATGATATGAAACTTAACAATAACGTAGCAGAGGTATAAAGTGGAAAACTAGAAATGCTATATTATTGCATTAAAAACAACATACTATATTAGTTTTCTATTACTGTGTAACAACTATCACAAATTTAACAGCTTAAAACAATGCCCATTTATTGGCTCAGGATTTTGTAGGTCAGAAATCTGGCAAAGTGTCACTGGATTAGCCTGATATCAGAGTGTTGGCTGGAGGCTCTAAGGAACTACTTAGTATATTTCCAAACTCATTCTTGTTAGTAGCAGAACTCATTTTTTGTGACTGCAGCACTGAGTCCCCCTGTTTTGCTGGGGACACTCTCAGCTCCTGGAAGGAGCCCTTCAATCTTCCAGCCATGTTTTGAATCTCTGACTTCTCCCATCTCTGACTTCTAGATTCAGATTTAAAGGGATATGATTAGGACAAATTCCCTACCTTAAGATCAACTGATTTGGGACCTTACTTACATCTATAAAACCCCTTCACAGCAGTAACTAAATGAGTATTTTACTGAATATCTGAGAGGCGAAGGTACCAGTGGCAAAAATCTTGAGGGTTATCCTAGGATTGTAACTACCACAGAGCCAAAACAGAATGTATTATGGCCTCCAATTATATAGAGATGAAGGAATACATATAAATTTACACATATATGCATGCTTTCTGTAAAGATAGATACAACACAGCAGTATATAGATGATAGGTAGATAGAGATAGTTATATATCATATATATTATGTATACATATGTATATGTATGTATGTGGGTGGGGAATAATTTTATATGTGATTTAATGTTCACCTTCTATTTATCAGCTTTAGAATTTTTATACAATGTATGTTTTTGTTTGTTTGTTTTGTTTTTGTTTTTGTTTTTGTTTTTGAGATGGCGTCTGGCTCTGTCACCCAGTCTGGAGTGCAATGGCACAGTCTCGGCTCACTGCAACCTCCACCTCCTGGGTTCAAGCAATTCTCCTGCCTCAGCCTCCCGAGTAGCTGGGACTACAGGCGCGTGCCACCACACTTGGCTAATTTTTGTATTTTTAGTAGAGACGGGGTTTCGCTATGTTGGCCAGGCTGGTCTTGAACTCCTGAGCTCGTGATCCACCTACCTTGGCCTCCCAAAGTGCTGGAATTACAGGTGTGAACCACTGCGCCCGGCCCAATTTATGTTTTTATAATTTTTAAAGAAATAAACATATTTTGGAGCCTGTCAAAAAAGATCATATTTTCAGAAAAAAAGAGAACCTCTGATTTTAACATATTTACCTATCAAACGGTGTTACCAATGTTAGGCTTCTAAGCCAGAGACCAGAGACCACAGTGACAGTACCAGAGGGAGCTTATACAGACGCATGCAAATACACTTAGAAATTTTGCAGTTACTTTGAGCAGTTAAAATACCCTTTTGATGCATGCTCAATTGAGAATTAAAAGTTCAAATATTGATTTGCATAGGAAATTAGTAATTAAGTACCCATAAAATTAACTTGCACCTGCCAATTGATGTACCAATTAACTTTGCAGATACCTTAAAAGAAACTTCTTGAAAATAAAGTTTCTGATATTATTTGACAATAATATGTTGTACATGTTTAAAAATACACAATGCTGCAGAAAGGTACATATGGTGGCCATGAGAATGTATGCTGCAGATAGCCAATTACAGAGAACATAATTTACCAAGGATCCAGCTGCCATGCTCTGAAATTCATCACCAGGTTAGCACAGAGGCCAGACTTCCCACAGGCTGCTCACTGGCCAGTGATTGAATGCAATAGGGACACTCATGGACATCTGTGCTTGGGAGAACCAGGATCTCAGCTGCTGGATTTGGCTCAAGAATTACTCAGTGATTACCTTGCCACTTCTCTTTGTTTGGACTGCATCCCCCCAAAAGATATGTTGAGTTTCTATCCCTGGATACCTGTTAATGTGACCTTATTTGGAAATAGATTCTATGCTGATGCATCAGGTTAAAATGAGGTCATGCTCATTATAGTGTACCATAACTGCAATTAGTGATGTCCTCATAGAGAGACAGATTTTTGGACACACTGACACACACAAGGGAAAGACAATCATGTGATGATGGAGACAGAAATTAGAATGGTGCAGCTACAAACCAAGGATTGTCAAAGATTGCCAGCAACCACCCAAAGCTAGGAAGAGCTCTCCCTACAGCCTTCAGAGAGAGCATGACCCTGCTGATACCTTTGTTCTGGACTTCAGGCCCCCAGAACTGAGAGAGAATATATTTTTGCTGTTTCAAGACACTCAGTTTGTGATAATTTGTCATGACAGTCCTAGGAAACTAGTATACCACCTAACCTTGCTTTCTTCCCCATGTGATTCAGAGTCAGAAATATATAGTGGTTTGACAACACTCCCAGCCTTACTCAAGAGACTGCCCATTTTTTCCACACACAAGTATTTTCCCTAATATAACCCTTATGTGTTTAATCTTATTATGACCTTTGCTTCTCAGAGATCCTAGACTAACACAGTACACTATACAGAAAATGAAGCAAGCCATATTTAAGTGTGCATTTTAAAACATGTATTAATAACATGGATGTGGGACAACTGAACTGGATTTGAAATATTTTATTTGCAGTTTTCTGCTTGTTACTGAGTTTGAGTTTATCTACCTATGCTGATGGGCCATCAGTGTATCTGGTAGCAATACAGTAGTCCCCCATTTCCTGCTGTTTCCCTTTCTGTGGTTTCAGTTACCTGCAGTCAACCATGGTCCAAAAAGATTAAGTGGAAAACTCCAGAAATAAACAATTGGTAAGTTTCAAATTGTGCACTGTTCTGAGTAGCATGAGGATATCTCACGCCACCCAAAACCTGAACACTCCCCTTGTTCAGTGTATCCACACTGTAGAGGCTCCCTGCCCATTAGTCACTTAGTAGCCGGGAAGGTTATCAGATTAAAAAAAAAAAACATGGTGTTTATAGGGTTCAGTACTATCCATGGTTTCAGGCATCCTCCGGGGGTCTCAGAATGCATCCCCAATGCATTATGGGGGACTACTATATACAGAAGCCAGGGCTATCTATCAGCAGCTTCAATCAGGATGTAAGCTACCTGTCAGGAGAAGTGGAGATACACCTTTTAATGGAAAACACTAAAGAAGGAGGAATATCTGAAGCCTTCATCTCTTCTCATCAGCAATCTTCTACCAATGCCTTGGATTAGCCAACATACCTATATATTATCCTGATATAAGGGTGCATGGGAAGCATAGTTTGCAGCAGAAAGACAAGGAATGAATTGGTACAAACAAGAAATAGCCAGACCCTTTGCCTATTTTTATATGGAATCATTAGTCTTTTTGCTCTAATATTTTGCATAAAATATTTACACGCTCCACAAATTTTACATTATAAAATTCAGATGTCCATGTCTGTCTTTTCATAAATATTTTCATGAAATCCAAATTTTTTTACCTGAAAGTCTTCAGAGTCCATATTTTACTTAAGAATGTTGTCCTGACATCAAAATTCTGAAAATATTCTCCTTTGTTTACATGTATAGTCATGTGCCACATAATGATGGTTCTGGTCAATGAGGGACTGCACATCAGATAGTGGTTCCCTAAGATTTAGATACAGCTGAAAAATTCCTATCACCCAATATTTAGTATACTGTAACTGTAATCATTATTTTAGAGTATGCAGCATCTACTTATTTTTAAAAATGTATTAACTGTAAAACAGCCTCAGGCAGGTCCATAAGTACACTCTACGATGTTCACAGAATGATGGAATTGCCTAATGATGCATTTCTCAGATCGAATCCCTATTGTTAAGAGACACCTGATTGTAGTTACTTTAATAATTGATCATTTTTAGTTCACCAGGATTTTAGAACACACACACATGCATGTATGCATGCACATGCAAGCATGGGGATATTTCTTTGAAGAAAGAAAGTCAATTTGATAAATTTAGCTTAGCCTAAGTGTACAGTGTTTATAAAGTCTACAGTAGGGTACAGTAATGTCCTAGGCCTTCACGTTCACTCACCACTCACTCACTGACTCACCCAGAGCAACTTCCAATCCTGCAAGCTCTATTAATTGTAAGTGCCCTATACAGGTATACCTTTTTTATCTTATTTTAACTGTACCTTTCCCATGTTTAGATATACAAATGCTTACCATAGTGTTACAGTTACCTACAGTATATTATACAGCATGGTAACACGCTGTATAGGTTTGTAGCCAATATAGACTGGGTGTGTGGTAAACTACCATCTTGGTTTCTGTAAGTACACTCTATGATGTAAACACAATGATGGAATTGCCTAATGACTCATTTCTCAGATTGTATCCCCATTGTTAAGTGACATCTGACTGTAATTACTTTAATACTTGATAATTTTTACTTCACCAGGATTGTAGAACACACACACATGCATGTATGCATGCACATGTGCACACACACAAAGCTTTAACTTACTGTTTAAAAAGGACTGCTATGGCAAAGACAGTGGGGCTTAAATATCTTCTGTCCTGTGCTGTACTCCCCAGTCTCTGTGCATTCAGTTTTGGCCAACAGACAATGAGAAGAAATGGCATGTTATTTAGTCCTGTCACTTAGGACTAGTAAGCAGAGGTCCTCTATGCACTCTTGTTTGTTTTTCTTTCTGCAATACAGGGACTTATAAGTCATGTTATGACTTACGTTAGTCAGTTAAGATAGTGTTGTCACAAATTGGTGGAAGCCTGAATTCCGGAGGCACCAAATAGAAATGAGCCTCTGTCAAATCACATTTGGCATTTTATAAGTGAGAAATAACCTCTCGCTATATTAGGCCATTTTAGGTCAGGTTCCTGAGAATCAGAGCCTTTAGTGAGGATGCTTGTAGAAGGAATTATTGAGTGAGTGCCTTGGAGTAAAAACTCTAAGAGAGGGAAGGAAGCATAGCATAGAGAAGTCACCTGAGCAAAGATGCAGTTAGTTGACATATACACTCAGCTTGAAGTGCTTAATGGAAACATCCAAGGTGCCTCTTATCTGCTGAGAGGGTGCAGTTGAGAGCCGTTAAGCAACCAACATTCACAGTATCAGGGAAAGAGCACATTATTGGAAAGAATATCTAGGCTGGGCCCCAACAGAGTTGATTACAGTACCTAAGATATTAGGGATAATTTTCTACTGCAGTGTATCCTGGCCTATCCTATGTTGGCCAACAAAATTGCAAGATGTCCTCAATGCAGTAATTGAATAGCCCTTTCTATCCACCATGACTTGAAAAGCCACCATTAGTATACACTGAATTTCACTTATAAGGGACTGTTTCTGGGCTATTTTTGGTTATTAATAGATACCCTTTTTCTTCTTTTGCCAAAAACATATTGCCTTAATTGCTGCGCGTTTAAAGTAAGTTTTTCTTATCTAGTGAGGAATTATACAGTAATCTATCTTTTTAACAAAATATTGGCTGCTATTATGCATTTTAACTTATATAAACTTTAAACTCAAACTGTTAAGTTATACCCAAAAAACCCATATATGTTGTATTGAATTTATAAATTAATATGTGCAAAAGGAACATTCTTAAAACACTTAGTAACCCTACCCAAAAATATATTCTATTTTGTGACTTCGTGTTGTGGTGTCTTATTGTTACTTTAATTGTTTTTATATGGTTGTTTCAATTTCCATTAACTTTCTAGTCCTCATTACTATCTCATATGCAACATTTTGCCCCTCTGTATTTTTAATTTGTTATTGCCAGATGATGGCAATTCTGACACTTGTACATGTACTTTCTCCAGCACTTTCTAAAATCTCATAAGAAACGGAATAATTTTATCATTGACATTTTTTAGTTCTAGGTCATATGGTAACATGTACAATAAATTGTATTGTTCAAAAAAATAAAATTAATAAGTTCATTTACTGTAAACCTTGGGGAAAATGAACAGAGGGCTAGACAGAGTTAAAGGACTGCCTAGGATACATAAAGAATAGAAAAGCTGTTCAAGTGAGATACCACTAAGTAATGGGTGAGTAAAATACTTAGAAGAAAAAATTTCAATGTTGCCACTGCAAACATGTATATGTTTGCATATCTGCTTGGTGTCAGTGTTCGGAGGAGGGAGGAAATAGAATATCTTTTACAAATATTAACAATATTTACTAATTTTGAGAAGTTATCTGTGTGTACTTAATCCAATAAAATACTGTTGAGTTGAATAAATGACCAAACAATTTTCTCATCGATTTAAGCATGATTTGGGGGTCCTCCTTGATACTCTACACTCAGTACAGAGTTGACAAGGTCAGTGTTGGGCAGCCCCTAATGCTTGTTTAGAATTTGACAATTTGCAAAGCTCCAGGGCAATCGGCTTCACATTGCTCTCCATCCCACCTCCATCCTCTTTCCGGGAGATGTTTAAAAAGGCAAACCTGACACTATCACTTTTTTAAAACTTGTTCATTCTTCATTGCCCTCAAGATAAAATGTAACCTTTTTATGATGGCATAAAAGAGCCTTCAAAACTTAGTCCCAAATGATCTTTACAGCTTCATTTTCCACTATAAACTTCCCTTCTGTATACATCATATTCCAAGTTTTCTGAAGGAACTATATACATTTTAACACCTCTGGCTTTTTAATTTGACTGCTCTGTATGCCTAAAATTCTCTTCCCATCCCTCATCAAAAACTTAAGCCCATCTTTAGAGACCCAAGTGGGCTGTTACCTCCTCAAAGTAACTCTCTCTAATACCTAGAAAAGTATATTAACATAGCCTTTTGTAAATGTCTACACCAAGAGATGATTTGCAATGCATTATTATCTCTTTGTGTGTCTATCTGTTCCATTGGGCTATGATTTTCCTAAGGTGAGTCACTATGTTTTTATATCTTTTGTATCACCATTCAAATACAAAAGGATGGATGATGCTTACTCTTATGATTTGGACTTTGAAGCATGGGAGGGAAGTATGACTTGGTTTCTCATCCCATTTTAACACCATGAAGTGAAAAAAACAGAGAGTCCCTGAGTATGTGCCCATCCTCTGCCTAGAAGAAGCTTTATGTAACACTGATGACTGGCATTTTGCTGACTTGGAAAGTAATGATAGAAGAAAGGATAATGACTGGCATCAGACCATGATCCCCTAAACATCCAGACATCCTTTGGTTTGAAGGGAAGTAAATATTCCTAAGAAGTAGAAATTCCTACTAAATTATTGGATATGGTCATGGTTACCAATTCTATTTGAATAAGAAATTACTTAAAAGAATATAAATCTTCAAGTATGCTAATAATCCCCTTATTCTTGGAGCCGGGGACTGTAAAAGTCCCTATGCCTTTCTATTTGCCTTTGAAATTGAGGCACAACTCCAACAGAAAGCTTTCCTTGACCACCCTGGGCTGTCAAGGAAAGTAATCTCTTCGTGTTGCTCTGCCATCACGATATTCATTCACATTGCTATCTCTATCCTTATTACTTTGTATTCTAATTGTTGTTTATAGGTTGTGGGTTTCTCAAAAGAGGCTGGATCTTGGTCCTCATTTGTCTCTACTTCCTAACAGAACTCCAGAAAAATTATCAGCATTCATCAATATGTGTTGGATGAAAGAATCAATCCATCAGTATTATAAAATGTAAGCTTATAGACCAGGGATTTTAAAGTCTACCTAGCTAAATTTTCATAAGAAGTTTTCTATACCCTTTGCTCATATCTAGGATTTTAAAAACATTTAGAAAATTAGAATTCCTAAATGTAAGAGAGAAAATTTTTATCTTCAGGCTCTGCACAAGCATGTTAGTTATATTCTCAGGCATTGACTAGAGTGCTTGAGTGGGTCAAGACACTGTCATTAGGAACAGAAATATTAAAAATAATAACATATGAAGAAAATCTGTAATAGGGCAAAACCCACAATGTGTAAGCCACGCTCCTTTTTTAAAATCTGAAACAAAGTCACAGACCCGGAAATATTTTTACAGTTTGCTACATTATTATTTTGGACTGGGTGCACAGTTTAGTTTCTATTTTTATTTCTAAGTTTAAAAAAAACTGTAAAAAAAAACTGGGTTCTCTAACAACTAGAATAACCTTTTGGAGCTGTTCATATACCACACTTGGACTTTATAGAGAAATCTGGCTAACTTACTTTTGGAGAACAAGAGTCTTACAACAGAGAAGTAGTTTCTACGAATGCAGCTAGAAGTATATATATTTTTTAATACTGAATATTCTTGAGAAATGAAAATGACATGGATTTGATACCTTTGGGGCTTTAGAACCAACAGAATAATGCAGGCAGTTTGTGCTTGTATAATCCTCTTGGAAGATTCCAAAAAAGTAATGACCTAGAATTGAAAGACATGTGTGAAGCACCATAGGAATACCATGAGTGCATGAAAACAAGATTCCCCTGTTCTAAAGGTCTTGGTGGCTTATGAGTGGGGTATACAAAATAAGGAGCTGCTTTCTTTCCAACTAAGAGGAACAAGACCTCTTCCAGGATAGTTTTGAGCTAGCTAGTGGATCTGGCAGTGAATTTACACTTTCTAAATAGATATTCCAGCTTTCTCTGACCCTTTTCCCTCTTAGGCTCTCATCTAGCAAAGAAAACCAGCTTATTTTCTCTTTGAAGGTTAGTGCTGTGTGATGTATCTCAGATCTTGCTCCAGATGCAGTTACTCCCATGCTTTGAATACAGTAAATGCTTATCCTTCGTATCTTTAAAACAAAAAGGGTATAGATTCGGGTTTAAAAGGACCTGAATTTGAGGCCTGGCTCTCTCATCAATGAGCAATTATGTTTAGATGGTTGGAATAAGAACAAATTTTATTATAACATTATCAAGTTTAACTAAAATTATGGCAATGTCTATTTTATAGGTTTGTATAGACTAAATGGAGCATACGTATAAAGAGTCACACACCTAAGGAATGGTAGATTCTTGTTTTGGTTGATATTCTAGAGAAGGCTTTTGTTGATCACTTTGAACGTAGAGCAGGAATACAATCTGTGATGGTTAATATTGAGTGTCAGCTTGATTGGATTGAAGGATACACAGTATTGTTCTTGGGTGTGTCTATGAGGATGTTGCCAAAGGAGGTTAACATTTGAGTCAGTGGACTAGGAGAGGCAGACCCACCCTCAATCTTGATGGGCACCATCTAATCAGCTGCCAGTGTGGCTAGCATAAAGCAAGCAAACATGGAAGGACTAGACTGGCTGAGTCTTCCAGCCTCTGTCTTTCTCCCGTGTTAGATGCTTCCTGCCATCGAACATTGGACTCCAAGTATTTCAGCTTTTGGGCTCCTGGACTACACCAGTGGTTTGCCAGGGGCTCTTAGGCCTTTGGCCACAGACTGAAGGCTGTCCTGTCAGTTTCCCTACTTTTGAGGTTTTGGGAATCGAACTGGCTTCCTTGCTCCTCAGCTTGCAGAGGGCCTATTGTGGGACTTCCCCTTGTGATCCTGTGAGTCACTTGTCCTTAATAAACTCCCTTTCATATATGCATCTATCCTATTAGTTCTGTTTCTCTAGAGAACCCTAACTAATACGCAATCCCCGTAGGAGAGTTCTGTAGAAATAGAGATGAAAAGGGCAAGGCTAAAGTCTTTCCTTGCATACATGAGACATACTTGGGTAGCATTTCTGTAGAGCCCAGTAATCACTTGTGTTGCTTGGTTTACTCTGACATGAATTTGGAAGCTTGCACTCTCAGTTTTAAAGTGGATGTGAAGTACAGAGATGAATGGTTCTTTTTGAACTGAATGGCTTTAAAGATATCTTTGCACAGGATAAACTCATCAGGAGTGGCAAGTGATAAATGAGGGTTATAAAAATTTAGGAATCTTTTACTTATCCTAATTGATGGCTCTCACAAGAGGATTCACAACTTTTTTGTTAGTTGCTCTTTACTTTCTCCAATGTCTGAAGTCTTAAAACAGCAGAGAGTTTGAGGGGTTTTCGTAAAGTTAATTAATGTTAATTGTGTCATGAATTACTTTAAGGAGTCTGTTGAGTGATGGACCCAGAGAAGAGGGTCGATACCATTTAATGTTCAATAGGGGATAATGCTGGTCTTTGGCACCGTTTTACGATCATTAGGGCCATGCTAAAGCTTGTCAGGAACAGCTCTAAAGATCAGTTGCTCATGGCAATTAAAACAATTGAAAATGACCTGGTATTACATTATACATGATGCAACACTGCTCCCAGTATGAACAAACTTTCATTCCATTAGTGATTTTCAATTTCATACCAAGCACTGCAATTTATTTTTCTTAGTTACCTAACTATGGCTGTCTCTGTACTTCTAGCAGGATATTATTAATATTTATCCTATTATCTCATACAACATTTCATACTTAAAGCACTTTGCAATCTTAACTAATTAATCTTTATATCCTGCCTAAAAGGATGGTAAAATACCCTTTTAGAGTTAGGGAAACTGGGTTGAGAGTGGTTAAGAATTGGCCATCAAGAAAATGATCTGATGGGTTCGAAGGGCTACATTTGGGCCTTTTTTCTCTCCCCTTGCAACGAAAATTAATGAACCTTTGTCTTGAAAGATCATACCCTGAAGTATAAATGGCCTCTTACCCCCTAAGAGAGGCAAATGGAATTATTTTTAATAGAATCTATTCTCCAAGCAAAAAAGAATTTAAAAAATTTGTCACCAATAAATACAGAGAATAGAAAGAGGTTTAGTGATTTTTTTTCATGTTAAAACTGTTACCTATTTTGAGGAACTAGAGAACTAAATTTTATTCAAAGTACATAAAGTATATACAAATTTTTCAAAAACAATATGTTTTAGAGATATAATAATAGAAAGAATACCTAATAAATATTAGACAGATATCAGGGATGGTAAGAACATGACTAAGCTGTAACAATGAACTGGTAAATTTTATATTTCCTCTAATTTGCTGATCAGGCAACTGAAGCTTGGAGAGTTTGACTTACTTATGAATACATATTTGATAAACAACAATGCTTAAACCAAAACACAAGTCTGTCTGAATCAGAAGTCCTTAGTTTTTAGGTTACAAAAATACCACTTCCCTGGTAGTGAACAGAAACTAACTAATTTCCAATTTACAAATCCCGTACTTGACACAACAATGATCTGTTTTATTCTGATGCATTGTCTTATTAGACTCATTACTAAAGACCACTCTGCATGCCCCAAATGTGCTGTCTTTCCTTCACCACTCCCACCCCTCAGCAGAGTTTGTGCCCCCAACCCAACCAAAACTTCTACCTTCTGCCTCCCTGCATCCCTTCCTCTCCTCAGGGGTCATGAAAGAACTGATGTCACAGCCCCCGCTCCTACAAATCTGATTCTTTCACTATCAAACGAGGCCTTACCCTAATCTGAATAAGTTTGATACCTTCTGCCCATACTTTTCTCTTACTTTTATGGAGAAAGGTGTCCACATTTTAAACAATGGATTTAAATACCATTTTGAAACTAACCTTGTTATGAACCGAAGACACACACATATAACTGTCTTTTTCTTTTGACTTCTTTTTCTTCTTCCTCTTGTCCTCCCCATGCCCTCATCTCCTCCTCCCAACCTGTTCCTCATTCTCTTTCTCTTCATCTTCCTTATCACATAGTTCTAAGCTTTTAATGCATGTTGGAATAATAGTAAATGTATTTTATATAGTCAGAGATATTAGTTTAAATCAATTTTGTCTGGGTGACTGAAATGTATTCTAAAATGATTTCATTTTATATCCATTTTGGAAATGCTAAATTATGTGCAGTGGACATGGAAAGGAATGTATTGATACTATAGGGATTTGTCATGGGAAACCACTGTGCTAACAACAAATATGTTTACAAGATACATATTTAACTCAGGTGAAAGTGAGACAACAAAAGAAAACTAATAAACCAATAGAAACTGCTTCTACAGAGGATGATTTATGTTACCTAAAGATCTCTATTCCACCTGGATTCAGTTATTTAGAAATTATGACAAAACCGAACGATTCTGCAAGATAAAGCATTGAAAATTTTGAGGTAATGGGGAAAATCCAAATGGATAGGGGAAAATTCATAGGGATAGGGGAAAACCAGCAAGGTTGGGTGGTATATAGAAACAGTAAAAACACTGCATAAGTACATAAATGATCCTTATGGCTATTAACCAAGGAGGAATTGCAAAGAATAAAAATATAGGTTAGAGTATCTATATGAAATCCTGCGCATTGTAAGATATTAAAATCTATAAAGACTACAAAAATAAATAAAAATCTTGTTCTGACTTTTTTTCCTATTCATCAAAGTTCATTTTGGCTACACCTATGAAAGGTCAAAAATAAAAAGTAAGAGGTAAAAAATGTAACCAATAATACAAATGTTTTGAAACATACACTTTACTCATATGCATTAAACTGTACTTTTTCAGTCTTCTCTGTTCTTTTCTGATAATGCAATTCTGTTTGTCTTACTTGTTACTCGAATTTTTTTCACCTGTGGAATACTGTTTGCACATTTATTTTTGTGATTTTTTAGCAAGAAAGAAGGGAAAGCTGATGAGTCATTTTCAACTTTTTTATTCTAAAAAAATTGGAGAAATTAACCTCTTATTGAGACCTACAATGTGCATAACCTGTGTGACAAGCTCAAAGAAGGATTTCAATCAAGTAAGGCTATGGTTAAGCTTGTTAACCAGCTTCATGCTTATTATCTAATCAAGACAGTGACACATGAAAACATAAAACTGTAAAGAATAATTTTGGTAAATAAGTGTCCCAAATGAATAAATATTACAATCAGGGACTACTGTAGAAATCCTGAAGAGGCAACATTACTTTCAACAGTCATGCCACACGTACATTTATACTTTTAAGTTGAATTTAAGAAAAAATAACAATTTAAATGTGTTTTTAGTTTGGTGCCATTGGGGTAGTGATCCAACTTTTAGAATCACAGTTTATATACTTTCTGGGAGCAAATATAAACATATTATCATATCCATGTCCAGTTAAATGATAAGGAAAGTCGTGGGTCTGATGTGAATGGAAGATATACAATTTGGGGATTCACATTTACTCTCTCCATCTCTTAGGCTTGTGCAGCAAGTATGCACCACAGCATTCTAAAACCTGTGATAGCTACTCCATAGTATAACTTGGGTGAGTCTTGTGTAAAACCAGTGCATTATGGCTGTCTTAATATTAGAGTAACTATGTCAAAGTGATTTTTCCTATGTTGTGGATATCTAATGATAGTGACAGGAAGTAATTGTGAAAAGCGAGAGCTCAGACTGGTTTGTGGTTTAGGTTACTTTTTGGATATTAGTGGACAATATTTGGCATAAGACACTATATTATTGAGCCTGAATTATTAAATCTAATATACAGTACAGTGTGACTCTGGTTTTTAGTGGAGCTGAGGTTGGATGTTGCTTTCCTGGGGACACTGTTGACATATAAAAAGACATGTACACATCCCATACATAATGCTCTTTCAGCACATCATACAAAGAAGACATTGTTTGAGACTTTTAACACCACCAAAAATCATGCCAGCTAAAGAAAAAGGAAATAAATCCCAAAAGCCTTCTCTTTTTCAAAATCTTCTAGTTTCCATTTTATATGAAATTATTCCTATATTCTTTCTATGAGTATTCTTCCATTCAAATACATTTTATAATGTATATTAAAATATTAAGCTAATGTTCTCTATAAACGGATTTATATTTGACATCCTACAGTGTACTGAAATACTAGCTTTCTGCTGTTAAATATGTTGCTTCTTATAAAGCTCTGCTTTTTTTGTGGAAAGAACCAAATAGTTTAAAAAATTATGTCACAGAATAGCATGTAAATGACTGAGAACAAACTAGTAGAACTCATCTTCTGAGTGAATTTGGAACTGCCTATTTTTTCCTTCAGCAATACCCAGTAATGCACAAACAGTTCTGTATTAGATTATTTGTCAATGTTATTTTATGAAGAAATTTAATAAAATTTACTACTCTGCAATCCATTGAGCACTTCCTAACTTAATTGTCATATTCTGCATTTCCTGAGATTTACAATTAAAATTGTGATGAGCCAGACATACAAACTATTCCTTTTGTGACAAGACAGGTTATTTGTGTTTTACCAAAATTACCTGAGATTTTTATTTATGAAATAAAAATCTATTAAAATCAATTTCACCCATCTATAAGTATCTATATGTAATATATTTTGTCTGAATATTTTTTCAACCTGTTTCTCTCCATTCCCACCACAAAAAAGATAGTTCAATTTACTATTTATGTCCATGCCAGATCCAGTTAATAAAAAATAATGGCCCTGACATTTTATATTTTCCGAGGATGATCAAATAAGAAATGGTCTCCAGACCAGAGTAAACATTTATTGTGATTAAGAAATGTTTAGTCTTCCTTATATCATTGTCACTAGTCACCAGTATTACTTTCTAAATCTTTAAAAAAAACACACATATTAGTTTATATTATTATTGTGTCTTTTTTAAAAACTTAAGTTTAATTGGTAGAAAGACCAATACAAATATGAGAAACCACATTACTAATATTGCTCTTTCTGTGGTAATTAATGTGCTTGTAAATAGAAAACAGCATAGGATCAAAAATTAAGATTTTATTTTTATTACATTTTCTAGGTGATAAATTTAAATACTTGTAACAATTTGCCACTGGATTTAAAAATATATAGGATATTCCTTACTAAACAGGGATACAAAAGTCCATCTTTCTTTATGCCAGTTCCCTTGTTTGTTCTTTCTAGTATCTTGGCTGGCGGCAGTGGGAATGAAGTATCATATTGATTAATGACTTTGTATGTGATTTTATATAGGCATTAAATGAGAGAATCAACTTTAAGAAAACCATTTACTTATTCATTTCACCACACTCTCAACAACTACTGATTAATTTCCAGATATTGGACTTGATGACAGGCCGATTAGGAAAATAATAGCCTTGTTAATTGAGGAATTTGAGAAAAGGAGACCATTGGCAGGTAACATTGACAACACTCCAAATTCCATTTTAGAAGTGTCTTGACCAGTTTTGGACTGCTTGGAGAAGTTCTGAACAAGTTTAAATAGCTCTCTGGTTGATATCTGAGTATTTCTTGCTTCCATACCTAATTTTATGGCTTGAAAAATTGACCTCTTTGAGGGTCAGCATCCTACAAGTAAAATGGAATTAATACCACCAACCTTATAGTATTGGGTGGAAAAACTGCACAGTGTATATATGAAGATACTTTGTCAACTATAGAAAGTTATGCAATGAATTATATTGCTGGAAAGACATTTAACTAAAAAAATCTAGAGGGCATTTGTGTAAGTGTAACTTAAGTATACAGGACTATAGATTTATATATTGCAGTTTAAAAAAAGAATTTTAATAAAAATCTTAGAAGCAAATGACCTTTCCTAGCACATCAAAAAGATAATTTGCCATGATGAAGTGGGCTTTATTCCAGGGATGCAAGGATGGTTTGACATATGCAAATCAATAAATGTAATCCACTGCATAAACAGAACTAAGAACGAAAACCATATTATCATCTCAATAGATGCAGAAAAAGTATTTGATAAAATCCAACATCACTTCATGATAAAAACCCTCAACAAGCTAGGCATAGAGAGAATATACCTCAGAATAATGAGAGCCATCTCTGGCAAACCCACAACTAACATCACATTGAATGGGGAAAAATGGAAAGCATGTCCTCTAAGAACAGGAACAAGGCAGACTGGGAGTAAAGATTTACAAATTATGCCTCTGACAAAGGATTAATTTTGACAATCTATAAGGAACTGAAAAAACTCAACAAGAAAAGCAAACAACCCCATTAAAACCTGGGCAAAGGACATGAACAGGTATTTCTAAAAAGAAGAAATACAAGCAGCCAAAAAACACAAGAAAAAATTCTCGACATCACTAATTATCAGAGAAATGCAAATTAAAACCACAATGAGATACCATCTTAGAACATTCAGGGTGGCTTTTACTAAAAAGTCAAAAAACAACATGTTTTTTGGTGTCCACCAATAGCTGATTGGATAAAGAAAATTTTGTATATATACTTTATGGAATAGTATGCAGCCATAAAAAGGATGAAATTATGTCCTTTGCAGCAACATAAATGGAGCTGGAGGTCATTGTCCTAAGTGAACTAACACAGAAGCACAAAATCAAATATTGCATGTTCTCACTTACAAGTGGAAGCTAAACAAAGGATACATATAGACATAAACTTGGGGAAAACAGAATCTGGGGACTCCAGGGAGGGAGGGAGGGATGTGATGGTTGAAAAATTACCTACTGGGCGCAATATTCAATATTTGGGTGATGGGTAGACTAGAAGTCCATCCCCCACCATTTCTCATGTAATATCCATGTAACAAAAAATGACACATACCCTCTGAATCTAAAATTTAAAAAAAATAAAATAAACAAAATACGCAGAACAGCTAACACAGAGTAGTGAGCCAAGAACGCTTAATCATTTGACTAGGGAGCAAAGACAAAAGACCAGTATACTCCAGAGGACATCATAGACAATCACAAGATATTACAGATGTTTTTTGTTAAACAAAAATTTGTAAGATTTGTATCTATTTTCTCTGTTAATGACCAATTCTACTTTGTTTACAGTTAGCTATCATCCATTGAAATGAAACCAATATTAAATATTATTAAGGCAATAAAAATACTTAAGCTAAAATAAAAGGAATCAGATTAAAAAAAAGGTGGGGGTGGGGGGAGGCAATGCCCAAGATTTGAAAGAGAAATAGGACAGTGCAGTCACAGAAGCCAGAAACACCAAGCCTAATCGATGCTAGGTCCATGATAGAAAAACCACATACCTCACTGACAGATACACAGGTGCTTCATTATATTAAAGAGGATGTTTTCAGCAAATAATTATGAAGATTAAGAACTACAGATGAAATAAGAGGTGTTGTCTTTACCAAGTCTCTCTCCTTTATCTCTCAAGCCAATCACATGCCAAATCCAGTTCTTTCTGTCTGCACAAATATCTCTTTAAATTCCTCCTCACTTTCATCACCCCTACTGTGAGAAGTTGAGTGGAATTATATTCTAATAGAAGCTTCCTAATTTCTCAGACCTCAAACTTAGACGGCCAGATCCCTAAGAGAGAATAAAGAGGACATATGGAACTTGATGACGAGAGGATTTTACTCCAAACCTGTTAGTTTGCTCTGACTATCATAATGGAATACCACAGGCTGGGTGGCTTCAACAGCAGAAATGAATTTTCTCACACTTCCGGAGGCTGGAAGTCCAAGATCAAGGTGCCATCAGGTTTGGTTTCTGATGATGCCTCTCTTCCTGGCTTGTAGATGACCACCTTCTTGCTGTATCCTCACATGGCCTTTCCTTTGACCATATATGAGAAAAAGATCTGTGCTGTCTCTTCCTCTTCTTATAAGGACATTGGTCCTATCAGACTGGGGCCTCCTTTTATTACCTCACTTTGCCTTACTTTCTTCCCTAAAGCATCTTCAAATACAGTCACATTGAGGGTCAGGGCTTAATGTCCCATGCTTTCATTTTTAGGACATGATGCTTCTGCTAAAACTGTCGCCTCGGCTTGCAATGTCTTGTCTCTCAAGGCTCACTTCTAATTTCCAGGGCTTCTGTGACAGGGGGAAGAAATCATTCCCAAAACTCCTTGAGCAGAAGTTAGTTGCTGACTTGTCTGTCTTTATCAAATATTCTGAGCTTGTTAAGGCCGAGAATGTTTGTTCATATTTTAACTAACATAGCCAAAACAACAGAGAAGCAGCCCTTTCACATAGTAGGTGCTCAGTAATTGCTCTATCAATAAATGAATATATTGTGAGAAAATGAGAGAGGTTATGTAGAAGAGTTCTTAGAAATGTGTGTTAGGCAAAGAAAGGTGAAAAACAGAATATGTCCTTAAGAAGAATAAAAGCTATTATTTTTCTCAAAAGGGAGAAACTATCTTCATTTTATAAAAAGAAGCTAAGAACATGCTTCCTCTGACCACTTAGATGAAACCGCCACATAAATGACAGACAACGCAAATCTAATTTGCTAGGCATCACGAAACGCAGCTTGATTGAAAAGGATGCATATGTCATTTTCCTGGTGTAGCAACAAGAAAAACGACCAAAGAGGTGGATATGAGCAGAAACAATTAAAATATGCCCTTTATAACACATAAAGTAAAAAAAAAAAAAAATCCCTGTACCTCACTTCATAACCTAAGGAAGAGTAGAAAAGTGTCCATGGAAAAATGGTCTATTGTGGTAAAAAAAAAAAAAAAAAAAAAAAAAAGAGTCTTGTTCAGAGTTCACACTGAGTATCTTTTCGTAAGAAATTATATAGCAGCGCAATTAAAATGAAATACTAATTGTAACAAGAAAAGATGGTGACTGCAGAACATAACTCAGCCTTAATAGATTTTCTAATGCCTTTCTTTATACCAAAGGGGAGTACCCCTTTAGCCAATAAAGTAAATTTTCTGATCTCCAAATGGATACTTTATCCTCATTCAGGCTGATATTGCAGCGACATCATGAATTTCTCAGACAGCTTTGTGAATCAGCAGAGTATTTCAGAGGGGAACACTGAGTGCTAAAAGCAAAGTCATTTTTTAAAGAGCCTTTAAATAAGTAGATGAAACATTTCATTTTGGGTCAAGGATGCATTTACTCCAGCAACCTGGAAGAGCAGAGAGGGCCGAATCAGTTGGGAAGAAATCGAATAATGTTACCGTATCAGCCAAACCTCAAATTACATAGTTTTGCAGGTCAAACATTTTTGACTTTTCCTTTTTCGCATCCATGTCTATAATTCTTATTTTCAAAAAGCTTAAGTATTTATATTTGATGAACTATCACCCTGTGTTTCTAAAGTATCTTTGAAAAGCCATTAACTAATTTGCTCATAATAAACTTTCAGGTCTAGAAGAAACTGGTTTTCTTTCTAGTTAAATAATCTGTTGAAAAGAAAAAGAAGGCAAGAAAAATGGAAACATCCTAATGCAACCACTTAGCAAATGTTCTGAGTGCCACCACGTGTCAATACTGTCTTAGGTGCTAGGAATACTGAAGCAGGCAGGCAAAGTCCTTTTCCTCACTTCTAGTTATACTAAAGAACAGTGACTCCTACCATAGATAGTGATCAAAGGTCAAGTTAACTGGACCCGAGGTAGGGATTTTTCTCTCCTTTGCTCTGGAGCATTTATGAGTGTTTATGAATAATTAAAATTGAGATTTAAGCTTAACTCAATCTTGAATTGCTTAATATAGACTTAGGTTTTAATAAAAACTTGCATATATTTTACCTCCCATTCTTTATTGATATAAATATACCTTAGCTTGGAAATTCTGAGTAGATCAGGTAATACCTTTAAAATGTTATATTGCCTACAGAATCGGGTTGAGAGTATAGCCTAGGATATTTATAAAAATATATAATGCTGAAACTATGTGTGTTCAGAAAAAAACATTTTCCTACACAAAATAATATTTATATATTACTGACAAATTTCTTTCTTTTTTCCTCCCCTCCCTCCGTTCCTCCCCTCCTCCCTCCCTCCCTTCCTTTCCTTCCTTCCTTCCTTCCCTCCTTCCCCCCTTTCTTCCTTTCTTCTTTTTTTCTATATCTATGTGTATTCTTCAGTATTTACACACAGATGCTCCATGATGGGTCACATCCAAACTTATCATAAAGTCAAAAAATTGTAAGTCAGACTATCACAAGTCAGAAACCATCTGTATGTACATTCTTGTGTCTAGTCACTTGTGTGGGAATGAAGGAGGGAGGAGGGAAGAAGGAGGAGAGGTGTATCTGGTGTAGATAGTTTAAATTCCAGATTTCCCCTCAAGAGGAAATTTTGGTCTTCAAATTATAATTCTGTGGTTTTCCTGTTGTCTGCTGACAAGTTTTTAACTAATGTAGAATCAAGGGATTTTACGCTACAGAAAGTTTATTCCTAAGATGAGTGTCTCGATCTAATCTTATTTCATAGTTGTTACATCTGTGTATGAAATGTATCATTATTTATGTATGTTTTCAACTCATATTTATTCTTAAATATATTTAGCCTTATCCCAAACAATAATAAATTGAAATCACAGTTTGGTATTACATATGTATGTGTGAGATACACACACACACACACACACACAGAGATTCCATTAAACAATAAAATTAATATATAGTCATAAATATGTGTTACTTAAGCCAGGGATCAACAAACTTTTCCTGTAAAGAGCCTGGCAACAAATGATTTAGGGTTTTTTTAGACCCAGAGTAGTTTATGTCACAGCTACTCAACTCTGCTGTTCTAGTACAACAGCCATAGACAAATAAATGGATGGGCATGGTTGTGTTCCAGTAAAACTTTATTTATAAAAACAGGCTAGATGTGGCCCATGGGCTATATATTTTAGTTCCATGATCTAGATATATCCCACATCACCAATGATAGGCATACCATTCTTTGCGAAATAATGCTTTAACATAATTTTTGAGTTATGATGCTAGTGTATATCCAGCCCTTTTGTACTTCTTAGATAGCATTCCTGGCCCCAAAAGTGTGGTGGGTTTCTGTCAAGATCTGCACAACAATGGAGAGATTGAAAGAACCTATGCTGGTATTCCTGCTTAGAAAAGAATAAAACACGCTCCTATGCTGGTATTCCTGCTTAGAAAAGAATAAAACACGCTGTGCCGATTAGTATTTTAAGTTTTCTAAGTGTTCTCGGTGGTAGGTTGAAAAAAAGTAATATGAGTTAGCAGGCTTAAAAATCTTAAAGTACAAAAATTTTTATAACACACTCACATTTATTACTTCAGTAATAAGATGTGTATGTCAACTACATATCATATCTTTACTATTAAAATGTAAATTCATTGAGGGAGAGGACCTTGAATATTTATTCTTGTTTCCCATACATTTCTGCATGCAATAATATCCTAATAATTATTTACTGAATGAAGAGTGATAGATGAATAATGAATAAATAAGAAAATAGAGCAAGTATAAAATTAGAGGAAAAGAAATAGTTAAGTAAATAGCATGTTAATTTATTTGCAGAAGTAGGATTTCTTGTTAAGAATATAAAAATCAGCTATGGCATTACAGATGGACTGTAAGTACTTAAAAAGCAATAGATTAACTGTTGAATTAGATAGCAAAATATAGATAGTAGATAATATGCGTTCTCATAAAAATAAACAACATCTAACAGGAGACTTCTCATAAATAATTTGATACAATTTGAACAAACCTTAATTTTCAATAGAATAAGAATATTTGAAAAATGAAGAATGTTGAAGTTTTACTGTTCTTTTAATTCATTTTTTAACATGGCATGTAATGTTCTTATTAAATTAACTAACATCTTATTCTTTTCTCTGTAGCAAGAATTAAATTTGAAAGACCATATGAAGAAGCACAGTATTTATCCAACCAACATTAAAATGTCACTCTGGGAGATTATTTCAAATTACTTTTATAGTTTTGAATGATTTTTAATATTATCATTGATAAACCATCTAAGTTATAAGTAAAATATTTCAAGTTTAGAAAAAAGACTGTTGGGCCAGGTGTGGTGGCTCACACCTGTAATCCCAGCACTTTGGAAGGCCGAGGCAGGCGGATCACCTGAGGTCAGGAGTTCAAGACCACCCTGGCCAGCATAGTGAAACCTCATCTCTACAAAGATACAGAACTTAGCCGGGCATATTGGCGGGTGCCTGTAATCCCAGCTACTCAGGAGGCTGAGGCGGGAGAATGGCTTGAACCCAGGAGGCGGAGGTTGTAGTGAGCCGAGATCACGCCACTGCACTTCAGCCTGGGCGACAGAGCGAGATTCCATGTCAAAAAAAAAAAAAAAAAAGACTGTTGAAGATTTTATGTCATTTTTCACAATACACTCAAGGTTCTTACTACTCTAAAAGTGCTTTTACAGTTTGTTAGGCAACTAACATACCATTTAAAATAGATTGAACTCTCTATTTACTCAATATACCATATCAGTTTCAAATGGTTATGAGTAGTGGTTTAAGAAAGTACCATACTTTAAATGTAGCTTTGATAAATATTTACAAGAATGGCTCTAATGCATCTGACAGATACTTCCATTAAAGGATATATATTTGTGTGGGGTGGCTTTATCTGAGGAAAAAAGCTTACACTAAAAATAAGATAGGGAATATATTGACAAACACATTAGAACATATTGCCTTCTATAGTTTAATATCACATTTGATGTTTAAAGAGTTGACCCTCATTTAGCTTGAAGTTACAAAATATCACTTGGACTAAGTGGCTAGAAAATAGAGCATCAGAAATAGTAATCATCTTTATTACCTAGAAAATACAGAAATGCCAAAAACTTATTAAATCACAAAATATTATGTCTAAGATTTAAAATAGCAATAGCAATAATTTAAAAAGATATTTTTAATGAGGAAAATATATTACTATTCTTATTAGTGAAATAGTTCTAATTTATCTACCATGATGAAATCATATATGGGAGATAAATTATAAGTATATGCATATACATAATCACTCTAATTATTTCAAGACTTTTGAGCAGCAGTATCTTTTTTAAGTAAGCTATATATTACTATTAATTCACTGGGCAGTGCAATTACAGGGAATTTTCTTCATTTTTGTTTAATCTATCTTTTCTAAATATTCTGCACAGAAAATGCATTACTATATAATAAAATTATTTATATTTAAATACACACAATGTAAAAAAGTTCCACTGGCCGCTTTTTAAAAGCATTGTTTTTTAAACATTATTAACTATATCTAGTTATATTTTTATATTATAGTTACTAAATATATGACTGAAGTATTAGTAATAAGATTTATACATTCTTTTGTGCCAGTAACACTTAAACTGTCCTCAAATCTATAATGTATGCTTATTAGAATTAAACATCTAAATATTATATAATTATTGATATACAATTTTCCTTAAAAAATCCATTGATCTAAGTTAAATAACAGGCAACCAGAATCCAAAAGTATTACTAGGCAGGTGGTGAATACTAATAAAGTTTTTAAAAAGATCTTTGCTAAAAAGCTCAAATGAGTGATACTTGAAGAGTAAGCTGGTTGCATTTGAACCGAGGATCTACGTGTGCAAAATCCACTTATAGAAGTTCAGAGTTCAGCTGTGCAGCTGCATGTTCAAGTGAAAGATAAACTCATCTCCAAATTGTTGCATGGCTATTTGTTTTAAGTTTGCATTTGCAAAAACTCTTAAGTAGACAGTTTAAATACCTTTGTTAGCTATACCTTTTGTTAGAAGACACCTGGAGTATAAAAATAAAGATTTAATTAGAAAAATGTGTGAGGTACTTGGGAAAGAAAATGAAAAACAAACTAACAAAAAAAAACCAGGCCTTAGCTTCTGGGTAGCCCCAGGCCCCTGCAGCATCCTGCCATTAGCTGTGCATCCTTGGGTGAGTCACTTTATCACCCTGGGTCTCCATTTCCTCATCTGCAAAGTGAGACATTTGGATTTCATACTAAATTGTTTCCAGTTAGAAAATTCAATAATTTGATAAATTATAACAGTTTGTCACTGAAAAATGTTCCTCTACCAGTAACATAAAAACATTGAAGTTACTCTGAAAACCTTGTCTCAGACACCTTTTTCTACTTCTTGGAAATTAGAATGCACACTGTAGATGGTCCTTTTCGGATTACATGTTAACTTGAATGAGAAGAAAAATATTATCCTTGAAGATTTATGCAATTATTTTATCAAACCTTCTAGCTTCACTCTTGATAAAGGCAAATCCAACTACACTAAGTCATCTGCCCGGTTCGTGAGCCATCAGTGAACACGTGATTATGCTTTCTCATTCATCTTATGCCATTGCTTTCTCCAATACTGCAGACTGGATTAGAAAGGGTGAATTTAACAAGAACTTGTAAAATAAAATAGTAAATCTTTATAACAAGTTTGCTTTGTGTTAAGTATGTGACAAACAATTATTTATAACTTTAGCTAAGGCCAAACCTGTACAAGTATAAAATATCAAGTAGCTTTTGTCATAAAGTTTCTATGATTTAGAGAATTTTTAAATTCACATCTTAAGAATTTTACAAAAAATGTTTTGTTTATTTTCAAGCAGTTATTAATACTAGAATTTTTGTTTTTGTATTCAAATCAAGTCCTCCTCTGTAAAAAAATGTACCAAAGAAAGTTGGAATACATACATCAAAAAACTATCTTTTTCTTGAAGATTTCTACTTTTTCATTATATAATACATGCTCATTGTCAAGAGTAGAAAGTAAAGAAGTGTTTAAGAAAAAAAACTTCAATTATTTATTCTACTACCATTTTTAAAATATTTTCCCATCCTTTTGAAACATATTTGAATAGTATACCTTCTGAAATAAAGCATATGTACACATTATTAAATGCAAACATTTGCATCCATACTATACTTATCATTTTATAGCTTGTGTTTATATTTATAACATTTTTCATATTTAATAGCCTTTAATTATATATCTAAATATTAAAAATAAGCTATATAACACCTCTTGTTCATTAAATGCTTATGATATGCACTTAATGAACAATGTTAAAGACATATATATATATATATATATATACACACACACATATTTTGTTCTTACTCATCTAAACGATCTTTTATACTTCAGGGATCTAAAGCTTTGAATTGACTTGCTGAAGGTCAAAGTCAAAAGATGATGAAGTTGGAGTTCAAACCTATGCTTATCTTCAGAGTCTACATTCTAAAGCCATCTTTACATTACCTCCATTTTTAAAACTTGCCTCTATAATTTTCCACCATACAAATTTTAAAACTTAACTGATTTCCATTTTTCAATGTTTAGCTTATCTCCTTATTTCTTTTACTTGTCTCACAATGTGTTTAAAAACATTTTATGCACAAATGATTATGTCAATCACCGATATTTTCTAAGAATGCATTTCTATGCCATGCATACATTTGCAGTTATTTATATATAATTGTCTACCAATTTGCACTTCCACAAATGATTTTATGTTTCAGAATTCTGAATGATGCTTTCCCCTTACCTGAAAACTTGTGACTATATAGGTCAGTAGTTTTTAAAATTACTATTAGTTTTAAAATTAGACAAAACTATACAATAAGTAACTTCGAAACATTATAATGTCAAAGTCATGGGTTTATACTCATAAATCAACAGGAAAGATTTAACTACCACACAGGAGTATGCCATTTTCTATGGAAAATTTAATTCTGGCTCTTTGGTATGAGTGCATTAGCACATTCTTCAATTAAGCATGAACACAGAACTTCTAACATTACGATCCATGAGTTATAGCAGGCTTCTCCTACAGGAAAAACTTCTAACCAAACCATACACACAAATACAAACACAAACACATACCACACATGAGGAAATGAATGCCGAAAAGCATCCAAACACACCGCACGTAGCTCCAAGGATCCACGTAGTCATAGAACTAACTAAAAAAATACTGCTATCAATAAACAAAATTTACTACGCTTAAGAAAATTTCAAAGCTTTTTTTCCTGAACAAAGCATACATAGTTTCAGAACTATATAGTTTTCACAGATCACCTATGTTAGACCTTTATTTCCATTATATAGCCAATGTTGTTGTTGGAAATGACATCCCTATTGCTACTGTATTTAAGGTTATCAGCCAGCCTTAAATCTTAATTCTGTAATATGAAACAATTAACAAACTTATAATTTCTCTTTAGAAACTTTAAAACATGGCATTGTTTGCATGCAGAAGGAAAGAAACGTACAGGTGCCTAAGAAAATTTTTGACAAAATATTTTTAAAGTCTAGAAAATTTTTCTCTCCATTGCTTGAGTAGTGGCCTTGTTTTGTTTGGTTTTCTCCAGCCATCATTGAGTGAGAAGGTTCTACCAATATCTTGCTATAAATTTCATTAGAATTTACTTTGAAAGATTCTAAGCATAACGAAGATACTATATTTTACTGTCAGTGACAGAGTATGCATCTATTGTACCTGCTAGTCAGTTCTAATGATGGTAAATGTATTATACTTGGCTCTCTGGGGTGGCAGAGAAGCCTTATTTATAGCTTTTGCTTATATCCATGGTGAAAATATTCCCATGATGACCTTTATACTGCATACAACGTGTGGAAGAGATGTTCATGATTATATCCAACAGGAGACAGCTTCAGCGTCACTGTTGCTAACCAAATTACTGACCAGTTACAAAACCAGCTGGAGGTGTTTAGAGTTTTTAAAGAAAAGCCTAAAATTAACTGTTACATATAGAAAGAATATTAGAGATCAGAGAAATTATATGCTACTTTTCATATAGTTCAAGTCTTACCATAAATTAAAATATTTGAGATTACTCTAGTAGGTAATTTTTTATTCCCTGAAATTAGGTATGGCAGCAGCTTATTTTCTCTCTTACTTTGCCTCTTTTCCTTTCTCATAGGTCCGTTTATTTGTAACTTCAAAAGATCTTTACATTAAAGCACTCTAATTTCCATTTAATCTGTTACTTTCACTTTGATGTTGCTTAGTTGATTAAAGTAATTTGGAATCTCAGTGCTATGGAATGTGATTAGGAATGTCATATTTCTAAAGGTTATTTTGTTAACATTTTGCACATTGAATTTTGATCAAATAGTAGATAAAAATATCATTTATCCATCTTATTCTATGGTAATTGTCATAAAAATATAGCTCTAGTTTAAATTAATAATTGGTCTAGCAATTGGAAAAATAGCAAATCATTTTATTTAATTAGATCTTTTCATGAAAACTGATTTGAAGAAATCTTAAAATATGCTTCATATTTCAGGAAATGATAAGATACTTTAAGCTTTGCCTATTGATTTTCTACTGGAGGATGGTAGACTGGGGAAGGGTAACTTTAATGTGAAACTTCCATATAAAATGTGTTAATGTATTCTCTGAGATCCCACCCATAGAAAATAGACTATTTTAATTCTATGCCCTTTTCTATTTTCTTCTAAACAGGGAATCTGGTGTCACTAGGTTACTGCAGTTTAAGACAGATTGCCTTTGTCCAACCTTTCCGTGTTTGCCAAGTAAATAGTAAATAACTGGACAGTATCTTTGTGATTAAAATGATCTTCCAAAATAGTTTCCTCCACAAGATACTCCAATATGTTTCTGCATATTTAAGTAAGCTAGACTGTGTCTCTAGGATAATTTATTTTAGACACCTGAAGAGTTCATAAAGTGCTACAGAGTGAAATTATTATTTGAGTTGTATCATGTATCAAATTCCATATGAAACTGCTTTTCTTCTAAGACTGAACCAGGAAGAAATTGAATACCTGAACAGACCAATAATGAGCTCCAAAACTGAATCAGTAATAAGTAGCCTACCCACAAAAAAAAAAAAAAAAAAAAAAAGCCCTGAAACAGATTCACAGCTGAATTTCACCAGATGTACAAAGAAGAGCGGTTACCATTTCTACTGAAACTATGTGTTAAGAATTGAGGTAGAGTGATTCTTCCATAACTCATTATACGAGGCCAGCATCATCCAGTTACCATACCTGCAGAAACACACACACACAAAAGAAAACTTCAGGCCAATGTCCTTGACGAACATTGATGCAAAAATTCTCAACAAAATACTAGCAAACCGAATCCAGCAGAACAGAAAAACTTATCTACCACAATCAAGTAGGCTTTATCCCTGGGATGCAAGGTTGGTTCAACATACGTAAATCAATAAATGTGATTCATCACATAAACAGAACTAAAGACAAGAAGCACATGATTATCTCAACAGATGTTGAAAAGGCTTTTATTAAAATTCAACATCCTTCATGTTAAAAACTCTCAACAAACTAGATATTGAAGGAACATACCTCAAAATAATAAGAGCTATCTATGACACACCCACAGCCAACATTATACTTAATAGACAAAAGCTGGAAAACTGGCACAAGACAAGCATGCCCTCTCTAACCCTCATTTTCAACATAGTATTAGAAGGCCTCGACAGGGCAGTCAGGCAAGAGAAAGAAATTAAGGGCATCCAAACAGGAAGAGAGGAAGTCAAACTATCCCTGTTTGCAGACAATATGATTCCATATCTAGAAAACCCCATAGTCTTAGCCCAGAAGCTTATTTAACTGATAAGCAACTTCAACAAAGTTTTAGTCCAGAAGCTTATTTAACTGATAAACAACTTCAACAAAGTTTTAAGATGCAAAATTAATCTACAAAAATCACTAGCATTCCTATACAGAAACAACAGCCAAGCCAAGAGCCAAATCAGGAATGCAAACTCATTCACAATTGCCATTAAAAGAATAAAATATTACGGAATACAGCTAACCAGGAAAGTAAAAATCTCTACAATGAGAATTACAAAACACTGCTCAAAGAAATCAGAGGTGAAACAAACAAATGAAAAATCATCCCATGCTCATGGATAGAAAGAATCAATATTGTTAAAATTGCCATACTGCCCAAAGCAATTTATAGATTCAGTGTTATTCCTATCAAACTACAAGTGACATTCTTTACAGTACTAGAAAAAACTATTTTAAAATTCATGTGGAATAAAAAAATAGCACAAATAGCCCACACAATCCTAAGCAAAAAGAACAAAGCAGAAAGCATCACACTATCCAACTTCAAACTATACTATAGGGCTACAATAACCAAAACATGGTACTAGTACAGAAATAGACACATAGACCAATGGAATAGAATAGAGAGCTCAGAAATAAGGCTGCATATCTACAGTCATCTGATCTTTAACAAAACTGACAAAAACAAGCAATAGGGAAGGACTTCCTATTCAATAAATGGTGCTGGGATAACTGGCTAGCCATATGCAGAAGATTGAAATTGGACCCCTTCCTTCTACCATCTACAAAAATCAACTCAAGATGGATTAAGCACTTAAATGTAAAACCCAAAACTATAAAAACCCTGGAAGACAACCTAGGCAATACCATTCTGGACATAGGAACTGGCAAAGATTACATGACAAAGACACCAAAAGCAGTTGCAACAAAAGCAAAAATTGGCAAATGAATCTAAAGAGCTTCTACACAGTAAAATAAACTACCATCAGAGTAAACAGACAACCTACAGAATGGGAGAAAATATTTGCAAACTATGCATCTGACAAAGGTCTAATAACCAGAATCCATAACGAACTAAAACAAATTTAGAAGAAGAAAAACAACTCCATTAAAAAGTGGGCAAAAGAAATAAACAGACACTTTTCAAAAGAAGACAGGCACACTGCCAACAAGCATGTAATAAAAAGGTCCATATCACTGATCATTAGAGAAATGCAAATCAAAACCACAATACCATCTAACACCAGTCAGAATGACTGTTATTAAAAAGTCAAAAAACAGCAGATATTGGCAAAGTTGTGGAGAAACAGGGAACACTTATACACTGTTGGTGGGAGTGTAAATTAATTCAACCATTGTGGAAAGCAGTGTGGTGATTCCACAAAGACCTGAAAACAGAACTACCATTACTGGACATATACCCAAAGGAATATAGATTGTGCTATCATAAAGACACATGCACACTTAGGTTCATTACAGCATGGTTCACAATAGCAGAGACATGGAATCAACCTAAATGCCCAACAATGTTAGACTGGATAAAGGAAATATGATACATATACACCATGGAATACTATGTAGCCATAAAAAGGAATGAGGTTATGTCCATTACAGGAACATGGATAGAGCTGAAGGCCATTATCCTTAGCAAACTAACACAGAAATAGAAAAGTGAATGCCACATGTTCTCACTTATAAGTGGTAGCTCAATGATGAGAATACATGGACACAAAGAGGAGAACAACAGACACTGGGCCTACCTGAGGGTGGAGGAAGGGAGGAGGCAGAGCATCAGAAAAAATAACTATTGGGTACTAGGCTTAGTACCTGGGTAATGAAATAATCTGTACAACAAACACCTATGACACGAGTTTACCGATATAACAAACCTGCACATGCACCCCGAACCTAAAAGTTAAAAAAATAATAAACTGCTTTTCTTTGACAAATAAAGAAACTACAGTATGCAGTCCATGTTTATTTATATTATGCTAGTTGCCTATTCCTTGCATATCTACATAAATTCACATAATTTTAGAAGTTTGCATTTCTAAATTTAAATCAAATTTAGAAATTTGAAGCTACGAAATTAAGTTTGAATATGGAAAGCATTGGGACGTTTATCTCCTTACAATCAGATGTAAACACTAGTTATGAATATACTTTTTTCAGTCATACACCAATCATAATAAAATATTCTTTTTAAAATTATTTTTTCGAGGATCATGCTGAAGTATTTCACTGATATCCTACATATGGACACAAGGGAGAGAAAGAAAGCTAAAATGGGAAGCATCAAATATTTAGAAAGTATGGACCATCTTTAGTGAATTCCAAAAAGCAACACAGCATTAGGAACTCTGTCCTCTGGAAAATCTTGGAGAGATGAAGATGTCCCAATGTGAACAGTCTTATTCTCTTTTAAGTGTCCTACCATACAGAACTTTAACTTAGGCCATTTATTTATTTTACTTAATTAAATTAGTCAATCAGATGTTTCCACATGAGCCTTACCAGAGCCCTACTTATCATCAGGAAAACTTCTAAAGAATGGGACAGAACAAAACTCATGTTATGTACAGAAGAAGGTAGCATGTATCCAAAGGAAGAAAGAAAGAAAGTAAAAGAGAGAGAAAGAGGATAGAAATAGAGAGAGAGAGACAGAAAGAAGGTTGAGACAGAGGGAGGGAGGGAGGGAAGGGGGAAGGGAAGGAAGGGGGAAGGGAAGGAAGGGGGAAGGGAGGGAAGGAGGAAGCAAAGCTGACCACGACTCAGTATATTTAACATCAGGAAATCAAAACTGAGGATAGAAAAATGCGCAAAGTGAAGGAGGTTTTTTCAAGATTACGTGGTTTATGATAAACTAAAGAATGAAAGTTGAAGAATTAAAAGACATAAACCGAACTTTATTTTTTATTCTAATGGTAATGATGGAATTTCTGATCAAAAACAATCTTAAAGAGAGTCAAATGACATATGGGCTTATAAAGCTTTAGCATACCATAACCTACCACCCTTTTCAGGCACAATGAAAAAAGAAGTTGGAAAAGCATCCACCTATTGCCTGCATGTAACAGAGCTCTGAGAAATCAGCCTTTTAATAAAAAGTACAGTCCTCAAAGTCTAAATGCCTATCTAGCCCTTTCATATTATGATACGTTCTGTTAGAAATCAGTTTTCTTTCTTGCCTTTCATGCATTATTACTTCACATTAGTTCAATTTTCCTTTGTCTTGCTTCTAGGTTTTTCAGTCACCCAACCTTTTCTTTTATGAAGGCCTCTATTGTTTTTTATAATTATCACTGTAATAATACAAATGAGTTTATCAAACTTGTTTCTCAGTCTCCTTTTCTCCATGAGTTGGTAATTAATTTGTTAACATGTTGGCATCATGTTTTCCATGAATCTGGCTCCATCCATGAACCACTGAATATCCTCCTGCATTTATGATGCTTGCCTCAAATCACTGTTTCCTGACTTAGTATTTTCTGGCATCAAGACATGAAACAAAAAGTATCGGCTGGGCGCGGTGGCTCACGCCTGTAATCCCAGCACTTTGGGAGGCCGAGGCAGGCGGACCACGAGGTCAGGAGATCGAGACCGTCCTGGCTAACACGGTGAAACCCCCTCTCTACTAAAAATACAAAAAAATAACTGGGCGTGGTGGTGGGCGCCTGTAGTCCCAGCTACTCGGGAGGCTGAGGTGGAAGAATGGCATGAACCTGGGAGGTGGAGCTTGCAGTGAGCCAAGATCGTGCCACTGCACTCCAGCCTGGATGACAGAGCGAGACTCCGTCTCAAAAAAAGAAAAAATTAATAGTATCATAACTATATCCCACATCTTTATGAAATAAGCTGGTTTCCCTCAGAGCCACCAGTGCTGCTGTGTCATAAAATCTGATAGATACTGCCCTTATCATTATTTCTGAAAACACCACAAACTTATTTCAGTTATACAATCTATGTGACTTGTGTTTTTATCTCAAGGGTAATCTCCCTTACTTAAAATCTGACACATTTTTAATTAATTTATTTGTTTCTACATTCATTCAAAACATACCAAGATTTTTATATTGCCAGGTTCTTTATAAATGCTGCAAATATGACATGAATAGAGTAAAGAGGTCCTTTGCCTCATGAGATGATAAATCTATTTTCTAGAAATGACAAATTTTTAACAAGTAATTCTATGTGTGATAAATGCAATAACCAAGAGTGCTCTAAGTGCTTTGCAAGCAAAAGTTAAGAAGTCAAATTTGGTCTTGAATTTTATATTGAGGATATTTATTCCTATTTAATTAGATAAGGAACACTGAAGAAAGAAGAGGTTGCCTTAAAGATAGCAGTCAGGATTGGCTACCTAAGAGGGCCAGTAGAAGATAAAAATCAGAGCTCCTTATACAAAAATTATTATGAATTTTAAGACTGCAATAGCAGATCATTAAACCAAGTGTGTGATCCCCAAAACGTGAGGTCCTGTGCGACTGCACATGTCACATGCCATGAAGTCAGCCCTCACGCCTATGAAGCATCCAGGAATATATGTCAAGCAGGCAGTAGAGTATACCAGTCTGGAGCTCAAGAGAAATATTTTGTTATAGACATTTGCAAGTTGTGACAGATTAAAGATAGCCATAAATTGTCACTCTAAAAAATCAAGAAATGGAGTTTATTTATCTTCCTCCTTGAATGTTAGCTGGCCCTATGATGGTTTAATCAATACAGTGATGTAAAAGTGATGTTGTGGTAGTTCTAGGCCCAGCCTTTAAAAGCACTGCTGCTTCTCTCTTGAAATGCTCACACTTGGGACACTTTCCTCCAGAACCCAGAGGCTAAATGGATGTTCACTTTTAGATGACAGCCCCAGCTGTCCCAGCGAATAGGCAGCATCAAGTATCAGCCATTTGAGTGAACCATTTAGATGTTCCAGTGCAATTGAGCAGAAGAACCACCCAGCTGAACCTAGTCAATCCACAGAACCATGAGAGATAATGAAATGGTTGTTGTTTTAGGCCATGAATTTTGCAGTAATACACAGCAATAATAACCAAAACAGAAATTAGTGAGGTGCTGAAACAACAAAAAGCTAAAACATTTGGCATTGGCTTTGGACCTAGAAAGCAGATAGAAGGTAGTCCAAAGCAGACTGCTAGTGAAAAATGGAATGATAGGGAGAAAAATGTTTTTGATGCTGGAAAGGAGGAAGAGGGCTTATGTTTTTTGTGGACACAAAAAACAGAAAATAAAGCAAATGAAAATTTTTTTTATTTTATTGAGCAGCAGAATAGTGAAAGTGCCAACTGTTTTTCCTGAATAAAATAAGGTATATGTAGAGAGAGGAACTTAAAAAAATAGCTTTCAAACAGGATCTAGAGGGAGTATTTCTTAACCAAGACTTGTTGGGAATTTTTCTTATTCCCAGTCTCCCTCAACAAAAGTCTCTCAAAGTAAGAAATTACTTTAGGACAAAGATCAAATCCAAGGCACTGTCAGTAAATGTGCAGTTTCAAAGTCAAGATCTCAGATATGTGGCTATAAGAACTTTTTGTTAAAAACTCAGAAGGATTTGACATTTGTAAAAAACTCAGGTGTGCCTCTTTGAAACTTTCTTCTAGACAATGAGGCTTCTATAACTCTCTGTTCAAAGTAGGGAAAGGCCTTTTATAAAGAAACTTTGGTGTCGCTTTTGTCCAGGAAAATGGCTTATATTTTTATACTCAGGAAAACCACAAAGTATCTATAGGAAGTGTACCAATTTGTACTAAACAAACAAAGAAAAACAGTGACAGTTCAAAAATTAAGAGATCTTTGAGACACTCAATTTTCAACAAAAAGAACACAGCCTGAGAAAGTCACTCAGCTACACATGTGGGCTGTTTCTTAGGGAAAAGAGAGACATATGGAAGAGCCAGAAGCCCAGAGGAAAAAGCTAAGAGGCAGAGAGAATCAACCCAAGAAAGCTGGAGGAAACCCTAACCAAGGAACCCACATCTGCTCACCTAAATTTCAGGATGTTTATGAACCAGTGGCTGCTATTTGCCACTGTACTTTTGGAATGCGTGTCTATCAAATTCTATTGTCCTTGTCTCACTATTACATACTGAGTTTGTGGGGGCCAGATAACTTGTTTTCTAGTTCATAGCTCTTCATCTCAAGAGTAGCCTGAGGTGCCTTATTCACACCTGGATCTGATTTAGATAATGGAATGCTGAACATTGAACCTAATTCAGTCACAAATTGAGACTTTGAGGGTCATGGGGAATGGTCAGGGTATTTTGCATGTAGAATGAATTTAAATAATTTATGACTGAGGGATCACTGTTGTGGGCTAAAAATGACCAAACACGTTTTATTACTCTTTCCATCAACATGTGGCATTTATTTTCATTCCCTCTTGAATCTGGGTTGGCCCTGTGACAGCTTAAATAGAATGTGGTGGAAGTGATGATATACCAGTTACAGACACACTTTTTAAGAGGATTGCAGCATCCAGGTCCCCCTCTAAGGTTTCTCATTCTTGGAACAATTCTTGGAACTCACCCATCATACTGTGAGAAACCCAAGCCACATGTATAGGACACATGTTGATGATCCAATTGACAGTCTCAAGCGAACTCTTTGCCAATAACCAGCATCAAATGCTGCCAGGTAAATGGGAAATCTTGGCTGTCCCAGCACAATTGAGCCCATAGATGATGCAGCCAAATCCAATTTATAAGAAACAAGCAACCCCATTTAGTCCAGTCAACACTAAAAATAGCGTGAAATAATGAAATAGTTAAGCCAGTAACTTTTGGAGTGGTTTGTTATAAAATAATAGATAATTAAAATAGGAGTCAGCTGTGTATAGAGGTTAATGAAGCCATGAGATGGTTAAGACAATCAATATGTGACATGAAAGAAAAAAGGCTATCTTAGTCTGTTTTCTGTTACCTGAATTCCATAAACTGAGTAATTTATAAAGAAAATAAATGTATTTATTTCTTACAGTTCTAGAGGCTGATAAGTCCAAGCATATGGTGCCAGCATCTGGTGAGGCCTTCTTGCTGTGTAATCTCATGGCAGAAGAGTGGAAGGACAAGTGAGCACATGCAAAAGGGATTGTACAAGGTGCTGAGCTGGCTTTATTACAACTTGCTCTTGAGATAACTACCAACTCTGATGATAGGACCTTAATCTATTCATAAGGGTGCTGCCTATGATTTGATTACCTCTTAAAGGCCCCACATCTTAATACTTTTACAATGGCAATTAAATGTCAACATGAGTTTCAGTGGAGACAAACATTCAAACCATAGCAAAGGCTTAGAATAGAATCCTAGGAATTCCAAAATTGCCAGACAGAGAAAAAGATGACAGCTACAGAATCTGTGAAATATGTTCATCAAAGTAAAAAGAAATCCAGACAGTCAGTGACCTGTGAGCCAATGGAAGAGAGAGACCACACAGGTGAGTGCCAATGAGAGATCAAATGAGATATAGGTCATAGTTACTTGTTCTATTAAATGACATAGAAGATAAAGGTGGCCTTAGCAAAAATAGAATTTCAAACTGTTAGGGAGGAAGCCAGACTGGAATTAGAGAGGTAGCTGAAGAATGACAGGGAATGAGTAGAGAGGAACAGAGAGTATAGGTTCTTTTGAAGAGCCAGGAAAGTTGGCATGAAGAAGCTCAATATCTCTTTCTGTCTCTCATTCTCACTCTGTGTGTGTATGTGTGTGTGTGTGTGTGTGTGGTGGGGAGAAGGAATAAGAGACAGAAATCTTGAAACATTAAAATTATCATTAAATGATGGTGAGAAGGAAAGAAATATAAAAGTTATGGTAAGAGAAAAATATGAGTAATATTTAACTCTTTCCAGAAAGGATCCTCAAACCAAAGAACATCCATTTAGGCACTATGGCTAGTGTTCAAACACACAATAACCTCAAAATAACACTTGCTGTCAAGCAGAATTTGTAAAACTGAGCTGAATAATCATGGATTCAAAGGAATTTATTTCCTGACATATCAAAATGGCCTTGTTTAAATCATGTAATCGAGTCTATAATAAAAATTTAATCTTAAGGTTTTATAGCTCAAAAAAATCTGTATTTTAAATTTTTAGGCAGTTTCTTCTAAGGTGAACAATGGTATTTACCTTTTGGGTAGAACATGACTTATTTTTGGAAGTATTGCTTGAGTAATATTAAGAATTAGGAAATATCTACTTGCTGATATGAGAGTATACAAAAATGTTTGCTTGACAAGCTTCCGAGGGCTCTGTAAGATTGTGGTGATATCAGATAATGCCCTTCCCAAATGTGTCTGCTCATCAATGAATTTACACACATGCATAACAGCTTCCTGGGAGCAGAATGGCTTGTACCTGGTTCTGTCTCTGAGTGTTTCAAAGATATGGAAGCATGTTTGATGAAAGATCATGGAATAGCAAAGAAAAATAGCACCAAAAAGGCAAACAAGGCAGGGAAAGATTCTAGACTAGTGATTTGGGATCAACACAGGACAGGATGATTAGAGAGAATAGCTTCCTGTGCACACTATGTAGTTTGATGCAGAAGCCATCCTGATCCAGATGCCCTGGTACTGTGGGGCGGGACCTTGGAAAAATTACCCAGAGGATGTGAAGTGAAAGTTTTGTTACACCATTCTTCAGAGTGAAGGCAGTTTTCCTACAGAAACCTTCAAAAAAGGAGATGCATCCTTCCTTGTTCCTGGCAGTCTTGCATTTGAGGAAATCAGTATGCTCCAACTTAGGTGAGTTAGGCCACTGGCCAATTTTTTTTTTTTTCTGTAGCCCTCCTCTACTCTGAGTTCCTAATTCCACTTGTTCTGAATTTTTTTTGGTGACGCATTGTCTCCATTATTGAACTTAGTCCTTTCAAAAATTAGCAAAGCTGGGAATTTTCATCCTATTCTTTTCCTACTTTCAGAACTTTGAACTTTGAATTTTCAGGAAGCCATGAAGAATGGAGTAAGATTCTAGGACCAGTTAACAAGAACATGTAAAATAATTTGTTTGTAAAATAATCTTATGAGGCTAAAGCACAAGCCAGAGCAGATTTTTTTCAAAATGCATAAGCAACACTTGTTCAATTCCACCTGCTGCAGTTAAAGAAAAGTAAGCAAAAGGGAACACTGACAAAGTAATTATTTCTAGCTATCAAATGTCCATTCATTGATTTCTAGCCAAAGCAGAGAGAATCAGGAAGTTTCTATAAAGGGCAATGAGTTTCCACAATACAGAATGTCTGTGTTGGCTCAACTCCTACCAGTTACCAAACTCCCTAATCATCCTCAATACTTTCACAATAAGTGCAAATGCTTTCAAAGTTTAAATAGATGCATCAAAAAATATGTGCCAGATAGCAATATTTGAACACTTTTCACTAAGTGCTAAAAGATTTTAGTTTTGTATACTAACTGTTAACATGGATTAAAACCAACAAATAAAAACACAATTGCAATGCTACTTGTGCTACTGGCCAACTTAGCACCAAATCACTAATAACAATAAAATTTTTCAAAATCTTAATCAAAATTTCCCCAAATTAAAAGAAAGCCAATCAATCTACAAATTGTAAAGACTGTAAAATTAGATCAATTAAACTCAACTGGGGAGAGATTTTATTTTCCAAGGCACATTTGGCAGTATCTAAAGACATTTTTGTTTGTCACAAATGAAGGAGGGGGTGCTACCGGTGTCTAGTGGGTAGAGAACAGGGATGCTGCGAAACATCCTCTTATACCTAGGCCAGCCCCCTACAACAAAAAATTATTGGCATAAAGTGTCAATGGTGCCAGATTTTAGAAATCCTGAGTTGGAGTTACCATAAAGTCCAATTTATTTTCCTTTATTTACAGAGCACCCTCTGGTTTATAACGATAACATCATAGCATCAGTATGTAGGAAGAAATGTATTTTCTAATCCATTATGGTTTTCAGGGATGAAGAGAATTATTATTGCTGTATCTGAAAATAATACCACACCATTAAGAATGTAAGTGAAAAGGAAGTGTCTAAGGCACTGGAATCTTTGTACAACTTAATCGTTTAGATAAATTTGAAATTTAAAAATGCTTTAAAATAGGGATAAACTCTCCAAGATTCTGAGTTTACAAAAAAATTTCCAGTGTTTTAAGCAATTACTTTTCTTATGTAAATCCCAGATAAGATGTAGAGGTACTTATCAACAAACTGACTCCAGATTTCTATCAATGAGCCTAATAATATTATAATGATAGTTTAAATACTAGGCTGAAGGACATTAATAATGGAGATTAAAGTAAAAGATGTATATTTAAATTAATTCAGTTAAATTTTGTTAATTGATACTCATTTCCATTAATTCTGTTTTTGCAACCTTTCAGACTTATCTTTTAGTCTCCAGAGGCAGAAAAAAAGCAGAAAAGGTTGTTGAAATTCTTCACATTGATTTCAGGGCAATGATCTCAAACGGCGCAGTGGGAACCCGCAAATTTAAGAGGTAAGGGAAGCAAATGGACTCACTGGGAACTTTATCAGGTAAGAGGCAGCCAGACTTAAAGAATAGCCCTGCTGCTAAAGAGAAGGAAAATCTTCTCTGGCAACATCTTTCATTCTCCATCCTTTTCATTAAGAGAAAACACAGGGCGGGCGCGGTGGCTCACACCTGTAATCCCAGCACTTTGGGAGGCCGAGGCGGGCGGATCACGAGGTCAGGAAATCGAGACCATCCTGGCTAACACGGTGAAACCCCGTCTCCATTTAAAAAAAAGAAAAATACAAAAATTAGCCGGGCGTGGTGGCGGGCGCCTGTAGTCCCAGCTAGTCGAGAGGCTGAGGCAGGAGAATGGCGTGAACCCGGGAGGCGGAGCTTGCAGTGAGCCGAGATCCCGCCACTGCACTCCAGCCTGGGCGACAGAGCCAGACTCCCTCTCAAAAAAAAAAAAAAAAAAGAGAAAACACTATGGAATCTTGGGAACAACATGGATGACCTACGTGTTTTCTCACAGTCAGACACCTACTTTAGGAATCCAAATGTTAACGCACATGGGGCTTTAGCAAGGAAGAAATCAGAGTACAGAACTTTAATTCAAGTTGTATTTTTGAATTGTGACACTTTTACAATAAAATAATTTTTTTGAAATTTATTAAAATCTCCATTATTGGAGATTAATTTCTTCTGGTCAAAGTCCTGTTACTTTAATGTTATATTAAAGTAAAAATATTCCAAAATGTTTAGCACACTGTTCTACCAACAGCTATTAAAATCTTAACCTGAATTAATTTCTTTAATCAGCTCTAGTATCAGATTTCTCATTTAGAGAGACAGGGTAATGATTTTTAAACTAGTATGATGAATCGACACAAAATTTTCTTTCCTAAAGTAGATTCCATGGAACACGATTTTCTGAAGTAGCCACATGGGAGAAAAATGGTTCAAAGTTTTAAGAAGTGCAGGACATACTGCCTGTATTGATCCTTTTTAGAGGTTCACCATGCATATTAGAAAAGTCTTTGAGAAACTGATTTAACTAGTTACAGAAAGTCACAAATTTCCTCATTTGCCCAGTGTGATCCGCAACATTAATTGACATACCGTGATATTAATACCCTGAGTAAAACTTGGGAACTAGATGTCGAGGACATGAATAGTATCATTGGGTATATTAATTATCTGTTGCCATGCAGTAAATTTTATTATATCAGAGTTTTCCAGGGTCAGGAGTCCAGGCAATGGCTTAGCTTATCTGGGTTTACTGCTCATGGTAAAAGGCTGAAATCATGAAATCAGTGAGGTCTGCAGCTTGGAAGATTCTCTTCCAAGCTCAACTGGTTGTTGGCACAATTCATTTCCTTGTTGCTGTAGGACTCACAGGGCTTGCTTCTGCAAGCCCAGAGAGAGAATCTCTGTGACTTTAAGTTTCTGACCTGTAGATCCCCTTTTAAAGGGCTCACCTGATTAGAATAGGCCTATCTAGAATAACCTTTATTTTAATTAAGTCAACTGATTAGGAAACTTAATTGCATCTGCAAAATCCCATCACCTTTGTCTTATAATCTAACCACTGGTGTAACACTTGTTATAGTCACAAATCCCATCTCCACCCAAGGGCATGGGATTATACAAAGGTTTGGATACCAGGGGAAGGGAATCACAAGGACATCTGGGGACTCAATAAACCATATTGGGGAACTTTAAAGAAAGGAATATACATAGTAGAGAGCTGAAAGGAGAAGAGAAAATGTTAATATCATAAAAGAACTTTAAACCCACAATTATCCTAGCTCCCAAAGGCCAACCCAAAGCCACTATCTCAATAAAAATAATTACCATGTCACTGACTGAATTCTTCACACTGTTTTAACTAAAAGACAAATTAATCAATTTTAGTAAGACCTATGGCAAAATGTATCATATTTTCATTTAGGTACCTATTGCTGAAACTTTTAATCCAGACTTAAAGTAAACATACAAGAACATAAGCATTATTTTCTGGCACCTATTCCCCTTTCTTAACATAATGCCATTCTAGCATTTTCTTCCCGTAGACATTTAGGCCCATTATCACAGCACAACAGAGTAAAAATACATTGCCAGAAGCCTGAAAAAATAACATGCTTTTCTTAAGAAATGGAAAAAGATAGATAAATAATCATCCATAAGCAAAAAGTTCAATAAAATTTAAATTAAAATTCTAATAACTAGAATCTAGATTTCCAAGGTTATATTTTATCAAAATTATCTTCACTAAAACATTGCAAAATTTTTCTGATTAAATATAATCACCATTTAAAATTTTTTCCTATTTGGCATTTATTAAATTTTCCTTTTAAAACAATTTGTTTAACCTTTACATTATGTTTAAACTTAAGAAAAAGAAAGAATACCATGAAAAAAGAAAGTAAGGAGAGGATAAAATATTATTTTTATCATAATTAATTTTCTGAAATAAATTAATATTTTTAATTTAGAAATACACACCACAGAAAATAACATACACTAAAATCTTTTGCTGTCTTTATTATTGTATTAAATTGTACCTAATATACTTTTTAAGTGAAAGTAGAGTCTCATTCCTCTATTTACAATGATGGTCTTTTGTCTATCGATTAAAAAAAATTTTTTTGCTTCTCTTTTCAACAGGAAGCATGAGATCACAGATAAAGCTTAAGCTCATATGTCTGGATAGAGCACTATTCTTTGTACCAGTTATACACTGTACACATTGCATATTTTAAATTATTTATGTTTCAGAGGAAAGGGTTAGCTAGGTGATTTACGTACTACTGGTAAAATCCCAGTCCACAAAACTAGCTGTACAGAAGACAATTGAAACTTACTCCTGAATATTTATAAATCATTCCAGAGTTAAGATAATAATGTAATTCTCAAAAATAACAGTGAAAAGCAAGAAAAGTTCCTTTTGGAGAAATAAAACAATAGATCCAAGTTTCAAATCCCTCTGGGTTAGGCCGTAAATCAGGTAAAAAGATATAATTTCATGCCAAGCCAATTCTCTATTAGAAAGGGAATGTGGGTTCTGGGAGGCATGCACTTAATCTGACTTATGCACACCACAGTGTTGTCCATAGAATGTACAAATAACCCCATAAGAAAGGTTAATCAAATGTGCACTGTGACTTAGGATAAAATGCCTGGGACGGCTGACCAATTCGATTCATATCTCCTAGTGGAGATCCATAATGTCTCAATTCTTAATTATCTAGTCTTTTGTGCATTAAAAAAAAATGGCCAATAAAATGTCAGCCAAGAAACACACTGTTCATTCCTTTCAGGTTTATTTTAAACCTATTGCACTTAGGCTAGAGCTAAATCAATTTTTCATGAATATCTACCCCGGTAGATTGCACCTCTAGCCAATTCAGATCCCCAGAGAATTTTAAAAAAGAGATTTATCAAGTAACAAGTAACACCTCAGGAAAAAGAAACAGGGTTTTTAATTGCTTTGTGTGCTCCGTAATTGAAGGCAGGCACCTTCTTGAGGCGCTCGCTGCCAGGAGGAGTGAGACTCCACTTGGCCCTGCCTAATTAATCCTGTGATACAAACCTTCTGGCTTCAATTTTCACATTTCTGTCTCTTTTTAGAGGTGATAATAAAACTAAAAATTTATGTTGGTTACTGTATGACTATAACTGTGCCAGCAGAACGCAAATAAAACCATATGGGCTAAGGAGACCTTGTCTCCATATTTCTGGTTTCCCTGTGGCACGAGGTACCAGGGCAAGCTTTGTGCTAACAAGAAAAGGTAGGGAAAACTCAGTAGCGGGGTGGAAGTGCAGGTCAACCCGTTCTTATGAGTTTGCTCTGTTAAGATGACTCATTGAAACATATGCCTTTTTTATTGACAAAATTTTTCTCAAAATAGAATCGTACACTCTGAAAGCTCAATGGCTCAGTGACTGCATATCACTAAACAGTACTAGAGCTTTTAATGAAAGACAAATTGGGCAGCTTAGCCTTTAAAAAAAGCTGTCAGAGTGACAAGTGCAGGGTCTATTATCTTAATAGCTTACATATTAAGATGAGTAAAACACATCCTTTAGAACTTTGTCCATGACACCAGCAACATCGTAGCTGAGCTGTGATGCATAATGCATCCCACATCGTGAATTGGCTCCATTGCTGACACAGGTCAAAATTATTTTGCTTTTATGGAGAACCTTGATTTGTAATGTGACATTATTGTTATATGTCTGGTGGAATGATACTTAAAGAGGAGGCAAACAAATGGGGAGAATAATAGCACCTATGGGGTAGTAGTTTACACAGAAAAATAGTAGTTTCAAAGATTGGCATAAATTCGAAGGGTATATTGTGCCTGCTGTTCACAAATAATGGATTTTTTTTTAAGAGAAAGAAATTTCTAAAAATTATGTTACTTAAATTATTTTTATAGGTGGTTAAAACTTTCACAGGTTATATCATTTTCTTTACCTTTGTTTCTTTGAAATCTGTTTATTTTGAACAGTTTCCACTCTTTCTGCTGAATTTTTAAAAATATGGGAGCCATCTGGTGGTCAACAATTATAATTTTTCTTAAAAATTAAATAATGTTTTATTATAAAATAAAGTGCTGTCTAATTTTAAAATTTGGTAAGATCTTCTTTTTTTCCCCAGTAGAATTATTTTTTACAAAGGCACTAATTCAATACTCTCATAGGCTTAGTCAAATAAATTCTGCGCATGAAACTTTTAAAATATACTGTTTTCACGGTACATTCCATTCATTTTTTACAAATATCAAATGGACTCTTCTTTCCATATTGTTCATGTATTTACCAAGAAGTAATTTAAATCATGCAAGGAGTTGAGAAAAATACAAATATGTCCTTGAAAGTTTTATAATATGTGAGTTTTTATACTTTTTAAAATAAAGCAAGTGATTTTTATAGAATATTCTGCATAAAGGGGAAGCTTTGGGAACAAGGTCCAGGATTCCATAAATATACATGGATATGGAAGATAATTTTAAAAGGAAAGACTTAAATGCAAAACCTTAACTATAAAAGTTCAAGTTCTGGCCAGTGATATGTGAAACATCAAAACAGAACTGACATTAATAGCAATTGTTGAAGTTCTACATACCTTGTTCACATGACTTAAAATAAGCTGCTCACCTTCTAAACTAGTATATTGAATGTATGTATATATGTGTGTATCTATAATACACACATATAAAATGTGGTCTGTTGTGAGTATATTAAAACTGACCATTTCACTCTAATCTCTACCTCATGATTAAACTGTAGAATTCTTTTTGTTGTTGTTGTTAGGTTCTGTTAACTGCTTTTATTGCTATTTAACACACACTGAATATTTACTCTATGGCAGGTTTTTGATTACAAGCTTTTATAAATAATCTCTTTAGGCTGGGGATAGTGGTAAGCACCTGTATTCCCAGCAAATCCAGAGGCTAAAGTGGGTGGAACACTTGAGTCCAGGAGTTTGAGGTCAACCTGTGCAACATAATGAAACCCCTTCTGTAATAAAATAAAATAAAATGATTTTGTTGAATCTATGTAAAATACTACCCAATGGGTACCATTATTCTCCCATTTATTTTCTGAAGCATATGCGGCTCAGAGAAGTTATGAAACATCAATACAAGTGAGTGGCCTTGGCTTTACCCCAATTCTAACTCCAATTTCTGTACGTTTATCTACCATTCAAAACTAAAATGGCCACTAGACACTCTAATCACTTGTAGTTTGTCTGTTCAACAACATAATTACGTCCTCAATCAGCTTTGAATTGGAAGGGAAAGCACCAGCCTTATAAGCCAAATCTGTTACTTATCTATCAGGTTCCATGGGAGGTAAAGTAATAAGGAGAAATGAAATATCATTGTAATTGTCACTGAGTGTTTAGTTCATTAGGCACTCTTTCTTCCTTCTCTTCTGGAGCAAACTCTTTCCCTTCCACTCAGGGTTGGCTTTCTTCTGCTTCAACTCTGGAGGGAATGCCAATCGCGAAACTCTGGGGATTGGGCATGTAGTGCAGGCCTGGCCACTGTGACATGTCCAGGAGAGAGCAGGGGACCTAAGCCAGAACAAGCAAAGGCATTCCCTGGTATTCTTTACCCTTCTGGGAAGAAGGGTGGTGAGAGCTCCTTCCTTCAGATCTCCAAGTTGAAATGATATAGGCATGAAGCTTCACTCAACCCCTGGGCCTCTTGCCAGAACCCTCCACATGCACTCCTCAGTACTTGGGGAACAGAAAGGAATGAGATGAATGCACATGGCTACAAGAAACGAGAACTAACAGAAAATAAAAAGCCTCGAGACTTTCACTTGATCTAGCTAAGAGCTCTAAAGCAGTGTTATTTCTTCAGAACTTCCTTCAGTGTTTGAGCTACCCAGGAATTCTTCCAGTAAACTTGTTTGCTGGGTTTTGTTTTTGCTGTGGTTGTTTTGCCTTGAGCTAGTTTGAGTTGGATTTTTGTCACTTGAACACAGGAAGCCATTAGACTGTACAATTACAAAATATTAGGTTCTCCTATGGTAGAAAACAGAGATAACCACTGTTACCGAATAGTATCTTTCGGGTGGGTTTTAAAATAAACAGTTTCCCTAGGAAAAGAGCCAGCCTGCCTGCATATGGCAGGGAAGTGTGACACAAAGCACCAGACTGGTTTTGGCAAACACAGGGAGGAGCCAATTTCCAAAAGCTCTACAGTTTTAATCCCCACTGGCATGCAATGTTTGTTTGTATCTCACCCTTCTATGTGTAAAACTGGACTCAAAATTTGCACACTTAAGGAATCTCTCTCTCTCTTCCTCTCTCTCTCTCTCTCACACACACACACACACCCCTCTTCCTGATTTTCTTGATTTTGATATGATCTCATTTGGGCCAGAAGTAATGCCTCCTAGAACTCTATCTTCCTGGTCTACTAAGAAAATAAAGTGGTACACATATTGTAAGGAAAGTGTAAATGTGGATGAAAGCAGAACAAATTTAGCTATTGTGACTAGAGACACAGGATTCATTAAGCCAAAAATCATACGCTTTTGAGGTGAAGCCCTCTAGCTTGGTATCCCAGCTTTGCCACTTATGTGCTGTGTAAGCCAGTTGCTCTGGATGGCCATTTTCTTTTCAATACAAGGGGTGAATATCAAGGTCAATGATATAGCTTGACTGTGTCCCCACCCAAATCTCATCTTGAATTTTCACGTGTTGTGGGAGGGACCCGGTGGGAGGTAATTAAGTAATGGGGGCAGGTCTTTCCCATGCTGTTCTCATGATAGTGAATAAGTCTCATGAGATCTGATGGTTTTATACAGGGTAGTTTCCCTGCACAAGCCCTTTTTTTGCCTGCTGCCATCCGTGTAAGATGTGACTTGCTCCTCCTTGTCTTCTACCATGATTGTGAGGCCTCCCCAGTTATGTGGAACTGTAAGTTCATTAAACCTCTTTTTCTTCCTGGTCTCTGGTATGCATTTATCAGTAGCGTAAAAATGGACTAATACAGTCAATTTCAAGATTGGCAATAATTCATAAAAGGAACCTAAAATAGATGCTCAATAAATGGCCAGTGTATTGGTGATTATAAATATTATTATTAATATTTGTATTATCATATTATATTATTAATATTTGTGTGATTGTATTAACTCAGCATATACTTTTGTTAACCAAAACACTGGAATGAAACATATAGCAAAGAGAAAAAAATAGTTTGATTCCTTGTTTACCAATTTTGCTTTTTCTGGGTATTCTCAATAAGCTTCTTTTGAAAAATAGAATGAAAACTAATAGTTCACAATCAAAACTAATAGTTGGAAAACATTAGTGCTGAAGTCTAACAGAGTATTGCCATTATTGAAAACACATTAAATATTCTATTGTTAACTCTGTATTTTTTCCAGTAACCTTATCATTTAAACTAAGATATGTTTCTGCAAATAGTCTGTTTTTGTCTTCTTTCCCCTAACGTATAGTGAGAGAAATTTAAGTCTCAGAACCTAGACCTATAACATTTATGCATAAGATACACAGTGTATTATATAATCTCTACTCAATCATTGTTATGTATATATTTGAACAAAACTATTACATAAAAATATTTAATCTAAGAAGGATTTATTTTAAACAGAATAAAGCCAAGTTTAAAAGTGATGCCCATTACATATGATAAAATAGCTCATTGGGTTCCTAACTTGCCTGCTTGTTGCAATCATGGGGGAACTTCAACAAATACTGACACCTTTGACTTACTACCCACCCACCGGCTAGAAAATCATTCCATTATCTGCATTACGGTCTTGACTTTGAAATTTTTTAAAGACTTCCTGGTGAGTCTAGTGTGCAGCAAGTTTAGGAAGCACTGGATTTGCTTCCTCACTATGTTTCTTTTCTTAGTGCTCAAGCAGTTTCTACCTGTTCTGTTTATTTTCTCTAAGAACAAGTACATTCATTACAGAAACTTTTATTTTATAATAGAAAATGAAAACACACCAAAGGAAACACATTTTTCCAATCATTTAATTAAATTAACGTGTTCCACTTCTCCAGTGTTCAACACATTCTGATAGGGACTGATGAAGAAAATTTTTTAAAAAGATACAGGGCACAGATTCTGCTTTAAAAATGTTAAAAGAGGCCAGGCATGGTGGCTCCTCATGCCTATAATCCCAGCACTTTGGGAGGTCGAGGCCTGCGGATTACTTGACGTCAGGGGTCTGAGGCCAGCTTGGCCACCATGGTGAAAACCAGGCTCTACTAAAAATACAAAAAGTAGGCCGGGCATGGTGGCTCACACCTGTAATCCCAACACTTTGGGAGGCGAAGGATGGGGGCGGTGGATCACAAGGTCAGGAGTTCAAGACCGGCCGGCCCAATATGGTGAAACCCTGTCTCTACTAAAAATACAAAAATATGCTTGGTGTGGTGGCACGTGCCTGTAATCCCAGCTACTCACGAGGCTGAGGCAGGAGAATTGTTTGAACCCAAGAGGCAGAGGTTGCAGTAAGCCAAGATCACACCACTGCACTCCAGCCTGGGTGACAGAGCAAGAGTCCATCTCAAAAAAAAAGTAGCTGCCATGATGGCATGTGCCTGTAGTCCCAGCTACTCAGGAGGCTGAGGCATGAGAATTGCTTGAACCCAGGATGCAGAGGTTGCAGTGAACCGAGATTGCGCCACTGCACTCCAGCCTGGGCGATGGAGTGAGACTCTGTCTCAAAAAAAAAAAAAAAATTAAAAGATTGTTCACCTGATAGAACAATGATTAAAATTCTAAGTGTCTCTCTTCAGCAATAATAATCTTGAGAGAACTTAACCACTTGAAAACAGTGAAAATATTTTTTAAATGCAAGTGAACCACAATAACTGCAGCGACCAGAGAAGAAGCCCCTCCTTCTTTTTCTTATACACACCAACATTTTCTTTTGCAAATGTCATTGAAGTGAGTCTATTTCTTCATCTGATGTCTAGAAACTACTTGACTGATTTTCATCAACATTGGAGGTGACAAGACGGCTTCATATATGCAGCCATTCTCTAATTCATGTGAATACTTTGTTCATTCCTTGAATCTACCATCTACTCCTATCAGTGCGAACACCATTAAATACCTATGCTGAGATTTTCACAGTTGAGAGGCATTAATATGTCTATAGGATTCATATTCTTTATATCATATGAACAGTGGAGGAAAGGTCTACATTTATACAGATGTCTTTACTCACTTCTAAAAATCCCAACTAATACCACAGCTTGGCATTAATCAAAGATTTCCAAGTTTTATGTCCCAAAAATGCAATCTTTATCTCAGGCCTATAATGAGGATTAAAGGTGATAATGAAAAAAAGAGTACTTAGCACGGTTCCTGAGACATAGTAGCCACTCAATAAATGTTAGTTCTCAAAACAAAGATGACGTCCAATTTCACTCTCTTGAAATGATTGTGTTAATTTTAAGAGTGCTTATAAAAAATTCCTTGAAGTCATTTAAAAGAGAAGCACTATCTCACTTTATTGACATTATTGTCACCTACTCCCAAACTTACTGATATTTTTAAAACTTGGAGTAGGCTTCCCTTAATTGGAGTTATTAGTATTTTAACAATAAGTAGTTGTAGATTCCTAAATGGTGGCCTAAAGCAGGTTGAGAAAGGGATGCATAGTTAGAAGTAGAATAATAGTTTACTGATGACCTTCATTAAGTCTTTACTCTTTTCTCAGCAAAGCTAGAGGAAACCAAAGTCATAGAACATCTGAACTCTGTCCAAACATCGGTCGTATTTCAAAATTTCAGGTTAGTATGCATAATATATTAATGCTATACAACTTCATTGTGTTCACTTTAAAATTTGTATTAAGTAGATTGCTACATTATGGTAATGTACTAAATTACCTAAAGCAAAGTAATACAATGATTAACTGACTATAAACATTGGTTTATGGTCAGTTTATAAAGTATTACAATGATTAATATTATGCATTTTCAAAACAGTAGAAAATTGCAGGATGAAATATCTGTGGATTGACTCAGTGCCATTAGGAATAATAAAACAGTGGTATAACTCAGTCTCAAGTTACATCTTGAGAGTAAACTTTGTTTTAAATCTTCTCCCTAAGTGGTCAGGAAATTCATTAATTTAAAATGCCCAATGCTTGCCAGACACAACATTGAGAATACAAGTGTTCATACAAATATATCAGGCAAACTAGGGCTTAACTAAAGTTTTTTAAGCATTTTTCTTCAATGTTTTGTGGAAGAACAATGAGAAAACATCAGTTTTATTTGTTATGTTCTCTTAATGATTACAAAAGTAAGTAAAATGGTTATATTCAAGATTTAGGTTTTGCCTTCTTTCAAAAATAGGTTTGAATGAGTTGCAACTTTCAAAAATAATCTCTCAGATCTAGAGAAGCCTAGCTCATCTGTTCTACAACATAATGTACTAGACTGAGTCTTTGTGGAGAAACCAGACAACACCAAGAAAAAAGAAAGTTATAAGTTTATATTGTTCTATTGCGGCAAAGGGTTGGAATGTAGGTAGGCACCAATCAAAGGATTTGGGCCTCAGGGAGGAGGAAGTCTATAGAATTACGCTGAAGAATGCTGCAGCAGAATTGTCTAGGTTTGACTTCTCACCTTGCCAGAGAACTGCTGTATAATCTTAGGCCGATTACCTTACTTTCCTCATCTCTAAAATGGATATAATATCTCTGTTTTGAATGGATTAAATAAAAATTGTGAAGTGACTGGCCCATAATAGACAATCAATAAATCACAGTTATTTTTATGAACATTATCATTATATTTATTACTAGTTGATTGTAACTAGTTGGTTATTACTGAATTCTAATGTCCCAGTAGAAAAAGAAGGAAAGTGAAAATTGGTATGGGCCCAGTCTAAGAATGCTGGCTGGCGAAAATGATACGACCTTGAGAAATTGTGCAAGAGCCTTAAATACATATGTTGATCATTTTATATTGCAGAGCCTCAGACTTCCATGATAATATCTGCCTAGTCTTTAGAAGAGTGTATGGAAGTGTTCAAGAACCTTTCCTGAAACAACTTCTATTACAGACACTGCTTCTTCATGGTTATTCCATCAGATTGCAATCACTTATATGTTTTTTTCCACTCTTCCTTATATTATGAGCACTTTTCACGTAGGGGTTCATCTCTTTAATAATCATAGCTCCCAACACAATTGTAGGCTTATATTAGATGCTCGATAAAGATGAGTTGAGTTAACATGTAAAGTAATGAATGAGTAAGGAAAAATAGAATAGTTTCGAATTAATGCATGTTACTGCTACTGTAAATTTAATGTTTTCATTTCTATTACTATTTATATATAAATTTAATTAATTGTTAACTTTCTTTGCCATCCATACATCTATTTATCTGCTCATTTGAAAATCTCTTTCCTGTTTCCTATTATTCAAAATATTAAAAGCAAATATTACTTAAATATTTAAATCACTCTTTTTCCATGTTAAGTTTCTCAGGATGCAGAATGTTGCTGTACACTGAGAAATATTAGGCGATACAAAATGGCTACTATAACGTAATGTTCTAGAAAATGATAAAAGTCAAACCCATTGGTTTTTGCTGCCAACACAAGTTTGTCAATGTAATTAATGCCCTTTAGCCTGGGAGGGTTGTATGACAGGAAAAATGGCATCAAAGCCATTTTTATTTAAAAAATAAATTTAATATTACTTGATAATAAGGGAGCTATATAAGCAAAAATCTTAGAATTTTCTTTTTCTTTTTTTTCCTTAGTTTCACATCTTTCTACATAGTATCCAAATCCCAGTTGTTGATACTAATTTTCTTGCCTTCTTACCCTTAACAAGTTTGGAGACAAAGTTAATATCATTAGTAGTATGTAAACTAATTCCTAAAGCAAAAGTCTCTAAAAGTGTGATCCATGTCCCATTTTTTATTGGTCTGCAATGAGGTAAGCACAGAAATTTTAATCACCTCCACGCATACCTTCAATGAGCAACATGTACAGTTTTTTGAGACTCTTCTCTCTTTTCCTGTTATTTTCTGATTGCATTTATAAAAATGCAATTTTGTGTTTGTTGAATCTGATGATAAAAAATGAGGAAACACCGCATATTCTCACTCATAGGTGGGAATTGAACAATGAGATCACATGGACACAGGAAGGGGAATATCACACTCTGGGGACTGTTGTGGGGTGGGGGAGGGGGGAGGGATAGCATCGGGAGATATACCTAATGCTAGATGACGAGTTAGTGGGTGCAGCGCACCAGCATGGCACATGTATACATATGTAACTAACCTGCACAATGTGCACATGTACCCTAAAACTTAAATAAAAAAAAAATGAGGTTCGTATTTTGTATATCTGTTCTTTTAAAGTTTATTTTCTAAGTAATTCATCTTCATTGTATTTCATAAAAGTGTCAGTCTGTGACAGATTGGAAACAACAGAGAGAAGAAAAAGAAAGCTAGTCCTCCACCACAGATAGTTTGAGAACCACCATCCTAGAGCATGGTGGCCTTTTCCCCACATTATATATTTTCTTTAAAAAATATTTTTAACTTATTAAATAATATGCAATGCTCTTTTTTTTTTTTTTTTTTTTAACTTCTCCAGGTGCTGCATTCCATTTGTTATTTGTGTGGTCTTTACAGGTGTTTCTTTAACAAATTGTAAAGCATCAAGACTGAATTTAACAGCAACAACAACCAAAAAAACAAATATGACAATATTATGTCCTGCTTAAAATGCATGAGTAGCATCTCCTTACACATATCTTTAATGCTTCTGAAGGCTTAAAGTTCCCTCCAGTAACTGCTTCTGATTTTTGTTTTTGTTTGTTTTTTTTTTTGAGATGGAGTCTCGCTCTGTCACCCAGGCTGGAGTGCAGTGGTGCGATCTCGGCTCACCACAACCTCTGCCCCTGGGTTCAAGTGATTTTCCTACCTCAGCCTCCTGAGTAGCTGGGATTACAGGCATGCGCCACCACACCCGGCTAATTTTTTCTATTTTTAGTAGAGATGGGGTTTCTCCATGTTGGTCAGGCTGGTCTTGAACTCCTGACCTCAGGTGATCTGCCCACCTTGGCCTCCGAAATTGCTGGGATTACAAGCGTGATCCACCGCGCCCAGCCTGTTTCTGATTACTTTTTAACCTGATCTCTAGCTTTCCACTCCAGACCATAGACATGTGCTCTCATCTCCAGGTCTCTGAACATATACTTTACTCTGTCATGGAACCCTCGTCTGTCTCTCTCTTTCTAAACACACACACACACACACACACACACACACACACGCACACACGTGCATATATATATATATACATATATATATATATACACACACACACATGATTCACACTGCTGATACCCACTCTCTCGAGGTCTTTAGGTTTCACACTACGGGGAACTTTATCCCGTGTCTTTGATCTCTTACTTGTGCTATTAGTACTGTTTTCTTTTCATCAAACTTACTATATTTGTAAAATATTTTAATAGCTCTTTTTCCCTGGATTATAGTTTTGGTAGGTCAACAAACCAGTTTTTGCCTTTGCTTTCATATTCCCAGAACTGAGGACACTGTGTGACACACAGTGGGTTCTCTGTATTTAGAAAAGCAAAAAGTGTATAAAAGAATGTGTGAAGTGGTAATTTATAATGACAAATTCTCATAAGTGCTTTTGTTGCTTCATATCCCTCTGCAATACCCCACATAAAAAGCCATTATAATAATATTAGTAACTCACAGAAAGAATACCATAACCAAGGGGTCTTATTTTGTCTTATCATTATTAATACTTAGATCTTCTCTCTCTCTATAGTACTTGCTGTACAAATAAGTCTATTAAAAAATTCAGTTTGTCATTTGTGACATTTTATTTTTCCAACTTATTAAGTGTATTGAAAATTTAAATTCTGTTCCTCAATATGGTACAAAAACTTACTTATTAAGGCCAACATCAATGGAAAGGTTTAATAAAACCTCTGGAATTCAGGGTAGTTTGATCTTAATTTAAAATTGAACTCTGTGTAACTCCATTATTTCAGGTTCATTTACACTAACTTCAACTGCAGTTTAATCCTCAGTGCATCGCTTTTTTTTGCATTGGTCTTTTAAAATAATGCCTATTTTCTTTTTTTTTTTTTTTTTTTTTTTTTTTTTTTGAGACGGAGTCTCGCTCTGTCGCCCAGGCTGGAGTGCAGTGGCGGGATCTCGGCTCACTGCAAGCTCCGCCTCCCGGGTTCACGCCATTCTCCTGCCTCAGCCTCCCGAGTAGCTGGGACTACAGGCGCCCGCCACTACGCCCGGCTAATTTTTTGTATTTTTAGTAGAGACGGGGTTTCACCGTTTTAGCCGGGATGGTCTCGATCTCCTGACCTCGTGATCCACCCGCCTCGGCCTCCCAAAGTGCTGGGATGCCTATTTTCTTTAATTCAGTTATTAATTTAACAATTAACTCAAAAATATGTTTTTATTGCCCATCTACCAGGGGCAAGACACTTTAATAAGGATTTTCACATAAACTTCATGCTCATGGTTCTCCTCTAAGGCTGTTTCTATTATTTCTGAGAGCTAAATCCTAGAATGATTAAGTAATTTGTATGAAAACAAGTAGCTAAACTCTGGGAGAGTCACAATTCAAACACAAGTTGTCTGACTTCATACCTAATACTGTTTCAAGTGCTCTTCTTATCATCATCACTGATATTTTCTAAAAATGCATATGACTTTTTCAGAAGTTCTTTTGAGATTATAAGAATCTGAAGTAATCGCCCTCACATTATAATCTAAAAATCACTCAGCACATTCAGTAAACCAATTGGAAATCAATTGAAAGCAAAACATAAAAGAAAATGATTTGTACATAGGTAATTTTTTGGTAAAAAATTAATAATGGCTGACTGAGTCACATGTTAGCATGGCTGGCTTGATGGAAAGGAGCAATAGTTTAACTTACTCATAAGTCAAGTAAGTTGGCTTAATGACAGTGGGGAACAGCATACCCATACAATTTAAATTCAAACTTATGTTAATAGTTCTCAAAGCAGGACATCTAGAAACCTCCATATTTCTTCCAAGTGTAGTAGTATACCAAATGTGAGACACAGATGGATTTACTTGGTTTACTTTCCTATCCTATGTGACATTAATATTAGTCTTTGTGACAGGCCCATCAACTCTATTCCCGCTTCTACTTGAGTATAAAGGAAAAGAAAGGCACCTGTAGGGAATGCGCTTTCCTGTTACATGGAGGCCACTTACAAAGAAAGATTTCCAAAGAAAGTGTTGTCCCTGCCCACAGAAATTGATATAACTCAAGTTCTATAATCTAAGAATGTTTGTTCAGTTGCTTAGAACTTATTGCAAAGGTGACCAAATTAAGTATCTAATCATTCCTCCACCCATCAAGTTTTATCTTGCACAGCCTATTAGGTGGCCAGCTGTGTCACCAATGTGTGTTACTGACCACAGGTAGGGTTAGATAGGAGAGTCTAGTTGGTCACAAATAATAGTTTAAATATGTAGCCTTCAGTTATTTGCCATTACACATGAAAGAAACTCTCATAACACATCTGTAGAAACCCTAATCATTTAAGCCAGCAATTATGGATAGTCTCTTAAACAAAAATCTATTAATTTCATTACATTTGCTCATATAGATTAATCACCACTCACCTTTATATCAAATAAAAATGATGGTGTTAAAATCAATAAATGAAATACCCCTCAAACTATCAAGTAGATGCCTAATTTAGAATATATTTTTTCCTCTCGTTACATGTCTTTTTGTCCGTAAGAATAAAAATCCTCTTATAAGGAAACCTCACAATATATAAACAAATAACCAGAAATTTCAACTAAGTTATGTTGTAATAAGGCAGAATGGCTGTTGCAAAAGGTACAAATGTTCTTCAGAATAACATTTACACGAAGTGGGTTTTGATTGTTGCTTTGATCACAGGGTTAGAAGTGATGAAGGAGGAAATCTTATCCACTACACAGACTGAGTGTGGAAACCTGTATTAAGCAATCTGATAAGCCTAAGTACAGAACATTAAGTCTCTAGAAATACCTTGCACATATACCTGAAATAGCAGAAAACAGAAATCTTCAGCCTTGCATAAATATATTTCCACTTTCAATTTATAAGAGCAATTACTACTATAGGAAAAGATATTTCATAAGGATTAATGACAAGCTAAAGGTAATGATTCCTGCCCTCGTGTTAGGCTATCAGCTCCCTTCAGAGATGAAACCTAATCAATCTATCATTATTGAACTGATGTTACATACATAATTCTAAAAAAAAAAGCTACCTCATTTTGATGCCAATAAACTCCTGAAGATACAAAAATACAATCCTCTTCGGCAGGACCACTCTGATTGACTTTGCCCCAAAAATCTGCGGAGAGAAATTTAACAGGCTGACTATAAAGCTAAAATACTTGTTTGTAGCCACATTCACATTAAAACACTGATTGAATTGTAAAAGCCACAACTTCTCTGTGACTGGGGTTGTTGTTTGTAACATGGGGTAACAACTGCCTTCATCCACTCAATAAACATTATTTTGGGAGATAATTAAGCACAAGGCACCATCTAAATGCTGAAAATACAACTTTGACTAAGGCACAGTCACCATCTTCAGGGATTTTAATCCACTGGGGAAGATATCCAAGTAAGGAAGAAATTACAAAAAGGTCTCAAAACTCTCCCACAATGGGGCAGGGTAGGTGACAGGGAGCATATAACCTTGCCTTTAGAGTAGGTGTGAGAGGTGACCAGAAAAGCTTATCCATAGGAAATGACCTCAGAATAGAAAGTAATCAGGCTAATATGCTGGTCTCCCTGGCAGAAGTGATAATACATGCAAATGCTTGGAGGTAATTAAAGAAAAAAGCAACACACTCAAGCCACTGCAAGTTGTCCTGTGTGGCCCATTAATTCAGGGCCTGCATGAAGAGAGATGAGGCTAGAGACATAAGGAGAGACTACAGCATAAAAGTCTCCTGTAAACAATATGAATAGGTCTTCTTCCGAGAGCAATGGAAAATCATTTGTGGGTTTCAAGAGGAACTGACCTGATCAGATTTTAGGAAGTTAATTTTGGCAGGAGGGAAAGATGGACCCAGCCTCAGCTAAGCCTGCTGGAAAACCAGTACTGCAGCACAGGAAAAATAGAATAGTGGCAAGGGAGATGGAGAGACATTGATAATATCAAAGGATAACAAGGCAGTAAGATTTAAAATGTAATGGACATGGAAAAATGGGGAAGAAGGTGCCACTCCCTAAGAGAAGGTGAACAGGAAAAACACAGATTTATAAAGGTAGGTAAGATTTTCACTATGGAACTTGTGAAGTTTTAGGGCAGGACATCCAAATAGAGATGTCTTTTAGATAGATAGACAGGGCTCCTCCTGAGGAGAGAATGCTGGTATAGAAATAAATATTTGATATGTATATATTCTGATTGAGGCATTCAAAGTGGATCAAGTTGCCTAAGGGATATAGTCAGATAAGCAGAGACAAAAAGGGAATGCACTGAAAACATAGCTATGTATTTAAAACCACTGAAGTCATGGGAAGAGATAGGAAGTACATGAGGGTATGTAGATGAGATAGGAAGACATTAAGGAGAGTGTGTTGTCATAAAAGTTCTAGTGGAATTTGTTAGTTTTTATTCCCAGCAGTCATTTCTTCTTCTTATGGTGTTACTACATGAACTTTGATATGAGTAAACTCTTCATTCCATTCTCAATCATGCTTTTTAGACTTCACCCCTAGGGTCTAGGAGTTGAATACACGAAATAGGCAAAACCTATTGAAGTTGAATACATGAAATATAAAGTTGAATATATGAAGTTGTTGAATACATGAAACGTGAAGTTGAATACATGAATACCTATTGGATTTGAATACATGAAATAGGCAAAACCAGTCAGCTCATTCTCTCCTGTCTACAAGACATGTCTACAAAACATGTCTACAAGCTCATTCCCTCCTGGCTCAAGAGTGGGCACAGGACTCAAATCAAGTCAATCGGTGTCAACACAGTTCAATTACAGAATTCTGAGTTACTGGGGAAACAGATTCTTCTGAACTGGTGTTGCAGTTCTGTGAGCCTGAAGTATATAACTTTCCTCCATCGAGTCTGAGAAGAAAGTCAAGACAAAACGTAACCAAGGGGGATAGATCTTACTGACATCACTTGAACCCTTTATCAGCAGGAGGTTACAATTTGAAGATGCTGAAGATGTTCATTCTCCCAAGTTCCTACCAAGAGTCACTATCCCAAATAGCTTCATGTTTCCTTACTTTTCTAACTCAAATCTACCTAGAAAACTGCTGCCATATTGATTTTCTTATTTTCATTATTTTAAACACTTTCTTCTGGCTATAAGATAAATATAAAATTAGGGGGAAATTGAATATTGAAGAAATAACAATAAAAAGCATAAAAATTAATTAGTACAAACTCCACTACTCAAGAATGCTGTTAAAAGTCCAATATAAAAATAGTATTTTAAATTGTATACAATAGTATGATGTAACTAATTTTTTAAAAAAACAGATACACACTTCTGCCAAAAACAGAAAAAGACCATAAGGAAATGTGTTAAAATGTCAGTTTAGGCTGTTTTGAATGATAAGAATGTAGATGAATTTTCTTTTTGCTATAAGAGTTAATATGTCTTCTCTGCATATTACATTAAGAATGAATTTCAGGGTTTTCTTCCTTCTCAATATGCAGTGGTTCAGTTCAGCTCTTTCTCTCAGAAACTGGGGAGATCCAAAAATGAGTGTCAGCGTCTATAATTCTCCCTCTGTCTCTAAAAAGGCATAAATTTTATGGTTGAAGTTACAAGTACTTCAAGACAAAGTTGGTGTTATAAAAATAAAAAAGTACATAGATATGTATTTACATATGAGATATACATATATATCAATCATACAACAGAACAGTCTCATGCCATTATTAGGTAGGTGTGTGGGATTTAGAAATCTCCAGCCACAAGAGGTAGGTTATGACAACAGACCATGCGTTTCAAAATGTTGTTTTAAACAAGTGAGTGTGTATAAATGTATTGAGGGTTGGATGGTGACATACGGAATTATCTATGTGATTTGAAAAATGAATACTCGGTCAGAGGTTGCAGCTCTAGAAATTGTGAGACTAACACCAAGCAGCTTAGGCAAGTAATTTTTGTCTATTTTTGTAAAGTAAGGCGGTTTTTTTTTCCTGTTCCTAAAATTAGGAGGAAATAATATTTTGCAGAGCTTAAAATTAGTTCTCTGTTCGAAGCTTTCAATATTTTTCAATGAGAGGAAATTTTTAAATAAATTACATTCTGTAAAATTAAAAATAAACTTCATAGAAAAGTACACTGAAACAAGCCCCAACATCGTTTTTAAATAAGAAGTTGAACTGTTAATGCAATGACATCTTAATTTACACACAATTCTCCATTTAGCTGTTTGAAACCTAATAATAACATTTGAGCAATAAATTATGTATCAAATATTTCCTCTTCTGATAGCCCACCAAAATATAGATTCAATGTGTACTACTGCTGAAAGTCCAAGTGAGATTTAAGATGACTCCCAGATATTTTAATTCCATGATATAAATTATTGGCTTCAGCATATATTCTAACATTACACTTCTCTTTACAAGAGTTCTTGCAACAGTTCATGACTTCTAACCAGGGCTGATATTAAATTCATGCTCTGGAGAAACATAATTTTAACCTGTCAAATGCTTCAGATTCTTTCCAAGATAGAACAAGGATTAATTTCATGTAAAGCAATAAAATTTACTGCATAAACCAAAACTTTGTAGAAATTCTTTGAGATTCACTGACTGACTCTTGAATCAGGATGCCCTTAGCATGAAGGGTGTATGCTACCCTTCTTTTCAGTCTACTTCAGTCCCTCCCACAATCCAGAGACCAGCTTTCCACCAGGTGTCTCAGGATGTTCTCCCCTTTATATATGGGCTTGTCTCAAAAACCAAAGGAAAGTGAGAGTTTTGTTTTGCCTTTTAATGAACACATGATTAAACTATTAGTTATTATTCAGTATGTATATTGTGATTTCAAGACTCCCCCAGTAAATAATTCACAATATTTCTTATGCTGCTGTGGAGTAGCTCATTTACAAAAGAGGTGCCTGTAGTGCTTTAGACAGCATTGACTGAAGTACAGCCTTGTGCAATTTTAGGGGGTCCTAGGAAGGGGCTAAGATTACTTTTTTTCAGGCTCTCCTTTCTCTTTAAAGCCTCTGGGTATATTGATCATGTTCAGGCCTCAAATATCAGTGGGGTGTGGAAGGAGGTGAGAGGAAGGTTATTCTACCTTGTAACATAGTTATCCCAAACCTCATTCTGGAATTTGACTCCTGTTTGAACTTAGGGAGCAATTAAAATACAGTCATGCCAACTCAGCCCCAGCCAAATGCTTTACACTTTTCTACTACAGGAATGCTCATCTCTTAAGCCAAGATTCCAATCCTTGTTTGTCCCTAGGCTGGAAAGCCACATCACTGACACAGCTGTTGAGATGAAGCCGAGATAGTGGAGTGGAGTCTTGACCTTTTACTCACCCTCTAGCACAGCCCATAAAGGGCCTGCATGAAACTTTGGAACTTTCTGAAGCACTGGGTGAAAACCACTAATCTAAAATGTTCTTCCAAAGTCCTTCCGGGTCCTAAATATTTGCATTCTATATAACACCATACTACTGGTTTTTATGAGCAACGTGTTCTTCCTTATTTAGTTTGGCCCCTCACATTCAAATATATGGGAGCTGCATTAGGAACCACATTTCCAATATATTCACTCTGGTTTGGGGACACAATTGTACAGCAGATTGTGGCACCAGATCTCTGATACATCAAAATGTCAAAAATTTGGTTACCTCTTATGGGATAAAGTAGAAGATTATGGTAACAGGTAAATATAAGTAACTCTCAGAAAGCAAAGTTTGAAGGTGTTTTATCTATTGAATATGCTAGCAAATTTTCACTTTCTTTTAAATGAAGATTAGGAAGGCCCCCACCAATATGCTACAGTGCCCTGATGCCTACGTCTACTGCTGAGTAAATACTCAGCTTTGCTCATGTAACTGGACCAGCATATTTGTCTGGAGCTGATGCTGCCCTCTGGCTGCCAATGTGAATTAAATCCTTACAGAAATAACTAAGCTTCATCACAAACAAGCAAGTTCAGTTTTGGAACTGAATCTTTGATAAGGTTCTCTGAGAAGCCCTCATTCTGGATCATGAAGTCAATACTCACTTCATACTCTCTTAACAGTATAGCACTTCTAAAGGGCAACATCTCAGCTCCCTCTGTTTCTAGCACTCAATATTGCCAATGAAAGGAAATTTTTTAAAAAACCATGTTCTGTAAGAATAAAAATAAACAAACTTCATAGAAAATCACAATGAGACAAATTCTTTTACCAGTGTCTCTGGCTTTCACATGTTTTTGCATAATGAAAGGGCTAATATAACATAACAAATCCTAAACTGTTTTCACAAGGAGTGGAAAAAAGATGTGTAAAAGTATGCTCTGTCTTGCTTCCTTCTGTTCACAATGTATCTAAATAAAACAAATGGTGTTCTTGCTCTTTCTGTCTGTTTCCCAATCTGTTTGGATAGTAGCCACCATCCCGCAGCCAACGATAATATCTGACACTTCCTGACATCATGAAAGCCACCATCTGTCTATCACCAAAACCCTGTACTTTTTAAAGACTACTTGGCTTGATCCTTAATGAAGCTTCAAGTTGAATGCACAGATCGCTTTAGAAGGAATACAAGGAATAATTGACACAAGGTATCTGTATAAAATCACGTTCTCATTAGATTCCATTTGAAAACATAAAATGAAATATTAAGGCCCCTTTCAGGCAGAAAAAGCATGGTTTACTTTCAATTGTGTTTCATTTCCGATTTGCCTGTGAAAGTTTAGACAGTGTTGAACACCAGGAATAAACCTAAACTAAAGCCTAAGCTTTAAATTCAATATTTTCCAGTCTTGTAAAATTAAACAGTTAGACATGACTTTGCAGTTTGTATACTTGAGCTATGAAAAAAGAAGAAAATCCATCAATTATTTTTCCAAGGCTTGAGAAAATCATGCCATTTAAAACTGAATCAACTTCTTTAACACCTGAACGATTATCCAGGAAACAAAAGAAGGTTCTGTATGTCTTCACTTGTAAATGTCACAGGTGAACACAAACAACCCTGTGCTGGCAATGTCAAGTCACTCTTTGTTTTATTAAACTGTTGTACCTCTATGTGTGCAACAAGGGAATTAGTTAACAGGGGAGACTGCGGAAAAATATAATAATTCCTAGGTGATATTAAGTTCTCTCAGAAAAAGTAAAGCTTTCCAGGGAGAAGACGGATTAACAAGTTTCATACACAACTTTCTTGACTGCACTCCAGTGTTGTGATTTGTGACATTGATTTCACACTAATGTCTTTCTTTTCTCTCCTTACTCCAATGTTGTCCTGTGGTTCCTTTTAACAACCTCATAAATCCAAATTTTGTGAAGTCATAGATATTTATCTGATAGTCAAAAACGTGTATGTATGTAGAATACACACTATATTCACTTATATATGTATATGTGTGTATGTGTGCATGTATGTATACAGGAAAGAGAATGAGAGCGCTATAGAGGCAGACACAGAGAAACGACGTGTGTGTGTGTCTGTGTGTCTGTGTGTGAATGTTTAGATCAGCCATAAGTTTATATCTTAAACTGGGGGAAAGATACGTATACAGTTCTGTTACAAAGTCCTTATGAGAGTTGAAGTTGCATTTCTCCAGAAAAAAATAGCTTGGTAAAATAAGATTTATCATGTGCTTATGCTATGCTAGGTACATGGTCATGCGCTTCATAATTGTCATTTCATTTGATTATATTTGTTGGGCACTATTACTATCCCACTGTTTTGAAGAGGTAATTAAGGCTTATAGATGGTAACTTAACTTGCTGAAGATCCCACAGCTAGTAAGTAATAGATACTGGATTCAAATCAAAATGGTGTGATTCAATGCCTGTGCTCTCTCCCACCACGACTGTACAGTATCCCTTGCTTAGACTGTGTACCCTCATACAGTCTCTAGCTATGAGATTATAAAACTTGGCACAGTAGGGAAAAGGGGGAAAGTGGACATCAAAATATTTTCATCCACATGAGTGACAGCCTTCCAAATCATCATCATGAAAGTCTAAGCACTTATTTTTCCAATTTAGTTGATATTTTGGAAGGGCAAGTGACTCTAAGCCATTTTATCAGCTTTAAAAGAAAAGATCATGTTGCATTTTGCCCCCATATTGGATTTATAGAACAAGCCCCACCTTAGCTGAAAAGCAGCCTCATTGCTATTCTTTGTCTGTCCACTCTACATCACTACGTTTTCAGATGGACAGTGAAGAATGAATTATCCACTTGAAATAACAGTGAGGGAGGCAGAATGGTTCACTTGAGTAGATAGTCTATCATAACACTAGACTCTTACTCCACTCAACGCACCGTGATCCTTAAAACCAACAGATGCCTGGGGAGCTGTATTCGACATGTTATCCAAGGTTCTTCCTAAGAACCTTGTCATGGAAATAGCTGTCATTTTTTTCTCCCAAACTAATTCAGAGTAAAGGGTATATCTTCATATCACTGAGTCTTCTACTTTCTGCTTGTCACCTAACCTATTGAAAAAAGAAACATAAAAATATACACCCTTGAGCTGAAACATTAGCAAAACCTGCAGCTAGTCCTTTTACTGTGTGTGTGTCTTGAATTGTACTGGGACTCTCCATAGACATTTGATTTTATTCATTAGTTTAATAACATTTAATTGCTCCTCATTTGTTACATGCAAACACATTCATTTCATGTTACACTTCCCTCTACTAGAGAATTCAGGCTCATGTTTCGCAACCTGGAGATGGGGCATTGTAGTTTTTAGAATAGAAATAACACATCAGAAAAAAATGAGAGCAGGTTGTTTAAATAAAAAGTGAATAAATTATTCAGACCAGCTGTTTGGATTTGGAAAGAACTTTTCTGTGTTGATTAAAACCTCTTAATTTGTTTTGTGCTGCTGTGAAAGAGCAGGGTGTAAATAAGTTGGGACCAGAATGCCCTTCTCTGTCAGAAGTACTTGGTCCAGCCCAAAAAAATATGGCCACCTCAGAATGTCTTAATCTTTAGAATAATGTAGGAAAGTGGGGGTTTTTTTACTTTAAAAAGATTCATAATGTTAATGAAAAATATAGTTGACATTTTTAAACAATAAAAAAATTTCCAGAGATTACAACATACATATCCTACAGTTAAAAAGAAAGAAAAGAAATGAAATGAAGCTAAACTAATAATTAAATAACACCATAAGGAAATAAATAAAAAGTGACTGCTAATATTTGCCCATCATCATCCTTTATATCCTCACCCTTCAAATCTTAATGCTTCTTTCTACATAGATTTATTATGTTTAGGTTTTTATTAATTCTAGTCTACAAAATGTCTTCAAATAAATGTATTAAATACTAGTCCCTAAGTATTTATTATAAGAAGTATCTTAAGAGATTCTCATTTATATATCTAATATCATAAACTTGACCTTTCTAGCATTCTTTTAAAAAATAACACATAACGGAAGACATTTAAATAAAGTTTTTGTGAGTATAAACTGAAAGCAATAACCTTTCTTTATACTAAATTACTATAGAGTTATCATTCATAGAGCATGACTTTAATTTACTTGTTTAAAATTTTTTTAAAACATAAAAAGCAGAATGATTTTTTAGCCTATTGATGAAAATGGTTTTAAACTTTATACCATAGTAATTATTGTCAATTTTTGCTTCTATAACATTTTTCAATGGTATGCTCACAAGATAAAACACAAAAATTGGTTTCCACAGAGATCTCCTGGAAAAAGCCTTATACCTAATATTCTTGTTTGGAGGAAGAAACTGGGAAAAACATCTGTCATCTCCTCACCAGGTTGTTTTTTGTTTTTTGTTTTTCTACTGAGCTGTTGTACAGAAGCCATTTATTGAGTATGCAGGCTATTTTAACAGTGCCTTGCAGTATAAGCGTGGGCTAGAGAAAAGAAGAAAGAGAGAAAAAGCATTCATAATTCATAAATATTATTCAACATAAACAGCCTCAAAGATATTTATAGAAATACCTAGGGTATAGGGAGCTGTGTTGTGGGCTGTATAACTTTCATTAGTTATGCAAATTTACCCAGGCAAGTTAAATGAAAAAAAAAAAGAGTGCATTAAGAATGTTAATCACATTTGAAAATATGACCTAGCTTTAATATAGTACAGTACTCTTCTGGACATCTATACTTAGACTTCTTAATCACAGGTAGCAAGTAGAAAAGTAAGTACTTTATAGAAAAATACAAGTGCTAGTTTCACTGCTTTCACGGAACCCAGATAAATGTGACAACGTTAAAGGTAAAAAAATAAAAAATGTACACTGTTGTACAATATATACATGTTTATTGCTGGGCATTTAAGAAAATATAGACGACCAAAAGGATAACAGAAAAAGGCTCATAAAACATAAAATATAGGTTTTAGTGTATATTCTTCTAGTGTTTTTCTTTTCTGTAAATTCTCTGAAAAAAGATATATGATCTTAATGGAACATAAATCACAAGGATATGCATCTGTCTGTATATATCTGCTTGACCCAATGTGTCCAAAGAAAGCTGTTAATTTTGTCTCTGGATAGGCAACTTATCTTTACCATGTTCAATAATTTTATCCTTTATTGAAATTAATGCATATTTCAGTGATTCTAAAGAAAATGTCAATAGTAGAGCATTGATTCAATAGTTCTTTATCATTATTTTCTAATTGAAATTTTCTTATTTTTCTCATTGGAATATCTGTCTTCATTTCTCTACTCAAAAATCACAGCATTCTGTCAAAACTCAATTTAAGTCACATATCCTCTATAAAACCTTTCTTTAAGCATTGTCCTAGTTTCCTGTGACATCTTGATTTGTGTGTGTGTGTGTGTGTGTGTGTGTGTGTGTGTGTGTGTGTGTGTGTGTGTCTGTGTGTATTTTTGTTGTTTTGTTTTGTCTTTTGGCTTCCCAGCATGTGGTAAGGACTCTGACAATGTTACTGTTAATGCCACGATGACAATTTCAGGGTTTTTTTCTAGGTTCCCAATTATTTTATCCTTTCTCAGCCTCATAGTCTTAGGTTTATTTGCCCACAGAATGACTAATTTCTACTTGTAGGTTTTTTTATTTTCAAAATTTTAAGAAAAAATGTCTCTTTTACAACCAAATCAGTTACAATGTTTAAGTTATGTGGTAACATATAGTTTAAATCTATCATGCAAAAGTTTATTGGCTTTCTTAGCCTAACAGGTTTCTGTCACCCTTGTTTTAATACTCTTTATCCAGAGCTATACATAATAAACAGTAGTAAAAAAAAATTCAAAGACATTATATATTTAGCCTGTCCCCAAATAAGGAAAATCTGAAAGATAGAAGAGCATAATGACTCTTTTGACATTTCCTCATTAACCTTATAAAAATATAAGCTTTATACACTTTTGAATTGATTTCACAACTTATCAATGATTTTCTAAATATAGCCATGTATGTTTTCCATGGAACTGTATTAAAAACCCCTTGCTATTTTAATCTAAATAATTCAATAACCTTGTAACACTACAAAATAAACAGATAACTTATTATAATGAGATGATGATGACTTTTATAGGTTGTGGAATGATCATTTTAGAAATTATTACACTTTATACCTTACGCCTTACTGCTAAGAAATTTAAAACAGAAACTAGAATACAAAGTAAAATGTGATAATTTAACTTAAATGTATTCAAAGATGGAATAAATAAATAATGTATATATGTCTATACAATCTTTGGCATTTTTTTAAAAAAATCTTCTTTTCAACAAGTAGATTGAATATCAGAGGTTTTTAATCATGTGTATGCAACAGGTGTCTGTGCTATTATTCTTAAAGAGATAAATGAAACTGATTTCAGTGCTGCAGTCAAAATACTGCATCTTGCAAAGTGCATATCACAATTTTAAGTTTCTACAATGTTTTATATTACTTGATTTAATCTGTTTAAGCAGTGAAGTACATGGGGGAAGTTCCTTTCCAAATTTTACCTCTCCTAGTATTTTTCTTCCTCAAATACTGTTCCATTTTACAAATCAAAACAATTGCAATGTGGACATCTGAATGCAGACACTCTGATTTGCAAGAAACTACATTTACAAAAACAAAACGCCAGGAAATGTGAGAGGGAAAAGAGCTGCCACCCAGAATCCTGTAGCTAAGCAACGGGATGTCTTCTCTTCAGTAACCAAATTATCCAATCACCCCCTGTGGGCCCCAGAGCTCTATAGGATTTCCATCGTTTGACTTTAACTTAAGCCGTTTCTGGGCTCTTTAACCTCAGGCAATCAACCGTATGTTGTCAAGTTTATGGGGTATGAATTTCCATCTCAAAATTGGTCACAGCAGTCCTTCTGGAGGTTCTAGTCTCTAACAATCCATCTTACGGAATACTTAGTAGAACTGATCAAAATAACATGAATGAAACAATATAGGTATTCATGAATAAGAGCAGCTACAATGAATGAGGATTGATTATAAGTAAAATGAGTTATTATTCAAAGTCCCAATGAATTTCTTTCCACATGGAGATTTTCCAGTGTTAAACATAAGAAAGGGTGCTTATTCCTAAATGTATGTATTAGTGACATAATTGCTTGTAATAGCCCACCAATGAAACTATTTTCTAAGAGAAAGCACCCTAACTAAGCTCTCATGGTTTGTTTTTTGGTTTTTTGTTTGTGGTGTTGTTGTTGTTGTTGTTTTTAGTTCTGGAAAATACCTTTAGAAATGTATACATATGCCAGACACCTAGGACTTCTGGAACCTGGCAAACCACCTTTTTTTAGGAACAATGCCATCATAACAGATGGGTGTTAGTGTAGGCATGCCAGGGAATCAAAATGTACATCACGTTCCACTACAAGGGGGCAGAATCTCATCCAGAAATACCCGTCTGTGCCACTGGCTAAAGGAATATTCCATTGCAACTCTACCTTAGAGCCAGCACTTAAAACGATAATTTCTAAAGCCATAAAACAGATTCCCCTCCCCCACACTTTTTTGGCTTTTGAGTGTAAGGATTCACATTCTACTGGGAAAAGTAGCATGGGAGCCATTGAAATGAAAGTTTAAGCAGTAAAAATGCTATTATGGCCCATTTCATTTTTCAGCTGAATGGCTCACCTAAATAGAAAATCCATTTTTGTGGAAGCAGGCATATAATTTCTGTTAAATAGAACCCGGGAGGTCCTTTCTGACTTAACAATTATTTCGAAGTATTTTTTTCCACTTTTTGGAACCTGTAGAAATCCATTTTAAAGTGAGAATAGTTTCACCAGAACTGCCCTACTGAACAGAGTTATACTGACAGCCATAACTAAATTGATTGCACAGAACCCATCCTTTGATGCAAGGATGTTCACCAACTGCAGTCTTAAATAAGCTATTTGCAGAGGTTCTGGCTTTGACTGGAGTATAACAGAAACATTTCGTGAAATAATAGAAATTTTGAGCCTTTATGTTGTTGGTTTCCTGTCTGCCTTGAATATATGAATTCGTAACAACTACCAAAGCAATCTTTCATTTTTTTTTTCTTTTTTTCAGACCGAGTCTCGTTCTGTAGTCCAGGCTGGAGTGCAGTGGCGGGATCTCCACTCACTGCAAGCTCCACCTCCCAGGTTAAAGCCATTCTCCTGCCTCAGCCTCCTGAGTAGCTGAGACTACAGGCACTCACCACCACACCCGGCTTATTTTTTGTATTTTTAGTAGAGACGGGGTTTCACCGTGTTAGCCAGGATGGTCTCGATCTCCTGACCTCGTGATCTGCCTGCCTCGGCCTCCCAAAGTGCTGGTATTACAGGCGTGAGCCACCACGCCAGGCCACAATCTTTCATTTTTATAATAAATCATTCATGTGTAATTGGTTTTATTCTGATCATGATGCTGAAACTAAATGTTTTGGTCTTGGGTGATAATGGAAGCTTAAAGGTAATATCAACTACAAAGAGAGTTTTTAAATGTTTGGCCTGAATATTATCAGCTTAAAATTTGCACTATTCTATACCTGTTTCCCTTACATATCAATTACTACTATATCACATTTCATTGGGTAGGAATAATAAATATTTTCATTAAATTACTTTAAGAGATCATCAATTAATATACATTTTCTAATAATTATTAACATAAACACTTTAAGATGTATTTTAATGCAAACTAAAGAGATTTAGATACATTCTGAGTCACAGAATAATATCAAGAAGCATAATTTTATGTCAATCCCCACAAATCATATAGCCTTAAAGATGACTTTTTAAATTTGTGATTTTTTTTTCTTTTAGTTCTGCAGGATTTTTTTTTTGTTCTTATTGTTGTTAACAAGGAATAACATCTCTTTTCATAATTATAGCAACAAAGTTTAGTTAAACAAATTCATCAGATTTTAGTAAATGATAGCATTCTAACTCTCAAAACAGTTATACCTAAATATATTTGGTACATGTTGTAAAACTATATTTATTGTCTCAAGAGAAAATGAAATCTGGTTATTAAGATATATCAAGACTCTCCACTTTTTAAATTAAGAATAAATCAATTATTGCTGGTGGAATTTCCAAAACTAATACTTCACCCATCAGCCTAATTAGTAATTAAATATATCAATAGCATTGAAAAGAAGAGTGGCATATTAGTTAAGATGCATGAACTATATAAAGGTACAATTCTCTTTTTAAATGCACATATCCCAACAAAATTTCTTTCACAATATGGCTATAAAATCATATGGTGATTAACAACTGTAAAACTAGACAAAATTTTTTCACTGTTTTCAGAATATATTACTCCTTTTGGTAAACTGCTGTGGAAAAAAAAGTGCAGCTGTTACATACACAAAGTTATCTCCCATTGGCTATGAGAATTATCTAAATGTTGCTAGCTTTCATTTGCTCTTGTCATTTGCAAATGTGCCAAGTCGACTAGCCTTTCTATTAAAATAAAGACTACCTTAGCCAAACAAGAAATTGGACAGATTCTCAGCTTTGTCTGAAAACATGTAGAGGAAAAATACACTAATGGAAGCAGCATGATTCTTCATTATGGACCCCTCCAGGTCTTGAAAATCATCCAAGGAGCTATGTCATCAAATGTTGAAAATCTTCCAAGGATCCCTTCACACACACCCTTTTTAAGTGGTGAGTTCCAATCAAATGTTTTCTCCATTGAACATGGAGAGAGGGGTTTCTGAAATTAGGCCCATTTTCTAAATCTTGCCCAAGTTCTATCCGAGCATTGACAAAAGATCCAATATAATATTGTTGTCACTTTTTAAGGATGGAAGAACACCTCCAAGGAAGAAGCAACTTATTGCCATGATTTTCAAGGACACATCTTGCCTATTATTTGATGGTGAATTCTGTCTTTGTTTATGTGTATGTGTGTGTGTATACACACATATATACACACGTATGTATATTTATATATTTCCTTCAGCCTTGAGGAATGGGAATATTCCAAGGTCTCTTTCTGTCAAGCATCCCTTCACACTTACACAGACATCATAGACGTCACCTTTTTTACTACAAATATATTTCCAAATAGGAGCCTTCAGGATATGAAAAAATTCTGCCAACAAGGCATAACTCCCAATTTTATTGCTTTTATTTTGAAGTTGCATTTATGTTTCAAGTACTGTAATGCATTTTAAGCACCAGATAAATAATATAGTATTTATCCATATACAGCAGAATATTATGAACCATCCATTATAATGTTTATTTATATACATTCAGATAGTTTCTACTTATTCCTTACTTTTCTAAATGAAATCAATCAAATAATAAAAATTGGAATAGGAAAGGAAAATTATGAAATTATACACCATAAGTTAAAAAATTGAACTTGAGATAAAGTCGCTGGACACAAAAGAGCAGTTTGCAAGGTGTCCTGAGATCATAGCAAGAGAACCTAGGCTCTGGACAGACCCAAAAGTGCTGATGTCAATAATGTCAGAATACATATTCTCAAGGAAAGAGTAAAGCCATCAGTATTGTCTCAAAGTCACTTCCAGAACCACAGTGTGCCTCCCGTTTGGTTGCCTTTGTTTTTTGGTAACAATTTGCTCTTCAGAATCTAAAACCACGGCAGTACTTTGAATTTGCGTAAGTTGCTTTTCTGCTCCTATGTAAGAGTGTCCAGGTAACAAGTTTTGACAGAGGTTTTAGAGCATCCAGCTGAACACAGGTAAATTAATCAATTTTGCATGAGGTGACATTTGGAAGATGAAAGTATTCAAGATTGACAAGAATGAAGCAAATATAGTATCCAAGACAAAAGACTAAGCCATTGGTGGAATAAGGTTATCTTTAAGATACCTGCTAAAATTGGTGATTAAAAACTTTTTCTTTAAAATTTGGGAAGTCATGGTAAGATATCTTTTTTTCTTTAACATGGCTTAATTCATATCCTTAGTAGTATAATTAGTCATTTGGAGCTTCTATTTCACCTTTGAGGATTATTCAGAGTAAAAGCTATGGAAATTTAGAAAATTGTGACAAAAAGAAAATATGAGTCAGAATCCCACTGCCCCGGCACGACTACTTTGATATACTTGCTTTCATTCTCATGTTTTATATGGTTGTAATCATATTATGTTGCTGTCTGAATCTTTTTTTCTACTTACTATCAAAATCATTTAACATTTTGCTCATTTTTCGCAATGATACTTTTTAATTACTGCCTAATATTCTATTAAGTGAATATGCCACTGGATATTAAATGATCGCTTTTTCATATTGTTTAACATTTAGCTTTTATAAGTAACAGACTTGTCAGTAATTCAATTTCCTTCCTCATTTTTTAAAAATACAATTTTGTTTGGAAATAATTTTAAATTTATAGAAAAATGGCAAAGAGAGTAGAAAGAGCTCCCTACCCACTCCTCACCTGAACTTCAGGTACTCCTAATATTATCGTATTACATTTTCAGGGTTCACTTGTCAAAACTAAAAAAAACCAACATTGGGACATTAATATTAACATTAAACTCCATACATTATTAGAATTTCACCAGTTTCTCCAAATAATTTATTTTTAATGGTGCTGTACATTGGTAAGGAAGAAAAAGTAACTAGACCATGACTATATAAAGCTACCAGAAGACAAAAATGGCCTTTCAGGTTATTTTGATCAGTTTTTATGTTGCTTATCAAAAGATCAATAATCGCCATTACTTTTTAAGACCAGATATTTTTATTCTAAAAATCTAATAATTAGTAAAAAGAAATAGGTACTATTAAATAAACTTTAAAAGTACAGATATGTTCCTATTCAAATTCAAATTTCTAAAATGTTATCTAGGAAAAAATATTCAGCGATATGTGAATACATTTTGGTGTATGTTTATGCAGATAGGCAATCTTTATTAAACCCCAATTACTTGCTCAACCCTTTTCCAGGCACTGCAAAAGGAAAATAAAATATATCTAAAATACTTGACTCTTCTCTCAGAAGCTTAAAAATCTGAAAGACATTAAACAATACTATGCTCAAAGATATATACTAAAAAAGATGTACACAAAGTATCTTACAGAAAAAGGAAAATTTTTACCAGAATTTCTGAACTTTCTTTGGAGTTATGTTAACAATTTCTAATAATTATCAAGTTATCGAATGCTTACTGTGTGACATCAACTGCTGGGCAATTTATTTACTCTCCAAACAACTGACAACATATAGCTCTACAAAAACAGCTAATTCAGTCCCCCCAGTTCAATAAATTGCAGGCCTTGGTGCAAATTTCTGGATCAGAATGAAAACTGGTGGGCCCCAGGAAGATGCATCTCACAGAAAAATAATAATGACTATTATTTATTGAGCACTTATTCTGTCCCAGGCATGTTTTTATGTACTTCACATGTATTTACTAATATAATCCTCTTGACAATCCTATGATGCAAGATCTACCATTTGCTTCATTTAAAGTTGAAGAAACTGTATCACAGAAAGTTACGTAATTGTCCAAGGATGCTACAGTATTAAGTAGAGGAGTCGGAATTCAAACCAAGGCTGTCTGATTCTAGAGACTGGGCCCATGACTATCCCTCATGCTGGAGAGTAGAAACTGGGAGGTGGGGGAACTTAGAGGGAAGAAGCCAACAGACAAAAGGGAAATGAAATTAATTGACTAAGTTCAAGAGATCTATTGTACAACACGGTGACTACCATTAATAACAATGTGAGAAATTAATTGGCTGGAATGAAGTGGATGCCTTTGAAATGTAGGTAAGAATGATTAGATTTGAGACAATTGTATACCAAATTGTATCTAATTTTCACAATAATATAATAATCAATAGAAAATTAGAATGCTACTTTGATCATGTAAAGCCTTGGGTTTAAAATTACATGGATTCTCCTTCTGTTTCATATGTCTCCTCTTGATTTAGCCTGTTTTTTGTTTCTCTTAAAGAGATGGGGGTCCTGCTATGTTGCGCAGACTGGCCTTGAACTTCTGGCCTCAAAGAGATCCTTCCACCTCAGCCTCCAGAATAGCTGGGACTATAGGAATGCACCACTGCACCTGGCCTGGCCTGTTTTTATAGTATTAACAAACAAAAGATATACACTGTACCATTTTCACTTGTAGCCAAATAATGTAACAGCAATTACAGACAGTAATTTAACTAACCTTAGATCTAGTTTCACATGTTCATAACATCTTTCCTTTTGTTTTTAATGTGTTTTCCAGGCCATTTTGAAAATACTCACTATATCTATGTTTTAAATTCCGTCCATTTGGTCAGAATCTAAATAGTTGTTTTTGGAGCCCCCTTCCCCTTGGAACATTCTTCACCATTTAATCTTTCAGTGCCTATGCAGTGCTAGCCATTTCTGTGGCTCCACAAGGCAAGTAGTTAAACGTATGATCCTATCACTTGCCCAGGTTTACCCAGAGCAGTTTGCCACTTGACAATTCTCATGATATAAAAAACAAAGGAAGCTTTAAAGCACCAGGCTCCACTATCAAGGCACTCTGTTTTCTTTTTGTTTTTAATTTAAATTTCGATTTTCTGATCTGGCTGTTTAGGTTTGCAATAGTAATCAGGTATTTGTCAAAGTTTTTTTTAGTATTATGCTAATTTCAAATAATTTTTAGTTATGTTCAATGTTTTTCCTATTATTTTTATTAAGAAGCTGAAAGGGGATGTTTTTAATAGTATCTAATGTTTAAATAGCCCAAATTTTATTTTCTTGTCTCTGCAATGTTCAGAAAAGTAGAACACATCATTATGCATGCAATGTAATCATCATCAGTATCACTGAAGCTCACATTTACTGAGCAGGTAAAATATGTTTTACAGATACTAATTCAATCCTCACAATAACCCTTTCAGGCAACTACTATTTTCATCGCATTTTTCAGATTAAGCTATAAACTGAGGTACTGAGGTAAAGTGCCAAAAATTACACATCTATTACCTTATAGAGCCAGACTTTAACGCAAGCATTTTGATTCCACAGCCCAATAGTTAAATGTATCACAATCATTTTACTCAATGTGTAATAGAAGGAAGTTCCTTGACTAATATATTGATTATTGAAACAATTTACAAAAGTATACAAACAGTAAACATTATGCACACATTTAGAGAGAGAGTGGGAGAGTTCAAACTTTTCCGAAAGTCACAGATGTTGAAACTTGACTTGATTCATAGCCAACGTTATATTTTTTCAATTGCCCGGTTGTTTGTCTAACCTAGCATCCCTGTAAAGCCACTGTCATAGGAACCACTGTGAAAGGTGTTATCCAAACGCATCAATGGGTTTATAATGCTCTCAGTGTTTACTTAAAAATGATAAACAAATTTGATTCCATAAGTACGATCTCATCTGTTAATATTTCACTTTTAGTGGTCTTTATAGGGGCACATTTATTGCTTGAGTATTTGTGAAATAATATATTGCATGTAAGTTAAAGTGTCGTCTACTGTGCATATTGCTTCAAAGACATCAAATGCTGCTTGTGTGTATGTGAAACACATCTGGGATTTATTGATAGTTTATTTTTTTTTTCAGGTAACTGTCATCCTATATGCTGTTCTACTTATTTTTATTGATAGATTCTGAGGTTAAAATAAAATAAAATCTGTTTACTATTTAGAACATGGTTCAATGAATGAATATATTATTCTGTTGTATTTTAATGTAATCAGCCAAAAACTACAAGTCAAAAAGTGTTTGCTCGTGGGGTATTGTTTTGCTTCTAAATTTCCCAGTAATCTAGATACAGGCAATAGGCAGCTGTAATAAAAATTAATAGTAAAAGATAGTTTTCAGAGTTGAACTAACTAGGACACTGTATTTGGGTTGACTTTCACACCAGGTCCCTGGAGGCGGGACTTCCACAGAATAGATGATCTACAATAAAAGTCTTTAGAGTATTCTTGCTAGTGACAGTACAAGGAGATGCTTTAATAAACCCTTGAAATCAAATTTTTTTGGCTTGGACAATAAGCAGTTGTAAAAAACTGGGCAAATCATTGAGTATTTTAAAACCTTCATGATTCTTTTAAATCTTAGTTTCTTATTTATATAATGGTAATAAAACTGAAAGGCAGGTGTAAAGATGTAATGAAATCATACATGTGAAATGCCTAGCCAAATGTTATTTCCTGGAAATTAGGAAATATTCCACATCCTGGAAATTCCCAAATGTTCAATATCCTGCAAATTAAGAGTTGGGGTATTAAAATAAAGATCACAATATTAGCTGCCGTTGCTTGAGCTTAAATTATTGCTCTGTTCTTTCTTAGCTGTGTGACCTCAGGATTTTATAGCCCTCAGAAGAGTGTTCAATAAGATCAACACCCAACAATGTCACTACTTCTCTGCATTTTACTCATTACCAACAAACCCATCCCAACATCTCCTGTCCTTCTCCCTGTCCTCTCGCCAGTTTTTTCTTCTTCTCCCTTTCCAGAACAGCAACAAAAAGATACAAACTAAAACACAGAAAATTGCCCTATTCCCCCAAACACAGTCCAACCCTGGCACTTGTGCCTTATCAACAAAAGTTGTGCAATTGTAATCTCCTGTAATTCATTCTCTTCTGGCCAGATGTTTTATTTGGTGTCACCACTGGACAGATCAAGTAAAAACAATACTTACAATCCAGGCTGATGGCCTAGGAAACAAACATCACATGACTTACAATTAGAGAGTTTAACAATTGGAAAACTGATGCCAACTTGTAAAGAAATGCATACCTACTGAATACTACTTGACAATACATTCTTTAAAACAAATCTTTCCAAATCTGTCCACTTCAGCTTCAGCTTTTATTTTTCAAAGCACAATATTCTTACACATAACCTTGAAAAAGAAAAGATGGGCCACAGTATCTGCTTACTTAAGAGAAGTTAAATGGTGCATGTAACATCTCCGTTACACAGTATACAACAGTGACTGACTTTAGCCTTTAAATTACATTTATCATTTGTTTTGACTGCAAAGTGATCTATACTTATTTACGGTGGTTTACAGCAGATTACGCCCTTCAGTTTTTAACTAACACCAAAAAATAAAGACATTGCAGTAAAACAAAGAACGCCTCCATTAGCCAAATACCAAAGAGAGAGTTAGCCTACAACTTCTAGCATTACAAACATTTACAGAGAACATAACGCTAAAAGGTGACTGCTGGATTTTTCCATTACTTGCTCTCTTTCTTTCTTCATACTTATTGGAAAAAGTGTAAGCTTTGATTCAGCTTGTGTAAGTACAAATCCCAGCTCCGTTGCTTAATAATTTTGTGGCCGTTGGCTAAATAACCTGTCTATGCCTCAGATTCCTTATCTATAAAACGGAAATAGCAATTATAGTAACTTTCTGAGAAAACTGTGTAGAGGATTAAATGAGACAATACATGTAAAGTTTTTAAACAATAATTGAGATACAGTAAGTGCTCAATAGATGTTAGTTATTAACACCTTAAATAATAGTTCTTTTAAAAAATGTGTGCTGTCTATTCAACACGGAAACTTACCTACCTTGCAAGGGCAAGAGAAGAGCAATGAATTTAACCACCAGGAAACGTCAACAATGTAATTCTTGGTACTCTTCACCAAAAGTTCAATTAGTTCTCTATTCTAAAGTCATAACGGAGTGGCAGGAGTCAAATGAATAACTCAGAAAGATCCCTCTGGTGGTATTTGAACAACAATATGAAATAAATCTCATAAATAAATATAAAATTATGTCAACAATAAAAAAGAAAGATGATGAGCATCTAAATGCAGACAGCAGCCTTAATTATGGAAAGAATGGGAGAAATATGAGAAGAATAAAAGGGACAGACTACACAAGTATATCACTAATATAACATGGGTGGTACCAAATAAATTCAATTATATTGTTATTTTTAAAGCTTTCCAGAGCAGGAACCCATCTTATTTGCTCTAGTGCATTAATTCATACAATAATAATTATTAGTCCAAAATGTATCTCAATTCACACTTTTTGAAGACTTATCATATGTTGCATTACAGAGGGTGCAAAGGATGCTTACAGCTGGTAAAATATGATTAGCTTTATTAGTATATCAGGCTAAACTACCCATAAGTTAATCAATATATTTATGCTAATTGCTAATTTTCATGTCTTGCAACAAAGGTGCAAATTGTGGCATCATCTGACCTTCAAGGCACACATAATACCAGTGATGCTTTTTTTTTTCTTACTAAGTTGTGTAACTGCTAAAATTAATTGTACCCCAGGGCTATTATATTATTCATGAATTGTCACCCAAATGAATGACAATGTTTGAGAGGGAGTGGAAGAATAGGGATTTAGATGTGTTCTCAGTGAATGCTGCCAGCTACATGACAACTGACATAATACCCAATTACAAGATCACTAATTAAAGCTATCAAACCAAGCCTGTGCAATTTTTGCCCATCACTAGGATTTTCAACTTTAGCTTCTGAATTTTCCTTCAACAATTAGAAAAAAATCCTTTTCTAAGTGGTTTTTCCCAATACTCTGAAACTAGGATTTATCATTTGATGAGTCAGAAAATATTGTAATTTTGCTATGCCCAATTCTAACATGTAACGACATAGCAACAATATGCTTTGATTTTATTTTTCCTGTTTCAGAACTCAAAAAGAGCTAAGAAAGTCAGATACATGTTTCCTCTTTTAAGACTGAAGCAATGAAAGTGAAATCTCTAAAGTCTGATTTCATGAGGAATGCAAGGACATATTATGGAGGAAAGAGCCTTACCAGTATACTACTTATTATCTTCTTTATTGGAAAAAAAATTAGTTAAAAGTATAGCTTTGTATCTATTTTGTTCAGAAACTAGATAAACATGATGGCTCAAGTTTTTCCGTATGCAAAGTAGAGTCAACTTTTATTCCACAAGATAATATTCAGTGAATATCTTAATCATTTGGATGAAAATTTTAGAAATGTGTATAAAAATATATATACATATACAGCATCATATATATTTACTTTAGTACATATATAGATATACATATTATATATTGTGTGTATATGTATATATTTGTGTGTGTGTGTGTGTGTAAGGTTTTCACCAAAGAGACCTACAAATTTGTTGAATATTATCTTTGGTTAAAAAAAAATTAGAAAAATTAAATTTAACAGAGATTCACTGAGCAAAAAACAATTTGAAAATGGGGCAGCCCACGGAACCAGAATAGGCTCAAAGTGACTCCAGGGTTGCCACATGATTGGATGACATTTACAGACGGAAAAAGGAAAGTAACATACACAAAGTGGGAGCAATGTACAGAAACATCTGGATTGGCTACATCTGGGTGTTTGCCTTAGTTGAGCCTGGTTTATACAGTTGGCTGCCTGTAGTTGACTGAAGTTCAGCTGCTGTGATTGGCTGAGGCTCAGCTACTTGTGACAAGAGTAGGTTGCAATCTGTTTACACATCAAGTTGGGTTACAGTTTATTGTGTATTGAAAAACCTTTTGGCCAAGCGTAATTTAACAATTTCCCATTTTGTCAACTTCTTAATTGAAAAAGATTAAAGAAAACCTTAGGCATTGATGTCACCATTGTAAATGGACTTATTTAGTCTCAAATCGCTTTGGAGAATGGCAGAACAATGGGTTTCGTAGGTGGGAACAAGGAAACCGAACAGCAGGAAAAAACGCTGGGGAGCATCAGGTCTCTTCAGATTTCTTTTTTGTAAGAGAGCAGAGGAGGCTTCCTTACTATCCTAAAATCTGTTTGAGAGAGGAAAACAAAAATGGGCCTGTTTTGAGATTTATTTCCTTAAAGTTTTATTTTATGATGTGGCACTTAGCGTGAGTGACTTCATTTTCATTTGGTCTAGTCTGTTGGGGCCTAGTGCAGCAGCTCAGTCCAAAATAATGACCTCCAATAATTTTGTTTAAAAATTTCTCCCTTTTGATCAGGATCTCATCTAGGTGAGAGTGATCAAAACTTAGGGCATTAGCACTAGTCTCAGTTACCATCATTTTAGCTTGCCAGTCTCACTATGTCATTCATAGGTTATGGTCTCCTCATGAACGCACATTTCTTTAACTTTTTATCTTCCAATCAAAGAATGTCTATTTAACATTCTACAGATGGCTGCATGCAAACATTTAAAACTTTTGAGAGAATACAGTGCACCAGAGAGACTATTATTATAACTATCAGAAGGACAATACCAAATATGCTGCTTAGCCAGGCTCCCCATAAACCAAACCAACTAAAATGAAATAGATGAAAGAATGTGCCAGATGAAAAGTCTACCCATTTTAACCAAGCAGCCTGTTTGTTAATCCCTTGCAACCAGGTCTCTAATACCTGATGTATTCCTCCATGTGTAACAAGAAGTCTGAGCAATTGCAGATTCTTTCCTGTTCAGCTAACAGGTAATTTAGAGCAATTCTATTATTTAGTACAACTTTAACAAGAGAATGTAAAGAAGTCTGCTCTGCAATTATAGCCTTTGCAGTAGAATCTGCTATAGAACCTATTATGAAGGATACATCTCTAATTATTGCCTCACTTATTATATATTTACTCCAAGCCATGGAAAAGGAGGCCTGACAAATGATGCCTATCCGGAAGGGTGAAGACCTCCTGACAATGTTCTCTTTAATGTATGATGTAAGATAAGAGGAGTGGACCAGTACTCTGTTTCTACTGATTTGGAGCAGCAGAGATGAATTTGAAACCCACATTGACCCTTCATCTTCAATCCAACAAGACATAACGTTGCCCATGGATTAGATAGGCTGTGAAATCCTCCATAAATAAAAGTATAACCCTTGAGTGGACACAAAGACCTATTGCTCACATATACGTTATAACAGCTTCTGGCCAAGAGTCTGAGACAGAATTATTACAGGTTAAAATAACATTGTGGTATCATGGCATATAGCTAATTTGCAAAAAAAAAACTCCATTTAAGTAAGTCTGTTTTGTGATATACTCATTGGTCCTGGCTCTGCATACCATTAAAACAGAGAATGCCAACAAGTTGGTTGAGAAATCTTACCACTGGTACAATTCAAACAACAGTTACATTAAGGATGTTACTAAAGTAACCCACAAAGTAAATTACAGGATCCCTTAAGTCATATAAAGACCTGGGTTTGATATGACATATTCAACACTCTGTCAAGTTACTCACAGATATTACTGATTGTGAAATTTTAATTACAGCATTCTTCTGCTGCTTTGGTTTTGATGTTTGTCTCCCTTCAAATCTCATATTGAAATTTAATCCCCAACTTTAGAGGTGCGCTTAATGGGAGGCGTTTGGGTCATAGGAGTGGATCCCTCATGAATAGATTAATGTCCTCTTGGAGGGTGTGAGAGGGAGAAATGTGATTGAGTTCTTGCTCTATTGTTCTCATGAGTTCTGGTTGTTAAAAACAAAAAGAAAACTAAAGAAAAAAAAAAAAAAGCCTGGCATCTCCCCTCTACCTCTCTCCAGCAACCCCTCTTGCCATGTGATCCCTGCAGATGCTCTACTTCACTTCCTACCATGAATGGAAGCAGCTTGAGGCCTTCACCAGGAACAGATGCTGCTGTCAAGCTTTCTCTCCAGCCTACAGAACTGTGAATCAAATAAACCCTTTTTGTTTATAAATTACTCAGTCTTGGGTATTTTTTATAGCAACACAAAATGGACCAAGACAGAAAATTGATACCTGTAGTGGGGTATTTAAATAAAGATACCTGAAAATGTGGAAGCAGCTTTAGAACTGGGTAATGGGCAGAGGTTGGAAGAGCTCGGAGGGCTCAGAAGAAAAGAGAAAGTTTGGCACTTCTTAGAGATTGGGTAAGTGGTTGTGACCAAAGTGGTGATAGAAATATAGATGGTAAAGAGAATGCTGAGAAGATCTCAGATAGAAATGAGAAAACGGGAACTGGAGCAAAGGTCAACCTCTTATGCCATCACAAAGAACTTGACTGCATTGTGTCCATGCTCTAGACCTTGTGGAAGGCTGTGATGACCCAGGGTGTCTGGCAGATGACATTTCTAAGCAGCAAAGTGTTCAAGAAGTGGTGTGGCTGCTTTTTACAGCTTCCAGTTAGATATGGTAGCAAAGAAATGTGTTAAAGGTGAAATTTACAATTAAAAGCAAAGCAGAGCGAAAAAAATTTTGGAAAATTTGCAGCCTGGCCATGTGGTAAAGAAGAAAATGTCATCTTCAAGAGAAGCATCCAAGGGTGCTGTAGAGCAACCATTTTCTAAAGAGGTTACTGTGGATAAAAGGGAGCCAGGTGCTAATAATCAAGACGGGGGAAAAAGGCCCCAAAGGCATTTCAGAAATCTTCTGAATTCTGAAGGCCACCCCTTCTATCACAGGCCCAAAGGCCTAGGAGTACAGAAGATATTCCTGGGACAGGTCTGGGACACTACTGCCCTGTGTCACCTCAGATGCTGCTCCTGCATCCCAACAACTCTGGCTCCAGCCACAACTTGGACAGCCTCAGCTACTGCTCTGGCTGACACTCTGGAGAATGCAAGCAGTAGCCTTGGCAGCAACCATGTGGTGCAGAGTCTTCAGGTGCCCAGAATGCAAGAGCCATTCTTGCATTGGCTTGGTGGCTTAAGGGATAGATATATTGAAAAACCTGGATACACTGGAAGAAGGCTGCTGCCACATCAGAGCAACCAAAGAGAGTCCCAACTAGGGCAGTGCCTAGTAGGGTAATAGGAGCAGTACTGCCACCCTTCAGATCCCAGAATTATAGAACCACTGCCAGCATAAAACCCTAGCCTAGGAAAGCTGTAGGCACCAGGCTCCAAACCATTAGAACAGCCACATAGACTACACCCAGCAAAGGTAGGTGCAGGGCTGCCAGAAGCCTTAAAAACCTACCCCGCATACCAGTATGCCCAAGATGCAGGACGCGAAGTCAGTGAAGATTATTTTGGAGCTTTACAATTTAATGTCTGCCCTGCTAATTTCTGGACTTGTGTGGGGCCTTGTTACACCTTTCTTTTGGCTGATTTCTCTGTTTCAAGATAGAAATGTTTATTCAATGCCTGTACAACCATTATATCTTAGTAGTAAATAGCTTGCTTTCTATTTTCCAGGCTGGTAGCAGGAAGAAACTTGCATAGAGTCTCAGATAAGACTTTGGACTTAGAGTTACTTACAGAACAAGTTAAGACTTTTGGGGACTATTGGGAAAGGCTGATTGCATTTTGCAATGTGAGAAAGGCATGAGATTTAGGGGTCAAGGAGCAGAATGCTACAGTTTAGATGTTTGTCCCCTTCAAATCTCATATTGAAATTTGATCCTCAGTGTAGGAGATGGGGTCTAATAGGAAGTGTTTGGGTCATGGGGGTGGATCACTCATGAATAGATTAAGGTCCTCTTTGGAGGGGAGGGGGTGAGTAACTTCTCACTCTGTTCGTTCCTGTGAGAGCTGGTTGTTACAAAGAGCCTGGCACTTCCCCTCTTCCTCTCTTTTGCTTACTCCCTCACCATGCAATCTCTGCACATGATTCCCCTTCACCTTCTGCCATGAGTGGAAGCAGCCTGAGGCCCTCACCAGGAGCAGATGCTGGTGCCATGCTTCCTGTACAGCCTATAGAACCATGCATGAGCCAAATAAAACTTCTTTCTTTACTTATTACCAAGTATCAGGTATGTCTCTATAGCAACACTAAATGAACTAAGATACCTGCCAAGCAAAAGAGGTAGGCATAAGCAAAAAATTAAAAATTAAGAGAACTAAGAGTTTCATGATAGCAGAGAAGTCTTGATTCATGATCTTGGGACAGCTCCTCATGCCTAAGCTGCCTCTGTTTCTGGAAACTTCCCTGACTAGCTTTATCGTAAGGTCTCCAGTGAGTGTACAGTTCCAAGAGTCTGCAGAGGGCCTTTTGACTTGTGAGATGTGCACTGAAGGTTTGAGGCCCTGATATTTTGCTGCAGTGTGGATGGCAGGAGCAGTCTTTCTCTGAATATGTTTTTAGATGACCCAGTCTCTGGGTTCTAGATCATGAAGAGCTTATTTTCCTCAGTTGGTGGATCAGGAAAAGCGTTCCTTACCTTGTGAAAGCACACATTAGTATAATGTATTAAAGCCTTGTAGCATTTCGTGATTTTAGCGTTTAGGAGAGCAGGAAATACATGAGGTTCTATTATTAGAAACATGGGCCTTTCAGTGACTATGTCATAAGCGGTCAACTTACATGTTCTGGCATTCTTGGGAGGAGCCAAGACGGCCGAATAGGACCAGCTCCGGTCTACAGCTCCCAGCGTGAGCGACGCAGAAGACGGGTGATTTCTGCATTTCCATCTGAGGTACCGGGTTCATCTCACTAGGGAGTGCCAGACAGTGGGCGCAGGTCAGTGGGTGCGCTCACCGTGCGCGAGCCGAAGCAGGGCGAGGCATTGCCTCACTTGGGAAGCGCAAGGGGCCAGGGAGTTCCCTTTCCCAGTCAAAGAAAGGGGTGACGGACAGCACCTGGAGAATCGGGTCACTCCCACCCGAATACTGCGCTTTTCCGACAGGCTTAAAAAACGGCGCACCACGAGATTATATCCCGCACCTGGCTCGGAGGGTCCTACGCCCACGGAGTCTCGCTGATTGCTAGCACAGCAGTCTGACATCAAACCGCAAGGCAGCAGCGAGGCTGGGGGAGGGGCACACGCCATTGCCCAGGCTTGATTAGGTAAACAAAGCAGCTGGGAAGCTGGAACTGGGTGGAGCCCACCACAGCTCAAGGAGCCCTGCCTGCCTCTGTAGGCTCCACCTCTGGGGGCAGGGCACAGACAACCAAAAGACAGCAGTAACCTCTGCAGACTTAAATGTCCCCGTCTGAGGGCTTTGAAGAGAGCAGTGCTTCTCCCAGCACGCAGCTGGAGATCTGAGAACCGGCAGACTACCTCCTCAAGTGGCTCCCTGACCCCCGAGCAGCCTAACTGGGAGGCACCCCCCAGCAGGGGCAGACTGACACCTCACACGGCAGGGTATTCCAACAGACCTGCAGCTGAGGGTCCTGTCTGTTAGAAGGAAAACTAACAAACAGAAAGGACATCCACACCAAAAACCCATCTGTACATCACCATCATCAAAGACCAAAAGTAGATAAAACCACAAAGATGGGGAAAAAACAGAACAGAAAAACTGGAAACTCTAAAAAGCAGAGCGCCTCTCCTTCTCCAAAAGAACGCAGTTCCTCATCAGCAACGGAACAAAGCTGGATGGAGAATGACTTTGACGAGCTGAGAGAAGAAGGCTTCAGACGATCAAATTACTCTGAGCTACAGGAGGACATTCAAACCAAAGGCAAAGAAGTTGAAAACTTTGAAAAAAATTTACAAGAATGTATAACTAGAATAACCAATACAGAGAAATGCTTAAAGGAGCTGATGGAGCTGAAAACCAAGGCTCGAGAACTACGTGAAGAATGCAGAAGCCTCAGGAGCTGATGCGATCAACTGGAAGAAAGGGTATCAGTGATGGAAGATGAAATGAATGAAATGAAGCGAGAAGGGAAGTTTAGAGAAAAAAGAATAAAAAGAAATGAGCAAAGCCTCCAAGAAATATGGGACTATGTGAAAAGACCAAATCTACGTCTGATTGGTGTACCTGAAAGTGATGGGGAGAATGGAACCAAGCTGGAAAACATTCTGCAGGATCAACAAAATTGATAGACCGCTAGCAAGACTAATAAAGAAAAAAAGAGAGAAGAATCAAATAGACGCAATAATAAATGATAAAGGGGATATCACCACCGATCCCACAGAAATACAAACTACCATCAGAGAATACTACAAACACCTCTACGCAAATAAACTAGAAAATCTAGAAGAAATGGATAAATTCCTGGACACATACACTCTCCCAAGACTAAACCAGGAAGAAGTTGAATCTCTGAATAGACCAATAATGGGAGCTGAAATTGTGGCAATAATCAATAGCTTACCAACCAAAAACAGTCCAGGACCAGATGGATTCATAGCCGAATTCTACCAGAGGTACAAGGAGGAATTGGTACCATTCCTTCTGAAACTATTCCAATCAATAGAAAAAGAGGGAATCCTCCCTAACTCATTTGATGAGGCCAGCATCATTCTGATACCAAAGCCAGGCAGAGACACAACAAAAAAAGAGAATTTTAGACCCATATCCTTGATGAACATTGATGCAAAAATCCTCAATAAAATACTGGCAAAACGAATCCAGCAGCACATCAAAAAGCTTATCCACCATGATCAAGTGGGCTTCATCCCTGAGATGCAAGGCTGGTTCGATATACGCAAATCAATAAATGTAATCCAGCATATAAACAGAGCCAAAGACAAAAACCACATGATTATCTCAATAGATGCAGAAAAAGCCTTTGACAAAATTCAACAACCCTTCATGCTAAAAACTCTCAATAAATTAGGTATTGATGGGACGTATTTCAAAATAATAAGAGCTATCTATGACAAACCCACAGCCAATATCATACTGAATGGGCAAAAACTGGAAGCATTCCCTTTGAAAATTGGCACAAGACAGGGATGCCCTCTCTCACCACTCCTATTCAACATAGTGTTGGAAGTTCTGGCCAGGGCAATTAGGCAGGAGAAGGAAATAAAGGGTATTCAATTAGGAAAAGAGGAAGTCAAATTGTCCCTGTTTGCAGACGTCATGATTGTATATCTAGAAAACCCCATTGTCTCAGCCCAAAATCTCCTTAAGCTGATAAGCAACTTCAGCAAAGTCTCAGCATACAAAATCAATGTACAAAAATCACAAACATTCTTATACACCAACAACAGACAAACAGAGAGCCAAATCATGAGTGAACTCCCATTCACAATTGCTTCAAAGAGAATAAAATACCTAGGAATCCAACTTACAAGGGCTGTGAAGGACCTCTTCAAGGAGAACTACAAACCACTGCTCAAGGAAATAAAAGAGGATACAAACAAATGGAAGAACATTCCATGCTCATGGGTAGGAAGAATCAATATTGTGAAAATGGCCATACTGCCCAAGGTAATTTACAGATTCAATGCCATCCCCATCAAGCTACCAATGCCTTTCTTCACAGAATTGGAAAAAACTACTTTAAAGTTCATATGGAAGCAAAAAAGAGCCCGCATCACCAAGTCAATCCTAAGCCAAAAGAACAAAGCTGGAGGCATCACACTACCTGACTTCAAACTATACTACAAGGCTACAGTAACCAAAACAGCATGGTACTGGTACCAAAACAGAGATATAGATCAATGGAACAGAACAGAGCCCTCAGAAATAATGCCGCATATCTACAACTATCTGATCTTTGACAAACCTGAGAAAAACAAGCAATGGGGAAAGGATTCCCTATTTAATAAATGGTGCTGGGAAAACTGGCTAGCCATATGTAGAAAGCTGAAACTGGATCCCTTCCTTACACCTTATACAAAAATCAATTCAAGATGGATTAAAGACTTAAATGTTAGACCTAAAACCATAAGAACCCTAGAAGAAAACCTAGGCATTACCATTCAGGACATAGGCATGGGCAAGGACTTCATGTCTAAAACACCAAAAGCAATGGCAACAAAAGCCAAAATTGACAAATGGGATCTAATTAAACTAAAGAGCTTCTGCACAGCAAAAGAAACTACCATCAGAGTGAACAGGCAACCTACAAAATGAGAGAAAATTTTCGCAACCTGCTCATCTGACAAAGGGCTAATATCCAGAATCTACAATGAACTCAAACAAATTTACAAGAAAAAAACAAACAACCCCATCAAAAAGTGGGTGAAGAACATGAACAGACACTTCTCAAAAGAAGACATTTATGCAGCCAAAAAACACATGAAAAAATGCTCATCATCACTGGCCATCAGAGAAATGCAAATCAAAACCACAATGAGATACCATCTCACACCAGTTAGAATGGCAATCATTAAAAAGTCAGGAAACAACAGGTGCTGGAGAGGATGTGGAGAAATAGGAACACTTTTACACTGTTGGTGGGACTGTAAACTAGTTCAACCATTGTGGAAGTCAGTGTGGCGATTCCTCAGGGATCTAGAACTGGAAATACCATTTGACCCAGCCATCCCATTACTGGGTATATACCCAAAGGACTATAAATCATGCTGCTATAAAGACACATGCACACGTATGTTTATTGCGGCATTATTCACGATAGCAAAGACCTGGAACCAACCCAAATGTCCAACAATGATAGACTGGATTAAGAAAATGTGGCACATATACACCATGGAATACTATGCAGCCATAAAAAATGATGAGTTCATGTCCTTTGTAGGGACATGGATGAAATTGGAAATCATCATTCTCAGTAAACTATCGCAAGAACAAAAAACCAAACACCGCATATTCTCACTCATAGGTGGGAATTGAACAATGAGATCACATGGACACAGGAAGGGGAATATCACACTCTGGGGACTGTGGTGGGGTGGGGGGAGGGGGGAGGGATAGCATCGGGAGATATACCTAATGCTAGATGACGAGTTAGTGGGTGCAGTGCACCAGCATGGCACATGTATACATATGTAACTAACCTGCACAATGTGCACATGTACCCTAAAACTTAAAGTATAATAAAAAAAAAAAAAAAAAAAAAAAAAAAACTTACACGTTCTACTGAAAGTGGATCTTATTGTCATCAATCTGAAGTACCTTTGACCAAGACAATCTAGTTGATTCAGTTAGTGTTACCTAATGCTATTCTATCTGTAATATCTTGTTTCTTTTCCAACTTGTCCAGTAAAATAAGTACCTCTGTTGTTGGAAATTTCTCCAAGAATATCCCATGAGGGAAGCACATTTTCTAATAACAGTTTTAATTATTGTTATACCATCAGCCTTCTTTCATGGAAAAGCTTCTATCTAACCAGAAAACATGGATTGAAAATCACAATTGAAAAAAATTCCTCTATAAATGTTCAAACAGATCATTAGGCAGCAGAAATGTACCTGAACTTGTGAATGTCTTCACAAAATGAAGGGTTTGAGTAACCAAACGTTAGTCATAGTAATTTTGCCAATTTTAGAACAGTCACCACACCATATTTTTTAATGTAATTTGGATCATTTTGTCTCTTTATGATGAGTCATCATGAAGTGCATAGTTTTTAATAATGGAAGCTTTAAGTACTCAGAAGGGACCAGGTGGCTGTCCAGGCTCTCCATGAGTCCATGCTTAACACTGGATTTACACTCTCTAAAATATCAACATTGTTTCTGTAATTCAGGTTCATAGCACTGTTTATTAAATGGGTTAACACAGGTAATTTGACTTGATCACGAAGTTCACTCAAATTGCCTGTCTTAGCAATTTTAGTACTGGCTGACTTAGCATGAAAATCTGCCACAGTATTTCCTTGGTAATTAATTAGTTCTTATACTGCTTGAGTTAGCAGTTTTATGAGCCAGTCAGTCTTCCTCATTAGAGTTCTGGGAGTTCTTACTGAGTCCAGTGGTATGAACTTAAGGTTATCAGCAACCTGTGCTTGTCAGAGTCATTTCCAGTCTCTCCATGAACCTCCTTGAAGACATAACACTTTAAGATCGTAATTGTTTATAAAGAGCTTTCAGAAAAAACATCGGAATTAACAATTAACTACAGACAACAAGACTTGAAATGGTTATGGTTAAAAAGGCATTTGGCAAGGAAATTTGGTTATTTGTATGGCCCACAGTAATTTAATGTAATAAAAATAATTATGACTGATAACATATCCTGAGCTTATACAATTTTGGAACATGTATTAATAACATATCTATACAACTATAACTCAAACCAAAAAGGTTAAGTATCATTTCTTATTTGATAATACTTTCCATTTAAGTTAACATAGCATATAAATGGTTTTCATATATCTCTTTTGGATGCTCCCGGGGCCCTCTGGAACATCTCAAAGTTAGTTTGAGATCAAAAAGACTTAATTTTGATTTTAAAATTTGATTTTTGGAAGTCTACCAAATATATTAAGGGTTTAAAATACCTAACCAAAATAGGATCACATGTCACCGAAAATAATAGTCATTTAACCAAAGTGATAATTAAAACATCTTAAAAAATAAAAACTTTTACTCTTTGATAAAGAGGAGACTCGGTTTTCCAAATAATCAAAAGACCTAATAAAGTCAGAATAAGGCACAGAATATTTGTTTCTCTTTCTCTTTTATTCTCTCTCTCTCTCTCCGTTTTTGCAGTTTACTCAAAAGGTGAATAAAAATCTTTTATTATCTCTTATTAATACAACACAAAAATCTTGCTTAAAACAGAAAGCTAAATTTTATTTTCACCCTAATTTTCTTTTGATATTAAGGCTCAGTTTTTAAAACTCTTACAATGAATTTATTTATCCTTAGTTTAGCCACACAATATTTTTAACTTTTTTTCCTTTTTTAAACTTTCTATGTCCATTCAGTTTTATCTATATCATTTTTTATTTGTTTATTTTGAAGCAATGTTTAAATAATGTCTGAGATAAAATTACTTTAAAAGAAAATACACTTTTATATCTCCTTTATAACCTTTCTCACCAAAAACATATTTTTCCTTTTTTATTATATATTTTGCATAGAGAATTGTTACCCTTATTTTTAGTAGTTTTAATTGTATACATTAATTACAATTTTAACTCTTAGTAACTAATTTCCAGTGAAGAACCTAGAAAATAAGCAATTTGAACTGTTTTGTAACAGTATTTGTAGATGAAAGCTATTACATAATTTTGAGAAATATATGTTTAATCAGTGTTTTATGTTGATTAATAAACCCAAATATATTTAGCTTCTCTATATCATATAAAAAATGTTAAAATATATAAACTTAAAGTTATTCTTAATAATTAATGTTTCAGTATTTTAACTTACTTAGAAATGACTTAGATATTTAATGAGTATTACTTAATTTAACATGACTTTAAGATTTTAAATTACTGAAAAATATTTTTGAAACCATGACAAGTTCATTTATAAACTTTTATGCCATTTACACTCAGATAATTTACTCATTCCTAAGAATTATGCATGGATTGCTCATTAAACTAAGCTAGTCATTGAAGAAGCTCTGGAAATACCACCCTAAAATACGTCATTTTATCATACTATTGCTATGAATAGGTAAGCAAAGCAAGGCTTTTTTAATTCCCTGTACCTATCTAAAGACAGATTTTCCAAAGAAACTCAGTTGTCATTAATTCTCTTTCCAGGGAGATCCAGCAATGAGGAAAGATTAACTTTTATCACTGGAAAGGAGACTTTGTCATACCCAGACAGATATTGTCACAAACCGTCACCCATTTTTCTAAGGGCCCATTCATCTTTTCCAAACACCGCTTTCTACCTAAAGCCTAAATACCATCATTTGCCAAAGCCAAGGAAGGAGGGCATAGGTAAAGACCTAGTTAAAACAAGATGCCACGAAAGCAACTTAAACAAGGATAAGGCTTGTTATGTAAATTTAAATCAATGCCTTTTCCACTGTAAGAGTTTCTAGTTACTCAATCCTTCCTCTCTTCCTAATGCACAGAGATATAAACTCTTACAAATAGAGATTTTCTTTATAGAAGTAATTTTTTTTTTTACACAAGGGTTTCAAAATAGCCAGCTAAATGCCAGAAAGCTGTATAATTGTACAGAAGGGCAGTGTACGTAAGGACAGTGTACAATGCCATATAAGGACATTTTGGTCAATGATGGATTGCATGTATGATGGTGGTTCCATAATATTATAATACTATATTTTAACTGTACCTTTTCTATACATAGATGCACAAATACTCAGCATTGTATTACATCAGAACAATAGCATGCTATACAGGTTTGTAGCCAAGAAGCAATAGGCTACACTATACAGCGTAGGTGTGTAGTAAGCTATACCATCCAGGTTTGTGTAAGTACACTCTATGATGTTCACACAATGACAGGATTGTCTAATGACACATTTTTCAAAATGTATCCCTATCATTAAGCAGCACATGACTGTATTTTGATGACTGATTTAGTTCAGCAGGAGAGCTTTTTGACTTAGCTTTTATTTCTTAACTAAAATTACATAGTTCAGGGTGGAGGCCATTAACAAATAGGACCAAAAACTGTCTTCTATGCCTGGACTCAGCGTGGATACCTCTGAAAAAGAAGAAAGCCTACTTTACCTGAGAGCCACCTTCTATAAATACTTTATGCAGTTTTCTTTTCACCTTTGGGATGGGATAGTAGCTAAGCCAAACGTTAGCAGATTCTACTTTTTTTTTTAACAATTAGTCATTTAAGCTTTTTATTTGTCTTTTGAAACAGTTTTTAAAGGAGGCAATAAAAACTCTGAAATTTTTGTAGAAGTTTTTGTAGCGGTCCCTGGGTGATCCAAATTTGGGAGCCCTCATTTCTAAATTCACTTTTAAAGTACAGTGCTGTTCATTCTGAATGTTCCACTGTAATTTTAAATTATTTTCTTTAGTAAGATTATGCCATTTTTGTAAGTATTATCTGCTTCTGAGGCCTAATAACTATACACGTAAAGGTAGGCTTGGCTGGAAGGTGGAGCACTCAGTTCTTCAGAAATTACGGATCCCATTTTTATGCTGAACCTTGGCATTGGTTCTGAGATCCCCTTGATCAACACTGTCAGGGATTTTTCTCTACCTAGACTTGCAAGTGAAAAAAAACAAAGAGACTAGAACACAAAATTCCTGCAAATTTGCAAAAGCAGGAGTTCGTACCCTCTGCAGTGACTGCCATTTACTGCCTGTTTCTGCCTGGTCTGGTCAGACATCTGAGGCCTCTAACTGGATCCAATCTAGTTAGTTATTGTATCTGATCCAGTCCTGGACCCATTCCAGTTTTTGTGCCCACTTCCTAACTCAATTTAGATCCAAAATTTGCCTAAACAAACTCAGCTCAAAACACAAATCCATGAAACTTCAGAATCTGAGAAATAACTTATCCATGATCCCCAGTTGCTGCAAGTGACCAATGGACATGATGACCCTGGAAGGTGTCTCACCTGGTCAGTCAGTGCTCCTGGGGGTCCCAGGAAGCTCTACTTTGAATCCCACTTCTGATGCCATCTGTTAAATGAAAAACTGTAGACAAATTAAATTTGATAGGGCTTAATTGATCAAAAAACAATTCCAGAATGGGGTGGACCTCAGAACCAGAATAGGTTCAGAGCAACTCCAAGGCTGGTTGGATAATATTTATGGATAGGAAAAGGAAAGTGTTGTATAGAAAATGGAAGTACGGTACAGAACCAGCTCTATTAGTTACAGCTGGGCATTTGCCTTATTTGATCCTGCTTTGAACAGCCGGCTTCTTGTGAGTGGTTGACTGAAGTTTGGCTGTTGTGATTGGCTGAGGCTCGGCTACTCTTTACAAGAGAGGGTTAGAGTCTACTTTACACAACAAGTTAGGTTACAATTCATTATGTGTGAAGAAACCTTTAGGTGGAATACCTACATTACAGGAGAGTATTGATTACCAGTTGGAAGCTATGCTGCTCTTAATGGTAACTCTGGACTTGTCCTTCCTATACGTGACTCTGATTTTGACCTTGACACGCAGCTTGCTGCAGAAATCAGCCATGCCACTGCAGACCAGATTACTGCCCAGCAGACCTGCTGAATCATGAAAAATAACAAATTTCTCTGGTAACTCACTGAACTTGGAGTGGCTGAGTAATCAGCAATAGAGAACTCATCCATTGCATTAATCCACTGAGATTATTAAGTCGATCCAGCAACTGGATTTTCTTTTGCCGATAAACACAACTAGTAACACAACTGATTCAGCAAAAAATCACAATTCCATGGGTAAGAATTGCTGGCCTAGGTGACTGGTGATAACTCTAGAGATGAAAGTACTGTTAGAAGCTTTTCATTTTGGTAGTATTAAAACTGTTTTGTGGATGCCCTGGTTTTCAGGAAGAGCTCCAAAGTCTGTCTGAAAAGAAAGGCCAGCATTCTGCTCTACTTCTGCTGGACCACATGTGTTCAATACAGGGCTTTTCAGAAAAAAAAAAAAAAAATTCCATTTTCTAAAAAGGGTCAGCCTGAAAAAACACTGTTATAAAGATTCAAATATCACTAATCTTGTCCAACTGTATCAAGAATTATTACAACAGACCCAGAGAAGTAAGGTGGTTAGTTCAAGTTCATGTAACTGAAAGTGACAAAGCAGAAATATAACTCCCTTCTCTATCCACCTAACTTGGGCTTTTGACTCCTACAACATCCTGAGACTTTCAATATGAAGGGTAAGGGTGGCGTCTGCAACCGCAAATGGCTGGATAGCACCCCATAAATCAAGAAATGCCTTAGCATCTGTGGTTATTCAGTTCATCAACAAGTATTTATTAAACAACTGTCACCATCAAGTAGGTCCTACATAGGCGTGTTCCTCCCTGAAGGAGCAGGACTCCTAAAGTTATAAAGATCCATAGCAGGACAGATGTAGCCTTTTTACAAAGTTCTAAACCTCATTCTCCACTGCGTGTTTATTAGGACAAATAAAAATCCATTTTCCTTCCCCACCTCCTTTATCTGAAAAGAAAGTTCAGTCCTTTCTTTAAGTCTGATACTTTACATATATATTTAGTGTTTTAATATTTAAATTTTTCAAGTTTATTTTTAATACTTAGTGTTATCTTTACGTTATTGAATAGAAAGAATAGGCACTTGAGCCCCAATACCAAGTCATCATTGTACTGGATTGCCCACAAACTAAAGTCCAGTTTGAGTATTGTAGATGAGCCCCATTAGTTTTGCCAACCAAGAACAAGTCAACAGTTTTTGCTTCCAAGTTCAGTACCAATGAGTGCACTGTATTTTTCTCTGTCTTCCACTCTGTAGCAAATAGTGAAGTCTTAGACTATTTTCAGGGAAATAACTTGTACATTGTAAAATCATGATAAAAATAAAAGCATTTTGTTATTAGATAAGGACATTCCTGTTTCGTTGTGAATTCTATATTTGTATTTACCCAAAGTGCATCATTAACAAGTAGTCTTTATTCAGTATTACCTTGTCCATTTCCCTATGCAGGATAAATGAATATGCATATAAATAAAAAATATTTACAAACAAGTAAATAGCCCCTTGGTTACATCAGAATTGTTAATAAAGAGCTTACTATATTTTAGATACAGTTTGTAAAATGTGGTCTCCTCCCTGGTACCAATGAGGATCTCACACATTTTGTACTCAAATAAAAGTGATACAAAATTAAGAACACTTATTTCACAGTTAAGAATAATCATATTCCTGCCTTGGAGGAAGAAGGTATAGAAAGAGAGTGATAGCCATTAGATTCAGCTTCAGCTACCATTCGGGGGACCATATGCCAGATACTTTCACTACAGTCATTTAAACCTCCAAGCAGTCTGGATGAGGGAAACATGATTATCACCTCTTTTCCACAGATAAGGAAACTGAGAATCAAAAATATATATGAGAAAAATAGTTACTTTACTGTAGAAAAACCTTGCAGACACTACCTGTGGTTGGCAGACTAATTCTCCCCTAAGATATTCATGTCCTAATCCCTAGACCTGTGATTATATTATGTTACTTGGCAAAGAAGAATTAAGGTTGCTAATCAGATAATCTTAAAATAGGGAAATGATCTTGGATTAGCTAGGTGGGCCCAATATAATCACAAAGGTTCTTAAAGGGGAAGAGGGAAGTGGATGAAGAGATCAATCAGGGAGAGATCTGAAGAGGCTTTGAATCTGGTTTTGAAGATGGAGGTAAATGAGCTAGTGAAATGCAGACAGCCTCTAGAAACTAGGAAAGGCAAAGAAACAGAGCCCACAAAAAGGAACACAGCTGTGCTGACACCTTGATTTTAGCCGTGTGATAACCATGTTGTACTTCTAACCTATAGAACTATCAGATAATAAATGTGTGTCATTTTAAACCATTAAACTTGTGGTAATTTGTTACAGCAGAACTAGGGAACAACTACATCGCCTTTATCAAGTGACAAATTTCACATCACCAGGGATGTCATATTGATGTCATGTGCCACCTGATATGATGCAATGAGGGGGACATATCTTCTCTGTGGTTTTCTTCCCAAAAACCCATCGTTTCAACCCCAATGGAGGGACATTCTAGAAAATAACTAAAAAGTATTCTTCAAAACTTTAAAGCTCATGAAAAACCAGGAGAGACTGAGAAGCTATCACAAATCTAAAGAGTAAGAAGACAAGACAATTGACTAAGATCAATATTGTATTCTTAATTGGATCTTGGAACTAAAACTAACAAGAGTGAAATAACTGGTGAAATATGAATAATGTCTCTAGTTTAGTGGATAGTATTGTGGCAAACTTAATTTTTTACTTTTGACAAATGTACTGTGGTTGTGAACACTAGAATAAAACAGAGTGAAGGGAACTTGGGCGCTCTGTACTTTGTGACTTTTCTGTAAACCAAAAATTATTCCAAAGTAAAAATTTATTTAAAAATAAGTAAAACAAAAGTTTCTAAAGCAAAGTTTTTCATGAAAGACACATGCCTGAGAGAGTCAACTTTAGATCCAAGTTTTGTAGTCCTAAGTTCTCGTCCCCTGTTTCCTCCCAGTATACTATTCTGTCCCAGGACTTAGAATCTACTCAAGCTGGCAGGGTGCCATGGCTCACGCCTATAATCCCATCACTTTGGGAGGCAAAGGGGCGGATCACCTGAGGTCAGGAGTTCAATACCAGACTGGCCAACATGGTGAAACCCTGACTCTACTAAAAATACAAAAAAAAATTAGCCAGGTGTGGTGGTGTGCACCTGTAATTCCAGCTACTCGGGAGGCTGAGGCAGGGGAATGGCGTGAACCCGGGAGGCGGAGCTTGCAGTAAGCCTAGATCATGCCACTGCAGTCCAGCCTGGGTGACAGAGAGCGAGACTCCATCTCAAAAAAAAAAAAAAAAAAAAAAAAAAAGAAATAATCTATCTAGGATAGTTTCTAGAGTTGATGTCTCAAACTCTAGGTGTCCTGAAGTGAGTGCTATGGCAGAGACATCTTGTTACATTATTGGGGCTAAGTAGAGAACAATGATTATAGGAGTTATAATAATAGTTAGCATTCATTGAATTTCCTGTGATCCAGGCACTGTTCTAAGCCCTTTACATGTAGTTATCTCATTGAACCCACAAAATAACTTTGTAATGTGGAATTATCTTTATTCATTTCCAAATGAAGAAACTGAGACACAGGAAAGTGAAGCAAATTATGACATGGCCAATAAGTGACAGAATCAGATTTCAACCCTCACCAATCTGATACTAAGATAGAGCATCTGACTGTAACTGTAAAAGCATTTGGGCTGAAAGTACAGCTCAATACATCCTTATTAATAATGATGATATTAGCAGGTAACATTTATTAAGATTTTCCCTTATTTAAACCTCACTGCTATCCCTATGAGGTAAGTACTGCTACAGATCAGGTACCCTGGGAAGTAAACTTCGAGACAGGTATTAGAATACAGGAAGTTTATTGGGAAGAGCTCTCCGGATTAACATCTGTAATGGAAGGGGGGGTTAGCAAGATAGGAAAAAGTTGTATTGTGGTATGATCACAAGTCTCAGCCCTTTCTAATTGGATGGAGCACTGGAGCTGGGAGAGCACTGCAGAGCTGTGCAAATTGTGGCAAAGTGGCTGGGGGCATATACACCCTCAGTGGTAGTTCCTGGATGTGGGTGGCACCAAGGGAGGGTTGAGGCCTTGCGTGAGGGCAGGGGCAGTCTCCGGAAGGGGACTCATCTGTGAGTCAGCAGCAGCCACCCTGCCAGGCAACTTCAGGATAAGCACTTCAGTTCTGGAGTGTGGGCAGAGTGCTAGGCAGATTTTGAGTGGTATACCACATATTTATGATTCAAAAAACTGAAGACTAAAGAAAAAGCTACATGCCACAAATAAAATAAATGGTCATTGTATTAGTCAGTGTTCTCCAGAGAAACAAAGCCATTAGGATGTGTGGATCAATTAGCAAATGATTGATAGGTAGCTAGATAGATTATTGATTTATTATAAGGAACTGGCTTATACAATTATGGAGGCTAAGAATTTTAGTCCTAGGAGAGCCAATATAATTCCAGTATGAGTGTGAAGATCTAAAATGCAACAGAGCCAGTGGTGTAAGTTCTGGTCAGAGTCCTAGTTTGAAGGCAAGTGAAGACAGATATCCCAGCTCCCATACAGGCACACAGAGAGAATTCTTTCTTACTCAGCCTTTCTTGTTCTATTCAGGCCTTCAACAGATTGAATGAGGCCCGTCTACACTGAGGAGGACAATCTGCTTTACTCCTTCTACAGATTCAGGTGTTATTCTCATCCAGAAACATCCTCAAAGATATACTACAATAAGGTTCAACCAAATGTCTGGGTGTCCCATGATCCTGTGAGGTTGACATATAAAGTCCACTGTTACAGTAAGTGACATAAGTAAAGCATGGCTTCAAGTCTGTTGGAGTCCATTGTGAATCCTAACCAGTGTGCTATGCTGTCTCAAAATATGCAGGAGCTACTGGGGACCAAAGGAGAGTTTAGGGAGAGTGTGATGGGAGCAAATACACTGATACAATTGCAAGGGCAGCTTCCTAGTTCACTCCAGGAAGTCAAATGCTCCCTGAGAAGTGACATAAGGCAGTTATAAATTGAATCATATTTTGATGTAGTTATAGTGACTCTTAACCACCTATTTAAAACGATAATACAAAATATCTTTATTAAGTGAATAAGGCATTAAATTACTTCTAAAAATTTTACATGCAAAAAATATGAAAGATTAAAAAGGGATGTTCAGATGCATTAGTAGTATAAGAATAGAACTCCCAAACCAGCAATCTCTGACGTTCTGGTACATTGGGCTTTCTTCAACTAGAACTCACATATGTGTAATTAACTCTGCTCATAGTGGCAAGGAAATATAATTCTATGTGCAAACATATTTGTGAAAATTGATATGCTGATATATTTTTATATATTTACTCTAGCTCAAATAATTGAATGGTTAATTTAACTATTGTGAATAACACTCCAAAAAATGTTTCACTTTTTTGGCTAATTTAACAGCAATTAAATGAACTGTTAATCTCTTTTTTTCAAAATTACAGAACTTGTCTTATAATGCATTTGAAAGCCTCTAATTTCCTGTGTATCAAAGAGTGAAGTTTACTCTTTCCATTTTAGATTTAACAAAAGTAGTTAACTGGGAAGATCTAAAGAGAAGTAATTCCAAACAGGATTTCCATTTTACATGGAAATGTGACAAGAAGAATTAAAAGGAGCAGAATGAGGTAATGAAGGGAGAGGTGAAGAAGGACAAGAAGGAAGTGGGAGAGATAGAGGAGCTTGTTTAAGGTTTAATGATAAGAATAGTAAATAACCATGAGGTCATTAGAAATAAAAACAATTTTAGATACTTTGTAATCCACTGCTATTCCAGATTCATATACCCCTGTAAAACTGCTAACAAGGCCTGCTCTTCCCATAGTTCTACTTTCAACTCGTCTTTAAATATAAAGATGAGAAAATGTCAAATGCTTTTCCAAAATCAAGCTATAATATATCTAGAGTAGAGCACTCCCCAGATTTTCTAGTCAAATAAACACTGCCTAAAAAGGAACTGAGTCTGATCTGGCATTAGTTTCTAGTAAATTTATTCTATAATCACTGCATTCTTTTCTTAGATTCATAAAGTGTCTGTTTATTAATCCATTTAAGAACTTGACCAGAGTTTGTCATAGTCACATGTCAATTCTATGGCTTGGAGTTTTTCTGCTCTTTGATATTTGCAAGATTTCAACTTTGACACCATGTTAATAATATAATAATTAATTATAATAATAATTAATAATATAATTATAATAATAATTAATATAATTATAATAATTAATAATATAATTATAAAATATAATCCCCAATGGTAAACAATCATAAAACCTATTTTTATATAACTTTTTCACTGTACTGCAATATGAAGATTATTCTCCTTGATGAAAATGACATTAGCCAATAGCAGAACTCCCATCCACAGAATTGTTCAAGTAAACACTAGCTGATTCCATGTGATAAAGTACTGCCACTTTCTTTCCTTTTACCACTTAGGATTTTACATTCTTTTCAAGGTAGTGTACATCCACCACACAAATGTAATATATTCATTTATTCAACAAATGGTTATTAAGGAAAGTTTTTGTTTGATTACTATGAGCTAAATGCTGAATTGAACACTGAGAAGACAAAGAAAAATACAACAAAATCTGAGGCTTTAGAGCTGGCACTCTTCTTACCATCACCAAACACCTTTGAATTAAGTAGAAGCCCCATTGTCCTAGTGCATTTTGTGCTGCTGTAAGTGAATACCTGAAACTGGGTAATTTGTAAAGAATAGAAATTTAGTTCTCACAGCTGTAGAGGCTGGGCAGTTCAAGATCAAGATACCAGCAGGTTCAGTGTCTGGTGAGGGCTGCTCTCTGCTTCCATGATGGCCTTTGAATGCTATATTCTCTGGAGGGGCAGTGCACTGTGTTCTCACACGGTAGTAGGTTGAGGGGCAAAAAGCCCTTTTATCATGGCATTAATCCATCATAAGGGAAGAGTCTCGTGACCTAAACATCTCCCAAAAGGCCCCACCTGCCCACACTGTTGCATTGGAGATTACGTTTTCAACATAAGAATTGAGGGGGACACACTGAGACCGTTAACACCCATTAAACACAAATGTTTCCTAAAAATGTATTTTTAAGTTAATCAGAATGAAATTATGGTGACCAAGGATCAGATATTTTACAACAGTGTTTCTCAGAGCCTTTTAACATGCTGATATGCATTGTGAATATGTCAGAGCAGAAAAGAATATATAATGCTTGCCAAACTTACATGGCCTTAAAATCCCCCTTTCCTCCTTGAGACTTATTAAAAGGGTAGGATTTTGCAGAAAGAATTGTTTCCAATATGGCTGGGAAATGATGGGAATAAGGAGAAATGTGTCTTTAGCACTACCCTATCTCTTATTCTGTCATCATCACAGTGGAACTCAAAGGTAATTCCAAGGCAAACAGTGAATAAGTGAATGAGTGAACAATATAGACCATATGCAAGAGGGAACCGACTTTACATAAAGATCTTATAGAAGAAACAGAAATATGTTTTTTATACTTATATGAGTAGCCTAGAATGTACCCTCCACATATGCACAGTGATTCTCAGACTCAGGAGTGCCTGTATACAAACTGGATGGAGAAATTTTGCATCTATATGACCTAAGTTTTCCATTGCTCAGACAGCTCTTTTTCCTTCATAAAATCCTTTTGAACTCTTCAAACAAAGCTCAGTGCCATTCTTTAAAGCAGTGATTCTCAAACTTTAATCTACAGATCATCTATATCAAAACTCTTGGGATGCTCATTAAAAATTGTGAATTTCTTAACCCTACAAAAATTGTACCCTAAAATATGCATTTTTTAAAAAGGATTATTTTAGTGATTCATATGCACAATAGAATTGGAGAAGCATGGAATTAGAATCCAATCTCTCCAACTCTTTTTCCCTTATTTTAAGAAACATCTTCCTATAACTCATCACTTTGAATCTCCAGGGCAATGGGACAGATTGTCACCATAGGTAACAGGAATGCACAGGTGACTCAGAAACACTATTGTGTCAAAAATGGTAACCTCACTAAAATTCAAACATTTTAATGGGGTACAATAATAAGAAAAAACAAGGATGGCTAGTTTGGGATTAATTTCCATCTCATTATTGCACATTGGGAAAGCTCAGAAGTCAGAGGAAAGCAGATAATGAGCCTGAAGATAATGAGATAATATATTTCTAGGCACCTTTAATACATATTTATTTCATAAAAATTTGAAATCAGGATATGGAGTAGAGGGTTCTGGGAAAATGGCCACTGGAGCTCACATCCCCAGCCCCATCCTCCACAGCTCCTTGTTAAAGAGGTTTAACAAATAAATTAATCTTGCTGTTAAATACTCCAGAGAAAAGCACAGTTAGGTATTTCATTTTGGTAACACCTGGGAGACAATCAATAGACCAACAGACTTGGGGTTAAGGCTACTGAGAGTTTTGGTGGCAGACACTGATGGAATCTCTGTTGTGGAGTGGAAACGTGGTTTTCGCACTTTGCTTTTCTCTGGGAGTACCCTATTTAATAAGCCAAATCTTGAAGAAGGTGTACTCATAAACTGACTTATTTGTGACCCAATGGTCAAGAAGAGCCATTTCTCTTCTGCTTGGTACTAAAGAGGGCTAACCCGAGAGGAGTTTTTCCCTATTGCCCAGTAGAATATTCTGTTTTTCCTACCTGAACAACCTACAGAAAGCTCTCCAGGACCCCACAGCCTGAAAGGTTCCAAAACCTATCTGTGCTATGCTGAGATTAATTATACCTACGGGTAGGCAAAGAAAAATCACAAACCATTGATGTAAACACCATAAACACATTAACTAGAAGAAAAAATATTCCATGTAAACAATGAAGGACTAGTATCTAAAAATATAAAGAACATTTACAAAACAAGAAGAAAAAGTTAAACCCAAAGAAAAAGTTAATACAAAATGTGGGCAAAGATTATAGAAAAGCAATACAGAAACACTCAACGTAAGAAAAACCCATGCACATATCTATAAAGAGACATGTACAGGAATATGTATTTCAAAATTACAGAAAAAATTTAAACAGCCTATTTTTAAATTGCTATTTATTCATGTAGCTCAATATTGAATTAAAATGAATGAAATACTGACACATGAATCGACATGGATAAATCTCAAAAACCTAATATTATATGAAAAAAGCAAGTATATGGATTATAAATATACAATAATACTATGCACACAAATTTTTTAAACCATAAAATACTACGTTTCTATTATGTATACATAACATACATAATATACAGACAGACTAAACCCACATAGGAATAACAAACAACAAATTGAGGATAACAATTACTTCTCTCAAAAAGGGGAAGAAAATAACAGTGTCGCTACTGAATCTCTAATGTGTTACTTCTAAACAAGCCAAAACAGGAGGAAGAAAATAAAGCAAAATCATATGTTCAAAATTTTACTAGTTTTTTCTATGTTTCTATATGCTTTAAATATTGTATTTGATGTAAGAACACTATAGTAAGACCTCAGCATAGCTGAGTATCAACTCGAGTTTTCAATTTGGAAAAAAATTACCAAATCTAAATTATAATAAATAAAAAAGATACATCTAGACACAACTTATGAAATAACTGAACTCTAAAGATAAAGCTGATTTTACAGGCTTTCAGACACAAAGAACTAAAAACAAACTCTTAGCAAAGATATAACTCTTACATAAAAGCAAAATAGATATGTTAAAACTACAAATTAGCATACATTATTGTGTATATACAATATTCATACAAAAAGCACTCTCTCTACAGACACCTGATAATGCAATTAAAATTTTAAAATAAGGTTAATTATAATACTGTTTCATAAGTCTTTCCTGCTCCATAGTCATGATCAATTTCTTTTTCTAAATATTAAATAACTATATTCTAGCAATACGCTTTAGAAGTTTTTGTTTAGAAGAAATTTCAGATGTATTTGTCTATAGTTTCTATATTATAGATGTATGTGTTTTGGCATGGCTCCAAGACTTCACATTAACTTGGTAATTATTGAAGTGATTCTGTTATCACATGTTCTAGTTTTTCCAGTACACAAAGTTAAACAGTGTCTAGGCCTGAGACAGGAACGCAGTGAGAGCTGCGAAATGGCTTCATAATTACTCCTCGGCAAACTTGAGTCTCAATTTAACCTTAAGCAAGTAAATATCAGATTATAACTTTATACATATATATATATATATATTTTTTTTTTTTTTTTTTTTTTTTGAGACAACGTCTCCCTTTGTTTCCCAGGCTGGAGTGAAGTGATGCAATCTCTGCTCACTGCAACCTCCACCTCCCCGGTTCAAGCGAGTCTCCTGCCTCAGCCTCTCCAGTAGCTGGGATTACAGGCGCCTGCCACCGCGACTGGCCAATTTTTCTATTTGCAGTATAGATGGGGTTTCACCATGTTGGCCAGGCTGGTCTCAAACTCCTGACCTCAAGTGATCCGCCCACCTCGGCCTCTCAAAGTGCTGGGATTACAGGTGTGAGCCATGGCGCCTGGCAAATCATCTCATTTGAAGACTGTTTTCCATGAAGAAAAAGATGACAGGAAAAAAAAATTCAAATGGGTCTGCCTTTTCTGCTGTGGTTAACTTTATCCCGTCATCTCCAAACAGAGATGTTACTCTTATTTTTCTTATTACTATAAAGATAGAGGCTTTACAATTCTTATTATCATAAGGATAACTATTTCTAATGTGTCAGAATTTTTTTAAAACCTCAGCTCATTTCCCATCCTTGCTTCCCAGATCTCATTTTTATCAGTAGCACAACTTTTACCTATTCACCCTAAGATTTATACTTCTGTTCATATTTTTTAAATATGCTATAAAATCTAAAGACAAAGGAGGAAAAGGTTGTGTTTTATTTTCTCTATAATCACTGTATTTTTTATAAAAAGTCAAATAAAGAGCCGGGCACGGTGGCTCACGCCTGTAATCCCAGCACTTTGGGAGGCCGAGGCGGGCGGATCATGAGGTCAGGAGATCGAGACCATCCTGGCTAACACGATGAAACCCATTAGCCGGGCGTGGTGTCGGGCGCCTGTAGTCCCAGCTACTCGGGAGGCTGAGACAGGAGAATGGCGTGAACCCAGGAGGCGGAGCTTGCAATGAGCCGAAATCGCGCCACTGCACTCCAGCCTGGGCAACAGAGAGAGACTCTGTCTCAAAAAAAAAAAAAAAAAAAAAAAAAAAAAAAGGTCAAATAAAACTGTTTTTTACGTCAAAAAAGAAAAAAAGACATTCTGACATGCAGGAAATAATGTATATACCTTCTGTAATTATTCATAACTCTTGAGGAAAATACTAGACATGCTCCTACCAAATGACAAATTAATAAGAACAAAGTTTCAGAATAAGACAAAAAAATTAAATGAAAAAGTGGAGAGCAATATATATATATATGTGTGTATATAGCAATGTGTAATGTGTATATGTATACACACACACATATATACACACACATATATACACACATATATGTGTATGTATACATATATATTTAAATTTGAGGATATATATAAACCGGTATGACTGTGAATTATAACAAAAGTATTAAATAAAGATTCTCAAAGACTTTTCATAGTTCAAAAATAAAAATTCCTTAAACCTAGAAATTGTGGTAGCATTAAATAAATGCATCCCTGGCCGGGCGCGGTGGCTCACGCCTGTAATCCCAGCACTTTGGGAGGCTGAGACGGGCGGATCACGAGGTCAGGAGATCGAGACCATCCTGGCTAACACGGTGAAACCCCGTCTCTACTAAAAATACAAAAATTAGCCGGGCATGGTGGCGCGTGCCTGTAGTCCCAGCTACACGGGAGGCTGAGGCAGGAGAACGGCGTGAACCCGGGAGGCGGAGCTTGCAGTGAGTCGAGATCGCGCCACTGCACTCCAACCTGGGCGACAGAGCGAAACTCCGTCTCAAAAAAATAAAATAAAATAAAATAAAATAAAATAAAATAAAATAAAATAAATAAATAAATGCATCCCTAACATCTTCCTCAGTAGAGATTTTGGTCATGTAAAATGTCCTGTGCAGGCTAGTAATTATTTAATGTTGCTCAGATGGTGGATATATATTTACATATATGGTTACAACGGGAATCTAACTAGTAATAGAATGTGCAATACAATCGTATTTCTAAGTTAAAATAGGGAGAAAAGGAGGAACAGAAAGAAACTCAGTCAAGTCAGCATAAGAAAAAAAAGTTGGAAATGAAGGGAATAAAACAAAATTCACTCAATAATCAGCTTAAAATATAATAAAAATATTTTAAGTATTATTTATCACAGTAAATATGAAGCGTTGAATTTAGGCAATGGCAAATACTGTAAGATTGAATAAAATAAGGAACTCTAGCAGCATTCATTTAGAATTCTCACATGTAAAACAATATATCAAAGACCAGTTGAAAACAAGAAAATGAACAAATTATAGAAGTACAAACAAAAGGAAAATGGAGTGCAATATTAACATCAGGTAGAGAGCAATTCAAGGTCAAAGACAGGAAAAGAGACTCATCATACCTAATGGTTATTTCGTACTTGCTATTTAGGTTGAACCATATAAAATTGTCATTTTTAGATCAAAAGTAGTCAAATATTGGCAACTTCAAGAATGTCAAAATAAAGTTATTAAAGTCTTTAAAAATTAAATCAAACCCATCACTGATTATAATTCTAGTAAAGCAAGCATTATTCAACACTGGGCAATGTCTAACATTATTAGAAAAAAGAAAAGATTTTTAAAAACCATAAGATTATATTAATAGATGCCAAAATACATTTGCTAAAATTTAGTATTAACCATTTCTAACAAAACCTCTAAGAAAAATAAGACTAAGAAAAAAAACTAAGATGCAAAAACTATAAAAATTAATATTAAATATTTTTATACTATGAAATGATAAAGACAATCCAAAGAAAATCAGAAATAATATGAATATGATTATTGCCACTGTATTCATTCACCTTGCTTTTAATAAAATAAGGGCAGGATTTCTTTTTAATAAGCATAAATATATGAAATTGAGAAAAAACCAGTATTTTTATTTCCCAATTATATGATTAGCTTTGGGAAAAAAATCCAGCAGATTCTTCTGAAAAATTTTAGACTTAATAGAAGAGATTAGCACTATAGGTGAATAACTCAATAGCTTTTAAAAATATTCTTATTAGGCAGTTAAAAATGGAAATAGGGAAGAAAACCACAATAACTGTTGACTGTCAACTGGCCAACCAGTCTGTTAAAATAATTTTCATCAAGTAAAGCCAAGTTAATTGTTTACTGCATTAAGAGAGACCACAACCTCCACAGACTCTTAGTAGAATCATCATATAATGGTTTAGGATTGATGGAAAAAGCAAAATGACAGTTTTGAAGCAAATCGTAAAGAGTAAAACCCAACTAAGTAAACTAATTTTTCTGAAAAGAAGGCTGTTTATCCTAATGAGACCAAGTTGCATAGAATTTGAACAAATGAAATTTCTGGAAATCTCTGAAACAAATAACATAATTATTCTCAATGTTATTATCTTGAGCAAAAATTTCCTGGAATAATAATGTTCTGTTAGTGCAGATGATCAAACAGTAAAGTCACCTTAATAGACAGTCTTAGTCTTAATCTTATTAACCTATGGCTGTTAGTAGGTGGTCCTGTATCTGATGTAGAATCTGTTGTTCTGTATCTCATGGCCAAAATTATAAAATCCATAAGACTAAATGTAAGAAGATAGATATAATACATATAAAAACTTGTAAAAATATAATATAAAACAGATTTGAATGGGAAACAGAATAACTGAAATGTGTTCTAACTATTACATAAATTTAATGCAATTTTAATCAAAATCCTTAGAGAAATTCCAGGGAAAGGAGTTTCTAAAAACTGATTTTACATTTGTTATAAGCAAGTATATTTGAAAAATTGCTTTACAATTTTGAAAAAAATGAGGTATAATTAACTCTACAATATGGTAACATTTATTATAAATCTTTATTCAAAGCTATATGGAATTAACCCAAGAATAAATAGCTAAATTAGTGAACGTACTAGAGATTATAGAAACGTATTTTAGAGAAATAGACTTATCTGGGAAGTTAATATATTATATATTTGGCATTTTAATGAGTACTAAAAAGAACTTTAATTTGTTGTATAGTTTTATGTAATTGCCATCCACCCAAAAATAAAATATATGAGTCACTTCTTCACAATATAAACAAACATAAATTCTAAATGAAATAAAGTTCTAAATGATAAAAACAGTTAATTGTAAAATTTTTAAAAAAGTTAGGAAAATATTTGCCTAACATTAAGATGAATATGAACTTTTGCCAGGCAGAAAAACAAAAACTGAAAGACATGAAAATTATACATTTGACTGTTTTAAAAAATCATGTAAAAACACAAGTATCAAAGTCAAAGGCAAGAAATGGACTAAAAGAAAATTGTTTTAACAATATGAAAATAAAAATATTAATATTTATGATAAGATGAGGACAAGACAAATCATCCAACAGAAAAACAGACACAGAATATAAGCAGGTCTTTCGAAAAACAGAAATGGCAAATAGACAATAAATGTAAAAGAATGCTTATCATAGCTAGTTGTCAAAGAAATGCAGTGATGTGCCATTTTGCACACATCAAATTTGCATAGGCGGAAAGAAAACACCTAATAGGCTACATATGGAAATAAGTACTCACATTCTGTGGGTAAGATTATATATTGCCATAGCTTTCTAAGTCTACTAAAATTAAAAAGACACATATTTTGAGCCAGCAAATCTTGTTTTGAGGATTCATCACACAGATACAAATGTACCAGGTTACAAGTAATTTGTAGCTGTATTTATAGTAATAATTAAGCATAATATATATTTATATAAAATAAATTAGATATAATTTAATCATCTTTATTTACATCTTATTTTTATTTACTGTGGTTTCCTTACCAGTTTAAAAAATAGGGACATAAACAGAACAATCATCAAATGGTGAATAGTTGTCATGATTTTAACTCTTTCTATAATCATTTAAAGTTTATCATTTTTCAAGATAGAAATTTAAAAACAACTACACTAAGCTAAATTTCAAGACAATTGTACAACACTATTACTTCATATTCAATTTATCCTAGAATTTATCTACAACTACTTTTCACTTGTGAGGTATCATTCTTTTCTTAAATTGTACAATTGCTAAATTATGTAAGGATTGTAACAAATTAGCAGACATTAGAAAAAAAAGCATAAATATTCCTTTTTCAACCTAAAATTCCATATATTCAAAGTGTAGCAGTAACTTCACCAAATTGCCTCTTTTTCCAAATATTTATGTGACTCTTCTTAACCAAACTTGAAAAAAAAAAATCATCTTCAATACTTCACTCTATTTGTATGCACTCTTTCTAGGCCCTACTACTTATCAGTTGAACAATGTTTTGTATTTATCTCTTCCATTTCATTCTAACAGTCGTTATTGTTGTCAAAATATTTATCATCTTACACCTAAATAAATGACATAATTTAAAACCCGTCTCCTTATAGCTATTCTCTGTCTTGGCATCCCCTCTGCCCAAGTTCTTTTTCAAACTACTACTCTGCTCTCCGTCCAAGTGCCTATCATCATTGCTTAATATGACAAATACCAACAACTCATTTTGCCCGGCTTTTAAGTTCTTCTGTATCATACATTCCTTCTCCCTTAATAGTCTCGGTCTTTGCAATAGTGGCCTTCCACATTCATCCAGAATAGCATCAAGATCAAAGCATGCACAATGACAAACTGTGGTTGCCCCAATCATGCTAGAAATTTAATAACCTCATAAAATAGTAGACTGTGACTTTTATCCAGAGCAGAAACCAGGTGCACTTTAAGAGAAGAGCGGAAAAAGACTCTTTTCTATTGTCCCAAGCAACTTAGCTCCATCTCAAACTTACAATCCCACTCCCACAAACAAGCCCTGACACCTACCAAATCTATCCTCTGAAGAACTAAGTTTAAGGATCATTCATAGCAACTCCAGTTCTTATTAAAATACTCTTCTAGGAACATAGAGTATTCATTCTCTCCGAAAGAAAGTCTAGAAAAAATCAGCTTTCTCCATCTTTTTGTATTTCAATGGTGTTTTTCCTCCTGAGTGTTGTTTCAACTCCACTTAGGCAAAGGTTCCCAGGATGACTGCCTGTTTGTCCTACTGCTTAAACTGTCCTTACACACAGTTCTTTATCACTACATACTTCTGCTCTCCCAGACATAGAAGGTTTCCCTCTTTCCTGCCTGCCTACAGAAATAAAATTTACTCAGAAGTACTGACTTGAATTTCGCTCTGGCTTAAAGCCTTTTCTAACTAAATCAGAATATATATTTTCCCTTTGGCAAATTATTGTTCTGTTACTGTCTTACCTATGCTAGTTTTGTCTCCTGGCAGGAATTTCAAGTTACCAGTGATCAGGCACCCCATGTTTTCTTTATTTCTTTTGTATCTCTCTAATCACATAGCACAAGCACAGTGACCAGTACGTACCTGTTTATCAATTGAATACTGAAAGCCCTAACAATTGATTTAACAGATCAATGTAAAAACATACTTATAACCAAGAGTAAGTTGAATTGCTAACTGATTATTTTTTGTTATTTTCAATCATCTCTTGCAATATCACAAAAAGTCCGCACCAAATAGTGTATAAATCAAGAATAATCTGTTCACCACTTACCCAATATATTTGACAGTATCACAGGGTTTTGGAATTTTTATTTTTTGGAATTTCCTCCCCCAAAGATTGTACCTGCAAACACCAAAAGCCAATCACTGTGTTTCAATTACAATAAAATGATACACCATGGGGAAATGCAGGAGTCCAAGAAATACTCAGAAAGAAGAGAAGCAAGACAAAGTTTCTGTGGACCAAAATGAAGGCTGTTGAGGCAGAAAAAAATTGATAAAAGTTTAGCTAAATGTGAAGATTGAACCAGGAAGACACACCAACAAAATTAGGCATGTTCCAAAATCTGTTACAAGTTGAAATATTTTTATAAGAAAGTATAGGAAAAGGAAGGGGGACTCCTCATACCAAAGTTGTCCTTTTTTATTGGAGGGCACAATACAGAGGTGACAGTCATTGGCTACAGATGACAACACACAGGCTAAAATGTTTCACGTGCAAGATAATCAGCAAAACTTTATGATTCAGAAAAAAGCCAGTGTCTTATTCCGTGTCAATAGGTTACGTATTCGTCAGTATAACAGTTTGAGGGACTCACAATAAGATTTTTTACTCAGGAACAGGATGTCAGCTACTAATCACAAGACCATCTCCATGTTGTTAATTTGGAAACCGGCCAAATGGGATCTGTAGGTTATCATGTCTATTAAGATGCTCTCTGGTAAGTGTTTTCTATGTTTTCCAGTGTGAATCGTAATCACAAAAGACACAATCCTGAATGCCATAATCCCAGATCTTGAAGTTCTAAAAAATTAAAATCCCTAAAGTCTAAAATTTCTAAAGTCTGAAATCCTGAAAATCACAATCACAGTATAGTGGCATCATATTAGGTGGAACTATTGCCTTATTATAGTCTGTATTAGGAAGTTAAGCATGGTTTGAGGAGATGGGTATGGGTGCTAAATTGAAAAGGGGTGGCTTTGTGGACTTAATTTTAGGTGTCAATTGGACTGGGTTAAAGGATACCTCAAAATCTGATAAAGCATTATTTTGGGTGTGTCTGTGAGAGTGTTTCCAGGTATTAGTGTGTGAGTCTGAGTGGAATGTGTGAGGAAGATCTGTCCTCAATGTTAGAGGGATGGTATCATCCAGTCCACCGGGTCCTGGAAAGAACAAACACAAAAGGTGAGTTTGACCCTCTCTGAGAGCCAGGACAGACTTTTTTTCTGCTGCCTTGGACATCAGAACTCCAAGCTCACGAGGCTTCGGCCTCCAAAACTTACACCAGTAGCTGCCCCGGATTCCAAGACTTTAGGCCTGAGCCACACTCCTGGCATCCCCAGAGTCTCCAGCTTGAAGATGGCTTGTCATGGGCTTAACATATTGTAGCTACCATAATTGTGTGAACCAATTCCCCTAATAAGTCTTATCCCATATATTTATGTGTGTATGTCCTATTGGTTTTGTCTCTCTGGGGAACCCTATCTAATACAGATTTGGTATTGGGGAAGATGAATATCATTCCTGATTGTATTTCTTACAACACAATGGAGAGATTTGTGAAAATTGTTCCCTTGCAAAAAGGCTATGATAAGTGTACAAGGCTATTTAACAGTGAAAGACAAAAGTTTAAAAGATAATTATTATTGGTGCTGGGAAGGCAGAAAATTGCTTACTTGTGACAGCCAAGCAATAACCAGACTTTCATAGGGTGTGTTAGTCTGGGTTCTCTAGAGGGACAAAACTATATATATAAAGGGGAGTTTATTAAGTATTAACTTACACGATCACAAGGTCCCACAGTAGGCTGTCTGCAGGCTGAGGAGCAAGGAGAGCCAGTCTGACTCCCAAAACTGAAGAACTTGGAGCCTGATGTTCAAAGGCAGGAAGCATTCAGCACAGGAGAAAGATGTAGGCTGGGAGGCTAGGCCAGTCTCTCCTTTTCACATTTCTCTGCCTGCTTTATATTCGCTGGCAGCTGATTAGATTGTGCCCACCAGATTAAAGGTGGATCTGCCTTCCCCAGCCCACTGACTCAAATGTGAATCTCTTTTGGCAATGCCCTCACAGACACACCCAGGATCAATATTTTGTATCCTTCAATCCAATCAAGTTGACACTCACTATTAACCATCACATAGGAACAGCATATACTTACAAAATTGGTAAGCCAGAACCACCCTCCAAATACAAGTGCAGCTAGTTTTTTGAAGATCACAGAAGTTAAAAGTGAGGAGAAATGTACAAGAAATCTTCCCCTGACAAATCAATCATATTCAGCTTCTGCCCCAACACGCATAGTGTCATGCTTGCCCTCAAAAATGCCCCTTTGGAGAAGAAAAACGATTTGACGAACTCAGCAATTTTCCGAACCAAAGACACTTGCTGATATTGAGCTTTCTCCAGTGTTATAAAACACATTAAATGGTGAAGTATTCTTGATTGGAGATTTGACTATCAAAGAAAATACACTTCTTATATTTACCACTAAGTCTAATGCAGAAAAACTAGCAAATGTTTCACTTTGGCTAATGGATGACACTTTCAAAATTGTCCCTACTGTTTTCATCAGCTATATACAATTCATACCCCTGTTGGTTTCAAAAATTCTAGAACTTATCTCCTTTATGTATTAATGACTGAAAAAAGTGAAGCACTATATAAACACTTATTTGAAGATTTGGTGAACTTTACAGAAGAAAATGGATTTCAACTGAATCCCCAAACTGTAACAACAGATTTGGAATTAAGTGCAATCAAGGCTTTTAAAAATGAATTTCAAAGTATTACCAATAAAGTTTGTTTTTTTCCTTTCAACGCAATCCATTTGGTGAAAACTGTAGATAAGTAGATTGGCCATGTAATACAGCAACAACAAAAACTTTAGCTTTAAAATGCATCATTTGCCTAAATTGGCATTCCTTCCAGCTGATGACATTCTGGGAGCTTTTAATGAATTAAAGCTTCATTTGCCTGAAGAAGCCAGTGCAGTTGCTGACTGGTTTGAAAATTACGTGCATGGTAGCATCAGAAGTCACACAGCACTGTTGCTGTTGGATCACTAGTATCGTTTCCACCAATTTTGTGGTCAGTATACTAGTGTGTTTGGAATTTACTTCCATATACCCAAAACAGCATAGAAGCATGGCACAGAAGGTGGGAAACTTTAATAGAGAATGCTTATGTCAGTGCATATAGAATCAGAGAAGAATTTCAAAAAGAACCGTGCCACATAGAAAATGAATGTGGGCTGGGCACAGTGGCTCAGGCCTGTAATCCCAGCACTTTGGGAGGCCGATGTGGGCGGATCACGAGGTCAAGAGACAGAGACCATCCTGGCCAACATGGCGAAAACCCTGTCGCTACTAAAAAAAAAAAAAAAAAAAAAAAAAAATTAGCTGGGTGTGGTGGCAGGCGCCTGTAATCCCAGCTACTCAGGAGGCTGAGGCAGGAGAATCACTTGAACCCAGGAGGTGGAGGTTGCAGTGAGCCGAGATGGTGCCATTGCACTCCAGCCTGGACAAGAGCGAAACTCCATCTCAAAAAAAAAAGAAAGAAAGAGAAAGAAAGAAAAAAGAGAAGGAAAGAAAGAGAGAGAGAAGAAAGAGAAGAAAAAAGAAAAGGCTTTCCTAAAGTCCAAGATGTAAAAATGCAAGCAGCAAGATGTGTATTAAACATGTTTTGTTCCTTTTCCACAATAGAACTCCCCTTTCCTTCCCCATCATCTGTTAATGAAAACTTGTTTGAAACTTTCTGTAGGTCATTTTTAGATATAAATTTTAGAATTAAATATTTACCATATTTTCCTGCCAAAATTGAAATCAGTTGTCTTATTTCTGATTTTGTATGAGACAAATACCTGTTAAAGCCATCACCCAATTACTGAGGATACTTTTATGATTTTAGTTAACTTAATGAGCTCTCCATCACATTTTATGTAAGAATTGTTTGAATTTGAAGCTAAGACAAATGGAGCTTTTATGTTGGTACTTATTATATTTTAAGTATAAATATACTTATAAAATTATAAAAATTATTTAAAATTAATATATTTTAAAAGTAAATTTTAATATATTTAAATTTTTGAAAATTATATTTTAAATGTAAAGTACTTTATTAAAATATTATTTTTCTTTAAGACCTCTATTCTACTTTTTCTTTCTAATGATATATATTTAATTTTGCAAAAGTATTTCCAAATGATGCCAGGGAGGTGGAAATTTATGCCAGTCCTAACTACCTTTCAGTAATTAGAATCCAAGAATTATTAAAACCTTTTTTTCTGAAATTAATCAGCAGCTCTACCATTGCCTGCTAATTGATCATAACGTGAAAAAGGGCAGAAGTAAAGATGAATTACCATGCAGGGGTATTCATAACATAAGGATAACTGCAATGAGGAACCTCTAAAAAACAGATCAGTCAGTTTGTTCTCTTCTCTTTTCAATGACCAACCATGAAATTTTCCTTCCAAAATCATGCAACAATTGCTTCTAAAAGTGACTTCAGTGAAATGAAGCATTGGCTGAGTTTAATGCATGTGCTTCACAATCTAAAACTAGCTTCACTTGATTGCTGAATTCTGTGGTTCTATGGAAACTTTGGTTCTCTTTTCAATGGCATAATGAAACTCATAACCAACCTTGGAGACATACTTAAGAGAAGATATTTCTCATATAATTTTTACAAACATTTTCTCATAAAAATTTTTCTCACCACCTGCCAGATTGTGACTCCTGATAACTATTCACTCAATCAATGCCCAATAATTCACTCTAGTGAATTAGGTTAAAAGGAACTTTACTAGGGGGACTATAAATGGTGGCACAGGAAATCTAATTTACTAAAATTTACTAAAAAGAAAAAAAATACATAACATCCCCTCGCAGTTGTTTATTTATTACTTCAGAAAACGTCTTTACTGAAAGCAATTTGCTCATATTAACTAAGGTCTAACTTTAGCATTCTCCCCTTTACATACAGAGAAACACATAGAAAATTAAATATAATTATATTTGAGGAATGTAATTTAAGTAGAACCCCAATTTTTTAATGCTAAATATAAAATCTCAGAAAATATTATAATCAGAAATACAGAGAGAATAATCTTGGATTGAAATTATTTAGTATTTTAATAAAATACTTAATAAAAGATATGCTTATAGGTACTTTGAAAGAGTAGCACTAACAAAAATGGAAAATTTAGGATTTAAAAAATTACAGAAATGATCTAGGCAAGCTAAATTTTCTGTAGAAATAAACATATTTCTGTTGACCTGTTGTCTCTATTTTCTGAATCATGGAACTTTAAAAATTTCCATATACTTCCAGACATGGAGAATATGTCACAGTTTGATCAATGAACCGGTTTGGATGATGGATTGACAATAAGAATGGGCAAAGGTCTTGAGTTTAGCTAATATCGAGGGATTGGACATGTATATTGATATAGCTATGCAAGAATTAGTCAGCCAAAATAAGATAAAATCATGATTTGGTATGTCCATGTTAAACTCATGGTAGACAGGATTCAAAGGTCAAAAAGACCAAAGAATAAACACATGACCTCTCATTTTACTTTCTTCCTGGAGTGGGAATCCCTGTGCCTACAAATACTCATCATGGCCAGAAATTGCTCAGAAACCTACAGTTAAACCCTGTCCCTCACTGGGGCAGGATAATGATACTTAGATTCGTTGAATATTATATATTGAACACCATGTGCATGGCACTCTGTGAGGTACTGTATATATAAGAAGGGCAAAACACACATAATTCCTTCCCTTATGAGCTTACAATATAGAGGCCAACACAAAAATCAAAGACACAAATATACATATAAAGGACTGAATAGTGTAATAAGGAAAAATGTAGAGTGCTGCCTTACGTTGAGGTCTCTAGAAACAGAGCCTGAAATCAGGATTCTTGTGTGAGTAAGTAATTGAGGAAGTGTTCTCAGGAAATCAGGATAAGCAGGGAAGAAAGCTAAGCAAGAATGTGGTCTCAGCTGGAAACTGACTTGAACTTCACCCCATGGGGAGCTCTGGAGAACATGAATTATACCACTGAATTATGCCACATTGAGGCCAGGATATGTCCTTTTTGTAATCCTGGTCATTTAGTCACTGGGTGAGGGCCACCAGATAGAGTGGGGTTGACAGGAGGAAGCAATTTTTTTGTAATGCTATCCGAGTTAAGATCTGAAGGTTTTATAGCATTTACCTTGGAAAAGAAAAGGAGTAAGAACATTCAAGGTAGCAAAGAGGTCTCTGGTCACCAAAGATCATGAGAAGATGATGCCAGCCAGTGCAGTACAGACAGCCCGAGAAGTGGTAGATTGTGCAGAATCATAGAGGCCAAGTCAAAAATTTTGGTTTTAATCCTAAGCGGATTGGGCAGCTTTCAAGCGTTAACAGTAGGGGAGGCACTTAAACATACATGAATTTTTAAAAGAGTATTAGAGAAAAAGAATCAGAGTGGGTTAAGAGTAGGTCTTGGAATATCATCTGCTGACAATTATAGGAATAGAAAAAGAAATAATGGTGGTTTTAACTAGAATAGTGATTGCACACATGAATATAAATGGATGCAAGAGATAATTACCATGTTAAACTGATGGAATATGGTAGTGAATGGAAATCATGGAAGGTATAAGGAGGTATAACCATACCATATCAGTCTATTATCTTGTATTATTTTCTTTAGCTATGCTCTGCTACCCAGGAACTGGCACAGATAAAGAGGTCAGTTGATTATTTGCCTGAATATAATGAAAAGGCAAGAGAGCTTATGTCACTGGAGGAGAGTTACTCAAAGCGTGGACCATAGAATTCAAACTGGACCAAAAAGAAATGAAGAAAAGATGAGGTTACTAGTAAGAAGAGATAGAGGCACCAACAGGCAGCCTGGAGCTACTGACTGAGGAGCACAGAGGTTCGCTCTAACTGCTGTGTAGAGCTAGTCCAATAATTCCAACTGTGAAATTGTCCAAATTAAATTTATTTGTAATAAGTTTAGGGAAGTATGCATAAAGGAATTATAGATGATTTTTACAAAGGAAGAAAAATTCTGGCTATAACTACCAAATCTAGCATGATTCAACAATGTAAAGCAATTGTACTCAAAGCAAACCCATCGCTAAGAAGATAGACGAGGAAGCAGTGTGTACTTGTCAGGTACCAGTTAGGCAAATATACGCACTGTGGTACTTACTAGGACAGGACAGTGAATTCTTCATCTCAACACTAAAACAGATGCAAAGAAATTCAAAAAACCAGTTGAGACCCACAAGAAGTCAAAAATCATCTTAGGATGTACTGAGATATGAATCCTGAGGTCACAGTTATTTTGCTGTTTGACTTGCTCGAAAATTGCTTCAGTTCTTCATTTTTGAATCTTTATGCACAACATTTGTGAGTTTTGTGTACATTTTGGAGTCCTCGAATTCCACTAATATCAAGCAAATGGAAACATGAGTGGAATCAGGAAGCAAAATCTGCAATGTGTTCTCCTGGAATGGGTTGGAAGTGCCTGACAAGCTGCTCCAATTGGCAATGTGGATCTTGGATCCATGAAAAACACAGCTGTGTAGACCAGGGTGGAGATCAAAGGTTGGAAAACCTATTTTTCTTTTAATGTTGTGAAAAACCCTATGGTCCAAGAACCACGTATATTTTTGACATAAAGACTGCATAGAGAGAAGTCAAAGGCCTTCAGTTCATAAGTCCCTCGGAAGGACCACATATTAGTGAAAAGATGGAAATGAAAGTGCTTAGATATTTTTAATCACATAAAATTTCAACATGAATTTTGGAAGTCTAAAAATACCTTCAACACAGGCAGAATGGATTTTAACATGCTCCACACTAAACTTTCAGTTCTGAAAATAAATAGCATGCTGTTTATAGCAACACTGGGTTGTTGTTCTGTATTTCTTAAAGGTGATTATAAACGTGTCAAGATTACATTTGGGGTTCCAGAAGTAGAGCTATTCCCATTATCAGAAATGTTTTTTGCTGAGCTTGGACTGCATCTGTATTAATTCTAGTTATGAAAAGGCAAAGTAGAAAAATATGGTAAGGCTATGATCAATCATACTAAAATAATATTTTTTTAAAGTGGCAGTGCTCCATTAACTCATCCTTTCCCTTTTTCTCTAACATGACATCACATTTTCTTTACCTCTTGCTGCTCCAAATAGTCCAATTTTTGTCTCAAAATATCTCTTCCTGAAGCCAAGAAAATCTACAAAACTGTCTCTGATGACTAGACACCTATTCTTCTATGTCCTCAACAGTGTCTACCCTCTCATAATCTCCTGAAATTGAATAAACCACCATTGCTTGATACTCTTTCAAATACGAACTGAAATTGTTAAGTTTTGCCTTCAAGTATGATACCAGATGTGCCAGGGTTGATACTGAAAGGAGGCGCCTTCAGCAATTGAATAAAACAGAACTTTCCACTCCCTGGTGATTCCACAGACTTCGGAAGGGGACAGCCAGCAGTTTATAGAGTTAACCTAAGTAGCTTTCTGTGTCATTTATTTTTATAGGTTCCTCAGTTTTTTACAATTTCTTGGCAGTGTTTTAGATTCCTACTGAATGCCAGTTCTTAAAAATATCTAGTAAGAACTAAAGCAGTGCAGGATGATCAATGAATTATTTTAAATACTTTCTAAAAGTATGCTATTTTTTTTCTGTAATCAACATAATATATTTAGGGAAGTCATTATGGCATATTGAGGACCTGTGTGACCCTAATGAGGTGGGCCTTTAATGCTTTAATTCATGACAGACATATGTTTTAATAATGTTAGCGTATACCATGCGTTTAAACTGATGAGTGTATTATGAAAGTGATTTGCTTTTAATTTGAATAAAGTACTACCAGGGCAATGTATAGTTAAAAGAGTTTCATCTATAGTTAATTATTTAGCTCGGGGATTTAAAGCTGTGCGGTAATGGGCTTCTCATGTTCTTAACAGAAGTTTAGTTCAACCTTTTAAATGCTATCACAGGTTGGCAGCCAGATCTGGTTGGCCTTCATTCTTTCAATTTGTTATAGGCTACCTGCTATCAGCTTCAATACCTAGGTTTGCCAGCTGCTCTCGTGTATTCTGGGTAGCCTCATGCAATGCAGCTCTTATGTACAATTACACAACCATTCCCAACCACTTAAATCTAACATCACCCCAGAACAACAAAGGCAAGTAGGTTCAAACCTATCCCATCCTATGAGTGTACTAATGTGTAAAATAATTTTTATAAAGGTTTTATGTCAAATGTATTCGATGAGTGTGAGAAAAATAAACTTCTACCCTGCCTAAAATCAGAATTGTCTCCCTCTCTCTTGCTATGTAAATATGAATATTCTGCTAAAAACTGGGGTAGCTGTTGCTTTCTGTTGCTCTGTGTTACTCATGTTTTCCAGGCCTGGGAACAGATGGTGCACCACCTGACTCAGAAGAGTCTAATGTAAGATTCATTGTGCTTCACAGGAAATCAAAGATCAAGCAACAATACAGAAGGTGACGCAGCACCTCCTCAACCAGTAACACAGTATGATACAGTCAAGCGGCAAAGGGAGAGGGGAGGGGAGAGAGAAACTTAAAAAAAAAAAAAGAAAAAAGAAAAAAACAAAGAAAGAGCAAAGTAAGTCCACCTGCTTGGAAAACAAAACCTTTAGCCCTTGAAGATTATTATTTGAAAATACAATCAACCTCCATCCCAAACCTTTGTCTAAGATAATAATAACTAACTTTCTCTCCAAAGGACTTTACTTGAATTTGTCAGCACTAAAAGATTTTTCTGATGTCCTTCAAGAAATGTTTTAAATTCAAATCACTTGTAATGCACAGAAGTGGAGGTTGATAGTGATAAGTGTATGAAATTTGTAATTTTAACAAAGCTGTGGAGAAGGGGCCTAGGACAGAATAACTTAGATTATATGGGGTAAGGAATCTTCACAGCTATTTTAAAGAGTAGCAAGTGCATTGTGTAAGCGTTTCAAACACCCTTCTTCACTTAACCTAGAACAAGAGTTGGCAAACTATGGCCTTATGGACCAAATGTGGCCAACTGCCTGTTTTTATAAATAAAGTTTTATTGGAACACAGTCATGTTCTTCAACTTGTGCATTGTATATGGCTGCTTTTGCACTACAGTAGCAGAGATGAGTCATTATAAGAGATCATATGGCCAAGAAAGTTGAAATGTTTATGATCTTCTACAGAGAAAGCATACTGAACTCTGGGCTAGAACATAAACCCCTCTAACAATTGACATATGGACATGAACTTTCATTCCATCTGAGAAGTCAGTAAGAACCCCTATAATAACAGTATCTAACATACTTGACTCACATTTTTTACCTTTTGGAAAGAAACAGTTTCTGGCTTTCTCACCCACTATCACCCACCATCACCAGTTCACAACAGTATTAGCAGAAAAGATATTAAAATGGTTTCTTAATGTTCAGATGCCATCTTCTGACTTCCTTATTAAAAAAATAAAACCCTACATATATAATGCCTGTGGGCAACTATATGCTAATTTGTAGCCTCCCTACCCTTCTGCTGCTAAATTTTTTCAAATCATTTGTTCCTGTCAGGCTGTCACAACAAAAAAAGTTTCAGGCCCTAGACAAATACCACGTGAGGATGTATTCCTAACCTTGTTATCTCTATAACTGGTTGTAACAGAGACTCACCCCCAGAGACAGAGTGGCATTAAAGTACAGTCAAGACATTTACAAATAAATTACTGCCTGAAAAAATCATAATAAGTGAAACAGCATTTCATCCACAAAGAGCACACTTGAAAATCCGTTATCAAAGTCGATTTGCTATTTCCACCCTACATTAGCCTAATGTGATGCACACAAGGCACAGCCGGTGGTGTTCCAGCACAGACTCTCCACAAAATAAGGATTTAAGGATTTCAAACTATCTGAGAAACTGCATTACTGGTCAAGATAATGGCATTTTTATAATAAATGAAAAATAGCAGCTGAAATGCACAAGGGCATGAGATTGGGCATGAACAATCTGGTTTAAACAGAATCCCACCATCTGCCACTACAGGCATCATTCTGAAGCAGGTCAGTGCTGCACCTATTTTAGGTTTTAAATCAGTATCAGCTACAGTGACAGCCATGAGACAGAGGGATAACTTTTCTAACTGTCCTTTTCCATTATTGCATTGACAATAAAAACACCACCTTCCTTGCCAAAAGCTAATTTTGCCCCAACCCAAAAGACACTTTACTCCCAAAAGAACACAATCACAGTAGTTGGAATAGATGACTAGTTGGAAACAATGAGGACACCTTCAGTCTACATTAAACCCTTTATACAGGTGTGGCCGGCAAGATGGACGAATAGAAAGAGCTCTTGTCTGCAGCTTCCGGAGAGATCAATGCAGAAGGCAGGTAATTTCTGCATTTCCAACTGAGGTATCTGTCTCATCTCATTGGGACTGGTTAGGCAGTGGATGCAGCCCATGGAGAGTGAGCAGAGGCAGGGTAGGGCGTTGCCTCACCTGGGAAGTACAAGAGGTTGGGGAACTCCCTCCCCTAGCCAAGGAAAGCCCTGAGGGACTGTGTCGTGAGGAACGGGGCATTCCAGGCCAGATACTACGCTTTTCCCATGGTCTTTGCAACCCACAGACGCCTACACCACCAGGGCCCTGGGTTTCAAGAACAAAACTGGGCGGCTGTTTGGGCAGACACAGACCTAGCTGCAGGTGTTTTTTTTATTTGTACCCCAGTGGCACCTGGAATGCCAGTGAGACAGAACCGTTCACTCCCCTGGAAAGGGGGCTGAGGCCAAGGAACCAAGTGGTCTAAGTCAGCAGATCCCACCCCCAGAGAGCCCAGCAAGCTAGGATCCATTGGCTTGAAATTCTCGTGCCGGCACAGCGATCTGAAGTCAACCTAGAATGCTTGAGACTGATGGCGGGAGGGGCGTCTGCCATTACTGAGGCTCGAGTAGGCCGTTGTCCCCTCAGAGTGTAAAAAAAAGCCTCCTGGAAGTTCGAGCTGGGTGGAGCCCACCACAGCTCAGCAAAGCTGCTGTAGCCAGACTGCCTCTCTAGATTTTTCCTCTCTGGGCAGGGCATCTCTAAAAGAAGGCAGCAGCCCCAGTCACGAGCTTATAGATAAAACTCCCATCTCCCTGGGACAGAGGACCTGGGGGAAGGGGCGGCTGTGGGTGCAGCTTCAGCAGACTCAAATATTCCTGCCTGCCCACTCTGAAGAGAACAGCAGAGATCCCAGCACAGCACTCCAGCTCTGCTAAGAGACAGACTGCCTCCTCAAGTGGGTCTCTGACCCCCGTGTCTCCTGACTGGGACACACCTCCAAGCAGGGGTCGACAGACACCTCATAGAGGAGAGCTCTGGCTGGCATGTGGTGAGTGCCCCTTTGGGAAGAAACTTCCAGAGGAATGAGCAGGCAGCAATCTTTGCTGTTCTGCAGGCTCCGCTGTTGATACCCAGGCAAACGGGGTCTGGAGTGGACCTCCAGCAAACTCCAGCAGACCTGCGGCAGAGGGTCCTGACTGTTAGAAGGAAAACTAACAAATGGAAAGGAATAGCATCAACATCAACAAAAAGGACATCCACACAAAAACCCCATCCGAAGGTCACCAACATCAATGACCAAAGGCAGATAAATCCACAAAGATGAGGAAAAACCAGTGCAAAAAGGCTGAAAATTCCAAAAACCAGAACACCTCTTCTCCTCCAAAGGATTACAACTCTTCACCAGCAAGGGAACAAAACTGGACGGAGAATGAGTTTGACAAATTGACAGAAGTAGGCTTCAGATGGTGGGTAATAATAAATTCCTCCAAGGAAAAGGACATGTTCTAACTGAATGCAAGGAAGCTAAGAACCTTGAAAAAAAATTAGAGGAATGGCTAACTAGAACGACCAGTTTAGAGAAGAATATAAATGACCTGACAGAGCTGAAAAACACAGCATGAGAACTTTGTGAATCATACACGGGTATCAATAACTGAATCGATCAAGCAGAAGAAAGGATATCAGAGATTGAAGATCAACTTAATAAAATAAAGCATGAAGACAAGATTAGAGAAAAAAGAATGAAAAGGAACAAACAAAGTCTCTAAGAAATATGGGACTATGTGAAAAGACCAAACCTACATTTGATTGGTGTACCTGAAAGTGATGGGGAGAATGGAACCAAGTTGGAAAACACTCTTCAGGATATTATCCAGAAGAACTTTCCCAACCTAGCAAGACAGGCCAACATTCAAATTCAGGAAATACAGAGCACACCACAAAGATACTCCCCGAGAAGAGCAACCCCAAGACATAATCGTCAGATTCAGCAAGGTTGAAATGAAGGAAAAAATGTTAAGGGCAGCCAGAGAGAAACGTCCGGTTACCGACAAAGGGAAGTCCACCAGACTAGCAGCAGATCTCTTGGGAGAAACCCTACAAGCCAGAAGAGAGTGAGGGCCAATATTCAACATTCTTAAAGAAAAGAATTTTCAACCCAGAATTTCATATCTAGCGAAACTAAGTTTCATAAGCGAAGGAGAAATAAAATCCTTTACAGACAAACAAATGCTGAGAGATTTGTCACCACCAGGCCTGCCTTACAAGAGCTCCTGAAGGAAGCACTAAATATGGAAAGGAAAAAACCAGTACCAGCCACTGCAAAAATATACCAAATTGTAAAGACCATCCACACCACGAATTAACTGCAACAACTAACAGGCAATATAACCAGCTAGCATCATAATGACAGGATCAAATTCACACATAGAAATATTAACCTTAACTGTAAATGGGCTAAATGCCCCAATTAAAAGACACAGACTGGCAAATTGCATAAACAGTCAAGACCCATCACTGTGCTGTATTGAGGAGACCCATTTCACGTGCAAAGACACACATAGGCTCAAAATAAAGAGATGAAGGAATATTTTCCAAGCAAATGGAAAGCAAAAAAAAAAGCAGGGTTTGCAATCATAGTCTGTCATACAACAGACTTTAAACCAACAAAGATCAAAAAAGACAAAAAAGGGCATTACATAATGTTAAAGGAATCAATGCAACAAGAAGAGCTAACTATCCTAAATATAGATGCACCCAAAACAGGAGCACCCAGATTCATAAAGCAAGTTCTTACAGACCTACAAAGAGACTTAGACTCCCATGCAATAATAGTGGGAGACTTTAACACCCCACTGTCAATATTAGACAGATCAACGAGACAGAAAATTAAGAAAGATATTCAGGACTTGAACTCAGCTCTGCACCAAGCAGACCTAATAGACATCTACAGAATTCTCCACCCCAAATAAACAAAATATACATTCTTCTCACCACCACATCACACTTATTCTAAAATTGACCACATAATTGGAAGTAAAACACTCCTCAGCAAATGCAAAAGAACAGAACTCATAACAAACAGTCTCTCAGGCCACAGTGCAATCAAATTAGAACTCAGGACTAAGAAACTCACTCAGGATCGAGGAGCCAAGATGGCCGAATAGGAACAGCTCCGGTCTACAGCTCCCAGCGTGAGCGACGCAGACGACAGGTGATTTCTGCATTTCCATCTGAAGTACCGGGTTCATCTCACTAGGGAGTGCCAGACAGTGGGCGCAGGTCAGTGGGTGCGCGCACCTTGTGCGAGCCGAAGCAGGGCGAAGCATTGCCTCACTTGGGAAGCCCAAGGGGTCAGGGAGTTCCCTTTCCCAGTCAAAGAAAGGGGTGACGGACGGCACCTGGAAAATCGGGTCACTCCCACCCGAATACTGCGCTTTTCCGACGGGCTTAAAAAACGGCGCACCACGAGATTATATCGCGCACCTGGCTCGGAGGGTCCTACGCCCACGGAGTCTCGCTGATTGCTAGCACAGCAGTCTGAGATCAAACTGCAAGGCGGCAGCGAGGCTGGGGGAGGGGCACATGCCATTGCCCAGGCTTGATTAGGTAAACAAAGCAGCTGGGAAGCTCGAACTGGGTGGAGCCCACCACAGCTCAAGGAGGCCTGCCTGCCTCTGTAGGCTCCACCTCTGGGGGCAGGGCACAGACAAACAAAAAGACAGCAGTAACTTCTGCAGACTTAAATGTCCCCGTCTGAGGGCTTTGAAGAGAGCAGTGGTTCTCCCAGCACGCAGCTGGAGATCTGAGAACGGGCAGACTGCCTCCTCAAGTGGGTCCCTGACCCCTGACCCCCGAGCAGCCTAACTGGGAGGCACCCCCCAGCAGGGGCACACTGACACCTCACACGGCAGGGTATTCCAATAGACCTGCAGCTGAGGGTCCTGTCTGTTAGAAGGAAAACTAACAAACAGAAAGGACATCCACACCAAAAACCCATCTGTACATCACCATCATCAAAGACCAAAAGTAGATAAAACCACAAAGATGGGGAAAAAACAGAACAGAAAAACTGGAAACTCTAAAAAGCAGAGCGCCTCTCCTCCTCCAAAGGAACGCAGTTCCTCACCAGCAACGGAACAAAGCTGGATGGAGAATGACTTTGACGAGCTGAGAGAAGAAGGCTTCAGATGATCAAATTACTCTGAGCTACGGGAGGACATTCAAACCAAAGGCAAAGAAGTTGAAAACTTTGAAAAAAATTTAGAATGTATAACTAGAATAACCAATACAGAGAAATGCTTAAAGGAGCTGATGGAGCTGAAAACCAAGGCTCGAGAACTACGTGAGAATGCAGAAGCCTCAGGAGCCAATGCGATCAACTGGAAGAAAGGGTATCAGCGATGGAAGATGAAATGAATGAAATGAAGTGAGAAGGGAAGTTTAGAGAGAAAAGAATGAAAAGAAATGAGCAAAGCCTCCAAGAAATATGGGACTATGTGAAAAGACCAAATCTACGTCTGATTGGTGTACCTGAAAGTGATGGGGAGAATGGAACCAAGTTGGAAAACATGCTGCAGGATATTATCCAGGAGAACTTCCCCAATCTAGCAAGGCAGGCCAACGTTCAGATTCAGGAAATACAGAGAACGCCACAAAGATACTCCTCGAGAAGAGCAACTCCAAGACACACAATTGTCAGATTCACCAAAGTTGAAATGAAGGAAAAAATGTTAAGGGCAGCCAGAGAGAAAGGTCGGGTTGCCCTCAAAGGGAAGCCCATCAGACTAACAGCGGATCTCTCGGCAGAAACCCTACAAGCCAGAAGAGAGTGGGGGCCAATATTCAACATTCTTAAAGAAAAGAATTTTCAACCCAGAATTTCATATCCAGCCAAACTAAGCTTCATAAGTGAAGGAGAAATAAAATACTTTACAGACAAGCAAATGCTGAGAGATTTTGTCACCACCAGGCCTGCCCGAAAAGAGCTCCTGAAGGAAGCGCTAAATATGGAAAGGAACAACCGGTACCAGCCGCTGCAAAGTCATGCCAAAATGTAAAGACCGTCGAGACTAGGAAGAAACTGCATCAACTAACGAGCAAAATAACCAGCTAACATCATAATGACAGGATCAAATTCACACATAACAATATTAACTTTAAATGTAAATGGACTAAATGCTCCAGTGAAAAGACACAGACTGGCAAATTGGATAAAGAGTCAAGACCCATCAGTGTGCTGTATTCAGGAAACCCATCTCATGTGCAGAGACACACATAGGCTCAAAATAAAAGGATGGAGGAAGATCTACCAAGCAAATGGAAAACAAAAAAAGGCAGGGGTTGCAATCCTAGTCTCTGATAAAACAGACTTTAAACCAACAAAGATCAAAAGAGACAAAGAAGGCCATTACATAATGGTAAAGGGATCAATTCAACAAGAAGAGCTAACTATCCTAAATATATATACACCCAATACAGGAGCACCCAGATTCATAAAGCAAGTCCTGAGTGACCTACAAAGAGACTTAGACTCCCACACATTAATAATGGGAGACTTTAACACCCCACTGTCAACGTTAGACAGATCAACAAGACAGAAAGTCAACAAGGATACCCAGGAATTGAACTCAGCTCTGCACCAAACAGACCTAATAGACATCTACAGAACTCTCCACCCCAAATCAACAGAATATACATTTTTTTCAGCACCACACCAAACCTATTCCAAAATTGACCACATACTTGGAAGTAAAGCTCTCCTCGGCAAGTGTAAAAGAACAGAAATTATAACAAACTATCTCTCAGACCACAGTGCAATCAAACTAGAACTCAGGATTAAGAATCTCACTCAAAACCGCTCAACTACATGGAAACTGAACAACCTGCTCCTGAATGACTGTTGGGTACATAATGAAATGAAGGCAGAAATACAGATGTTCTTTGAAACCGACGAGAACAAAGACACAACATACCAGAATCTCTGGGACGCATTCAAAGCAGTGTGTAGAGGGAAATTCATAGCACTAAATGCCCACAAGAGAAAGCAGGAAAGATCCAAAATTGACACCCTAACATCACATTAAAAGAACTAGAAAAGCAAGAGCAAACATATTCAAAAGCTAGCAGAAGGCAAGAAATAACTAAAATCAGAGCAGAACTGAAGGAAATAGAGACACAAAAAACCCTTCAAAAAATTAATGAATCCAGGAGCTGGTTTTTTGAAAGGATCAACAAAATTGATAGACTGCTAGCAAGACTAATAAAGAAAAAAAGAGAGAAGATTCAAATAGACACAATAAAAAATGATAAAGGGGATATCACCACCGATCCCACAGAAATACAAACTACCATCAGAGAATACTACAAACACCTCTACGCAAATAAACTAGAAAATCTAGAAGAAATGGATAAACTCCTCGACACATACACTCTCTCAAGACTAAACCAGGAAGAAGTTGAATCTCTGAATAGACCAATGACAGGAGCTGAAATTGTGGCAATAATCAATAGCTTACCAACCAAAAAGAGTCCAGGACCAGATGGATTCACAGCCGAATTCTACCAGAGGTACAAGGAGGAATTGGTACCATTCCTTCTGAAACTATTCCAATCAATAGAAAAAGAGGGAATCCTCCCTAACTCATTTTATGAGGCCAGCATCATTCTGATACCAAAGCCAGGCAGAGACACAACAAAAAAAAGAGAATTTTAGACCAATATCCTTGATGAATATTGATGCAAAAATCCTCAATAAAATACTGGCAAAACGAATCCAGCAGCACATCAAAAAGCTTATCCACCATGATCAAGTGGGCTTCATCCCTGGGATGCAAGGCTGCTTCAATATACGCAAATCAATAAATGTAATCCAGCATGTAAACAGAGGCAAAGACAAAAACCACATGATTATCTCAATAGATGCAGAAAAAGCCTTTGACAATATTCAACAACGCTTCATGCTAAAAACTCTCAATAAATTAGGTATTGATGGGACGTATTTCAAAATAATAAGAGCTATCTATGACAAACCCACAGCCAATATCATACTGAATGGGCAAAAACTGGAAGCATTCCCTTTGAAAACTGGCACAAGACAGGGATGCCCTCTCTCACCACTCCTATTCAACATAGTGTTGGAAGTTCTGGCCAGGGCAATCAGGCAGGAGAAGGAAATAAAGGGTATTCAATTAGGAAAAGAGGAAGTCAAATTGTCCCTGTTTGCAGACGACATGACTGTATCTCTAGAAAACCCCATTGTCTCAGCCCAAAATCTCCTTAAGCTGATAAGCAACTTCAGCAAAGTCTCAGCATACAAAATCAATGTACAAAAATCACAAACATTCTTATACACCAACAACAGACAAACAGAGAGCCAAATCATGAGTGAACTCCCATTCACAACTGCTTCAAAGAGAATAAAATACCTAGGAATCCAACTTACAAGGGATGTGAAGGACCTCTTCAAGGAGAACTACAAACCACTGCTCAAGGAAATAAAAGAGGATACAAACAAATGGAAGAACATTCCATGCTCATGGGTAGGAAGAATCAATATCATGAAAATGGCCATACTGCCCAAGGTAATTTACAGATTCAATGCCATCCCCATCAAGCTACCAATGCCTTTCTTCACAGAATTGGAAAAAACTACTTTAAAGTTCATATGGAACCAAAAAAGAGCCCACATCGCCAAGTCAGTCCTCAGCCAAAAGAACAAAGCTGGAGGCATCACACTACCTGACTTCAAACTATACTACAAGGCTACAGTAGCCAAAACAGCATGGTACTGGTACCAAAACAGAGATATAGATCAATGGAACAGAACAGAACCCTCAGAAATAACGCTGCATATCTACAGCTATCTGATCTTTGACAAACCTGAGAAAAACAAGCAATGGGGAAAGGATTCCCTATTTAATAAATGGTGCTGGGAAAACTGGCTAGCCATATGTAGAAAGCTGAAACTGGATCCCTTCCTTACACCTTATACAAAAATCAATTCAAGATGGATTAAAGACTTAAACGTTAGACCTAAAACCATAAGAACCCTAGAAGAAAACCTAGGCATTACCATTCAGGACATAGGCATGGGCAAGGACTTCATGTCTAAAACACCAAAAGCAATGGCAACAAAAGCCAAAATTGACAAATGGGATCTAATTAAACTAAAGAGCTTCTGCACAGCAAAAGAAACTACCATCAGAGTGAACAGGCAACCTACAAAATGGGAGAAAATTTTCACAACCTGCTCATCTGACAAAGGGCTAATATCCAGAATCGACAATGAACTCAAACAAATTTACAAGAAAAAAACAAACAACCCCATCAAAAAGTGGGCAAAGGACATGAACAGACACTGCTCAAAAGAAGACATTTATGCAGCCAAAAAACACATGAAAAAATGCTCATCATCACTGGCCATCAGAGAAATGCAAATCAAAACCACAATGAGATACCATCTCACACCAGTTAGCATGGCAATCATTAAAAAGTCAGGAAACAACAGGTGCTGGAGAGGATGTGGAGAAATAGGAACACTTTTACACTGTTGGTGGAACTGTAAACTAGTTCAACCATTGTGGAAGTCAGTGTGGTGATTCCTCAGGGACCTAGAACTGGAAATACCATTTGACCCAGCCATCCCATTACTGGGTATATACCCAAAGGACTATAAATCATGCTGCTATAAAGACACATGCACACGTATGTTTATTGAGGCATTATTCACGATAGCAAGGCTTGGAACCAACCCAAATGTCCAACAATGATAGACTGGATTAAGAAAATGTGGCACATATACACCATGGAATACTATGCAGCCATAAAAAAGGATGAGTTCATGTCCTTTGTAGGGACATGGATGAAATTGGAAATCATCATTCTCAGTAAACTATCGCAAGAACAAAAAACCAAACACCGCATATTCTCACTCATAGGTGGGAATTGAACAGTGAGATCACATGGACACAGGAAGGGGAATATCACACTCTGGGGACTGTGGTGGGGTGGGGGGAGGGGGGAGGGATAGCAATGGGAGATCTACCTAATGCTAGATGACGAGATAGTGGGTGCAGCGCACCAGCATGGCACATGTATACATATGTAACTAACCTGCAGAATGTGCACATGTACCCTAAAACTTAAAGTATAATAATAAAAAAAAATTAATAAATAAATAAATAAAAAAGAAACTCACTCAGAGCCACACAACTACATGGAAACTGAACAACCTGCTCCTGAAGGACTACTGGGTAAATAACGGAATTAAGGCACAAGTAAATAAGTTCTTTGAAACCAATGAGAACAAAGATACAACGTACTAGAATCTCTGGGACACGGCTAAAGCAGTGGTTAGAGGGAAATTTATAGCACTAAAAGCCCACAGGAGAAAGCAGGAAAGATCTAGAGAAGCAGGAGCAAACAAATTCGAAAGCTAGATCCTTGAGGAATTGCCACACATGAGAAAGTGGGAAAGATCTAAAATCAACACCCTAACATCACAATTAAAAGAACTAGAGAAGCAGGAGCAAACCTATTCAAAAGCTAGCAGATGACAAGAAATAACTAAGATGAGAGCAGAACTGAAGGAGATAGAGACATGAAAAACCTCTCAAAAAAATCAATGAATCCAGGAGCTGGTTTTTTTGAAAAGATTAACAAAATAGATAGACCGCTAGCCAGACTAATAAAGAAGAAAAGAGAGAAGAGTCAAATAGACACAATAAAGAATGATAAAGCGGATATCACCACTGATCCCACAGAAATACAAACTAGTATCAGAGAATACTATAAACACCTCTACACAAATAAACTAGAAAATCTAGAAGAAATGGATAAATTCCTGGACACATGCACCCTCCCAAGACTAAACCAGGAATAAGTCAAATCCCTGAATAGACAAATAGCAAGTTCTGAAATTGAGGCAGTAATTAATAGCCTACCAACAAAAAAAAAGCCTAGGACCAGATTGATTCACAGCCGAATTCTATCAGAGGTACAAAGAGGAGCTGGTACCATTCTTTCTGAAAGGGTTCCAAACAATAGAAAAAGAGGGAATCCTCCCTAACTCATTTTATGAGGCCAGCATCATCCTGATACCAAAACCTGGCAGAGACACGAAAAAAAAAAAAAGACAATTTCAGGCCAATATGCCTGATGAACATTGATGTGAAAATCCTCAGTAAAATACTGGCAAACTGAATCCAGCAGCCCATCAAAAAGCTTATCCACCATGATCAAGTCAGCTTCATCCCTGGGATGCAAGGCTGGTTCAACATATGCAAATCAATAAATGTAATCCAGCATATAAACAGAACCAATGACAAAAACCACATGATTACCTCAACAGATGCAGAAAAGACCTTTGATAAAATTCGACACCCCTTCATGCTAAAAACTCTCAATAAACTAGGTATTGATGGAACGTATCTCAAAATAATAAGAGCTATTTATGACAAACCCACAGCCAATATTATACTGAATGGGCAAAAGCTGGAAGCGTTCTCTTTGAAAACTGGCACAGGACAAGGATGTCCTCTCTCATCACTCCTATTCAACATAGTATTGGAAGTTCTGGCCAGGGCAATCAGGCAAGAGAAGGAAATAAATGGTATTCAAATAGGAAGAGAGGAAGTCAAATTATCTCCGTTTGCAGATGACATGATTGTATATTTAGAAAACCCCATCCTCTCAGCCCCAAATCTCCTTAAGCTGATAAGCAACTTCAGCAAAGTCTCAGGATACAAAATCAGTGTGCAAAAATCATAACCATTTCTATACACCAATAACAGACAAACAGTGAGCCAAATCATGAGTGAACCCTCATTCACAATTGCTACAAAGAGAATAAAGTACCTAGGAATCCAACTTACAAGGGATGTGAAGGACCTCTTTAAGGAGAACTACAAACCACCGCCAAGGAAATAAGAGAAGACACAAACAAATGGAAAAACATTCCATGCTCATGGATAGGAAGAATCAATATTGTAAAAATGGCCATTCTGTCCAAAGTAATTTGTAGATTCAATGCTATCCCCATCAAGCTACCAATGACTTTCTTCACAGAATTAGAAAAAACTACTTTAAATTTCATATGGAACCCAAAAAGAGTCCATATAGCCAAGACAGTCCTATGGAAAAAGAACAAAACTGGAGGCATCACACTACGTGACTTCAAACTATACTACAACCAAAACAGCATGGTACTGGTACCAAAACAGATATATCAACCAATGGAACAGAACAGAGGCCTCAGAAATAATGCCACACATCTACAACCATCTGGTCTTTGACAAACCTGACAAAAACAAGAAATGGGGAAAGGATTCCCTATTTAATAAATGGTGTGGCTAGCCATATGCATAAAACTGAAACTGGACCACTTCCTTACACCTCATACAAAAATTAACTCAAGATGGATTAAAGATATAAATGTAAGACCTAAAACCATAAAAACTATAGAAGAAAATCTAGGCAATACCATTCAGGACAAAGTCATGGGCAAAGACTTCATAACTAAAACACCACAAGCAATGGCAACAAAAGCCAAAATTGACAAATGGGATCTTATTAAACTAAAGAGCTTCTGCACAGCAAAAGAAACTATCATCAGCGTGAACAGGCAACCTACAGAATGGGAGAACATTTTGCAATCTATCCATCTGACAAAGGGATAATATCCACAATCTACAGGGAACTTACACAAATTTACAAGAAAAAAACAACCCCATCAGAAAGTAGGTGAAGGATATGAACAGACATTTCTCAAAAGAAGACATTTATGCGGCCAACAAACTTATGAAAAAAAGCTCAAAACCACAATGAGATACCATCTCACGCCAGTCAGAATGGCGATCATTAAAAAGTCAGGAAACAACAGATGCTGGAGAGGATATGGAGAAATAGGGATACTTTTACCCTGTTGGTGGGAGTGTAATTTAGTTCAAGCATTGTGCAAGACAGTGTGGTGATTCCTCAAGGATCTAGAACCAGAAATATCATTTGACCCAGCAATCCCATTACTGGGTATACACCCAAAGGATTATAAATCATTCTCCTATAAAGACACATGCACATGTATGTTTATTGCAGCACTGTTCAGAATAGCAAAGACTTGGAGCCAACCCATATCCACGTCAATGATAGACTGGATAAGGAAAATGTGATACATACACACCATGGAATACAATGCAGCCATAAAAAAGGATGAGTTTATGTCCTTTGCAGGGACATGCATGAAGCTGGAAACCATTCTCAGCAAACAAACACAGGAACAGAACACCAAACATTGCATGTTCTCACTCATAATTGGGAGTTGAACAATAAGAACACGTAGACACAGAGAGGGGAACATCACACATCAGGGCCTGTCAGGAGGTGTAGGGCTAAGGGAGGGATAGCATTAGGAGAAATGCCTAGTGTAGGTGATGGTTGATGGGTGCAGCAAACCACCATGGCACGTATACACCTATGTAACAAACCTGCATATTCTGCACATGTATCCCAGAACTTAAAGTATAATGATTTTAAAAAACCCTTTAGGCCGGGCGCGGTGGCTCACTCCTGTAATCCCAGCACTTTGGGAGGCCAAGGCGGGCGGATCACGAGGTCAGGAGATCAAGACCATCCTGGCTAACACGGTGAAACCCTGTCTCTACCAAAAATACAAAAAAATTAGCCAGGCGTGGTGGCTGGGGCCTACAGTTCCAGCTACTCAGGAGGCTGAGGCAGGAGAATGGCATGAACCCGGGAGGCGGAGTTTGCAGTGAGCCAAGATAGCGCCACTGCAGTCCAACCTGGGCCAAAGAGTGCGACTCCGTCTCAAAACAAAACAAAACAAACAAACAAAAAAACCCTTTATACAGCAGGACAAAGAAAAAGTAAGAAATTAATTGAATGATTTGCACACATATTTCTCTCTGCCAGTTTAGTATTACTCATACTAGATAAAAAGAAGACAAATGTCAGTGAAAAAAATGGCTACTCCCTGAGTTTCTCCCATTGACCCTTTTTTACAGTTTCAATATTAATTGAAGTGGCTCACTGTACTGCTTCTGTGGAATTAGGATTGGCATTAAGAGGGTGTTCTTTTTTATGAACTTTTATTATTATTTTACCTTTATGTTTATTTTTTTTTAGAGAGAGACTTTGAGATTTATTTTAAGGAACTGGTTCACATGATTGTTGGAACTGCGGGTCTGAAACCTGTAGGACAGACCAGGAGGCTGAAATCTCAGGCAGGTGTTGATGCTGCAGCTTGAGACAGTCTTGAGACAGAATTTCCTCTCCTGGAAACTTCAGTTCTGCTCTTATGGCCTTCGACTAATTGGATGAGGCCCACCCACATCATCATGTGCAATCTCCTTAATTTAAAGTGGATTGATTATAGATGTTAATCACATCTATAAAATGCCTTAATGGAAACCCCTAAATAAGTGTTTGATTAGATAACCAGGTACTATAGCTTGGGCAACTTGATGCATAAAGCCAGCCGTCGCAAGTATCCTTTGGGGATTTTTATGTTGTTGTTGTTGTTGTTGTTATTTTGATTGTTATTATTATTTTAATTTATTATTATTATTATCAACTTTTATTTGAGATTCCAGGGGTAGATGTACAGGTTTGTTACCTGGGTGTATTGTTTGTTGCTGAGGTTTGTATGAAGGATCCGGTCACCCAAGTTCTGAGCATAGAACCCAAGTGTTAGTTTTTCAACCACTGCCCTCTTCTCTCCTTCCCCTGATAGTAGTCTTGCATCAGTGTGACCTGGATATGAGACATGAAGTCAAAGGAGATTATTTTGGAGCTTTAAGATTTGACCGCCCTGCTGGATTTTGGACTTGCATGGAGCCTGTAGCCCCTTTGTCTCAGCTAATCTCTTCCATTTGGAATGGCTGTATTTATCCAATGCCTATACTCCCATTGTATCTAGGAGGTAACTAACTTGCTTTTGACTTTAAAGGCTCGGACTTACCTTGTCTCAGATAAGACTTTGGACTGTGGACTTTTGAGTTAATGCTGAAATGAGTTAAGTCTTTGGGGGAATGTTAGGAAAGCATGAATGGTTTTGAAATGTGAGGACATGAGATTTGGGTGGGGCCAGAGGTGGAATTAAATGTTTTGGCTGTGTCCCCACCCAAATTTCATTTTTAATTCTGACATGTTGTGGGAGGGACCTGGTGGGAGGTAATTGAATCATGGGGGCAGGTCTTTCCTGTGCTGCTCTTATGGTAGTGAATATGTCTCATGATATCTGATGGCTTTATAAGGCAGAGTTTTCCTGCACAAGCTGTCTCTGCCTGCTGCCATCCATGTAAAATGTGACTTGCTCCTCCTTGCCTTCTGCCATGATTGTGAGGCTTCCCCAGCAATGTGGAACTGTAAGCCTATTAAACCTCTTTCTTTTGTAAATTGTCCAGTCTTGGGTATGTCTTCATCAGCAGCATGAAAACAGACTAATAGGCCATCTTTATGTTCATGAGTACCCAACATTTAGTTTCCATTAAGAGGATTTTCTTACCAATGAGAATCACTCTGTCAGTGATTATCACTTTAGTAATATGCTCCATGAATTACATGTATACATTGCATGTATTCTTTTGTGTATCTAATATTCCATTCCATTAAAAATAGTGAAAAGACATAATTGTGTTTAAAAATCCTTTGAGAAGTGATGATTCTCAAATCATCACATGACAGGAAAGACCTGCCCCTGACTCTGTTAACTCATTGATCTAATTGAAATGGCAGGAATAAATCTCAGGGAATTACTTCAGCATCACTATCCTCGCTAAAGTGGCCATAGTCTTTGCTTTTGTTCTTAGGAGAATCTCAATCTACGAACCTTTCAGGTAGGTCTCCTTAGATCTAAGAACTTCAAGGATACAATCCAATAGGTAAACTAAATAAGGTTAATTATAATTCAAGTGTCCCACCGGTATTGTCTTCTATGGTAAGAAAATATACTGTTATCAATATAATTAGGAATTAGTGGAAAGAGCTATTAGTATCTCTATCACTACCTCCATGACGCATTATAGTTTTGTTTTAACACTGAGCCTGCTGGAAATGTTATTAACGTGCCTGTCAAAACTGAAGAATAAACATTTAGATTATAGCTTATAGACAGAGTTTAATATTTGATTCCCCAATCCTAAACAAAGACATATAATTTGTATATTTTGTAGAAATTTTATACAAATATTTTCTGCTTACTCAAATAATAGCACATGATGCTATAAACTATGATGCTATAAAGAGAAAATAATTATACAAAGGTTAAGAGAACAATTTTTCCAAAAGTAGAGAAGAGCTCAGTCTCACTTTCATAGCTCCACATGGAATAAGTCAATGCAGGGGATACACATTTTACATTGACCTGAAAATTAGTATTAGTAGTTCTAATATTATGTTGATATGTTTTTAGATTGTTCACCACTTAGATCAACAAAATGAAGTGGAGTAATTCCTTCAACAAATATTTACTGAATACTGCTATACCCTGTGGAGAACAGAGGACGGTTTGCAATGAAAGGTGTCTGGAAAAAAGTGACACCTGAGTGAGTTCTCAAAAGTTAGCTAGGTCACGGGGGGGAAGGAAAGTCTTCCAAATAGCAAAAGCAAAGATGCAGCACAGAGGAGCTAACGGTGTCTGACAAAGATGCAAGCAGTTTGGCATTGCTGAGGCATAAAGTGCAAGGGAGCAGCTAGCTGGAGGTGCCGCTGGAGATACAGGCAAGGATCAGAGAAGAGAGCTTTTGCTCTGAGTTAAGCAGTTTGAGATATATCTCCTAAATTACAAGAAGACGTTGAAAGACTTTAAGCACAGGGTTCCATGTGTTTAAATCTGCATTTCTGAAGAATCATTCTAGCAGCTGGGTTGAAGATGGATTTGACTGGGACGAGAAAGGGAAAATAAGACCGATTAATAAACTAATGAAGAAGCAGCAGATGGATAAGGGATAATGAGAATGTAAACTAAGCTGATGACTGTAGGGATGGATTAGAAAGGATGGATTAGGATTTTAAAATTATCTATATTCGGCCGGGCGCGGTGGCTCACGCCTGTAATCCCAGCACTTTGCGAGGCCGAGGCGGGCGGATCACGAGGTCAGGAGATCGAGACCATCCCGGCTAAAACGGTGAAACCCCGTCTCTACTAAAAATACAAAAAATTAGCCGGGCATGGTGGCGGGCGCCTGTGGTCCCAGCTACTTGGGAGGCTGAGGCAGGAGAATGGCGTGAACCCGGGAGGCGGAGCTTGCAGTGAGCCGAGATCCCGCCACTGCACTCCAGCCTGGGCGACAGAGCGAGACTCCGTCTCAAAAAAAAAAAAAAAAAAATTATCTATATTCTGTGATTAATTATATATGGTTGGTATACACGAGAGAGGGGTAAATTTATTACAAATTTTTGCCCACATTTCCTGGCCATGATTCTATCAACTGAGATAAAAAATATAGGATGAGGAAAGAAATTTGGTAGGGGGAGATAATTTTGCTTTTCAACATATTGTTTGTAAATTTTCTATGGGACGGTCATTTGTTGATGTCCAGTAGACTGTAGGATATGTATCTGGGGAGGGGTTTGGACCATGCATTTAAGCTTAGAAGATGAAACTGTGTGAGTAGATTAGATAACCCAGTAAGCATGAGAAACTGAGGTGGATGAAAAGAAGATAGAGACAAAGAAAAAACAGTAAGAAAGATTAAGACCCAGGAGAATGCCGTATCACAAAAGCCAAGTGAAGGAGAAATAGAAATGGCAAATACAGAAGAGAGGACTAGGAAAAAAAAAGACTAGGAAAGGCCTCAGTTAGCTATTAGGAAAAATTAGAAGCCATATTATAGTGGAAAAATAAATAAATAAGAGGTGAATGTGTTACTATGGTCAGGCAAAATAATTGGGCAGGTTCTCAAATATCAATAATAAGAAAATAAAACCCGATACTAATTTTTGTTATTTCATCAGGGACCTAGTACTATATGACAATTTTTCTAAATCTCTGACTCTATACTTTATGTGCATTAGATTATAATAGAACCATTTTTTTTTTTTTTTTTTTTTGAGACGGAGTCCTGCTCTGTTGCTCAGGCTGTAGTACAATGGCCCGATCTCGGCTCACTGCAACCTCCGCCTCCCGGGTTGAAGCGATTCTCCTGCTTCAGCCTCCTGAGTAGCTGGGATTACAGGCGCGTGCCAACATGCCCGGCTAATTTTTGTATTTTTAGTAGAGACGGGGTTTCACTAAGTTGGTCAGGCTGGTCTGGATCTCCTGACCTCGTGATCCGCCCGCCTCGGCCTCCCAAAGTGCTGGGATTACAAGGGTAAGCCACCGCGCCCAGCCAATAGAACAAATTTTAAAAGATGGAGTAATACCAACATTAAAAGGCAGACAAAATTGCCGCATGATACAAACAGTATCTAAGAATAATAGGAGTGGAAAGGAGAAATAAACAAGGTAGATTTGGGGTGTGAAGAGTAGTTAATGATACATTATAATTCTTAAGTCCTTTGAAAGCAATTCTCCATGAGGACATTCTCACAAAGGGCCAATTTCTTTTTCTTTCTTTCTTTCTTTCTTTCTTTCTAAGGACCAATTTCTCTTTCTTCCTTCCTTCCTTCCTTCCTTCCTTCCTTCCTTTCTTTCTTTCTTTTCTTTCTTTCTCTCTTTCTTTTTTGAGACGGCGTCTCTCTCTGTTGCCCCAGCTGGAGTGCAGTGGCAGGATCTCAGCTCACTGCAAGCTCCACCTCCCATGTGTATGCCATTCTCCTGCCTCAATCTCCCGACAGGCGCCCGCCACCGTGCCCGGCTAATTTTTTTGTATTTTTAGTAGAGACGGGGTTTCACCATGTTAGCCAGGATGGTCTCGATCTCCTGACCTCATGATCCGCCCACCTCGGCCTCCCAAAGTGCTGGGATTACAGGCGTGAGCCACCGCGCCCGGCCCTACAAAGGGCCAATTTCTATCCATCCTCATGTTAGTAGAAAGTGCCTCATATTTATATAGCGATTAAGGACAGCACCTGGCTTGCTTTGGGGACATGTAATATTATCAAGCCACATTATATGCTGAGCAAATGTGTTCTCTAAAACATGACCGTAAATTGTGAGTCACCGTATTTTCTGCCTATTTCCATTTTGTATTGAAGAGTAGTAGAAGGCAATAGTAGTTTAAAATCTGATTCATAGGCAAAAACTGCTTCCCTAGAAAAGAACCAATTTTACAAAACCACTGATGAAGTTCAGATGATTCAATCATCAGCCTCAAGTTTTAAGTCAGACTCGTACTTTTCCCCTCACTTTGACCAGAACATATTGCTGCTGCAAAGCAATTTGCACTTTAAAACTTTAAAGAGAGCAGAAAGGACTAGACTTGCCAGAAGGCAGTTGGGCAATTGTCACAGGCAGATTGTTTATTCCACCCAGAGGTTTATGATTATTTTCATAGTATTCTGCAAAGATCAAGATAAAGTGCTAACAGGCTATGGTTTTTATAAAGGTGGAGTTTAAAGTATTATAAAGCAATAAACCATCAAATTGCTTGACAGTTTATACAGGTAGGTTGTTCATATAACTATATGAGCAAGGAATACACTTTATTTTTATTAGTTCCAAAACTGTGTGGCCCACAATCAGTTCAATCAGAACAGATTGAACAATCTGAACAATCAGAAGAGATTTTCTTAATTTTTGTCTGATTTTTTAACAAAATTCTGCAAGTGATTCATTGTTTGACTGCAGTAAACCAGTAATGTTTGAAACAAGAATCAATGTTGGCACCAGAAATCATAAGTCTGTTCTTTTTCAACTTCAAATACAATTAATTAATAAGAATTGCAAAAATTCAATGATGAAAGCAAAAATCTCAGGACTTATGAGGGAAGCAAGAAAAAACAAAAGGCTCTCCCTTTTTAATGACACATAAAGGGAAGAAATCAGGGTCCTATTATGTTTCCTACTCTGAAATAAAATTGCCCAAGCTGGGAACCTGACAATCGTGTGTATTATTTCCCTATGGGTGCCATAACAAAGTATCGCCAGCTGGATTTTTTAAGCCACCCAGAAATTTGTCTCACGGTTCTAGAGGCTAGAAGTTCACAATCAAAGTGCTGGCAGGGTTGGTTCCTGATGAGAGTTGTGAAGCAGAATCTGTTCCATGTCTCTCCCCTGGCTTCTGGTGGTTTGCTGCCAATCTTTGGCATTCCTTGACTTGTAGACCTGTCACCCCAATCTCTGTCTTCATGTTCACATGGCGTACTCCCTGTGTGCATGTATCCAATTGTGATGGTTAATATTAAGTGTCGAATTGACTGGATTGAAGGACGCAAAATATTGTTTTTGGGTGTGTCTGGGAGGGTGTTACCAAAGGAGACAAACATTTGAGTCAGTGGACTGGGAGAGGCAGATCCACCCTCAATCCGGGTGGGCACCATCTAATCATCTGCCAGTGTAGCTAGGATAAAAGCAGGCAGAAGAACGTGGAAAGACTAGACTGGCTAAGTCTTTTGGCCTCTGTCTTTCTCCTGTGGTAGATGCTTACTGCCCTTGAACTCCAAATTCTTCAGCTTTTGGACTCTTGGACCTATACCAGTGATGTGACAGGGGATTGCAGGCTTTTGGCCACAGACTGAAGGCTGCACTGTCAGCTTCCCTACTTTTGAGGTTTTGGGACTCGGACTGGCTTCCTGGTTTATCAGCTTACAGATGGCCTATTGTGGGACTTCACCTTGTGATTGTGTGAGTCATGTCTCCTAATAAACTCCCCTTCATATCTAGATCTATCCTCTTAGTTCTGTCCCTCTGGAGAACCCTGACTAATACACCAATTTTCTTTTTTTTTTATATATATATATAAGAACACCAGTCATATCGGAATAGAGACCCACCCTACTCCGGCATGGCTTTATCTTAATTGCATCTACAACTACCCTTTTCCAAATAGAAACACATTCTGAAGTAGTAGGAGTTAGGACTTCAATTTATTAAATTTTTTTTATGGGGAACACAACTCAACCCATAAAAAATCTTAGATGTATCCATCTTTCCATGTACTATTGTCTCAAAGTTCAGTTTCATTCACCTTCACACTTCTCTAATGTTCAACTCTTTCTCCAGCTCCACTGCAACTGCCTTTGCAGTATCTTACTTCATCACTGAACCGTGATTCCACAAGGGTAGAGCCTGTGACCATTTTTGTTCCTCTATGTAGGCCCACTGACTGACTTCATACTGGATGTCTTTTTTTTTTTTTTTGAGACAGGGTCTCGTTCTGTCGCCCATGCTGGAGTGCAGTGGTGTGATCTCCGCTCACTGCAACCTCCGCCTCCTGGGCTTAAGCAATTCTCTGCCTCGGCCTCCCAAGTAGCTGGGATTACAGGCACGTGCCACCATGTGCAGCTAATTTTTGTATTTTTAGTAGAGACGGGGTTTCACCATCTTGGCCGGGCTGGTCTTGAACTCCTGACCTCGTGATCCACCCACCTCGGCCTCCCAAAGTGCTGGGATTACAGGCGAGAGCCACCATACCCAGCCCTGGCTATCGCTTAATGTAATATCTGTTTAGTGAGTTTTAAGTAAAAGACTCTTCATTGATTGGTAAAATGTATTTCTAACTACATTTCCTGTTTGTAAACTTAATCTTCACTTCAGTCCATTCTCCCCCACTGTTAACAGGTAGATCTTTGAAATATTTTTACCATGCTCCAAAATGTTCAATGGCTTTTCATGACTTACAAGATAAACATTCAAACACCTTAGGCTGGCACACAAGGAACTTTGTCTTGGCCTCAGTTTACCCCTTCAGTCTCATCTCTATTACTTCCTCCCAACCCCTGATCCCATAAATGCAGTAATTTTAGCTCCTTGATAACCTCATGCTCTCTTGTGCTTGCATGCCTTTGCAAATCTTCTCTTTGCCTAGAATATGTTTCTCACCCCATCAGCCCAAAGACAACCTTCTGGGTGAGTTATCAACGCTTTCATTGTGCATTTTGTGTATACCTATATCAGAATAGCCGGTATATTGTCTACTTAAATGAATGTTTTTGTGTCTTACTTTCGGTGAGACTGAAACAACCTGTGCTTCTTGAGGACCAAACACAAGGGTTTTGTTTCATCTTTGTATTCTCAGCTTATTATATAGGGCAAGGGCAGGCACCAAATAAACATTTGCAGAATAAACAAATGCATGGAAGAGAAACTATGTGGTCCAATGTTCATTTACAGAGCTTAGTTAGGACACATTTGTTGGAAATGCGATTTAAAGTGATTATAGCTCTTCCTCTAAATCTGTAGTCAGAGTCAACAGAACACATACTTCAATAATGGCCTCAATGTCAGCCTTCTATATACCTGTCAAAGCCAGGCACGCCAGTGAGGAAAGGGTACACCAAGGTACACCTTCGAACCCCGCTTTGTTCCTAATGCTTTACAAATATTTTCTGAGACTGATGGAGGGAGGAAAACTCAATATACTTTGGTTTATAATCTAATGATGCCTAGTAAAGGCCATAACTCTAACAAACATAAGGCAGGTGTGGGATAATATTTGTCCTTTGTTAAGCCATGTTAATTTAGCAGGCAGTTAACTAACTCTTGGCTCAGATAATAAAATCAAACCAAATATACTAAAATTAGCAATGAGGAAGACGTTTTAATTTGTATGTGTGTGTGTGTGAAGTAGCAGCCATCCTTTATCACCTGATCATGGCCCATATAGAGATTTTTCCCTTTAGGGCCTATGTTTGGGTGTTGAGGTTGAGTTTATTAAGGAATACAATAGGCTTCTTACTAGTGAGGGGAGTAGTGACATTAGCAAAAACCCTCTGAGGGGAAGCAGAATGTGAAGGTATGTAGCTATGAGGCATAGGCGTTATTACGATGGACATTTACTCGTCTATTTCTAGCTTTTGTCATTCGGGCATCATTTAATTATAGGGGCTGGTGGGTTAACGTTCCACAGCTCTGTTCATAGATGGTGCATGGTATTTACAAGATGATTTCCCTGGCACTGAAAATGAAAGGGTGGCTTCTTTACTCAGGAAGATCAAAACGTATTGAGGAAGGGACATCTTCAAGTGAGTAATGGATGTCACATGAAATGTGTGAAAATATTTTGTGTAAAGTGTGTTGTGATTGCAGAACAAGAAGTAGCTAACATTGTCTCCATAGTCCATTAACAAAATAAATAAATAAATCAGGGTGTTATATGAACCTTCCGCATGTCTGCATTGTATCACAAGAATACTTTCCAATGCAGAAGACAAGAAACGGGCAGAGGAAATCAATGGTGCTTCTGTTTGAGCATGGGTCAAGTTGGGCACTAGTGGGAAATTGGAGGGCAGAGGAAGATAGAAGCCAAGGTATCTCTGTCCTTCTCTCATTTCCTTGGATAGCATCTTCAGTAGTGGGTAAGTCTCATTAACTCTGGCACAGGCCAAGCCTCCTGGCAGGTTTCTAGATTCCACATCACCTCCATACCAGGAGGTCCTCCATACTACAGAATGGCAGCACTTCCTGCTGATACTAATCTCTGGCTTACCTAAACAACCTCTGTTTGGTTCCTTTGATCTTTCATCAAGTGCACAACCCATTCTAGGCATTTAATTCCCTCTGTTTAAAATAATTTGTGATTTTTACTTTCCTATTTGACTTTGATACACTATTACGTGTATCAGACAAATAAAATTAAGAATGGAAAATGTAAACCTTGTCTAAATCTGGGATCTTCTTTGTGCAAAGAATTGAGTAGTTAGAAATTACTAATAATTATCTCATTTCTTCTTTCATGTTTGTTTTATACTTTAAGATCAGCTTTTGAGTCCAAATTACTAATGTATTTTTTGAAAAATCAATGTCAGAAATTCCAAGATTTTTTTAAAAATATAGGCTATTACACAGCAGTCAAATAATTAGGATTTAAAGGCTATGCACAACACCTAGCACAATACCAAAAAAGAAAATAAACACTATCAAATCTTTATAAACAGAAAATGCCAGTAATCCCACTTTGCTTGACCTTTCATATCTGTAATAATGGCATAATTATTCTAAGAAGAGAAACTGAATTTTATTTTTTATTCCAATGTGATAACAATAAAAGATATACTATGAAACAAAAATGTAACACCAAAATGAATAAAAATAAATAATAATTTAAAACCATAAATACCAATAATAACAACATCAAACAAATATTGATAAATTGCCATTTTGTGTTAAACATCACACTACCGTTAAACACTTAGTGAAGGCATCAACTCTCTGGGCCTCAAGTTCCTTTTGGGGAAACCGAAGAGCTTAGATCACAATAGTTTTTCCCAACCATTGATCCTCAGGTCTACCAGTTTATGTAACTGAAGATCATACTGGCCGGGCACGGTGGCTTACACCTGTAATCCCAGCACTTTGGGAGGCTGAGGCGGGCGGATCACGAGGTCAGGAGATCGAAACCATCCTGGCTAACATGGTGAAACCCTGTCTCTACTAAAAATACAAAAAATTAGCTGGGCGTGGTGGCAGGCGCCTGTAGTCCTAGCTACTCGGGAGGCTGAGGCAGGAGAATGGCGTGAACCCAGGAGGCAGAGCTTGCAGTGAGCCGAGATCGTGGCACTGCACTCCAGCCTGGGCAGCAGAGCAAGACTCCGTCTCAAGAAAAAAAAAAAACAAAGATAATATTAATTTACCTATTGCAACATCCATTACTTAAATTAAAAATCAAATAATTATGTAGGAGATGTTTGCTTTAGAACAGACATCTTTCTGTTCTAAAGTTTATGGTCCTCTGAGAAGTCAGATGAGCTGGCTCATGACTCAGTTACCGTTTCTGACTCAGTTGATAACTCCTAGCTAGTACATTAGTTTTAAACAGCACATTGCTTTTTTAAATTCTAGGTCAAACGTTGTTTAATTTATATCCATAACTGACCATTTGTTAAAGACAGGAAACACAGGGAACACTGACGTTGAAATGCAATAAGGAAACTAGGGACATAATAATATAATTTTGCAAATTTTGTTCATTTTCTCTTCATCAGATCAAAATTCTTGTGTGTATTTAGTACTTCAAAAATCCATTTGAAAAGCATAAACTAATGTAATGATTATTAAACATGGCTTTGAATCATGAGAAATAAAAAAATTAACCCGCAAACAATGTGTTATTTGCAGACATTTCAAATACCAATTTGAATCTCTTCTTATCTATGCAGTCAGAAACAAAACATGATAATCATAAAGGTAAAAGAGTCCATTTTTTTTTTAAGTACGGAGCAAGAATTCTACACATCTGGTCATAATTGAGCACTTTTTTTCATATTATAACATGCATTTTAAATGTATATTTCAATTGCTATTTATTCACAAAACCAAATATGCCATACTATTAGATTGTTTCTTTTTCAACAAATTTTGGCCTTTAAAATAAAATTAAAATTTTCTTAGAAACTGATTTTTAATGGAAAAGGTGGAAATTTATATTGTTATGTATTATTTCTGTTCTTAAGGTTGCACTTAAATATTTTATATTTTTAAATAATTCATTTACCCAAAACTATATGTATATATTTACTTACTTAAAATATATTTATTACGTGTCACCCAAAAATTACTTTAAAAATTAAAATTCTACAGACTGTGTGGAGCTATATATTGGACCGAAAGCTTTTTTTCAAGTCAAAGGCGTTTGGGACATGCTTCCCTTAGCTAATCTCCAAGACGTCATGAATCCAGTGGCTTTGATGATCCAAATTAGACTATTCTGAAAGGAATTCTGATGTCATTGTTTGGATCCTTAAATGACTAACTCAAAGAGAAAACGGAAAAAAAATTGTCTGCAAAAGAACCATTCATTAAAAATCTTATCTCTGTCTTCTACTTTCCCCTCCCTCTCTTCTCTCATCATGCCCTCTTTGTGGCTGTATGATCCAGTTTTGTACAGTCAGAAACAAAATCAGCCCTCATAAAAACATTCATGTCATCTAAAAATGTTTTTATAGAAACTTACTTTTCCCACGTTGGGAAATAAGAAGGGTTTCTGTTTGTGGCATTTGAAAGTCTGGAGTCTGGTATTTAGGATATCTATTTACTCTTTTCCCCCTTTATTTCTTTTTATTTATTTATTTATTTATTTTTGAGATGAAGTTTCACTCTTGTTGCCCAGTCTAGAGTGCAATGGCATGATCTCTGCTCATTGCAGCCTCTGCCTCCCGGGTTCAAGCGATTCTTCTGCCTCAGCCTCCCGAGTAGCTGAGATTACAGGCACCCGTCACCATGCCCAGCTAATTTTTATATTTTTAGTAGAGACAGGGTTTCATCATGGTCAGGTTGGTCTCAAGCTCCTGATCTCAGGTAATCCACCCGCCTCGGCCTCCCAAAGTGCTGGGATTACAGGCATGAGCCACCGCGCCCGGCCTTCCCCTTTTATTTCTAACTTTACAAAACAAAAAGCCTGAGTCCTTAATCATAATGGGACTGAATTTTATGGAGGATGGTCTGTATATAGATGCGAAATGTTCTTGATTTGAATGTTTACATGGAATTCATAGGTTGCATAGAAAAAAAAACAAAGACTCTCAAAAGCGGCATGTTCACTTTTCAGATTCTGGTCATTGTGTGTAAATTACAGAAAGAAGAATTCTAGTGAATGCCTACTTAACGAATTTTCTAGTTTGCAATATCAAACACCAGTTCCTGAAAATTTTTTCAATGAAAATGTCTAATTCTGTGTTTCTACCCTGAAAGTCCCTGTAGCTTGGGATCACAGTTTAAATTACTATTCTCAACATAAATTCGTCACTTTTGGAGCTGAGTGGAGACTTACTCTGTCTCCTTCTTGGAGAATAATGAAGAAAGCAGCTTTATATCAGAAATGTTGCCCAGGTAGCTGAGACTGTAGTTTGAGTTTAACAGCAGGTGTCTTGCGTTTGATAATTATTACCAGCACCTAATCTGCTACCTGTCTTTTTTAGTGACTGGAAATTAGGGCAATGGTGTTTCAAGAGACTGCTGAGAATAAAGTTAAAGCTGCACAGAGATGAATTATTCTTCTAAAACGGGCCTCTGCACAGGGTACGTTAACACTGCCTAATGAATCTCATGGTGAAATTTTGAAATGCATAAAAATACCAACACTATACAAGGGGATAGGGTGTTCTTGTTATACAATACCAATTTTACAACGACATGTATTCTACTGATGGTGATTTCAAAGCATCTGGATGGAATAAAACACACTCAACACCAAGGCTATGTTGAACAACTTTTATAACTTGCAAGGCCTAGAGTCATCATGAGCATGTATAATGCATCTCTACCGATGTACAAAATTCATTGTATTTGTCATGCCTTTTATATGTCATGAGGAGAATATTTTTGTAGTGATTAGTTCAATACTGAATCATTGAAACATAGCCATAATTGAAAATAATAAAGCAGTGAATACTACAATATAGGCACTATTTTATAGAGACATAATCCATTGTATATTTCAAATCCCCATTGTATATTTATACTAAAGCTTTAGCTAACATTTATGTTTACGTATTTTAAGCTAGACAAAGCCATGGATTGATGTCTACATAAACATCATTTCATTTAATCTTCATAACAATCTTACAGAATAGAAATATTTTATGTGTATTATTACAAAATCACAAATCTTAACCTTTAGAATAAAAATCGAAAAGGCCACCAATAGTTCAAGCCTTACATTGTCCTTACTGGTGGCAAGTTCATAGAAATGAGCATGTTTTTCCAAGAGTTCCCTCCAATTACCCAGAGATAACTCTAGTCACTCTCTTTAGGTGTTGACATCCATCCTCGAACCAAGTACTATGTCAGGAGGATGGCACACTTTCCCTGGCCAAGCCTAGGTCTTTTGCCCATGCTTGAAACTGGAGGATAAGGGTGGGGTTTGCCAGTCTATCAAAATCACATGGACTAAGAATAGGGAAGGGGTTTTCCCCACAGAGATTCTGGGCAGCAGTCCAAAATAAAAATATGTTTTTATTATGTTCTGCTCCTTGGTTGCTAACATCCACTCACACTAGTCTCCCAAAATAAACATGCAAAACCGCCTGGCCTTATATGATGCAACGATCACATATACAACCAAAAATGTCTCCATCCCATCAAGAGACAATTCAAAATTTTGTTCAGTTGTTACATCCTAATATGCAATAAACCATGAAAAATAATGAAACTCCCTCAACACAATCAATATACCATGGTAGAGGGTAAACAGGATAACTTTGAAAACATCCATCTGAAAAAGGGGACAAAGGGCAACAATAATTATCAATCTGTCTTAGTCTGCTTGGGTGGCTATACTGAAATCCCCTGAACAGGGTGGCTTATAAACAAAAGAAACAGAGGAAGTTATTTCTCACAGTCCTGAGTCGAAGATCAAGGTGCCAGAAGATTTGGTGTCTGGTGAGGGTCCATTTCCTGATTCACAGATAGTATGTTTTTGTGGTGTTTTCACATGGTGGAAGGGGCGAGGGGCCTCTTTTAGAAGGACACTAATCCTATTTATGAGAGCTTTACCCTCATGACCTAATCACCTCTCATAATTCCTGCCTTGCAATACTATCACATTGGCATGAACATTCAGACTATAGCAAGGCTCAAAGCACAGCAACATCCAGGGATGGGAGGAGCATTGGCTGTCTGCCCTGACAATGAGAAAGTTGCTCAGTCAATTAATTGAGTTTCTCAAAATTCTGTTCTCTAGTAAATCTTCCTCGAATAAATTCCTCTTGACCAAATATGAGTTGTGCATTGGAGGAAGATTTTCTTTCTAACGGTTTGAGTCCTTCAGTAGCCCAGATTCTGTTGGGATAAGTAATGAGTTTTGCTTTAAATGCAGAATAACAACATACTTTGATTGTCAGTCTTGGGATTTCTCTAGCAATATACAGTTGGCCCTGCCTTTCAGCAGGTTCTGCATCTTTGAATTCAATCAACCCCAGATCAAAAATGTTTGAAAAAAAAATGAATGTTTGCATGTGTACTAAACATGTATAGACATTTTTTTCTTTGACATTATTCTCTAAATAGTACATTTAACAATTGTTTCCATAGTATTAGGTATTACAATTAATCTAGAAATGACTTAAAGTATACAAGAAGATGTGCATAGGTTATATGTAAATACTACATTTTCTATAAAGGACTTAAGCATCCAAAGATTTTGGTATCTGCTGGAATGCCTGTAATCAACTGCCCACAGACAGCGAGGGACAACTGTAATTCCTTTAACTTTTTAACTCTTTAACTGCTTGTTTCCAAATTCCTTATGTGTTGCATATTTAAGTTTATTGATGACAGTTTTTCATTTGCTTATATTATTCTTTGCAACTAAGGGTAACAGGGATATAAAAATTATGAGTTAAAATCACCAAGTCTGGGCGGGGCGCGGTGGCTCACGCCTGTAATCCCAGCACTTTGGGAGGCCAAGGTGGGCGGATCACGAGGTCAGGAGTTCAAGACCAGCCTGACCAACATGGTGAAACCCCGTCTCTACTAAAAATGCAAAAATTAGCTGGACGTGGTGGCACGTGCCTGTAAGCCCAGCTACTCGGGAGGTTGAGGCAGGAGAATCGCTTGAACCCGGGAGGTGCAGGTTGCAGTGAGCTGAGAGAGCGCCATTGCACTCCAGCCTGGGCGACAGAGTGAGACTCCATCTCAAAAAAAAAAAAAAAAAAATCACCAAGTCTCAAATCCCAGCACGTAAAAAGTAATTACAGAATAAAGGTTGAAAGAGATAATATAATAAAAGTTCCTATGTGCTGTTGTTATTATTTAAGTCCTTAATTATAAGTCACTTAAACAAGCAAACAAACCCTATGTGGCAATTAGTTGTAGTGTTTTCAAACCCTACATGCATCAAGTTATGTTTCTCATCTATCAATAGGAGATAGGAGACCGTGTAGTGGTAAGAATCGCAGAGAAAAATCAGGGAATGTGTAAATAGTCTTTGCTGAGTTACCTAACCTCTTTATCAGTAATGTGAGGATAATAAAGATTGTGGTGGATTGTGGTGATTATTAGGACTTTTCCAAATATATTATTACTTTTTTTTCCCTTAACACACAGTAAGGTTGTAATTCCCTGCCTCCTTTAAAGTTACATGTGGCCATATGATTTGGCCAATGACATGTGTCAATACTGGATGGGAAACTGAAGGGCAGTGGACAATTCTCTCTATTCTCTGTCTCTGTTATGATTATTGCAGCTAATATGAAGATGAGGACCTCCATCAGTCTAGGTCTCTGAATATATGCAGAGTCTTCCCCACTACCCCATTTTGGGTATGTAATGCAAATAAGAAATATCTTCTACTGGATTAAGCCACTGGGTTTCAGAGGTTGTTGTTCTAAGTATCAAATCAGATAACATAAAGGTTGCATAATTCATGACACATTAACAGAAGCACATAAATATGTTGACTTTATTCTAGACAGAACTATTTAGGCTTGTTCAAATAGTTTTCCCATCAGTAATATTGAGATAATAATAACCATACAACCTAATTTAAAGTTATACTGTGGAATTCTATTCAAGGTCTAAATAATATATTTATATGAAATTTATAAAATGAAAAATATTACTTTTTCTGACCCCCACTTTGTATTAGCAGTTGATTATTTCCATAAATTCAATTGTCTTAATTTCTATATTTTTTCTTCTCCAGTTTAGATCTTTCAAGGCCAGAGTGTATCACTGATAAATTATTTTCTTTAGCATATTTTAGAAACAAGAATATTTTATTTCATCATGTCCTTTTTTAGTTATTAGAAATTACTTATTACCTTTTTTTTTTTTTTCTTGAGGTGGAGTCTCGCTGTGTCGCCCAGGCTGGAGTGTAGTGGCGCGATCTCGGCTCACTGCAACCTCCGGATCTCGGGATCAAGTGACTCACCTGCCTCAGCCTCCTGAATAGCTGGGACTACAAGCGCGCGCCACCACACCCGGCTTTTTTGTATTTTTTAGTAGAGATGGGGTTTCACAGTGTTAGCCAGGATGCTCTCGATCTCCTGACCTTGTGATCCGCCTGCCTCGGCCCCCAAAGTGCTGGGATTACAGGCGTGAGCCACCACACCCGGCCAGAAATTACTTACTACTTTTAAAGAAATAAATCACTAAATTTAAATTGATATCTTCTCAGCTACTGTAAGGTAGCTCCAAGTCCCTGGAGCTACCTTACAGTACCTTTTCATTATTGAAAGCAACTGTTTTTTTTGTCTGTTGAGTTGGATTCTCACACTGTCATCCAGGCTGGAGTGCAGTGGTGCGATCTTGGCTCACTGCAACCTCCACCTTCTGGGTTTAAGCGATTCTCCTGCCTCAGCCTCCCAAGTAGCTGGGATTTACAGGCGCCTGTCACCACGCCTGGCAAATTTTTTGTATTTTCAGTACAGATGGGGTTTCGCTATGTCGGCCAGGCTGGTCTCAAACTCCTGACCTCGCGATCCGCCCTCCTCAGCCTCCCAGCTGGGATTACAGGCCTGAGCCACCGTGCCCGGCCTGAAATCAACATCTAAATACGAGCCTATTGAAAACAACAGAGAGAAAAGGATATGAAACAGCTAAGAACAAGAATTCATCCAGAGAGAGATTAGTTAAAATGAGAATGAATGAAAAGAAGTCAAAGTGTAATATGCAAATAAAGTTGAATCCTTGGAAGGATAATTTACACTTCTATTTAAAGATAGGCTATATTTGTGAAGTGGTTAGCTTATAATTCTAAACCTTATTATTTATTTCCCTGGCCTTTGTTTTTCCTCATTGTTTCAGTGTATATCCTGGACTTGTAAACATTCTACAATGAGCTGTTAAAATTCCATTTTTTGGCATGTAAATATAGTGTGTGAAATATTTCAGAGTTTTCTTCTATACACGAAACTGTTGCCTTGAGATAGTGGTGTGAAGGAGAAGGGAACACGGGAAAAAATAGAACAATCACCTATAAGTTGGCCAGAGACTGTGGTTCCCAAGGAGCCCTGCCTGACTGTATATAGTCAGATAGGAGACGCTACTAAGGTTTTCCCAACAGTAGAATGCAATTTGTCAAATGTTTGCATGTTCTGTTCCTCTTATATAAGAATTTTCATACCTTAGTTAATGAAATGTCAGTTGTATGATCCAATTGCCTCTCTTAAGCTTTTATTTCACCTTAGTTCTGTCTTTTCTCGCTGAAATTCCCTGTTTACAGGGACACAAAGAGCTGTTTTAAATCGGAAGCCAACGTTTGGGTGCCAGACAGCATGCTGGTGCCACATAGCATTCATTCCACAGTGAAACTGCAAACCAATACCTTTCTGTGCTAAATGGCACCGTATCTCCTCTCCTACTTCATTAGAATAGATTTCCTTCATGATGCCAGCTGCTTTTCTGGCACCAGACATGAAGACTCGGACTAAATTATCCCCACTAAAACCATTGCTGGTGTCATAGTGCCAGACACACCACTCTGACCTCTCTTCCACCAGACTAAGTTAGAAGGCATATCTCCTCCAGGCCTGTTTTAGATTTTCTTGTTTTCCCTGCATTTTGTACTTTTGCATCATTCTTGTGGGCACTGTGTTAGATGAACGAGTTGATTGCTGTTACTCACGAATGGATTTCACAGTTCTTCATGCAGAGGCTTGCTGCCTTTTTTTTCATGACATTTCTCATAATGAGAATGATATAGTTCAAAGAATCACAAAGAAATAGGAATTAATAGTATATACTCAGAGTGAGACAAATGTCGTTGTGTTGAAGGGAATCTACTTACAAATATCTATCTCTATGAATGATTTTCAACCAGTCTTCAGTGTAAATTATCGGTATACTGAAGTTACTCATATTCTTTTGAGCATATTTTATAACCCTTTTATCACAAATGGAAGGATTTCATGATGTTCACTTTTTTAACTTTAAAAACCTAATCACCTTCAGTGTCTTATAACGTTAAGATAAAGACAGAGAGCAAGTATTACCATTCTTCACCAAAGTTAAACAACAGGAAGGGGCATTTGGGCACAGGTTCAATGTATGCAAAGCAGTCTACACTCATCTGAATATAAAATGGGAGAAAAAGACCACATTAATATCTGGTGACTAGTTTTCATTTTACTAACTGTTTTTTTCTTTAAGAAACAGAGAATGAAAATCAAACTAGCTTAAGGAAAAAGAGATTGGCTTATATACGTGGATGATGCAGAGGTAGATCGGGCTTCAGATATTGGGTTGACTCAACAGCTCAAGGGTGTCATTTAAGATACTTATTGTCTCCATTAATATATTGATTTGCATAGTATTACCTTCATTCTAAGGCTACATAAATGGCTCCACAGTTTCAAAACCCATACCCACATACCATCCTATTCAGAAAGACAGAAATAGCTGGCTGTAGCCAGCTGTCTTAGAGGAGTGGGGAACTCTCTCCATTCACTCAGAAACATCCAGCCAAGTTTCTTTGTCTGAGGTTGCCAATTCCTAAATCAATTCCATTGGTAGAAGAACATCCTGGGAAGCAAGGCTCAGCGGTAAACTCTGTGAAACAATCATTGCAGTAGGAAGAAGGAGATTATCCTGATGAGGTCACTCAGGCTACAATTGCAGGTGGCATGGGCTCAGGGTCTCCTCTTTCCTACCCCCACTTCATTCTTACTTTGCAAGGGGGATTGACGGGAGGGAAATGTGAGAAGAATCCCAAGATCTACACTCTCAACAACTACTAAAGCATATTTTACTCCTTAGAGTGTCTGCCCAAGGCTTGCTTTTGGTGAAGTTGCCTGCCTTTAAGATTATGCAAACCTCACCTTTATCAATGAGCTCTCTCAGAACTGAAGAACTGAAAAGCTTCTGTTCAGTATTCAGAGAACACTTGAAATAGAATCACAAATTAACCTAAAATATTTTATTACCTTCAAAGTACAAGATCTCCTGAAAAGCTTACAAGCTCAAAAATTCCCTGTTGAAGAAACTATCTTGAGGAACTGATTTGAGAAAAATCCAGATATAAAATAAAAATTAGTATCATCTTTAGAATAAGAGAGTAAACTATATTCCTGGTTTTTTAAAAAAGTTGTTACCCAGGGAACATATAAATAGGAACACACACACACATATTCACATATGCATATAGATATGCATACATACGTACACATATACTTTAATCACCACATAACTTTTTTCTCCATTTATACAGAAGCAGAAGGGAAATCCTAAAGTCTTCTTTAACTAATGTGATTCTCAATAAATTCTTGTTTCAGTTTAAAAGTATCCATCAGAGATTATACACTGAGTTTGGCCCACAGATATGTCCTGTTTGACAGCTATCTAGGCAGAGCTGCCTCTCTCCAGTTTGACCAAAAGCCACAAATCCCCTTCCCCATCCAAAATTTACTCTTAATCCAATCTTTGAAAATATTAGAGAACACTTATTAGAGATGTGATCTAGTTGTGGTCATAGCCTGTCTTAACCAGGATACAAAGGTAAGCAAATTCAGGCAACTCCTTGGTAAGCAAGAAAAAAAATAAACAGGATGGACTATTCAGGCCAAAATGAGGACATTCAAAACTAGCCTTGCTTCACAACTGGAGATTTTTATGTCACTCTTTGTTTTTCTAGGTTCTCTTGTGATAACATACATTTTTTTACAGAAAGGGTCAAACAAAATTGAGTATATGATAGCTTTAGCGATGCTATGGCAGCCACCCAGCACCCTAGTCATGGAAATGTATTATTAGATGTTTCTAGACTCTTCAGCCATGGATTATTACTTTAGTTCAGTTATTTCTATAGATGGCTGATCTCAGTGGTTTCATGACAATTGTTCTAATTTCATTCTCGGAGGGAAACCTTAATTCCAAGAGCCAAGGATTCCTAGCTGTTACCACCTAGGTAGTAATTACAATTTTCACCGTGGGTGTTAAAGTCAAGATTTAAAAATATTGGTTCAGCATCACAACATGATATTAAATTGATATTGAGTTCCTCTCACTCTTTTAAACATTTCCCTACAGAGAGAGTTTGCTCTCTCTCTGTAGGGTTATGTTTTTTTCTTTACATAAGGTATGATAACACATTTTTAAAGAAAGGAATTTTCATACATCATATTTTCTCTGACAGTCTTGACATTAAAACAATCAGTGTTTGTCACATGCAGTAATCGGGTATGGCAGGTCATGCCTCACTTGCTATGCTAAGTAAAGGGGTTTGATAAATTTCAAAAACTCATACATCTTTGCAAGTTAAGTGGTAGTATAAAAGGTTTGTAGACCAAAGGAGTTTGAGCTACATTTCTTCAGGACCTTTTCTTGTTCAGCATTTTATTCTCAGAACCTAACACAATGCCTGGCTCACATGGGAGGTTTGATAAATATTTTTAAATAAGCTAATTAATGATAAAAGTTGGAAAAAAACTCAGAACAAACACATTTTCTTGCTAAGATACTTAAAACACAAGGAGATTTTTTCCCAAAGAGTCATATTAAAGATGAAAATATAGATACCAACAAAACAATGAAAAAACAACTGATTTCTTTATTCAAACAACCATACTTCCAAATTACTATTTAATAACCAACACTACTCTTCAAACTTCACAGGTAGAGCACTTGTTTTCTACGATTTCTCTGAAAACAAGGTCACAAATGTTTGTTTAAAGAATCTAAAATATTACAAAAAAATTATGAACTTAACTAATGAGAAAATATAGTCTCTTTTGAAGAGAAGAGGATTAGGGATGAAAATAAAACATATTTCCAAAAGTAGATATGGATGCCCAAGTATCACAGGATTATTTGTGCAGAAAAAGACTTTTAATTTATTTAACCATGGTATACATTCTAGGATAGTATATTTTATTTTACATATTATAAATATGTTTTTAATACATAGAGAAAATTAAGAATACTATTTTGGCTGTTACATATCAGATTCTCCAGGATTCTGGACTACAGACATTTCAATTCAAAGTGTTTATTAAAGTGCAAGTGTAGTAAATCTTTTGGGGTGGAGAAAGTTAGTTGAACACTTAGTTATACTATTCCAACATGAAAAACAGATGGCAGGCCATCACCAATACCACCTGTAACTTTCTTTGGTTTAAGCAATTTAGAATACAACTTTCTTTTACTTATAATTCCAGTTTGAATCAAGGCATCTACTACCCCAAGCATCAATGCTCTTCAATATCTAATTTCACAGTTTTCTTAACACGTATCTCATGTTATTTATTATAGTCAGAGGCATCCCAACACCTTTGTCTATCTTCGCTACCTTTTAAATGGTTTATCTGGCAAACCATCAATCACAAATCATGAAACATATTTTAGCTCAAGTAAGATCAGTTAAGAAAGAAAACAAGGCTTGTGTGGCCTAATTGGAAACATTATTCACATCAATAAGTGATAAATGCTTGTTCTGGGAAAGAATATTTATCCCCCAGATCTGTCTGTAATGTATAATATGGACAAGATTAAAATCTCCAATCACCTTCTAACTTCAGGCCATAAAGATATTGATAAAAGCAACTGAAAGCTTTTGTGAAAATAAAAGTTGTCAAAAAAAACCCCTCAATTTCAGGTTCAAAAGATTGCTTATATTACCAAAAACATAAATGCACGTATTCTATTTATAGTTTATTCTCTGGTTAAAACTACACCTTATGAACAACTTGAAAGAAAATGCCCAATAAATTTCTGTAAATGTTTTAGTATGTTTCAAAACCTTTAATGAATTAGCTTATTTGGCTTTATCCTGAATGACATGTGCTAGAAGTTTTCAATAATCTCTTATTTGATATTTGTACTATTAAATAACTTTTATTAATTATATGATAACATTTCTAATTCAAAATTATTGATAATACATATACTACTTTCTGTGTCTTGGAGGAGACACTAAACATATCCAAGTAAATATATTTCCAAAATAGAAAAAGACATGATGTTTCTTTTATAAAATTTTAATTTAAAGAACACAGATGCACTCACTTACTCCATGAGGTCAATTGCACCACCACGACCACATTAACCAAGTGATGTTCACTTACTTTACAGGTAATTTATTATAACTGCAGCACTGTCTCAGGAATGGTTCACACAAATAATTTAACTTAGGTAAACACCATTTTCCAGTAATGACAGGACAAAACAAACTTTGGGAGCATTTATGAACAGTAATGTCTCACTCTCAGTACACATTTGCCAACTGATCTCTGTTGTTTGCAAATGAATTAACTATGGCTTGAAAAATCATTAGAGCCATCTGCTTTGATGGTAAGAAAGAACTGCTATGATCATTTTTTTATAAGAGCAGAGACTAGGGACTATTTTAACATATTTTTAGCATCATTTGCCCTAAATTTGACATGCTATCTAAAAAATTAACAGTATTATTGATTCTTGTTGAGGCTACCTGTAAATCTGTTTACTGAGAAACTGCTTTTCACAGATAACCCTCTGTTCAGTTTTGTTAGTGATACTGAACGTGGAAAGTGTCCATTTTTCCTACATCCAAATTAGTCATTAGGTACCAAAATACTTGATTTTCCAATGATTCAATCCTTTAAGAACTGATGAATGAAATAAAAATTCAGTTAACAAATTAGTTCCTTTCATTGTTTTGAAAGAGTCAGTGGAATGAAAATGAACTTTTGTTTATTTCCTTATTCAAACAATTTAGATGAGTGTTATTTTCAATGCTACAAACATCTGAATAGCACATTTTTTCACTTGCTAGAAAAGTATCTATCTTTACTTTCTTATGAATATTTGATTCAGGAACATGTTTGTAATGTGATGATTAGTAACTCCTTGTATTTGTCAGGTCTTAAAAAAGCAAGTGTATACAAATACACACACACCCATACACACCCAGTGTAAACTCATTATTGCATGTTTATTTCTCAAGGATGCATACATTTTTCAAAAGAAAGGAAAGAGGAGAAAAGAAAGGAGGAAGGGACAAGGGAAGAAAATAGAGAGAGCTCACTGGTGTTTATTTTCTGTGGAAATTTGCCAATAACTATGTAGTTTAAATACTATTGAATTCATAATGTTAAGATATATTATTTACCCTTTGTTAAAAATCTTTTTTTTCTTCTATCTTTTAGGATGGTGGTGTTAGAGAGCTGACTGCAAAGGAGGACCTGTCCATTTACAAGTGCACTTGGATTCAGTTGACATCCAATAACCATATATATATTGAGCAAATAGATAGATGGATGGATGGATGACTGGATAGAAGATACATTAAACTTTATTCTGTCTAAACCTTAATTAAAATATAGAGGAAAAATCTCCTTAGGTGGTAAATAGCAGTCCTCTTCAAATCATAAGAGTATCTTCTTACCTGGCTGCACAGAATTGAAGGAGACAAATATATAGTTATAATCCATCAGATTAGTTGACTCAAATCTCTGAATCTACGGGATGAAAAACATGCTAAAAATAGCTTCACCATAACTGCATACAGAGTTGTATGTATCAATAGTATACAAAAAGAGATAAGCAGGTAGATTTCATGAAATGTCTCATAATCTTAAATGTAAATAGCAAAACAGCAAATATACTTCCTTAACACAGTGAATATAAAGGAATTTATTCTTAAAAACTTACATTTGTGTATTCAAAAAGAAATCTCACAATCTAATAACTGGGTTTCTTTCTTTCCTTCTGTTTTTGTTTTTGTTTGTTTGTTTGTTTGTTTGTTTTTTACATTCGGGAGAAAAACAGCATTACATACTAGTACAGGTTTAAGTCAGTGAGGCCAAGAGCTGGCCAGAGCACAGGCTGGTAGTAAATGCCTGACATGTTCTTCTAGTTGGGCAAGCAATCTGAAAGACAGCAAGAGAGAGAGCCCAAGATGGAAATGACTGTCTTTTATAATCTAACCCTAGAAGTAGCACCCCAGCATGTCTGTGATGTTTGATAGAAAGAAGTTATTAGGTTCTTCCCATACTCAAAGGAAGGGAGCTAAACAAGGCAATAAATATCATGAGATGAAGATCATTTGGGACCATCCTAAAGGCTGCTTACCCTAGCTCCTTAAACCATAAACAAACCTTTCTCCATTGATTCATTCCAAGGCATCCCTCTTCTCTGAATTTTAACAATTTCTTTTCAGTTTAAACCTGAAATCAATCAACCTATCTATAAATAAGCCATTCTTTCCTCCTTCCCATGAATCTTAGAGAAACGTCTCTTCTTCTCCCTACCCTCTGCCTTATAGGGTTATTGAAATATTAACTGTGAAAGCGAGTATCTAACATTTGCTAGAAAACCTGTAATGTGTTGTAGCCCTCACTGTACCAGCATGGTTTGTTGTTCAATGTTAATCCCCACACCTGAACTTTGAAACCTGTTTCCACAAGTTCTTGCATCATCACTTTCCTGTCTACTTCAACATCAGTTACAGATAATTTTAAGTCTCAACCATTTAATTTATCCATTTATTCACTTTAGTTTCAAATACTCCTTCTCATATTCTTCTTCTTTTGCAACTACTGTCCTATATTAATAGATGAATTTCTTAAAAAATAAACTGCCAGGTTCACTTTCTCACTTCTCAATAACCTCCCTGAACTCTAGTTCCACATCCCTGCTGTGCTTCTCTGTAAATATTGGCAGGGATATTCTGACTAAACCAATGGCTCTCCAAATGTGGTCCTTGACAGCATCAGAACCACCTGGGAATTTGTTAGAAATGCGCATTTTGGGTCCCTATCATAGGCCTACTGAAACTCTAGGGCTGAGGCTCAATCATCTTTTTTAATTAGCCCTGTTAGCTCATTCTGATGCTGGCTAAAATTTGAGAACTGTTGGCTTAGACCGTCATAAAAGAACTACTGTCCCAAACTAATGAACCACCTCTGGTCTTTATTTAACTTTGTGCAGCATTGAAAACTGATTCCTTGAAAGTTTCCTCACATACTCTCCCAAACATCCTCTTTTCTTTCTACCTCTCTGATAATTCATTCTTAGTATTCTTTTTAAACTTTTCTTGTCCTACCTATTCTGAGAATGATAGACTCATTCTCCATTTTCTTCTTTTATCTATATGCATGTTTATCCTGGGAATTTTACCTGTTCCATTAATTTATATCTGAAGCTACTAATACCTACCAAATTCATATCCCCTGCCCAGTCCACTTCTCTGGGTAGATAATCATATTTTCAACATCTAAATCAAGATCACTAAATGGGTATCTTCTGTAAGTACAAAATCAACACGTCCAAACCAGAAATCATAACCCCCACAACAGCACCCAGATATATTCCTCCTATTTCTTATCATGATAAAACGGAAGGTAATTTTTATAGTCATCACATTCAGAAAACTGCCATTCACATCACGGTCTACGCCCTTCCCGTATCTTCATGTAGTTAATCGGGAATTGCTCCAGATTTTGTCTCCTACTTTATCAGAGCCCTTCTCAGAATCTCTATTGTTATTTCTGGAATGGTAGTTTTCTCATTTTATCCTTAAAAGTAGTTATGAATCTTATGGCCATCTTTAGAGTAGGAAACTGAGACTAAATGGGGTTCAACAACTTCCCCAAAAGATACACAGCAACTAAGCATCTCAGCGAAGCTCTAAATCTAACTATATAGTTCTTTACTATATTGCCTTAGGATACTTTTATACTCTTAAAAGTCATTAAGGACCTATAAAAGCTTTGGCTTATTTGGGTCATACTTGAGAATACCTGGAAATTCTAAAATTACATGTGTTGACTTAAATTTCATCATTAAACAAAACAGTAGCCCCACATTTTGCTAATTACACTTTTTTTATGAAATATAACTAAATTTTCTAAAACAGAAATATTTAATGAGTACAGTGCTATTGTTTTAAATGTTTGTGAATCTCTTTATTGTCTGGCTTAATACAATCATATTCTCATATCTGCTTCTGCATTTAATCTGATAAAATATGTTGTACTGGTTGAAATGAATAAAGAAAACCGAGCCTCATACTGTTATATAATTACACATGGAAGAGTATCTTAATAATCTTTTCAGATAATTGTCAATATTCTTCTTTGATAGCACAGCAAAACTCAACATGCAGTAGCTTCTTAAAAATTTGCTACAATGTGGCTGGGTGCCGCGGCTCACGCCTGTAATCCCACCACTTTGGGAGGCCAAGGTGGGTGGATCACGAGGTCAGGAGTTCAAGACCAGCCTGGCCAGCATGGAGAAACCCTGTCTCTACTAAAAATACAAAAAATTAGCCAGGTGTGGTGGCACGGGCCTGTAATCCCAGCTATTCCGGAGGCTGAGGCAGAGAATTGCTTAAACCTAGAGGGGCGGAGGTTGCAGTGAGCCGAGATCGCACCACTGCACTCCAGCCTGGGCGACAGAGCGAGACTCCGTCTCAAAAAAAAAAAATATTTGTTACAATGTTGTATCTGAAATCATATCAATAACCTTTTGGGAATGTATTGCATTAACATTCATTCGTTTATCATGCTTTATAAATATATCTATTATCCACTCAAACCTTTGTAACATAATTTATTGGCCAGTTGGATCATACTAATTTATTGAATTAAGCAGATCTTTCAAATACTGACACAGTTCATTATACATTTTAGAAATCACATCTACTAATATCACTTCCAATCTTATCAGAAAAGACTTTAAGTACCAAAAAGTGGTGGATACAAGTTTTACAAAATATTATTATCTCTTGAACACTTAAACTTTATTATTGACAACAAACACCTGCCCATTATTTTCTCTGAAGTTACAAACTCACTTCTTCCATTTTCAAGAAAATGTGTCTACTGCCTAAGTGTGAATAGTCATAGTTTTTGTCTTTTAGCCACTTTCAAGTAAAACCAGTTTCCTACAATAATAATAATAATGTGGCAAGTTCAGCTTGCAACTGAAACAATCGTACCAGTGCATTTTCTTGAAATAACTATCCTATCTTGATATTTAGTAGATGTTCTTTATGAGTACTTCTTGTTTCTTCACAAACACTATTAAATAGGCATGAACTCAAAGATTGAGATTTAATAAAAAATTTGTATGTCTTTTCCCCCTCTCTGTGAATGAATGGTGGTAAAAAAATAATGACTGCCAGTAAGTTTGGTGCCATTGCCTTTATTTGTGTTAAGGCACCAGGAATGTTATCCACTATTGCTCTTGCAACATGAATGCAAATTTTAACACAGAGGGAATAAGCAGATACCTTTCTAGTACTAAAACAGATAACTTTCTGGTAGTATTAATAAAATATTTTCAACTTTGCAAACTTCCTAGAAGGATCTCCAGGACCACTTGGTCACCCTTAGGACTCCATTTTTTTTTTTTTGGAGACGGAGTCTCACTCTGTCACCCAGGCTGGAGTGCAGAGGCACGAACTTGGCTCACTGCAACCTCCGCCTCCCAGGTTCAAGCAATTCTCCTGCCTCAGCCTCCCAAGTGTCTGAGATTACAGGAGCACGCCACCATGGCCGGCTAATTTTTGTATTTTAGTAGAGACAGGGTTTCACCACGTTGGCCAGGCTGGTCTCAAACTCCTGAACTCAGGTGATCTGCCCACCTCAGCCTCCCAAAGTGCTGGGATTACAGGCATGAGCCACTGCGCCAGGCCAGGACTCCATTCTTAAAGCTATTCCATGCTTTTAAAATAGCACTTTCCCTCCAGAACTTATGCTCCCAACTTTATAATTTATACTATATTAATTATTCTACCACTATTTGGAAAGTTATTATTGTGATAACCCGATAATAAAGTTATTATCAGGTTTATGGTATCTGATGTTAAAATGCCAAGGTTTGAATATGACTGAGCTATCTATTGGCTATGCAACTCTAGGCAATAAATCTTAACAATATTTATTTTTCCAGATAAAGAAAATACAGGTAAGTTAATTAATTTGAATTTAAATCCAAGTTTGCCTCCTGGTGCCTATATATAAAATCTTAAGTTCTTTATGTGACACTGAGAACATACACTTCCTCCGCATAAGTTAATTGTCTCTACTTTTGCTCTCTGCTTCCTCTCATCTCACTCTACTCTCACAGAGCCACTCCCTAGAAGCACCAGTAGTAAATTGCGTGTAGTGTTGACATTTACAAACTTATCAGACAATGCATTTTACATCTACTTGACCTATGCATATCCTTTTGGTGGTCTCTCTGTCTCCAATACTAATCTCAGTACTAGAGCCCTACTTATTTTTATGAGAGCATTAGTGCATTTTATTCCACTTAAATGTCTATATAACTGGTTTCCCTGTCTCAGGTGCAGCCATGTTTTACAGTGGAATGAGTGAGATAATAATTATTTTTATAACTTTCAAAGATTTCAACACACAATGTAGGTTTAATTTAAAAGAGATTAAAGAAGGAGATTTATAGCAAAGTGCTCCCATAAATATGTTGGCTTTCAAAGGAAATTATGAGAAATTTTCTCACAAAGGGCTGGAAATTTTCACTTATTTAGATATCAATAAGTAGTCTTAAGTGAAATCTGGCTACATTACTGTATTTAAATCTGGCAAAGATTAAACTAAATTGCCACATGTAAAGAAAATGTGTGCAGCTATAGAAGGGATAAGGAGATAGAATGAGATCTTAATTGAAGGACTAAACCTGTCTAGAAATGATAACAATACTTTAATAACGGAAGTACATCACGTCCAAAATATTTTCTTTGGATGAGGGAAAGTACAGTCATGATGTTTTCATCATGTTTTTCTTTTCCCTCGAATTTTCTACATTGAAAATGTCACAAATATATGATTTGAAAAAAATGTTATTTTGAAAAATAAATAAGAAAAACAACACAGTTGCCCAGTTAATTAATTGCAACTTTAGAAGCTTTATGAAGTCATTGGTTTTAAGAAATACCATATAAATGATCTTAAGCACCAGAACAGAACATTGATTTTAGATAATGAGGAAACTCTTATTATTGATAGGGTTCCCGACATGATACCCCAAACACGATACCTCAGCATCTGAGAAAACAGCAGAAGCAGAAAGGCCACTCTCACATTCTCCCACACTTGTCCCCTGATGGAAGCCATAAAAGTATTATCTGGCCGAGCATGGTGGCCTGTAATCCCAGCACTCTGGGAGGCCGAGGTGGGCTGATCACCTGAGGTCAGGATTCAAGACCAGCCTGGCCAACATGGTGAAAAACCATCTCTACTAAAAATACAAAATTAGTCTGGTGTGGTGGTGCACACCTGTAATCCCAGCCACTCGGGAGGCTGAGGCAGGAGAATCATTTGAACCCGGGAGGTGGAGGTTGGAGTGAGCCAAGATCACGCCATTGCACTCCAGCCTGGGCAAAAAGAGTGGAACTCCGTCTCAAAAAAATAATAATTATTATTATCTAAACTTCCTCTGAGTGAATCATAAGATCCTCATTCCAGAGATGCCCTCCTTATTCCCAGAGGAAAGTAATGTCTTTACCTCTGAGGACACAGGGACATGAAGAAGAATCTGAAGCAGAAGATCTTGCGAAATTCCCCTACTTTATTACCATTAGATCATACTTTGTTCATTTATACTTCTAAGCAACTATTCACGCTTCATCAAACCTAGCATAAAAATATATAGGTTTTCCTGTTTCCTTGGGTCTTCATTTACAAAGGCTCCCATGTCATGTAAAACTTACATTAAATAAATTCACATGCTTTTTTCACATGAACCTAGCAATGGGTGAAAAAGAAATTACTTTTTTATCCCTTGCAGTTTCTGGCACCCAATAAATCTCTTCTCCCTAATACCATCCTTATTCTGCAATAGATAAAGGTCAAGGTTAGTAAAGAGATAATAAAGATCCAGAGAGGTTACCTGTTTAATTATAGGACTGAAAATAAAAACCACTTTATGAAAAACCAAAGGCAGGAAAGAATGTTCATTGACATTTAATACCGACTCTTGCCATGCTTAAACACACACATATACACACACAAACACATGCACTTTCAAGCACCTCTAATATTCATCAAGATACTCAACCAGGGCCCTGCGTGTCACTACCACACCTTGTCTCTATAATAATTGCACCTGGTCTCTATAACATCTACTGCAGAGAGTTCTTGTGTGCAAGATGATCTATGGAGTGTGGGTAGAAAAATTTAATATGTGTGTTTACACCTGCATTTTTCTCATTAATAAAAAAAGGATTAATAGTAGTATCTATTCCATATGGTTGTTTCAAAGGGTATATGAGTTAATTCACAAAAAGCATTTAAAATAGTTTGGAAGAAAGTTCCTTGATCAATACATGGTAGCAATTATTGTTATTACTATTATTATTGCTGTTGTTCATTTTTTAATTAGACACAGGTTGAGTTTTGCCTATATTTACAACAGTAACAGCAGTGATAACTACAGAAATACACTTATCTTGGGTATGCATATTCAAAAATGTTTAGATGCGTTTCATAATTGACATGCAGAAAAAAATAGCCAAATTAAATCATATCTCAACCTACTGGGTGCTTAAATTTAGCCAAGGTGAAATGCTCTTTCTATATCTTTGTGGAGTGTCTCCAGCCTGAATTCTCTTCTACCTTCTCTTTTCAGCTGAGTACTTTCTTCAATCCTCAATATAACCATCTGTGTATCTCCCTGATCCTACAATGTCCCTCTCTTCCATTTCATCTCTGTTCTCACAGGAATTATAAATATTTGTTTTATAGTACTTTTCCCATTGTATTTTAATTGGTTATAAATTTGTTTATAGTATTTGATTATAAAATACTTGAGGATAGCAACTGTGTCTTAGTGAACTTCATTTCTCTGGTGACTAACACAAAGCTAACAACTGTTTGCAGGAGAAATATTGAATGATCTCCCTTTTTATCTTGACATAGAAATTGATTAATTTCTTTCCCTGTAGGATGGTACAGGAAAAACAAAATTTTATGTATACAATTTACAAACATAGATTTCCTTTTCTTAGGTTATTAAAATCTGGCCAGAGATTCATTCCACAATGACATCTCCCTGGAGGCGACGACTTTAGTTTTCCTTCACTTCTATCTGACTTTGATGTTTGACCAAGATGTTCAAACTCTTAACCCAGAGAAGACACCTAAGGAAGCCACATGGTGTGGGAAAAAGTGACATATTTTAGTTTCATATAAAACTCCATTTTTTATGTTGGCTGTGCCATTTAGGAACAGAGATTTTGAGAAATATAAATAATTCTTTCTCTTCTTCTTTGACTTTATCAGTAAACTTAAAATTATAAAGTTTAACTCACAGCTTGCTCTTTTATTTCTTTTGAGAACATAAAATCACAGATATCTTATTTGATTAATTTCCTTATACAGGGTAGATATCACTACTGACAACCTCTATCAACTCCTTCTTCTAAAATGAGACTTGTGACTTGTGTTTTTAATTTTTTAACTGTTAGATAATTATATCATTCCTTTAAAATATAGTAAGCTCCTTGATGACACACTCAATCTCTCCCTTCTCCCAGAGTGCTTAATCAATATTTGTTTCTTGAATTGAATAGAACTGAGTGGTAAGATTTCCCTCCAATTTTGGTTATTTTCTAATATGAGAGTCTGGATGATCTACTCCCTCACGTACACAGTGCATGTGCCCTGGCGTGACTCGGCAGGCTCTGATCACCAGCCAATTTTCGGCAGCAAACCCGTATTTTTTTTTTATTCTGAGAAATTATAAAAATAACATTCCTGCCATCACTTCATCAATTCATAAAGTGACTTTAGTCTCTTGCTTTCTAATTCCTTTCATTTCTCCTTTATAAGCCTGCCAATAGCCTGGGCCTTTGCTGGCCTTACATATTTAATCAGAGTAACCAATGCTGAGGATTTTTACAGGGAATTAAGTTTGATTTGTTTTGAAACATTTATTTATTCCATATGGCATTTAAGTGACTGAATTATTTTTGGTGTTGGAATGAGGTTGCATAAACTGGATTCAAATTTAAAACAGACACACACACACACACACACACACACACACACAGCTAAAGCCCAGGAGTAGTTCTGTAGGAAATATCCACTGTAAAAGGAAAATGGACGTACAACTGAGGAATCAGATTAGGAGATTTGGCAAAATCACAAAGATAATTTTGCTAACATTGGAGTCACCAACATAAAGCTCCACAATTTAGGCCAATACTGGGTTGCACAGTATAGTGACATTGTGGCTTTCCTCCCTGGAATCACCATGTCACTGCCATGCTGTTGTGTCCTGGATTTAGCTGACTTTGGCAGGACAAGCCCTCTCTTATCTCTGGGGGGTGATGGGAGAGGGCTAAGCGGCCTCATCCAGTAAACTGCCTTTGCTTTCACAGGTTCAGGATGGTCAGGGGTACAGGCCTAAGCCCTACATTGTCCACAGTGATTAGTAGTTAGTTCAGAGGCAGGGATGTGAATGACCTAATTTTGTCTAATCAGTAAAGCCTAATACTTTTATTCAGTAGTTGAATAAAGATAAAAAGCTCTATTATTCCAGATCTTGTGGTTAGAGATAGGAACCCTGACACCACTGCGGCCATTTTCTTACTATGACAAAACAAGCAAACAGCAACAGTGAAAGAAAAGAAAAAGAGAAAGAAAGAAAGGAAGGAAGGAAGGAAGGAAGGAAGGAAGGAAGGAAGGAAGGAAGGAAAAGGAAAAGGAAAGAAAGGAAAGAAGGAAGGAAGGAAAGAAAAAAAGAAAGAAAGAGAAAAATGCCTGAGATAATTAGAGAATACAGAGCACAAGCCTGATCTTCAAATATTGTCTAAAGTCCACTAACGAAATATTAGCTGTATTGTTTAAGCCAATGTGAGGTGTATTTTTGTGGTGCTTGTGGTGGTGGTTGTTGTTTGGTTGTGGAGTTTTCTTGCATTTCGACTGGAAAAAGATCCTGATACATAAGCAGAGATGCAGAAAAATAAATCTATAATTATAAAATCCGTATGGTGGGGTTCTTCTGCCGGGCCCATTAGAACACGGTATGTTATTTCACACACTCTCTTATTGAAGTAAAATTACCCTTCAGCCCCTAACCATGCTCGGCAGGAGAGACTGTGCTGGGAAGACCACTGTTTCTAATGTATGTTACAAAGTTGATGCTAACAAGCATTTTAAACAAGTTAAGTGCATCACTGCTGTTTCGCCTTCTCGTGGTTAGAGGTGTGAGTCATGCTTCCTGTTAAGCCCAGAGACAGTGCCTGTTTGAGGTTTGATTATTTGGTAACAAAATGGAAAGCACACTGCTGCTGTGTCAGTGAGCTGGAAGCAATCAACATTTACTAGGCTTACACACATGAGAAATGCAAATAGGTTTCATTTGCTGGGATATGGGTTGGTGGCTTGACTCAAACATTTCATACCCCCAGGAAAAAGGAAGTTAAACCACAGGATTAATCCTTGACTAAATCTTGAGGCATTTTTAACCACAAATTAGAAAATTAAAACCAAAATGTATTCTGCCATTCCAAAACCAAAGAGCTAAGCTCTTACTTCAGAGGTTGGCAAACTCCACCATGTTGGCCCATTTCACTTGACTCTTACCTACCTACTGGTTTACTTTTACTGGCTTTCTGCCAGCCTCTCCAAGGCAGAGCCATGAAACCATGACTCCCAGCTGTGGAATCAGAGACTGGGTGGCAATTAGGCTTCAGAGGGCACCAGGAGCTTCCAGTGATACGTAATTGCTGAATTTCTGGGGATAATTACAGGGGGTCTTTGGGCTGTCTGGGGAAAAAAAAAATCAATCTGAAAACTCACAACGTATACGGTTACTGTATTACTGTAAGAATCATAACTTACAAAGTTAAAGATAGTTGTATTCCAACGGCATGATAATGCAGAAATGGTAAAGAAGAGGTAGCATCCATGCCATTCAAGATATAAAGTTCTCAGTTAATAGTAGTTGATAGCGATGATGCTTTTACTTTAAGAAAGCAAGAGAAGTAATAGTTCCTTGAACTCATCTTATAAACGCCTGATTTTATTCCACAGAGATCTTACCAGGAGAGTCAGAATCTTTTAAGGAAACTGCAGCTATCTGTGAGCATTATTAAGTTGAAATTCTTAATATAAAAAAAAAATCCAGACACCAGAGATTGCTTATAGTTTGTTTTAAAAAAATGAATGATTTGGAAATAAGGGATAGAGAAGTAGGTGATTAATATTGAGAACCTGTAACTTACAAGTTACTTCACAAAGTAACTTTCATTCTCACATTTAAAAAAATCAAAATTACAAAATCAGAATTTCAGAGATAAAGGATGTTAATCTATATTTCCACAGAGATTTTGTGGTATTCTAATGAATGTTTCAAGGTGTTGAAAGCAAGATGTATTCATACCTTTCATTAATTTATTCAGTAAATATTTAATGAGTGCTGATACAGTTGCAAAATATATAAAGCTATTGGGCTTACAAAAGTGGATAAAATAAAATCGAAATTTCTGTCTTCATGAAGCTCATCACCTAACAGAAAAAGAAAGCATGGAACTGGGTGCCCCTCTTTAGTATGTGAGATGCAAATTGTGTGCCCCAGTTGTCAGGTCTGGAATTTGATTTTATCCTGCTTAAAACTAATAAGTTTGCCTGTTTCTGCTTCATAGATACTGGCAGGAGACAGGAGACTCCTGGTTTTGAGACAAAGGACTTCATTAATCATGCATGGCACAGCAAGCAGCATAAGCATCAACATGTTTGTGTCGATTTCTCTTGCTGCCCCCTCCCAAGTCCATGGGGGTGGCGCACAATGCCCGGATAGATGCACAGTGGATTGTGTTACAGAGGAGGAATACTGCACCTAGGAGATCTACAATTTTCACAGTAAGCAGTAAGCAAGCCTGCTGCTTGTCATGAAGACATTACCTAATCCCCTGAGGATGCTCTCTGTAAACACAGCCCTGGGAAATGGTTCCCTTAAAGAGCAGTCAGTGCCTTGCATTCATGGCATACTGGCAAGACATGCAGGAGTCCAAGAGATCTGTGAAGGACATTCTCACAACATCAGTCAGGATCCAGAGTGCGATGCTAGAAATATCATGTTTTGACTGAAGCAAGAAGTCCAATATTTCTCCTTTCAATATTTTTCCCATCTGCTTTCAAGCCATCCAGGTATCTTCAGATTCTTATATGGGGATTCCCTTCTAGGGCAAGGGAAAATCCATTTTGCGATTGACACATTTCAGGATGCTAGCTATGAAGTGGGGTGCTGATTGCTGAGTAGAAAATATGGAAGACACAGACAGTGTATCCATAGCACAAATCACAGTAGTGGAGTCTCATTTCTGTACTTTTAAGGCCAACATATGTTAACCACTACGCTGAGAGATTCCAGCCAAAGTGTCAAATGTTCTCAAGGTTAAATTGACTTTGATTGCCTTACCCAGCAGCAAATGTGGTAACAATCTGCTTAGTCACAGAGAGGAGGTACAACGAGAGGTGTGGGTTGGCAAGAAGCTGGAATAGAACAAGCTGTACATTCAACAGAAATAGTTACTCCAATAGGACATCCTAATTCTAAATTATGAAAGATTCATGTAGCCATCAGAGTTCAGTTAATAAAAACAAAAGTTACCCCCTGCATTCTAAGTTTGAAGGATTTCAATCCACGAAACTAAAGATTTAAACAATCATAGGGAGGGGTGGGGAGCTAAGGTCAGGAAAATTGCTACGTTCAATCTCAAATGAAAGCACCGAAGGGATGGTTCTCAAAAACTCTCCCAAAAGGTGATGTAATTCTCAAGACTCTCTGGAATGTTCTCAGTCATCATCTCAGCTGCTATGGATGCGGTGTGTGCCCTCAAAATTCACATGTTGAAGACCTAACACCGCAATGTGATGGTTTTTAACGTAGGGCCTTTGGGAGATAACTAGGTTTAGATGAGATCTTGAGAGTGTGGCCCACATGATGGGATTAGTGTCCTAAGACAACAGAGCTCTCTGCCTCTCTTGCAAGCGAGGACGCAGTAAGAAGGCAGCCGGCCGGGCGCGGTGGCTCACACCTGTAATCCCAGCGCTTTGGGAGGCTGAGACGGGCGGATCACAAAGTCAGGAGATCAAGACCATCCTGGCTAACACGGTGAAGCCTCGTCTCTACTAAAAATACAAAAAATTAGCCGGCGTGATGGCGGGCGCCTGTAGTCCCAGCTACTCGGGAGGCTGAGGCAGGAGAATGGCGTGAACCTGGGAGGCGGAGCTTGCAGTGAGCCGAGATCTCGCCACGGCACTCCAGCCTGGGAGACAGAGTGAGACTCCATCTCAAAAAAAAGAAGGCAGCCATCTGTAAGCCAGGAAGAGGGCCCTCTCCAGAACTATGTGAAATAAATGCCTGTTGTTTAAGCCACCCAGTCTGTGACATTTTATTCTGGCAGTCCCAGCAAACTAAGACAATCATCCGAGCTTCAGGGCAAGTCACGTCTGTCCATATGTCTGGCTGCTTCTTCCTGAGAAGAATAACAGCCACTGCTCTTCACATTCTAAATTTCAGTCAAGTGTTTCATGTTGATGAACTCTAACCTGGCGCCTTACAGAAAAGGCAATTTTGAGAAATGTAGTTCCAACCTTCTTTCTGTGATAAAGAAAGCAATTACGATGCTGTGTTAATAGCAGATAATCCAACCAAGCCGGATGATTAAACTAGCAAACAGATAATAATAAGTGCCACATGAGTGTTACAGACTAAGTGATATGAGATTGATAATGAGATAAATGTACTTCTGATTCACCCAGGATTTGGGGTAAGCTGTGACATCCTAGAGCAGAGAACATAGTTCAAACTGTGACTGATACCACTCTCTAGGCCCTTTGCACCAGGAGGACAGCTCCTTTGGCAAATCTAAAGACTTTGGTGGAACCACAAAGATGGGAGAATCTTCCAAGTCACTCTCAGAAATATCAAGGGGACAGAAGAGAAGGAAAGTTTCCAGGAAACTTGGGTCCTTCACTGGCAGGTAGTGGCAAGCCCTGTCAAAGCATTCATTCAAAAGTAAAATAATCCAGTTAGATTTAGTGATCCATTTAATGAATTACTCCACTCAAAAAAAAATGAAATAAAATAACTTTATTGGAAATGATGCTAGAAAGATGGTTTGTGAGACGAGTAAATTTGGAGGAGCAATAAAGGGCTAGGTTAAGGAAAATAAACTTTAGTCTGTAGGAAAATGGGGAACAATTTAAGATTTCTGAACCAAGGAATGGCCCAAGCCAGGCAGTGTGCAATGTGAACTGAGAAAAGAACAGACTTGAGGCAGAGAAATGAGATAACAATTTGGCTATTATTTTATTAAAGTGCATGATAATCAATGTTTGACTGCAATGTTAACAAGAAAAGGGGTGAAGGGATTCTTGGTCAACATTGTGAAGGAAGCAACATAACTTAGTGATTTGAGAAGTGACTTTTTCTGAACTTTAGAATGTCCATCTTCTAGTCTTAGAAACTTGTATTCACCGAAAGCAGTCACTCCTGATCTTAGATTTCAAATCCTCTTAACCATGATAGTGGCTTCATTTTCAACAGGATTCTCCTTTAAACACAAGATAGAAGCAGACTAGACATTTAGCGTTTCCACACAGACGTTATCTCTGCTTGAGTAGGCTGAGCTTATCCTTGATCATCTCTAGATCTGAATAAGGCTAATAAATTATTTTGCAATTTCCCTAATATTTTTCTCTAATTACATATGTTCACGCATTTTTTTTTTTTTTGATGGAGTCTTGCTCCATCGCCCAGGCTGGAGTGCAATGGCACCATCACTGCTCAGTGCAACCTCTGTCTCCTGGGTTCAAGCGATTCTCTTGTCTTAGCCTCCCGAGTAGCTGGGACTACGGGCGCATGCCTCCACATCTGGCTAATTTTTGTACTTTTAGTAGAGACAGGGTTTCACCTTGTTGGTCAGGCTGCTCTCTAACTTCTGACCTCAAGCGATCCACCCACCTCGGCCTCTCAAAGTGCTGGGATTATAGGCGTGAGCCACAGTGCCCCACAAAGAAATTTTTTAAATTTCTTTTTTAAATGTATGGTGGTAAGAACCAAACATTAATTCTACTCTCTTAACAGATGTTTAAGTGTACAAAACAGTTTTGTTGTCTATAGGAACAATACCGTACAGCAGATCTCTAGCACTTATTCATCTTGAATAACACAATTTTACACCTATGTATTAGCAAATCCCCATTTTTTCTTTTACTCAGTCATTTGCAACCACTATTCCACTCCTTGATTCTGTGAGTTTGACTATTTTATATAACTTATACAAGCAGAATCATGCAGTTTTTGTCCTTTTGTGACTGGCTTATTTCACTTAACATAATGTTCTTAAGGTTCATCCATGTTGTTGCATATAGCAAATTTCCTTCTTTTTGAAGGAAAAGTTAATATTCTCTTGTATGTACATAGCATCGTTTGTTTCTTTTCATTCATCTGTCAATGTACATTTTGGTTGTTTCCACATCTTGGCTATTGTGAGTAGTGCTATAATGAACATGATAAGAGTGCTCATATCTCTTTGAGAGCCTGATTTCATTTCTTTTGGATACATAGTTAGAAGTGAGTTTGCTGAATCCTATGGTAGCTCAATTTTTAATTTTTGGAGGAACCTCCATGCTATTTTCCATAGCAGCTGCACCATTTTACATTCCCATCAACAGTGTACAAGGGCACTAATTTATTCACATCCTTGCCAAGACTTGTTAACTTTTGACTTTTGGATAGTAGCCATACTAACAGGTCTGAGGTGATATCTTGTAGTTTTTATTTGCATTTCCCTAGTGATTAATTGACGTTGAGCATCTTTTCATGTACCTGTATGGTCATTTTTATCTCATTTTAAAAAAATGTCTATTCAAGTCTTTAGCCCATTTTTAAATCAGTTTACAGTTTTTTTTTCTATGAAGTTGTAGAAATTTCTTATATATTTTGGAAATCAGCCTTTTATCAAATATGTAGTTTGCAAAAATTTTCTCTCATTGTATAGGTTAAGTATTCACTCTGTTAACTGTTCCCTTTGCTATGCAGAAGTCTTTTAGTTTGATGTAGTCCCACCCGTTTATTTTTGTTTTGGTTGTCTGGGCTGTAGGTGTCCATGGAACTCATTAATCAGTAAGTGGCTACTGTAGCCACTTAGCCAAACACTGTGCTAGGTGTTAGGTATGAAAACATAGAAGAGACCTGGCCCTGGCTTTGAGGGAGCCCACATTCTACAGCCAAGCACAAAAATATAATTCTTATAAATAATATAAAAGAAGTGCACTGTTAGCACAAAGATGAAAATTAGCAATGAGGGCTATGGGATAATAGCCTGGGGAGGCTTGACAGAGGAAGTGATTCTTAAGCTGTACCTCAGAGGAAGAATAGGATTTGTCAAGTAGATAAGGTCTGAATGAAAGAAAGCCAAGCAGCCACAGAGGCAAGAAGAAATAAAAGAGTATGGATTTAGATGCAGGGCATTTGCACACCTGATAATTCACACACTTCTTGCATACACAACTCCAATTTCCATAGCTAGATAGTCCATTTTTGGATTAACTAGGGTTTTTAAAAAAAAAAAGGTTTTTTAAATACATTAACATTTGTATGAATCTCTGAAAGCATCTGCATATTAGAAGTGTCTATTATTCAGAACCATATGAAAACCAATAGTAATTGGTTTGAGCCCACTGAAGAATTGGGACACCCTGATGCTCTATTCCAATATTTAGAAATAGGGAGACCAGCTGAGATGAGAAAGGTAACAATCATAACTATTTCAATAGAGAACAATTTTAGCTATTTTTCCATCAGACGATTTATAGTTACAGATCTAAATTATTGCTGTAGTTTTACTTTTATTCTTTTGGATGCCATTTCTATGATGCCACATGGGAATATTATTTTAAATTTGAGGTTTACATTAAATCCAAGCTTTATTTTGTTTTGGTCTTTAATTGTCTGTAATTTCCTCTCCCCAGTCACCACCACCAAACCCCTAAATATTAACCTTGTTCGCAATGAGTTATAAGTATTTATTTACTTTGGTTTTATATCCCTGCTTTCATTTTTTATGAATATCCTATTAAAATCAGATGTCACCAGAAATCTAGCGAACTCATTTTACAACCAGATTACTTTGTTTACTTTTTTCTTTCTTTTCTTTGTTTTTGGGTCTCCTGTTCTTCTTTTTCTTACTCAGTGTATTAGCGTTCTCTAGAGGGACGGAACAAATGGAATAGATATATACATAAAGGAGAGTTTATTAAATATTAACTCACGCAATCACAAGGTCCCACAATAGGCAGTCTGCAGGCTGAGGAGCAAGGAGAGCCAGTCTGAGTTCGAAAACTGAAGAAATTGGAATCCGATGTTGGAGGGCAGGAAACATCCAGCACACCGAAGAAAGATGTAGGCTGGGAGGCAAGGCCAGCCTCTCTTTTCACATTTTTTTTGCCTGCTTATATCCTAGCCTTGTTGGCAGCTGATTAGATTGTGCCCACTCAGATTAAGGGTGGGTCTGCCTTCCCCAGCCCACTGACTCAAATGTTAATCTCCTTTGGCAACACCCACACAGACACACCCAGGATCAATGCTTTGTATCCTTCAATCCAATCAAATTGACACTCAGTATTAACCATCACACTCACAAAGTTGTTTTATGTTTGGAGTCTCTCATTCCTCTTAGGCTATATTACATTTTAGATTCTCTGTTTATAGTATATCATCTTTTTTCTTAGAGTTTCTCTATTTATATGGCTGTACTGTTTTTCTAGGGCTGATGCAGAAAATTCCAGAAACTAGGTGGATTAAAACAACAGAAATTTATTTTCGCACAATTCTGGAGACTAGAAGTCCAAAATCAAGGTGTTGGCAGGACCATTCTGCCAATTTGCCAAGGCAAATTCTGAGGTGCTGGGGATTAGGACTTAAACATGTCATGTTTTGTGAGACACAATTCAACCCGTAACAATTACTGATATTGAGAAACAGTACAGGCTGTGCTCAAGGGCATGGGCATTGGAATGAAAAAGCCCTGGTTCAAGGCCTTGTTCCATCACGAACTGTGACTTCAGGCCATTTCTGTAATTTTTCTATTTATAAAGTAGAAATTATGACAATACCTCAGAATTTTTAGAGAATTAAATAAGGTAATACATCAGTGTGATTAGCATAGTACCTGGCTTATAGCAACTGTCCAGTAAATATTAGCAATTGGCATTATCTTAAGGATATAGGGGACTATTTCTAAATATATTCAGGAATCTCTATTTTGAGCAGTGTAAGAACTAAAACAGTAGGAAGTGGCAAAAGGGTCACCACCTTTAGCCTATGCTGTGTCATCTTTTGAAATTCTGATATTTTTGGTACCGTCTGCCAAAATGATAAAGAGTAACTAGGAAGACTCTTTGCATGGAGAACTGAGAATGTGCCACATGAAAACTCATTCCGAGAGAAGAGGGAGCTATCAATGACGAACTTGATTCCATACTACATTTTATTTTCAGAAGGAAAGAGTGATTCTTAGGATAGCCTCCTGTCAGACTGTCCCTGGCCCCACACTATGAATTTCTACCTAGGTCTTAATGGCTATAGATGACTCTGAGTTAATACCCAAAGAGCAATGTCACTGGAAAGGGGTACAATATACGTTCTTTGAGTGATGACTACCATAAAAGCCCTGACTTCACCACTATGCAATTTATACATGTAACAAAATTACACTTGTATCCTTTAAATGTATGCAAATTAAAAATAAATAAATAGAAATGAAAATTCGGAGCACAACTTGTAGTGTTTTGGTATGCACCTAACAAATTCTAAAACAATATGATGGTATGAGGCATTCTATTCTAAACTAGTACAAATACCTGGGGAACTTTGAGGATCCTTGTAATGCCTGGTGGTCACAAAAGTATCCCTGAAGTGTCAACTTGGTTGACGGAAACTGCAGTAGTCCCTGGGAGAAAAAACATGGAAACAAATCAGTAGTGTAAATAGACGTGGACTGAGCACAGTGGTGCTTAGAGTGCTTAGACTCTTTCATTGGTCCTAGCAAGAACTCTATTTCTGAAAGACTTTTATTATATCTGTTTTACACATGAGGAAAACTAAAAGTTGAAGAGTGGTAAATGTCAAGTCCAAGACCACAGAGCTAATAGGTAGGAAAAAAAAAAGTATTTTAACCCAAGCAGGAGCTCCAGGAGCTGAGAATTTTCTAAAAGGAATATTAGAAACCCTCTAGAGCAGTGGTCAGAAATCTTTTCCTGTAAAAGGCCAAATAGTAAGTATTTTCAGCTTTTGGAGCTGTATGGCTTCTTTTGCAACTACTTAACCATTTTTGCCATGGTAGTACAAAAGCAGCCATAGACATATGTACACAAATGGGCACGGCTGTGTTCCAATAAAAGTTTATTTCCAAAAACAGAAGTCAGCCAGATTTGGCCCACAGGCCCTAGTTTGCTAATCCCTGACTCCTTTTAACTGCTGTGGCAAATGATTTGTTCAGTCTTATTATAGCATCACTTAAGAAAATAGCATTTAAGGCTGCATCCCCACTTTCTCTTCTATTACTGTTAACCTCTCTTAAATTGGTAAGGTGTTAGTAATCTGCACTGATGTATTTCACTTAGTGCATCTAGTCTCCTCGGGTAACAGAGACAGAAACATACCCTTGATGTGACTTTTCCATAATAGATCACTCATTTTTCCACCTCCTGCTGCACCTGTTCATCACCTGCATGCCGCTTGCTTACACTGACCTTCATCGTTTCCTACACCTGTACCTTTTTCTTCTTAGCTACCCTCTATTTTTTTCTGAAAGGTTACTTGGTTTCTGAATTTTTTACTTTAAAAAAAAATTATGTGACTTGAACTTCATTTGCTGTCTTTCCCTTCTTCTGCTCTAATTTTAACACATTTATGTATGCTTATAGCATCTGGGACTATGGCCACACATAATTCTAAGAGCACTTCAAATGGTTAGGAAATTCAGATTTAGTGAGAAAACTCTTATGAGTTCAATTTTATTCAAAAGTTTAGTTGCACTAATACAGCATAGAAACACTGAGAAAGAGAAACAAGATGAAACAACGCACATCTAAAGTGGAAGTAAGCTTACTACATTCCTTAAGGCTTTATTAGAACTGGAAGGAATGTAACCACCAATATATTCACCATTTTCTTTTATGTTTTAAAAAAAAGAACACACACTGGGGCCTATTGGAAGGTGAAGAGTGGGAGGAGTGAGAGGATCAGGAAAAATAACTAATGGGTAGAAGGCTTAATAATAACTGGATGATGAAATAATCTGTACAACAAATCCCCATGACACAAGTTTACCTATGCAGCAAACCTGCACATGTACTCCTGAACTTAAAAGTTTAAAAAGAAAAAGGAAAACTGAAATCAGGAAATTCAGGGTCATTTATTTAACTGGTTATAGAGTTCTTTGGAGAGCTGATTCTAAAATCCAGATCCGCTGATTGACCATCTAAGGGCTCTTTCTAACTTCATGAGACCTAAACATGTGGAACAAGACAGAAGCATTTTCAAAGCGTTTTTTTCTTCTGTTGATCTAACATATTGCATCATTATTCTTGGTTCTGATCCCTCAGGTAAAATGACTGGAACCTGTTTTCTCATCTATTTTCCCGCCCCCCTCCAGTGGTTTACAAACATAAAGGTCAGAGTTGATTAGTTCTTTAAAGAAAGTTCAGTTTTAAAAATAATCTCAAATCAAGGATCCTTCCCTTCTTTTTCAGTAACTTGCAGCTACAGAACAGTCTCAAGGTGAGCTAAGTCTGCCTTTGCCGGTCTTCCTGTCTGTGATGTGTAACTTCACTAAAACCCAGTTCTGAAAATGCCACTCTGCTGCTTACTCATAAACATTCAGAGGCTCCTTACTGCCTCCTCAGACTACAAACATTTCCTTGTCTTCAAGTTTTCCTTGTTCTTTCCTTCACATAAAAACAAAACAAAACAAAGCTCTGTATCTCTCTCTCTACCATTATTCTTATCAAAACCCTCTCATTGGTTTGCTAGAGCTGCGGTAAGAGAGGACCACAAACTAGGTGGCTTCAAAACCAGAAATTTGTTGCTTCACAGTTCTAGAGATCAGAAGTCTGAAATCAAGGTTAGCAAATTTCCAGAAGTCTATTTGAAAGAGTTGGTTCCTTCTGAGGGTTGTGAAGGAGAATCTGTTCATACCTTTGCCTTAGTTCCTGGTGGTTTGCTGGTGACGTTTGGCATTCACTGGCTTGTGGCAACATATATCCAATCTTCACATGGTCTTCTCCCTGTGTCTCTCTGTCCAAATTTTCCCTTCTTATGAGGACACTAGTCAGATTAGATTAGAGCCCACCTTAATGACTTCTTAATTTGACTACATCTGCAAAGGCCTCTTCTCCAAATAAAATCACTTTCTCAGGCAAGAGGAGTTATCCTTTCAACATATGACACACATGTGACTTTGCTATGAATTTGTAGAGAGACAAAATTCAGCCCATAATAGCCCTCTTTGTATTTCCAGGCCTTATACAGAAGCAATATCTTCCATGAAACATTTCCTACCTCTAGGCTGACATGTTTTCCTCTGCTGAGCCTCTTAGTAACCATTCCTTCTTTCCACTTCATGACCAATTTCTTGAAATCAGGGATTGTGTATTTCTCAATTTGTTACTTTACCCCAAAGTCTATCATGTTGCCTGGTATTCAACAGACATCAAAAAATGTTTGCTGTAAGATGGGCAGTGTGGCTCATACCTGTAATCCCAGCCTTTTGGAAAGCCAAGAAAGGCGGATCACTGAGCTCAGGAGTCTGAAACCAGCCTAGCCAACATGGCAAAACCGCGTCTCTACAATAAAAGAAAAAAACAAATACAAAAAGTTATCCGGGCTTGGCAACGCAAGCCTGTAGTCTCAGCTACTTGAGAAGCAGAGGTGACAGGATGATCTGAGCCCAAGAGGTCGAGGCTGCAACGAGCTGAGATAGCGCCACTGCACCCCAGCCTGGGCAACAGAGACCCTGTCTCACCCAAAAAACCAAAAAAAAAAAAGGCCGGGCGCGGTGGCTCACGCCTTAATCCCAGCACTTTGGGAGGCCGAGGCGGGCGGATCACGAGGTCAGGAGATTGCGACCATTCTGGCTAACACGGTGAAACCCCGTGTCTACTAAAGATACAAAAAATTAGCCGGGCCTGGTGGCGGGCGCCTGTAGTCCCAGCTACTCGGGAGGCTGACGCAGGAGAATGGCGTGAACCCGGGAGGCGGAGCTTGCAGTGAGCCGGGATCGCGCCACTACACTCCAGCCTGGGAGAGAGCGAGACTCCGTCTCAAAAAAAAAAAAAAAAAAAAAAGTCTGCTGGGTTGAAGAGATTTTGTCTTCTTTTGTCTTCTATACTCTAGAGATGACAGGGATTTTCATGCAGGTTAAGATCCAAGCAAGGCCTCTACCCTTCTAGGTCATATTTTCACCATAGTGATGAGAAATAGTACAGTATTGATTAAGAGAATGGACTTGAGCCCTAATTCTGATTTTGTCACATATGTCCATATTTATATAACCTGATAACATTAGCCTCTCACAAATTTCCCTCAAATTTTCTAATTTATAAAGCATGACGTGTAAACCCCACCCTAAAGGATTTGACTGAAAGTTGATTAAGATAATATATGCAACGTCTTAACCAGCGATAGCTAATAATACTGTTGTCTAGGACACCTAGATAACCTATTGCTATTTATAGTGCTGACAAGCTTTTTAAAGGCTTTCAAGAAGTTTTTAAAGACTTTAACATGTTTATAGATCACAGAGAAGCCTCCATACACACAGAGAAACTATTTGAGCTTGATTCATGAAGAGGAAAAAAAAATAAGAGACACTTTATATAACCTTAAGGAAACAGTGGTCACTTCTGGTCAAGGAGAACAGATAGCAATTGTGCAGAATTAAACTACAGATCCTACCTTTGACTATTTAGTCACGCCTCACAATTAGCCAGAAGAGCCATTTTCAAATATCAAGGGCAATACAAATAGAGTTGTTATCATCATTCATTCTTCAAAGCAATGACCTTTACTTTGGGCTAGTTTCTTTGGCAAGGAAGTTTGGCATGAAGCTGCTAAAGTAACATTAAACGGCAAAAAATCTGTTCTTGTGACTATGCTATCTTAATGGCAATTTAACAAAACACCTAATTTCAGGCTCAGAGGTAAAAATGCTTAAGCAACCCACCTGAGACTCCCAAGCGGCATATTTATCAAAACAAGTTAAAGTCACCTTCTGAATAATTGTTGTGGAGGGGTTTTCACAGAGCAGAGAGGCACATTTTCTGTGGATTGAACGATTGATCACTAAGTTCTAGTAACAGGTGCATCTTGCTTCTGGGGCCTTGAAACATGACAGGCTGTAGAAAAACTATTAAAATCGCTTTGCTAACAAAGAAAAATCAATTGTTCTCCACAAGGAGGTGCCCTCTGGCGCAATCAATATACAATAGTACAATGCTGGGCTGTAAAGCCTGTGAGCAGATTTAAGCTTTTGATTAGGTAAAAGGTGGAGAGGGGAGCTGTTTTTCATCTCTGATGGACTCAGAAAGATAAAGATATATTTTGCTATAAGTTGCATTTGGTTTTTCTTCAGTAGATCAACTTGTTAAAAGCACAGCTGGGTTTTTTTGAGTATAGTGCTTTGTAAAGTAGCATCTTACCTGTTTTCAGGTCAAGGTATGTGGTAGAGAGCTGGAGTTGGAAAGGGGCATACTTATGAGACTAATCCAAGAATCAAAATGGAAGGACACATGGGAACAAGAACACTATCAGTTCCACTGTTATGAATTGAAAAGTATATAATGTCTGTTATTTTTCTGCTACATATAAAAAATATATGAGTTTATATGGCAGTCAGGTACTGGAACTTTTTGTGCATTTTTCTACCAACAAATCAATAATCATCTGTTATTTACAGACATATGTTTCAAGAATAGAAAAATGGCATTTACAACCTCTGTATTTTCATAAAGCTTTGCCTGTGTGCCAACAATATTTGAAGCAGATACAAAACTCAAAATAAAACTCAATTCAGGCTATTCAGACAGGGGAAAAGCACACTCTCAGTAACAAAGAACTTTATGCTGAGAACATGAAATGCTTTTTCACTCAAAGGAATGTTATAACTGAATAGTGTAGACAAAACCCATTGAACAATCGTCAGTAACTTTTTGTAGTTAGAATGTGTATACATGAACATATTTGAAATTCCATCTTTAAAAATGTTAAACGGTCTAGATTTTATAAAATGAGCAACATAATTCAGTATTTTCACAGCAAATTAATTATATGCATTAATGGAGCATACAACAGAAGTAAAGATGTTTTATAATTTGCATGGTGTTGGGGAATTCACATTATTTAGAAGGTAATTTTTGTTCAATATAAATCATCTCATAAGTATCGTTCACTAAAACTTCCAATTTCTTGAGTTTAACCAGATTAATCTTGTCCCTCTGAGTTTGTTTCAGCCACAGAGAAGTCAAGTAAATTGCCAGACATAAAGCCATGCAATTTTCATTCCAGGCATCCAAAATAAAGATCTGGGAGTCTGACAGGTAATATTAGGGACTGAGGCCAACATTCAAAGATAGCAGTGTAGTAGAAAGTCAAGAGCCAGAAGAGATTCGAAAGAGGGTTTGGCTGTGTACTGTTGTCCACTCTTCAACTGGAACAGCTTAGACATAGCTATCAATGATCCCTCATCTGCATCTCCAGAAGAGGGCTGTATTCACTTCTGACCAGACACCCTCAGAGTCCATACATTTTCCTAGTGAAATACTAAAGAAAGTTCTTAGGCAGATGAAACTGATGAAAGAGGGAAGCGTAGAAATGAAGAAAGAATATGTAGAAGAGCAGCAGTAAGGATAAAGCTGTAGGGAAACCTAAATGAAAGAAATCCAATGTTTAGGCGTGTGTGTGTGTGTGTCTTTGTGTGCACACATGCACATGCATGTGTGCAGTTTGGAAGTCATTGCATTGTCCGAAAATAGTAAAAGTCTTAATTTCCATTAGACTTTCATTAGAGAGTATCATAATCTCTAGATGGATATTAATATGTTAAGGAATGTTATAATAGTAAAAATAGTAAAATAATGTGTCACTAATAGGCAAATGAGTATAGAATTTAATAATTAATCCAAAAATTTGCATGGAACAGATGACAAATAGAAAGCAAATTGGAAGATGCTAGATTTAAACACAGGTCATATAAACACTTTCAATGTAAATGAACTAAAATTACAATTAAAAATGAAGATTAAAATAATCTAAAGAAACTAAACTCGATGCTGCTTTTGAGACATTTTCAATTTTAATATTCAAAAACATTTTAAAAAGATGATAAAAATTACTGAGCAACACTAAAAGAAGCTTGAAGCTACACTAATATCAGACACTGCAGACTCTAAGCCAAGGCACATTATTAAAGATGGAAGAGATATTTCAAGGCACTAGGAAAATATAATTCTAAATGTGTATACACCTAATAACATAGCCTCAAAAGATGTAATGCAGAATTTTACTGAACTACAAGAAGACATAGTCAGTTTCACAAATACATTGAGAGATTTTAAGATACCCCTCTCAGCAACTGATAGGACAAGCAGATACATCAGTAAGGTTATAGAAGAGTTGAAAAACTTGATTAACTATGTTGACATAATTGACAAATATAGTGTACCCAACCCAACAATTGCAGAACACAGGCTCAAAGTAAAGGGAGTTGATTTGGCTTAGTATAACAAGGAAGTCTGCACTTACATCTTCAGGTTTCAGATATCCTTGGACCCAGGGGTTTAAAAATATAATATGAAATTTAAAATTTTTTTCTGTCTCATTTCTCCTTAATTTTGCATGTTGAATCTTATTATCTCCTACACAAACAAGCTGTCTTTTTAAGACCTGAGAGTATGGTGTCAAGCAACTGTAAGTTGCTCCTCATTTTTGTAGGTTGATTTAGGAACCTGCAGCTTTACTAAATTTGTATTAGTTCTAACAGTTTAACAATGCTGGACATTAAGGTTGCTCTTTTCTTTCTTTTTTTTTTTTTTTTTTTTTTTTTTTTTTGAGATGGAGTCTCGCTCTGTCGCCCAGGCTGGAGTGCAGTGGCACGATCTGGGCTCACTGCAAGCTCCGCCTCCCGGGTTCACGCCATTCTCCTGCCTCAGCCTCCCGAGTAGCTGGGACTACCGGCGCCCGCCGCCACGCCCGGCTAATTTTTTTGTATTTTTAGTAGAGATGGGGTTTCACCGTGTTAGCCAGGATGGTGTCGATCTCCTGACCTCGTGATCCGCCCGCCTCGGCCTCCCAAAGTGCTGGGATTACAGGCTTGAGCCACTGCGCCTGGCCTACTCTTCTTTTTATATTCATTTTGATCCTATACTTTCTGTGTCTCTCTATATACCCTACTAGACTGTTGTTCTTGTTGCCTTCTGCTGTTTCCTTCTCTCATTCTTTCTCTGTGTTGCTGCCATCAAATCTAAACACGTAACTGGTGTTTCCACTTTCTCCTGCTATGGCTACACCACTATGTTTATCCCCTTCTCATGCCCACAGTTATGCCTAGGTCTGGAAGTACATTGGGATTCTATGATTGTCTGGATATGAGATATTATATTCACTCTAAGAAAAATTATTTTTCCTCCAGGAGTAGAAAGAAAACAATGTTCCCAGGCCTTTTCCAGTGTTTCTCCTAATCCCACAGTATATTTACATCTCCCTGTAGCTAGAAATAAGTCAATGACTCTAATATTCAATAAACCACTCTGAACTCCCATAGTCACTTACTTTAACTAAAAAGATTTCATTGATTTGTTTTTGCATGGTTACCTTTTATTCAGAGATATGGCTTTGCTATTTTTCTCTAAAATGACCTTGACATGATTTGCCTCCTGGTTGGTTGAACATCGGCAAAAGTTAAATAATGGCACAGCAGCTTATTCTGTGACCCAGAATATTCCCTTCTAAAAATTTAGCCAAAAAACTATCAGATAAAAATACAAACATAAATATATATTTCATAATGGTGCAAAATAAATGAAAACAACCCGGAAAAAACTAAATACCAAATATTAGAAAACTAGTTAAATAAATTGCAGGACATCTGCTGGGTGCAATGGCTCAAGCCTGTAATCCCAGCACTTTGGGAGGCTAAGGTGGGTGGATCACAAGGTCGGGAGATTGAGACCATCTTAGCCAACGTGGCGAAACCCTGTCTCTACTAAAATATAAAAAAAAATCTACCTGGGCATGGTGGCGCACACCTGTAGTCTCAGCTACTTGGGAGGCTGAGGTGAGGCAGGGGAATTGCTTGAACCCGGGAGGCAGAGGTTGCAGTGAGCCAAGATCACACCACTGCACTCCAGCCTGGTGGGAGAGCGAGACTCCGTCTCTAAAAAAAAAAAAAAAAATTGTAGGATATCTATACAATTAACTTTGACATAATCTTTAAAAATTATACCGGCCAGGCATACTGGCTCATGGCTCAATGCCTATAATCCCAATACTTTGGGAGGCCAAGGCAGGAGGATTGCTCTAGCCCCAGCCTAGGAAACATAGCCAGACCCCATCTCTACAGAAAAATAACAAATTAGCTGGGCATGGTGGTGCAAACCTGTAGTCCCAGCTACTTGGGAGGCTGAGGTGGGAGTATCACTTGAGCCTGAAGGTGGAGGCTGCAGTGAGCCATGATTGTGCCACTTCACTCCAGCCTGGGCGGCAGAGTGAGACCCTTGTCTAATAAATAAATAAATAAATAAAATTTATACTGTACAACATTTAAGAACATAGAAAATTGTTCAGGTCAATAACAGGCTGTCAGTTGGTTATTCCAGAATTACTTCTAGGTTAGATAGCAAAAGCTGGGACTAGACAGAATTTCTTCCTCCAAAGGCAAAGTGAAAGCAGAAACAAAAGCAAAAACTAGAAATGTTCTTGAGGGAAACTGCAGACAACATACATGGATTTGAAAATACTTTTCTGTTTTTTACCTTTTCAGGGCCAAAATCAGTTTGACACAGTGCCTTGTGTATTAATAACTTTCCAATAATAATATACCTTTATAAGAAGAGCCTCCCCATGGCCACTTCCCAGGTTCAGAGCTTCACCATATTCAGCCTCCCTGCTTGTCACACTAAGGATTCGACCAAGGACCTTACCAAGCTCAGGGAGGAGCATCAGACTCTTTCAGCAGTGTATACAGTTTATCGTCCTCTTCCGTAACCTATCACTGTTGGTCAACTTTCTTAAGTCATCCAGCTATCCATTCCAAGCAAAGTGATGAACCTCACACAAATCCTCCTTTTATTTCCTCCAGCCCATGGACAAAGTTGGGATATATCTTATGCCAGAGACAAAATGATTGCGTTCTCTCGAAGCTGCATGAAAAGGCTATATTACAGCCTATGCATAAGAGCCTTAATATACCTGTGAAAGGTAAATAAATGCAAGTCAGATCTGAAACACCCAGTCAACACAGCCCAGGATAATTTTGCAATTGGTTTTCATGTCTTTTATCTTCTGCATCTAGATGACAAAGATAGGGGACACTAACAGACCCTGTATTAGTCAGTGTTCTCTAAAGGGACAGAACTAATAGATTAGATGTATATATAAAGGGGAGCTCACCAAGGAATATTGACTCACACAATCACAAGGTGAAATCCCGCTATAGATGGTCTGCAAGCTGAGGAGCAGGGAAGCCAGTCCGAGTCCCAGAACCTCAAAAGTAGGGAAGCCGACAGTGCAGCCTTCAGTCTGTGGCAGGAGGCCAGAGACCCCCTGGAAAACCACTGGTGTAAGTCCAAAGTCCAAAAGCTGAAGAACTTGGAGTTGGTGTTCGAGGGCAGGAGGCATCCAGCACGGGAGATAGGTGAAGGCCAGAAGACTCAGCAAGTCAAGTCCTTCCATGTTCTTCTGCCTGCTTTTATCCTAGCTGCACTGGCAGTGGATTAGGTGGTGTCCACCCAGACTGAGGGTGGGTCTGCCTCTTCCCATCCACTGACTCAAATGTTAATCTCCTTTGACAACACCCTCACAGACACACCCAGGTAGAATATTTTGCATCCTTCGATCCAATCAAGTTGACACTCTTTTTTTTTTTGAAATGGAGTAAAGCTTTGTCGCCCAGGCTGGAGCGCAGTGGTGCGATCTCGGCTCACTGCAACCTCCGCCTCCCGAGTTCAAGTGATTCTCCTGCCTCAGCCTCCTGAGTAGCTGGGATTACAGGCACATGCCACCATGGCCAGCTAATTTTTGTGTTTTTAGTAGAGATGGGTTTTCACTATGTTGGGCAGACTGGTCTTGAACTCCTGACCTCGTGATCTGCCCGCCTCCGCATTCCAAAGTGCTGGGATTACAGGTGTGAGCCACCACCTGGCTGACACTCATTATTAACCATCACAGACTCATTAGTACCTTTCCTGGGCCACATGCAAACGAAAAGATTTGCTCTAAACTGCCAATTGATTTACACCTTCTCCTCTTCACATCTATACACACAGGAAATTTAGAATTCCATTGTTCCACTGTCCTCTTGTGTGCTTATCAAACTGGTACTGGAACACGATTCTTCAATTTGCTTGATATTTATTTATTTATTTATTTATTTTTTATTTTTTTGAGATGGAGTCTTGCTCTGTCGCCCAGACAAGTGGTGCAGTGGTGCGATCTCAGCTCACTACAAGCTCTGCCTCCCGGGTTCAAGCCATTCTCCTGCCTCAGCCTCCCGAGTAGCTGGGACCACGGGTGCCCGCCACCACACTCAGCTAATTTTTTTTTGTATTTTTAGTAGAGTTGGGGTTTCACCATGTTAGCCCAGATGGTCTCAATCTCCTGACCTCGTGATCTGCCCATCTCGGCCTCCCAAAGTGCTGGGATTACAGGCATGATATATTTATTTTATTAAATTATATCTTGTAACCGGTGAAATTTAAACAACTTATTATTTCAATCAGTTATAAGACACCAATGCAGAATACAGATAAAAGAGGGAGATACAGTTGAGCGTGAATTTTAGAAGACTTTCCAGAGCTGTGTTACATGTTCATTTCTGCCACTGAAGATACCTCCAGATATTTGAAGGATCTCTATCAGATGACACTGGGTACTAATGCTAACCTGCCTAAGCTGAAGGTCACAAACAAGTTCAAGAAAAAAGTCACTGTAGGCTTACCTGTATTAACTCTTATGTTCATTTTACTTATATTCTCCAGTTGTGTTTTCAAAGGAGCTAATGTCTGTAAATCTCTTTATTTTCATTCTCAATTCAAATTCCTGGTTGAAAAACACTCCTGGAGTGCATGTTTTATATAATTCTGTGCAATTAAAATTTTATTCTCTAGCAAGAGGTTTTTAGTAGCTGAACACAAAATGGTAACTGACAAATTACAATCAACAAATTCACCTTTTACCTCCACTTCTTTGTATCTGGTCATTATAAAGATTATTTAAAAATTTACCTTATATTGTCCATCTTTTCATATCCTATGATTGGGACTCCCGTGAAGCTTTATACAACTAAATAACACAGGCATCTATGATTTTCTCCAACTGGACAGATCAGTTTTAAGATCTATGGGCTTGGGGGTAAAGTAGATTTGCTGCTCCCTGGTTACCAGCTTCTCTGAGTCCACTGAATACCCCTCCAACACACACAACAGATTATATGAAGAGAGTTTATTTCTTACAGATAGGCAACAAAAAACAACAGAAACCTAGAATTCCTCATATTTCAGTCCCCCAGTGCTCAGGAAAGCTGTCAAAAATGGATGGAGTCTCATCTGCACATACCCTGCCTGAACTGTAGCTGAGGAACCCCAGAAAGCAGCCCACCTTAGGTTTTATACCTCAGGGTGATGGGATGTGCTGGGCTGAAGTGTTGAAGACATCCTGTTCTCCTAGGGGACTGAAACACAGCCTAGGCTGTTCCAGCCAGTCCCTTGCTACCTCAAGATGTTGCATTCCCAGCACATTCTATGATTAATTTTGAGAACCATAAGCAAGAAAGTGGGGAGAGCTGGATCAGTCCAAGATCACTTAGAGAACTATCTTGCAATCACCACTTACAGCTGAAGTTGATTTAATTTACTTCTTTGTGAAAGTAGAAGCACTTTTTTCATCTTGTTCATTTTACTCTTGATGGTATTTATAAATCATATTACAGACTCCCATGATTCTGAATAACATTAACATTAGTAGTCTATCTGGAAAATTCCATTAGTCACTAAAATTGTGGACTTTCCTGACACTATTCCTATGGACACAACCAATACCTGAATTTTCATGATATTCCTTAGAATGTATTGGTCGTATTTTCCTCCTTTTAAAATTTCACATCTAAGTTAACCAACTTTGCCTGGTCAACCTCATTTACTTTCCTGAATTCTAGAATTTAGCAAATGAGTTCATTTTTATTTGCTTCACATGTCCATGTTTTTGATCATGCTCTGTTTAACCACCAGTGAGTTTCTATTCATAACTCAGTCACTAGCTCATGTATTATCTTCCTCACTAACTGTCAAAGAATTATTCACTCCATTTATAGTCTTGTATTTTTTTTATATGATAAGTTGATTGACGTGCTTCCCCTGTTACATTATAAACTCTGAGAGCAAGGACCTCATCTTATTCTGCTCTGTATTTTGAGCATCTATTACACTGGATGACACAGAGGTGAAGATACGTAACTGTTAGAAATGAATAGATGTGCCTTTGCAGCCATCATTGAAGCGGGAGCAGCCAAAATGAAGTTCAATCCCTTTGTGACTTCCGACCGAAGCAAGAACCGCAAAAGGCATTTCAAAGCACCTTCCCACATTCGCAGGAAGATTATGTCTTCCCCACTTTCTGAAGAGCTGAGACAGAAGTACAACGTGCGATCCATGGCATCCGAAAGAATGATGAAGTTAGGCTTGTACCAGGACACTACAAAGGTCAGCAAATTGGCAAAGCAGTCCTGGTTTACAGGAAAAAATATGTCACCTACATTGAATGGGTACAGCGGGAAAAAGCTAATGGCTCAGCTGTCCATGGAGGCATTCACCCCAGCAAGGTGGTTATCACTAGGCTAAAACTGGACAAAGACCACAAAAAGATTCTTTTAAAAAAGAAAATTATTATACTTTAAGTTCTGGGATACATGTGCAGAATGTGCAGGTTTGTTACATAGGTATACACGTGCCATGGTGGTTTGCTGCACCCATCAATCCATCATCTACATTAGGTATTTCTCCTAATGCTATCCCTCTTCTAGCCCCCCACCCACCCACCCACCAACAGGCCCTGGTGTGTGATGTTCCCCTCCCTGTGTCCCGCAAAAAGATTCTTGAATGGAAAGCCAAATCTCACCAAGTAGGAAAGGAAACGGGCAAATACAAGGAAGAAACAATTAAGAAGATGCAGGGACAAAGTAATCTTATATACAAGCTTTGATTAAAACTTGAAATGAAAAAAAAAAAAGAAAGAAACGAATAGATGCACTACCCTGAAGCCAGTTAAGAACCAGGTAATTACTGATCTGGAAGAACACCTGATTTGGAGACTTCTTCATGTTACCACCCTACTGAGAGGTAGTGTGAAGGATCAGGACTAAGTTTCCCAGGATTTATTCTGAACTTGATGTGTATGCATCTCAGCTTATGCTGATCTACTCTGTTAGACTCCTGTCCTAGTCTTACATTGCAGTGTTTCCTTTTCCCCATGGGAGTCAAGGATATAGAGTTGTGGAAGAGAATGTACCAATCAAATACAGAAACTCTAAATTCTGGCCAGGATCTGATACAGAGTGTATTCTGAATAAATATTTGACAATGTAATTATATACCCATAAGGTTATCAAGCTGTCTAACAGTCCTTGATATATGACAAACAGAAGAGCAAAATAACACAGAGAGACATTTGAATGCTATCTGAGCCATACTTTCTTCCAAACTGGTACTAAATAATAAATTTTTTAAATACCAGTTTTATAAAAGAAGAAGAAGAAAATACTTTTCTTCTGTGACTCAATAATATAAATAGCATTTGTGATTTTCAGTTCCAAACTGAGCTCAGATTCTATTGGCCACTAGTAAAACACTACTCGTGGGTAATAAATTCATTGGCTAAACTTATAAACCAAGTTAAAGCTAAACAATTAGTTGATTACTTTCTACTCATGTTTTACTAGTGGCCAATAGAGTCTGAATTCCATTTTGAATTTAAAAATCACAACTATTTATCCTAAAATTGTTTCAACTCAAAACCAGTACATGTGTCTGGTGCACCAGTCACCTGAAACAGAAGACATTTTAAAGCACATTTATAGTTAAAAAAAAAAAAGAAAGAAAGAAAAAACAAAACAAACACGCGGAGAAGAAGAATTCAGAAGAGACATCGCGAAGAGCAAAATTTTTTATTGTCTTTTTGCTTTCTCTTGAAATGTTGCTTTCTTTTAAATTTTATTTTAAGTTCCAGGACACATGTTCAGGTCATTCAGGTTTGTTACACAGGTAAACATGTGCCATGGTGGTTTGCTGCATCTAACAACCCATCACCTAGGAATTAAGTCCTGCATGCATTAGCTCTTTATCCTGATGCTTTCTCTGCCCCTGCCCCCCACCCACAACATGCCCAAGTGCGTGTTGTTCCCCTTTCTGTGTCCATGTGTTCTCATTGTTCAGCTCCCACTTATAAGTGAGAGCATGCGGTATTTGGTTTTCTTTTCCTGCATTAGTTTGTTGAGGATAATGGCTTCCAGCTCCATCCATGTCCTTGCACAGGACATGATTTCATTTCTTTTTATGACTACATAGTATTCCATTATTTATGTATACCACATTTTCTTTATCCAGTCTATCACTGATGGGCATTTGGGTTGATTCCATGTTTTCGCTATTGCGAATAGTGCCGCAATGAACATACATGCATGTTGTCTTTATAGTAGAATGATTTATATTCCTTTGGGTATATACCCAGTAATGGGATTGCTGGGTCAAATGGTATTTTGGGGTGTAGGTGCAAAGAACAAAACTTTTAATGGGAGAAAAGATAGAAAGATGAAATTAGTATCTGGAGTTGATCTATTATTGTATATTGTATTAACCCACTAATGAATAAGCTTATTTTTGGTAAACTTGTTATATGTGACTTTTACTAATCCTTCCCCTGAAGCAACAAAACATGCTCTTTCTTTACCAGGTCCAATAAGCAGCTCTCTGAATTCAGCAGCTGACCTCATTTTAGCATTCACTTAAAATTTATATTCTTCTTTCTTTATTTTGTTCTCCTTAAATTTTATAGACTTCACTGATATGAGCCAGTAGAGATTTCATTCACAGATTTCTTTGTGTGTCAGTGCAGAATGTGGAAGGAACTTGACACGCTAACCAGGAGGTGTGTTGTCCCCCTGGACTGAGTAAAGAAGATATGACACGAACTCAGCAAGCCTATGATTGTGAGACACTTCTACTGCTTCAGGAGGGAGCTCGGAATTCAATTAGAGATACCAGAAATAGCTTTCTGCTACAACTAAAGTACTGAGTGGGAAACTACATGTCTTGGCACACGAGTGATGGTTTTGCTATTCCTTTGTGTCATGGATAGAACAGAAAAAAAGAGAATATGAAGCAACGAAAAGATAAATGTGCAAAAATTTCCTCAAGGAACAATATTTAGTTTTCTATACTTGAAAATGAGTGTCAAGATATATAGAAAGCAAAATTAAAAAGACATATAAGGTATTTTCTTAAGAAGAGTTAAGAAGAAAGAGGTTAACTAAACCAAGGAAAGCATTGAGTGAGGACAAAAAGTGAAACAGATTTGCTGCTGTCACTGCTACCGTATACCACAGACTCTCCAAAAAGAAAAAAAAGATATGGTTGAGTCTTTCATAATACAAACCACAATCCTGGCAAAAAAGCAAGATATAGCAGTGCTGGGAAAACTTCAGTAATTTGCACAACTAAATCAACAGCTCTGAACACATCCGCCAAATTCAGAGTACATAAAACTGTCTTTTTTTTTTTTTATTCTGAGAAAAGCATGTCTCCAGTAGATAGAGAGAGCAACATAATAACAACTCTCTGAATTTGATTAAAGCAGTAGTAATAATCACATCAGCAGCTGTCATGTGTTCACTTCTGGCTACCTGGGAGGTGCTTTGCCAATCCCTTTGTGTATATTTTCTTATTAATCCTCAAATTCCTCTACACATCAGGCACTGTTAAATATATTTTACAGATGGAGAAACCAAGCCTCAAAAAAATTGAGTAATTTAGGTAAATGTATACAGAGTGTTAGAAGCAGGCTACGATCCCAGGTCTACCTGACTTCAAGTTTGTGCTCTTTACCGTTATGCTGTACTGCACAGGGAGACAAAGTGTTTAATGACGTAAAAACAGAAGACACATTTGAAAGAAAGTGGCAATACTATTCTAGAATTTCTTCTGGCCAAGGAACACAATTATGAGTATGCCCTACTGTATTAGTCTGTTTTGACACTGCTGAGTAAAGACATACCTGAGACTGGGCGATTTTCAAAAGAAAGAGAGGTTTAATCGACTTACAGTTCCACGTGGCTGGAGGGGCCTCACAATCATGGTAGAAGGCAAGGAGGAACAAGTAACATCTTATATGGATGGCAGCAGGCAAAGAGAGAGCTCGTGCAGGGAAACTCTCCCTTATAAATCCATCAGATCTCATGAGACTTATTCACTGTCATGAGAACAGCATGGGAGAAACCTAACCCCAATGATTTAATTGCCTCCCACCAGGTCCCACCCACAACATGTGGGAATTCAAGATAAGATTTGGGTGGGTACACAGCCAAACCATATCATCAACAATGTAGAAAGGCATACTTGATCTTCTTTGGAAGAGATAGCTGGATGAAGATGGGCAAAACCACCCAATAATCGTGGTTTTAACTTAAAACAGGTATTATCCTATATTCATGTCCTAACTTAAAGGTACAATGCACCATCTGCAGTAGAAATAAACATAGGTTCTATCTAACAGCACAGGCCCATCTCAAGTAAACAGTTATGTATCCACAATCTCAAATTTCATATAACATAGTAGATATATATTGTGGGTACCTACACAACATGCATAAGGCTTACCCCCATTTTTTCCCAAGGCTTTATTGACAATCAATTTGGTTAGAATTAACCATCCCCAGTTCCAAAAATTGGCTATAACTGGAATAAATAAATCAGATAAATTCCATTATCATTGCCTCAGTGATTCACCTATGGCAGAGCATATAACCCAAGTTGGTCCAATCAAGGTGTACTAGTCTACTCTCATGCTACTATAACGAAATACCTGAGACTGGGTAATTTGTAAAGAAAAGAGGTTTAACTGGCTCAAGTTTTGCAGGCTGTACAGGTAGCATGTCTGTGGAGGCCTCAGGAAACTTTCAATGATGGTGGAAGGCAAAGGGGAAGCAGGCATGTCTTATGTTTCAGGAACAGGAGGAAGAGAGAGAAGGGGGAGATGCTACACACTTTTAAACAACCAGATCTACTGGGAATTCACTCATGGTCATGAGAACAGCAAAGGGGAAATCTGCCCTCATGATCCAGTCATCTCTCACCAGGCCCCTCCTCCAACACTGAGGATTACAATTCCACATGAGGTTTGGGTGGGGACACAAATTCAAACTATATCACAAGGTAAAGCCAAAGATTTGCGTTTGGAGATTTGAAGGAAGAGAAGAGTTCCTTCATCTTGACAGTCCAGTGAAGGGCAGTGAAATTTTGAACACTAACAGACATTTTGCTACCATGAGGGTTAATATTGACAACTTGATTGGATTACAAAGTATTGTTCCTGGGTGTGTCTGTGAGGGTGTTGCCAAAGGAGATCAACATTTGAGTCAGTGGACTTGGAAACGCAGAGCCACCCTCATCCTGGGTGGTCACCGTCTAATCAGCTGCCAACATGGCTAGAATAAAACAGGCAGGAGAAGTGAGAAGATCCAGACTTGCTGAGTCTTCCGGCCTTCATCTTTTTCCCATGCCGGATGCCTCCTGCCCTCAAACATCGGATTCCAAGTTGCTCAGCTTTTGGACTCTTAGACTTACACCAGTGGTTTGCCAGGGGATCTGGGACCTTCACCCACAGACTGAAGGCTGAACTGTTGGCTTTCCTTCTTTTGAGAGTTTTGGGACCCAGACTGGCTTCCCTGCTCCTCAGCTTGCAGACGGCCTACCGTGGGACTTCACCTTGTAATCGTGGGATTCAATACTCCTTAATAAACTCCCTTTCATATAACATCTATCCTGTTAGTCCTGTCCCTCTAGAGAACCCTGACTAATACACAACCCAAGATGAAGCTGACACAAAAAGTAGGACAGGACTGGAAGAACTGCAGAACTAGTCGTCTTGATCAAATCATGCCTGAATCATGCATTTCCTTTTAACTCTTTTAATTCTCTATACCAACAAACTGCCTTTTTTTAAACTAGTTAAAATATTGTATTGTTTTTGTTAGTCCAGTCCAATGTAACAATATAAAGTGTTAAGAACTCAAGCTTAATACCATTTTACATGTTAAGAACTCAAGTTTATATTCCATGATGCTAACTCCTCTTCCTTAGTGTTGATATTCCCACTTTAACTGTTTCATAGGAAATAATAATCAAACACTTCCCATCACACAAAATGGTGGTTGTATCTACCTATAAATATCGAATATTCTAGCCAAGAATGAATTTTACCTCCAGTGGATGTCTGGTAGATATCTCAAACTTAACATGTCTGAAACTGAGTGCCTGATCCCTTCTCAACATTTCAGTTGTTGGCAATTACATCTTTCCAGCTGCTCATTTTCTGCTACTTTCCCCAACCCTCATTCTACTTCAGGCATACGGGCCTCCTTGCTCTTCTTATAGGGCAGATATTCACCATCTTAGCCTCTTTCAACTGGCTGCTTTCCTTCCCTGATATTTACCTGATTAAGTCATTTTCTTGCTTCAAATATTTTCTGAGATGTCACCTTCTGCATGAGGCTTACTCTGTCCACACTAATTACAATTGTATCTGCCTCTCACACACATACCCTTCTCTGTTCTGTCTTTTCTCATATGACCTAAAACTGTCTAATATACTGACTGTTTAATTAATCTATTCATTTCATTGCATATTTTCCATGTCTTACCATTAGAATGTAAGACTCATGAACATGCATTTTTGTCTCTTGTCTTAACTGATGTATCCCAAATGCTGGAATATGCCTGACATGTGAATAAATCTTTGTTGACTGAATGAGTAAATCACTCTGCCCTCAGCAACTTGGCACAGTTATCCAGTCCTAAGGAGTGTAGGGCACACTAAGCTATGAATTAAAAATCTTTCCACAAAAATTGATTTGTGATGATTTCCTTTGGAAATTGGACCAAATATAAAAATAATTGAACTTAGAGGTTCCAAAATCCCATAAGCAGACACAATGTGATTTGGATGATTGAATAACCCTCATAGGTTAGCCCCTGGTGGCATATTCACTCATAAGTCTCTTCCCTGAATCTAGTGTGCTCTCTCCCTTCAATTTGGGTTTGCTGTAGCAAATAATTTAGGGTTTACAACATGGATCTCAGATGTTGTGCTAGTACACAACATATACTGGGTGTGCATGGGATCATCCTGGATGTCATTTGTCAGACTGATATGGTTTGGCTCTGTGTCCCCACCCAAATCTCATCTAACAGCTCCCATAATTCTCAAGTGTTGTGGGATGGGCCCAGTGGGAGATGACTGAACTATGGGTAGGTCTTTCCTATGTTGTTCTCGTGTTAATGAATGGCTCTCATGAGATCTGATGGTTTTAAAAATGGAAGTTGCCCTGCACAAGCTCTCTCTTTGCCTGCTGCCATCCATTTAATAGGTGAATTGCTCCTTCTTGCCTTCTGCCATGATTGTGAGGCCTCCCCAGCCATGTGGAAGTATAAGCCCATTAAACCTCTTTTTCTTTCCAGTCTCAGATATGTCTTTATCGACAGTGTGAAAACAGACTGATGCACAGACTACAAAGTGTTTCCAAGACAAGCCCATTGGCTGTGACATTAAATAAATAATCTATTCCTTAATTCACTCAATCTTTCATCTGTTAATTCAAGAATATTTTTTCTCTGCATTGAGAGTGCTAGATTATATGATTGATACAATACTTAGCTTTATTTAGTATAACAATGTGTTTTAGATTTTGATAAAACTAGCTAATGCATAGTTTCTAAAGATCAGTTGATCTATCCTGGAGATAAGGTCTGAGAGGAAATCTAAGATGTAGTGAAAATGTCTTAAAAGATGAGTAGGATTTAGAGGATAAAGTATGAAGAATTGCAGACAGAAGGAAGACCATGAACAAAAGCATAGAAACATTAAGGAAACTTGGATGCATTCAGGAAGCCACAACTTGTTCTGTAACACTGGAGTGAAGGAGTGTGTGTGTGTGTGTGTGTGTGTGTGTGTGTGTGTGTGTAAAATAAAGTGGATGCCTCTAGAAAGATAGTATAGGTCCAATAATGAGGCCTTCAAATAATATCCTAAGGAATTTGATTTAACTTTTGAGAATTATAGCCATTGAAAGGTTAAAACAGTGGAGCTACAGGATTATATGCTGATTTTAGAAAAAGTCTCTGAATGCATTTCTGAAGAACAGATGAGAGAAGAACAAAACTTCAGGCAAGGAGAATAGTTGGGAAGATGTTGTCAGAGAAAGCAACAAGATGATATGAAAAGAGATGCTCTAAAATGCTCCCCAGATTTCTGTATCTGAGAAGGGCAGGTTGCCTATAAGAAGAGAAGGAAACATAGGGTGAGATAAAGGACCAACACAGTAGAACAAAGAGTGTGTTCCAAGATGATTGCTGAATTCTGTTTTGTACACACTAAATGTGAGAGACTTGGGGATATTGTGGAATATCTAGTTTGAGATTTCAAACTTACTAGAAGTTTGAATTAGAATTTGGAGGTAGGTGGTAGGATTTAGGTTTTTACAACATGTCAGAATAAGTGGTGGAATGCATGAAATGAAATGAGACTAGGAGAAAGCTAAGGATGGGCACCAGAGAAAAAATGACTCACACAGGGACCTGAAGGCAGTGACTCAAAAGGCAAGGCAAAGCAAAACCTGGAAGCCTCCTAAAGGCGGAGAAAAGAGCCAAGTGTTACAAAAAGGCTTTGTCCCTAGATCCCAAACAAGTCATCCTAGAATTGAAATTTCTGTAAGTGCTAGATGCATTTTTATCATAGCATGCCTTCTCCACGCAGAGGAGAAATTGCCTCTTATGTTCTGAAGTATCTGGTGCATGGCAAGAAGGTTCCTTCCATTTTTCCTTGGTGTAGCCTGCCTGCCTGTGTTGACACTGGCTGTAGTCAGTCTTTAGGCCCTGTTGTGATCCTTCCTGTTCCACTGGTTTCTATTCACCCACTGATGAGCCTTGGCCAGCTACACTTTTGCTTTGACTGTTCCAAACTTTGTCCAGACCCTATTCACTCTTGTTTATTATGGAATGCCAACAGACATGAGTCTATCACTTACATATTTCTATTGAATTGCTTCTGTGGCTCACTTTTTAGGTGCCAGATTACTTATTTTGTCCTAGATTTCTATTTTCACATTTGCCACAAGTGATTTTTTGATCAAGCAGTTTCGGGAAATATTGGCCCAAATAAGTGATTCTTAAACTATGTTGTTCTTAAAAACTACCTGAGGGCTATTATTAATATATCCGAACTCAAAGGAGTCTAATTAAGCGGATAGTCCTTGAGAAATAGGCTATAAACCCTGCTCTTTACCTTGCCATCAAAAGACTTTTAAGCTTTAGTCTCAGCTTTCACTAGTCTCATCCCCTGGCATACTTCCCTTAATCACCCACTCACAATCAGTGAGGTCAATGAATCACCTACAGTAGAATTATGTGAGATAGATTCCTGAACTTCACCCAAGGGCTACATCTGAAACTCAGGAATTTCTATTTTAAAATAAAACCCCAAGTAATTTGAATGTTAAAGAGCCCAGCCCAGAACTCCAGTTCAAAACATGGAGTGGTGGTGGCATTCACACAGGTTAAAGATGAATTAAAATCATCTTGTAAGTTTGATCGGAACGAGTGTACCTCCAGATTTCTGTTGTCTTTGGAGTTGGGGATTAGGGTACATAGTTTAAGAAAGTTTTCCAGAAGAATCTAAAAATCCTAGATTTTCTCTGTTTCTCTCTCTTTCTTCTTTCTGCCTGCCCGGCCCCATTATCCAACTGAAATTGTCCATCAAATTTATATCTTCAGGTCATATATCAACTCATCTATAAAAATGTCTACATATTCACATTCGAGCAAGATTAACTGCTCTCATAACTGTACTCAAATACTTATTAGATATTTATAATACAAAATTTCCTACACTGAATTATAATCGATGGCCTCTGTGTCTTTCTTGTCTACTTAACTGAATTCAAGAGAAGGTGCTCTCTTCTTTATCTTTGTTACGTCCAGAGCATGCTCGATAAATTATATTAAAGTAATTAAGAATTGCATGTTTTATAAACACAATAAAACAATTCCCTCAGTAAAAGTAATAGAGAAGTAAGGCAAGTTCCAGTTTTGCAATGTTGACACCCTTGTCTTCAGCAAACTCTGTGTGGCTAGACGCAAAGCAGTTCTATCCATGTGTTCTTAAATTTCTCACTATGAATATCGGTGTAGTCATCATCATCTCCTTTAAAGGTGTCATCTCCACTATGGGAAACTTTATGATGGATTCCAATTTTATTTTCCTTTAAACTCAAAGGGCGTTATTAAAGGATAATGGCAGATTGTTTTCACATATTAAACGCCCATTCCTGCAAAAAGATTGTATATCCCCACTCACTTCAACTCAAACATAGCTATGTGACATGCTATGGCCAATCACTATGAATGAAAGTGCTGAGCGTTAAGTTCAGAGCAGAAGCTCCAACAGCCAGCAGACGATTACCAAGTCGCTTATTTTTTCCCCTATGCAGCAAATATTATCAATGTTCTGGGTTGATACTGTACCATCAGAAGGAAAACTAAAACAGGACTGCAGTTGAGTCAAGTGGATATGTAAAGAAAGAACAAAATACACCATGCTTTTGCAAACCCCTTAGCACGGTTTGGTATGTCCTGCCTGAGGCAATGCTCTTGTGACATTGAACTCTAACTCTTGAATAATCATAAGCATCTTAGAATTTCCCAAGCAGATATGACAATTAGCCTGAACATGGAAACCTCAGCTACTGGGTTTGCTATGGTGTATTCAACAGTGTTTTGAGCTTTTTTGTGGGGAGAGAGTGAACACGGGGACGTTTAGAACTCTTTGGTGTGTGTGTATGTGTGTAGGGGCTTGGCTGTTATAGTTACGGGGGACCTACCGTCATGTAGTACCTAGGGGCTACAGATGCTATATATCCTGCAATCCAAAAGAGAGCCCTGCTTAAGAATTGTCAAGCCTAAATAACCCATTGCTTTGGTGGAGAGACACTGGACCACGCAAACCAGTGGCAAATGTGCAGATTCATTAGTTATTTTCATAGTGGATTTATCAAAAGCATGTACTAGAATTTAACCTTCATTTAAATAGATTACTGAATCTACTAGTTTGTCAAGAATATTCACATGTATTCTTCCAAACCCTTGTTCAGAAAGTCATTGCATTTCTAATTTTATGGTACATTCTTAAGCCAATTCGTTAATCTAAGGCTGATGAAGACTTTTTTCCTGACATAACCTGTTCCCCCCACCAAGATTTTTAATTGTTACTAATGTAGGTATAAATTTATTTATTCCCAGTTTTACCAGTTGTATGTTTTCCTGCCCTTTAGAAAATATTATCTTTTGCTACTATCCTTAACAGATGTTATATATCTGCAGACTGACTTTATAGCTCCTTTCCCCTTTGTTTAACAATACCATACATATTTTGATTTTTCATCATAGGCTGATCCTGCCGCTTCATCATCATTCCGGTTGCTATGCTCTGATTTTCCTCTGTACCTTTTTGTTATTCTAGAAAGAAATGATTCTAAAGAGAATAAATTCTGCCTGCCAGAAGAAAATTTAATATTATATTCAGAAACTGATGAATCTTGTTCGTCCTCTTCTAATAGATCAAACATTGTGTTATATCTCTTGGGTGATACCTGACACTGTAAACTCATATGCAAGTTGCTGTTTCCTGTCAGCTCGTTGCATCCTTAGCATTGCTGCTGCGTGTTTCTCTCCTTTTCAAGTTACTCTTGTGCATTGCATTTAATATATGTAGTTCTTACTTGTGCCGGGGCATTGGTGTAATTTTACTGGCCTCACTGCTTCTAGTAGCACCTTGTATCAACTGTGAATTTGGTTAGAATATTTCTACTGCCTTCTCCTTATTTAATTATCATATTTAACTTTCACCTTGAGGGCAGTATCTTACATAAAGCATCCACAGACTCTGGTGGAATCCAAGTATCCTCATCACTAAAAAGTCAAGAAACCAAGAGTGCCTCTGACATCTTTTCCATGGATCCTTAGTATTAGACCAGGAAGATTGGATGACTGAAAAAATTGGCTTGTCCTAAGACACAAGAAAAGCCAAATAAAGGCATCCACGACCGAATTTTAGGGCATGAAGTGAATAAATGAGTTAGTAATATAAGTAACTTTCAACAGCAGCAAAAATCTTTGAGGCAAAATCTATTTTCTTCTTTCTCTAAATCTGGATTGATTGTATATATTGTCTGTAGTCATGGGGTGCATTCTAAGTCCTTTATTCCGTTTCTTCTTATCAAGCCCAAGAAAGCAGTGTGAATGTTAATAGGTACTGAATAAACCCTGTGATCACTATAGTACCTTATAATGATGTGTTCCCAAGCTGCCATATCACGGTTGATTATCACTTCTTTTTCTTTGCAATCCTTCATTTAATTTCCCTTCCTTACCTTGCTGTTAACATTCCTGACTATTTGAATTCGTTTTAGAGTGCATGAGATGCTGTATCAAATGTTTTTGCTAAAATCCAAATGTATTACATCTCTCACATTGCATTCATCCACTAATCTTGTAATTCAATAAAAAAAAAAAGCAATCAGATTTGTTTGGCATGATTTGTTCCGTGTAAATCCATGCTGCTTATTGCTCAATGGTGCTTAAATGATAAGTAGTGCTCAACGCAAATTTCCTCATCTAACTTCTCATTTTAGCTCAGAAAAGTCTATACTGGTTTTGTTCATAGATTTCTTCCTGGCACATAGCTAGTTTCTAGGTCCTAAAAACCAGAGAACAGAAAGACTCCACTAGCTTTATTACAGTACCTTTTTTTTTTTTTTGCTTTTGTATTATTCCTTTCCCAATTCATTATTCCTACATTTTCTTATTAGATTTTCATTAAATTTACAATGTCAGTAATTTCTTTATTCTTATTTTCATACAATATATGTTTAAGAAAAGTGTTAGTGAAGGTACAAGAAGACTATGAGAATACAATATATTTCAAGCATCTCCATTGAGAATAACGGACGATGCCTTGGTTATATTTAAACAATTTCTTTCTCCATATTAGTCATGTAATATAAGAAAGATAGATTAGCAATTCATCTCTTAATCTCAAATATACTGGTGGTAATCATTTCATTTTTATGGATCACTTTCATTTGGCCATAATTTAAGAACTTGTTATGGGTTGTATTGTGTCTCTCAAAGAAGACATGTTGGAATCCTAACCCCAGTACCTCAGAATGTGACCTTATTTAGAGCTAGGGGTCTTTATAGGCACAAGTTGAAATGAGGTGATTTGGGTAGGTCTGAATTCCAGTATGATTGGTGTCCTTCAAAAAGGGGAAATTTAGTCAGAAACAGAAATACGTACAGGGAAGATGAGAGAGACAGAGAGAGGATGCCATCTACAAGTCAAATAAAGAGGCCTGAAACAGATCCAGCCCTCAGAAGGTACCGTCCCTGCTCACACCTTGATTTTGGAATTCTAGCCTCTAGAATTACAAGGTAATACTTTTCTGTTGTTTAAACCACCGTCTGTGCTACTTTGCTACAGCAGCCCTGGCCATCCAATGTAGTACCTATCGTACATGTACATTATTTTGTTATCATCGTTATTCTGTTTAGATTACACTCTTCCGCAATGTGACAAATATTTCTGGTTCTTACTAATTACTGCTTTTATGCGCACGTACCACCACAGCAAGCTTTAAGATACTTTAGGAATCAAAATATTCTTGAAAAAATGGAAGAAAAAGAGGATATTATATATCCAGCAGTTTTCCACATCTAAAGATGGATTATATTATTTTTAGTGACTTTGAGAAAGACTTGACACACGGGAGTTAATTCTATTTCTTTTTAAGTTTTCAATTACCTCTCATCCATTGGGCAAGGGCTTAATGAGATGGTAAGATAAGACCCCATGTCTTTTTATAGGCACAGGGTAGGGATACAAATCAAGGGAAAATTTTTGGTTTCTCTCGTTTGGGTTCTGAATCTTGTGAGAAGTAATACAAGAATGGAAAGATAGTTGGTGATCATTGATTTCAGCAACAGTGACCTAAATAGACCTATGATTGTCTCCTGCTGGAAGAATCAATAGGAATAACCAATAAATAAGAGTTTTTAAAGCCAAGTTCTCCATTATTCCATCAGTTTTGCCATCTATTCACATCCTTCTGCTATGCTCTTTGTCTACTTAAAGCAGGCATAGCCATGCTACATTCATTTTCATGAAGATATATCTAAAATTTATAAACCTTAAAATCTACCCAGTTCAGCCTCACACAAACTCAGACACATATGTCCTTAATTGCTATAAATTTCCATAATTGGTTGACTGATAAAATAGAAGATGAAAGCTATTATGGGTCACCATAGATAAATAAGGGGAAAAAAGGTTAATTTTACCAGATACAGAAAAGTTTTCCTGTTTGGGATATTTGTTCTGGAAGGATGTTGTGATAATTCAATGATAAAATTTCTCCTGCAAGGCAACCCATGAAGTGCATTTCAACCAGGTTGTCCGATCTAGGGTGCAGGTAAAGTGTCAATTTATTTTCTAAACTTTGAGAGTAAAAGTGAGTGCTGTTAGCAATACGCTGAGAAAATAGATGTAAACAGGAACTGTCCTGAGACAAACTGTTGTACATAGGCAGTACCAAGTTAGGAGCTTCCTTTTACAAAATAGTCACTGCAATGGACAGGCAGATCAAGGATTGGAATCCCTCAGTGTTGGAAAGATCCTGTGACTCACTTCTAGTGTTCTTTCTGAGCATCCATGGTGGTGGGGTCGGGGCAGGGGGCCAGTTGTTAGGTGTGTTCCACAGCATCCACAAAATGGGGCCTCTTGGCTTTGAAAACCTCCTAACCAGTTGGTAATTGTTGCTTGGAACCAGCAAACACTCACTAATACAATGACCCTTTTAGAACACAGTGAGGATTCCTAGTATGTACGTGTGCACAGCAAGTGGGCAGTTGATAAATGCTTTTAATCAAGATGGTCATGATCAAGGCAGTCCACAAGTTAATGAGTCAGTGATCTGCCCTGCCTTGATTTTAACTTAAATTTTCAACATCCTACTGCATTTTATGCCATGTAGACCTACTTTAGTGATTAATTACTTTATTTGATAGCAACAGATATGATTGAACTTAAACACTCATGAATTTGAATAAAAGTATCCAGGCTTTTCACTGCCATCAGCAATCTTAAAGCTAGTTATTTACTGTACTCTTTTTATATAGGGTCTAAACCACATTGTTGAGCACTAAATGAGATATGACATCATATATCATCCAAGTGTGTGTTAGATCAATGTGGGTTAGTCTTAGTTTGAGGACAGGGATCACTTTTTATAACTCTATTATATCTTCCATAGAATCTACCTATGAATTTGGATCCAGAAAACACACAGTCCACTGATGCTATAGTGGTCTTTAAAACTGATTAGGAAGATATTCATATTTGGGTATTCTGAAGGATTGAGTAAATGGATTTCCTAACATAGAACAAAGTGAAATGAATAATCCAGAGTGTGTTCTAATATGAGTGAATTAATATCCACTCAATGAATGAATCAGTGTACAGTTTTTCTCCTTTAGGATGTAAATTATCCAAATATTTATTTTCATATTTCTCCTTGTTTTGGTTTTAGAAATACTGCCTCAAGCTTTCTACAGAATCACAGATTCTCGTGAAAATAAGTGAACAGTTAATGCAGGGGAAGAAGTCTTTTTTCACTTGATTCTGTTTCATAATTTTCTTGATACTGGTTTTCAGAGGTAAGCATGTGACATAATTTGAGTGGCAATTTTATGAGTTATATTTGTAGTATTTTCTATTTATGCCTGCAAAACAAGCTCTTCATAAAGCCAAGTCAGAAACAATGAACACACTTGGAATGCATCTCATTAAGGGTTGGTACCACAGGTGTCCCATGGTATATGCTAGAGATTGGTTCCAGGACCTCCATATGTACTCAAATCTGGGCATTCAAGTCTGAAAAGTCACAGAAAAATATTCAGCTTCTGTTTTAATTTAGGAAGTTCTTAATGTTTAAACCAATAATATGGTAAGAGGATAGTGGAGAGAGGGCCAATTTATCTCATTAGCCTAATTTTACTTTAATTAAATACTGTTGTTAGATCTAGCGTGTTTGTTTTGGAATTTTTTTTCCTAAAAAAATGTTATGTGAAATTATTACGGTCCTAAAAAGTTTAATAATAATCTATGCAATATGTTTGTGTCTTTATGTTAATCAAATTTATTAATTCAAACTAAAGAAACACGAGTTCAAAAGATCAGTTTGTTGTTTGATGTGGTTTAAGGGGCTGTTTGTAAATATAAATATAAAATGCTGAGTGATTTCAAAATATTCAATAAGCTAGTTAAACTTTTTTTCTTGCAACGGCTATTGGAACTATGTAAAATAGTGTTTTACACAACACTATTTATATACAGTGTTCATTTTTTTCCTTAGTAAAGCTATCAGGCCAGGCGCGGTGTCTGACACCTGTAATCCCAGCACTTTGGGAGGCCGAGGTGGGTGGATCATGAGGTCAGGAGTTCAAGACCAGCCTGACCAAGATGGAGAAACCTGTCTCTTCTAAAAATACAAAAATTAGCAGGGCATGGTGGGGGGGCGCCTGTAATCCCAGCTACTCGGGAGGCTGAGGCAGAGAATTGCTTGAATCCAGGAGGCAGACGTTGCAGTTAGCCAAGATCTCACCATGGCACTACAGCCTGGGTGACACAGCAAGACTCCGTCTCAAAAAAAAAAAAAAGTAATAATAATAATAAATAAAGCTATTAAACTACAATATAAAATCAAGAACAACCTATTAGTAAGTAAACTACAATTAACTTAAATTATTAGAAAGCATAAATTTGCATGTTTAAATTACTAATTGTAATATATGAAAAAGCATTTCTTTGACCATTTTTAAAATTTATTTTTACTTACATTTTTTTTCTTTTTTTTTTTTGAGACAGAGTTTCACTCTTGCTGCTCAGGCTGGAGTGCAGTGGTGCGATCTCGGCTCTCGGCAACCTCCATCTCTCAGGTTCAAGTGATTCTCCTGCCTCAGCCTCCCAAGTAGCTGAGATTACAGGCGCCTGCCACCGTGCCCAGCTAATTTTTTGTATTTTTAGTAGAGACGGGATTTCACCATGTTGGCCAGGCTGGTCTTGAACTCCTGACCTCAGGCAATCCACCCGCCCCAGCCTCCCAAAGTGCTGGGATTACAGGCATGAGCCACCATGCTCGACCCTAAAAAACAATTTTTTAAAGATGGAGTCTTGCTGTCACTCAGGCTGGAGTACAGTGGTGCAATCTCAGCTAACTGCAACCTCTGCCTCCTGGGTTCACGTGATTCTCCTGCCTCAGCCTCCTGAGTAGCTAAGATTACAGGTGCCGATTATCATGCCAGGCTGATTTTTGTGTTTTTAGTAGAGACAGGGTTTTGCCATTTTGGACAAATTGGTCTCTAATTCCTGACATCAGGCGATTCACCAGACTCAGCCTCCCAAATTGCTGGGGTTACAAGCATGAGCCACTGCACCTGGTCTCCTTGACCATTTTTGATAATACTTTATGAATAAAAAAATCTAAACACTTTGGAAATAGATAATGGTGATGGTTGCACAACACTGTGAATGTAATTAATGACACTGAATTGTACACTTAAAACTGGTTAAAATGATGAGTAGTATTTCATATACATTTTACTGCAGTTTTTTTAAGTATAAAAATATTTGTTTAAAGAACGTAATGTTTGCAAATATTTTTAAGAATAAAGAAAAGTAGTTCTGTGGTCACTGAAAGTAGAATAGTATTTTGCAGTTTAAAAAGTAATGGCCAGGCATGGTGGCTCACACCTGTAATCCCAGCGCTTTGGGAGGCCAAGTCAGGAGGATTAATTGAGTCCAGGAGTTCAAGACCAGCCTGGGCAACATAAGAACATGGGGATACCCCATCTCTACAAAAAAAACAAAAAACAGTCAAAAAAGTTGTGAGACCTCACCTCTATAAAAAAACAGAGACATTAGCTGGGAATAGTGGTGCACACCTGTGGTCCCAGCTACATGGGAGGCTAAGGTGGGAGGATCGCTTGAGCCTGGGAGGAGGTAAAGGCTGCAGTAAGCCGTGTTCGCATGAAACTGCAGCCTGGGTGACTGAGTGAGATCCTGTCTCAAAGAAAAATAAAAATAAAAAAAGTAATGTCACATGTGTAATCTTAATTTTTTTCTTCCCACCAACATTGCCAATTAAATTCCCACATTAAACTTTCTATAAGACAAATAATTTTAATGTTACTTAAATGTGTACAAGAATGCCATAGTCCCCTTTGCAGAAATGTCATTTAAAACAGTACTCTTTCATACAATAATTTCTATGTTTCTAGTCTTACTTACTTTCTTTCTTTCTTTCTTTCTTTTTTTTTTGAGACAGAGTCTCGCCCTGTCGCCCAGGCTGGAGTGCAGTGGCACCATCTCGGCTCACTGCAAGCTCCGCCTCCCGGGTTCACGCCATTCTCCTGCCTCAGCCTCCCGAGTAGCAGGGACTACAGGTGCCCGCCACCATGTCCAGCTAATTTTTTGTATTTTTACTAGAGACGGGGTTTCACCATGTTAGCCAAGATGGTCTCAATCTCCTGACCTCGTAATCTGCCTGCCTCAGCCTCCCAAAGTGCTGGGATTACAGGCGTGAGCCACCGCGCCCGGCCTTTAGTCTTACTTTCTATTTTAAAAACAATTTTTTGGCTTTTTCTGAATCATTTGACTTGAATCTTCCATGCTTTAAAAGTTTCCCGAAAATTCTATTACTTTCAGAAGTCCTGTCTAATAATATAAATTATGGGGACAGTGTATATAACTTTCTGAAGAGTTTGATTAGTATTTCTGTTTCTTCATTAAGCTGTACCCATCTCCAATGGAAAGAAACAAAGAGGTACTTCAATCAGTTTGATTTCTGAATGCTTAAAAACACTTAAAAAACAACTCAGTTTATTGTTGCTGTTGTTTAAATAGTGCTTGATTTCTTTTTAGATTTTTCTACAAGGAATATTCAAAAAAGAAAAAAAATTAAATAACACCGTGTTTCAGCAGAATCTGTTATTATTATAGATATTTTTGTCATTAGAAATTAAATCAGAAAAGTAGCTAGGTCCAAGTTCCCCAAAAGGTAGGGTTCATGATTTGCCTGTGACCACGACATCTTGACACCAAGACATACTGGTTTTGCCATTAGCTTCAGTTTCTCACCAGACAAAACCAAGCAATTTGGAGGCAGTAACATAATTCACATATCTGTGCTGTCTGGCATGTGGGAGTCACTGAAATAATTTAGTTAGTTCCCTTCCCCAAATTTCTCCATGATACATTTATTGAAGGATTTATGTGAAACAAGATATTTACAGAGATTAGAACGTAGAACTCAAAAAGGATTTATCAGGTGTCCTGGTATCTAAATTATCTAAAAGAATAATATATGGCAAAGTAGTGCAAACACATTACTTGAGTGCTGTGGTCATAAACTATTAAAAATGACACGATGATTAGAAGACAGTCAAAAATTTAGATGACGTTTATCAGTTTTAGATGTGCTACCTTTCAGAGTGATCACGACAGTCCAATATTTTCAGTTTCTGGGCTTTTATTTTAGATTTAAATTTTGAGCATATTTAATTTGCTATAATCATGATTTTCATAGCATGTTTTCTCAAACCGTAAGTATAATTTTAATACAACCAAGTGAATTAAAAATTTTCTTCCCCATAGAAGCATAAATATAATTTTAGAATGAAAGTAACTAATACTGGAGTCTATATGCAAAAAAGACCCTACCTTACATATGAATCCATAAACAATAGCCACGGTATATACACTTGTAACTGAAAATTCTGAAATCATTAATATTTCTATAAAGATATCCACTTAGTCTAATCAAATTCTCCTCTTAAACTGTACTTTCCATAAACTGTTTTTTTTTTAAGTATGTCAAAGTGAGTCTCATGTATATAAAAAAAGAAGTCCTAAAAGTACTAGTTGAGCTCTGAATAAACTGGGTGAAATTTTCTAGTATCATGCCCAACTATTACCATCTTTTTGAAACTTGATTTTTCCAATTCTTAGTAGAATTGCTTAATATGTACATTTGCCTTCTTTATATTTTTTCCACCATCACTTTTACCCAATTTGTATTTTTTTAATAATTCTATTTCCTCTCTTCTCCATACCAAATCGCAAATGGAAAATAGCTTACTCACTTCTTATTTTTAAATTTTAGTTTTTGTTTTCTAGGATTCCAAGTAACAAACATCCAAATGACCTTCTCCTCTGTAATGTTTTCTCATTACAAGCTCTGAAAAGGCTGCATGATAGACAAAGTGGCTCATTTTAGAAATCCCTATCATCTGGCAAAATTCTGTAGCTTCTGGCAATATATTTCTTTCCTGGTTATATAAAGATAAGTTGACTCATTTTGCAATTGTTCTTTTGAGTAATAGACATATTTTACACATTGTTCTTACCTAATAAGTAATAATCACTAGCAAATGATAAGATCACATAGTAACCCATATTAACACCAAAAGAAATGTATTAAAAAATAAAATCTGGATTAGACCACTGATTTAACTGTTATTACTATTATTATCATACCTTCTGTTTTTCTGTTTCATGACTTAGTGTTTTCCTGGGGGCTGGGGAAGGATTTGAATAATCTAAAGGCTTGATGTGATTACCAGACATTTTAGTGGAATAGTTGAAATTTAATATAGAAAGTTTTCAAAATTATTTATGCAGAATAAGGGGAAAATATCTCAGTGGTAAATAAAAGCAAACTCTAGTACTTTCAAATCCTAGATCCCTCAGCAGAACTCCACTGTTCCTGAGTAAATCAATTAGAGTCTTTGCTACACAGTCTTCCTCCTCCGTGCGGTGTTCTGAATAACAGCCCTGCCCTCACCCCTTACATCCATGTCCTAATCCCTGGGACCTATGAATAATTATCTAGCCAAAGGGACTTGGCACACGTCATTAAGTTAAGGATCTTGAGATGGAGAGATTGTCCTGGATTATCTGAGCATCCCCTAAATGTAATCACAAGCATCCTTATAAGAGGCAGGAAGGAAATTTGACTATAGTAGAAGAGTATGTGACCATGGAAGCAGAGATTGAAGTGATGTAGCCAGGAGCCAAGGAATGTCAGCAGACTCTAGAAGTGAAAGCTGGAAGAATCTCCCCTGGAGCCTCCAGAAGGAACCAGACCTAAGGACATCTTGGTTTTAGTCTCTTAAGGCTTCTTTTGAACTTCTGCCTCCAGAACTATAAGATAAATTTGTGTAAATTACTGAAGTTGTGGTAATTGGTTACAGCATCTACGGGAAACTAGACCTCCAAGATCCGCCCATGATTTGAGAAAAATGTTCTGCACTGTCAGTCTTGTGGATTTTTATTCTGAAGCACTTTTCATGGACATAACAAGAAAAATTATTTTTACTTAGTTATTTGAGTATAAGTGTTTGTTGCAATTAATCTATTGGGTATTAACATGTCATCATCAAGAGACAGCAAACAGCAGTGAAGATAAAAGCTGAGAGAAGACATTACATCATTAACAAATGATTTCTATGTTTGAGTAGCCAATTCAATGAGAAATTCAAAACACAAGAATCTTGCAGAAATCAGCTGCCAGATTTATTAATCTACCTGAAAACAAAAACATAAAAACTCAACCAAAAAGTGGAATCAAAACAGAACTTAAAAAATTTTAGATACATTTTTCAAAAGAGTTTATAATGTAATATTTTCAACCCTTCTGTATTGGAAATACACTTAATGTTGGTCAATTATGTATTTAGTTCAGTGAGTCACTACGTTAAAACAGCAAAACATATAGTTTGTCCTTAAATATTATATAACTAATACCATTTCTGCCATTGTTCTCTTGTGATAACGTTAGCATGGCCCAATTCTTCCTCACTGACTGACTAAAACTAGACTATTAAAAAGAAGAAAAAGGAGAAAAGAGAAAAAGAAAAAAAAGGAACAAAAATGAATCCTCAATACAGTTTTCATTCAGAATATATTTTAAAGACTCACTTAAATTTTCTCCTTCAATTTCACCAAATCTCAATTATATATCTCAATTCCTTTTTCCAATAAAACTTTCACTGAATATTTTAACATCTGTTTTTATTCTAAGTGCTGTAGATGGCCACATAAGCATAGTGGGGAGAAAAGGTTCTGATTTTTAAGGCATAGTTTTCTTTTTTAGGCCCAAAATGGGCCAAAATAATACATGATGTATATGAACAACAATCATTGAAATCGCAGGTTACATACATATTTTGAAATTGGAGTACTTTTTGTAGGATTAAATGTGAAGAGTAGCAATTTTGGTGTTTGGGTTTCTTGATAACTGCTCCACTTAGAGAAATGAGCTGTGATCTGTGTAGTTTTGGAAAATGGGTAGCTGGGGGGATCATCTTTAAACAATCTTTTTCATGCTCATCACGAAATGCTTTTACAATAGGTTTATTTTGACTTTGTGTTTAGAATTTTTTTTTTTTTTTGCTTTTTGCTATAGACTCTTTAAAAAAGTTGTTCTTCTGGATATTATTGATAGATGGAACAAAATTCATGTCCCTTGCTTGAATCTTTTAGCGAGCTATTCAGAGATTCTATATCCCCATTTACTCATGGTTTTTTCAAGGTGAATGAAACAACATACCCTGCTTTCAATATTTTCTCCAAATGCAAAGCAAAAACAGAACAAAAAACTTTGAAACTTTAAATCTTCTTTCAAACAATCCAATCACATTTACAGAAGTGTCCAAAAAGAGATGATGGATAATATCAGTGCCAGCACTATGTCATACAGCAACTTCCTCATATTCTTTGACGGTTTGTAAATAATTTTCCATATCACCAAAAGTTACAAAAGGTTCCACAGTTTCCTTTAGCAAGCTGAAGCTTACTCTTCATTTGTCAATGTGCATAAAAGCTGCTTATAGCATAGCATGGCGTAAGCTATTTTTTAAGCAATAAATGGTTTGAGTCATCTATTTTGTCCTGAAATGCTATCTGTAGTTAACTGCACTGCTTATAAATGGTCATAGTAAATTCAGCATGAAAGAGAATATTACAGAAAAGACAGCAGCAGAAGCATTAGCATTATCTAATATTTATATATGTTATCAACATAACACAGCAGTAAAAGGTTTAAATGCATATCAATGGGTACCATGTCTAAAAATTACTATAGTACCTATTTAGTGTATTGGATATTTTTCTTAAAGAGTGTTTGCTGTAACTAGAACAGCATAATACATGATTTAGTACAGTTAATTCTTATTGATTAAATAATGTATTTATGTACTGAAGAAAGTGAAAAGGAGACAGATATTTTTTGCTTCATTTTGATTCCAGATTTAACATTTAAATGAAGATTCCAAAGGACCATGACATGTCATTATTTAACTGAAATGGGCTTCAAAATATTTAAAAGACGGTATGATTTGTATCTAAACAGCAAGGTGGCACCAGATACACGTAATGCTACTGGCCTATGACTCAGTTTGGCGCCAGAGTCCAAAATTGTGCCCCTCATTTACAGTCATGGTGATTATTCAACTTCAGAGAGAATTACCCATTTTATGGTTATCCTCTGCAAGTCATATATAAAGCAAAATAAAACAACAAACAGCAAATGCAATCGCTAAATACCTTTTTACAAGTGGTGCAAAAACAGTCATTTCTAACAATTAAACTGCCATTTACAGTAGATTGGGGTTTTTTTGTACACCTGCAGAGACTCATAAATGACAGGGGAAAATGCCCAAGGCAAATAGTCTCCAAGTGGATATTTACACAACGTGAAATTAACTGTACCATAGATACCCCGATAAAATAAACATTATCTTATGTTGTTATGAAATCAAACAGACATGATATAGTTTCATCATACTCAAAACTTGTAGGACCCCATCCCAAGCCTAAGTAAAAAGTAATCCCCAAATCCCTCTGCCCATTCACCCATTAGCTTCCTGTTACACAGAATAAATGTTTAGATTACTCCCACCCACCCTCAAATAAAGTGCACAGTCCATGGCAGACCATAGAATAATGCAACAGGAAAAGCCCCTTTTTGTGTATTATTATTTAAAAATAAAATACAAACAACAGAAATAAAACAAAGATTCAGCAATTCTCTGTATCTTGCAGAAAAAAGGAAAAGCGCAAAAACGCCCTGCTTGACTGTCACTTGTGTTAATACACGTAGCCTTCGTTGTAGGGGTGGGGGTTGCAGCAGCCCCCTTCCGGCATGTAGGCCATGCTCTCATCAAAGTGAGAAAGAGGCACTGTGTCCTCCTCGTTGATGTGACGTTCCATGTCTGTCTTCAGCAGTGGACGCTGATTATCTGGAAAGGCCATGGAGAAAAGGGCTTCTGGATCACACACAAACTTGTAGACATATCTCTCTCCAGCCACCTGATGATAACATGGAAGAGAAAAACCCATCCTCACCATCGCCAGATGGGGAAGGACAGGAAGGAAAAAGCCAAAAACGTGGTTTAATATACAGGAAAGGATGGGTAACTCTGGCCCAAAAAAGCAAACAACTAATAGCAGATACACATAAAAAAAAAAAAGTCTTTACTTTGTGGAATAAACTACAGTTCAGTCAAGGGAGATGCAAAATGTTGACCTTGAATAATAATTAATTAATTCCAGATATAGCTAGGAAGCACAGGAATTTGCTTGTCTTAATATAGAGGTAAACTTACATCGTTGTTTTGAAAAAAAGTCAATTATTTAATGCAGGCATTTCATATTGAAAGCTTTTTTTCTGCATTTTAAAAGGTAGTATCTACAAATCTGTACTTTTAAGGTACACTGTCCCTCTTAATATTACATATCTGAAATGGTAGAAAAACTAAATTCAAAATTTAAAAGAAAAATGTGCTTTATTCCCAATAAGACTAGACTAGTAATTCACTGATTCACAGAATAAATGGATTCTTTACTTTTTTTCTTTTTTGGCAGTGTGTGTTGAAAGAAGAAAGAAAGGAAAGAAATAAAGAAAGAAAGAAAAGAGAGAGAGAAAGAAAGAAAGGAGAGAGAAAGAAAAAGAAAAAGAAAGAAAGGAAAGAAAGAAAGAAAGAAAGAAAGAAAGAAAGAAAGAAAGAAAGAAAGGATACACAGCCTCATTTAAATGAAAGATGGATCAAAAGGACAGTATCCTGGGTACATCACTTTTAAAAATGAAGGCAAGATGCATTAGACAGAGTTAAGGATGTGTGTAAAGTGTCAAATTGAAGTAAGAGGTGTAAAAAAGTGAAAGGAATTTAAAATACACAATGCACAGGGAGGAAATGAGAAAAAGAAATGTGACAACTGCCTGGAATAAAGAAGTAGCATAATTTATAGGGTATGACATACCCCAAACTTAAATTCTGAAGAGTAATGCTTCCCTAGAAAATTATAAACAACTGAGTGAGATGAATACGCCTCTTGTTAATAGACAATGCTGAGATGCTCTCAAAACCCGGGGTGGGGGGATGGGTGGATGAATACAGTTCTTTCTATTAACTTTGATAGTCACTTTGTATGGGTGTGTGTAAAGGTATGAGATTTTAGAAAGCTGAAGGTGACACAACACCTCCATGTTCCTGTATATCAACAAGGCATTTGCTAGTTGATTTTTGATGTGGGGCAACAGTGTGTTCCTGGGTTATAAAGTATTGTTATATCTTTGAGGGAAAAGTAACAATTGTCAATGAATGCTGCTGCTCTGAATTCAAATTTAGAACATTTTTTGTTTCTTTTGCCCTGAATTTAAGTAAGAGGAACCACTTTAGAGAATTCAAATAATCTGAATGTACCTAGGTTTGAAAGAATGAACATTTAGTAGTTTTTATGAATTTGGACCTGTTTCTTAGACTACCTCTCAGTGGCCTTTGCTGTGAAATGGAGACAGGAATGGCGCCTCAGAAAGCCCATTGCAAGGTTGGGATGGAAGTCTCCAGCACAGAGCACTGTGCCAGAAACAGAGGAGTCTGGCATACATTTATTTACTTTAGTCCTTCATACAAAGAAAATTAAGATCTTAAAGGTGAAATGATGAAATGACCATAAACATAAAAATAGCACTATCAGGAACAAAGCTGAGATAGTAAATCCTAGTTTTCCTTTATTTTTTTCTTTGTTCAAAGTATTTGGAGAAAAAATAAAATAAAATAAATGGCCTGCATACCTCTGAGTGTTTTATAATGTGCTTTGTTTTGTTTGGGGCTGTGGAGGAAGATACATTTGCTTTAAGTACTGGACTTCCTTTGACGGGTTGCTACTGGCTATACTTAAAAATTATGTAATAAATGAATTAAAATGTGTAACATGCAATCAAGCTTATGCAATCTCTCAAGGACTCTGCCTTTCCTCACTGCTTCCTTCTGTATTGCTTTTGAATAAACATTTTTAGGGCTACTACTTCATTTGCTGGACTATGTTAAATGCTACTGAGTTTAGAACAAGGGATGATAACCAACCAAGGGGAATGATGTCTTCCATTATGAGTAACAGAAGTACTAACGTGCAAAATGCTGTACATTAAGTATAGCCAAAATGCAACACTGAGACAGACAGAAAAAACAGGAATTTTTCCAGGGAGATAAATCAAAAGTAAACAAGGAGATAGCTTTAGAGCTGTGCTTTCAATGGCTGGATATTCAAATTATGTTTTATCTCTTAAAATTTCAGAAGTAATATGGGGATACTGAAGGATAAATTAGAAATTATCAATTAAGTTAAAACAAAGGGTCTATAATTATATCATCCAGAATATAATCACCATTAACATATTGGTATATATTGTTCTAGGCATTTCCTAATTTTGAAATAGAAGTACACATAGGCATTGTCTGTAAGGTAAACATACACTGTTCCATTGTTTCTTACTTCTTCCGTATTACTAAAATTAATTACCAGTTTTCAATTTTTTTAACATGTTCAGATGTAAGTTATTTTTATTTTTCTCTAATCTTCTAATTTTCTATATTATATACACCACATATGCCCACAAAGTTTTAAGTTAGTGAACAAATATAGCCATATAAATATTTTCTCCTACATGTTAAAATATATAATTCAACATCATAGTTTTTGCTATTTAAAAAAGGACAGCATAGTTTTCCTCTGAATGACTATACTAGAATTTACTTGAACATCAGAATGGTACATATCCGAGAATGTGATTAGCTGGGTGCAGTGATGCAAACCTGTAGTTCCAGCTACTCAGGAGGCTGAGGCAGGAGGATTGCTGGAGCCCAGGAGTTCAGATATACTTTACATTGTGCCAGTTACAATGTAAAGTATCTCAAGTACATTATTTCATTTAATAATCACAGCAACTTTAATGAGGCAAGAATATCACCATTTACTAGGAAAATAATCTGTTCAAGAATGTAATCTGGTGAGAGGCTAGCATTCAAACCTAATTCCTGACTGCCTTATCTGTTACTGCTGTGCAATACTGCCCGGGGACACTGCTGAGCACCATCTGTGACAGCCCAGGCAATGTGCCCCCGCATTAGGAAGATGGTGGTGAAAAGAAAGGAATGGAATGTATTTGAAGGATCTTACTACAAAAAGGTAGGTGAGAGAAAGGGAGGAATTAGAAATGACCCCAGGGTTGAGATGAAAAAGACAGGAGGAGCAGGTAGTAAACTGTTATACATTTTGAAGGCATGATTGAGAAAACAGGAAGCAACTGAAAATCGAAGTCAGCCTTTTCTTTTAAGGATCATGGAAGTTCTAACGTCTGAGCCAGCAAATTCTAGGGCACTGAGATAATATGCCTCTTGTCAATAGACAATGTTCTAGGAAAGTCAACAGTGCTATTTTTCGCTGCTCTAATAAGCTTCATGTAGCAACTGGTCTAGTTTTTCTGGGTAAAACTATGGTGACATAAAAATGTGCCACAATCTATAACATGTAACTATGTTTACAAACCCTAAAATAAACAAATGATACAAAATAAAACTGTAACGTTCACAATAGGTAAATCATAAACTTGGTTCACAGTCAAAGCAATTAGATTTCTGTACACTTGCAAAGCTAAAGGGTGTAATAAAAACAAATATCCACGTTTTATCTTCATTCATTTATTTATTCCTTTCTTCAAAAATGTTGTATTTTATTTTAAGTGTAATTCACTTGTTTTTTCTCTACTCTTTTTTAAAAAGCTACTCTTGGCTGGGTGCATTGGCTCATGCTTGTAATCCTAGCCCCTTGGAGGCCAAGGCAGGCAGATCACCTGAGGTCAGGAGTTCAAGACCAGCCTGGCCAATATGGCGAAACGCCATCTCTTCTAAGAACACAAAAATTAGCTGGGTGTGGTGGTGCGCACCTGTAGTCCCAGCAACTTAGGAGGCTGAGGCAGGAGAACTGCTTGAACCTGGGGGACTGAGGTTGCAGTGAACCAAGATCACGCCACTGCACTCTACCCTAGGCGACAGAGCTAGAATCTGTCTCAAAACAAACAAACAAACAAAAAGCTACTTTCAAATATTATGGGAAGCTCATTTGAAATAAAATATATTGAACTTCCACAAACCAAATAAGATCAAATGTTCATTTTTAATGAATGGTTTAGGATGTCAAACTATCAGATGATAAAACTAGGCAAGATTTGAGGCAAGGAAGAAAATGTTTTCACAAATGAGAAAAAGAAATGTCTGTTTTAAGAATCAAAACAAGAAAAAAGTACAAATTTATTCTAAAGATTCTTTATTGCTATAAACAAAAGCATTCCAAAATTATATAATTGTAGACAATGTGCAATAAAAACTTCTGAAGACAGATGTGCTATTAATACTAAAACAATCTTTTTTAACCATGTGCAGCAAAGTAGGACCTTCCAGAAAGCCTATTATTCTGTATACAATATCACTACACATTTGTCTACAATGTCTAGGCATTTATACATAGAAAGGCTTGTAATACCAAAACCAAGAGCTAAGCATTTGTTAAAATGAGTGAAAAACTCGCTTCAGCAATGCAATGATATGTGGCGTTTAAAGTATGATGTTCAGATTAATGTGCAACATTTCAATGAATTTTAATGCTGTATTAGCTGCTCACCTTTTGCATAATTCCTTTCTCATAGTAATAGCGGAGTGAACGGCTAAGTTTATCATAGTTCATAGCTGGCCTGTTTTTCTGAATGCCCCAACGTCGGGCCACCTGCCGCGAAACAGAATTACATTGTAGTGTTAAGTATTAACTTATCAGCATATTTCATAAAAATTATTTAATTAATTACTTCCAAACCCACAAAAATGTCCAACTCAAGGATATAAGTAAAGTAGCAAGAGCTATCGTAATCTGGATTTCCTGTCTCCTGGTTTGCTTTTTTTTTTTTTTTTGAAACAGAGTCTTGCTCTGTCACCCAGGCTGGGAGTGCAGTGGCGCGAACTTGGCTCACTGCAACCTCCGCCTCCTGTGTTCAAGCAATTCTCCTGCCTCAGCCTTCTGAGTAGGTGGGATTACAGGTGGGCCCCACCACGCCCGGCTAATTTTTGTATTTTTAGTAGAGGTGGGGTTTCACCATGTTGGCCAGGCTGGTCTCGAACTCCTGACCTCAGGTGGTCCACCCACCTTGGCCTCCAAAAGTGTTGGGATTACAGGAGTAAGCCACTGCGCCTGGCCTGGTTTGCATTTTAAACCAGGCGTGCAGTGATCCTTCTAAAACACCACAATAGAATTATTTGTCACTATTGTTTTGAATACAAAATTAAATGGAAATAAGGAAATGTTCTTACAACAGGAATGAACAGGCTACAGTTCACCAAAATGAGGCACGTTTTTCATTCTGAGATATACTGTCTGTTTTATCCTTCTTGGTTTTTCAGACAAAAACTATAGATAAAGAGCAGCTTAGTGATCTCCTTGTAAAGGTGTTTTACTGAGGTTATGATAAGCCAAAGGAAAAAAGATACCCTGCTCAATACTATATGAAAGAGTGAACAAGTGACAATGTGTGTAGCAGAGGAAACAGTACACAAATTAATAAACCGAACTGCAAATACTTTTTATTGCCTAAAGCAGCAGCCGAATAAAACTGTGGGTAATACCAAACTGAAGAATTAAGCATTCATTTAGAGAACGGTAATTGGATGCTAAAAATAAGAAGGAAGTGGAAAAGGTCACCATGTATATGAGTCCACAAACAAAAATCTCTAAAGCAGAATGTCTACTCTGTTGTTTAATAAAAAAACTCAGAGCTTTTTATTATGTGGCTTTGGAGGAGCAATGTATCTAAGAGTTTTTCAATAGAGCTTTAAAAAAAATCCTCTCTCCTCAATGTATATATATCCCTACCTCATCACCACCCCAGGCTAGCCAAAGCAGTATACAGAATAGTGTAGCTTGCTTTTCCTACCCCAGCTAAAGTCACTCTCTCATTAATTTCCACTTTTTATTAGTCTGAGAAGAAACTGCAGCTGCCACGCAAACCTAGGCAACCCCAAGAGGACATTATCTAATAGGGCTAGGGAGCGCCTTCATTTCCATAAAATTCCAAGTTGTTGCTATGTCATATATACTAAAATAGATTGCTTTTCAAAGAGATCATTCTGTCTCTCTTTGCTTTATTAGTAATAACCTTTCTCCAGGTTTTTTTTTTCCTTTAGAAATACCGATCCTAGCTATTTTCCCTCTCAGTAATTTTTATTCTCTGAATGAAGAAATAAAGTACTTTAATGACATGCATCAGTATGTTTTTTAAGAGTAGAGAGATGCGATGTAACAGGGACAACATCATATATCCCAGCAGACAATCACAGTGGCAGGAACATCTCAATTTCCCAAAGATAAACTTCATTTTAATGTAAATCTTCTGAGCAATAGTGAATTGAAGCGGGGGTGGGGGCGCTGGGGGGAGGCAATAAGAAATGAAAGCATTTTCTAAAGAATATTTCATTCAAAAACCTAACTATGGACATCAGTGAACCTTTAATAGGCATAGCAGCCGAACTATATGCAAACCTGGAGGGGATGTGAAAATAAAGTATTAGTATCTCCTTAAACAATAATTTCTGAATCCTTATTCATTTATAAAGGATTATTTTCTAGAAACTCACCAGGATGCACCTAGAAAATAAAATACTCACATACTCACAACAACTTTAATACAATGTTGTGGAGGTCTCTGGAGAGAGAAATATGATTTTTAAAAATACCACAGAGTTTGATACTTATCATGCCAGTTCATTCTCAGCATCATGGGTATTAGTGGACATTTAAAAACAATAAAATGTAGTCTTAGAGTTGTTTTAGTGTCATATTCCTCATAAAGTTGAGGTAAATGGGAGAGAGCAATATGCTTAAGAGATGCAGACAAGACAAAAGTTATAAATTAACAGCGTAAATAATTCCAGGCCAGGTAGGCCAACCACCAACTAAGAAAGTTCATTCAGCCTTCACATACGACCGACCAATCGCCACCATATCCAACACCACTCAAAGTCAAGGCATAGTTTCCAATATGGAGTGGGAAAAATGGTGGGAAAACTTCCAGTGACTTCCTTATATACGCCTTCAAATGAAAACTTGAGTTGTTAGTGAAGAGAGTAAAAAGATGATAGCACTATGGCATTCACCCTTATTGTCAAATAAATTAAATAAGATAATGTAATAGTTCAAGCATTAATCAACTTATTTTAAAATATCACGCTTGAATATGTAACACTGAACCTGATAACAACAATCAGGGCCTGGCTATCAGACTTCCTGGTAACTCTTCCAGCTCAACAAGCTTCAATTTCATCAAAAGACTTTTATACTGAGTCTTACAGACGACTTTCTATGTTAATAATTGTTTCCCGGCCGGGCACAGTGGCTCACACCTGTAATCCTAGCACTCTGGGAGGCTGAGGTGGGCAGATCACCTGAGGTCAGGAGTTCAAGACCACCCTGGCCAACATAGTGAAACCCCGTCCCTACTAAAAATACAAAAATTAGCTGGGTGTGGGGGTGCACACCTGAAGTCCCAGCTACTGGGGAGGCTGAGGCAGGAGAATCACTTGAACCCGGGAGGCAGAGATTGCAGTGAGCCAAGGTCGCACCACTGCACTCCAGCCTGGGTGACAGAGTGAGATTCCATCTCAAAAAAAAAAAAAAAAAAAAATTGTTTCCTGGAACAATTCCCTAGGAGACATGACTAATTCAAAAATAGTATTTCATTATCTCAAATATCTAAGAAAAAGACATGTTAAAGATTATGCGTTTTCTAAAGTTACCCTAAACACACTGAGCAGATAATCTGTGCAGGTCTGGAGTCTCACTCAATATCATTTTAAAATGCAAGATGAAATATAAAGAAATGGAACCCATCAGTAATTCCAATAAGATGGCTTCAGAGACATCTTTCACGGACTGTGCTGACACAGGCACCCAATGAGCTGCTAGGCAGTAGAGGGAACAGGGTGACCACAGGTCACAAAGACAAGAAATTTCACAAACCCTTTCCAAAGAAGAAATTTAAACAAGACCCTACAGTCATTGCCTGATGGAAGTAATTGCAACAGTCAGCAATGCAGCAATCAGATATGGGATGTTTCATTTTGAACAAAAGCCTTAGGAGACATTCAGTGCTTATTGCACAATTCCCATTGAGTTGGTTATTATTTGGAAACGCTCTACTGACTCTGAATTATCCAGCCTCTTTTTAACTTTATGAGGCTGCTACAGAAGAGTTGTCTAAATGTCAGTCTGTTGTATGGAACAGATGTAATTCTACTTCTTCCCTCCATTTAAAAATCACAGTAACTCAGAATTTGATGAAACTTAATGGTCATCTAGTCAAATCTCCTACTTACTCAAATCTGAACATCATAAAAGTCAACAGTTGCTATATAAAAAGCTTAATCATTTGCAAAAGAATTTTTCTTCTTCTGAGTGGATCAAGAAATACTGGCATAATTCAGTAATGTTCCCTATCTTAACAAATATATGGCAGGAACAACAACAAAAACCTCTGCTCAGTTCATTTTAATCACAGGTGAAGGGAAATAACTGTTTAACTGATACAAATCCCTGTAGAAAGTGCTCAGTTCCAGCATGAACCAACTCTTGCAGTGATTATTAACATCTTCCATGAGGTGAAGAGCACACACTCCCATCATGCGAAAGGGCTTTCAAATTACTTTGTTAAATGCTTCTAGTCTCAATTTGTTAGTGCTTAACATTTTTGTGGTTCTTTCACTTACATCATGTGAGAGTATCTATGAAAAAACTAATCTTCTTTGACAGCTAAGTTAATTTTAAACACACTACAGCATTCAAACACCCAAACGTCATCCTAGATAATGAGAATTTTCAAATACTGACATTGAGTCTTCTGTGTGTGCGTGCTTGATGTGGGGCAAGGGAGATACTGCAAAACTAACCCTCTAGTGTTACTAAAGTATTGATATAAACTGAAGGAGACTTGACTGTTCTAACCAGTGCCTTTTATTTCATACTTTCAGTACATTCTCGAGTCAGATAATCTCTTAAATTTCAAGAAGTTATGTAAACTTATCTTCTGGGCATCAAATTAGGGCATATTATCTGATTATAGTTGAATACGTGGTTTAATAAAGACAGAAAATTCAAGATGATGGACCCAGTAGTCAAGGGTGTGGATGTTCAGTGTATATGAAAATCACTTTGGGTTCAAACATTTTTTAAACTTACTGAATTTTTCAATATTACTGAGGTGTTTAGATTCAATACCTAATATAATCAGTTAGAGGTATGGTAGCTAAAAATCTTCCATTGCTTTTTTGGCTGATATAAACTAAAGTCAATTTTAATAGTAGCAGAGAAAGTATCTTTAGTAATGAAGACACAACAATTTGATATTAACTTCACCTTTCCATCAGCAGTCCAAAATGCTATTGATGAGTTATGCTACAGGAACAATAGTAGCCTTAAGCCTAAAGCTAGTTCTGGGAAGAATAAAAACTGAACTGAGAAATTCTTCATGGAAATACTCCATTTGTATGTGGGGAGTGGGAAGGAGGGGACAATTGAAGTTAGTTGAAGGTGTCCTCCATTTCTCTGTACAGTATTATCTCTGTCCAGGCTCTTCTTATTTTAGTAATTTTTTATGTGCTATGGCAACATTTTAAACTTCATCCCAACCTTCCAATGGAGTATGCCAGTCCAGCTGACTTGGAACAAGTGTCACGGACAAAGGAAAATGTTTCTACCAGGCCTGTGTCTTGTAAGAGACACTTAAGGGCTGAGAATTTTCCACTGTTGCCCTTGCATCCCTTTATCCGCCACAGCTGTTTTTCCCCAATCTTCTTTTGAACATAACTTTGGCCTCTAAATGCTCCTCTCCAACCCTCATGACAAAATCCAAGTTGTCCAAATAATGATTGCTAATTTGAAAGAATAATTCACCCATCCCCCAACCAGTTGACTTTTGCAGACATCGTTCCTCTCTCCTAAGGACCATAAAACCTCCCTCCTGCCTCTTTTCTCTAATTCAGATGCTCCTTTAGAAACCCTGAAGCCAGACATTCTTAAATAAAGGTGCAAAGCATGCTCTGGTTAATTTTCTCCAACATCAATTTTGTAGGATTGTATACAACCGGAAGGAACACGCAATACATTGGTGATTTTAAAGGTAGACATGTTTTATCTTTGCATGCTTTTTAATTCAGAAAGTTTCCCTAAAGTCTTGAAATGATTAAGAATACATTTTTGGTATATTAATCAAATGTGTCAGTTTCTTTATGTTATAACATGTCTGAGTGTCCTAATTAAAATCTATTAAACTAACCTCTTCAGGCTCAATCAGTTTAAATTCCATGCCTCGACCAGTCCAGGCAATAAAATGAGAATTTGAAGGGTCATCCAGAAGAGCTACCAAAAACTGCCAGAGCTGAAGTGATCCTCGCCGTTGGTATGTGGGTCCTTCCCGATACATTCCTGGCTCTTGTTTGATGTCTCCTAAATTAAAACATTTTTAAGTTTCTATTATTAGCAATACTATGCTATCTTACATAAAATGTACATTAAATCAATCACTAATATGGTTAAACCACAATCAACCACTTTATGGGCATTTATGAAATATATTATTACCATTAAAGAGGAATTTAAAATAGTTAAATGGTTGAATATAAATGAGCAAGCTGTACGAACTTACAGATAACTATATATAACACAGGTGCAGAATAAATCCTGTGTCAATATGAATGACACACATCATTTACTTACAAAAATATTGTGGAACTATCTTTTTTTTTAAATTGATTTCTTTAAAAACCATCGTATCTAATCAGACTTCTTTGCTTTTATTGTTAATGCTATTACCCACTGCTCTAGGCAACACTGAAGAGGGAATAATCAATCTTAAGCTCTGGGCATTTGATTCATACAAATTAAATTCTGCAAACTATAATTTATAAATATCTTATTGACCTGCTCATGAAAAACTATTGAAAATTTTAATGCAAATATTTCAAAGCAAATTTAATAGTATCCTAAACTGAGTTAAGTAATCTTCACTTTATATAAATAAGGAAAATCTTGTGGGTAATTCAGGGCATACTGCATTATCGTAGTACTACCCTTCCTTCACCGCATCATATACCTTCCTATTAAAGCTACTACTTTTTCAACTGGTAACAAAAATTCTCTCTCATTTTTCTTTATCTCTTGCTTGTACTTCACTCACTTGAATTTAACTTGCTATTGTTTTTTCTAAAAGTCCAATTTAAAAATGCATGCACGAGAGATTTCTGTAAGTATGTATTTTTAAGCACAAAAAGTTTGTGTTATATTTATTTGATATTCATATCTAGTGTAAAAATCTGTTAAATAGAGCACAGCAATAAAGGTGTTCATGTTGCAATGCTTCTGGTATAAATCTGGTCAGTTATATTAATTTTACAAAAAAAAATACAAAGTTTCATGACTTCTGATTATTTACTTCCATCTCCAGCCACATGTCTCAAAAATAGGTGGAACTGCTCACATTGGGGATTGAGTGTCTAGGGCCCTGCAAGTATGTCATTGTTAGTGCATAAATTGCTCTTCTCCGCTAAAGAAACAATCCAGACAAAATATATCTAAGCCTATGTAGTCATACTAAGTGTGCATTATAAAATAGACCAAATTGCACACTTTCTAAAACTTACCTATGGTCAGTAGAGAGACATATACCTCTTAAAATAATTACAGAAAGGGCAACATTTGAAAAACCTAAACCAAAATATAAAATGTGTGAGTCAATAGCTGCTAAAATCATTATGTTGTTTTGGTCTTAACATGATAATATAGAAGTGTATCTTCATATCGATTTCAATGACAGTTTTATTTATCTCAGTTTTTCCTTCTGAGATTTACAATGTTTTTTTTATGGGAGTAACTGAGTAATTATGCAGATAGAGTGAAACACTGTTACATTTTATAGTCTCTATATTGCTTCTGCCTATAAATGTGACTGATCACACTGACCATGTACAGTGAAAAAATAACCCCCTCATTTTTCTTTCTTCTTGTTCTACATTACTTATAAAATACAAGGCAAATACTATCTTCCAAAAAATGTTTTATTAGTGTAAAATTGAAGAGTATTTAAAAGTCGAAGGGAATAAATAATCAAGGCAGCTTGTTCCCTAAATATTAGTGTGACTTTGGCCTGTCAGATTATATTGTAATTCTGTCCATAATTTTGAGATATTTTTCTTTCTTATATGCCCTTACTAATTTTCAAGATCTCTGCAAATATGAAGCTCACCAAACACGAAAGAAACTAATGAAGGTCATTCCAAGAGTAAGAGGCTTTATATACTTTGTCTAAGAGAAAATGCTATATTTTAAGAATGCTGATGCTCTGCTAATGTTGCTAAATAGTACGGCTCACCCCTCTGAAATGCAAAGCTTAAAGCTAACATCTGTTGTAGAATAAAACCAAAAATGTGATTCCTATAATTTTTTTTTTGACCTTGAATGAATTTAGAAATCTAAAGGAGGATAAAGAAGCAGATCTTCCCTAGACTTACCAGCCCTTCTGAGAAGGGTAAGGGTAGCACAAAGCTCGGGAACATGGGGTAGTCTCCAAGCAACTAATTAGAAATTGAAAAGCAATCTGAGCATGTACATTGCTGTTTAAATAATGACAATTTAAAACTTCAGAGAGCACCCAAGTCATTATAGCCATGACCCCCAAAGTTTGTGCAATCAGTGAATCACAGGGCCCCTGCTGGTTTCCTGTCAAACGATCAAAGCAGGAAATATGAAAACCACTCTGAAGAACCACTAAATCAATTAACTGTTTACTTTTTACCCAAGCTTCCTCAAGATGCCAACTTTTGTCACCTTTGTCAAAAAAAAAATTCAATTTAACTTGACACCCTTTTCTAACATCTGAGACCTCTGCATTGCAATAGCAAGTGATATTAAAAAGGTAATGCTTTCCTAACTCCCTTTTAAGCAATTACAAAGTCATGCTACATTAGTAACATACATCTTCCCCAGTTAAAAAAAAAAAAAAAAAGGGACTAACAATCACTAACTAAATGGGCAGTTATGTTGTTCCTGTGTTCCATAATGCATCTTTCCATGAACAATGAAAGAAGAGAGGCCGCGTTAGTCATCGGTCCATCCACAGCAGCACGTTTTCTGCTCTGCTTTGTTAATTACAGGATCAGCTTTCAATAAATCTCGAATAACAAGCTGCATGTGCTCAGCAGGGCAATGGAAAGCCCCCTCTTACGCTACACAAAGCTCAGCAAGAATGATGCTCTTTGTCTATTTCTCCAAAAATGAACTCCCTCCTAACACAAAAGAAAAGGTTTCCTACTGGGGCAAGGAAGAGATAAATTGTAATAGGTCAACGTTGGCTAAAATTAAGTGCATGATGAATTATGTGCATAGGAATCTTTAAGTAGGGATGTCCACTGTTTTCAGAAGAAGCGAAGGTAATCACTCCATCTTTAAAAAAATCAGAACTTGAGGCAAAGTGTAAAACCTACCATCGAATTTTTCTGGGACAACACAGGTGTCATCATAAAACTGCCTGGGGCCCTTTTCAAACATACAGCCTGTGGATGAAAAAGGAATACATTTATTCATGATAGAAATGAAGCTCACAAACACTTAAAATATAACCATTTAACATAAAAATTGTGATAGAAAATGACTCTGCCACCACCTTTCAGTTCCTTGAGCCCTGGACACATTATTTAACCTCTGTGCCTCAGTTTCCTCATCTATTAAATGGGATGACAGTAACACCACTTATCATGTTATAGGGTTGCTGTAGTTTAGAGTGATGCCTAGTACACAGTGAAATATAAAAGTTAGTTATTTACATTGTTAACTCAAGCCAGAGCTCACCTAAACATTGGCAAGGATTTATAACGTATCGTCTCCTTTTTTAGATTCATCTAAATTTTATTGTTCAATGAAAAAGTGAGAAAGCAAGGTGAATTACTGGTATTCACATTATATTATTAGTCTGATGCTCTGAGACAGATTTATTTTATCCTCTTACTTTCTTGTAAAAATATTTAGATGGGTTAACCTTCCTGTACTCAATTAGCAAGATAAGAGGAAAAAAAAAGTTTCCCTTTTTTTTTTTTTTTTTTTGCTGTAAGGTAAGTCCACAGAAAAAAATGCAAAATAAATCAACAGCTTTTCATAATAATGTCCTCTCTCAAATATCCTTCACTGTGAACTTTCGTTGTTGCTATCTGTGATTACCAGGAATAAATTTCATAGAGTTTACTTTTATTTCTCAAATGTATTGGTCTTTATGGTGGGTATATAATACTAACAACAGAAGCAACAATAATTACATTGCATTTGTGCAAAACTTTTAATTTCAAATATTTTACATTTACCATCTCATACTACCCTTTAAAATTCTACTAATATCATTTACACAAAATAACCAATATTAGACCTAGCCTAAAAGAATGCATCCAAGTCAATCCTATTAAAGAGATGTAGAGTGTTTAGGTTAGGAACCATGCACATATTTCAGAAATCCTTTATTGAGGATTATATCCAGACGAAATCATTTTTACCATTACTTTTTAGGTATCAAAGTCCTTTACAGGCAAAGCTTTCCTACCACGGTTACCACAAGCCTGTCTATGAGAAAACTCTTTCTCTAGGCCTCCTATGTGAAATCTCATTCATATAAATTATTTGTCCAAAAATATAAAATCCAGAACATTTAAAGGTGAAAACCTTTAAATCGATGGCATTTTACTCCAAAACTATGACTAGGTCTGTAAAAGCAAAACCAAATATTCCTCAAAGATACATTTCAGTAGTAGTAAAGTGGGCTAATCTATAAAGCATATGTTCTATTTTAAAAGGATGTGGTTGTTGGCAAAAAAGAACACAGAAATCCACTTTTCAGTTGTTTCTACGCATATGACTCATGTTAACAACAAGATACCACTACTTGAAACATCTTCTTTTTACTTTGGAGATAGTCTTAAAACAATTGCTTAGGGAACATAAATGATTTTTCCCAAATAATATAATGATTAATTAAATGACGTCATATTTGGGATGTCTGATTATTCTGAACGGTATTTACACGGAATTTCAGTGGTGGACAACTTAACTTCTGTTCTGCTGGGATGAGCCAGGAAGCCTTCTTGCCTCATATAAATGGAGTGGCAGCTAGGCACTTCTGAAAGAGGAAACAATATTGGTCAAAAAGAGTCTGGAGCTGAAACGCTGCGGTTATCAATGGACAGGGTGCAGACAGAGAAGATACAGAAACGGACACAGGTTCCAATGTGGGGAACATGTCAACATATAATCAACATTTCAGGCAGGGCCCACACATGAAATGAAAGAATGAAGAGTATATATCTTGGTGAATGCTGATTCTCTTGAATAGGAAGGTGAATTCAAAGTTTTACCCAAATAAACCTTGCTAAAAGTCAGCTCAAACAGCAACCCACATGAATGAGATGGTGTCCTTGAAACAGGGTCACAAGTTTTAAATATGCATCAGGACATTTAGCAAATAAATTTGTATAATCCCATAGCATTCTATGAATATAGCAACATTGGAAATATTTAGAAGCTTTCAAGTTGAAAATACTGTAAAATGTATTATCAAAAGTTTTATTATGCTATTATACTATGCCTTCTTCATATGAAGTATTATGAAGCATATAATTCTGACCATATAAAAGACAGAGTTAACACTGTTTCCTGATATCTGCATTTATAATAGGGTTGCAGTATAGTTAATCTTTTGGGTTACCAAATAGTTAGCAATCCATTTTAGCCCAACTTCTTAACCAATGGTACTTCAAATTAATTTTTAATGCTATTTTGATTTATTCCCAGACGTAAGGTCCCTTAAAGCAGCTGGGACTGGAAGGGACAGTGTTAATAACTCTGCCATCAGCTCAGCAGCTGCTTTGAGGCAAGCATTTTGTTGAACTAATGTTGACACCCTGCCACAAAATACTTTTATTGACTGCTGCACACCTGGATTGCGGCTATAAAAACAGCTGGCTGACTCTGGAGGCAGCCAGAGGAAAACAGATAGGCTAAACTCTATTACATATAAGTGTGACTAAATGCAGTCTTTCCTTCCCAGAGTGGGAGAAAAGGAGGGAGAAAGGAAGTGCAAACATTTCTGAGAAATTCACTATTTAATGTCAAAGAACACCTTATAAAAGTGTTTTAACATATGACAAAATTAGCATAACCCTGGAAAACTAGATATTTGACATCAAATTTGAGATCTGATGGATAATTTCACTAATACCATCTCTATTCAAATGGCTGATTTGTTTATTGCTATATTTACTTTATAACATTCTTAATAAATTCTAATCTATGATATTTAAGATATACTGATTTAAAATTCATAATAAATTAATAACATATAATAAGGTTAATGCCAGAATCTCCATTACACTTCCAAAGGCCCAACTTGTGAACTCAAAAAAGCAATGGATGGCAATTTAGAAATATATGGAATACGACTGTGTTTTTGCCAATTGCTGTTACTATTTATACTCTAGTGTAAATAAAATTAACATCTAGCTCTTAAAATGGATACACTTGGCTAGCATTGTTTAAATCTGGTCTATACTTAAAATTGGTGTCCTTTATACAGTCCAGAGAAGCCTGAAAAAATATGGCTAAGGGGAGATTATCCCCATAAAGTAAGTAAAGTCATGTTATCCTTAAGTGATATCAGTTAATTTATGACTATCAGAGTGGGTCAGACTCTAATCAAATTGTAGAAACATTTCCAAAGTGATTATTCAATCAAATGACTAACATGGTTAATTAGGAGCCATAAACATTGCTCTGAAGTTCATCAAAGTAATGACTTGCCCAGAAAAATTACTGCTAATTAAATTGCCTGCTGCTTTCATTTCTACCTTATCTAATAAAAAATCCAACCAATGAAGTTTGGCATTACATTTTAACTTTTGTTAAATGCTTGACTATGATCCAAACTAGCTAAGCGGCGACTTCAAAGGCAAATGTTTTGTGGCAGAGGAAGGAGGCATTGCATATGCATTCAGTTCTGTTTCTTCACGAATAAAATGTACAAAGTTCAACAACCGTAACAAGCTGTAGTTTAACTCATGCAAAAATATTAAGATGACAGCATATTCACACTGTCCTATTATGCATCCACAGATTATAGTTTAAGGATCATTAGTACAAGTACAGCACAATGGTTATAAACAGGCACCTTGTCATCTGATAGAACTGATTTTGAATCTCAGTTCTGACATTGCATGGGAGTATGACATTTTGTTGTTATTTAACATCTCTAACTCCCAACTTCCTCATCTGTAAAGTGGGAATAATAATAATAATGACATCCTTAAAAGGGTTGTTGGGAGGACCACGTGGAGTAAGTTATGTGCAACATTTCGCACAGTATCTGCACACTGTAAGAATTCACCATATGGGACTTATTATTAATAACACTATTTTTAAGTGATCCTCACAAGTATTTAAACTGAGTACTTTAACCACAGTACTTAAAACTAAAAATAATTATATATCTAAATAAGTTACATTTGTTATCTTACTCTGCTGTTCTTAAATTATATGAGATGACTGATTTGTTGATTATTAGTGTATCTATTTTGGAATATTTTTCACAAATCTATCTATTAATCTATGATATCTAAAATACAATAAAATTCATTATAAACTTATAAGGTTTAAGCCAGACTCTCCAGTAGATGCTTTAACTATTTGGGGGTACCTCTTTTTTTTTTTTTTTTTTTTTTTTGAGACAGAGTCTCGCTCTGTCGCCCAGGCTGGAGTGCAGTGCCGTGATCTCAGCTCACTGCAAGCTCCGCCTCCCGGCTCAGGCCATTCTCCTGCCTCAGCCTCCTGAGTAGCTGGGACTACAGGCTCCCGCCAGCATGCCTGGCTAATTTTTTGTATTTTTAGTAGAGACGGGGTTTCACCATGTTGACCAGGCTGGTCTCGAACTCCTGACCTCAAGTAATCCACCCGCCTCGGCCTCCCAAAGTGCTGGGATTACAGGCATGAGTCACCGCGCCCGGCCGGGGGTACCTCTTTTGAGCTTCTTTTTACAGTATTACCCCCTCATGTTAGCTCCTAAAGCGCTCTGGTTTTAAAAGTTTTAAATTAAATCTAAAAATTAAATTATGTAAATTTAATTTAGGACAAAGAATTTTATTTGTTTCAAAACTTGTGGATCAAAATGCTCTATGACATATTAGTACTGGCCAAATCAGCTTACAGAAATTAAACTGCCTATAATTTGTTACAGATGAGTTCATGGTGATGAAAGCTGATCTAATATGCTGTAAAAATTCAAAGCAACAAAGCCCTGTTGTCATTTTAATGCACTAATCAATGTAGCGGAAGTTAAGAAGAATAATAAACTAACACCCCAAACTATCTAATTTGATTAGTTTTCACGTTTAGTAACATCAGTAAAGTTCTCTTCAAATTAAAATACGCAGACAAGAAACTAAAAAAAAAAAAAAAAAAAGTTACCTTCTTCTCTGTCTCTTGATTTGCATTTTCAAGCTATGCTGGGAAACATAATATTGATTTGGGAAGCTTTACCAAAGGTTTGACCACAAAGTGCAGTATTGAATTTGCACATTTAAAATTGCTAGGCACTCTCTGATTTGCATATTTGCTGCCTCTATAGCAGAATGGAGGCTCTCCTTTAGGGCAGAGTTTGCTTAAAATTTCAAGGATCTACATCAGGCCACGGCAAAGAGAAAAGATTTGCCACAGTTGCCTGAAATATCTGTACAGAGCTGGCTGAAATTGCTCTGCTATCAAATAGTGTGTAAATCTGGAATTATAACATATTATAACCTCTAAATAAGGGAGAAAAACAAGTCTTTTCCATTTGATGCTTTTGGTTAAATTCTTCTACCAATAACGACTGTATAACTTAATTAAGCATTTGAATCTCTTAGAGGAAATGAGAAATCTCAGTAAAATATAAATATGTTTGATGTTGTATTTTAATGTGGTTTTGCTTTCCTATAAGTATATAGTGCAAAGCTGGATTGATTATACACTTGACTAACTCCTTGTGGAGTTGATATGACAAAATCAAGTGCACATAAACTTGTCTATTGTATATTGATGATTTCTAAAACTTGGTGCATAAAATATCCAGAGCCAAAATGTGTATGTAAACACATATCTGAAATTATCATATACTCAGTAAAAAATGTGTGTATCAATGCATACCTAGGAGTTTCAACTAGTTTTTCAAAAACATTTGTCTATTATGTAAAAAATACTGAGTTGTATTAAGAATTAATATCACCAATCTCATTCAAGAAAGATGAGCATAGTGACAGATCTTGCCAACATTTTATCTCTTTTAAACTTAGTACTTCACTAGATTTTTTGTTTGCTTACTTCTTCTCATTTGCTGGTAAGCTCATAGTTTATGTTTAAAATCCAAAGGTTTACAAGGATGCATAGATTACCTGAGTTTTATGCAGATGTGTTTAAATGCAAAGCCATCACGTATATGCCATACTTTTAGCCTGCTTTTCCAATTGTCACATGTCAAATTGAGTGCACTCAATTGAGAAAACTTATTTCATAAAGTTTCCTAGAATGAATGATAATGGAAATAATTTTTTTTTTTTTACTTTTACCATATGACCACTCTATTGCAGAACAAGTCTAAAAGTAATTATCTTCCAAAATAAGGACATATATATCTGAATTCATGTGAGAATGATAGCAAAAAAGTCAAGTTTTATAAGACCTATTTGCTGTTCATTAGGAAGCTCAATGTGAATATAACATCTTAGTTACTAAACTTGATGTGAATGTAACATCTTAGTTACTGAACTGGATGTGAATGTAACATCTTAGTTACTGAACTGGATGCGAATGTAACATCTTAGTTACTGAACTTCACATGAATGTAACATCTTAGTTACTGAACCTCATGTGAAGAAGGCAGCAAAGCTGGAGAAATCCTGACAAGGGAGTGATGAATTTAGTATTACCTCACTCACACTTAGATGGGATCTTTCTCTTTAGGGTTTTAAGTAAACTGTGAATATAAATAATGTAAAATCTGCAGAGATACTTACTTCACAATAGCTCGGATGTACTGAATCTACTATTGATTGAGTATGGGGGAGAAATATGTTAATTTTTAGATGGTTTTAATATGCTTGTAATAGCATTTGCAAAATCTTAAAAAAAAGAGAGAAAAGTAGAGGTCAGACGTGGTGGCTCACGTCTGTAATCCTAGCACTTTGGGAGGCCAAGGTGGGCGGATCGCCTGAGGTCAGGGGTTCGAGACCACCCTAGCCAACATGGTGAAAACCTGTCTCTACTAAAAATACAAAATTTAGCTGGGCATGGTGGCGCGTGCCTGTCATCCCAGCTACTCGGGAGGCTGAGGCAGGAGAATCGCTTGAACCCAGGAGCCGGAGGTTTCAGTAAGCCGAGATCGCGCCACTGCACTCCAGCTGTGACAGAGTGAGACTCCATCTCAAAAAAAGAGTAGGCTGTGCACAGTAGCTCATGCATGTAATCTTGGCACTTTGGGAGGCCGAGGTGGGAGGATTGATTGAGCCCAGGAGTTCAAGACCAGCCTGGGCAATATGGTGAAACCCCATCTCTACCAAAAATACTTGAAAAGTTAGCTGGATGTGGTGGCACACACCTGTAGTGCCAGCTACTCAAGAGGCTAAGATGGGAGGATGGTTTGAGCGCAGGAGGCAGAGGTTGCAGTGAGCCCAGATCATACTACTGCACTCCAACCTAGGCAACAGAGCCAGACCTTGTCCAAAAAAAAAAAAAAGTAAAAGTAAAGTAAAGAAAGAAAAAGTAAAAGTAGAATAAGTAAATAATGCAGTTATCGCAGTTATCTGAATTTACGTGCTTTTGAAAGTTTAAGGCTACATGGCGAAAAATAACAGTATAGAATTTTATCTACACAATTATAAACTTCTCTTGTAAGCACCTGGGGTTTTCTTTTGGACAATACCCCACACAAATAATGACCAGATCCAAACAACATTAGATTATATGATCTACTAGGCTCGCACTATTACAAGTTTTACAAGCCTGTGATAGTCTTACTAAGCTGAAATTTTAAAATAAAGTTGAAGTGATAGAAAACATAGACACAACTGTAACTTTGAGTATTTATTTATTTATTTATTTATTTATTTATTTATTTATTTATTTTGAGACGGAGTTTCGCTCTTGTTGCCCAGGCTGGAGTGTAACGGTGCGATCTCAGCTCACTGCAACCTCTGCCTCCCGGGTTCAAGTGATTCTCCCGCCTCAGCCTCCCTAGTAGCTGGGATTACAGGCATGCACCACCATGCCCTGCTAATTTTGTACTTTTAGTAGAGACAGGGTTTCACTATCTTAAGTCAGGCTGGTTTTGAACTCCTGACCTCAGGTGATCTGCCGTCTTGGCCTCCCAAAGTACTGGGGTTACAGGGGTGAGCCACCGCGCCTGACCAACTTTGAGTATTTATTTCATACTACCATACTCTGACAATTAACAGAGGTTTAAAAGAAAATATGAGGCCGGGCGCGGTGGCTCACGCCTGTAATCCCAGAACTTTGGGAGGCCAAGGTGGGTGGATCATGAGGTCAGGAGATCGAGACCATCCTGGCTAACACGGTGAAACCCCGTCTCTACTGAAAACACAAAAAATTAGCCGGGCGTGGTGGCGGGCACCAGTAGTCCCAGCTACTCGGGAGGCTGAGGCAGGAAAATGGCGTGAACCCGGGAGGCGGAGCTTGCAGTGAGCCGAGATCATGCCACTGCACTCCAGCCTGGGAGGCTGAGTGAGACTCTGTCTCAGAAAAAAAAGAAAAAGAAAAAGAAAGTATGATACAGGATGCCATTAGCTGCCAAAATGGGCCACACAAAATTCTGAAGAGATAGTGGTTTTAATGTGGAATTTCAATTTTAAATTTCTCTCTTGCTGGAAACTACATGATTTGAAAAAAAACATACCATGAACAGCTTTGTCCTCTTGTTTTCATCTCTCCTTGGATCACCACAATATTCAGATAACTTTTTCTATTTGCTTTGCATATGAATAATACTAGTAAGAAGTTCATTTGGGTATATACCCAGTAATGGGATGGCTGGGTCAAATGGTATTTCTAGTTCTAGATCCCTGAGGAATTGCCACACTGACTTCCACAATGGTTGAACTAGTTTACAGTCCCACCAACAGTGTAAAAGTGTTCCTATTTCTCCACATCCTCTCCAGCACCTGTTGTTTCCTATAAATCATGCTGCTATAAAGACACATGCACAAGTATGTTTATTGCGGCATTATTCACAATAGCAAAGACTTGGAACCAACCCAAATGTCCAACAATGATAGACTGGATTAAGAAAATGTGGCACATATACATCATGGAATACTATGCAGCCATAAAAAATGATGAGTTCATGTCCTTTGTAGGGACATGGATGAAATTGGAAATCATCATTCTCAGTAAACAAGAACAAAAAACCAAACACCGCATATTCTCACTCATAGGTGGGAACTGAACAATGAGATCACATGGACGCAGGAAGAGGAATATCACACTCTGGGGACTGTGGTGGGGTGGGGGGACGGGGGAGGGATAGCATTGGGAGATATACCTAATGCTAGATGACGAGTTAGTGGGTGCAGCGCACCAGCATGGCACATGTATACATATGTAACTAACCTGCACAATGTGCACATGTACCCTAAAACTTAAAGTATAATAAAAAAAAAAAAAAAGAAGTTCAGCAAGACTGTTTCTCTTGCTGGACTAGCACAATATGATTGTTTTAAGAGTATTGTCTCTCTTATTTTATCTTATCCTCTAGCCCCAAATACTGTACTTTAAATTATTAGAAATAATAATGGCATCTTAATAAAGGACTAGCAGTCTTTGAAGAAGTATCTAGTCAAAATAAAATCATGTCAATGGGAATCCTTTATTATTGCCTGCACCCCTATTATGTGCTAGAAACGGTATCAGTGACTTTATAAACATAACCATATTTACCCGTTACAAAAACACTAAAAGATGAGAGTTATTTGCCCTTTTATAAATGAAGAAACTGGAGGCATAAGGGGTTACAAAACATGCTCAATATGACACAAATCGTAAATGGATGTCAGGCCCAGGATTTACTATAATATTTCCAGTGTCATGTTAAGTGAGTGGTTTTATTTTTTAATACTAAGAAAAACAGATGGAGCAGTGAAATGTACAGACCCACATACTAAAAAAAAAAATTACCAGAACAGAGAGTTGAAAAATACTTTTAAAGAGAATAGTTAAATGAATCACAATAACACATGCTTGTTGTTCTTTTGGTTTTTTTTTTTTGATACTTTTCATATTTATCTTTGAATTACTCTCCTGTAAAATTTTCCAGATTGTTAGAAACAACTAAATAGAAACCATACACACACACACACACACACACACACACACACACACAAAATAAGAACAATAACCATCTATTTAATCTGATAAAAATTCCTTGAAAATTTTTTCAAGTTGTTCATATCCTAGTTGAAAATGTTTTATGAAATAAAATGTCTCTTTTCCTCAAACCTATTAGTTAACTCATTTAAGTATAGAAATCATTTAAGTGTAAAAATTCTAAAACTATATTCGAAACCTAAAAACAGATACTTAGTTATGTAAACACTTTAAAAAATGTTATATGTTCCCTTCTTTTGTTCATATTCATGAAACAGACAAAAACACACAAAGACACACACACAGAGAGAGAGAGAGAGAGAGAAGAGAGATCCAAACATGTATCTTTAAACTGTCTCATTTAATTTCAAATCTCAGTTCCACTTATAAAAACAGTTGTATGTTCACTTTACCCACTTGAAATAAGCAGTTCTGGGCCTAAATATCCTGGTTGTTTTATTAAAAAAGAAACTAAAAGTCCCACCCTATAAAAGCACACTCCACCCCCTTCTAATTGCCTTTTTCCAAGCTAGTACAACTCACAAGCAGATTATCCATCCCTTCCCCCTTTCCTGCCTGTAAAATCCAAGTTAGACAAACACTGTGGGGCTGAAATGACATATTTGAATGGAATTCAGACCCACCAGTTCCTGTTTATGTTTCTGATTTGAGAATGTTGTCTTCTCATTCACTATACATTAGGAACACTGCAAGGCCATAAATAGTGTCAGGTTACTTGCAAGCAGGACCAATGAGCATTAATCATTACTTCCAGTCAACTGGCATAAGCAGCAGCTGATGGAACACTACACCCTTCAGCTCTGTATAAATGGACATTCCAGAGAGAGTGAGTGAGTGTGTGTGTGTGTGTGTGTGTGTGTGTTTCCTTTCAGTCTCCATTTTATGAATGAAACTCCAGGCTCTATAGCGTCCATTCATGTAAGAGAAATGCTTACAGGGCTCTGCCCCTAGGGATCAATCAGTCATGGGTAAAACTGGTATGATTGGTTTAAGACAGCCTTCAGCCTTCCATTACTGCCTTAAAATGCAGTCCCTGTCCATTTGGCCTGTGTTAATGCATAAAGAGTAAATCCAGACTGTAGTCTCAACTCTCAAATCAAATCACTAGAGCCAATGCCACTTACTGTAACTGTAGATTTAGAGCATATTTAAGTATTTCTTAGAAAAACTGATATAGTGGGCCAGAGTACTGATTTGGGAGATTTGCAATTTTAACTCCAAAAGAAATGAGGAAAACTCATATGAGACATGCTAAGCAATAAAAGGCAAAGTCAAATTGTGAGGCCAATCTATGACCTCTATTGCAATAACAAAATCAATTAGGAAGACATCACTGTCACTTTTCACAATTGAAGCACCTAAAAATCAGAGATTAAGTGATCTACTAGTCCACAAATCACTGGATGTGTAAAAGAAAATTATCTTTGGATATTGAGAAAGAGATAAGATGTTAACATTTTCTGAAAGTTCAATAGCTCATTCTTTAAAGTTCCCAAGTGATCCTACACTTGAATTTCTTTAAGCAATAGTTTTAGAGTTAGGAGGGAAAAAATGAGCTGCCATGTTTCAGGAGAAAATGTAGCCATAAGCAAGTGATGTTTTGTAATGGAATAAGGCCACGGTTTAGCCTTTGGAAGTGTTACATATCAAGCACAAAAGGCCAAAGTTCATGGAATCATAATCATTGCTGCCCTGGAAATTACTAAAGATGGCAATATTTAAAAATATCCAGAGTTTTTATGGAGAGGAAGCAATATATAAGCAATTATGGAAATATTTTTTGAAGAGTCAATCCTATCCTGAATAGTATTGAATATGGAATGGGTTTTATCAGCCATTTGTACTTTGTTCCTTGACTCCGAAGGGGAAAAAAACACTTTTTTCTTTCAGTGACCTGAAGCCATGTGAGAAAAAAGTTGCAGTAAACAGTCCCTGTGTATATCTCTAAACCACTGATCAACAGATCCTTGCCATGCCTACAGAAAAGGAAGAGGATAAACAGAAAAACTGCCCAGTCTTTGGTTTTAAACCTGGGAAGGATTATTTATTATGGCATTATGACAAATATTCAACCTCCAATTTCTAATATCTGATTAATACAGTCATACAGAATAAATAAATTTATGGCAGTATGTTAGAGCTCAAAACTAAAATACTTAACATAGGCAGGTGGGAGATGAACCCACCATTCAGAAAAAATATGGGACAGAGGAAAATCACCAAAGAGTGAACGTATACCGAATTATTAATTTATTGCTAACTTTTTTTCCAGGGCTTTAAAAATATTCAATATTTTCTAAGGAATTACTTTTTAAGGTGGTTCAAAAATATGTAAATAAAAATGACAAACTGAAAATGAATATCTTCAAATGTAATATTTCATATTTAAAATAATTGTAATATGTTGTCTAACTTCCATTATTCAATATATTTAAAGTCTGATCAATGTAATACATGAATTATAAATTTATAATTATTAGGGGCTGGATATAAAATTCATAATAGATTGATTTGAGAAGTATATGCATTATCTATATTGAAATAATTTGTTTAGGTGTTCAGAGTTTTAGATATTGTGGTTTTTATAATTCTAGGCCTTCTATAACTATATAAGAGGGAGGCGGGCCTTGAGATAGACTGTTGTGGTTGCTGAGAAGAGAAGAAGGCATACATTCGTAACAACTTGGTGACACTTCCATACTTTCAAAGGGAATATGAATAGAAAAATACTATTCTACTTCCTTTCCTCCTTAGCTGCCTAATTAGAATCCCAGCAATAATACAATTTTTAAAAAATAACTAAGATAAAATAATGTCTTCAATGTGAAAACACTGAATAGTAAGTGACATTGGAATGTTCAGACAGTGGTGGCATGCACCTGTAATCCCAACTACAGTGAGGCTGAGGAGGGAGAATTGCTTGAGGCCAAGAGTTAGCAACTTACCTGGGCAAGACAGCGAGACCCTATCTCTTTAAAACACATCAGCCAAAACAAAACAAGACACACACACATAGAATGTTCAAGAGGGAGAAATTATTGATCATGGGCTTTCCATTTTGGAAATAATGAAGCCTGCTAGTTTATGGTAAGCCTTGAATATTCAAAATAAATATCAGTTACCTTTATTTCTACTCCCTGTGTTCCATCTGACTTTAATTAGTGTCTTTCAACAGCTTTCCTTTTTGTAATCACTGCATACTTTCTGTTTCCTGGATAATATTTTTGGTTGCTTATGTGTGCCCCAATTGTTCAGAAAGGATGAAAGAAAAGTGTATTGGAAAATATGTATGAGGTTAGTTTCCCTAGAACACGTATCTCATCTTGTAAGTAAATAGCAATAAATTGTTTTTTAAGGTAAAATATCCTGATGACACAATTTCTGAGATATTGCTAGATGAGTAGTAGTAATAAATGCAATAGTAATAGTTTAGAAATAAATGACTGGGATATTTTAGCCCTCTGAATGTTGTTATTTTTTTCTTAAGTTTTGTGCAAGTTTAGTCAGTTGATTGAGGCTCTGACATGTCATCTCCAAACCTATAAAACACTACACATTTATATTTTTATATGGATGCAGAAAATAACCATGTTGTTCTTGCTCCATTACCCAATTATTTAATCCTACAAGTTTCACTTTCAAACCATATTATAAACTCTGCAAGGGGAAGCCCAAGCAATGCTTACTACTACAGGCAGCATTAGGAATTACTTCACTACTTTTCCTACTATTTGATTAGGATGAGTATCCACCAACACAGCAAAACATAGAATAACATTTACAATATAAAAACATTCCTCTCTTGCCATTTCAGAAACCCAAGAGTATTTAAATTTCTTGATTAAAGTGCCAGCTTGGGCCTATGTGAATAGCAGATAGATTTGTCAGCTCTGACAGATGAAAGTTAAACATATTCCAGTTTTAACGTATTTAACATAAGGTAAATATTTTTTCAGTATTTATTTCATCATTTTTCTGCCTACACATAATTTTTCGATGTGCTAAGGACAGATAACCGTTCTCTAAATTTACAGGCTTTTCTACTGGCTTTTATCAAAGCCCTAATAGGGTAATAAGGAAGTATATGAGGAGCCTGGGAGGGGTTGTTGGGGTGAATAATGGATGGATTTTAAATGAAGAATGGGCCAGCCACAGTGGCTCACACCTGTTATCCCAGCATTCTGGGAGGCTGAGGCGGGCGGATCACCTAAGGTCGGAAGTTTGAGACCAGCATGACCAACACGGAGAAACTCCGTCTCTACTAAAAATACAAAATTAGCCGGGCATGGTGGTGGCGCACGCCTGTGATCCCAGCTACTCAGGAGGCTGAGGCAGGAGAATCATTTGAATCAGGGAGGCGGAGGTTGTGGTGAGCTGAGATCGTGCCATTGTACTCCAGCCGGGGCAACAAGAGTGAAACTCTGTCTCAAAAAAAAAATTAAAAAAATAAAATAAAATAAAATGAAGAATGGAAAAAGCACCCTATTCCTCAACAACAGCTTTCTTTACATCGATTTGAGATCCTGTAGTCCCTCATAAGCTTACTTGTGAAAAATGGATTCAGCTGACAATGGTCTGAAAAGCACAGCTGAAGGTGAAGTGTAAGCCACTGAGCCATCAAGGGCATTAAGAAAGAAAGAGCGAGGTCCAATGAGAAGACTCAAACTCTATGTTCATGCAATCAAGGACTTAGAGCTTGGAAGGGCCATTAATTAGCCACTTTTTCTTCTCATTATTTTTCAGTCTTTTTCAAAAGAGCTATTATAAAAGATCACTTCTTTGATAATCTCAGTTCTTAAGAATGCTCGTGGTATATTTTTTAAAAGAAAGCAGAATGCATCTTCATAATTTATATCGTTGAATTGCTCTATTTTGCTACCTCACTGCGGTGAACACCTAACATTTAGAGTAAAATGTGGGCACTATTTAATGTGAAATGTGCTCCTCCCAAATTAGTGAAAGCACACCTCGTATCTTCAAGCAGATGCCCTGGATCATGAAGATCCTTCGAAAACCATACAAAAACACTCAGTATTTCCCTTTAATCTGAACAATTATGTAGAAAGACAAATCATGAACTCTTCACTAAACTAAGAATTAGAAAATCCTAATTTTAGTTTTGGCTGCTTCACAATATATCTGTAACTGATGGTAAATTACTTCATTTGGATGAACCTCAGATATTTATCTGTAAAATTTGGGTGTGGAGAAGTTTGAAGTAGGTGAACTTCAAGAGCTTTCATGATAACAGGATTTAGAATTCTATGAAACATTTATTTGTGTCAACTTCCCAGTTTAAAATAGCACGAACAACATTTGCTGTCAAAGAGTTACGTGCCTCCAAATTGAAAAAAGGCCTCATGAGTAGCAGCAGGAGTGGCCTTAAGAAACACAATTTAAAAATGCAAAAACCGTTTCTTCGGCAAACATATGATGTTGAGTTCTCACCTCTACCCTCTGCTTTTATTTCCTGCTCTCTCTAAGCTCAAAGTATGCAGCATTGTCCTTTATTTTCTTATTTTAGCTATCTTCCTCTTGCCTTTGAAAGTTCTTCTTTCCCTCTCTTCATTCCCTACTCTGATTAAGTTGCTCCACCACATGGCCGAGAAGCATTGTTTAAACCTATTAGGATAACAGAATAGGTCTTCAGGGCTAAAAACACCTTATTAATGTACATTACTCCTCCAACCAACTACTGAGTTAAGATTTTTAATACACTGCAATGTGCAAAGGAATAAAACCCTAATGGTAGCATTGCAAGCACTGTGCAAGGTGAACATGAATCCCACTAAGTAAGGCATCATTTTCCCTCCCTCCTCTAAGGCAGTACTAGACACAAACCAATAGAAAGTCATTTACGCTTACAACGTGTGAGACTATAACATCATTTACTTGTTTTCACTTATAGGACTGACGTGATGAGTTTGGACACTTCTCTTCTTCAACTATACATTAATTGATTTTTTTTTTTTTTTTGAGACAGAGTCTCGCTCTGCTGCCCAGGCTGGAGTGCGGTGGCGCGATCTCAGCTCACTGCAAGCTACACCTCCCTGGTTCACACCATTCTCCTGCCTCAGCCTCCAGAGTAGCTGGGACTACAGGGACCCGCCACTGCGCCCGGCTAATTTTTTGTATTTTTTTTAGTAGAGACGGGGTTTCACCGTGGTCTTGATCTCCTGACCTCGTGATCCGCCCACCTCGCCCTCCCAAAGTGCTGGGATTACAGGCATGAGCCACCGCGCCTGGCCCGACTGATTTTTTTTTTTAAATACTCATTCTGTTTGATTAGGAAAGCAGCACATAAGCATTGTTAAAATATAAAATATTAATACTTCACAGATACAAAATATCACCTATAATATCACCACCTATATATAGCCAAGGTATTTCTGTACTGGCTCTTAATTTGCATGAGTTATGCCTTGCATACTTTTAAAAACTCAGTAGTCTCATTTCATTAAATATTTTTCAAAAATCTGACTTCTAATGGCTGCATAATATTTCTTTTACAAGTACCCATAACTTACTTTACCGTTCACCTATTATATATTTTTAATATTTTGCTTTCTGTCTCTCTCAAACATTCACTATGCATCTTTCACTATTTCTTAGAATAAATTCCTGAGAGTGAAATTACCATGTGAACATTGTGTGCTGATATTCTCTAAAGTCAAAGTTTAGTTTCATGTGCTCACTACTCCCTAAAAAAATCTACTGTAAGATATCAAAAAGTAAAATAAAATGAAACAAAAAAAGCAAAATATCAACCAACCACCTAACACTTTCAGCTCTAATAAAATATATTGCTATAAACATCTAAAATATTTGCGTCACTGGACATTCTGAATTTGCAAAACCTCATATGTGGTCATGAAAATGAGAAAACAGTCTTGACTCTAAGAAAATAGGATACTTTCTACGGGAATCTCCATGACGCACTCCAGATGAAGCACTCAATGTGTATTTAACACTTCTTATGTGGGCATTTGACCATAAGGGCATGAAAAAAAATATCATGTTGGATTTAGACAAAAACAACCAACCAACAACAACAAAAAATGTGTACTGCTTTATGCAGCATAATAGGCTAGAGAAGAGAAGGAAAGGGACAATAATAGATGGATTGGATTGGATCTTTTAGAACCTAGTATCATGATACAATCATGATCATACTGTACTGGTTCATTAAGCTAGCCCTAAATATCTATTTCTTGTTTCCTCACTGTCTTCTGATTGAAGTCTTTTTCTTTTCTCCTGAATAAAAATTTATACTCTACTAACATACTATTTTGCATTTTTTATCTTAAATATTAGGCAGTTGAAATTGCATTCCTGTAATTATAATTATAACTAATAGACCTTCCATTTCCCATGTCATAATTAATGTCAGGCTTTATTAGAGCACAATCATAAGCTACCTTTTCCCTTACGAGGCTTCTTTTATTTTCACAACATTTATGGTGTATAGAATTAAGCAATAAAGAGTTCTAAAGGTCTTCCGTAAGAATAGCCTTTGGATCATAGATGCTGAGTTAACTGACTTAGAAAATGCTTTTTACGGCAGGGTGCAGTGGCTCATGCCTGTAATCCCAGCACTTTGGGAGGCTGAGGCTGGCGGATCACTTGAGGTCAGGCGTTTGAGACCAGCCTAGCCAACATGATGAACCCCTGTCTCTAATTAAAAATATAGAAAAATCAGCTGGACATGGTGGCACACGCCTGTAGTCCCAACTACTCGGGAGGCTGAGGCAGGAGAACTGCTTGAACCTGGGAGCTGGAGGTTGCAGTGAGCCGAAATCACACCACTGCACTCCAGCCTGGGCGACAGGATGAAACTACATCTCAAAATACAAATACAAATAAACAAAATGCTTTTTACATTGTTTTTAAACCACATATAAATCTATGTGCTTCCTAATGTGCTATTTGTTCAACACCAATAGGTGAAAAAAGAAATCACTGATTCAGTGATAAATGCATTAGATTTCCTCAAAGGTTATTAAGTGTACTTTCAGCAAGGATGAAAAAATTAATGACAACCAAACAAAATATCTACGAATCATATTTGTTGATTGCCATGTATGACATATACATATGTGTCAACTTAACTGCAGCAATTTCATGGCAAGTAAAATACATTTTGACACCCACAGATTAAGTTTTCATAGGCCCTGGTTATGGGGTTACTATATTTATTTTAAATCCTGTCAGAAAGATACAATTTTACCATTTAACTATTCAAGCAAAACACAACTGTATCCTATTGGCAATATTGAAATTAGAACTCAAAGGTGGTATACAACTTTGGTAATTTTAAATATAATTTAAAAGGGAGAATGCAATATAAAATTAACAGCTTTTTAGGTAAGAATTTTACAAGTAATCTGCAAGACATGGCATACTTAACTTACAAAAGAGATGCCATACATACCTTCGACAAACGATGCTGGACTATGTTTTGAAGATTATATATGACTCAATCTGTGCTTTTGAGGGTCAAATAGTGACTGGCTCTGAAGTCCATATTATGTATGAATGTAATTCTTACAGCACAAGATGCTGTATTTCGCCCTTATTAGAATTTTAAAATCTCTTTTCCATTAGGTTCACATCTTCTTAAGAAAAGTTATACATTCTCAATACCACACTACATATAACTGTATATACAATATAAATATGAGGAGAAGATATACATGGAGCAATCACAGAATCAAGAAAACAGTTTCAGGCTGGGCGTGGTGGCTCACGCTTGTAATCCCAGCACTTTGGCAGGCCGAGGCAGGCAGATCACGAGGTCAAGAGATTGAGACCAGCCTGACCAACATGGAGAAATCCTGTCTCTACTAAAAATACAAAATTAGCCGGGCATGGTGGCGCATGCCTGTAATCCCAGCTACTCCGGAGGCTGAGGGAGGAGAATCGCTTGAACCTGGCAGACGGAGGTTGCGGTGAGCCGAGATCGTGCCACTGCACTCCAGCCTGGCAACAGAGCGAGACTCCATCTCAAAAAAAAAGAGAAGAGTTTCAGTGTGGCTCTTTTTGGTATTATACATATAAAAACATTTCTAGGCAGGGCATGGTGGCTCACACCAGTAATCCCAGCACTTTGGGAGGCCAAGGTGGCCCGATCACCAGAGGTCAGGAGTTTGAGACCAGCCTGGCCACCATGGTGAAACCCCGTCTCTACTAAAACTACAAAAATCAGCCGGGTGTGGTGGTGGGTGCCTGTAATCCCAGTTACTCGGGAGGCTGAGGCAGGAGAATTGCTTGGACCCGGGGGTCGGAGGTTGCAGTGAGCTGAGAATACACCACTGCACTCAAGCCTGGGCGACAGAGCGAGACTCCGTCTCAAAAAAAATTCATTTCTAGAGCACAAAAAGAAATATTTTAAGTGCTATGCTATACATGTTCTTTGGAATGATTATTTGAGATAATTTATATGATTTCCACATAAAGTTTCTTGAAATCATAATGAATTTTAAAAACTACAACAAATTAAAATGTGGTTTGGGGAATAAGGATAATATCAATTAACAGGATTTGAAATTTACAGAGATAAATGTGTACTATTTATAATAGAGCCCACTGTATTGCAGGGTTCTTAATTAGAGACACCAGTGGACGATACAAAAGGTTCTAAACTGAAACCACAATGGGAATTTCAAGATACTCCCCAAATTACAGTCCCTGGGGCAAAAATTCAAATAAAGACTCTTATACAATCTGTTAAAATTTCTTAAATTATAAATCGGCCAAGCAAACTGATAAATAAGGTGTCTTCTCATCTTTGCAACTGTATACCATAACAACCTCTCAGCCATGTCAAGTTTAGTAGCTGAGGAAATCTCTAAAATGAGCCTGGAAGAGTATGTGGTATGGAGAGAGCTAGTACCCAGTCTTCAGATCCTGACACACCCCACTTTTTGTCTCTCTTCCTATCCTTGAGCTCAATATTGGGCCACACTGTGAGAGTTTCACACATCAAGATCCATCCTCATGCCTTCACGAACAACTGCCCTTTAGCCACCCTTGAACCTAGCACTATATATAGGAGCAATGTGCTCTGGTTTCAGAAAACAGGGCCTGGGATGCACTTACTCAGGCCCTGGAAGTAGACTCAAGGCCACTTGGGCAGAGAATTCATAGGTTTTGGGGAGCTTGCATGCTTTCTAGAAGTTGAGGCATGCCTCAACGGGGCCAATTCCCTTCGTCCTTTGAACCTATTGGCCAGTGTAGAAGGATGACCAGAGGGAGACTTCTAAGTCACAGGGCTCTCTTTTGCAGAGCCTTAAGGGCAGTTCATTATCAACCAGGTAATCTTATACGCAAACTGGTAACTCAAGACCTGGAGGTAGTTTTCTTTACTCAAGTAGACTGATGATAGAAAAACTCAGCAGAGGACGCAATACTCCCTTCATAAAGAATGCCCAAACTTTATATCCAGACAAAAGGAAATGAAACTGTTCTCAAATATTTCCACATCCACAACCATCTATTGACCACAGATACAATAATGTTAACAATATTTTACAGGTACATGGTAACCTTATAAACATTAGCTTTTATTTCATAGATTATCTTTCAAAATACCTGAGATGTGTTAAAAACAGATGTCCTGATTTGGCAGATTATAGAAGGAAAAACTCAGCAGGGTTAAGTAATTCTTTTAAAGTCTCAAGGTTCAAATATTGGCAAAGTTGGTGGTACTATTTGGAAAAAAAATTTTTTTTTTGAGACGGAGTCTTACTCTGTCACCCAGGCTAGAGTGCAGTGGCGCAATCTTGGCTCACTGCAACCTCCACCTCCTGGGTTCAAGCAACTTTCCTGCCTCAGCCTACCAAGTAGCTGGGACTACAGGCACGTGCCAGCATGCCCGGTTAATTTTTTGTGTTTTTAGTACAGACAGGGTTTCACCGTGTTAGCCAGGATGGTCTCAATCTCCTGACCTCGTAATCCGCCCACCTCGGCCTCCCAAAGTGCTGGGATTACAGGCGTGAGCCACCAGACTGGAAAAGATTTTAAACCCTCCCTCCTTTCAGGAAACCCCACTCCCCCACTTGACCCGCTGCTTTGTACTACTTTCTAGCTCACAGAGACAAAGCTAAACTCTACGAATAATCTGTTATTCCCCTCTTAATATGTAAGAATTCTTACTTACGAACACTTAGAATCTTTGCCACCAATATATATTTTTTTTTTTTTGAGATTTTTGAGACGGAGTCTCTCTCTGTCACCCAGGCTGGAGTGCAGTGGTGCGATCTCGGCTCACTGCAACCTCTGCCTCCCGGGTTCAAGCGATTCTCTTGCCTCAGCCTCCCGAGTAGCTGGGACTACAGGCACGTGCCACCATGCCTGGCTAATTTTTTGTACTTTTAGTAGAGATGGGGTTTCACCGTGTTAGCCAGGGTGGCCTCGATCTCGGTCTCAGCCTCCCAAAGTGCTGGGATTACAGGCGTGATCCACTGCACCGGGACCCCAGTAATTTTTTCTTAAATGTTATAAGCAACATGTGACCTAGTTCAGAAGAATATTACTTTCTGTAAACATTTTTATTAAGTAGCACTGTAGTAGCAAAATAAGAAGAAAAAAAAGTACAGAATTAAGAAAAAAAATTGCAATGTCCCTCTCGAGCTGAGACTGTGCATAATTCTGTAAAGTGTATTTTTCTTTAAACTGGTTTTGTTTCCAGACACTATTTCAACCATCACCTCATGTCAAAATGACCTGATAGTTCAAATCTTTACACGTAGATGAAGTTTCAATGAACGGACAAAATCTGAAAGATCTTATTAAAAAATGGTCAGGAGCTACCTAGTCTGATACCAACACTAACCAATGTGACAAGGGAGGTGAAAAAGTGCCTTGAATGTAATTTGCGCAGAGCGCAGGCCTACCTGAGTCATATGCAAAATCTCTGGGTTCCTGTTTAATCATCAGAGGAGGGGGAAAGCTTTGGCTGGCCGCACTGCCAACCATGGTGTTGTGTTCATACACTGGGTCGTGGTACTCCTGCTTAAAGCCTTGTGGTGGGAAGGGGATGTTTGGCTCAGACATCTGGCGTTGGTACATAGGACGTCCTTCCCTTGGCATCGTCGGCAAAGGAGGAAAGGAGTTACAGGGTTCAGAAAGCTGGCGGCGAAATCTAGGGAATAAGAGAGTGTGTTTCAGATGAAACGGTAACATGGAACATTCTTTAAAATACGGATACGGTTTTCCATTTCTTAGTGAACGAACATGATACCAGCTGACCTGAAGCGTAAATCTTTAACAAGCATTACGTTTTTCTTTCCTGGATTAGTAGCTCTATGTTTTTTAATCATATGACTTATATTCCCTTTCTAATCAGTCTTTTGCAGCACTGTTGCAGTATATGAGTTAAAGATGTACTTTGAGTAAGGATTGGAGAGCAATGAAAAACTTTGAGGATTTTACACACCCACACACACACACACACACACACACAACGATTAATGGCTAAAATGCCTAGTTCTAAATCAATTGGATCACGGATAATTTCCACACAAGATTCTTAAATCATTATATACCAGAAAAAGATCTCAAACTGCATCCTCTATCTTTTAATTCTGTTACCAAACTGATCAATAAACAAAAAACCAACCAACCAAAAACCTGCTGAGAAAGCAAGAGAGGAATGACTTTTTTCTCAAATCAGGACTTTCAATTCCTCAACAATGTCCTAATTAACATTGCGTTCTAGTAAGAAACAAAACTAGGTATTATAAGGACTCAAACCCAAGCCGGTTGTAAAAAGACTACCTCTTTACTGTCAAACAGCAATGCAGACCATATTGGCTTCCAATAGATTCAAATACAGTATCAGGTTGATAAAAATAAGCATAAATGCACAGCTGATCTCCAAAGGTGAAAATAACATATAGTGTTGTATAGGTTTGGGGCAAGTCCCGCTGTTAGGACATGAGGAAGTTCTGAGGCCTCAGCAGAAGGCTAGAAATGAGTCCTATGCCTCTTTGTTCTTGGTTATACTTTATAACAATTGGCTAATCACATAATCGTTCTGTTCTGTGTTTCTCATCCATAATATCATTGACCCACCACAAAGATGTGGATTAATTAAAGATTTAAAAGTGCTCTAAAAATGCCCCAGGAGTGCTTAAAAATAACCTATAAAACATTTCTATGAGCAAATATAAGCCTAATAACCCCCCCACTAAAAGCATTCCTGAGACTTTAATTTGGAAAGTTAGCATTTAATTTCGGTAATGTTAAATAAAAATAAGGTAAAAGCTAAAGAATGGCAAAGCGATTGCTTTAGCATTTCTAAGAACACTCCATCCTGTGATTTAACTCTAGGCTCACTGGTGGTCATGGAAAGCACTGAAATTCCACCTACACCTGCAGAAAATAAACTTAGAAACTCGGATATTGCAGAGCAGTTAGGCTGACTGGCACTGCATTCATTTCCCTTCTCTTGCTTATTTCATTAGCCAAAAAAAGAAACAGAAATTATCATTAAGAACTGTCAAGGAGTGAATCAGAAAATTGTAACTTGAAGTTAAAATAAGAAACTGGCTCACTTGTGAAGCCTTAAAAGGAAGTTAATAATACTTGTAACTGAAAGCTTTGTAAGGAATCAAGCCATTTGTTTTTACGAGTCGACCTGATTCCAGTTGGAAGTTGCTGGGGAACATGTATATATCAAACACGCATGCTTCTCAGGAATTTGCAAGGTTTTGGTGCAATTCTTAGGAGCCACTGACCAATGGTAAAGAGAAAGTGATTCAAGAAGCTTCTGGAAAGGAGTTAACAGATAAGGAGAACATGCTGATGAACTCCCAGATAAAGAAAAACAGGGTGTAAGTGGTGGAAACACTGAGAAAGAGAGACAGGGCTCCTGCACAGTGGGTTCAGGAAAAAGTGCCAAAGGGCTGGCCCCAGGAGCAGAGTGAGGCTGAGGAAAGGAAGCAGGGTGCAGGCCAGTTGGCCGTAAAGCATTCCCAGAGTGAAGTGGGGTGCCTGGCTGGAGGGGGTGTTTTGGGGAAAGGATCTGTTCCCAGAGCAAATTTGCCATTTATAACTGAGGGACTGTCATTTGTTGGCCAGAGCCCTCTAAGAAATCCTCCTCAGAAACATACGGCTTTAGAGATTTTCCTGGGACTGGCCAGCTGGTACTGTCCTCAAAACTCAGTCAGGGGTCAGTGGGAAAAGACCCCGAGCTTCCCTCTTGGAGTTCCGGGCCGGCTGTTCTCAGTCTCAAATATCTGACTTCAAGTAGAGAAACTAAAATGAATTTGGCTAAAGCATTTCAAGTTAGGTCACCTAAAACCAGGCACACTGCTTATTCAGCAGGCACCTTCCCTAAGAAATAACCAGTTTGCACAAAAAGCGAATTATACAATCTATAATTCTGGCACTGATCAGAAGAGTGAGATTCAGTTATCAAGAACTCAGAAGTCACCAGTAGTGGAGAAAATAAAACTTGGTTTGTTCATATTTTTTTGTTCCCTTTCAGCTCTGCACAATGTCCATCTGTTTAATGGCCCACCCTGCAATAAGAATTCTTTCATCTGTATTTACAAAACTGTTTACACAGATGCACATACCATTGCACTCTGACAAAGTCTCAAGGCTACAGGGTGAGAAGAAAAAGATAATAGGAAGCATTTAATAACTACCCCACAAGAGGACTTAGTGATGGAACCAAGGGTGGAAAAGACAAGGCTTTGTATCACATTGTAAAGAACGCTTTCATCTTACGCCCTTTATAGCAAAATGAGTTTCTGAATTTGAGATTGAGTCCCATGAAAAAACCTATAAAAAGCACATTTGAGTGCTCCCTTATTTTCAGAAAGTTGCCAGTGGCACATCTTCTGCTTTCCTCTGCTGATCTAGAAGATTCCTTTGGCTGAGTTATTTTTACAACGGTGTCTCAGGGCCAGTTTGCACTGACTTATTGTCAAACTTGCAGGAATTTTTTGAGCCAGTTCTTAAACACAGCCACTATTAACAGTTAAATTATATAACTTCACAATCAAAAAATATGTTAAAAACAGAAGATAAAAATGCAAAACTCATCACTTTCTAATTATCTTACTACATTTCATTACCAATTATACACCTGAGGTTACTTATGTCTCTGGTATCCGTATGCTAGAAATACTACATTACGCTGTGCTATTGCATCTTTGCAACTCGGCATTCAGGGTTCTCACAGTGATGGCTCGTAGTGGGCCATGAAAGCAATATGTACATCACAGACCCAGCAAAAGCTACTGATGAGGGCGTTTTGTTTTTCTCTCATGCAGGCTGTTGCTAAACATTTACCAGCACGCCACTGCATACAGAAGCACAGGGCAGAAGAGATAAAGAAGGAGAGATGCTGTATATAAGCAACCTGATTTTAAGCTGTATATTAAGGTAGTACATCTCAGAACCTCTACAGGTTTTATTTAGTATTTTACTTAAATATGAATTTCTTAATCTCAAGGAGTCATGAATTACCTAACGCAGTATTCTCCTTAGATCTATGCTATGCTTCTTGCCTTGCTCCTTTCTAAGTAATACTAATTGAGTCTCTATCTCTTTAATTGTATATTCGCAGTGTCCAGAGTCATGCGTCTACTGATATTAAATATTAATCACCTGGAAAAGATGGTCAACAGTTTTAATCAAATAAGTTATATTCTGCAAAACTATGTACAGCTGAACCATTCAATATAAGGTAGAAAACCTAATTCCATAAGCTACCTACTAAAATTAGTCTCCTAACTTTACAGAACAAGTACACACATATGCTCATAAAAATGGGATGATCTGATTTAAAGTTTAAGTGAAGCAATTTAATTCAAGCAAAGCGAAAGGGAAATGCTCAAATGTCAGTAGATAGATTAATTTTCCATTTTAGCAACCAATTTAAATGTTTATAAAAGGAATGTTTATAAATGACTTTCTCCACAAATTATAAGTATAGATAGAGTGAGCTCTTTCTAAAAATATTTTGCACAGATGTGCAAAATTAATAGGCTCACCTTAAATCTACTCTAGGCCTTCAGAATTGTTAATAGAAATTTTTTCCAAGAACGCAAAAAACAGTTTCTAGAAAACTGGTATCTGCAGGTTACCTGTGGTCCATGGGGTAGCTGCTATCTGGTATGGACTGCGATGGAGGGAGGTGAGCTGGGAAGGCCCGGTCAGGTTTCGGTGTATGAGTTGAGTTTGGAGATGCATGATGCAGTGGGGACACTGGCGTGCTGGATGGTGTGGGGGGGTTGGAGGGCCTCATTCCCACTTGTGGCTTCTGATCATAGGCACTACCCAGGGGACAAAAGAAGAGAGAACATTTCTTTCTTTGGAGCAATTTTTTAAAAAAGTTTCTAATCCAAAGGAAGAAAAGATATTTTAGACTTAAGTCAAATGGAAATGAAAACTTTGTTGTTGCTATTGTTGTTTAAATCCAGAACAGATAAACTTCAAAATCACAACACCCTTAAACAGAAAATAGGATGATTAATGCAAAACCTTGTAACAGAACAAATATTAAATGTGTATTTTTAATGCATATACAAACAACTTAGTACAGGGAAAATTACGTCCAAAAAAGCAGTGGTATTTTTTCCATCTATTCTTGATATATCTATTTGAGAAAGTTTGATAGATCTTTCCTAAATCATTAAATACTTCTGATATTATATTCTTCTTTTATATTATGTAAGATTTTAAAACAAGAACTAACATCAGCTTAATAAGGCAGAGACCACACCTGGCTTGCTTTTATTTGTGGTGGGATTTTAAGAAGGCAATGCTTTTACTTTATTTTCATTTTATTATATTAAATAAATGATGCTTGGCATTAACTTCCCCACATGGGATAATGAAGATTAATGAGGTAAATTAAAATGTCTGATATATTTAAACTTTCTTAGAGAATAAGTAAAAAATAATGTCATTAGGAATAAAATCCTATTATAGTCTAACTTCTAAACACAGTTACAGAAGAATAAAATGAGTAAGCTTGATTTTACATTATGATTTTAAACTGCTTTCCTAGGTGTAACTTTCAGGAATGTGATTTAGCTAATTTTGGTCATCTATAAAATATTTTACTAAAACTAAATTTTCTTAAATTTTTTTTAACAACAGGGCATTTCTAAGTTAGAATGCTGTATTTCATTTTGCTGGGCGCAGTGGCTCATGCCCCTGATCCTAGCACTTTGGGAGGCTGAGGTGGGAGGATCGCTTAAGCACGGGAGTTTAAGACCAGCCTGAGCAACATGGTGAAACCCCGTCTCTACTAAAAATACAAAAAATTAGCTGGGCGTGGTGATGCATGTCTGTAGGCTCAGATATTCACGAGACTGAGGTGAGAGGATCGCTTGAACTCGGGAGGCAGAGGTTGCAGTGAGCCCAGATTGTGCCACTGCACTCCAGCCTGGCTGACAGAGTGAGACCCTGTCTCAAAAAAAAATAAGTAAAATAAAATAAAAAGCAATCATCAGTACACTTTTTTCTTTAGAAAGAAATATTTCTTTTTGAATTAAATTATGTAATAATTTATTCTGTTGCTCCATCAATGCAACGGAATTATATCCAGCTGCAAAAATCTTTTACAAGGAGTAAAGGAATATATGCTGCACAAGGCAGCTCTTGCTTCAAAGCAAAGTCAACAGTGTTCATATAATGAATTGCATGTTTGGTTCCACCTATGTTCTTTACCAGTATTTCTGAAGAAAAACCCACTTCTTTTGTGAAATGGTTCACCTAACTCATTCTCATGAATGAAGAAACAAATGATACTATTCCCCCATGAAATGCTGTACTCAATAATATTTTCTGTATAGCGATGGAAGTACCAGAATTTATTGCATATGCCATATATCACTGTGGGGACTTTTCATCCCCCAAAAGAAACACAAAATATTCAGGCAATTCCTTTATTATTGATTTGTGGATGTCAGATATGGCATATAAAACAGTGATGATTTCACAGTCACAATTCTGATTAATGCTGAAAGGCAATGACAATTCTATATCTAACTGCCATTGACTAGAAATTCCTCAATATGTTAAATAATTATGCTGTGGATACACAGTACTTGTAAGGAGAAAATGCAAAAACAAAACTAAACTATAAAATAAAACTCAGATCGATCAATACTGTCTTATCTGAACTCATTATGCTTTAATAGTTACCTTCTACAAGAGACCTTTTTTATAAAACTTTGCAGTTTCAATTGAGCTAGCTCATAATTTCAGGCTCTGGTGAACCTCTTAGAAAAGCAAATATAAAAGACAAGTTTGCAAGAACAAATGGTAATAAAATATCTGAGCATTGGTCAGCTGCCATAATGGCACAAGTCTATGTTTCTCTTTTATTTTTGAGATGGAGTCTCGCTCTTGTTGCCCAGGCTGGAGTGCAATGGCGCGATCTCGGCTCACAGCAACCTCCACCTCCCAGGTTCAAGCGATTCTCCTGCCTCAGCCTCTGTAGTAGCTGGGATTACAGGCATGCGCCACCATGCCCAGCTAATTTTGTATTTTCAGTAGAGACGAGGTTTCTCCGTGTTGGTCAGGCTGGTCTTGAACTCCCGACCTCAGGTGATCCGCCCAACTCTGCCTCCCAAAGTGCTGGGATTATAGGCATGAGCCACTGCGTCTGGCCTATGTTTCTAGAATCTTACATATCTTGGACATAAACAGCGTATGCAATAAATATCTGAGGAATTATTTAATAGAAGACCCCTTTGGGTCATAATGTACAATGAATCTGAATTGATATAACTTATAAAACAGTATGAATATTTGGAATAATTTGTGTAAGTTTGCAAACTAACTTCTTTTAAGAACTAAGTTTCTACTGTAATTGAGAGTGATAATACTCAGTAGAGACAGCCAACTTTTTCTTTATGCAATTAAAGGCCAATATGAAAAGTAGCATCATACAATTTACTTTGAAGGGTTTTTAATGAACATATATGTGATCAAATTTTCTAATAAATGAACAATGCACTTTTACTGCACCACCCTTTATTATCATCAGAAGAACAACCAGCTTTTTAATAGATAATAGCCTCTGCTAAGCCTTATGAAATTCCAGTTTTATTGCAATTGTCCATGAACTCATCTTACAGATCATCTGCAAAGCCTGGCAGATAACTAATGTACTGCTCAGACCTGCCAAATGTTTCATTTTTTTCTGCAAACTCTCTATCTAAAGTGTATAATGCATTCATTCTAATGGGAACTTTCAAAAGCTGCTTGTGCCAAGTAAAACCCCTTTTTCAAACCCAAGATGCATCACTACAGTAGAAAAGCAACTAATGATCTGGATAAAAATTATTGCTTTAAAATGAATCCAAAGTGTGTGATTGGATGGTAAATGGTTCTTTAGAGTTCTGCTAAATGCATTACCTAATTAGCTTGTTACATATTAAAGACGTTACTCATAAAATATGACTTGAGATTTCATATTATTCTGGACTTTTTGATTCAATAAGAACCACTATCCTACATACATACACCTGGTGGCTTTACCTGACATTGTACAGGCACTTTTCTCCATAGCTGAATTTAAAGGGCTGTTCTTGACTGCAGGCAGAGCTGATTTCTGAACATGGACTGTGGGGTTCTTTCTTGATTTTCAGTGGCAGGCCATGAAAAGCCACTAGAAAAAAGAACAAAAATATCCACAAAAATTAAATGCTGTAGGAATTATGGAGATTAATGTGTTCTACTTCTCTTGTTAAAAAGGTCATTCACATTTCATATTAACTTACATATGTAAGAAAAATCACGTTTGATGAATTTCAGTAGCAGAAGATTTCAGAGAATCTTCATATACGCCTTTTCTGCCTTTATTGTGTAACAAAATGCATGCTTGAATTTTCTCTCATTACTTAAGTGAATCACTTGTAATTTGCTTAACTGATATTAACAATGCTAGAAGCTCAGTTTCAAGAAAGTACATTTTGAAAACATATCAGAAAGGTTTCCAATGACTAAAGCAGAAAAATTACAGATGATTAGCCAAGAATCAACTAAAGACCAAAATATAATTTTAAGCATTATTGAAAGGAAAATATATCAACTGCATCAATAATAATAGTTTAATGAAATGACAACTAGACTGGGGCAAAGAAAATCCAGGCGCAGGTCCAGAAGTGACTGATATTACTTTGGGCAAAAACTCAACATCTTTGAGGCCAGTTCTCATCTATAAAATAGAGATTAAGTATCTGCCTATCTAATTACCAGAACTGTGAAGATGAAATCTGAGAAATATGTAAATGTTGTTTGTCACATGTAATCTACCATGAAACAATTATTCTATATGAAATGATGTTTTCACCTTTTTACTGTGACTTAATGCACAGTAATGCTTATATGCATTTATGTTTAATAACGTACAAAGCTACATCACAAAATATGAAAACTAGAAAAATACGTATATGGGGAGGGAATCACAGCTGTAAATCCAATAAATAAAAAACATGCTATAGGCCGGGCGCCGTGGCTCACGCCGGTAATCCCAACACTTTGGGAGGCCGAGGCAAGTGGATCACCTGAGGTCAGGAGTTCAAGACCAGCCTGAGCAACATGGTGAAACCCTGTCTCAACAAAAATACAAAAATTAGGCCGGTATGATGGCAGGTGCTTGTAATCCCAGCTACTTGGGAGGCTGAGGCGGGAGAATTGCTTGAACCCAGAAGGTGGAGGTTGCAGTGAGCCGAGATCATGCCATTGCACTCCAGCCTGGGCAACAGAGCGAGACTCCACCTCAAAAAAAAAAGAAAAAAAAGAAAAAAAAGAAAAAAAAAGCTATATATTTTTTATTCTTCGATATGAAACTGAAGAAATGCCTATTAGAAATCTTATCAGAATAATTAAATTTTTGGTATAAATGGGAAATTGGTTTAAAAAAGGAAAAAATAATCATAAGAATAGATTCTGTAATTTACATATAATATCCACAGGTATGAATAGTCAAGGGATAAACACATAACAGAGACACACGTTCTGGAGATTTATTCTAACTCTTATAGAAACTGAAATTAAAACACAGTATGTTAAGTCCGCTTTCCAAAAAGGAAGATATGACAAGAGGAATTTTGTGGTTTATGATGTCATTTGTCATTCAATCTTAATGACGGCATTACAGAATTATAAACTTGCATTAGCTTGAATGTTATATATAATTTTTAACATAAAAATTTGATATCACAAACTACCAAGCTTCAGGAAAACAAATACTATTTGTTTTATATGCATATAATTTTGATACAAGTGTTCAACAGCAATCAAGAGTCATCTGAAATATTCTAGAAAACAAATTTGCCAAATACGCACATTTTACTTAAGTGATCTAAGAGAAACTTAACACATAATAATAAAATAATTACCCTTGGTACACTATTTCAAAGCATTTTTTAATGTAGTGTGTGTGTGTACATACATGTTTAGTACGCCTATTCAAAGTAAAGAGAAAAGAAAAAAGAGAAATTTTGTCTATCTCCATATATCAAGAATACTCATGTGCATTAACTTTACCAAGTCAGAAAGCTCTAATTCTTCTGAAAGAAAAGGCTTAAGAGCCTCAAGAATCAATTATGAGGACTTGAATTCTGATTTGAACAAACCAACTATAAAAAGACAACTCTGCAATAAATGACATTTTAGTATAGACTAGCTATTAGATAATTTAATGTCTGTTAATTTTGTTGGATGTGACAATAGTTGTATTTAAAAAGTTTTAATGTTAGAGGTTCATAAAATATTTACAGATAAAATATCCAGAATTTTCTTTAAAATACTCTAGAAAAAATAATTGTGTATGAGGAAAGTGATGAATAAGACTAGAAAAATGTTGATAAATGGTAAAAGCCAATTGAAGGGCAGGAGGGAATTAACATTATTCTCTTAACGTTTGTCTATGTGTCCTAAATTTCCTGGGTAAACATTTTTTAAATGTGAAAAGAAAACCCACGAAGAATTTAAAGTAGTGCTCTAGGCCCAGTACGGTGGCTCACACCTGTAATCCCAGCTCTTTGGGAGGTCAATGTGGGGAGATCACTTGAGTCCAAGAGTTGGAGACCAGCCTGGTCAACATGGTGAAACCCCATCTCCACTAAAAATACAAAAATTAGCCAGGCATGGTGATGTCCACCTATAATTCCAGCTATCGGGAGGCTGGGGCACGAGAATCACTTGAACCCGCGAAGCAGAGTTTGCCGAGATCGCGGCAGTGCACTCCAGCCTAGGTGACAGAGTGAGATTCTGCCTCGAATAAATAAATAAATAAATAAATAAATAAATAAATAAATAAATAAAGTAAGAAAATTGTCTCCCATTGTATATCTGCGTGTTGTCTGTGTGTAGGCGAGATCTTAGAATAAGAAATACTAAATGACACAGCTTTGTAATACATTAACCATGCATTTCTTTTTTTTTTTTTTTTTTTTTGAGACGGAGTCTCACTCTTTCGCCCAGGCTGGAGTGCAGTGGCGCGATCTCGGCTCACTGCAAGCTCCACCTCCCGGGTTCACGCCATTCTCCTGCCTCAGCCTCCCGAGTAGCTGGGACTACAGGCGCCCGCCACCACGCCCGGCTAACTTTTTGGATTTTTAGTAGAGACGGGGTTTCATCGTGTTAGCCAGGATGGTCTCGATCTCCTGACCTCGTGATCCGCCTGCCTCGGCCTCCCAAAATGCTGGCATTACAGGCATGAGCCACCGTGCCCGGCCTCTTTTTTTAAACAAGTGGTTTTCGATTATTTATTACATCTTTGAACATATTTAGCAAAGTGTGTATTTCCAAGTTTTGTTTTGTTTTTTAACTTTCACTTTAGGTTCAGGGATACATGTGCAGATTTATTATATAGGTAAGCTCGTGTCATGGGGGTTTGTGGTACAGATTATTTCATCACCCAGATACTAAGCCTAGTACCCAGTAGTTATTTTTTCTGACCCTCTTCGCTTTTCCACCCTCCATCCTCAAGTAGCCCCCAGTGTCTGTTCTCCTTTGTCCATGTGTTCTCATCATCTAGCTCCTACTTATAAGTGAGAACATGCATATATCCAAGTTTTAGCACTTCAGATTAAGTATTGGTTTTACATTTTCATAAGAAAAAGGAGCAGCGACATATAAGGAATTCAAGTAACAAATCATATTATACTTGAGAGATTAGATCAGGTTTACATGACTAAAAATTGATGAACTCTATAGCTAATAAATATGCATGCAGTATGATGTAAAGTTTATCATATTTATCAAAATGTCAGCCATATTGGAGACTATAATGTTTAATATTACTATATTTTAAGTCTTGAGTACCATGAAGTAGGAAAATATTTATAAACAGGACACAAAAAGCACTAACCATAAAAGAAAAAATATCAGCAAATTAGGCTTCAATGAAATTAAGAACACTTTTTCAAAAGACACTGTTAAAAAAAAGGAAAGTAAGTCACAAGCTATAAGATGTTTTAAGTAGAAAGATCTGATGAAGAACTCATTTAACAAAATAAGAATTGCAAAATATCAGTAAGACAAGACAAATTCCCCACTTAAAAAATGGGCAAAAAGTCTTGAAACAGGCCAGTAGTTCACAAAAGCAGATATCCAGATGGCAAAACAAATCGGAACGACAACAAAATATATGCAAAGGTATTTAAAATCTTTATTCTTCAGAAAACTGCAAAATAATCCACATGAGATTATCACTATATAGCTGTATCAGATAGTTACAGATATCACTAGAATGACTAACCTGCAAAAGATAGACATTATGAAGTTTTGGTGAAGACATGAAGCAATGGGAACTTTTATACAAGCTGCTGAGGGTATGGATTAGTATAATAAGCACTTTGGAAAACTTTCTGGCAATATCTACTAGGGCAAGAGAAATCTACTCTATGATCCATTAATACACCCTTAGGATACATCCAAGAAAAAAGGGTGCATATGTTCATGAAAAGACATGTGTGAGAATGTTCAAAGAAGCTTTATTCATGATAGCAAAAACTGGAAAAACTCAAATATTCATCAATGGGCAAATGGATAAATAAATCATGGCATATGCATACAATGGAATGAATACAGGAATAAAAAGGGACAAATTACATGCAAAAACAGATGATCTCACAGGTACAAAGTTACGGAAATATATCTTGCTGGAAACATTTTATATCTTGCTTCTGGGTGGTGGTTATATGGATATATACACATGTAAAATTCATCAAACTATGCACTTCAGATTTTTGCATTATAATGAATGTATATCAATATAAAGTTTAAAAAACTCTGAGGGACATTAATCAAAGCTACACTAATTAAGTTACTTGAACATGTATGGCCTTCTGACCCAGCTGAGACATCTGAAAATGTGCTTCAACTTCACAGGAGAAATTATTCCAGATGGGTAGGAAATGGAGGGTGGAGAGGAATGGCATGTTTGGGGTGCCATCAGGAATGGCTGCTAGCATAACAACAGCCTTCTATCAAAATGTCCATTAGCATGGACCTAGAAGCAAAAGGCATGATCCATGCTAGTGGAAATGCTATTTAGTGCTCTACTGCTTTCAGATTGGCCCAGTGAGTTTCCCGAAGTGACCTTAGAAGAAAGGGCATGTCTTAGTCTGTTTAGGCTGCTGTAACAAAAATACCATAGACCGTATGGTTTATAAACAACAGGTATTTATTGCTCACAGTTCTGGAAGCTGGGAAATCCAGCATCAAGTCACCAGCAGATTAAGTGTTTGGTAAAAGCTCACTTCCTGGTTCACAGATAGCCATCTTCTCGCTGCAACTTCACATAGCAGAAATCACAAGTGAGCTCCCTGCGATCTCTTTAGTAAGGGAATAGGGGCACTAATCCCATTGGCTCCATCTTCATAACCTAATCACTTCCCAAAGTCCTCACTTCCAAATACCATCACACTGGGGAGTAAGTTTCAATATCCGAATTTGCTGGGGCGGGGGTGGTGAGACGGGGACACAAACATTCAGTCTACTGCAGGGCATAAGGATTCTCAAAGGGTTATCAGAGGCAAGCTGATCCCTGAACACAGGAGCCCCAAATCTGGCACATCATCAAATTATCTAGGGAGCTGCTGGAGAAACACAGATTCTCAGACCTCGTTTGTTATTGGTTGGATTGTGTCCCATCAAAATTTACATGTTGAAATTTCAACACCAGAATCTCTTATTTGGAAGATTAAATTAACATAAGATCATTAAGGTGAGCACTAATCCAATATGACTAGTATCCTTATAAAAGGGGGAATCTGGATAAAGAGACATGCACACAGGGAGACTGCTACGTGAAAATGAGGGCATAGGTAAGAGTGAGGCCTCTACCAGCCAAGGAATGCCAGAGGTTCCCAGGAAACTACCAGAAGCTAGGGAAGAGGCAGGGAATAGATTCCCTCTCACAGCCCTCCGATCCCTGCTGACATCCTTCATCTTGGATTTCCAGCCTCCAGAACTGTGAAACAAATTTCACAAAGCAACCCAGTTTGTGATACTTTGTTACAGCAGCTCGAGAAAATTAATACACCACTCCCAGAAATTCCATTCATTAGAGCTGGGTTGTATCAGGATTCTGAATCTTATAAAACTTTTTAGGTGATGCTCATAATTGAGCAAATTTGAATCCACTGTGATCTGATGTATGCCGCATTCAAATAGGTCCAGTAGTTGAAAAGAGTTTTTTTTAAAAATCCAGCAACATCTTCCTTTTCCTTAGATGCCAACGCTCAAGGATTCTTACAAGTTCTCCCGCTCCAGTAGTTTTGAGATCCCCAACTCTCTCCATAACAGGTTCAACCTATGTGGGCCTCAGTCACTATGGGCCCTTGAAACTGATTTTTTTTTTTTCTAATCATAAGCCAAATAAGTAATCCAATGAATCTGAGTTGGCAAAAAAAATTTTTTTTTTGAATTGCTGCATGTGAGGAAAAAAGAGAAAGCCAACCTAAAAATCTTCGACTTACAGCACAAAAGCCGTAGGCTACATTATTTTCCTTATTTTAACTTTCCTGCTTCCTGGAGATTCTATGTCACAAAAATGACTTCTCTTATTTATTCTTAAATAAGAGTAGTGTAGAGACTCCCATTAGAGAGGGCTGAGTTGAAAACGTGTTGGGTATTTCATCACAGGGCTGAGAATCTGAGTCTGCTAACAGGCGGTTTTCCAGTTCATTGGCACAGGCACAAGCGAAAGCAGCACATTCATTTTGTGCAATTTGCTTTACCTTCCCACATGGAGTTGGTGCATGTAAAAGGCTGTTAAGTACTAAATTATTCCTTATCAAATCACCATCATCTGGAGTCATGATCAACACTAATTAAATTACTTTCGTTGAACACGGCTCCAGCCTGCTGCCGAGGCTGCTAGGTACTTTTCATTTCTCTTACAGTACCATCCTTGCTGAGTCTGGAACAGAGTTACAGGCATCTGCGTTGTTTGTAGTTTTAATTAAAGTGAATCTTTCCTTCTTCAAGTGTACCAAATCAAGTGAGTTGACTCCTTCATTTCATTTGCAAAGTGGTGGTTCAAAATGATATTATATTTTTTATCCCTGACTTCAGACAGGTCAGATAATTTATCTAGAAAATCTGCAGTCTTCCTCTGGCATTCTTCAAACACATTTTCCATGGAAACTTTTATGATCCACAACTCCTCCGGACAATCAAATTTTTGGGAGGAAAGGCAGAAAGAACACTCAAGAGATGTGTCTTGCATTTTTTCTTTGATGGAAGCTTGACCTTTAAAACCACATCTTAAGGCTGACTAATGATCACTTGAGTTCTTCTAATGGTTAAATTTAAGAGCTCCAAAATACCAAGACTTTAAAAAATGCACTTCCAAAATAAACTTAACCACTTCTTAATTCAGAAGTTTACTTGGGGTTATGGTATTCCTCATGAAGTGTTTGCTTAACTAGTAACTGTTTTCATTTTAGAACTATGAACTATGACACATCATTGCTTTCAATTTTTTCTACCTATATTTTAGAAAGAGGGCACAATCTTGTCATTATTATTCTACCAGAGGATAGAAATGCCCTGAGCTTTCTAAAAGCAACAATGCTGGTATACAACTACAGCTTTGGTTGAGGGTAGATACATAATGTAAAATCACATTTGAACACTTGAAATATAAGGGGAGAATATGAATTTATTTATTTACTTATTTTATTTATTTATTCATTCATTTATTTATTTTGAGACAGAGTCTCACTCTGTCTCCCAGGCTGGAGTGCAGTGGCACAATCTCAGCTCACCGCAACCCCTGCCTCGCGGGTTCAAGTGATTCTCCGGCCTCAGCCTCCCAAGTAGCTGGGATTACAGGTGTGTGCCACCATGCTCAGCTAATTTTTTTGTATTTTTAGTAGAGACGGGGTTTCACCATGTTGGCCAGGCTGGTCTCAAACTCCAGACCGCCTCGGCCTCCCAAAGTGCTGGGATTATAGGCGTGAGCCACCACACCTGGCTGAGAATATGAATTTAAGATTTGCTCATAGGAGAATAACTTCCCAAACAATCATAACATTGGGGCATTATTTGTATCCTTACATTGAAAACAGATAATGTTTGTTACAACTGACTGGTTAATGTAAATCCAGAGAATGAACAATGAAATCTATGAATGATGTATGTTTTTGTTTATATTTTTACAGTGAAGATGATGGATGATGTCTTGTAAATTAAACAAAGATAATATGTTTAAGTGTTGACTTAACAAACTGGTTGAGTTTGGAATTCTAATAGAAAATACTAATTGTAATCCTAATAGAAAACACTAACTATACAAAAAAAAAAAAAAAACAAACTCAAACACACATAATATTTAACCATTTTCAAAGAATTGTCCCATACTCTATTTGATTCTCATCAGTTAAGACAGGAACATATATAATAATTCCCATTTAACAGATCTTTTAAAAAGGCACAAAGAAGCTAAGCACCATGTCTGACTAAAGATCTAACACTAAGTCATAACACATTAAGAATTAGAGCCCTGGGCTCAATCTTAAGGTTGTAATTGTTGAACTCTTGAGTATATAATTCAAATTGATTTATACACAGACACTCATTATTTCCTTCATGCATGAGCACCACTATCACATTATATGAGATTTTTATTCATTCATTTCTTCAGCAATTAATTCATTAATTCATTTGTTAATTCATCTACCATGCCCCAGACACTACGGCAGGTCCTGAGAGGGTGAAGGAATATGGAGCTATGGAATGAAGATAAATAGTAAGACACAGTCCTTATTATCAAGAGCTCATGGAAGTCCAATTAGAGCTTTATTTGGTGTTTTAAAAATTCCCTAATAAAGACATTAGGCAGTATTCTTTAAGTTTGACTAATTCACGTGTGTCAGATACATGTATCTGTATGTATGACCTTAGTACTATATTCTTGGCACGTGTATCTAAATAAAAACACTTCTCAGAGTATTCACGTTTGCTTTTAGGCAATCTGCCTTCTTTCAATTTATTACTGTGACCAAAGGCATTTAAAAATTCACACCACTCATATTCCACTGAAGGAAGAATGTTGCTATTCAACAGTTGAAGCTTCCCTTATACTCTGATAACCAAAATGTCACAATGATGGAAAGGTCTCCTTCTATATGTGGACAGCGAAAGTAAATACAGTGATAAGTTGTCTTGGCTCTGACCTTTCACTCTGCTTTCCTCCCAACTCTTGTCTTAAGAGTGAAATAGGGTTATCAGTTTCTGTGAGTAGCAAACAATTACCCTGGGAAGAGAAACACGTCATATTTTTAATTCTTCTCTAAACAGAAATAAAATCCATAGTTTTGGAGGAAGAGCCTTGAAGACAGTCTCTTTATTTTGAGGTTGCGTTTTCTGGTCTGTTCAAAAATCATGTTTTAGAATAGTCTTCTGTATGCTGTTCTAGAACAGAGGCTGGCAAATTACAGCTCATGGGCCACATCCGGCCTTCCACCTGTTTTTGTAAATGAAGCGTTAGTAGAACACTCTCCCACCCATTCATTTCGGTCTAGTCTAGGGCTACTTTGAGCTACAATGGCCAAATGGAGTAGTTGTAACAGAAACCATATGGCCCACAAAGCGTGAAATATTTACTATCTGACTCTTTACAGAGAAAAGTTTGCTGATTCCTGTTCCAGAATATAGTCTATAATAAAAAAAGGAGAAGGAAAACACCAAAGTGGCTGGATGGAAAGTGACACCTGCTAGTGACAGAGACAGCTCAACTAGTCAACAAAGGACACTTAATTTTAATCTCTTAACTCTTGGTTTACTCTGTCTCTCAAAACCAAAAATGTGCAGCCTTGTGTAGCCAATTTTACAGCAATATACACAAACTAGCTGATTAAAAAAATGACACAAAATTGAGACTAAAACTACAAATTTATGTGCTTTGAGAAATTTCAAGGAATTTACTTAGATCAGGGTGATGATGTATAACATGGAGAATTTTTTGCACCTGTCTAAAAAATATAACTGAAAAAGTCAAAACAAATCATAGTGTGGATACTAAAGTGCTTGTAAAAAAAAATTTCACTTGGCTATAGCAGTGATTTAAAAAAAAAAATCTCTGTAAAAGGGAGGGGAGAAGTAAATGGTATACATAAATTAGATATATTTAAGACCAGATACAAGCATGGCATGAAAAATGCACACAGCCTTTTATACAAATATATGTAGTTAGGAATACACTCAGTAGATGAAAAGCATTCACTTTAAGTTAATATCACTTCAATTTCAGGTAATAAATGGATCGCAATGACCTCAATTAGTGCTCAGTTAAATTCTAGAAGCAAAGGGGAAGGCTTGAGTATAAATAAAGACAATGGTGTCACATGCTTTGTGAATCCATCTTCTAAGACACACAGAAGCAGAAGGCATTTTCAGCTGCATCTGAGGCTCTCAAAGATTCTTTCTAGTACATTTACCTCTTCCAAGCCCTCCCCACCCCCACTGTGTACATATACCACTCACACATACACACACCAATATCCATTACTAAAGGGCCTAATCTCAGCCATCAGCAGAGTGCCTTTATGGGGCCATTAAACCATTTCTCTTGTTTACAGTGCCTGAAGAAAGATGTGAATTATGTCTGTGACAAAACAAGCGATAACATTTCTAAACTGCTATCAAAATGCAAACTGAAACACATTTAAGGACAGGGACCCTGATTCGAGTTTTCATGATTTTCCATTATTTGCAGCATCTGGAAATACATTCACCTATAATATTTCCGAGACAGGAATTTAGACCATAGCACAGCAAGTTGATATGTATTTTTTTCTTAAATAATATTCTTTAAGGAGAGCAGCCATTAAAACAAAAATGCCACCAAGTTTTAAAGGAGTATTGTCAGTCTGCAGAGATCAGATACCCAGTCTGCCCCTGGAAGTTATTTCGGCAACACAGGGGAAAAGTTATGTGAACTCTCATCCCTTTTTAGGAACATCAGGGTTTTTAAACTGAAGCAGACATTAGATATGATTAAGGTTTCAGGATTGAGCCAGTGTTTGTTTTAGCTTCGGAGACCTTTGTACTAAAGGAATCACAATTGGAAGCCCAATGTGCAAAACAGATGAGAGTGGAGCTACCTTTATGGGGGAAGGCAAGCAGTCATCAATATGCCCCCACCTTGCTTCCTGAAGTAGATCCTTAGCACGTGCAAGGATCTTCCTGGGCAGTTCAAAAATAAGTGCTGAGTCTCGAAACTCATTTCACAGAAGGGAGCATCAAACTTTTGTGAGTGTGTGTGTGTATGAGAGAGAGAGAGAGAGATCCCAAACTCCTACCAGTAACAGTAACTTCACACTCTCTTGCAGGGATCCCTGAGTAGTCTTGCCAGGGTGTACCTAAATGAAGGAGATACAGTTTGAAAAAGCCCCGGAAGTGATCAGGTGTCTACAGACTTGGAAACTAGACCTGAGGACAGACTGGTGGCCTTCGGATGAATGCTGCAGCCTCATAAGGCAGCTGTTTCTCAAAAGCAGACTTAAAAATTCAACTGTCTCTACATTGGAGAATACCATAACATCTTAATAGAAGAGAATGGGTAAGTATTCCAGATTGGGGTCCATCTTTCATCTTTTCAAAAAGTAGTGGGGATACCAAGATGTGGCCAACTCTCACTTTCAGAAGGTCACTTTCCCCCAGCCCTGATGATCTAACTCAGAGGTTGACAACATTTCTTTGTTTCAGAGTGGTTGCAAATAACCAATTAACTGTGATCATTTAAAAATCAGCTTCAAAATCTTCTGGTTTAGAAATCCAAACTGCTGGCTTCTCTAGGAACACACACACACACACACACACACACACACACACACACACACAATATCGAGCAATACTGGGTCCAATTTCCTGCTTGAAAAACAGGTCAGGAGTTGGCTGAGCCACTCTCAGCTGCCCCTTTGGCCAGGACCTGTGCTTTCCTATATGCCACAGTCCCACAGTCCCCACCACTCCATTCCCCATACCACTTGGGCTAAGTTCACTTCACTCACTTATCAGCCTGCCTACCCCCTATTTAACACATAGATAAGAAATCATCATATGTACAAGTAAATGTGCATGTGCATGTTCTCTCTCTCTCACACACACATACACATCATCTCTAATTGGCAAAAATAAATATTATAAAACTTATGTCACACTCATGAGTTAAATACTCAAGTACCTGCTCACGGGCAATAAGACATAGTGGCAAAGCTAGCAGGCACTTAAATCTGCCTAGTTCCAAATCTTGCCACTGCCACTTATTAACTATAAGACTGGGCAATCCACTTAACCTCTCTGTACTTCGGTTTTCTCATCTATAAAATGGGATAATAACAGCACCTGCCTCATAGAGTTTCCGATAGGACTAAGGGAGCCACACTACGTATAAAGTGTGTATTGAGTCCTTAATGATGTTAATTGTTGGTGTTATTATTCAAACCCAGAATCATCAAGTGTTACAGCCAAAAGAGAACATATAGATGACCCGGTCACATAAAAGCTGACTGGTTACGAACATGGAGACTAAATCTTGGCTTTGCCACTTACTAACTGAAGGACTTCTGGTAAGCTAGGTAACCTTTGTGTTACTCAGTTTCCCCTTTTGTAATATCAAATATTGTAATATCAAAATTATTAATTATAACATCAAATATTGTAAAGTCACAAACCCCACAGAACTTCCTCATGGGATCTGTGTAAGAATTTAATGACGTAACACATAATGAGAACTTGATAGTAGCTGACATGTGGCAAGTACTCAGTAAATGTTTGTTACTACTAGTATTAGTCCAACCACTTCCTTATACAGAAGACAAACAGACTCAAGGATGTACACTGACTCGTAGAAACAGAGCTTCAAGCCATCAGATGTTACTTCACTACTTTTTCTATTTAATCTTGTTTCCAATTTCTCTATCAGTCAACTACACACTAAGAGCAAAATAAATAAATAAATAAATAAACATGGAAAACGTCAGTTAGGACAAGGTATCCCGACAGAAGGAAAAAGCGAAAGGTGTGGCCTGGAAGAAAGAACACTGGATTAGGAGTCGAGTAATCTCTACCCAGTTCCTACCCCAGCTAGCTGCATAATCATGGACTAACTGTGCAACCTCCCTGGCCTTCCATTCCTAATCTGCAAGCTGAAGCCATTAGGCCAAGTCATCTTTTTTATAGCTCTAAAATGTAATGCCTGCGTGTAAGTGCCTGCTTACTTACTGATGTAAGAGAGAAGAGGAAAATGGCAAAGGTCTGGTACAAGAATTCCAAGGGCATAACATTCTAAAGCCATTTACTAATAAGGGCACACACAGAGCTCTACAAGCCTCAATAATAACTGAGGGCATTTGCTGCATTTTAGCAAAGGGTGGCAACCAATGTTCATAATGGCAACCCTTAATCACCATGAAAAAGCAAAATTGGGTGTAAGTACTATATTTAAGAAGGGAGGGAGGGTACATAATGCACGTTAGAAAGAGGTACATGTAATACGGTTAACATTTTAAAACACTTGATGCTTTAAAATTTGACTACGGGGACCCCCCACTTTTCAGTAGGGGACCTCCCACATTTCAGTGGGACAGGGACCTCCCACATTTCAGTAGGAAATGTGGGAAAGTAAGATGTTAGTATATTAATAAAGAAAAGGTAGAACTGAAAGACAAAGTTAGATTCCTAATTTTAAAAGCATCACAAGCGTCATTAATTGCAAAATAAAGAGACCAAATACAGAATATGTTGATTCATTCCTCTAAATTTTAAAGCCCAAACTTAATATAATGGTACTTCAGCAGTAGTGGTACTAAATGATCCTCATCTTCACAGTCTAATTGCCAGGAGAAAGTGCCCTGGGAGGAAACTGGTTCTTCCATCTGGAAAAAGGATAAGAACAGGGAAAGGAAGGCCTAATGTATGAACAATCCAAATCTAATCAGTTTTGCATTTTGCACTGGCTTCAAATCAGATCGTCCTACCCCTACTGGTCCAGTAGATGGAAAGCAGCACGACACTATTTTTTTGGAAACAAATTCTGTACAGGGAGCCCAAACATACAGTACTTCATATCCAACTGGCAGGAATAAAACCTGAACAAGCTGGAGCTATTTGAGAAACAGATCTAATAAATTGAAATGAAGTGCCTGAATCAAGATACCCATCCAAATCCACACCTCTCAAAATTTGCTATACTTAATAAATTACCTAATTATGACCTTTATGAATATTGAAACACCTCTTCTACAGAAATTGTCCCACTTTGCTGTAATAGGGACACTCTTTAAGCCCTGCAAAGTTCCAAAAATAAAAATCTCTTCTCTGCCTAGTAATTCTGTAGTTTGTTTCAAATAATGGACAATACATATTTAGAAGAGACTGGGAAGTGTTTGTTATTATTCGTAGCTGAGTAGGAGCTGGAAGATCCCAGCACTTCCGGGTGTTTCTCAGGCCAGGATGAAGTACTGAGGAATGCTACGGCAGATGGGCCTGCAGAATGTGCAGACACCAGAGGTGCTTTGTCCTGGCTACTGAGTGACTATGAAGACAGGTTCTTCCCATAAGAACATGTTAAAAAAAAAAAAAAAAGAAAGAAAAAGGTGGGCTTCCTTCTACCCTGCATCCCCCACACCTCCACCAGGATGCCAGAACAAATTCCACAGTGCTGTCCTCTGTAGGCAATCTGTATAGATCTCTAACAAATAGTTTAGAACAAAGTGGTAAATATATTCCTTGAAATCCAGTGCTACAAAAAAGAAAGCAGATCATAAACAGACGATAGTGGATGAAGATGTAGCATCTCAAGATGGCTTATTCAGAAGTAAATGATAAATATGATCTTTAATTTTCCTTTTTTATTAAATCACAAACACAGGAGCTCCACCTTAAGATTTTACATTAGTTATTTTATCAATGCGCCATAGTAACATACAAAACAAAATTAATATTGCATTGCCATAGAAGACTACCAAATACTAATATGCCTGTCATGGCTTTGAAATAATAACTACTAAAAAGGCATTTCTAAGATTTGTAAGTATTACTCACTAACAACAAGTAGTCCAATAAATGTATTAACATGAAATAAAATAAAATCATTTTCTCCAGCAGTATTTTAAAGGCAATAAAATAAGTAATCAGTGATGCAAATACTTGCTTAAATGAATTTATTACTGTGGGCTTCAGAACCAGAGCAGTATAATTCTAAATTTAGAATTCATCTCACACGGATTAGCATGATCTAAACAATTCTTCAAATAAGCCCAGAGGTAAGAGCAATGGTACATGGCTTACAAAGTGGAGAAGGCCAACACCAAGACGACTAAAACTCCACATCTATACAACATACTCATGAATCTAGGGAAATACTATTATCGTTCCATTCTTCAAATGTTTGTGCATTACCTGTTTAATATTTAGCTCCTGGAAAGGATCTTTCAATCTCAGTTTGGTGATCCTATATTGTTTGAAAAATTTTATTCTCTTTTGAGTTATTGAATCCTCACTTTTGATACATCATTTCACATACTTTTCTTCCAGTCTGTATGTAAAAAGGATCTGTAGTTTGAATGGTCTTAAATTGACTATTTTAGCACCAAAATGACATGCTGGAAACAACCCTCAATGCTTGAAGTACACCTGCAGCATTCTGATGTCACCCTACTGAAGACATGATTGAGATCAATTCAGACATCACTAGTCACTTGGCTCCTTGTTCAAAACAACCCCATTGGTAGACAATCAAAGCTGAAAATATGTTCTGAATACCAGAGCTAGGAAAGTTTGCCCAAAAAAAGAAAGCCAGCTGGCTAGGGCCAAAAAAAGTACCTTTCAGTAAATGCCAATAAAACTTTACAGGCTGCCAAAATAACAAAGATAGAGTAATTACAAAGGAAACTTCACAATTTTCCTGACAATAAACACCTTCTTAAAACGAAATTTTCTGTCACCTGGTCTCAATTGTTACAGCTGTTAATACTGGCTGGGGTAAATCTTGCAAAAACATTTTATTTGAACCAACTACTAATTTGGCACAACATTTTTATAATTTTTACCCCAAAATAAATTTGAAAATGTTCTTTAAAAATCCCTTCTGATATTTAATTCAATGTATATTGAAGGAGTTTCCATGAGGAACTGCCACTCTTACAGAAAAGCTTCTACCGAAAGTATTTCACCCAACTTGAAAATTTTTCATTTAACTGTATGAGATTAAGAATCCCCCCTCAAAATAAGGGGAGATGTATGACATACAAAAGTAAAGACTGTGATTGGGCAGGGCCACTTTTTTTTAAAGCAGTCAAGTCCTTTTTTAATTTCTTAACAATAAAATAAATATTAACTTAAAAACATTTACAGCACAAGAGCTACATCAGAATAATGAACTCTAAGAGTCTCTGCTGACACAAACCCAGCCATTGCCAATACAACAAGAAGCAAACAAGCCAAATGCTGACAAGGAAAGCCAAGCAAGAAAGCCTTGGAGAGACTTAACGGTGGCCATGAAATACACAGTGAGGAGACACTGTGTAAGACACCTATGTAAGAAACTAATTTGAATACCTCTTTAAATACTTTGCAAGTATTGTAGGAACTAAATGTATTGGATCAGTGAATGCACAGATCACATTTCCATACCTAGAGGATGTACTCCCAAGAAAACTATTATTGGAATGAAGAATTTTTGAATTATATTAGCATATTATGAGTAATTTTTGTGATTTCTTAAAACACTCATTTTTTTCTACAAGAACACATCTCTAATTTTTCATCGGGATCCATTTGGGAGTTCTGAATCACAAATGAACCAAGCCAAATTACAGTATTTCATAAGGAGTTTAAGAGATTACTCTTGTCCACCTGCACAGTCTTTAAAATGAACAGTTACTGAGAAGTGCTGTAATCATAGATATGCAGCTTGTTAAATCTGATTTCAATACCAATACCCCGCATGCAGTTTATATTAAGTCATATTTATACCAAATTACAATTACATTTGACTTAGTTGATATGATCTAGTGATAAAGAAATATTACAATAGCCGAAAATATAAAATCAAGTATTATACAAGTATTCACTAATTACATACACTTGTAACCTAAGAAATGTTCTTAATTTTCACCCTATTTATAATAATCCAGAAGGCCTTCTTAAATGTTCGTTAAATTCTTGTTACACTTTATAGAGTTGTTGATACAACCTCCCAGCTGCTAGTTCACAGGATTTTTTTTTTTATCGGCTCTAGAGTCTCCCTATTACACTATTCCAGGAGTGTACCCTTAAGGCTATATTACAGGAGAGAACTCCATATAATAAGATCATTTCCATCCTTCAGGAACCAAGCCTTGTCTGATGGGAACCAAGATAGTTCACCTGTTACTAAATTTGCCTCCATAGCAATAGTGTCATGGCAACATTCCAATGTATATTTTTTACTTTGACTTGCTAACTGCAAATAAGGGGAAATTAGATTACTACATTAAGCATAAAATGTAGAGCGTAACTAGGTAGCAGTGGTGTACAGGTGTTATTGGAAATAGAAAATCTCAGCATGGAAGCAATAATACTTGAACATTACAAATCTTTTTACTTCTATCTTGGGCAGAGCATTTTGTAGAAACATCAAAATACATATCAAATCATACTAATCCTTGCACAATGCAAGTCTTTATGTTATACATAATATACAGTATACAGAGGCACTACATAGGAAACAAACTCTGCGTTTGATTTTATTGTCACATAAATTTCATTTAAGTAAATATCAGTTACTAATTTCTGTGGATTAATAAAATTTTTAAAAGACTCCAAGAAAAATTGCAAAATGTCAAAAAAATTAAGATGTGATTATTAAGGTGGCTATTATTAAATGAGGAGGTATATCCAAATACTCAAGTGTTCTAATGTTTAACTGCCTTTTTTTAAAACGTCAAACTATATTTACTGCTACGTAAACCTAAGTCACCTATTTATTTATTTATTTATTTTTTATTTTTATTTTTTTTGAGAAGGAGTCTCGCTCTGTCGCCCAGGCTGGAGTGCAGTGGCGCGATCTCAGCTCACTCCAAGTTCCGCCTCCCAGGTTTACGCCATTCTCCTGCCTCAGCCTCCCAAGTAGCTGGGACTACAGGCGGCCGCCACCATGCCCAGCTAATTTTTTGTATTTTTTAGTAGTGACGGGGTTTCACCGTGTTAGCCAGGATGGTCTCGATCTCCTGACCTCGTGATTTGCCCGCCTCAGCCTCCCAAAGTGCTGGGATTACAGGCCTAAGGCACCTATTTAAATGTAACCTTTTGAGATGCTTAGATGGTGGCATCAAGCCCATTTGAATGAACAGGTATTACAATGTTTGCTCTAGATCACAAATCAATTATAGGGATAATCATTTTTCCATAACTTGGTGATCAAAGAGGATGGTAAACAATGACAACAAATAGCATTGGTTGTCTACCAACACAATACAATGGTGGAAACTTGCATATGGAATGAATTTTTTAATATTTCTGTCTTATTTTATTTTCTGCATTATAATCTAGTTCTTTAGAACAATGAGCTCTGCCAAAGCGTCTGCTGTAACTCCAGGTGTAAGGTGTATCAAATACTGTAGCCAGCTGATATATTCAGCAGCTTATATTAGCACTTAAACACACAAAGAAGATTTATACAGCACTCCTTTGTAATTGATAGTTCCAAAAAACTAGAAAAGTATGAAGATGAAAGAGCGCTCTGCTTTCCTTCCAAGTGTGCAAATAGAAAAGATGAACTTTGGAGAAACACATGGATACCACCTGCAAAACAATCCTATGATCACAACCGTGATAGGCCTGGTTTGCATTCTCCTCCTCACCCCTTTGAAGTAAATAGAAGCTTTGTAAAATGAAGGTGTGCATAGGGATAAAAGTTAAGTCAGATAAAGCCTGCTTCTCCTCTTACCATACAAGGCATACATAAATTCTTAGCCAGTGACTATTTCTTTGAATTACTACATTTGATTCCACTGACATAAAATTTCTGGTATATATGCATTGTTTAGCATGTATTTGTTTTAAATATGGTTAACTAGAAGTGTGCCTATATACTAAAATCCATTTACAAAAATACATTATACCCTTTGCTTTTTTCTTTCCACTTTCTCCTCCCCAATAACACGACATTTTCATTCTCAGAAATTTCCAGGTTGGCCCATTTGTTGTTGTTCAGATAAACCTTGAATACATCTGACTTTTGCTAGCCCACAAAATGACCTATCAAACTTCATTCCCATTGCTATCCAGTGTGTATGTCTATATTCAAACACTGCTACCATTCTCTCTGATGGACAGAGCAATTAATACCTGGTCTTGTCCCAACTTAATAGGCCCTCCCCTCATCACTGGGTAAATCATACAAATCTTGAGAAGCCCAGTCGATTATGTAGTAAGCACACATGTATTAAAAATTAGGTGCCAAGGAAGATCGTTCCAGTTCTGTCACTACTTGGGCACTGTTTGTTACTATGGGCAAACTGTTTTGCTCCCGACAATCTTAGTTTTGGCACACAGCTCTAGCTACAAGACAGTGTAGCATCGTGGTTAAGAGTATAAACTCTGGAGCGAGATCTACAACTTGGCTGCTGTGTGACACAGGACAATCCACCTAACTACTCTGTGCCTCGATTTTCTCACCAAAAGAAAGAGATAATAGTTTCTACTAAATAAGGATGTTATGAAGATTGGCTGCATTAAGATATTTATAAAGTGTTTAGAAGAGGAACTAGCACATCGTGAGCATTACACAAGTATTAGCTATTATTATCCAACAAACACAGAGATATTGGGTGAATTATCTCCAGGTTCCTGTCATTTCTAATATTTCATTGAGTAGATTTCTCATTCTGTTGTAAGTCAGGCTTCATTTTCTTCATGAAGTCTTTCTCAAGTACTCCAATCTGTGTTGATCTTGCTTAAAAAAAAAAAAAAACTATAGAATTTAGTATCTGTAAGGACCACTCATTTAATTTGTAGTCAGGTAGTATTTTTTTAATCGTTAATACAATAATAGTAATAATATTAATAATTATGAATGCTCTATTTTATCCTCCTTACACATCTATAGTATCCTCACTCTTCAAAGCCCCTTTGAAAGATAAGGAAATGGAAGTACTAAGAGATTAATTGACATACCACGGTTACCTGGTTATCAATAGGAAGTAGTAGATGGGGCACTGAGCCTAACTAGTAGGACTCCAAAGCCTGCACTCTTAGGTGCTATTTTAACTTCCCACTCTACTGTACCTTAACTAGTCCCAGCATATGCTTCCCCTTCTTCCATACTTCACAGTATGCTTTTAGAAGGCAGGAATCATGTTTTTTAAATATTTTCATGCATAAGAATTATATCCCATATAAATAGATACTTAAGTACCTATCTATCTTTATCCTGGCATTATAACTCTGCAAGTAATTCATATAATGTCTAAAATGGAATGAGTCTCAAAATGATTGCTTAAAAATGGTTTGTTCTGGCCGGGCACAGTGGCTCACACCTGTAATCCCAGCACTTTGCAAGGCCGAGGCAGGTGGATCATTTGAGGTCAGGAGTTCGAGACCAGCCTGGCCTGCATCGTGAAACCCTGTCTCTACTAAAAATACAAAAAGTAGCCAGAGTGGTGGCACATGCCTCTAATCCCACCTACTCGGGAGGCTGAGGCAGGAGAATGGCTGGAACCTGGGAGGCAGAGGTTACAGTGAGCCAAGATAACACCACTGCCCTCCAGCCTGGGCAACAGAGTGAGATTCTGTCTCAAAAAAAAAAAAAAAAAAAAAAAAAAAGATCTATTCTCTGGAACCTTTTTTTTTTTAAATTGGGAGCCATACATAGATTATTTATCTTTCTTAAGTTAAATACTTGGAGTACTGTGCATAGACAACCTACCACATAAAATAAAGAGCAGGCTCTTTCACAGATCTGTAATGTATTTGCTGCTACATCTAAAGTATTTCTTCTTTTTGAGTTGCTAGTGGAGGACAATGGAAAGGAAGACGGTGTTCACCTCTTAGAGAACAATCTATAATGAATAATTACATCTGTCTAGGGAAGATATGCTACCAGTATGTGGCAGCAGTAATGACATCACAAACCAACTCTTTCATGGCTAAATTAATCAAATGCAATCATCTTAAATTCCTTTAATTATATTATCAACATTGCTATTCTGAATCTTCATTACTGTTACTATAGCTTATAAAGTCCTCTGCCCTAAAAACAGTACATAAATTAAGTAGATATTGATACTGCCTGACTTCTACAGAGCTACTGAGTTATTCAATACTCATCTATGTGCCAAATTCTTCAGACAAGATACCTCATTTAATCATTACATTCACCCATTTATTTTCCCCTTTTACTTACACAGCTTAAAGAAGTTAATTAGTTCAAAATCACAAAAATAGCAAATTATAAAACTTAGATTTAAACCCAGATTTAAACCTACTCCAATCTATAAATCTATAAAATTTATAAATTTATAAAATTTGTAAATCTATAAAACTTAGATTTAAACCTACTCCAAAGCTCACATGTTGCCATGTGAGCTTATAGCTACTTTAAGATTTTACCTCAGTGCCAAATTCTCTGATGCTAGTAATTCTTTTTGGAGAGAGAAAAACTAGAACCTATTTTTCTTATATTTAGCATGCAGAATCCAATTGATGAAACTCAAATTCTGATTTGTTTTGTTGTTGTTATTGATTTTCCTTGGGGGCTGAAAATATAAGAATCTGTTATCATATGCTGGGAGTGGTGGCTAATGCCTACAATGCCAACACTTTGTGAGGAAGGATCACTTGGGTCCACAAGTTCAAGACCGCTAGGTAACACAGCAATACCTCCTTTCTACAAATAATAATAACAATTTAAAAATAGCTGGGCATGGTAGCGCACACCGGAGTCCCAGCTACTCAAGAGGCTGAGTTGGGAGATCGCTTGAGCGCGGGTGGTTGAGGCTGCAGTGAGCCATGATTGCCCCACTGCACTCCAGCCTGGAAAACAGAGCAAGACCTCATCTCAAAAAAAAAAGAAAAAAAAGAAAAAGAAAAATCTGTTATTATATAAGAATGATTGCACTAATATTTGTGAAATACTTTGGGTCAAATACATCTGGTCCTGTAGAAGCCCAGCCATAGCCTAATAATTGATTGATTGGAAAAGTAGCTATTTTATAAGGTGATCTTTGGTCATTCACAATTTAAGCAGCCCATTAATTTTAAATGGGCTTCAAGAGGACCATTTTAAAGCTGAATACCACTTCATTGCAAATAGTGTTACAGCAAGGGTCCTGTGGATTCATTTTTATTATTTAAATAGCAATGATCATAAAATTAGCACCCTTCTAATGTAGTTCTCATCTTGATTATTGCTATTTAAGTAGTGAAATTTTTTCTTCAGGCTGAGCGAACACTATAATTATTATTGCTTTACATTGTAAAGGTTGCATCTTAATTGAAAAATCAACACTTTTTTTCCCTTTCAATGAATACATCAACTTTGAAATAAAAAAAAACATTGAGGATAGAAGCAATTTTGTTAGACCCACAAATTAGGGTGTCCTTGATTGGCCAGAATTCATAACCCATAATCTTACACATAAGATGCTAACTGATCCTATAGTAGGGTCTGTATTACAAGTATCAGAATGTTTCCAGTGCAACACTTTTTGTTTTTGAATTCCTATGGTCAAAGTAGATTTGAACAAACAACACTTCTTAGTTTCTTCTAACAGTATCATTACAGATATACACTGAACTACTTAGTGTGATCAACAGCAAAAGGTCAAGTTGTTACAACTATTTACAGTATGTGTAGATACAGTAGATAAAGCCCACATGTTGGTAGGTGTAGACATTATTTATGAGTATGAAGAAAAACACAAAAAGTTAAGTTGATCAGAAATGAATGCACGTGTGATATATTATGAATGTTATGTTTTGTGTATTTCATATATCTATATATTTTTGTATATACAGAATAAAAGCTTATATAGTATGTTCCATGTGCCAAATATATTACTTAGATATTTCACATAAACATATACAATGTTATGTACACACACACACACACACACACGTGTGTGTGTGTATATATATAAATACTCATTTAGTCACCCTAGGGGAGATAATATTTATCCCATTTTTATGCAAGAGGAAACTGAGGCACAATGATCTTAAATTGCTTGTACAAGGTCACACAGCTAGTAAATAGTAGAGACTTGAACTCAAGAGGCCTAGGTCCAATGTCCTACTCTTATACAGTACAATGTACTCAGTCCCATAGATAAATCTCATCACGTTTATATCATATGGCTTTAGTGTCTTCAACATCAACACTATCAGCAGCATGAAATAATATAAAAAAGTAGTATCAGACAAGACGCAAAATGTGATATTCAATTAATTTCAGCACATTAGCAAATGTTCCTGGCCTAATTATGTGTTGCCAAATAGAGTCCAAACCAATTTTAAAATTCTCTTTTGAGAGCATCATTATTTTGTTAAGCAAACATTCAGGATTCCTGAAGCTGAAGACCTATGTATACATAGAACTTAACCACATTTCTACAATCCAAAGCACAAGCATAAAGATTTTCATAGACAAACAGGGAACTTCAGGGATTGCCCACTCCACCCTTGCTTTCCATATACGTATTAGTTTGTGCATTATGTTATAAATTAGAATAATTCCATGAAGAATAAAAATCATTTTTGATAAATTTTCCATTTTTCTTTTATTGTATTACACAAGCATACGAATATATATATGTATACACGGATGTGGCAAAAACACTTATTTTACGTCTTTAATTCACTTGTATAGTCATGGCAAATCAATGAATAACAACTTTGTACATTTTACTGGAATGCATACAAGGGAAAATGTTACAAGGTGAGTTTTGGTTCTGCCATTCAACACCTATGAATGTAGTTCCTTATATAGGAACCACACTAAAACTGTATGAGCTTTGTCTACTCTGTCTATATCCCAAGGTAACTGTGAGAATCAAATGAGATACAGGATGTGAAAATGGCCTATGAAATCTAAAATGCTGAACAAATATAAATGATTAGTATTATTGCTAGTATTGTATTCATCTTTCAGTTCACAGCACCTAGCACAATGCCTGGCACTATGAATATTTGTGAACATAACTTATTTTTCGTTATGAAAAAAAGCCACGGTAAGAATTTAACCAACAGGACAAGCTGCATGTTACCAAAATAAAGATGCCAAACCTAAAGAGTCTAAAACTGCTATTCCCTTAACTATTATAAATAATATGAAAATAAGAGCATATTTTTCCAATTTTGTAATCACAAAATTCATGTGTGTTTTACTATATTCACAACCATTGAAATTTTGCATTAAGGTTTTTGAAAACATTTTAATACCAATCTTGGCAAAAAAAAAAAAACTTCATGCACACACACACCTATACGTATATATAGAGAGAGAAGTTTACTGATGACTTCTCATTTTCTTAGAATTTAACCAAAATTCTAAGAAAAGAATGTTATATTTTACATAAAATTCAGATGTTTGTATATATTAGCCTGCTTATATGTACATTACGTACACATAAATTCATATGTCCATCTCTACATAAGACCTATAAATAAGAGGATAGGTCTATATATTCCATAAGCACATTATCCGAACTTCAGAAATTGCTATGTAAAAGCCAAAAGCCCACATTTCCACTTTGATCAATGGGACAGCTTTATCACAAAATGGGATGACTGACGTTTATTGATTAGCTGATAACTTTCTAATGCAACAGCCTTTAATCTGCAATAAAACTATGAATGAAAATAGAGCTTTCACAAAGGAAAACAGGGATTGATTTTCCTGAAAGAATACAGGAACATGGAGATTTCAGATGGCAAAAACATCCAGAGAAACACAGCAATGACATCCAGCTATTTGGCTTTCCCTACAGACCCGTGAGTTGAGACAACTGCATCACCTGACATTCTGGCCCCAGTGCCAAGGACTAGGGAATCAAATCAAATCAACATAATAAGGCTGTTGTGTTCATGAGGATGGAGAAAAACAACCCCAAACAGCAGTAAAAGTTCACTTCACAGCAGGACCACCATTTCAGAGGAAAAGCTAACACTACTGAGAGGTTTGCTTCAATACTACCCATACATCTTTATAGGGATGAGCCATTTTTAACCATGTTCGGTGGCCTTGATAGTATTTGACAACAACTTTTGCTGGTAACTCTGCAGCTGGAAATAATTCTAAGAAAAACATCTTATGGTTTAGGACTAAATTCAGTGTTGAAAAGTTCTGGGGGATAAATGGAAAAAGGGGGGCACATATTTCTAATCAAAATTTATCCAGAACTTGGTATTGGTTTATAGATCACGATCATACTTAATGTGAAAAATCGACATAATACTAAGCTAAGAATTATGCATAGATACATTAACATTGATAAACGAGACAAAACCTGGCATAAAAATATTGAATTGAAGTCATTCCTTCATCCAACAAATATACATTTGTGCTAGTGATGTAGCAGAATTTAAAAATACCCTTCTGAATAACAAAATGGGTGAGAAAAGTATTTCTTATTCCAGTATCTGGAATAAGATACTGGAATAAGTATCTTATAGTGAATCTGATAAAGAAAAAAATCACTAATGAGTGAAAGCATCCAGGTTCATACTTTTTCTTATTTGCTATTTTCCCAACACACAGCTAAGGGTGTACAATCTTTCTTTTAAAATCATGAAGAGCCTGATAATCTTTTTGGGTTTCAGTTTTTCATCTTTAAATTAAAGGTGTTGATATCATTAATCTTTATCGTCTCAAGCTGCAGCTTTGAAATTTCTATGAATATTTACTACTATAATGGGAATTCCATGAACATTAGTAATACTCCTACTACTACTACTAATACCTCCGCCGCTGCTGCTACTACTACTACTGCCTCCATTCCCAAACGGCTGTTCTCCTCCAGTGAGAAAAATACACCATGTCTGAAACATTCTGGGGCCAAAACCTGTGCATAAACAACGCATAAATACACAGTGTTATCATAAACATCTCTTGAATTCTGGTAAATAAGAGAAAATATTTGAGGCAGAGAAGCGCACACACTGCAGCCTAGACAAGGACTGGAATAGTTCCCGAACACCATGTCCTCCCATCTATTTTTCTCACAGCTATTCGCTCAGATGAGTTCACAGAACATCTTTCTTGAGACAAACCTCTATTGGAAGGTGCTCTTGGTCTCTCTTCATCTATCATACCTTGATGAGAATAATTTTCAAAAACTATTAGTGAAACACATTCTTTGTTAGCCACGCAGATTTTTTTTTTTCAGAATAGAAACAGTTTTGAAGCTTGTACGTGTAGTCTGAGTATTGGCTATCAGGGAGGGAAGATCTGCATAGACTAAGCAACCATGAGATGGGATTCTCAGCTGTGTAATTTCAGTCATCACATGCCTTAGCTATTTGATTATTTTATGCCCTGGGTTTCTCTTCATGTAAAACAGGAATAATATCAAGTTATTTCAGAGTATTTGTCCTAATAGAGATTATTGAGAAATGTGTGGTGAGATAGGAGTATCTAATAATATTTATTAGAGTGCCCTAATCTGATAACTGAGATTTAGCTCTAATGTTACATAAATGCAAACAGCTTTCCATTAGCCCTCAAAGAAAAATAAAACAGAGGGAAATAAAAGCAGATATTGGCACTCGTTTTCAAACAATTCAAGCCACCTGTGCATGAATACGTTTTTTAAAAAATAAGATTCTAAATACCCAAGAAACTATTCATTCAATTCAGTATTCAATGAATACCTCAAACATGTGAATCATACACATAAACCGGGCATGAACCATCCTCTACAAGCCAATGAAAATAGGATTAAAATTAGGATCTATGTAAAGTATGTATTGGCACATAAAATTTGTTAATTCTGACTAAGATAATCAAGGGAAAAATAACATCTGATCTGAATCTTAAAGAACAAATATGATCTCAATGAATAGGACAATACTCTGTAAATAGTAATACTTAACAGTAGAGTACCTCATTTTTTAAAAGTCCAAAGATATTCTTGTCAGTCCCCTATAACATGAATTTTAGCATAGGTCAACAAGGTGTTAAGACAGACACTGATAGCCATCATCCACTAGGGAATCCAGTGGCCTTGCCTTTGGACAGAGTACATTTTGTTAAAATAAGTATAAAATTAAGTCCGGGTGTGGTGGCTCACACCTGTAATCCCAGCACAGTAGGGGGCCAAGGCGGGAGGATTGCTTGGTCTCAGGAGTTCAAGACCAGCATGGGCAACATGGCAAAACCCCATCTCTACAAAAAAATACAAAAATTAGCTGGGGATGGTGGTGCATGCCTATGGTCTCAGGCTGAGATGGGAGAGTCATCTGAGCCCAGGAGATTGAGGTCACTTGAGCCCAGGAGACTGAGGCTGCAGTGAGCTGAGATCATGCCACTGCACTCCAGACTGGGCGACAGAGTGAGACCCTGTCTCAAAAACAAAAACAAACAAACAAACAAAAAAACCTAAAATTACATGAAACCTAAGCACATTTTCTTCAATATGTAATAGATCAGAGTCTGAATACACAGTGATTATGCATAGATTTCACATCACTCATATAATTTCACATTACTCAATATGTGATAAATACAACTTCATTTATCAATTATATGCAGTAAGAACATAAGCTCCATGATAGCAGATATTTTTCTGACTTTTTTCACCACTGTATCTCCAGTGACTAGGACAAAGCCTGTCATATAATAGGGACTCAAAACACATTTGTTGAATGAATAAACATCTAGAGTCTTATAAACCTACGTAACACCTGTACAGACTACAACTGTGTAGCATATGTACCCAATAAATAAATTAATTAAACTAAACTCTCATAGGTAAAATAAGAACTGTTATACATTAAGATTTATTATTCATATTTAAAAATCATAAAAAATAACAGTAATGGATACGGATCTCATTTGCAAAATATAATCATTCCAATTTTGCAAACAGAAATGTGAATACAAGATTCTGCTACAATAAAAGATAATTAAAGGGTCCATCACAACTCAAGCCTCTTCAACAGGACCTAAAAACTAGTCAAAACAGGACTATATAGGCAATAACTAGGAGTAACTATGAAACAAATCTCTGAATAGTTTAATAATGTCATACCCACAGCAAAACAAACCAAAAAAACTTCTTTGCTAAACTCTAGATTTACAAAAGATTCAAAAGATTACATACAAAACCATTGCACAAAGGTACTTTTCTGATCTTAAAGCTTAATCAGACATTGTTTAAACAGTATTTTTAATCTAGCCATTCCTGATATATTGCCAATAATGGAGTTCTTGAGTTAACATTACCCTTAGCTACTGTCAAATGCAAATAGTGCTTTAGATTTAAAAAAACAATAGCATCTAACCAAAATTTTTACCTAGTAAGATACAGCACCAACTCTCATTAGGAAAAAATTCAGTAACAGACAGAAGCAAATATGCATTGTGCATCTTAAATACATGTTTATTATGATTTAAAAAAAGTGGAAAAATGATACCAATAAAAACCCATAACAAACACTAAGCATACAATTACGATGTGAAGGTCCACATGTACTAGTTTAGCTCAGGTTATTTCTTCTTTATATCTTATTTCATGAAACTTACATATTCTATGAGGTGGTAGCCCCCAAATATATTTATTTTCATGACTGCTTTATTTTAGTTTCAAATACTAATAATTGTTGTGTTTACTTTTTTACATATCAGAATATATAGATGTATGTGTATTTATTAAAAATATGGGGACAAAAAGTATAATATTTGGTTCTGCAAATATTTTCCACTGACATCCTTTACCTAGATTTTTCCAATAAATATTGTTTGGCTTATATTTCTATCAAGTCCATTCATTGTATAACAAAATAATTATTTAATATGAGGTCAAGTTCAACCAAAGAAGGTATAGATCACTTTCTTCAAAATAACTTGTGACTAATTATAGGGAGGGTAAGTAAAAAATATTTGCTGACATAACTTCCTTTGAGCACATTTCAAAAGTCAATTTCTACAATATATTGTTATATTAAGGACAAAATTAAAGAAGAAAAATAGGAAAGAAAAAGCTAAAGACTTGGGTTAATATATATATTTTTAGCTTTCATCTTTGGAAGAGCAAGCACCAGTTTTGTAGAGTTTTGAATTTTAGTTTTTGGTTTTCATCTGGGCGGTAAGCCTGCCCTATGTACCTTAACAAGAATAAACTGGTAAAACCAAAAATAGTGAAAAGTATCTACTAGAGCATACTTTACTAAAATCAAGACTAATGTAATTTTCTCACTGTAAGTATACAGAATATAAGTATTGGCTGCACCTGTCCAATACTTATATTCCGTATACTTACAGTGAGAAAATTATAAGTATACCAATAAAAGAAAGTACACCTACTTCCTATAAGGGAAAGTGTCCTTCATAGCAAATTCTACTTACATTATTCCCCCATGAATTACGTTTTTTTCTAAAACCCACTTTTCAAGTCAAGCATGCATTCACCAGATTTAGCTAGTATCCTTTCTCTTTTCCTTCTGGCACAAAATCATAATGTGGCTCTGGGCCTAAAAGATTTGTTTCCCTGTCAACTTACAGATAAGTAAGTAAAGGTTAAGAGACATACCCAAGGTCTATGATTTAGATTTTATTTCTTTTACTGGACTTGATGGATTCCTGGGAGGGTATCTAAAATAAAAATTCTTGCAAGAGAGCCTACTTGCAAGATGGAGAGTACTTTTCATTGGATTTTCATTTTGATTTAAAAAATGTATTCCTTGTAAAACAATCAAGTACCAAACTAAAATTTTCGCTTTACTGGAAAGGGGGCTGCTGGGCTTTGTGACAGACATGGAACACATCTGCACCAGTGGAACAGTAGAACATCTAATGACAAGAATTCCTACTAGACACACCTAGAACAGGGTGGGTCATCAATGCCTTGGCTCTCTCTAATCAGCATTGGGAAGTTCCTTCTAAACTAGAATTGGTTCCAGTATAAAAGAAATCTACAATCAGCAATGACTTTCTCACAGCTAAAATAGAGAATAATCTTTGGAAGAGGAAAATATATATAATTCTAGCAAAGATGATAAAATAAGAATATATTTAAAATATCATTTTTATATAGCCTTCGCTTTTTGATTCCCTAGTATATTTTAAAAATAAGATGACAATATATTACTTAAATAATATTTTCCAGAAACTGATTGCCTCTATCACATAACAAATTTTATATGGGTATGAATGGCAAGGTTCATCTTACAACTTAATTGCAAAAGACTGATACTGCTGTCTTTATTTTACAATTAAGTATATGAGAAAATATCTAACCTTGCACTCCACGAAAGGCCTGCATCAGAATCACCTAACAGTTCCTTAGAGATACAGAAGCCTAGTTCTAGGCCTGTAATGTCAAGCTCTCACAGGATAGGAAACAGGAAGCTGCATTTGCACAAGCTTCCCAAATGATTTTTATTCATGCCCAGGTCTGAATACGGACTGAAGTAGAATCAGACAGCTGATTACCGGCATTAAAGTAATTAAAACCTATCCAAAATGTTTTTCTATCTTCATAGGACAACAGGTAAAATCTAAAACTAATAAAACAAGAAGTTGCAGTACAAGCATATTATTTAGTATGTAGGACAACTAAAAGGCAGTTGCTTCTAGAGAGGACTGTGAGTTGTGGGTTGCAGGAACGGGGAATAATTTTATTTGCACTTTTTCCTACTCTGTACATAAACTGCTTTGACAAAATATTTAAACTGGGCCAGGCGCAGTGGCTCACGCCTGTAATCCCAGCACTTTGGGAGGCCGAGGCAGGAGAATCACGAGGACAGGAGATGGAGACCATACTGGCTAACACAGTGAAACCCCGTCTCTACTAAAAATACAAAAAAAAAAATTAGCCTGGCGTGGTGGCGGGCGCCTGTGGTCCCAGCTAGCCGGGAGGCCGAGGCAGGAGAATGGCGTGAACCCGGGAGGCGGAGCTTGCAGTGAGCTGAGGTCACGCCACTGCACTCCAGCCTGGGCGACAGAGCGAGACCCCATCTCAAAACACACACACACACACACACACACACACACACACACACACACACACACACACACACACACACAAAGCAGCAACTACAAAAAGCATACCCAAAAGAAACTCAGAACCATCAAGAGGTAGCTATCGTATAACTCTCAGGAATACTAACTTGGGCGAGAAGGTATGCAACTAGTCATGCTTGAAATGGATAGTTTGAGTCTATTTGGTAACATGTTTAAATATGCCTCAAAAAAAGTTTTAAATCTTTTTGAAATTGAAAACAAACCAAAAAACTCATGTTCTTAAATCCAAAAAAATGCCATTTCTCTTTCAGTGTGTGCTCTCATTTTGGTAAAAGCAGTCAGAAAAACGAAAGAAGATGAAGTTTTCCTGACCAATCATATCAAAAAAACTTAATCGGGCAAGAAAGTTTTCAAAATTAGTAATAAAAAATCAACTTTATAAAGTACTCACTGTATGTGTTGAAAGAAACAAGATGTAGGAAGGTAACTTAGTAAAAAGGCAGGAAATTATGAAAACAAACCACAAATGGAATTTTTCTGATCCTGGACAGGTACGTGTTAACACAAATTATTCAGTCAGGGTCTACACAGACCTGACTGACTTCAGTTTTTTTAGAAGCAGATTTGTAACAGTAATCTAAGTATTTCTTTTTTCCACTTCATTGAAAAAAAAAAGTCAAATGCTATTCTTTCTTTTATTTATTTTATTTTATTTATTTATTTTTTGAGACAGAATCTTACTCTGTCACCCAGGCTGGAGTGCGATGGCACGATCTTGGCTCACGGCAACCTCTACCTCCCAGGTTCAAGCAATTCTCCTGCCTCAGCCTCCTGAGTAGCTGGGATTACAGGCATGCGACACCACACCCAGATAATTTTGTAGTTTTAGTAGAGACGGGGTTTCGCCATGTTAGCCAGGCTAGTCTCGAACTCCTGACCTTAGGTGATCCGCCTGCCTCGGCCTCCCAAAGTGCTGGGACTACAGGCGTGAGCCAATGTGCCCGACCCAAATGCTATTCTTAAAACCAGAAATTCTTAAAGAAACAAAGTGTAGTTATGATTTTCATTTACTTAAAGTGCCATCCATGTAATAATATTAGTGGTTTTAAACAGTTGAGTCCCCACACAAGGGTCTGTCTGGATGATTTTTGTATGGTCCTCTAGTATTGTATTACAGATATCTGATAAAGTACAGAAGTTTGCAAAAGATTTACTTTTGTAAATAGTGAAGAGTCAGGGTTATTGTTATTTCTTTAATAACATTTTTTCCAATGGACTTGCATTCCAGTGTGTTTTACTGAGTGTAAGACAAAGCAGTAGAGTTACAAGGATCTATTCTGTTGGGAATTTTGCATAACCCTGGGACTTATGCACACTCCTGGAAATGCTCTGGAAGAAGATAAAATGTAAATGTGAAAGTCACTATCATGTGAATCACTACAGAGAAAAGACTGAAATGAACTAATGTAACCAAATGGAAACAAACTAGTTCTAAAAATAACACATAACTTTGTTACGAAGAACAAAATGAAAGGTGGTAGATTTTCAAAGATGAATGATATAACGGCCAGGCACAGTGGCTCACACCTGTAATCCCAGCACTTTGGGAAGCTAAGGCGGGCGGATCACTTGAAGTCAGGAGTTTGAGACTAGCCTGGACAACAATAGTGAAACTCCGTCTCCACTAAAAATACAAAAATTATCCAGGCATGGTAGCGCATGCCTGTAATCCCAGCTACCTAGGAGGCTGAGGCAAGAGACACTTGAATCCGGGAGGCAGGAGTTGCAGTGAGCCGAGATCGTGCCACTGCACTCCAGCCTGGATGATACAGCGAGACTCTGTCTCAAAAAGAAAAAAAAAATGATATAACTAAATTTAAAATATATGATTTAAGGCTGGGTATGATGGCTCATGCCTGCAATCCTAGCACTTCAGGAGGCCGACTTGAGCAGATCACTTAAGCCCAGGAGTTCAAGACCAGCCTGGGCAAAACCCCATCTCTCTATAAAATACAAAAATTGGCCGGGCATGGTGGTGCGTGCCTGTAGTCCCAGCTACTTGGGAGGCTGAAGTAGGGTAGACTGCTGAACTAAGGAGGCAGAGTTTGCAGTGAGCCAAAATCATGCCACTGCACTCTAGCCAGGGCAACCAAGTGAGACCCTGTCTCAGAATAAAATAAGATTGAAAATATAACATTATTGATGTAATTAAACTTAAAGTAAACAATTTAGGAAAATTCTGTTTAAATACAAATGTATATCCACTTCAGAAACATAAGGTTCACCTCTGTTTGAAATACTCCTTAATTTGTCCTTTTTGAGAAGATACACTTCTATTTCTTCTGGATTAAGCACATCCTAACGTAATTCTATTTTTTCCAACAGAGTGTCTGAGATATGAAAAGATTTATTGCTAAGGAATAAACAATTTGTTAAAAGCATGTTATTGTTTCTCTTAGCCTTCATCGATTTCCTGGCATGCACTTGTAGGAACTTGTTTTCACTTGGTTTTTATTTTTATTTTCTGATAGATACAGGGTCTCATTATGTTGCCCAGGCTGGTCTCCAACTCCCGAGCTCAAGCAATTCTCCACTTCAGCCTTCCAAAGTGCCAGGATTATAGGCATGAGCCACCATGCCCAGGCTCTGTTTTCACTTATTTTTAATGCCTATACTTGCTTCAAAGTTAGCATCCTTCAAAGGTTAGCAATCTATAATATACCATCACTGGATTCCACATTTCCAATTAAAATATTTTGTAAACAGCAACAAACAATGCTCAGGGAAATTTTTAGAAAGTTCTCAAGTGTTGTGATTTAATCTCATTTTCACAATTTTTGGATGCTCTGATCTCTATTATTCTACATGCATTTAAACATGTTACAGTCAAATGCATGTTCTATAATCCAGTATTGAGCAAAATTTTGCTCTTCACTCTCTTAACCTTCATTTACCAAAGGACTAAAGCAGTAAAAGCTAAGGCAGAAGCATCTGATTTCATTGAGGTATGCAAGGAAACCTGATTACTCACATTTTTAAAAATATCCCCATAGAATTTACAGACAGGCCACACAGAGGGGATGCAGTTTCTTTCTCTTTCTAGAGATAGATCCCTCTGCCCCCACTAAGCATACCCAGACGCACGAGAATCAAACATCTGCTTAAAGGCATTTTGGAGACCATCTAACCTCTCAATTCCAATATTTGATAAACTTCTGCATCCAGAAATCCTCTTTAGTATCTAATACAAATGCCCTATTCTTCTTTTTAAATCATTTCCCTCTTGTCCTTTCTTCGGTGAAGAATAAAATTAGCTGGTTATTATGATCTAAACAATAGTCCTTCATGTCTGTGAAAACCTGAAATAACATATCCTTCCACTTTTTTTTTTAAATTAGGCGATTTCAGACTTATTTTTGCCTCTGTTTATGGGTTTTTTAAAATTATTGTGTGTCTTATTTACATGTCCCAAAGCCATATTTGTTAAACTGTAAATATTCTCTAATTAAAGTAAAATAAACCTTCACAATTCTGAAAATATTTGGTTAAACTTTCATAGTTTCGGCAAGTTTTCCCAGAATGAGACTATACGTGCAGTTTTAAGGCATATCATGTTTCTACCTTAAGAAACGAATTAAGACTCTGAAGATGCTTAGGAGGAAATAAGCACTAAGAAGGTGATCATGAATGCAATGATAATTTTACTTATTGTTCTCCTATAACATGTAAGCCATGCTGAATGTGACGTGTTTCTTGTACCCTCAAGAAGTTCACAATCTTGTCAAAGACACAAATGTATCTAAAATACTATAATACAATAAATATAATATACAAGATGCTGTGGAGTCCAGCTAACTCTGTGGGGTCAGGGTGGCAAGAAAAGGCTGAGAAAGACTTCAGTGAGGTGAAATCTAAGCTGAGTCTGAAATAGGAGGTTCACCAGATTGCAAAACAAAAATGAAAAGTTTTAAAGCAAAATGAACACATGCAAGGGCAAAGAGATTTAAAACAGCTCAATCTGCCCAGATAACTGAAAAATTAGAAGGGCTAAAGTACAGAGGAAAGGAAAAGTCAGGGCACTGGAGTAGCAAGAGTTTAAACCGAAAGGACAGTCAAGGCTTCGGTTGTAGAAGAATTTTCCGTACAGCTAAAGAAATAGGACTCTGTCCTGCAGACAGTTTAAGAAGAAAAGTAACAAGGCCAAATAGCTGTGTGTTAATGCTATTGCACAGGGTGGCTTGCAAAGAGGGAAAATCAAAAGACAAGAAAACCAACCAAAAGGCTGACTCAGAAGTTCAGTCAAGGCAGAATGTAGGTGTGTGAACTAAAACAATGAAATAGGGATGAAGGAGAGGCCATGAAATTAAGATATTTTTGAAAGCTAGGATCAACAACTTGGTTAGCAATTTGAGGTTTATTGTAAAGAACCGAGGTCTCTAAGGATAAATATCAGGATTTCAGTTTGGATGGTGATGCCAGTAACTTAGAAAGGCAACAGAAGTAAAAGAGCAACGTTGGTCAGGAAAAATCATGATTTCACTGTTGGACTTGCTGAGTGTAAATTGTCTGTGGAGTGTTGCGTTAAAGATTGGAGTTGGCGTGTAGATGGTGTTTTGTGCAATGCACAGCCAAGGGCTAAGGGAGCAAGTCCAGAGGTGTTGCCTTTTTCTAATCTGCACAGGGACACTAGCAGGGATCAGGTGAGGATGTCCAATGGACAGCTTCGGAGGGAAGAACCAGGCTGGAGACAACAATGTGGAAGACATCGCTGTTCAAAGCTGTGCTGACCAATACAGTAGCCAGTAGCCAGTATCCAGACATGTCTAAATTTAAAATAATCAAAATTAAATAAAGTTAAAAATTCATTTCCTCAGTCCCACTAACCACATTTCGTGTGCTCAATGGCCAATGTGGTTAGTGGACACTGTATCAGGTGGCACAGGTGTAGTCATTTCCATCACAGAAAGTTCTATGGGACAGTGCTGGCATGGTGCATGTAAAATAAGAGGAAAGGGGCTCACACCTGTGATCCCAGCACTTTGGGAGGCCAAGGCGGGCGGATCACGAGGTCAGGAGATCGAGACCATCCTGGCCAACACAGTGAAACCCCAACTCTACTAAAAAGACAAAAAATTAGCTGGGAGTGATGGCGGATGCCTGTAGTCCCAGCTACTCGGGAGGCTGAGGCAGGAGAATGGCTGAGGCAGGAGAATGGTGTGAACCCGGGAGGTGGAGCTTGCAGTGAGCCAAGATTGCACCACTGCACTAGAGCCTGGGCAACAGGGTGAGACTCTGTCTCAAAAAAAAAAAAAAAAAGAAAAGAAAAGAAAAAAAAAAAGGAAAGGTTTCGGGACAGAACCCTAGGGAAAGAAGAGGTCCACAAAGAGGAGGGAAGGAAGATGAGTTGAGTAAGAAGGAGTGGTCAAGGGTGTAAAAAACAAAAAAAAATAAAGGAAGAAAATCACGCCAGTGTGACCTTCAGAAAAGAGTTCAAAGAGACTAAATATTCAATAAGAAAAGCTGAAAAGAGGTCAAATAAGAAAAGGAGTAAAAAATTACCTATAGGTGGTTCATTTTACCCTGACAATTGGTATAGTATTGGAATTGTTACCAATTACTTTGGATGTAAAATATCAACGAGATTAATTCTTTTACTCAGACGACGTGTTTAGCTTTTAGAAAGAAGAATTCAATTGCCCATAGGAAGGGAAATGTTGGCAATATGACATTCTCTTCCCATACTTTAATCAAGAAGGGGAGGACTTGTATTAGCCATCATCCTTCTGGGAGTGTTTCTAAGGGTGTCTAATTAAGGTCTATATAGTTGCTGAGTAAGTTTCTTGAAAGCCTATGTCAATTACCTGTATTTAGACATCAAACAGCATTATACAGTTTTCTTCTCGGATCAAAAATAAAGCTAATACAACAGTGGTTACCAGGGACTGAGGGCAGAGAAATGGGAGTTATTGTTTTACAGGTACAGAACTTCAGCTTGGGATACAAAAAAGTTCTGAAGTTGAATAGTGGTGAAGGTTGTACAACAATGTGAATGTACTTAGTGCCATTGAACTACAAACTTAAAAATAGTTGAAATGGTAAATTTTGTGGTATGTATATTTTACCACAGTAATTTCTTTATAACCAAGCTGAGTTGAAACATGTAACATGTTAGAGAATCTGGACAAAACCTTGCACAACCCTCTACGCCTGAGAAATTTAACATATCAAACATAAATGCTGAAAACACTGCCCACAACATCTGTTACTTGAAGTAATGCAGGTATCTGTATTAGAAAAAATAAAACAAATTTAGATGTCACCAACAGAACAAAAATGCATTAGGCCAGTTTCATAATTAAGATGGCATTTATACCCTTTTCCTTAGTATTTGCTCCTTTGGTCAGTAGCAGCAGTTAGCTGGTAGAATGGCAGATTATAAATATCAGCAGTAAACCCCAAGGCAACCACGTTTGTACAGGCAAAACGCTCACTCTGCAATTAAGGGACAGTGAGTACTCCATGCATCACTCCTTGCGCATTCTCTGACAGACCCAGGAGCAAGGCTTAGGGAAAGGAACGCAGAAGGAAGAACCCTGAGAGAAGCCAATGGCTGCTTCCATTTGTGCTACTGCAACCAGGAAGCAGAAAATTTCAGGCTAAAAATTAAATAAAAGCAGGTGACAATTCATGAATGTACAATACTACAATAAGCCAATGAATGTTTGGTCCAGAATCTTTTATAAATTATACAATAACTAATCTCAAGTAGTTTTTAACTCTACCTCCCATCAGCATCCAGGCATTTCTCTGTAAGCATATTGGCAAACTGGAAGTAAACATGTGCATGTTCATGGATCACATGCTATTTCCTCCCAAAGATATTTACCAATATGAAGAACAAGACCATCTTTCAATCAACTCAGTCTTCCTTGCCTACTATTTGGAGTTCTCTTCCGATATACAGAATTCAAGCATTCTGCTCAAAACAGAGTTTCTGCTGATGTCACAACCTAACAAATCAAATCATCTTATGGCTGTAAGTTAAAAAGGTGCTGGTACAATGTAAGACAAGACACTGGACGTGAAAACCAACCAAAGAGAAAGAAGAAAGAAGGAAACCAGAAAGACAGAAAAATACAAGAGATGAGTCATACTATACTTACAACTTTCAGCCTGATAGTCTGGTACAAACTGCTCATCATTGTCAGGTACCTGAGCTGAAGAAGAAAAAGAAAATTAAAAAAAATTAAGAGAGAAACTGCCAAAAGCATAAGGAATGTCAAGTAAAATCTGTCAAGTAAGATCTTCTTGGGCTGAGATCAAACCTATGATTATTTGCCAATGAGCTCCTATTTAAAATGGTATTGACAACACTACTTAGGAGGAGAAATGGAAGGGGATCATTGATGTCACCTAGGAACCATATATATGTCAGAAATAGGATGATGGCAGGTGTATTCCCTCCGAATTTCACCTGCCAGATGGAAATAAAAGAGATGCAAAATAAAGAAAGCTATAGAATTTCCATTTCCTGCAGTTTTTTTTCAAGAATAGAGCAAAAGCTATTTCAATTCACCCACTGCCAGTGTGTAAGCAGCCCACTTAAATTAACCACACAATTATTTTAAGTGATGTGCAGTTATCACACACGTCTCTCTGCTTTTTTAGAAACGTCTGCTGGTATGTTCTCTGTCCTGCAAAATACACCATATTTTAAGATGCTTGCACTGAATTTTGCCAAAGTATGCTACAAAGGTTTTTAAATGGAAGAATGGTCCTTGATTTGGCTCATATATAATAAAGTATTATATTTCAAAGATTATATTCACATTAACAAAATAACAAACAATAACACAAATGTCATCTTTTCATTCAAAATATTTTCCTGGCAACTACTAGGCATTAACAAAAAGAATATCACTAGTTCGTCAGTCCTCATGTCAAAAGACGTTCCTATTTTTAGTCAAGGAAAAATACTGAATAGCAAGGACTTAATGCATTTGGCAGCAATCAAAACACAAGTGCATTTTTCACTTCTAAAATGTTTTCATCACAGTTGATTTAGACATCGAAGTAACCTATTCCAAACTGAATATTAGTAATAAGCTTTCACAAACACACATAAATACATGCAAACACACACACACACACACACGCCCAAAAAATAGAAGTTAGGTTACTTTTAATTTGATAAAAATATAATGAATTATCATCCTAATTAACTTTAGCTGTCATTTGACTAGGTAGTATTACTTCATTAGTGTTACGTAATACTGAAACTTTTTTATCCAGCCAAGTCATATTTAAATAGACGTTAATTAACTTTCTTAAATGAGCCTATTCTGCATGAGGAATGCTTATTAAAATAAACAGTCTCTTTTGAAAATGCTTCAGGTTGGTAACTGAATGGCTTAAGAAAAAAATCTACATAAAAAGGAATTCTACATTTTAAAAAAATTTTATATAAAAAAGAATACAATATACAGAATTAAAGTTTCTTTTTATTAGTTTAATATTATTCTTTAAAAACAGACATTTGGCTGAATAAAATTTACGTTATATTATGAAGAGCATAAGAATCTGATAATTGTGCCTGTTATAAAAACGTATGCAGTTTGACATTCAACTGTTTTCTAACAACTCTCTTCTGTACACCAATAATTAACCTTATTACCAATGCACTCTACCCCCGCTACCAAACAAAATCAAACAAATTAATAATTTTTTCAAGTTTTAACTGATACCTATTTGATCAGCCTATATTGCAAGGAGAATTTTTTTCTCTTCATATTGCTCCAATATCTGATACTGTGGGTAACAACTTCAAAGTTAGCAAACTGCAAATCTTAATTCTGTGACATGCTAGTTGTGCAACTTTGGTTAAGTTTCTGAACCTCTTAGAACTGAATTTTACTTATCAGTTTACTAGTGAAAATACAGTTTTTTGGTGAGGATTAAATGAAACAGTCTAAACGCAATGCCAGCTACTCAAGAAATGTTCCTTATTTTCTTCTTTCCAGTCCTCTACCCACCAACCCTTGTCTTTCAAGTCATCCACAAAAAAGTACATGTCATTACAACGCTCAGTTTAATATCTTTACTTCTAATGAAGTCTACTAGAGAGGCAACGAAACAGCTAAAATCTGTACATTAGCATTCTCTCAGCTATTAACACAACATATTTTTTTGACACTGCAGAAAAAAATGTTCTAAAAGATTCATAAATTACAAGGCGAAGGGTGTGCTTTCAAGTAAGTCTTCATATCAAAAAAATTACAAGTGTTTTAAATATATATTTAATAAATAACAGCAAGTACACAGATTCAAATCCTGCACATTTTTCCCATTATATCATTGTTTTGGTTTTCCCTCAGAATTAACAGCTAAACAGATATAACTATTGAGATGCAAATATATCAACCACAACAATTACTGGGCTTTTAAAAAGCCAACATTTATAAGAATCTAATAAAAATATAATATCCCTTTACAGGAAAAGTTAAAAATAGCTGGTGAGTAACAAAAGTATACTTGTAACTGAATATGATGGTATGAATGTTCTAAAGGTCTTTTGTTTGTTTTTGTAGCATCGTAAGCAGATTTGCAACTTCCTAATATATGTCACTGCAAGAGCAGCACAGACTCACTGATGGGTGTGTGATGTGTGCTGGAATATGTGTGAGGAAAAAAGGGCCAAATTTTAGGAGTAGAATAATCTAGAAGTTATACCTCGCAAATATACAGAAAATAGCTGCACGATAACAATCTGTAAAGAGTAAGAATAAGAATTCCTATTTCTGTTCTAACTCCTTAACATACTGAATAAATACTTCACACTTATTCCTGAACATATTACAGAATTTTAACAAAAAACATATGACTCACATTTTCACAGAAGCTAATCTTAAGAAACTGAATAGACCAAACGAAGCAGCATGCTACTTAAATAGACAAAGGCTTAAGTATACCTCTAATTTCAAGTTAGAGTAAACGGAAAGCAGTTAACTAAAAACACAAGTTGGATCTAGGCAAGGAAAATATGACAAAGTATTGCCACACTTGTATCATACATTTCCTTTTTTCTTCAATTCAGGGGAATACTGTGAAGGAGCAAACTGCAGCTGCCTGAAAACTTGCAGCAAGCCATACCAACTCCAAAGTTGAAAATTAACAATAGAGGTCAGCCTAAAAAAGCAATGTTTTTTCCACTACTATCTATTATAAACTGTGCTGGATATAATCACCTTTGGGGAATGAAAATGTTTCCCCACACTATGTAATTAAAGACGAAGGGGAAGAGGAGGAAAGGAGAAGGGGAGAAAGTATATACCAAAAGACCAATAAAATGCTTTCAAGGAGATTAAGCATGTGGATTTTATTGGTAATAGCTGGAGCGGCTCTATCAGTTCATTGCACGTTAATAGACCAGTTGCCATCAAGTCTCAGGATGTCGGCTTTAAAAGGGCAGTATCTGCACTCTCAGCTATTTGTTTTACCTAGATTATTATCCAAAGTTGTTTTACTGTTTTCTGTCTTTTTGCTACGTATCAATGCATATTATCAGAAAGAAATTCATAAAAATATTAATCATGACCTATATGTCACAAACTCACCAATTCTCCTTTTTAATTTTAATACTTTTCTTAACTAATATTGCCTTAGAGATGGGTAATTTTAAATATAGCTTGCCTTTATGTTATGCTTATTTTTAACTTTCAAATGAAATAATAATCATTACTTAAGAAAAAGTAAGCGATGAAAAAGTTTCCAAGGTTGGCTGCAGGGAAGCGAAAACCCTCCTATTCTTACAAACTATGTGCCTGTTGGGTTTTTTTTTAAAGCTAAGGAAAAAGTGGAAGAATTACAAATAAAACAAACGTCAAGTATAAAAGGGGTTAATATTTAATTAAAACCAGTTCTATCCACTGTAACAATGACCTGGAGCCAAACAAGGCGGAAGATGTATGAGTCATTCTTTCTGCCCGTGAATGAGACAGCTGATCTCCTCAGCAATTCCTCAAGACAAGCAGGCAGAACTGGAGTTCTGCCTCCATTCACAAAAACACAGTCCAGCATATGAGCCATGTGGCCCAACCACAATCTTTTCATGTCACACCCTTCCAGGGAGCTAAAGCAAGTAAACTTGGACTTGCAATATAAACACACCAATTTTATTGCTCTGTCTCAGAGCTCAGATCCATTAAAGGAACACATTTAAATAAATGACGTTTACAAAGTTACATACATACATACATACATACATACATACATATATATATATACACACACACAAATACATACATGCATCCTGCTTTACAGAGTAACTTGTTACAGAAACTTGCATGTATAAAACTAAGGAAGAAAAAAGGAAAAGACAGAAAGATGCAAAGAAGGTTTCAAGAAAGGGAAAAGAAAAACCATTACGGAAATGCCTTATTTTTCTTTTCTATTATCCAACTATTTTTATCATAAGAATACTGTAGATTGTTTGCTGAACTTTGTAGCATTTCTCTTTGAATCAAAGAGTTAGAAACAAATTTCTCATGAGAAATTTAAATTTTATTTCAAATAAGAAGTAAAAAAAGAAAAATCCACCTTCCTACAGTGGTATGCTGTTTAATCCTAAATTGAAGCTACAGGCCATGGAACAAAATAATCATGAGTCCACTAAGCTTGGTTTTATACCACATCCACTTTTAACATTAAAATGATTGTACAAATGTAAAAGCATTAATTATGCAGAAGTATAAACATATTTAAACATACAAAAAGGAGGCAACTTTCCAATGACAAAACACCTTTAATACTTGATCAAGGCATTATTTCCATATTTCTATATTCTTACTGTAACAGTAAAGTTTTAGTCGTTGTGTCAAATCAGCTTCAATTCCTAACTAAAACTGACCTGCAGTAACTTGAAAACTTAAGGGAAGCTCAGAGCCAACTAGCCGTTGTTTCTAGCCAAATATTTTCTCTAATGCTACAGAGGTCTGACTCTATTATTATTTTTTATTATAACATTATACACAAATCAAAGGGAATAAAGTTATACTACAAAATGTAACAAACTGCACATTTCCTATAACTGAAATAGAAAAGCTTAGCAATATTTTATTTATTAGGATCCTCTGGAAAAACTACACTATACTACACCAAATCCTATTTTTCTATTTTTAAAAAAAATTTCTATTTTGTAAATAAAACATGGATGAAAAAACATTTATGCAATTCCAATGAATGTTTAGAAATAAAATATACTTTATCTGCTGTCTTTAAGTCAAACTCAAATGGGAAGTCTTTCTCTCATATTTTAGATTATTTTCTAGCACATCAAAAAGAGGGGTGATAGCCCATCCTCTCCCCGCCCACACACACATGAAATTATTGTTGTTCAATTATAAGAGATTATATGGAGTTCTGTAATTCAATGCTTAATTCTAAATTCATGTTTTATGTAAACCACATAAAATAATGTCGTTTTTAAAGCCTTTAATCCTTATTGCACCAAGTGGGGGAAAATAATTCATGAGCACATAACCAATTTTATGTTCCATTAAAAAAAAGTAGGATTTCTGAAAAATAAAAATGAGTGTATTATGACTACTGTATATTGTGGATGACATTACACATAGTAAGTAACAATAGCACATATTACTTATGATTTTGAATATAAATTTACCATCAGCCATTAAAGCGAATTGAGGGGAAAGTAATGACATCTCTGCTTTTAAGTTGACCTGACTGTTGTTTGAAGGTCACATAAAACCAAAAGGAAAAAACCCTTATTCGTATGATGTAATAAGCTTTGCTGTAGAAAGGTTGTTCTTGCAGATAAAACTCCTACTCGAAGTGTGGAGGCAGCACTAAACTTGACTCAATACAAAACCACTGGAAAACATTTTACCCTGAAGACAGAGAATATTGTTGATGAAAGTGAACCTGAAAGAACATCTAGACCGGAAACAAAATAACAGTCAAGAGAGCAGCTACACATTTACATCAGATATATACTGAAAATTATTATTTCCCTTTAAGTTGTGTTAGTAGGTGAGCTTTAAGAAGCAAATTTGGAAGAATACAATCCTGTCTTAATTTTTTACATCTTTCTATTTTTGTTCTGGATACACAAGAGGTTCCATTTTAACTATGACTTTCAGGTTGTTAAGAATAAGACATCACCATGATGTTGATAGAATTGATATTTAAACTCATTATTTCATGGGATCAAATAATTGCAATTGCCTTTCTGTCAGTAGCAGTCTAATTTAAAAGACAAAGAATCAATAAAGAATTGCACATAGTAAAATTATAACATAAAGTGACTATGGCAACATTTTAAAATTGGCATATTCCCTGACTTTTTTTTTTTTTAACTACTGTGGTTACTGAAAACATTAACTTTGCAGTTTTCTTCAGAATAAGATAATTGTTTTAAACTGTGTTTAGATGTTAAAAAAAAAACCTTTAAATTGCAGTGTTATTTCTTGGGAAATGATATTAATGTAAAGTTATATTCTCCACCAACATATTTAAATCTCTGTATGGGAATTAACTTTCTTGGTAGAATGCAAGTATATTTTTACAGAGGACTTTACTGAACTGAAAATACTGGTCCCATCCCAACCCTCAAACAGTCCTGCCTTATCTATTCCAACTTCCCCTTAGAAATAAAAGAAATTTTATAATCCATAATAATTACCCATGACTAATCCATATGTTGCATTTGGGGTAAAATTTATGAATAGTCTTACAGAAAAAAAAAAACTAAACATGCTAAGATATCATTTCACAAATATTTGAGGACTTTTATAATTTTTCAAAAACACAATTATCATATGACATATGACAACTAACTTGACTCTTATGTCTAATAAGGTTTTTAGACCTGTTTAACTTCCCAGTGGAATTCTAACTCATGCGAGAAACTTGATTAACTGCCAATGATCTTTTTTAAAAGGGTCAAGATGTCTTAAAATTCCATGGTCACTTTCTTGGCTATGGAGCATTATGAAAAGAAATATGTAAACGGTTCATGGTCTGCCAATTTGGCAATGTTTTAATTTCTGGATGTCCAGAAAGACATAAATGGACACATCTCACTACAAATAAACTAGGGTAATTTGGGGATCTCTTCTTAGCTAATACCGTTCAAGAGGTGGGATAAGTCAAGTTAAAATATCAGTGCAAAATAATATATTTAATTTCTCAAAACAAAAAAAAAGTGGAGTCTAGAAACAAGAAGTTAAAAAGATCTCTTTTCTCACTATTAGGTTTTAAACATCACGTTAACAACTTTTTACTTACATCGTGATTAGATAAATTAACGTAAACTGTTTTGAAAACGCTTAAATTATTCTAAAATGAAATCTTATCCATAGTTTGTAAATAGTAGTCCACCTGGGAATTCATATAAAACACTCATGATTAATTCCTGAACTTAATTGAAATTATAATTCTTTTCTAAGTAAAGGTCCATGTTCTTCCAAATACACTGATCATTTTCTAGGATTATTTTTTGTAGTGCTAAATCTTCAGGTTTGATTTACAGGTATGTTAATAATCCCGGAGAAAGACTATTCTCTGCAGAGTTTTAAAAGATAAATTTGGATAAATTATTGCAATCACTTATCTGAGCTACAAGACACAAAACAAGTAAGTCAAAAGTTAAAAAAAAAGTACTGAAACTGATTATAAAATGGTAAGAGTCTGTCACAGATTCCACATTTTAAAATTCCAGGAACAGAGTTGCTATGCACATTCAAAATCTGCCAGCAAGTGCACTGACTTGGAATCAATGAGATTTAAACATCTAAGAACCAACAAACCTTCCAGAACAATTAAAATAGATATTTTAAGTTATTTTGGAGAAGCAAATAAATTCTCTCATAAAGGTAATGTTCTCACAACCTTTGACTTTGCAAAACTAATAGGCATAAGTTAATACAAGAATCTCCATGCAAATTTTCCTTGAAAAACTTGTATCTGAATATGACTTATGTTGCAATAAAAAGTAATGTATTGCAGTAAGTTTCATTTACACAGACTAGCAAAATGATCCTTAAATATAGCCAAAACTTTCAGTAAGTCTTACCTTCATTAACATATAAATACAATCATCCTTTCAAAGGACTATTAGGAAAGCTATTTAACTTTAAAGATTGATAAAGATTGAAAAAGCTCTTTGGAGAACTAGACTATCAGCAAAACAAAGAAACTTATTTTACATGCTAACAGCAACTTGATCAACTGCATTCAAGACCACCGATAAAACACGTCAGTCTGCCTCAAAGTAGCTACAGTAACACCTGGGTTCCATTTAAAGAGACCCACTCTCTCCTTTTTAACCATCTTAAAATCTGTTCCAAAATTTGCATGTTTCCCATATAATGTGAACACACAAATAATACTGTTATACACTCAATGCTTAAATATCTATAATTTTTCTCTTTGTATTTCCCACAAACCACACCATAAAATTAATGTTTCACATTTGTATGCCAAATCCAAAAGAAAAATTTCAAATTATGAATGCCAACAGAAGTCCCTCAACATTAGGCATTTTTGAAGTTGTATAAAGCTTTATGAAGCAATCTCATTTTCCTATAAAGTTGCATACGATAAAAGATATAACAGATTGCACCACAAAATTTTAACAAAAAATAATTCAAAATGAAAGTAATGCCTTTAAATGTATCCTTGCTCTATTAAATAAATCCTAATAAAACTGACAAAATAGCAAAGGTCAATTTCAGCAAACATAACATGAATAGTAACACATGGAAAACATTTTTAAAATCCTCATATCTCCCATTTATTTTAAACCCATAGATTTCCTAAGCATTAGATACACACCTAACGTTCTGTGTTGTGAACAAGGTGGAAAGAAGACACTTGCACTTAAATCTTGAAGCATCCCGTCCTGATGAACCCAGAGAAACTAATTTCTGCCATCAGAAAAGTCCTCCACCAGAACACCAAATAATGATATGCGCTGCTCTAAAGGAAACAGCAAGCCAGCCGGGTTCTGGCTCTAGGAGGTCTCTGGAGGTACAATAATATAAACCTGATCAATTGCAATTAAAATCTGAACAGAGGCTTAGAACTTGAAGTCTTGGTGCATTAGTTCTTGCCAAAAGCAGATGTGATTGTGAGCTGGAAGCAATTTCTCCTGGTAATTTGTGATGACACTGGGTAGTACAGCCCCAGAGTCCCCAAAGACAAACTCATCAGAGGCTCTAATGTATGCATGACACATGAGGTGGCTCTTTTAGAGCTCAATTAATTGGGCTGAATATTAAGACAGCAAGTTCAGGACTTCTTTTCTTTCTCCTTCTAGAGTTGCTTTCCCCCCTTTTAAAGCAAATTTTGCCTTACCTTCTGCAAGCCATGTTTCCTGTAATTGACTTAGATCTTGAAAGAGTTCTAAAAAACAAGTCAAAGACATAAACATAAGATTTGCAAATCTTTAATCTTCATTAAATGGAAATATTTGTCATGAAATTGGTATTAAATATAAATTTAATTTCAAGAGACGCAGTCAACATAAAAATAAAAAAAAGAGGCATAACTTAAATATCTCAATAATACTGCCTACTTTTCATGCCTATTAAGCAACTCTTTAAGAAATTATTTTAGTCAACTAAAGAATAAAGTCAATCATCTTTTCTTCTTTTTAACAAACAGCTTAATAAATAAGCTCAGGGATACCAGAATTCACAAAAAGGCTGAGGTGAATATGTGTCTGTTCACTGAAATCTTCCTTAAATATATTTAACTCTTGCTAAAATAGTAGTAGGGGGAAGATTAGAAAGACTGAAAAGCATTTTATTTATATCTTCTGAATCTTACATAAAATATATAATGGTACATGGTACAACTGTCAAAGTATTATGTTTTCAACTTCAATACCTCGAAACTAAAAGAAACCACTTCAAATACAAGTTTTTAGAGGAAAATTTCTACATTAATAGGTTTATAAAAGTCAGAAAGATAATTCTTTGGCACCAGGTTCTCATCAAGTTCTAAACTATATGGTCATGTTAGGGAGGGAGAGAGGGAGGTATTTAAATGGTATGAAGATTTGAGGAAGTTTCAGAATTCAGTATATCTAATTAAAATTGCCAACTAAACTTTGATAATTAAATCTAAGTATATTAAGTTTATTATGAATGTCCTCATATGGCTAAAATAATTTGTAACATACTGACATCCTAGCAACAGTTCATAAAAAGAATCTGCAAACTAATTTCCCAAATAGTATTATAATTATTAAGGAGGCCTTAAGTATGATTCAGTGAACACATTATGGTCGATAAACAAGGTATTATGACCTCACAATTTAGTCATCAAAATCACCCTTGAAAATTCTGTTAATAGTAGATGGTTTTAGTGTAAAGGAGGTGGGAAACCAAACAATCACTAATACTGTTTAACTTGTAATAAAGGAGAAAGAAAAAAGTAAGCAGTGTACATAGCTGCTGAATTTGTCCCACTGTATTGGATATTTTTAAATTGTTATCTTAGTGAATGGGGTGAGTTATATGCCCCATGGACAAAGGTATTTAAACACAAAACAATGATTAAAAGAAGGTTGTCATTGAGAAGTTTTTATTTCCTTCTTTCATTACTTTGTGATAGGACCATAAAATAGTCTCCCATGCAAACTGCCGCATTATGTAAATCGTTCCAAGTTAAAGTCTTAGTTAGATTCAGTAATTTCAAAGTTTATTATTTTTAAGATAAGACTGAAGTGCTCCTTTTCTTTTAGCAGGGTGGAGAGTGTAGGTAAAAAAATGGGGATTCAGCCCAAAATCAAACCTCACCTTCTGAATCATGAGCCAGATCTCTGTTAATGAATTTTCTTTTCCTGACATTTGTTGGTTTCTCGTTACAATTTCTCCCACGCTGACTCTACAAAGGGAAAGATAAAATCCTTTAAAAGAATGTAAACCTCAGATCACACACACGCACACGCGCGCGCACACACACACACACAGACATGCATACATAAGTCTAATGGATCTTCTCTGAATAGAAAAATAGAAGTCCATAGTATCAACTCTAATATTCATTTTCTCACTTATTTGACAGTGAAAGCTTATGTTAAGCAGGCAGGGAGAGTTGCTTCCCAGTGCCGATCTTAGCACATTACTATTTATCAATCATATATTCATGGTATCTCAGCATCAAAACAACCTGAAGCATTTACACTTAAAGTTGTTTTTAGGCTGGTTCAATGCTAGATTAAAACAGTGGGTTTTATTCTCTCTTGGACAGCCCCTCCTCCCCACCCCACCCCCACAAAAAAAAAAAGCAAAAAGAGTAGAGAAATGAAAAAAAAAAAAAAGAGAAAATGAGAAAAAAAAAAGAAACAAAAACACCCCATATAAACAAAAAGTGTCAGCATTTGTCTCAACTTCATTCTTTTCAATGTGGCAGACAAACCCAGCCAAAAACTTTGAGTGCAGCAGCTGCTGCTGCCCTCCATCTCCTCTTCCACTCATGTTGGGCACTTTAATCAGAAAAAGGGGTCTTAAAAACAAAACTATGCCTTATCCAAATCACTGAAAGGTAAGCTCATTTTGAAGACTGGGCTTCTAGAAGCAGAGTCGCCCTACAGTGGCAACAAAGCAGATAAGTATCTGCAATCCCAACCCCCGTGCCCCCTCCCTTCTCATTTTCTCCCTCTCCCCACCCCCGACGGAGTCAAGTTTATAAACAGCAACTTTCAAACTGATCACTCACATTGGTGACCATGTAAGGCACTTGCTGGTCATAAAATCCATCCATGCTGCTGCTCTTCGCAAATCTCAGCTCAGTATTTTATATTTTGAGCATTTAGCTGGAGATTTCCTCAGGATCTGGACTTCTATCAACCTAGAGGGGAACAAGATGGCTTTTAGGCTTAAAAAAAAATCATGAATGAAGCTCTTGAATTTGCATAGCTAATTACCCTCCGACAGTCCCATTCACAAAAATAACCCTCCCTACACCGCCTCCTTCACCTGGATCCAAAGAGAGCCAACAGAGTTCACAATTTACATATTTTCGGTAGTAGCAAAAATCCGAACAAGAGGCGATGTATTTATTTACACTCTCGATGTTTCCCTGCGCGGTCGGTGTACCCCGGGCAGCTCTGATTCGCAAACGTGTGCAAAACTAGCAATGGCGATCAACGAGACTTGCTTTGCACCTAACGGGACTAAAGAGACGGAGACACCTCTTTCATCAGGATAGTTTTTGCGACCCACAACCATGCAATTATCTGGAGAGACATAAAAAGTTGTTGGAAAGACCCACCTGAAGGCCACGCTAGGCGAAAGGCTGCAAAAACTTCCCTCCAAATTTAATAAAAACATTAATTATAGCCCAGCACTTCCCCCTTGGAAGCCGAAAGCGCCTCTGACAGAGCTCAATTCGGTGGTTTTTCCTCTACTTCTCCTCCAGGGGCCTCCAATCCAAACTGATGGATCGCTGCCTCCCATTGGCTCCGCGTCTCTTTCACAAGATCAGATTTCGGGCTGTCAATCAGGCGGCTTGCTGCCCCTTCCCGCGGGTCTCCCTCGCCCCTCTGCCCTAGGGGGTGCTCGGCCGGTAGGCGCTGGGTCCTCAGCCTGGAAGCGCCACGGAGAGACTCGATTTCCTCTGTAACCCGCTGCTTATTGTTAAGGCGCCTGGGGATACTGAAACCGTGTGTTTCGAGTCGCCAGTTCCCATTATTGGGGTGTTAGGTCCACTATTGGGCTGGTTTCCTTAAAGTACTGTTGTGCGGTTCTGGTATACCCTTAGAGCCGCGATCCACAAAGCCCGTACCGCCTTATTCAGCTGCCCTCCCCTCAGGATCTCCAACCTCTCTACTCTTGCCCTGACTAGGAGCTCACCTCGCTCTCTATCCTCATTCCCACTCAGCTTTTGGCCCAATTTATTTTCCCGTTTTTCAAAACCCACCATCACCATTATGGTTTATCGAAACATTTTTTAAACAGTCATCCTCAACTAAAATTAGATCCTATCGTTCGTGGGACAGAAACATAAAGAATCTATAAGGAAGGCACCTAGGAGATGCAGAATTGCTGATTAGCAGAGGTTGTGATGGGAGGACAACAGAGCAAGCTAGGTGAAAAAGTATAAGTCAAAATGGTCCCTACGTGTGCACTGGGAAAAGGTACTTCCAGTCCACTGTGGCTGTGGGGAGGAGGAGGGAGTGCTTGGGGTTGCTCGTATATCCTAGAACCCGCACGTTTCCTGAGCTTTTGTTATGTATACACGGAGGCGGAGGGTGTCACTTACTGTACTTGACGCTTTCACTTCCTCTCCAGCTTTTAAACAGCCAGAGCCCAGGGTTGGGGGCGAGCGGTGAGATGGCTCGGGTTTCAAGGACAATAACTAGGACGTTAAGCAGTGAGGGCTGCATCTCTGAAGCCACTTGCCCTGATCCTCCTATGGGACTCAGAACAGTAAAGCGTCACTTTAAGGAGCCAGTGTCCAACAGCGGACGGGAGGCCGCGGGGATAGGACCAGGGACTCAATGCTGTTGAAATTCATTTGTGACCAGAACTAGTGACCAAAAGACGTTTCCGGCAGCTGTTCCGCCCGTTAGGAAACGTGCTGCAGTTCTCAATTTCTATTTGAAAGTTTCCTTCCTTAAATAGAACGTTATGGAGACACATTAAAATGGAGTGTAAGAGCGCACAGCACTCAACCCCGGACCTGGGCAGGAGAAAGATCTACTTAAAAAAGAAGCAAACAAACAAACAATCAACACTTATTACTGGGAAAACAACCAATAACTATGGACAGCAAAGACAGACCCCGCGCATTCCCGGAAACTACTAAATCGGAGTTCACAACGCGCGCACCTATAAGCATTTTGAGCGGGAACTGCATTTTAACCCCGGCCAAGGAGAGATTCCAGGAAGCGCCTGGGCCCCGAGGCTGAACAGTGAAGCTCATGGGTACTATCTGAGGGTGCAACCAAGCAGGGGGTCAATAACAAGGGTCCTCCACCACCCTGCACTCCTGGAATAACCCAGCGCCTGTAATCTGAGCAACAGTTTCCAAAGACCTTCTCTGCAGCCCGAGCCTGACGGGTATCCAGGGTAACCGCGAGGGGGCGGAGCTTCGGGTTAGGTCCCGGCGAGGTTCTTCCCGCAGCCAATAACGAGCCGTAAATCCCCAGCCCATTGTTGTTTATTGCTGACCCCTCAGCGCTCCGCTAGGAGATTGGCCGCTTTAGGGAAGGGGGCGGAGTCCCGCCCGCCCCAACAGCCACCTTTCGTCTCCATTCACAAAATTCCGGCCCTTCTTGGTCACGTGGTTGGGGGCGTGGAGGGGTAGAGGAAATGACACAACAAAGGCCCAAGTATCCCAAACCACAAAACTTTTTTCAGCTCGCTGCCTCCTCTTTGTCCTGTCCCTGAAACAGATACTAGATGAGGAAAAAGAGGTTGGGGTCTGGGAGTAATAACAAGAGAGAAAAAAATTAAGACCGAAATTAAAGGAAGGCTCACGTGGGGATAATTCCGGCGTGCACTGCTTAGACAGCTTTTGCACTAGAGGAAAGAAAGAATTGAGAGTGGGGAGAAAGTCTTAAGGACTGGGAACTTTTGCTTGCTGCTTCAAGTCATTGCTTTTAAAGGTGCAAACTGTTCGACTGTAGATGGATTTCAGTTTTTTCACTTAACATTCTGTAATTTTCATTTCTACCTTTTTTTGTATCCCACAGTGTCTTGTTAGTTTTTTAAAGCTTTTATGTATTATTAGTATTATATATTTTTAGGAATATTGATGGTTTTCGCTGGCTGATAGCTTTAGTTTCCATTTCCAAAGACTTATCACTCCTTCCCAGGCCCCCATAAGCTCTGCGCCCCTTCTCCCTCCCTTTAGTGGACTGGCACTCTCAGGCGCTGCGCTGTTAAGCCTCAGATTTTACTACGTATTGCGGTGGCTTCATATTTTCCCTTTTGAGTTCTTTAAACGAACTCATATCTTTTAACTCTTTGATCTTCATAGTAACTGAAAATGATGTTCTCGTGTGAATAAGCAGCTAGTCTCGCTACAGCTCGGTTTTGTTGAAACAGCCTAAAATTTTGAGATAAATGTGTCCCTCTTGACTGTGAACGATTGAACCACCCTCTTTTCTTTCTCCCACTTTCTCTTCTGTCCTTTCTCTGCATTGATACTTACTGAAACACTATCTCTTCTGTCCTTTCTATGCCTTGATACTCAGACACTAGCTTCTAGTTTGGCAGTTGTTTATCTTCTCTGCTTGGCACTGGGAAAAACCAATAGACCCACTTGCTGAAGACAGTGGAAGGGCTGAAAATTTGTTTTTCAGAAAATGTAAGATCTTGGAAAATATCTGCAAAGGCAGCTGTTCTGTCTACAAGACAGGAACATAAAAAGCTGGACAAAGTTTCCACTACTTTTTGAGAATGTCTTTAAAACATCAGTTTAGTAAATGCCAGCCCTTTTGAACGGAAAATTTCATTTTGGCAGGATTTCAGGCATAGAATGGCAGAGCAGAGGCCAAGAGGCTTTGACATTTATTTGCTTGTATTTTGAAATCCCATTTGGATTTTGAAATAAGAGTTCTTGAGAGAAAGCTACCCCCCTCCAAAAAAAAGTCCATTTTTGAGTTTGGAAAGTTTTTAGGTTGCATGTAAAACTATTTAAATTTTTATATTTCCCTTGCTGTTATTTAATAAAGTAAAATAATATTCATTAGTGACTTCTCTACAGTTAACTTACTATGGCATTATGAAGAAATTGCACGTTGTTAAAGAAAGTGAATTTCTAAAAGCAGTTACAGAAAGGCAACAAGCTAAAATGGCGCTGCTTGTTTTAAATGGTTGCTATAATTAAAATCAAATGAAGTTTGCTCAAAATTGAGTAGAGTATTAAGTAAAACAGTAACTTTTAAAATTTGTTGTATTAAAACAGTATGTAAGGCAAATTGTTAAAGATCTAGTTTGCACAGTTACATCAAATAGATAAGAAAAAGATATAAAATTAAACAGCAAAATTGGCCAAGAAAATGAACAAGTGAAAATAATTCCAAAGGAGAACATAGAGTCCTCACAGGAGGGTGAAAGATAATCAGTGGCTTCAGGAACACTGTATGTGAGGAGTAGCAGAAATTTGAGAGGAGGGTGGAGCCTGGGAAGAAGGTAAGGGTATCAAGGAAACTGATACTATGTAGCTGTATACTCTCTCACTCTCAATACTGCCATTTTCAGCTGGTGACTATCTGTAAACTCCCTCAAGTAGAGGAATTGCAAACAACTTATAAATGTGGAAAAAAAAACTTTTAACTGCACCCCAAATCAGTACATTATACTGTACACTTAAAAAATAAAGAATTTTTTTATTTTTATTATTTATTTATTTATTTATTTATTTATTTATTTATTTATTTTGAGACAGAGTCTTGCTCTGTCACCCAGGCTGAAGTGCAGTGGCGCGATCTCGGCTCACTGCAACCTCTACCTCCTGGGTTCAAGTGATTCTCCTGCCTCAGCCTCCCAAGTAGCTGGGAGTACAGGTGCCCGCCACCATGCCCAGCTGATTTTTGTATTTTTAGTAGAGATGGGGTTTCACCATATTGGTCAGGCTGGTCTCAAATCCTGACCTTGTGATCCGCCCACCTTGGCCTCCCAAAGTGCTAGGATTACAGGCATGAGCCACCGCGCCCTGCCTTAAAGAATGTTTTAACTCATCAATTTGGAAGGAAGTTTCTAATATACTTAGAGTTGGATCCTAGGATAAGGGCACTCATGTATATTGCTGGTTGGAATGTGACTTTTTGAAACCTTTTGAAGGTAAGCTTACAATGTCTACTAGACTTTAAAATGAACATCTATTAGACCCTAAAATTATATCCAATAATCCTCATTTGGGAAATCTATACTACAAAAATAAAAGCAATGGTGCATGAAGACATTTATTGAAATATTAGGTACCAAGGAAAAAATCTGGCAGCAACTTCAGTATCCACCAATAAGGAAATGGATTTGACAAAGTATGATACTCTTATAGTTTGGAATTCAATTATCATTATATACCTGTTAAAAAGTATGCTATATGGTTGGTTCTCAAATTTGAGATTATATAAGACACTCCTTGTTAAAAAGTGACATCCCTGGGTGGATTCATAGAGTTTCTGATTCCGTAGGCTTGAGCAAATCACGTGGGAATTCTGTTGCAGGAGGTTGTGTTGCAGTTAGTATGTCAACATTTCTTTGAAAAATCGTGAGTTGAACTTCTACCTCACAAGTCCAAAAGGAAGCCAGCATTGTGTGCTAGTCCAGACCTGTTTTGCTTGACCCACATAATGTTGACCCTCAAGGGAAAGTTATTGTCAACATTCAAAATTCATATTATACACAAAAATTTAGACTTCCATTGCTTGAAAAATTAGAGAATATGGTAACACTGGGCCTAAATTCCCACATAGCAACCATGAGCTGGAGCTGATGTAAAGGAGCTGATGTTCCTCATGAAGAAGCATGGGCTCACAGTTTTGCCATGGTCTACATTCTTCCCCAAACCCTGTTTGTCTTGTTGATGTTACCTACCTTACCTCTGAAATGATTTGCATGCAACTATGATTTACATGTGACATAGCGTATTGAATGATAATAAAAGCAAGAGACAGAATATACAGTACCATATATTCTGTTTTCGTTAAAAAGAAAAAATAGTGTACATAAAGGTGTGTATATACACTTACACATATATATGTATTCACAACCTTTTTTTTGTTATTGTCCCCAAGGAGCTTTTTTAGACATGTTTATTCCTTATCACCTCCTTCTCATTATATTTTAATACCACAGTTTTACTGTGTATCTGTTTGTGTCCTGTAGTCCTTTAGAGTGTCACAAACCATTATGACACCTAAGATACATCCCTCCAATAACCAGTTTTCAACACTTGGGAGTAATATCACCCCCACTAACAATGTAAGGTATATATATCTATAGTTTTATTTTTTAAGATGCTATATTACCTATAAATATTAAAATTTTTATGATCAAATGAGTGGCAGGGAAGGATACACACTTATCTTTTACACTAAGTTACATTTTTCTAATAGTTTGGATTGCAAGTGGGAATCAAAAGATAATATTTTTTTCTAATACTTGAAATGGTTTGTTACAACATGCAAGTTTCATAGACGTATTTTTTCTTAACCCACTACATGAAGGAAGAAATCAGTAGTTTATTAGAGTTAATTAATTAGAGATAAATTATTAGCATTCAAATTAGAGTTTGCAAGGACAACAGAAATTTTTATTTATAGAACAGCAATATATCTAGGTGGTTATAGATCTTAATTTTTGAGTAATATATAAAGTTTGCAAAAACTAATAAGCAAGAAACAAAACACGAATCTCTACCTGCCTTTAAAAATACGATCGTTTGGCCGGGCACAGTGGCTCACGTCTATAATCCCAGCACTTTGGGAGGCTGAGGCAGGCGGATCACAAGGTCAAGAGATCTAGACCATCCTGGCCAACATGGTGAAACCCTGTCTCTATTAAAAATACAAAAATTAGCTGGGCATGGTGGCGTGCACCTGTAGTCCCAGCTACTTGGGAGGCTGAGGCAGGAGAATCGCTTGAACCCGGGAGGCGGAGGTTGCAGTGAGCTGAGATCGTGCCACTGCACTTCAGCCTGGTGACAGAGTGAGACTCTGCCTCAAAAAAAAAAAAAAATCATTTGCATTTCTTTTAGAATGAAAAGTATGACTTTGGTGACTTTAAAGTAAACAGTGAAACATTACCAGACTTCACTAATCTCCACTTCATGGACAACAGTGAGAGATGCAGGTGTGGTTGCTATGGTTTATTTAAATGTAAAAGACAGGTTAGTAACAAAGACAAAAAAAGCATCACAAAAGTTTGTTTAGAAAGATAATTTTATTCTCCTGAGTTACAACTTGATTTGGAATGATTTAAAGCACAAACAATAAAGTTAGCGTTTTATATGTATTAGCCATTAAGAGGAATAATATTTCCAACCTGGCTGCCTAAAGTAGCTCCTCTGTAAGATCTTTCCGGAATAAGTTGGTTTTCCCCAGTTCTGAACCTCAAATTAGCCTTAGGGAACCTCGTCTTGTGAACTTTCAAAGCTAGCATTTCTCCATAGCTTTATATTCTGCATAAATATTTGTTACTGTTTTTTCATTTGATACACTTTTTAGGACCTTGTGTTCTTATTCAGTGGCACATAGAAGGTATTTAATGCATGTTTTTGGATGAATGAATTAATGCAAGGATAGCATACTTTCGAACTGCCTTTCTCTACAGATTTAAACTAACTTTAAGTATTAACCTAAGCAATGTTTTGGGAAATGACTTTTTTGAAAACAAACAAACAAAAATACTGGACAATTAAAACAGCCTGAATATCTGAGTACAAATAAGTTTTAGTTAAAAGATTTTTCTTATTTTTGAGAGTAGATCTCTTACCATACTCTCCCCCCAAAAAAAGTAACTATGTGCAGTGATGGATATGCTAATTAACTTGATCATACGAATCACTTCACAACGTATATACAGTCATGAATAGCTTAATGATGGGGATATGTTCTGAAAAAACGGTTTGATTAGAGTATTAGTCCATTTTCATACTGCTATGGAGAAGTGCCTGAGACTGCATAATTTATAAAGAAAAAGAGGTTTAATGGACTCACAAGTCCCTGTAGCTGGGAAGCCCTCACAATCATGGCAGAAGGGGAAGGAGGAGTGAAGACAGGTCTTACATGGTGGGAGAAAAGACAGAGTGTGCAGGTGAATTTCCCTTTATAAAACCATCAGATCTCGTGAGACTTTATTCACTATTACAAGAACAGTACAGGAAAAGCCCGCCCCTCATGATTCAATTACTTCTCACAAGGTCCCCTCCCATGACTCATGGGGATTATGGGAACTACAATTCAAGATGAGATTTGGGTAGAGCCACAGCCAAAACATATCATTCTGTTCCTGGCCCCTCCCAAATCTCATGTCCTCACATTTCAAAACCAATCATGCCTTCCCTCCCAACAGTCCCCTAAAGTCTTAACTCATTTTAGCTTTAACTCAAAAGTCCAAGTCCCAAGTCTCATCTGAGATAAGGCAAGTCCCTTTTGCCTATGAGCCTGTAAAATCAAAAGCAAGTTAGTTACTTCCTAGATACAATGGGGGTACAGGCATTGGGTAAAATACACCTTTTCCAAGTGGGAGAAATTGGCCAAAACAAAGGGGCTACAGGCCCCACACAAGTCCAAAATCCAATAGACCAGTCATTAAACTTTAAAGTTCTAAAGTGATCTCCTTTGACTCCATGTGTCACATCCAGGTCACGCTGATGTGAGAGGTGGGTTTCCATGGTCTTGGGCAGCTCCACCGCTGTGGCTTTGCAGGGTCCAGCGCCCATCTCTGCTGCTTTCATGGGCGGTCATTGAGTGTCTGCAGCTTTTCCAGGCACACAATCCAAGCTGGTAATGGATCTAACATTTTGAGGTCTGGAGGACTGTGGTCCACTTCTCATGGCTCCACTAGGCAGTGCCCTAGTAGGAACTTTGTGTGGGGGCTCTGACCCCACATTTCCCTTCTTCATTGCCTTAGCAAGAGGTTGTCCCTGAGGGCCCCGCCCCTCCAGCAAATACATAAACCAGTAATAGTCATTTATTATTATTATATACTGTATGTTATTGTGTGTGCTATACTTTTACATGACTGGCAATGCCGCAGGTTTGTTTATATCGGCATCAACACAAACAGGTGAGTATCACATTGCACTATGATGCCTTGCCTACTAGACAATAGGAATTTTTCAGCTCCATTGTAATCTTAGGAGCCCACCATTGTATATGCGGTCTGTTGTTGACTAAAAGATTGTTATGCAGTACATGAATGTATATTAAAACATCACGTTATATACCTTAATTATATACAAGTTTTATTTGTCAATCATACCTCAATAAAGCTGAAAAATAAAAAGAAATGAGTTTTTTCTTAAAATCATTATCAAAAGAAAATTAAAAGCTGTACTGAGCTAAATACATTTCTCTAATGCGTAGGTTTCTTTCCTTTTTTTTTTCCTTTGGCACAGAAACAGATTCTTTGTGATTTCTAAGGGTGTGGTATTTATGTGACCAACAGAGTATCTGAAGTTTATAATTCAGAATCATAGCTTGTACTAATGTGAACTTTCTTTCTCTTTCTCTTTTTTTAACTTATTAAATAAAGGATGTGTACTTGGTGCCCTTAAGATCCATTATAAAAGAAATCCCTGATTTTTTTTTAATTTTAATCATTGGTTATGTTGAGCTCACTAAGGAAAAAAACAAAAAGACAATGTAGTGGAAAGAGGATTTGGCATGAGACAGTCATGGATTTGAATGCTGGCTCCATCACTGGTTAAACTACTTCATCTCTCTGAGTCTGTTTCCACATGTGGATAATGGATATAAAACCTATATTCCAAAATTGCTGTGAGAAGGAAATATGCTAACGTATTGAAATTGCCTTGCAGAGTTGGTACTCTGTAAAAGTTGCCATTCTTGTTTGTTAGAGCTTTTTCTCTAACATTTGACTATAGACCTCTCCTCTCTAGTTCAGCCTCCATGGCCTGTTCCCACTGAGATCTATCCATAAGACCTTCCGGATGGCTTTTAGGACTGTCCTTTACATCTGGCAATAGCCTGACATCCCGCCTACGTTTAGAAAAATTTTCTAGCTTCCCATCCGTGTAGGAGCAAATTCCTGATATGCAATACTCACTTTGCCCAGACAGGGGATTGCCACATGAGAGTCCTCTTCCTGGTCTCTGGTGGTCAGCCGACCTGATGTCTGACACAGCATACCAATTATATTGCAGTTGAGATCTCACTGAGTTCAAAATGTCTAGCACAACAGGAGAATTAGTCTTAAGGAAGTTAAACACAATAGTGATCCAAAACCAAGAGTTTCTGAAAAGGGGGCAAAAGAATGGCCTCATGTCTGTCACTTCCTTAAACCCTAGAAAGTATCCCCTGAATAAGGGTCACCAATGGTATTTAAGTCAGCTTCTTGATATTTGAAGAACAATGTGTCTTTGAACTTTCGTAATAGTGATTTCACTTCTTTGTGATCTCCCTGAATTCCCTTTTATATTTAAAATGTTCCTTTTGTCCTGAATTTCTTCTCAAGTTTAAAAATAGCCGTTTGACTACAGGCATTTCATGTGAGCACATCAAAGAAAGCTACAAATCTTCTTTGTATCTTATGACACACTCTAAATAAAACTCAGATTTTTGTTCTTGATTCACTTTTACATTGTAAGTTAAAATTACTCATTTCTATTGTGTCATATCACATCAATGCTCATTGGTTTATCAAATGTATTTGGAAGCAAGTGATCCACCCAAAAACTAAGTTATTTAGGAACAAGAGTCTTCCCTTGGTTAGGAAAAATGTGTATGTAACACGCTTGACAACATTTGAGTCAATAAAGGCAGGCAGCATTTTCAGAAAGGCATTCAGGAAGCAGAATACCATTACTTCAGGTACGTGTATGGATGCGACCTAAAAATAATCTTTGCTTTTAGAGTTAAAACAAAAATATTCTTTTCTATACATACGCACGTTGTCACACCCACTCCTACTAAAATCTACTGAGAATTCTTAAAATAATGTGTTATCAGTTAAAATAGAGGAAAAGGCCATGACATTTATTATAAATAGCTCTTGCTACTTGACTCATTTCTGATGTAATGGGGGATATCAGTGCTTGGATTCTGGATACTTCAATCTTGGAACAGGAAGAGGCATCAGTAGATCATCTAGTTTATTATCAATGGCATAACTACTCTTCTTATTTTCCAACACAGAGTCATGCTTAATATGAATTTGTCAATTCATCTTTAAGCCTTGAATATCTTTTTATTGGCCAAGAACACTCTAAATTATTGCTTCCCAAACTATCTGCAGTGAAGGATCTGTATTAGTTATCAATCACTGAGTTACAAACTATCCCAAAATTTAGGAGCTTAAATAATCCACATTTATAATCTTACAGTTTCCTTGACTCAAGAATCTAGGAGCAATTAGCTGGTAGATTCTGGCTCATGGTTTCTCTTGAGGTAGTAGTCAAGCTGTTGAGTAGGGCTGCAGTCATCTGTGGCTAGGAAATCTGCTTCTAAGCTCACTCATGGTAGTTGGCAGGTCTCAGTTCCTTGTTGACTTTTGGCCATATACTTTCACTTTTTGCTCTGTGAGTTTCTTCATAAGGCTGCTGACAACATGACCTTCCTTGTGTGAATAAGCTGAGAGAGCCCGAGATGGAGCCCATGGTCTTTTGCAATCTTATCTTGGAAGTGACTTAACCATCACTTCTACCATAGGTTATTGATCACACAGGTCAATCTTCTTACAGTGTAAGGTGGGGTGTGAATTCATAAGGGTGTGAATACCAGGATGCTGGGATCATTGGTGGACATCTTAGAAGCTGGCTAAAGACCTTGTTTCTTTTTAGGATGTTCAACCTATCACAGATTGAATACATTTATTTGCTGTCCTTGTTAATGCAATATTGCTTCCACAATTAGGCTTATGACTTCCAGGAGGACAGGCATTTTATCTTATTCATGATTGTATTCTCATCATCTAGCAGAATGTTTACCACATTGTTGATATTCAATGACTATTTGTTGATGGAATTGATAAGTATGCATACTATTTTTAAAACTGCTAAAATAAAGAAAATCCATAGCTTCAAGTAACAATTTTATTTAGGTAATTAACATCTTGGGGTTAGGTTATGTTAATTATACCAAAACTAAATCTGCTATACTGAAGTTTAAACTTATTTCTTCACATTAAAGTCTCTATTCACACTGATCATCTACAGTGTGCACACATTGTATTATGTTAGGAATGCACAGATAATATAACATCCCCCCACCAAATCGAGAGAGTAAACTAAAAGTAGAGACATAATAACCACGAAACACCTCTTCATGGGGTCTTCTGTAATCCCCCTCATGTTTCCTCGGTTAAAGAAAAGATAGCAAGTTAAAAATGGAGTTACTCATGCTAAGGCTCCACACCACCAAACTGAAACCTAAGTTGATTACTTGTAAGATCTGATCTTCCAAGAAATCAAGAGGAAGATAATAGCCAAATCTCATTGAACCAACATGTTTTTGTTTACATCCCTACCAGGAAAGTAACCTTGAAATGGCCAATCCACTATTTGTCCCTTTTTCCTGCTTTCTTTCCCTTTTTTCTGCCTGTAAAACTCACCCGCTCAGTTTAGTTCATCAGAACTCCCTTCTAATTTACAGATTGAATGCTGTCTGATTCATGAATCACTAATAAAAAGCTAATTAGGTCTCTGAAACTCAATTTGTTGAAACTTTGATCTTTGACACCTCTAACTCAGTACCTAACATATTAATCTGTTTTGTTTTCATGATAGGATTTAGCCTGTTTGAGGTAAGATGGAATCTATTACTCTTTCCTATAAATCCTGTTTCAGATTTTCTGTGATGAGGTGTAAAATTCTGCTTTGTTTCATTTATGCTTTCACTTAAAGTCTTACTTCTCAACATTTTAATCACTGTTACGTTTTTACTCTGAGTCCTCATCCTCTCCCTGGTTTTTAAATTTAAGTTGTGGAGTCACAATATGAGCACGAGATTCTTGTGTCTATTCAATGATTTTGCTTTTATAATTTACATTACCTAATTTAGTTAAGAACTAAGTGATGTCAATGGGTGTTTTGCATGAATAAGGACTGCAAGTGAATCTCTTCAAATTAAATGGAAATTAAAGAGACATTTTCAAGGACATTTGTTCTGAAAATTGATCTGCTTTGCAATTATCCATATGTAAAATTATTTTTCAGTAGTCATGGAAATAACAGATAGCCCACTAACCCAAGATTAGTAGAGTAGACCATTTCCTTGGGATTTATAAAACTTTGAATATGAGAAGCATTTTTTAAAAATTTAATTTTTACCTGTTCATTTGTTAAATGTTGGGTGGTGGAGGGCTGAGAACAGACATTTAATGGAGTTCTGCTTGGTGCTAGGCTATGAACTGGACACTTCATTTACTGCATGAATTATTTCACTGGATCTTTAGAACAACCCTGCTTCGGCAGACTAGTGTGTGATTTTACAGCGAAGGAAACAGATGCTCAAGAAAGTGAAAGGATTCACCCAAAGTCATAGAGCCAGCAAATGAACCAACAGAGCCCCTCCGACTGTGAATAGCTGGTTGCTAGTTAATTGTTCAGGTCTGATTGCAAGCCCTTTCTAATGTGCAATCTAAACACCTGTGATTACACAATAAACAGAAGGACACAGTTTCCCGAAGTATATCCGGAGGAAAGAACATTATGTTGGAATGATAATAGAAGTTATCTGGAAACGAAAAACAAAAAGTTGCCAGGGTAAGTTTGAACGTTTGAGAAATGTTGGGTTGGACACAATTAAACTGATTTTAAACAACGTTAAACAAAAAACCTTCTGGCACTTTTTTTTTTTTTTTTTTTGAGACGGAGTCTTGCGCTGTCGCCCAGGCTGGAGTGCAGTGGCGCGATCTCGGCTCACGGCAAACTCCGCCTCCCGGGTTCACGCCATTCTCCTGCCTCAGCCTCCCGAGTAGCTGGGACTACAGGCGCCTGCAACCACGCCCAGCTAATTTTTTGTATTTTTTAGTAGAGATGGGTTTCATTGGGTTAGCCAGGATGGTCTCGATCTCCTGACCTCATGATCCGCCCACCTCGGCTTCCCAAAGTGCTGGGATTACAGGCGTGAGCCATCGCACCCGGCCCCGTTCTGGCAGTTTTCAAAGCCGTTTTGTTTTGTTTTGTTTTATTTGTTTGAGATAGAGTTTCGCTCTGTCGCCCAGGCTAGAGGCTGGAGTGTAGTGGCGCGATCTCGGCTCACTGCAAGCTCCGCCTCCCGGGTTCACGCCATTCTCCTGCGTCAGCCTCCCGATTAGCTGGGACTACAAGCGCCCGCCACCACGCCCGGTTAATTTTTCCTATTTTTTAGTAGAAACGCGGTTTCACCCTGTCAGCCTGGATGGCCTCGATATCCTGACCTCATGATCCACCCGCCTCAGCCTCCCAAAGTGCTGGGATTACAGGCGTGAGCCACCCTGCCCAGCCTTTTCAAAGCCTTTAATAAGAAAATGTTTCCTGTGAGTAAATCTCAGGGTAGTGTTTTGGTGGGGAGGATGCCTCCAAGAGATGGGGATGTGGAGCCAGGATGAGGTAAGGACAGACTACGCTAAAATTTCCAAATGTGTTTGATTATTTTATTCCCTTGGCAAAACATCTTGTAAGACTGATGCTCTATGGATTACAGTTTGTGAAATATGTGTCTAAATTATGACAGTAAAAACAATAAAATAATTTTCAGGGAGTTTACCATGAGAACTGCTAAATATATTGATTCGATATCACCACGTAGACATAAAAATGCTGTTTTCTAAGAGAAGGTTATAATAAGACTAGTGTAAGTTGGTATCAGTTAATATTATCTGAAATGATTGCTCGAGGCACATTTCCTTTTCTTTGCCTTTTTTCCCATCTCTATGTTTCTTTTTTCTTCTATGGTGCCCTGAGTCTATCAGTTCATCAGGTACCACTTAGTCATCTAGGAAAATGGAGAAATTGTTTCACATTTAGAATACCAGGAACAGTTTTTTGTAGAGACTTGATGTTTCTGAATAGCTCATCAGTTTGCTCAAATTTTAGGTTGATAAAATTTTTAAAAAAGGTATTGAAAGGTCAACATTAAACTAACAACATTTTATTTTGTCAGATAAGAACACGGCTATTGTAAAGATGGTGAATACGTATTTATCATACTCTTAACATTTTTCAATATACTATGTATTGTATTGAAAAATGCTGAGTAGATTTTAAGCATTTTCACCACAAAAACGATAGCTATGTGAGGTAGTGAATATGTTAATTAACTCCATTTAGCCATTCCACAATGTATATATATTTCAAACATCATGTTGTATATGGTAAATATATACAATTTTATTTGTCAGTTAAAAGCAACAACAACAAAAAAGGTGGGGGGAGTAACCTACTTTTGACTATCAAATTGTTTTATGAAAAGAATACGTTTGTTCAATTAAATTTCTAGGAAGCCATTGGTTTGGAATGAACTCCTCTACTACACTCAACAGACCAAAACAAAATGGAGTTATTCACACTGACGTTTCAAACCACCAAGTAGAAATTAAGCATTTATCTGATACTCGGTGAAATCAGGAAAGAGAGATAATAGCCAATTCCCCACAAGCTACTTTTAGCCAGTATGATGAGGAAGTCCCCTCTGCTTAGACCTTTACAAAAAACAAACAAACAAACAAACAAAAACATCCTTAGAAAATACCAGTCTGCTTTTGTTTTTTGATTCTGTTTTCCTCAGCTCTTTTCTGTCTACGTTAATAAAACCAAGTTTCTCTGCTGGGCTCATCAGAACACACATTCTATTTTATGGAATGAGGTGTTGCTCCAGCAATAGAATAGTAAATAAAACCCAGTTATGATCTTTATACTAAAGTTGTTTAAATTTTGTCCATTGATGCATTTTAACAAAAAATAAAATGGTACAAAGAACATACACTTAGAATAAGTTCTATATGTTAAATATAAACAAGGCGGGCGGGTCATGAGGTCAAGAGATTGAGACCATCCTGGTCAACACGGTGAAGCCACGTCTCTACTAAAAATACAAAAAATTAGTTGGGCATGTTGGTGCACTCCTGTAGTCTCAGCTACTTGGGAGGCTGAGGCAGGAGCATCGCTTGAACCTGGGAGGTGGAGGTTGTAGTCGCTTGAACCTGGGAGGCAGAGGTTGTAGTGAGCTGAGATCACACCACTGGACTCCAGCCTGGTGACAGAGTGAGACTCTGTCTCAAAAACAAACAAACAAACAAAAACAAAAACAAAAAACTTTCACAGATACTTCAATAAGACAGGCTGCATCACCCATGGTATTACTGGGGCTCAGAACACAATATCCCGAAGTGTGGTGGCTTGGAGTGATAGGTACTTTGAACTGAAGGATATTGAAAAGGCCTCAGAAGCAAGATCTGTCTGACCTTCTCCAGTCCTGCTGTCTCCTCTCCCCCTCCCACACTTTCTCTACTGAAGCAAGTTATTGAAAGCAGAATTCAACTTCCCCAAGGCAGGTCAAAAAACTAGAACCCTTCTTCCCCAAAGTAAGCCGTAAAACCTGGAAAGGTCACTCTCTTCCCTCTCCCTTCTCCCTGATGATCTCTATTCCAGAGGAGTCCTGCCCCATATCTGGGATGCAGAAATGCTACACTGAACGACCAAGAAGAATATGAACAGACAGGCTTTGGTGGGTTTCCCCCCTCAGTCTGTTACCATAAGATCATACTGTTTTGTCCAGTCATATTTCTACCTGGCTGTCCATTCTTCATCAAACCTAAGCATCAAAAGACAGTTTTCCCTGGATCTTCAGGTCTTCATTTCTGAGGTTTCCCATGTAATTTAAATACATTCGTTACGCTTTTCTCTTGTTAACCTGTCTTTTGTTATTGGAGTGTTGGCCATGACACTTACGATGGGTGAAGAGAAGTATTACACTTTTCTGTCCCTACAGTATTCTCTATTTTGTATTAGTTGTTTCTATTGTTTCTTCAGAGAATGTGAGAAAACTTACTTTATTGGCGAAATATTCTTGCACTTCAGTAAGTACAAAGTATAACCAGAAAGGTTTACTGAGAGAATGAATCTATCTGACGTTAATTGTAATATCTCATCAAAATGAAAGACAAATAGCATAAGATTATTTGTATTCCAGACTTGATAGTGCCTACTCCATAATTTTGCGGAAATCAATGATGTCTATGCTGCAGTTTTCTGAACTATAAATGGAATTACTACTTTTCTCTGCTTTCCAGTCCTAAAAGCATGTGGGCAAATCCAAATATTTGGAGTTCAAATGAATGCCTTCATTTTAGTCTCAGTAAAGTATTACAAATAATTCTCATTGAGCTAACGTACAAAACTATGTATACAAATTGTGATTTTTACAGGGATTAGACCGATTTCCAGCAAATATTTAAGAACTTTAGATTTAAAAGAATGCTGGTACTCTGAGATTCTGGATCTTTGCTCCGCAGTTGGCACTTGCCTAATAGATGTGTCTAGAAAAAGGCATTTTTAAAAGAAAATCATAAATGAGACTAATGCACATTCCTTGTTTTTAGTGAATTGAATACAATATATAACACTGAAAGATGATGCTGATTTCAAAGATGCTGCCATTGCCTAAAACATTTTCAGATCTCATCCTTTGTAGCTGGTGTCAAGGCTGGCAACATACTTTGGGTAAATAATTTTAATATAAGAGAGTCTTTGAGTGTGGGTTTTCATTGAAACGACTTAAACTATTTGGAGGGCTTCTTGTGAACAAAACAAGGTGGGTAGTGCTGCCTTTATTCCACAGTGATGTGACTTTAACTAGTAGCCTTGAGACTTTGATGTGTTACTCAGATTGACTCTTAAGATGATAAGAAAAGGGAATTCTGAAAATTATAGTTGATGACAGGATCATTTTAGTGACTACTTTAACTGGCAGTATTTCTTTTAGATAAATGATATTGAAGATGGCAAGGTTTGGGATATTTGACTAAAGGTCAGGAAAATAAAATGTTTGGAAGAATTATGATTATAAAATAAATTTGAAGTTGGTTGAAGCTGTAGAATCTCCCATTACAATCTTTTTAATTTACAGATGACACCACTGAGAATCAGAAGAGTTAACTGATTTAACCAAATCCACCGTGTTAAGATCAGAATTGGGACTAGAGTCAGTATACTTGACACAGTACGTGAATGGTGACAAGTTCGCTGGGTTCTCTTTCAAAGTAACTAAGCTTTATAGAGTCAAACCTCCTAAGTGTTTGGTGATATATACAGATAAGTGCTAAAGAATGCTGTATTCTTTTAATTTTAGGTTTCATCACTTGGGTTTATAAAAATAAATTTAAGAGCTTTAAATTTTTGTATGCACTGAAAAATCCTAGAGGATCTTTACCTACAATAATCTATCCTAACAAACTATATCAGTATTTTCATTCTATTGTAACATATATGTTTATTCAATATATATGGTTTGAACATTGCTTTTTGATGTGCACAGCGGAGGAAGATAATTTTAATCTCATTATTCAGAATTCTGTTTATAATTCATTTGCTAAGGACATTTTTATTGCTCAATACTTGCAGTCATTATAATTTTTAGTTCCTAAACTCACAAGCAAGAAATGTCATATTATCTTCATGTCATTAAATCAAATTGAATCTGATTCCAAACCTTATCTTTTTTGGCTGTTAAGGGAGCCAACGTTAGTTATTCTAGCAACATCCGTCCACCTCTGCAGAGCCACTGGGGAACTTAGGATTTTGCTGGATGACTGAAAAATGAGGGAAGATCTCAATGGCTCAGTCAAGCACGACTATGATGACATGCTCATTATCCAAACCCACTTCTTCTTTTTTAAAAAATTATTTTTAGTTTCGATTCAGGAGGGACATGTATTTGTTTGTTACATAGGTGTATTGCATAATGGTGGGGGTTGGGATTCTGGTATACCTATCACCCAAGTATTGAACATTGTACCCAATAGGTGATTTTTCAACCTTCACCCTCCTCCCACCCTCTCACCTTTTGGAGTCCCCAGGGTCTATTATCTTCTTCTTTATGTCCATATATATCCATTGTTTAAGTCCTGCTTACAGGTGAGAATATGAGATATTTGATTTTCTGCTTTTGAGTTAGTTCACTTAGGATAACGGCCTCCAGCTGCAACCATGTTGCTGCAAAGGACATGATTTCATTTTTCTTTATGCCAAGCCCACTTCTTCTTGAAGGTAGATAGTGACAGCCATAGGGAACTTTGCTAAGTCCTTCAGGAACGTCCCTGGACATCTCATGTCTCAGCCAATCTCCCCCAATTCTTCCATACCCCAGGGGGTTCAGCAGGCACTGGGGCATGGATCCCTGTTAATCATGGGCCCAGCAGGTCTCCATCCCTTTCCTAGTCAAGACAACTTTCTCTTCTTTGATGTTTGTGGTACCCTGCACCTTGCCCCAATTCTTTGCTTCCCTCTCCAGCCTTCAGCATCACCCCTCAATAAGCTAAGCCTTTTGAAAACAAAAGCCGGAAAAAGAGTTTACCTTCAAGTAACAAAAGGAACACAAGTTCTGGCTACTTTTTGGAATGAGGAAGGAGGGGAATACAGATATAAAAATAAAAATAGATCGGATTTTTTCTAATCCTTGTGTAGCAGTGAAAACAAAACACAAAATAGTATTTCAACAAATTATCCTGTCACATGCTCCACACCGAGGACAGCCTAGAATTATGGATTGATATTAAAAAATAATTAAACAAGTCTCTACTACTACAATATCTTAAGATTAGAGGAAGCACTGGAGATGATGTCATACTAATTCTTTATTTTACAGGAAATAAAATTAAGGACCAGAGTGAGACATCTTACTATTAAATACTTTGCTGCCTGGTGAAGTTAGTATTAATTACCAGTACAGGATTTTTTGTATTAGAAAAATTCAAAGGCTTTTTCTTGTGAATGGGAATAAATGATCCTAATGAAAGCTGAGTAGTTTTTTAAAGCACCAACACTGCCAAAGTTAGCAATAGTTTCAGAGTAATTTACACATAGCTCTTGCCTTGACCTGAACCCTAGCTAAACCAATTAATAAAACACTGGGTAATCATATAAAAATAAACAACTTATTTTCATCACAAATTGTTTCAAATTGGAATTCTCCTCTTGCCTCTCCACCCCACCTTATAGACACTGCAAAATAATTGAAATGCTTAGACAATAATAAATAATTTTTGGTATATTTTCTTTGATGATGAAAGTTTGAAAATGGGGGTCCATTTTCCTATGGGACCTCCTTTACCCATTCTTACCTATGGTGACTTGGGATGAAAAACACACCCAACGTGTCACCTTCTTCAGAATTCTTGGAAAAAAAGAGAGCTTGCTGTTATTAAACTGTATGTGGCAAAAGAAAAACAAAGTCAGCATTGTTCACTTGGACATGAAATTTATTGTTGTAGGCATCTTGTGTTGCTCTAAAAGATCCTGAGGCTGAATAACTTATAAAGAAAAAAGGTTATTTGGCTCACAATTCTGAAGGTCAGAAAATTCAAGATTGGATGCCTGCATCTGGAGAGGGCCTGCTTTCACTCACAATGGAAGGTAAAAGGGAGCTGTGTGCAGAGAGCACATGGGGAGAGAGAAAGCAAGGGAAAGGGGAGGAAGATGCTAGGCTTTTTTGTTAACAACCTGGAACAGTGAGAACTCATTCACTCCTCCCTCCATCCAGCCCCTCAGGATACTAACTTATTCATTAGGGATCCACCCTCATGACCTAAACACCTCCCATTAGGCCCCATCTCCAACTTTGGGAATCAAATTTCAGCATGAGATTTGATGAGGACAAACAAACCATATCCAAACTATAGCATTTATTATAAAAGTCAGCTAAGGATTTTTGATAGCCAATCTCAAGAGATTTAAAATAACAGAGAGAATTCAGTATTTAATTTTTAAATTTTGCCATAATAATACACCATTTATTTATTTTTTTTAGACAGAGTCTCGCGCTCTCACACAGGCTGGAGTGTAGTGGTGTGATCTCAGCTTACTGCAACCTCTGCCTCCTGGTTTGAAGCGATTCTCATGCCTCAGCCTCCTAAGTAGCTGGGATTACAGGTGTGCACCACCAGGCCCAGCTAATTTTTTTTTTTTTTTTCAGTAGAGACGGGGTTTCGCCATGTTGGTCAGGCTGTTCTTAAATTCCTGACCTTAAGTGATCTGCCCATTTCAGCCTCCCAAAGTGCTAGGATTATAGGCGTGAGCCACATCGCCTGGCCTACTTTAAACTATTCTTTTACTTTCATTTTCAGCTTCAAGGTTTTAGGTATGACTGTTATACAGCAGTTACTAGTTGCATGTTAATTTTAAAAAATAGTTATTAAGCTCTAAATTCTCGAATCACTTAGCGCTTTCTAACACTGTCCCATCTTATATAAAAGAGACTTGAGAGGAATTTTAGGGTTTGACCATTATCGTATTATTAAGAAAAATACAGTCAAATATGCAGTTATGGATTTTATTGAGTCTCACGGCAAAGTAGTAAACTTTTTGAAATAAGATTATGTATAAATAAGATGGCCTAGCAAAGTATTTATATATAAAATGTTGCTTAGATTGTAGGTAATTATGCAGGGAGCCAAAGATTTGGTAAAATTATTAAATGTTGATTAGTTTGTAAAGTGGTATCATTTTCACATGGAAAGTAAATTTATTTTTATTTTATTTTGTTTTTAAGCCACTAAAATTTAGCCGTGGGGGTTGTATACCAACTTTAGTGGCAGTAATGTTAATAAGTTCTGATAATCCATAATAATCAGACCAGCCAGAAAGTCAATATATATGTGTAAAATATTCTGCAGTGTATTTATGTGCATGCTCCATGAACTTTTCTTTAAAGAAGGGTTTACTGAAACTGATCTTCAGCAACATGTGTCAGAGTCAACCAAGGTAATTGCTAAAAATTCAGATCTTAAGAAATTTTCTCATAAATTTTATCAATGGAAACTAAAAATTATATCTTTTCATTCTTTTGTTTCGTGCAAACAGGAACTAGAATCCAAATCCATTTATATATATATATTTTTGTTTGTTTGTTTCTTTCTTTTTTTGTTTGTTTTTGTTTTGTTTTGTTTTGAGACGGAGTTTTGCTCTGTCACCAGGCTGGAGTGCAGTGGCGTGATCTTGGCTTACTCCAGCCTCTGCCTCCCTGGTTCAAGTGATTCTCCTACCTCAGCCTCCTGAGTAGCTGGGACTACAGGCGTGTGCCACCACACCTGGCTAATTTTTTGTATTTTTAGTAGAGACAGGGTTTCACTGTGTTAGCCAGGATGATCTCCATCTCCTGACCTCGTGATCCACCCATCTCGGCCTCCCAATATTTTTAGAGTTTTACTCATTTAAATTGCTAGCCTGAATAGAGTCATTGTAATCTTTCACAGTAGTAGAACTATGAATAATAAAGAATAGTAGCCATACATATGAACATATTGTCAAGTTCAAAGTCAAGATGAACTATATATTTTTCAGTTTCATAATGGTTACATAGAAAATATATTTCTATATGGCTAATTTTCACTTCATTTCCTACAAGTTGCAAAATGTCACAAAGAGTAACTACAATTTTATCTTTAGAAATGAAGTATTTTGATACATGCAATCCAGTTTTTAGATATTAAATATAAATATATGCATAGTAAAAAGTAATTATAGAGACAGGTGGTAGGTTGGTCAGTGTGCTCGTCACATCTTTCCCACGCTTCCATGCACTTTGCTATGTGGCTTTGGAATTTTCTCCACTAGAAGTGGCGTTGTTGGGCTTGACCAAATATTTCTTTTGGTCAATGGAATGTGGGCATAAATGATGGGGTCTAGTGACATGCCAAGAAAAAAGGTAAGCCCCGGGTAGTTGCTGCCCTTTTAACTTGGCCCCTCAGAAAGAACACACATGAATAAAACATTAACCGCATTGTCCGTCTGTAGCTAAGCCCACTGAACTGCAACCTGAAGCAGAACACGGTGTAGTTCAGCTGAACCACAGTCTCCTAAGCATGAGGATACATACTTCTATACACTACTGGAACTTTGTGATTGTTAATTATACATTGTTGTTGTAGCAGTAGAATAAGCTTCTACAAAAATAAAAAAAACACCAATTCATGATGAAATAAATGTATAAATCATTTGGGTAGAGACTTAGTTCAAAGTACTTTCGGTCCCAGTGTCATTCTTTGCAGTATGATTTGAGCAGATCATTGTGGTTCTCAGATTTATTAACTGTAGTGAGAATGTTTAGAGGGGGAGAATTCTAAGGTCCATACACTTTCAATAAAGTAAGAATCCCTTTTCATTCCAAGAATAATTAAAAGTATCGAAAGATAAATATTTCATAAGTTGGGTATCTCTAGAGAATCATTATTGCAAGTTACATGTTAGTATCATGTATTCATTCAGTGGTTACTTTAGAACAACTATCTTGAGTTCAGAATTACGTCAAGCACTATGAGGGATCATAGGATGAAGAGGCAATGTCTTCTTCACCTGTATGAAATTAAAAACCTAATGGGGGCATAGCAATACAAAGAAAAATTTTAGGGTTATTAAAGTGCTCCAAATTAAGGGTTTTAAGAGGGTATGCTCCATCTGGAGAGATCAGAAAAAGCTCTTGGGAGGAGATGGTATTTGAGCTGAATCTTGGTGGATATGATTTCAACAGGAAGACATTTAATGTCATTTGCTGATGGAAGGAAGGGCTTGGAAGCAGGACAGAAGAAATTATTTAAAATGGTAATTTTTTTTTGTTTCAGTGGAGTATACTATGTCATGGACAGTATGGAAATATGGCTGAACAGAGAGGCAGGGGCTGTATGTTTTGAGGATTTTGATTTCTGTGTTCAGGAGCTCAGAATGTATCATGTACAGAATGATTACTAAAAGACTGAAAAAGAGAGTGTCTAATGAGTGTTTTAGAAAAATCCAACTGGTATTGTGCAGGGAAAAAAGAGATGAGTAAGACTCAAGAGAAGATGGCCTCAGAATGGAAGCAGTTTTACATGGGCCTGAGCTCAGATGGCAGTGGGGTTGGGTGTTTCAAACAGAAAACCCAGCAAGGTGCATTTATTTTCTTCCAGGAAGAAGAAAGCCTGTTGATAAGATAACATGATACAGTTACTTAAAAGAGGCTTTATAGTGCTGCTAGATTATGAGAAAACAGTATTTAAAAATGAATTTATTTTTGTAATTATCTTGAAATTTTAATGTGCATAAGAATACTCAGGTTCTTATGAAAAATACAGATTTCTGGACTTCAGCTCTAGAATTCTTGAAACAGTAGGCGTTGCGACAGACCCATGAATCTGTATTTTAACAAGTACCTGAAGTTATAAGGAAGCAGGTGGTCTGCAAATCACTCTTTGATGCTGGTTGGAGAACATAATATTAATAATAAAAGGAAACATTTATCACCCACTTCCTGTGTACCTAACACCTGGCTAAGTGCAGATATACATTACCACATTTCATCCTCCATAGTAAGCCTAGGAAGAGACTATTAATATTATTTTCCAACTTACTGAAAATCAAAACTAGGAGGGGTTCAGCAGCACTTTGCAAGTCACGGAGCTATTAAGTGATGAATTCAGGATATGAATCAAAGACTGCCAACCTCAGAACTCACACTGGAGAAGTTCATGATATTAAAGAGTGCAGCTTTTGTCTTTTCTCTTGTACATTCTTTTTTTTTTTTCAAAAGTTTCAACTGATTGGGACCAGTGCCACATTTAACAAGATTGCCTGATTAAATTTACTCCAGTAAAAAATTTCATTCCTAAGTAGAGAAAGACCAGCTGGAACATAATCAGTCATCATAGTGGGATGCCCTAGATATGAAGATGCCCATCCTACCAAGAATAATACATATGCACATAGCAGTAATTCCAAAATAAATATAGAAAATTTCTACAGCATGTGTTATTATAACCATTTAAGCAAAAACACAAGAACTTTAAAGTGGGACATTATCATTGCCTTGAACATTTTTTTTCCTCCCTGTCTTAAAACTGACATCTCAAAATAAATTCATGGTCTTGAAGCCTAAGAATTAATTGTCTAAAGGAATGGCCCACAATAAAACACGATAAAAGTCAGATTTAATTTTATTCTTCTTAACTATCTCTTGGCCCAAACTACTGTGTCTTTTTAGACTGAAAGGCCAGTCATTTATCTACATTTCCTATGGTAATGGAAACATAGTAGCTTATGTTTCTTCAAGAGAGAAAAATGAGGTAAAATATGTTATGAGTCATATTCAAAGTCCAATCAACCCACCAGAGATGTTAATTCTCTCCACTTTGAGAAACAGGCTTAAAAAAGGAATCATTAATATAAATTTTCCTCCTAAAACTAAAGAAGAAAAAAATACAAAAAATTTTCCGTGAGTTGGGGTAGCAATTAGTATTTGTCATCAGCTGTTAATTTTCCAGTTTAAAACCCAAGAGCTCTTCATTGTGATTTCATTTGCTCTTGAAGATAGTGACTGGGGAAAGGTGATGGTGGTAGTATGTGTCCATTTGAATTGATACAGTGTTTAAATTTGCTTTTTTATCAGTGATGTTTTTTCATGTAGTGATATTTTCCCTTCATCCCCAGAAGTGAAGATGATAGTGTTAGAAAAAATCTCCTTTTAATTTCAAACTTAGTAATACAAGTCAATGTATCAAGTTTTTGTTATTTGTCTAGGCCTTTTGGAAATCACTTTTGTTGAAAGTTTATTCAAAATCAGCTGTTTCCCAGACACTGTGCTAAACTATGTGCAGGACACCAGTGGACACTGATTTCTCTGCTTTACTTTCCATTTGTATCCAGTTGCTGTGTATCTTCCTGTGTCTTTAAGGAACTTATTAACCCCCCAAAAAAGAAAGGAAAATAAAAAGCCTATTCAATACCAGAGGCAGTAAGTTTAGCATATGATAAAAAATATAAAAAACTAGATTAAAAAACAATTTAATTTAATTAATTTAAAAATTAAATTGAAAAAAATACCATATGCAGAAGTTGCAGAATTTTAAAAATTTCTTTTAATGAATCACGCATCACAGGTGCTGGAAAGAAGGTAGGCTGGATAACCCCTGAAGTCCCATTCTACATATGTCCTCTGATCTACACTTGGAAACATACTTTTTGATTGCCTGATAATGTGGAGAGAGCCTGGCAGCTTTTTATAGAAATGAAAGACTGAGAACAGAATTGCAAAATTATTATATACTTAAAATAAAATTATTTACTGGGAAACCAAGGAAAATCAACTGAAGCAGCATAAAACTAATGTATAAATATAAAAAGTGAATAAAAATGAATACATTTATATCAATAACATCCTTACAAATAGCCAAAAATAGCTAGAAAATAAAATTATTCTATTAATAACAACATATCCAGTATAAAAATGGACAGAACTTATATAGAAAAACAATAGACTATTAGTATCTTTTTTATATAACAACCTTGCATAAATGAGACATAACATGAAAATAATTGCCAATATGTTGATTTTTTCAAAGTGTAGTATAAATTTAGTGTAATTTCACTCAATATCCCAATTAGATTTTTCTTATAAAAATGAACACATTCTAAAAAGCCCCAAATTTTGTCTTAAGAAGAGTATTTGAGGTACAATTTAAAATGTATTTTTTATCATTATTAATGAATGCAATGTGGTATAGGCACAAGTTTTAACAAGCAGATAATTGGAATGAAAGAGAAAATCTAGAAATGGAACCTAATATATGTAATAACTCAAAATATAATGAAGTAGCTCTTGACTAATAGGGAATATAATTAAATATTTGATACTGAGATAATTGGCTAATCATTTAGGAAATATGTATTAAGAGTTCCTGATCTCATACTACTTTATTGCCATTAGATTTGAAAAGGACTAAAGATAGTAATAGCTAATCTTAGTTGGTTGAAAAATTTGAACAAGAATTTGGCAAAATGTATTAAAAATTTTAAAACACGGTGGCTCACGCCTGTAATCCCAGCACTTTGGGAGGCCGAGGCAGGCGAATCACGAGGTCAGGCGATGAAGACCATGCTGGCTAACACGGTGAAACCCCGTCTCTACTAAAAATACAAAAAATTAGCTGGGCGTGGTGGCAGGCGCCTGTGGTCCTGGCTACTCCGGAGGCGGAGGCAGGAGAATGGTGTGAACCCGGGAGGTGGAGCTTGTAGTGGGCCGAGATGGCGCCACTGCAGTCCAGCCTGGGCCAAAGAGCGAGACTCTGTCTCAAAAAAAAAAAAAAATTTTAAAACACACATAGGAAACTAATAATTTAAGTTCTAAGAATCTATAGTAAGAAAAACATTGAACAAATGTGAAAATATTTATGTATAAAAATTTAGCAAATTTTTAATAGGGAAAATTAGAACTGACTAAATGGCTAATAGTTGAGAATTTTTTTGATAAATTATGGCAAATACCATGCAATGAAATATTACATAACCATTTAGTATGATGACTGGAATGTTTATTCAATCCTGTGTATTCAATGTACCAAAATTTTCTTGTGCGTGTAAATATAATTTTAAAATGTTTACAAAGACACATACCTTGAAGGAAAGACATAGAGATTTTAATACTAGTTATCTCTTGATTGTGTGAACGCTTGTTTTTGAGAACACTTTCCTTTTTTAAATTCTGCTTATATATGAATTTTCTTATTTTCAAAAGTAAATATGCTCTGCTTTTAAAATTAACAGGGAACAAAAATATTCATTTTTTTCTCCATCCTGTAAAATGGAACAGATGAAAAATTAGGAAAATATCTTTCAATGCAATGTAAACTTTCATTGCCATTTTGATGAATTTTCTACCCACATCAGTCTAGTGAGAGTAAATTCCCAAGTTATTGGTACCAGGACTCATTCACTGAGTTATAAAGACCATTTGGTATCTCAGGGTAACACAGAGGGATTGGGGTCATTTGCTTGGAGGATCTTAGGAGATTCGACTAACTATATAACATCTATTTTGTCATGAAAGTTAGGCAACACCTTTGCGCAGGGAAAACAGAGGGAATGTTTTGAAAAACTTCAGCATACCATATCCTCTCCAGTCTCTTCCAAATGTAACTTTCTTTAGTCATAGCCCACAGAACTAAAGGGTAAGTAGAAATGTTTCTGCTGTTTGTCATGTCACAGGCATTAACTTCTCTTTGATATGGCATGGGCAGTCACTTGGACATTCCATGCCAGGCATTTTAAATCTTAGATTATCTTGATCATGAGGTGATGATCGAGTACAGGAACTCCACAGCCAGTATGTCTGGATTGAAATTCTAACTTTGCCTCTCAGTCAGTTGTGAAATTTGGAGTACTTTGTACATTGGTTTTCTCACTTTCAGTCTGGGGAACTGGATTTTGTATGAATTTTTCTGATTTTTAAATGTCAACTGAAGCTTCCTCTGTAAACACTACACTGTTTTAACCAAGTACATACACAGGCAACTAAGTCTGGTCTAAAGTTATCAACTTGATTGACCTTTTGAGGCATTCAGGATGAACTTTAAACTACACGGTTGACATGAAAGACCCATCTTTGATCTGATCCTGTCTTTCCTCATCTATTTCTTCAAACTTTCTAGTCTGCTTTCAACCCTTCATGCACAGCACTCAACTCAGTGCTTTTGCATGTCATATCCTTCTGTCTGAATTCTATTCCGACTTGTTTCTTTTCTGAAAAGCTCTTCTTATGTAGAACTCAGGTACCATGTTCCCCAGGAAGCATTTCTAATTTTCACTTTTAGTCTAAGCTATATTCCCTTCTTAGATTTTCACAGACTGTCATATGTATTTGCACGGAGCAAATTATGTATTTACCTCTCTACGCTAAACTACAAAGTCTCTATACTAAACTACAAACTGTCTACACTGAACAACCAACGCTCTACACTAAATTATATCTATCTATATATATAGATAGATATACCTGTCTATGCTAAATTATATATATACATATCTACTTCTCTATACTAAATTACACACTCTTTGAAGACAGACACTACATCTATTATTCTAAGATCCTTGTGCAGTTCCTTGCCCCAAATAGATGTCAGCAAATTCCTTGTGTTTCTGTCCCTTTGCACCTGTCAAAGATGAACACATTCACTCTTGTTTATTTCTCACAATCTTTAAGTATGGCTCATTTTCTGATATTTAAAGTAATTGTAGGTCCCCTAATGTAATAACACTAATGACCTAATACTTACCACTTTATTACTTTACTTCTTCAAGGCCAACTATTTGCTGCTCTACTTATGATGCTGTGCAGAAGACACATAAAACATGAAGGATTCTGAATGTTTAATCATGGGTATTCTGTTTTCATGTTTGCCTTCTTCCTCTGTTTGCTATCTGGTAGGTGACTGTTAAAATGGAGAGAATCTAAAGTGAAAAGGGTAGAAGAAGAACCACTTATAAAGAATATGAGTAATCTATAAATTGGATAAAAGTTGTTTTGAACAGTTGAGAATTGACTGCTTAACACTACCGCAACTCCTCTTCTTAAGAGCACATAGCTATAGTGTAATAAACTGCTTTAAACTCCTATTAGTAAAGACACTGCCCATTTAGGTATAAACTCCAAAATGAAGACTAATAAACAATTCTCTAATCTCAGTTAGGATTAAACTATTATTCCTTTTTTTGTTTTTCATAGGAGATATAAAATAAATCAAAGGGACAAATAACTAAAACATAAAATATGCTTATATTTTAATCCAGAAAGATAACCTGAACCCGTAGAACCTGGGAGCCTTCTTCAATTTCACTATAGTCCACTTCCCTGCCTAGCCCCCAGCATTATAGCATGCCTGCCCAACATCACGTCGCAGTCTCGAAGACCTATGTAGGTCCGACTCTATTCGAGTTTCTCATCACATTCATTCAGGACTGTATCATCAGAATCATCTGGACATGTTTATTAAAAATGCAAATTCCTTGGCACTATTCCAAACCTACTAAATCATTTTCTGAATATTATCAGCAGAAAATCTTCACTTTTTCACTAGTTCTCCAGGTGGTGATTACTCACACTACAGTCTGAGAACCACTGCTACAGATGGGGAAAAAATGCTATGTGGTGCTGCATAATTGTGGAAGAATTATACAAAATGAAAAATAATATCAGTTACACAAACTCTGAATCATGAGTCATAATTTTACTTGTTTGTCAACAATAAAAAGCACAAATATTTTATTAATATATTAGAATACAGGTACATATATATACACACACATGCGTGCACACACACACACACACACACACATACGCACACACACAGAGGGGGGAAGAAACCCTTGTAATAAAGATATTTATTGCTTTCTCATCAGATTGTGCTCCCGTTTGCATTTTTTCCCACTCAACACTTAGGGTAGAATTCAAAAAATCTGTTCTTTTAGCTTAAAAAATAATTATGACAGACTAGTTTCTTCCCTGAAATTAGTGCATTTTTTTTTTTCATGAAATGACTTCCTACTTCCAACTTTTACTTCGTCTTCTGGCAACTATTTATATTCTTTAAATGAATTATCAGCATGCAAACCTCCTGTTATCTTTCCTAGTTTAAAAAAGTCTCTCTCGACCTCACTAACTCCTCAACCTACCACTTGTTTCCTCTCCTTTCTTTACAGCAATACTCCATCAAAGATTTGTCTGTACTTACATTTAAAAATTTCCCTTTACCTATTCTTTTTTCAGTTCACCTCATGTCTCCACTAGAATTCTGTTATCAAGGCCACCAGTGACTTCCATGTTGCTAAAACCTATGGTCCATTCTCAGTTTTTATTGTACATGTCCTGTCAGCAGCATTTGACAAAACAGATGTGTTTAAACACAAGTTACCTAAGCAGTTTTTTCTCTTGACTTCTAGGACACTGCACTTCCCTGGTCTTATTTCCTGATAATCTGCTCTCTTTCAGAATCCTAGTTATCAATTTTCTGCAGCTCCCTGACCTCTAAATTTTGAGATGATTTTCAGTTTGGTACTTAGATTACTTCCCTTTCTGTTGATGTGTAGCTCTAGAAGGTCTTATCCAGACTCAAGGCTTTAAATGCCACCTATATTATGCATATTCCTAAATTTATATTTGCAATTTGGACCTCTCCCCTGATCATTTGATTCACACATCTAGTTGATCAATTGGAGCTTCACTTGCATGTCTAACAGGTATATTAAATGGGGCAGACCTCAAACTGTGCTTTCATATCCTTCATCTTTAAATCTGCTTCTCTTACAGCTTTCCCCATCTCTGTATATAGCATATTAACCTTGTCAGATACTCTGGAGACCTTCTTGACTTTTTCCCTTCTTTCTTACAGCTTACCTCTATCCCATCAACAAACCCTTTTGGCTCTTTCTGCAAATGTGTCAGACTCTGACCACTTCTCATCACTTCCCCTGCTTCCATTGGAGTTCAGGTCTTCATCATCTCTCACTTGAACTAGGAAAATAGCCTCTAAACTCTTCTTCATGCTTCTGCCTTTATTCCCCAAAAATCGTACTCAATGCAACAGCAACAGTAATCCTTTTAAAATGCAAGTCATCATTTCTCTTCCCAAAATCTTCCAATGGTTTTCCATCATATTCAGAGAGATGCAAAGTTATCAAAATGAACTATAAGATCTTAAGTAGCATATATTAGTCATCTATGACTGCATAACAACTTGCTACAAAATGTTACAGCTTAAGACAACAAACATTTACATATCCCAGTTCCTGTGGGTCAAGAATTTGGGTGCAACTTAGCTGGTTTCTCTGACTCAGGGTCTCTCACAAGGTGTCCACTGAGGCTGTTGTCTCCTGTGAAGAATCCACTTGTGGAAGATCCTTTTCCAGTATTGCTGACGAGGATGTTGGCAGATTTCATTTCTGTTGGATGGGGGCCTCTCTTCATCCTTGCTATGGCCCTCTCCTTAGGTCAGCTCCCAACACGGCAGCTGGCTTCCATCAGAGGGTGAGCAAGGAAGTAAGAGAATATGAGCAAAATTGGAAGTAGAGGCTTTTTGTAATCTAATCTTGAAAGGGATATCTCATGATTTTTGCTGTACTTTCTTCATTAGAAGCAAGTCACTAGGTGCAGCCCACACTCAAAGTGTGAATGTTAAACAAAAACATGAATACCAGGAGGTGGGATACATTAGAGCCAACTTAAAAGCTGCCTACCAGAAATAAACTGCACCCCTCCCATTATATATCTGACTTTATGTCTTGCGACTTTCTGCTTGATCACTCTGCTTCACTTACACTGGCTCCTTTGTTATTCCATGTGTGAGTCATACCCTTTCATGCCATTTGGGCTAGACATGTAAAGAGATGTTTGATTTTTAAAGGTTACATCGAAATTCTAAGAAGTTATCTGAAGCAATGAGGATGGTGGTGATCTCGTATCAACATCATAGGAGTCCATTGTTGTCTTGAAGTCAGTAGCATGTTTAGAGTCTTGTTGCTGAGAGTGGGCTCTGTAACATATTACCATGAATTTATAGCATCATGCATGATGAAAATTATCTCAGGAATCATATGGAGCTGGATTTGTGAATTACAGGATTCTCTTGGCCAGTTGCAATTCTATTAACAGGGAGAAAGTGAATCTCTATTATCCCAGAACTTGTTTATTGGTTAAGACAAGAATTCCCTGATGGCTGCAATGCTGAGAATGATCAGAGGAGAAATACTGTATAAAACATCAAAGTCCAAAAATCAGATGGAAAGCAAAAAACAACATACCATATAGCTATTTATTAAAAAAGAAGAGGAAAACAAAACTACTACTATACAAGTTAACCAGATTGAGCTTCACAAGAACTTGAAGCAGAGTCTACAGACAACCCAAAAAGTCCTCATAAATGAAGTGCAAAACTTAGTATGAAAAGATATGGGTAAAATAAGCCATTATTGTAGAAGCAAAACCAGAGATATGGCCCTGAATTGTAACTATAAAAACAATGTACATTAATAATCTGTTTTGATAGAACAGTGATAGGAAATGAGAAAGTCTAAAAAATAAAAATATTATTAGAATGCCATTTTGGTAAAATGTTTGTCTTTGTTCTACTAGATCTTTCATTAGTACCTCCTTACGAAGGTTGGTTATGTTACTATACACTCCCTGAGAGAACTATCAGGCTTTGTGGGTTTCCAATGAACTTTATAGATGCTTCATAAATATTAAATAATCAATTTCAATTCAGCAAGCAATGACAAGATCTTCAACAGCAGCACTACGTTTTCCTGACCATTACATTGTATACAAATAAATGGATTTTTTAAAAAGATTGAATAGGACATTTATTTAAAATATTTCTTCTTCATTAATTTACTATCTCCTATAAAACAGTCATAGCTCATTTATTATGAAATCATGTTTTCTACTTAAATATCAACTATAATCTTTGAATATTACAATTGGTAGTGAAAGTATCAGATGCTAAGAAGGAATATTTTTTAAAAATAATTTCAGTATGTTTTTTAAAAGCCTAGAACTTGAAAAATTTTTGTTCTGGAAAAATTTTACAGTAAGTTAGATTAGTAAAGCAAACTTCTCAATTTCTATATAGCGCACAAAGAGGAAAGTTTTAAATATTATATATTAATAGGAAGGGGCCATAGTTTTGATTAAATGTATCTACTACTTTCTAATCATATTCTGAGTCCTCTTTACCCAACATAGTTTACTTAACATTTGAAAATTAAATAGAAAGAAATGCATCAAAATCTATGCTATACATTTGAAATTGATAGTTTATATTCAGTGTAAAAGGGATACAATTTATAGTCCTGGGTGACAATTTTATGTAACAAGGCATGAGAATGTAAAATTCCATTCAAATTCCTTTCTTATCACTATTCATGAAAACAGCATTTCTCAGCTGGGAAAGCTAACAGTGATATTACATGGTGACATTATTTCAGAAGAGTTGTCTACGATGCAGAATATCTAATTTTTTCACACATGAGTAAGGACTATGTAAAATTTAGCATTTAATTTGCATTCTATATGCAATATTTTAAAGGGCAAGGTTAAGTATTTTTTGAAATATTATCATAACCTAAAATTAATTTAAAAACAAGAATTTAATATTTATGTACCTCTTTTCTTCCAAGTTTTTTTCAAATAGCTTTGCCAAAAAGAATAGTATATCTTGAAATACTAAAGATACAAACACTATTATTGCTGTTTTAGTAAAAAGAAAACTGGAGCATGGAATTGCATAAATGATTTTTCTAAGGCAATCCAAATAAAGTATAGGAGCATAGGAATCATAACATAGCCAGAGCTTCACTATTCCTCATTTTAGTGTTTGATACTATTCTTTAAAATATCAAAACCAGTAAAACAGCCTAATAACATCATGTCCAGGGGATGAAGCTGTTAACTGCACTGTTTTCAAGACATTATGGAATCACGGTTAATGCAAGATCATGCAATTTAATTGCCTAACCTTATGGACAAGAAACCTTAAATCTATAAAGATTGTGACTTGCCCGAGGCCGTGGAGTACGTTAATAGCACAGACTACACTGAAACCCAGGTGTCCTCTATTCCTTGTACAGTGCTGTGTCCACTATGATTAAAGTGAAAAATTGAATCAGGCTACCAGATGCCTTGATCCTTTATGTAATTGGATTAATGATATAAAGAGTCTTGTTACAGTAGATTCTGACTTTCATATGTTTCAAATATAATATGCACTTGAGGCATTATTTGCTCTCACCTTTTACATGTAAGAGACAATTTTAAAAATTATTTTTGCATAATCCAGAAAGATAAGATGTTCACTACTCTTCAGTTCTTATTCATTCTCCACTTTACTTATTTATTTATTTCATTTACCAAACAACATCACTAATCTTATATTCTTGCAGTTTAATCATCAAAAACAGGGGTCAAAAAATTTATTTGTAAAGTGCTAGATAGTAAATGTTTTTGTAACTACTCAATTCTGGTGTAATTATTGTTGTTTGTAACACCAAGGCAGCCATAGACAGTGTGTGAATAAATGGAAGTGGCTGTGTTCCAATATAACTTCCTTTACGAAAATAGGTGATTGGCCTGTGGGTTATGATTTGTCAACCCTAATCTAAAGCCTGATGATTGCAGAATGAACCAAGATGATGACAACTTGTGGTATTTCAGCTCAAAAGTATTTTAGTTCTGAAATAAAATCACCATCAAAGTCTGGAGCTCAAATTTTTCTAAGTTATGTATATCGGCTTGCTGAATTGGCATACCTTTTAAAAATAAAACTTATCTTTATCCTCTCTGGGATTCTTTTTTTTTTTTTTGGTAAAGTTATCTTTAGTATTATCATTGGCATAATTTTTTTGTAGGCGAGAAAACCCAAGAATTTGGCAATACATAGGGTTGAAATAACACATTATATGATTTCTTAATTTAAACAAAAATATTCCAAAACCTTTTATCCTCACCCTGATTTGTCTCATCTCTCACCTCTGCCTCTTTAGAAACCCCATGAAATGTCAATAAAATAATTAAAAAAGGTATAAGCCCACTAAGTTGTAGAGAACAGGAGAGAAATCAATGGAGCAGAATTCTCAGCACAGTTTGGAAGGTGAAAAGGGGGAGTGACGGTGACTCAGATTAGTGGAGGAGGCTAGCATCAAGTGCTGCAGAGGAGGGCATGAATGAGAAGTGGGCCAATTCAAACTTCTAAGTGCAAAATTTCAGGGAGATTCAGAACTCGAAGTACCAGTTAACAAGGAAGTTAATATATGAGACATGGGGGAAAAAAAGTAGGAAAATCAGGTTAAAGTTTGCATGTAAAATATGTACTTGTATCCTTAGCCCACCCAGATCCCAAACTCTTTTGCATTCCCCCAAATCTCATTGACACCTCCGTAAATAGACTGGAAGCTTACTCTGAAGAAACTGAGCCATAGAAGCTCAGGGCCCAGGGACAGCCAGCCCAATAGCGAACTGCAGAGAGGAATGGAACAGAAGCAAAGAGTCAAGTCACAATCAGCACAGTGAATATGAAATCCTCTGGGATTCTTTTTCTATCTCGTTTTAGAACATCACCCATAAAGCCAGAGGAGTCTCCTCTTAGAAAATGCATGGTCCTGCAGAAAAAAATCGAATAGGAAACAATCACTATATATTGACATATGAGGGTCCCAATTATCCAACTTTAAGTTCCCAAACTTCTTTCTCCTCCTTCAATCTCTTCCTCTCTCCTATTCCCTGCCCACAGTTTCTATCAGCTTTTTAGCTTCTCATGATTAGATGTGATTTATCAGCTAAGGATTACCAATTAATGTAAGAAAGTCTCCAATATGAGGAAAAAAGACACCAAATAAAAAATTAAAAACAATAAACAAACTCCCAAAACAGAAACCCGGAGGAAACAGACCCAACACAGAAATGGAAGGAAATTTACATTTAATGTTATCAGAGAGAAGAAAATACTTACTGAATCCCTGAAATGGAAACAGAAAGCTATTCTAAAGAAACAGTAACAGAATTAAGATAAATCTCTTAAAATTAAAAATATGACAATATAAATCATGGGCAGGAAACCAAAAAAGAGAAAATCTCATAAATTGTAACAGAGACAAATAAGTGAAAAATAAAAGAAAAAAAAAAAACTTAGAAGATTAATCCTAAATGGCCAACATCCAACAAATAGTTTCCAGGAAGAGACAAGAGAAGGGGTAAATTATCTAAAAAAGCAATAAGGGGAATATTTTTGAGAAATTATGCATGTTTTAAAGAAATGTATAAAGTGTCAAGAATATTTGAATATTTTCTAATCTACTCTTTTTTTTTTGAGATGGAGTTTCACTCTTGTCACCCCAGCTGGAGTTCAATGGCGTGATCTTAGCCCACTGCAACCTCTGCCTCTCGGGTTCAAGTGATTCTCCTGCCTCAGCCTCCCGAGTAGCTGGGATTACGGGTGCCAAGTAGCTGGGATTACAGGTACTCACCACCTCGCCCAGCTACTTTTTGTATTTTTAGTAGAGACAGGGTTTCACCATGTTGGCCAGGCTGGTCTTGAACTCCTGACCTCAGGTAATCGGCCTTCCTCGGCCTCCCAAAGTGCTGGGATTACAGGTGTGAGCCACCGCAACCAGCCTATGCCCTTTTTATATAGAGAGAATAGTTGTATTACATATCTGAGAATGTGATACCTGAAATTTAGAGCAAGTTTAAAACTTTTACAGTGGAAATAAATTATGTAAAAAAGGCGAATTTTGATCTATTTTGTTTTAGTCAGACCTCAAATGAGAGTAGTGTATTCTGTGTTAGGTACCATAATTTCATAGGGAAAGAAACTCTAAGAGATTGGGTAAGGGGAATGGGCAGTTTGCTGTACTTATTATTTATTGCTGGGTAACAAAGCACACCAAAACTTTGTGGCTTCGAACAACAATCATTTTATCTGTTCATGCTTCTGGTGGTCAGCAATTTGAGCTTAGCTCAGCTGAGTGGCTCTTCTGCTAGTCTCATCTGGGGTCATTCATGCAACTGTAGTCATCTGGTTGTTCGACTGGGACTGAGTGCCTCCTATAAGTGGCTGAAGGTTGCTAAGGGCTGACAGCAGAGCTGGTCTCTACACAAGGAAGCTAGTTCAGGCTTCTTCACAAGGATGTCTCAGGTTCCAAGAAAGCGAGAGTGGAAGTGATAAGTCTTCTCAAGGTTTCTGCTTGAAATTCCTCTAATATCACTTCTGCTGTGATGCTCAAAGCAGGCCACAAGACCAACCCAGATTCAAAGTTCCAGAGCACGTATATCCCCCTATTCTTCGGACAAGCTGCATGTGCATTCAGGGATGGAAAGAATTTGTGACTATTATTTTGCAATCGACTGTGTTTACTCCAAACCACATCACATGAAGAATAGTTAAAAAAAATTAGTCCAGCTGGGTGCGGTGGCTCACACGTGTAATCCCAGCACTTTGGGAGGCCAAGGCAGGCGGTTCATGAGGTCAGGGATCGAGACCATCCTGGCTAACATGGTGAAACCCCGTCTTTACTACAAATACAAAAAATTAGCTGGGCGTGGTGGTGGGCGCCTATAGTCCCAGCTACTCTGGAGGCTGAGGCAGGAGAATGGCATGAACCTGGGAGGTGGAGCTTGCAGTGAGCTGAGATCACACCACTGCACTCCAGCCTGGGTGACAGAGGGAGACTCTGTCTCAAAAGCAAAAAAAAAATTAGGCCTGATTAGCCTACAGTATAGTATAGGAGCTATGGTAACTATTTTGGACATTTGAAGTGTTGTAATATGAAAGGGACATTCTTTTTCTTACAAACCCTAAAGGTCAGATCAAAGATGTGGATGAGAGTTTGAGAAAGCCAATTTCTGCCTAATGCAGACAACAGCTCTTTAAAAATTGTGAAATGTTGTATCACGAGAAGGCTTTGGGTATATGTTGGTCCAACCCACAGACCGTGGGCTGCGTGAGGCCTATGATGGCTTTGAATGTGGCTCAGCACAATTTATAAACTTTCTTAAAGAAACGTAAGATTTTTAGTGATTTTTTTTTAAATTCATCAGCTATAGTTTAGTGTATTTTATGCATTGCTCAAGACCATTCTTCTTCCATTGTGGCACAGGGAAGCCAAAAGATTGGACAGCCCTGGTTTAGAATATGGTAGAGAGATTTGCTTTAGAAGGACACTAGGCTAGATGACTTTTAATCTTTCTTCCAGTGCTGGATCCCTATGAGTCTTTGCAATTTGTAGGGAGCATAAGTTGGTGGTCAAGACTAGAGATTATGTTTGGGAATGATCTGTGAATAAATGACTCATCTCAGTTGTGAGTTTATGAACAGGGAGAAGAACAAAAGAGAAGAGGAACAGAACCTTGGGAGATACTGAGACTCCAGGGAGGAAGAAGAAGCAATACCAAAGAAGTAGCACGGGAAAGAAAAAACAAATCAGTACGACTGATTTAACATAGTATGTCACCTCAGCATTTATCTCCTCATGTAAAATTTTGTACTGCATTCAGAATATCTATTTCATCTTATTCCTCTCTGATACATAAATCTTTTTCATCTGAAATTCCTATTTGTGAAGTTATTACTTGGTTTCAGAGTTATTCAGGCTCAAATGGCTCCCTCCCCTCAGAGTTTTCCATTTATTATAGCATCCTAACTAGTATATCTTTCCTAGGAGGATAAATTACTACAGCTGTGGGTTTAAAATCTATGGTTACCTCCCAACCTCCTGCATTTTTAACTGAGTTTATATTCAGGCTCTTCAGAGAGAAATATGACTGAACAACCAGGAAAATGTTGCATTACCTAATCCAGTTGTACATTAGTGGCAGGATAAAGACAAACTCTAGGTCCAATAAGCAAGGTAGACAATTTCCTGGAGACTCTTGTATCTGCTACTTCTCGATTTAGCTTTTACCTGGGACTGATTCCAGTATGATAATGGTGAAAGTTATTGATAAAGAGACATCCACACTTTTATGAATCCCTCCTTACTCATATAGCAACAAGACTTTTGTATTGTAAATTTAGCAGATGGAAGACCACAGAAAGAATAAAAACAAAACTGTCCGTAAAAGATTATTTAAAAACTTTCAAATGGAAAATGCACACTGCAGGTAAATCAGGTCAATCTAAAAGAGATATTTGTAGTATAAGCAGGACAAGCTACAAGCAAGCAAGGCTCTGAGTGAGGTTTCCTCCACAATCGAATTTAGAATTGCATAGATTTTTAATGTGGGTGTGACATTTTGTTGAGGCAGGTTAAGTGAGGAGGAAGGCATTTCTGGTGCTTGGGAAGATGGCGTGGCTTGGTCTCACGTATTCCTCAGGCTTTGCTCGACTGTGACCTAACAATGCACAGGTATGCCTGCCTGCCTGTTTTCCTATCTGGAAATGCCCTGGATGGCATAATTGACATTTATTTCCTTGAGGAATTTCCGTTAATGCAGATGTCTCTTCTAATACATCCATTACTAATATTTCCCTATGTTCTATAATTACACCGTCTAAAGAATTCACATTCTCCCTTCTAAGTTCTAGATACTAGTGACGGCAATATTTTGCAGCAAGGTAACCCATGTAGCATCCTTATTCCCTCAGCTTTCTACATAAACTTCTAACTTCTAATTTGGATACATATATATATATATATATATATATATATACACACACACACACACACACACATATACGTGTATATATATATACACACACACACACATATATGTGTGTATATATATAAAATATATATATATATAATTATTTCAGTTTTTTCCCCTATATCTTAGGAAGATTTGAATAATCAAAACAGGTCTTTTAGGATCCTTTACGCAGAGTTTCCTTCCTGATTCCTTTTGGTTTTTGTCCTCACTTTCCAACAGTCAGGATACCCAGCACTTTATTTACACTCACAAAATAGAAAACAATGTAAAGTAAAATGATCACATTTCAATAACTCCAACACCTAATTTGTGTATCTTCTTCTAACACTTAAGCAATCTGTGCTTCAAATACTTATTGCACATTTCTCAGATTCAGCAAGAACATCCCTCACCTACCTGAGGTGTCAGTAGTTACTATTTTTGCTGGTCCATGTTTTATGTGTTATTACTGGTAAACAACAACCCATATTTACAACAAATTTGAGGAAAATATATCAAGTAAGAAGTGAAAATTCTCTACTCTTTTACTAAACTCAAGCCTTTCTTTTTGCTTTTTTTCTTTTTGAGACAGAGTTTCACTCTGTCACCCAGGCTGGAGTGCAGTGGCATGATAAGTGCAAAAAAGACAAACAACCCAATACAAAAGTGGGCAGAGGATATAAACAGTCAAATTACAAAACTAGTAAATGACAAATAAATATGTGACAATGATTACTTCCACTAAACATTCAGTAATTACCAACTGAAGTGGTTTTTTTTTTTGCCTATTAAAGCTCTAAACTTTAAAAATGGATTATTGGACATGGATTATTGGAGAAAAGATATTCTCAAGAACTGTTTGTGAGAGTACAAATTGATACAGCTTTTTATTGGCAGGTAATTTTTAAAAATTACTCAACAATTCCACTTCCAGAATTATGCTTCATAGTAAAAAATAGTCTCTTTGTCCCTCTGTTTGTATATACATGAATTTTCACTGCAATATTGCAACAGAGAAAACCAGAAATGCATCTTACATGATTATTAATAAAGCAATCATTAAATAAAATACAGGAATATTCTTCAGCTATTAAAAATAAGGGGATAGGACCATTTTTGTTGATCCAGAACGTCAATGATATGAAGTTATCAAAAATCAAAATGTGCGGCATAATGCCAGATAATGAGGAGAACAAAAGAACAAGGTGGAGGGAGCTGGAAATGCTGTAAACATTAAACACTCAGCAACAATTACTTTAAGGCTTGAGTTGGCCAGGCACAGTGGTTCACACCTGTAATCCCAGCCCTTTAGGAGGCCAAGGTACGTGGATCGTTTGAACCTAGGAGTTTGAGACCAGCCTGGGGAACGTGGTGAAACTCTGTCTCTACCAAAAATACAAAAATCTAGCAGGATATGGTAATATCCTCTGGTCCCAGCTACTCGGGAGGCTGAGGTGGGAGAAGCACCTAAGCCCGAGAGGAGGAGGTTGCAGTGAGGGGAGATAGCACCACTGCACTCCAGCCTGGGTGACAGAGCCAAACCCTGTCTTAAAAAAAAAAAAAAAATATATATATATACATATATATATATACACACACACACACACACACACACACACACACACACACACGTATAATTTTACCATATATATTTATATAGGTATATATACATTCTATATAAAAATATATATTTATATCTCTAAATTATGTACACATTTAGAAGCAATATGGTGCTAAATTTTGCTTGTTTTTGAACTCTACAAAAATGAATTTCTACTGTTTTTATTCTTGTGTACTTTGCTTTTTTCACTCGATAGTATATTTCTGAAATATAATTCATGTTGATATTTGTAGCTGTAGTTCATTTCCTTTCACTTATTAGTCATGTTCAAAAAAACTTGCTTAACCCTATTATTAATTATAATAAATTGTCCATGTATTTGGTTGTATTTTCTATGTGGACAATCATAACTTTACCAAGTAATGACTTCTATTTCTTCCATCCCAACTACTATTCCAGTTATTTTTCTTATCTAATTGTTCTAACTTGGCCCTTACTCAATTGTGTTTTGACAAACCAGTGCCCTTCTACTCACCTCCTCACTCTCCCAATCCCTGATTTGTAGTATTGCCAATTTCCATAATGCAAATACTTCTACCATAGTCAAAGATGTGCTACAATAGGCTTGTGCTTGGGGAAGTCACTGGTCTTACCATCTTCCCTATTAACTTGAAGCAGCTGGCTTGATAGGTGAAATGGCCTTTTAAAAACACAGTTATATTGCCAGGTAGGTAACAATACTTTGCAGGGCTGGGGAAAAATTCTCCAGAAGGCTGTATATGCTCTGAATCAGCATCCAATATATGGTACTGTTTTTCCCATAGCCAAGACTGATGCTACCAACTTGATTCGGTATGATCAAGGTCCATCAGGCCACTAGATTGTAGGCACGCTAGTCTACTTAATAATAGTTCCCAAGCTTTTATTATTGAATCAGATGTTTGCTGTAAGTTTTGTTTTTTAAATAGATACCCTTGAAAGGTGAGAGAGTTCTCTTCCATTTCAAGTTTGCTGCTAGTTTTCATCATGGTTTCTGAATGTTCTAGCAGTTTTCTGTACCAGTATAAGATTACCTTGTCTGTTTTTTTTTTTTTTACTTCCTCCTTTAAACTGTTAGTATATAAATGAAGTTTATAAATTGTCCTGTGCTGATACTCTTTTACTCCTGGGGTAGCCTCACTTGGTAATTATCTGTTATCTTCTTTACATAATGCTAGAGTCAGTGAGTATGATTCAACTGTCTAAAGGTCCCCTTCTCATGTCTCTGGATTCTACAAAATATATTATTAGGATGAAGTATGCGATTGGTTCTACTTTGGTTTCCAGTCATTTCTGGAGCAATCATCCAAGGTCAAAGGTGACAACATATGTAGAATAGCTCTCCTTGCTGGAGCACTCTACATTGAATTAAAGTTTTCTGAAAAGGAGACACCAGTGTTATGACATTGGCAGCTCAACTAAGAGATGTTTATTTATCCAATATGAAGGGTACTCTGAGTATAATGTATACTAGGCATATTCTACTTTATGGAGTACTTTAGGGGAGAATGTATTGATCATCATGAAGTAAATACATCAATTTCATAAAGACAATTCAGTGATAAACATTACATATGCAATGTTTTATTTTTACATACACAAAATTCTTGACTTTCGAATTTACCACTTTCATATTTTGGATGACATTACTACCAAAATGTGAATTTTAAAATTTAATTTAATGTAATTTTCAATTGACAATTAATAATGGTATATATTTATTATATTAACTGCATATATTAAGTGAGGTTTTGAGATATGCAAAAATTATAGAATGATTAAATCAAGTTAATTAACATAGCCCTCACCTCACATACATTTTTTAATAGTGCAAATAATTAAAATCTGCTCTCTTCGCAATTTTGAAATATATGTTACATTATCATTAACTATAGTCACCATGCTGTGCCATGGGTTTCAAAACCTTACTCCTTCTGTCTAACTGAAACCTTGTAGTTTTTGACCAATATCTCCTCAATCTTCTTCACTACCACCCCAGCTCCTGGTAACCACCATTTTACTCTCTGCTTCTATAAGTTCAACTTGTTTAGATTTCATGAGTGATATCATGAGTACTTGTCTTTCTGTGCCTTACTTATTTCACTTATGTCCTCCAGGTTCATCTATGTTGTCACAAATGAGAGGATTTTCTTCTTTTTAAAGGCTGACTAGCATTCCATTATGTGTGTACACATTTTCTTTATCCATATATGTTTGTCCCCAAGTGTCTTGAGGGACACTTAAGTTGATTGCATATTTTGGCCATTGTGAATAATTCTGCAATGAACATGGGAGTTCAGATATCTCTTCTACATGTGGATTTTATATACAAAGTTTCCTTTGGCTATATACCCAGTAGTGGGATTGCTAGATCATATGGTAGTTCAATTTTTAATTTTTTGAGGAACCTTCATACTGTTTTTCATGGTGGCTATACTAATTTAAATTTCCACCAACAGTGTAAAGAGTGCCTTTTTCTCCACATCTTTGCCACACTTATCTTTTTTTTTTTTTGATGAGAGTTCTTTTAACAGTCATGAAATAATGGCATATAGTCTAACTTTGCATTTCCCTGATGATTAGTGATATTGAGCATTTTTATATACCTGTTGTTTATTTGTATGTTCTTTTTTGAGACATACCTAGGCAGGTTCTTTGCCTATTTTTTAAATTGAGTTATTAGTTTTTTGTTGTTGTTGTTGTTGTTTTGAGACAGAGTCTTGCTCTGTCCCCCATGCTGGAGTGCAGTGGCTCAATCTCAGCTCACTGCAAGCTCCACCTCCCGGGTTCACGCCATTCTCCTGCCTCAGCCTCCCGAGTAGCTGGGACTACAGGCTCCCACCACCACGCCCGGCTAATTTTTTGTATTTTTTAGTAGAGACGGGGTTTCACCGTGTTAGCCAGGATGGTCTCGATCTCCTGACCTCGTGATCCGCCCGCCTTGGCCTCCCAAAGTGCTGGGATTACAGACGTGAGCCACCGTGCCCAGTGACTTATTAGTTTTTTTTTGCTGTTGAGATGTTTTAGTTTCTTATACATTTTGGATATTAACACTTTATCAGATTCATGATGTGTAAGTATTTTCTCCTAATCCATGGGTTGCCTTTTCACCCAGTTAATTGTTTCCTTCTCTTTTTAGTTTTATGAAATCCCATTTGTCTATTTTTGCTTTTGTTGCCTGTGCTTGTCAGGTCAACAAAATGTAAGTGCAGTTCTTTAAGTAGATATTGGAATCTAACAGTAAAAGAAGTAAGCAATATTAATTTCACTAGGAGGTAAAAATATAATTTCTAAGATAATGAATTTATGCTTGTTATTACATTGCTATTCATTTAATGGATAGAATAGTGATTGAAAATCAGGGAATGTTACTTTACTCAGCTATGAATAGAGACTAATAATTTTTACCTATGAAAGGAGAATGTAAGAATTAAGTAGTATCCTTAGAGGCATTTAGGAATAAAATAAAAGTTGAAAAGATGACATTGTAAAGTTTACTCATGGTGCACTTTTTCCTGAATAGCTTTACCAGATAATTGTTAGCTTGTGAATTCCCTAAGGACAACAACCAAGTTCTTGTCACTTATTATTCCTAAAAATTGTGGCGAATGTTCAATGACTGTGCATATGATAGAAGGATAGTGGTCATGTGGGAAAAAGATAAATGGAATTACAATACAAAATATACTTAAAATGAGACTAATAAAACTGTAGTTGTAAACGTGAACTGGCATAGCGACTGAACAGGAATGTGCACACAGAAGGGGGAGAATTGGAAAAGTAGAGGTCATATCTAGGCTGGCACAGAACACAGGCACACACTGGAGGACTTGATCATCTTTTAAACTCTGCTACCCCAGGCAACTGTCAATCTTCGTCTTGTATTTGTGCCAGCCTTTCAATCTTCTCTGATTCTATGAAACCATGCAGATTCTGTAAGAGCCCAAGGAATATTTCTCTTTTATCGCTTTGAAACTTTAAATCACATTGGGTTGATATTTGACGTACTTGTTGACAGCCTAAATGGATGTTTTTAAATAGTGTAGCTTAGATAAATCTTTCTTTTGTTGTAGGGGAGCCAAAAATGTTTTTATGGCTAACTCAAGCTTAATAAGCAGTCAGAGTTTTTTTAAAAAATGCAACCATTTAATTTTTAATATGGATTGGTTCCTTTTGGTAATTAAAAACTAACATTTTGTAAAATTGCCAATATTTTAATCAAAATAATGTAGGATTTTATACATAAGGCATTTAAATATGTTTTAAACCTTTCTGAGATGGAATCATGAAATAAAACAGATTGAAATAGTGTCTTTTATTGCCTATTTTCTTTTTAGACCAAAGGTCATATGTAAAGTTCAGCAAAGGCTGTATTAAATTTTAATAGAGTCTAAAGTTTACTTGGAGTAATGCATGTCTAAATATTTTGTCACTATACTAACATGTGGCACCAGGAGGTATAATAACTAGGTATCACGTTGTTTAAGTAGGCCTTGAAGTTTTTGCCACTAGTCAAGTTTGATCAATGATGACCCAAATCTCTTCCATTTTTCTCATTAGTGGCAGTGCCAATATGTTGCTTTTAAGTCGGGATAACCATGTAGCCAGAATGTTTTGACAACTCGAGATAGACAGTCTCTTGTTTAGCCAGAGACCAAATAAAAGAGGCCAAGAGGAGAGTTTTACTTCCTTTTGTGTGCTTAGAAGTCTATATCTCTGGTAAGCATTCAGACATAAGCATTATCAAATATAATCATCTCAAGGGCCTTGAAATGGTTATACTTTGTGCATTTCTATACAGTGTGCTGCATTTCATTCACTTCTTTAATTTCTGTACAGCCAGAGGTATCTTAGAATTTCTTCTGCTGTCTTAGCCATTATATCAGTAAAACAGAAATCAAATACTAGTTACCTTACATTACTTTGTAATAAACATTAACATAGTAACATTCTTAATATTAAACATCATGTGTTTTGCTCTTTTCCTAATATCTTACTAATTTTCCAACTTCAAATTCTGATTATTAAATATATATTCTATAATGCCATCTGACAACTTTTTAGTTTATTCAGTCTTAGATAACTCGTATGTAAAGAATGATCAGACATATTTTGACTATCTCAATTTCATTTTTTCAAAAGGTTAGCTGAGATCATGATAAAGTTCTTAATTCTGAACTTAATTTTTCTCAATAAGTAAAGCTAGTTTAATAATATTAAATAATAGCCATCAATTAAATAATGAGCTCTGTTGAAGTCAGTTTAACAAACTGAATTCAAAAGAATATTATTTCTGCTCAAAGGCAATGCAACATCATTATAGAGACCTAATAGGTTCCAAGTGCTAATAGTTTGGCCTGCATCACATTTAGAAGTTTTAAGCACTTCGAAATAATGTGAAAGTATATGTGGAGATGGAGTTTGGGCTGAAATTTGAACTGCTGTATAGATCTGTCTGCTTCCTCCTGACTGTTAGTTTTTTCATGTATTTTTGCAGTACTATGAAGGTGAAGATCACTAGACTCTCATTTTCTTTATGTTGATGGAGCCACTGAAAGCCCCAAACTACCACAAAGTCAGGAAATGCAAAGTGTGGTCACTTTCCACAACCTATTATGAAATAAAATTGCTTAGTATTCTTGCGTTATGTGAGGTTTCAGTTATTGATCTTGAGCATATCATCAACAAGCAAATAAGTGAATGTGGCCCTCTTTCTCCCCTTTATTTTCTATAAAGAATTAGCCTGATATTATAGTCAACCACAAACTTTACTCTGCCCCCAAAACGATTAGTGCACATACGCTACAAAAAGCAATGATTAATGTGTTTTTTATTATTGTATATTATTAATGTGTAGTTTATGTTTGTGATAAGATTCTAAAATTACTATTTTTTAAAGATTAGCTGTAGTTCTGTGTTTAGGAAATACAAGCGTAAACATTAAGAGATGCTTCAACTAAAATAAATTGTGCTGAATTTTTGGTCTTTGTGGTATAAGGCAATTGTATAGATGCCACTGAGCTGAAATGGTCTTTAATTATTCACTGATCAAAAGATAAGACTTATATTTTGCTAATTAATGCAATTTCCAATTAAAAACATACAGACTAACACAAGCTTCTATTTAAAATAAATTTTCTCCACAGTGTGAAGTATATCTGTTCTTTAAAATTTTGATGTTTTCTTAAAAAGATTTATCAATTTCCCCCCAAAATGATCTGTCTTCTTTTTGCCTATGAACAGAAATTGGGAAGAGACATATGGAAACCCTCCACATTTTCTCTAAGCTGCCCAAAGTCTATAATACAAAAGACTATAGGATTTAAACTTGTTCTTTGTTTTAGCATCATTCTTCATCTTTAGAGAAAGACATAACACATCTAAAACAAAACAAAAAATGAACTACTCCCCAGCTGCAAAAAAATTCTGTAAGTACAATGTGGTGTTGAGCATGGAGAATTTGGAATCAGATAAACAATTTGGGTTTGAATTTCAGCTTTCCTGTATTGCCTTGGACAAAATATGAACTTTTCTCAGCTTCAACTTCATATGTAACATTCCAGGCAATGACTGAGTTAGCCTCACAAGATTCCTATAAAGATTGTGTGATACACTCTGCCTAGCAGAGCACCCGGTCCAATCAGGATATAGTGATTAATAAGACAAATGCTTGATGGCTCTCACCTTTGTGTATTGTTATGGGTTGAATTGTGTTCCTGCGAGATTCACAGGTGGATGCCCTAACCCGCAGTACCTCAGATTGTAGCTGTATTTGGAGATAAAGCCTTTAAAGAAGCGATTAAGGTAAAATGAAGTCGTATGGGTGGGCCCTAATTCAATACAATGGGTGTCTGTATAAGAAGAAACAATAAAGACACAGACGTGAGCATGCAGAGAGGGAAGTCCATGTGAGAACACAGCAAGAAGATAGCTATCTGTAGGTCAAGGAGAGGGGCCTCAGGAGGAGTCAACCCCGCCAACAACTTGATGTTGGACTTCTGGCCTCCAGAACTATGAAAAATCAATTTCTATTGTTTAAGCCAGTTAGTCTATGGTGCAGTCCGCCCTCCATATCCCTGGGTTCCCCATCTATGGATTCAACCTACCATGGACCAAAAATATTTGGGGGAAAATAGTCAATAAAAATAAAAATAACAATAAAAAATAATAAAATTAAAAAACGAACGTCTACTATTTACAGAGTAATTACATTATATTAGGTATTATGAGTAAGTCTAAGTAATCTAGAGATCATTTAAATAATAGGGTAGGATGTGTGTAGGTTATATGCAAATGCTATGCCATTTTATATAAGGGACTTGAGCATCTGTAGATGTTCATATCCACAGGGGTGTCCTGGAACAAATCCTTCATGGATACCAACAGATGATTGCATTTTGTTACGGAAGCCCTAGCAAACAAATATACCTACCCAGGACAACTTTCTTCTCCAGTTTTTGGAAAAGACTTATTGCATCAGACAAAAGTGTTGGGCCTATGACTATGCTAGGCCATGATCATAGTACCTATAGCAACCAAGTCATTTGCCCAGGCCCAAAACAAGGTTAGTCAGAGTCCTTTTCTAGGCTTTTTCTGTTAAAGGACACGGGGTTATTCTCTAATTCTTTACTTAAAATTGTGGTCCTAGAACATATACCCAGTGATACAAAGATAAGCCTGAGAGGAAATGGCAGGTACTCAAAGAGAAGAAAAGGTGAAAGATAAAGAGGGAGAGTACCAGAGCCACCCTTAGTTTCAACACCTGTCTTCAATTTTGTGAGCTTCTCTCCAAAAAGTTTTCATTTTAAGTTGGCTTATTGTCATTTTTAGCTAAAAGAAATCCCTACTATTCTTTTCACTTTTCTTATAAAACTGAACATACAGTTCCATGAGAAAAAAGAATCCTTACATCAACAGAGTTGATACATTACGGGTTGAGTTGTATGTTCTTCTCCCCATCCAAAAAGATATGTTGAAATCCTAACCCCCCAGTTCCTTAGAATGTGACCTTATTTGGAAATAGGGTTTTTGCAGTTATATTTAATTAAAATGAGCTCACACTGGAGTCCGGTGAGCCTCTAATCAAGTAAGACTCGTGTCGTTATAATAAGACAGCCATGTGAAGATGCAGAGATACAAAGGCAGAATGCTACGTAACAATGGAGGCAAAGACTGGAGTGATGCATCTACAAGCCAGATAATGCCAGTGATGGTTGGCAGACTACCAGAAGCTAGGAAAACGCAAGAAAGGATCCCCCTACAGATTTCAGAGGAAGCATGGACATGCCAGCATGTGGATTTCAAGTTTGTAGCTTCCAGAACTGCAAGACAATAAATTCACTTTGTATTAAGCTTCCCAGTTTGTGGTAACTGTAAGTTGTTGCAGAAGTTCTAAGAACCTAGTACAGCATATAAGAAAGGGGTTAAGGTTCATGGCAGTCATAGTTATCATTGAGATCCCACATTTTGTGTAAGAAGACCCTCCTCTGATCTCCTCTAGTCTTTATTTGCACTTTTCAGTTTTTAAAAGCACAGTGCAATTTGTATGTGTTTTAACAATTTGTGTGTGTCAACAACTAGATGGTAAGTCTTTTGAGGTCGGGATCTATGTCTTTTAGCTCTCCGCTGCCCAGCACAGTGAATAAATTCATGTACATCATGTTGTCATTGTCATCATCAACAGCATAAACGTCATCACTATCATAATCATCACCGTCATTACCATTAATACACCATTAATACAGCTACTGTTTATTATTATTATAGGGTTAAACAAGGTGCCTTTCATATATTATTCCATGTAATCTACACAAGACCCATGTTAAATAGCTATTAACCTATTTAAAGAAGATGAAACTGTTGCTGAAAGAGAAGTTTGGGAAGTACATTCCCAAAGTTCCCACAGTTGACGGGAGAGGAGGATTAAACATAATTTTAAGGATCTCCAAAGTAAAAGTCTTGAAGACAATGTGATTGTTATTTTGTAAATCTTTTCTAATTTTGCAACTGTTAAGCATTCTAGAATCCCACTCATGCTCTGAGTCACCCGAAATGATGCTCTTACACTTTTTCTGGGGCTGCAACTCAAAGTTTCTATCTTTGTTATTCTAAGAGATTATTATAATTATTATATCAGTAATACTTCTATCTTCATCTCTCTCTCTCTGTCTCTCTCTCGCCTTCTCTCACTTTACTTAATCTTCTGGCCATTACTGTAGTTTAGGTTGGATGAAATGAAATTACTACTTTTTCAATACTATAGAGATTTAAAATTTCATAAACAGATTTTCAGAAAAATAAATGATATAGACATTAACTATTTTTCTAATTTCTGGAACAAACTAAGACTCTCTTAAAAACCACTGGGACGACCCTCACTCCCTTTCATTCCCAACTCTGAACTAAAGCTGCCCTGTTGGGTTACTCAGGACCTCAGATCTCAGCTCTTTCATTGTTTTCTCAGAAAACTCTTCTCGGCTTCCCACTCTAGATCAAGCTCCACATTATGTATTTTAATAGTACCATGCACTATCCTTTTATAGCAGTTATTACTATTAGTTTTTAAAACTGTATTTGTGTGATTATTTTTTCATTTTTACCATTGACATGATCCACTTTTCTGTACATGTCATGAACACATGGCAACTTCTACCTTTTTTTACTCAACACTGTCCCTGGTAAGAAACTAATTCAGTGTCTTGGATGGAAACAGTATTCAAAAAATTGACCAAATGGATGAATGAATACATGGCCCTAAGTGTAATGCCCCTTTGGTTCTTCCCAGCCTTTATTCTAGGCTTATATGACTTGAGTGGTTGAACAATCCTCCTACCTCAAACTATCTTTCGCTTGGTTTCCGTGACATGGTACCCTGAGCTCTTCCGTCTCTGTTCACACTCTTGATGTCTTCTAGATTCGTGTCATCTTCTTCCTCTTTATGTGGACATTTTCAGTCTATTTTTTTTCCTTCTGACATTTTTTATTGGGCAATCAGTGTCAGTTGTCATCCTGTCTCCCTCTTCAATCAGCACTTTCTCAAGTTCCAGGATTGCAGCCTGTATCTGGTGCAGTCAGATGTTTTCATTGCGGTACAAAAGTGTCAGCTTTCATAGCATTTCCTTGCTTAATGTGTCTGTCTACACTCTCCTGTTTCCCTAAGTGATGAGAAAAATTTATGTCTTACTTATTTTATCTAGCATGGTGCCTTATACATATATGTATGGAAGAAAGATTGAATCAACTGTCTGCTCAAAAGCCTCCAATTGTGTTTGTCACACTTAGAATAACACCCAAAGTCCTTGGCATAGTCATCAAGTCCTGACCTCAGTTACCATCATTTGCTCTCTCACTTAGCTCAAGTTAAAATGGTCTTTTTGCTGTTTCTTGACATACTACATATCTTCTCATTCCAGGATTTTTTTTTTTTTTTTTTTTTTGAGACATAGTCTCGCTCTTTGGCCCAGGCCAGAGTGCAGTGGAGCGATCTTGGCTCACTGCAAGCTCTGCATTCTGGGTTCACGCCATTCTCCTGCCTCAGCCTCCCGAGCAGCTGGGACTACAGGTGCCCGCCACTGCGCCTGGCTAATTTTTTTTACTTTTAGTAGATACGGTGTTTCACTGTGTTAGCCAGGATGGTCTCGATCTCCTGACCTCATGATCCACCCACCTTGGCCTCCCAAAGTGCTGGGATTACAGGCGTGAGCCACCACCCCCAGCCCATTCCATGATTTTTGATCTGCTGTGCCATAAGCCTTGAATCTATTAATGCATAGATTTTAGGACATCTGTGAAATTGTTTCCCCCATATATTCCTATGGCTTGTTCTCATTAAAGCCTCCACTCAAGTGCCATCCTCTTGGAGGAGGCCTTTACTGACAGCATTATCTAAAATAGCAACACACTTTACTTTCCATCCTGTATTCTGCTCTACTTATGTTGCTTTTCATAGTACTTAACAATATCAAAGATTACAGGTTTATTGCCTATTTATAGGCAATATAGGCCTCCGCTACTAGAATGTAGGCTCTGAGACAGAAGAGTCATTGTCTATTATACTCATTGCTGTATTCTCAGCATGGGAAGAGCCCCACAGTAGGTACACTGAGTGAATGAGTCAATCAATATTCTCAAGCTTTTCAATGACAGGCATCATTTCATGTTCCATTTTTATGTTACCAATCACCTGGCACCCTGTCCTCAATACAGCAGATTTTCAAAAACTATTTGTTGAAGCTACATTCCTATGAGATTCCCATTTCATGAGGGGGAGGAGCTCCAAAATAGGTTCTGTTTGAAACTTTAGATCACTATTCTGTTAGATATCAGAAAAGGGTCTTGCCCTTGACTTTTTGATTGTGAATTTACTTCTTACTTTTTCTGCCATCAAATTATTTCATTTCACTTTCATGTCTTATTTTTCTTATTGTGTATTCAGTTTTCAACATGCTATAATATTAATTGTATAAAATATCTAATTGAGTGAGCACATTTGTAATTAAGCAGGGTTTTCTAGCTGGGACACCTCTCATACTGACAAGAATTGCGAACACTTCCATATATGTTTCAGAAACAGTTATAGTAGATACATTATAAATAATTAAGAAATGGAATAACCTTTTACTGATTAATTTCCGTAAACCGTAAGTTTGTTCTTTATGGACAAATGAAAAACATAACAAACTTGGTTTTTGATACCATATAGATGACAAATAGTGATCACTTATCAGAGAAGAAAGAAAATGCTAACTTCACTAAAATGATTATACTTTTGGGAAATATTCTGGAAAGTTTTTTACCTAATATGGCTGAGCAATAGGAGACCCTGAACTAAATTTCAGAAAACCAGAATGAGGTTTAACTGCATAATAATTGTGATTTAGAACCAAATGACTTAAACTCTTAGCATCTCAGCTTTCTTATATATTATCTTCAAAGCATCTTATCAAGATAAATGAAAAAGAGAGCATTATTCATCTCTTCTTTGAAGAAAGTCTTATTCATACTTGCATGTGAGGGTTCAGCCCTTTCTTTAAAAGCAAAAATACGTGGCACAGACAGTCCTGGGAAGTTGTAGCACTTCCTAAAATGAAAAGTTAAGTAGACATATAACTAGCACACAGTAGGGAATCCAGGCTATGGTTTTCTCACTTAAACTTTACATTTTGATCATACCATGCAAAGTAAAACAAAAAAATGAGACATTTTTGCCTTCTCTCAGATTCACCCAAATAACAAGTGTTCAGAGAATTTTCCATTTGAGTCAAACACAATACTAGCTAAAGGGATGGGGAAAAAGACAAAGAAGGAATCAAATCTGTGTTCACTATGAAAGGAATAAAAAAAACTAAACAACTTAGTGGAAGACATTCTAAATTGTAGGTATTATAAGGAAGGCCCTTTTGTAAAATTTAAAATTTTATGTCAGAGGTTCATAACATTAGGTCCACCAACCCCAAGGTCCATAAATTGATTTCAAGGGCTGTGTGAAGTTGGATGGGGAAAATTTACATCTTTATTCTCATTAGCCACCAAAAGAAATTTAGCATTTCCTTCAATTATGAATGTAGGCAGCAACGGCAGCAGCAGTACTTATAATTTTATCACGAATAGACATTAGAGATATTTTTAAGTCACATTACAGTTCTTGGCGGTATCACAAATTATTGTTTATGATCATCATTGCTTTGGTAGTTATTTTGCATATTGCTAGGTCTTGTTATTTGATGTGTGAATAGAATTACACAATTGATAAAATATTTGAATATCAGTATTTCAATATAGTAGGCTTCCTTTATAAGTCTACATATTTTGTTTATGCATTCCAAAATGTTTTTTCTGATAACTTAGGCTTCAGTAGGCTACCAAAAAGGTCCACGGAACTAAAAACGGTTAAGAATCTCTGATAGTTTGGTATTTTGTATTGAATTATATATTTGGCTAAGATGCTTTTTTTTTTAATACTTTAAGTTTTAGGGTACATGAGCACAGCGTGCAGGTTAGTTACATATGTATACATGTGCCATGTTGGTGTGCTGCACCCATTAACTCGTCATTTAACATTAGGTATATCTCCTAATGCTATCCCTCTCCCCTCCCCCCACCCCACAACAGGCCCCAGTGTGATGTTCCCCTTCCTGTGTCCATGTGTACTCATTGCTCAATTCCCACCTATGAGTGAGAACATGCAGTGTTTGGTTTTTTGTCCTTGCGATAGTTTGCGGAGAATGATGGTTTCCAGCTTCATCCATGTCCCTACCAAGGACATGAACTCATCGTTTTTTATGGCTGCATAGTATTCCATGGTGTATATGTGCCACATTTTCTTAATCCAGTCTATCGTTGTTGGACATTTGGCTTCGTTCCAAGTCTTTGCTATTGTGAATAGTGCCGCAATAAACATACGTGTGCATGTGTCTTTATAGCAGCATGTTTATAATCCTTTGGGTATATACCCAGTAATGGGATTGCTGGGTCAAATGGTATTTCTAGTTCTAGATCCCTGAGGAATCGCCACACTGTCTTCCACCGTGGTTGAACTAGTTTACAGTCCCACCAACAGTGTAAAAGTGTTCCTATTTCTCCACATCCTCTCCAGCACCTGTTGTTTCCTGACTTTTTAATGATCGCCATTCTAACTGGTGTGAGATGGTATCTCATTGTGGTTTTGATTTGCATTTCTCTGATGGCCAGTGATGATGAGCATTTTTTCACGTGTCTTTTGGCTGCATAAATGTCTTCTTTTGAGAACTGTCTGTTCATGTCCTTCGCCCACTTTTTGATGGGGTTGTTTGTTTTTTTCTTGTAAATGCTCATGGGTAGGAAGAATCAATACTGTGAAAATGGCCATACTGCCCAAGGTAATTTACAGATTCAATGCCGTCCCCATCAAGCTACCAATGACTTTCTTCACAGAATTGGAAAAAACTACTTTAAAGTTCATATGGAACCAAAAAAGAGCCTGCATTGCCAAGTCAATCCTAAGCCAAAAGAACAAAGCTGGAGGCATCATGTTACCTGACTTCAAACTATACTACAAGGCTACAGTAACCAAAACAGCATGGTAATTGTACCAAAACAGAGATATAGACCAATGGAACAAAACAGAGCCCTCAGAAATAATGCCGCATATCTACAACTATCTGATCTTTGACAAACCTGAAAAAAACAAGCAATGGTGAAAGGATTCCCTATTTAATAAATGGTGCTGGGAAAACTGGCTAGCCATATGTAGAAAGCTGAAACTGGATCCCTTCCTTACACCTTATACAAAAATTAATTCAAGATGGATTAAAGACTTAAATGTTAGACCTGTAACCATAAAAACCCTAGAAGAAAACCTAGGCAATACCATTCTGGACATAGGCATGGGCAAGGACTTCATGGCTAAACCACAAAAAGCAAGGGCAACAAAAGCCAAAATTGACAAATGGGATCTAGTTAAACTAAAGAGCTTCTGCACAGCAAAAGAGACTACCATCAGAGTGAACAAGCAACCTACAGAATGGGAGAAAATTTTTGCAATCTACTCATCTGACAAAGGGCTAATATCCAGGATCTACAATGAACTCAAACAAATTTACAAGACATGTTTTTTAAACAAAAAAAAAAATTCTTTTTGAGATAGGGTCTTGCTCTGTAGCCCAGGTTGGACTGCAGTGGCGTGATCTTGGCTCACTGCAGCCTCAATCTTCCATGCTCAAGTTATTTTCCCTTTTCAGCCTCCCAAGCAGCTGGAACTACAGGCTTATGCCACAAGCCCAATTGTTATATTTTTTGTAGAGTTGGGTTTTATTGCCCAGTCTGGTCTCGAACTCTTGGACTCAAGCAATCCACTTGCCTTGGCCTCCCAAAGTGCTGAGGTTATAGGCTGAGCCACCACACTCAGTCTTAAACAAATTTAAAGGGCAAAATAATACTAAGAATTGGGGGAAAAGGATTTCTTAAAAATTATGAAACTGATATTGAAATGAGTTCAATACAAGAAATCATTATTGAAAAGCGTATAGATTAAACTTATAAATTACATATTATAAAATAATATAATAAATGGGAAGGTAACTATCTTCCAATAAGGAGTATCCAGATAATCCTGAACATTGACTCTGCGGCAAAAAGGAAACTTTATGACCGGTCAGAGCATGTTGTAGCATGCATATGGCCTGCCAGAGAACAGATAGCAAGACTTCCCATTGTCTTTGTACTGCCTTTAAAGTTACACATGTATAAATCACTCAAGGATGATTAGATTTCTTGATATATTTAACATTAACTTTTCTATTATTTGCAAATTTTTGTTAAGAAATTTCCTAGACAATATTGTTTTTCTGATGAAAACATAATAAAAAACAGGTTTTGTTTATTTAGAAACTAAAAAATGAAATTTTGAAATGAAACATTGGATTTGAGGCACTGCAAATATGATGTATATCAATCTGTACTTTGAGGACATCCATCTCTGTTTCTAGAAGGATATAACTGAATTCTTTTAATTTCTGAGGAATTATTGAGGTATTGTTTCTTTCTTTGAGTTGTTTTTTTCTTTTTTTAAGTAGAGGTGAATGAGTTGTACGTTAACCATTATATTAAATAAATGTATATAGAGCAGTGAAAAATCACCAGATTGGTTCTGAAGATGTGAGGGAAACATGTTGACAAAACAAAATAAGCCCCAACATCAATAGCAAAGGAGACTGATAGGTCGAGGAATCACTAACCTATTTTTAAAAACTAGTGGGCTTAAAAATAGAGTAAATACATATTATTTACTTTAGAAAAGCCATACTCTGTTTCTATTACATCATTTGCATATTAGTTATGATTTATACATGAATGTGTCTTAAGGTGTTCCAAGTTTTTCCTCTGTATTTATCTTTCTTAGACTTACTGGGTGGGGTGAAGGAATGAGGAATAGAAGAGGGATAATGAAATATTTTAAAAGTTCCCTTTAATTTTGCTTGAAAAGGTTACAGTGTGGTAGATACCATTTCTCTCTAATCACAATATATATACTAAGGTAGATATTATGATACCTTTTAATCTCTACTTAGAGATTTTTTGAAGGTGCATTTTATGAAAGGTTAAACTAAAAATAAATATGCCTTTCAAAAAAAGGTAAATATATTTAGATATTATGAAACTAAAGCCACATGTATTAATAACTATCTGGTTTATATTTATTTCTGCACTTTGATAAACAACATACAATCCGCAAGCTTACAATAAAATATGCAGAGAGTTCACCAGAATTAATACATAGCTCACTGTCTATGCACTGTGAAAAGGTGTTACTTAAGCTTCTTCACCATTTGTGCCTCTTATTACCAGATGGAAAGGATTCTTAATATCAAATGGTACTCAAAATTCCAAAGATAACTAGCTCATAACTTAAAGAAATCTCTTAGAAGTTGTATAGTTGGCCCTTCTATGTATAGAGAGATGCATGTCTAAACAGTAAAATAATAAAACAAAAAAGAGTAAATTGATCAACTCTTTAGACATTGAGTAAGAAAAGGTTAAAATCTTCTTCCATATTTGTGGTAAGAAAGCTTTTTTTCTATCTCACCTAAGTTAAGTGAGAAATTTAACTTGTTCATTAATTTTTAATTATTCTGTTTGAAGATACATGATAAATTCCAACGAACATAAGGCGGTACTCTATCTTTTGCTTTTCTTGTTTCTGCTATAACATCTCAAAATAACACTTTATACAGGTTTTGAACAAATTTAAGCTATTATTATTATTATTATTCTTTTATTATTATTATTATTGAGATGGATTCTCACTCTGTCACCCAGGCTAGAGTGTAGTGGTGTGATCTTGGCTCACTGCAACTTCCGCCTCCCAGGTTCAAGCAATTCTCCTGCCTCAGCCTCCTGAGTAGCTGGGATTACAGGTGCACGCCACCACGCCTGGCTAATTTTTGTATTTTTTGTAGAGACGGGGTTTCACCATATTGGTCAGGCTGGTCTCCAACTCCTGACCTCTTGGTCTGCCTACCTCAGCCTCCCAAAGAGCTGGGACTACAGACGTGAGCCACTGTGCCCAGCCTAAGCTCTCCCTTATTATTTTATCCAACCCTTACTAGAGGGCAAGGGTAGGTATAGTGATGTCTTGGAGCCAATTTATCTTTACTGAAAGCTGATTGTTAAATTTTATTAAAAGTAACAATAATTTTAATAACATTTATTAAAGTTAATAATTTTAATAATATTAAAAATTAAATTATATAAACTTCTAATTACATAAATTATATTTAAAACAAAAGAACTAAGCACTCAAGAGTCATCATTTTCTAATTACTTTGCCACAAATGCAGTCAATAGTACTTTTTACCCTACGCTAAGTATGATATGGTTTGGCTCTGTGTCCTCACCCAAATCTAGAATTGTAATACCCACGTGTCAGAGGAGGGATCTGGTGGGAGGTGATTGGATCATGGGGACTAACTTCCCCTTTGCTATTTTTGTGATAGTGAGTTCTCACGAGATATGGTTGTTTAAAAGGATGTGGGACTTCCCCTTTTGCTCTCTCTCTCTCTCCTGCCGCCATGTAAGACAAGCCTTGCTTCCCCTTTGCCTTTTGCCATTGTTTTAAGTTTCCTGAGGCCTCCCCAGCCATGTGGAACTGTGAGTCAACTAAACCTCATTTCTTTCTAAATTACCCAGTCTTAGGTAGTTCTTTATAGCAATGTGAGAATGGACTAATATAAAGTAGCTATTATGAGCCTAATTTTACTAATGAGAAAAACTGTATCTTCTTTTTTTTTTTTTTTTTTTTTTGAGATGGAGTCACACTCTGTCACCCAGGCTGGAGTGCAGTGGCACAATCTTGGCTCACTGCAACCTTCACCTCCCAGGTTCAATGATTCTCCTGCCTCAGCCTCCCGAGCAGCTGGGATTACATGTGCACGCCACTGCACCCAGGTAATTTTTGTATTTTTTAGTAGAGATGTGGTTTCACCATGTTGGCCAGGCTGGTTTTGAACTCCTGACCTCAGGTGATCCACCCACCTTGGCTTCCCAAAATGCTGGGATTATAGGCGTGAGCCAGTGCGCCTGGCCAAAAAACTGTATCTTAAAGACTGTAAGTAATCAACCTACTCAACACAGTAGTGACTAGTGTTGGGCCTCTACTGCATAGCTACTGCCTTTCTTTCTTTCTTTTTGGTCAGTTACACAGTCAACGAATATTAAGTGTTGTACCTACTAAGTGAAAGACATTATAACCGGGAACTTACAGAGAAACCTAATGCCTCCTTCCCCATCCTCACTCTCAGCTGATGACTTCACTTTCTATTCCACAGTGAAAGGAGAAAGTCTCAGAAGAAAATGCCAAACTTCATTCTTACCTGTGCTTATTCTGCTGTTCTTTGAACACACTTGGCACTTTGCCAACACAAGGCCTCTTTTGTTCTTCCCTCTGCATAGAATTTTTCAAGTGTGTTCATAGTAGTGCTCTTATTTTCCTCAAACTTTTACTCAAAAGTAACCTTCTGGCCGAGTCCTTCCATGGCCACCTTATCTAAAAGTCATCCCTCCTTTTTTCTTCAGTATACTATACCCCCTTTCTTTGTCTTACTTTCTTTTTCTTAGCATTATCACTATCCTGTAAACTATATTTAACTTATTTATTTTCTTTATTGTTTATCTCTCTTTCTATGATGTAATTTTCAGCAGACTAGGGTTTTTTGATCTTTTTTCATTCAACATCTTACCCTAAAACCTAGAACAGTGCCTAATGCATAGCAGATGCTGAATAAATATTTACTGAATAAAAGATAAAACGATAAGACACAAATGTAAAAATTAGAGCAGTGAACTATCTAGTTAGGTGTATTTTAGTATGAAGAGGGAAACTCAGCCAAGCTTCTCCACACTTTGGGGAAGTGATTGTGAGTACACATGCCCAGGAAGCCAGGAATTTTGAGGTTTACTCCGTGATAGTTCCAAGTCAATTCAAGGCAGTCGAGTGTAAGCATTCGTGGGTCCTTACTCTCATACTGAACCATGAACTCAGTTTAGCAACTCCAGTGAGGTCTTGCTCTTCCTTCTCCCATTCAGTTATATAATATATACAGAACATACTTTCTGTTTTGCCTAGTTTCTATTTGCATATACTTTCTGCTTAAATGTAACTCTTGTCTGCCCTGTACCCCACACAACCACACTCCTGTCTCTGTTCATCATAAACTTTTGGCTTCAGTTTCCACTACTGTTTGCTTTTCTCTGTCTACTATATGAAGATTATAAGAGATAGTATCTTCCTTCGCAAATATGTTTACAATTTAGGTAATTGACCAGACTAAGAACTGACTGTCTTCAGACAAACTCCTAGGACACCGTCTACGACCATGGCAGTACTGTCCTATAGCACAGAATGGTTTCCTGAGGACTACTTGTTTAGTAGAGGCTATAAACAGGGCATGGTACTTAGAAAGAGTCATAGGAAAATTATGACATCAAGACTGTTGTGTTCAGTAAGACCTAAATGTATAAAAAATATCACAATTATTCTAGAAAGCTCACACTTATGACAACACATGCTTGATTGGTCAGTCGCTGAGCACATTAAGTAAGCATTTTTAATCTCCATATACTGTTCTAGGCACTATATCATGGTTGCAAACAAACAAGTTCCTTGTTTGTGACACTTAATGCTGAAGGACAAGATGGACAATAAACTAGTAAATTAAAAGAAATTCTGAAAGCAATAAATGTTATGTAGAGAATTAAGGTATCAGGTACTATTTTAGAGTAGGAAAGAACATCCCTCTGAGATGAGTATTAAGCTGAGATGTGCATGATAAAATGTTATCAGCCAGGTGAGTGTTGAGGGGATAACATTGCAGGCCAGTGGAATACATTTGGTAAGTTCGAAGATAATTGATAAAATTTTGGTTGGGGCATACTGGTTGAGGTGGTGAGTAATATGCCATGAGACCAAAGAGACACTCTGAAGTGAGAATCTTCAAGCTGTAACCATCCAAGTGAGAAAAGAGAGTGGCCTAGACTAGGAGGTGTTAGTGGAGATAGCAAAAGGAAAGGACCTAGGATTGTTTTAGAAGTTGAGTTGATAGGACTTGCCTGATGTGCTGTATGTGAGTTATATGTTAAAAAAAGGACATGGACACATAGTAGGGAAAAACACACACTGGGGCTTGTTTGAGGGTGGGGCGTGTGAAGAGAGAGAGGATCAGGAAGAATAGTTGGTGGATGCTGGGCTGAATACCTGGATGATGGGATGATCTGTGCAGCAAATCACCAAGGCGTATGTTTACCTAAGTAACAAACCAGCACATCTTGCACATGTATCCCTGAACTCAAAATAATTGGTTTGAAGAACTGAATGTATTGTAATATTATTTATTGAGTTAGAAAGACTGAAAAGTATGAAGTTTGGTTGTGTCTAGATATTGCTTATTGATTCTCAGAAATTTTACTCTTAAATTGTCCTCTGTATTGCAGTGACAGAAAGCCTGGAATCTACCTTTCTTAGACTCACTTACTAGCAGTTACTGGTTTAGGTTTTGCCAGTGAGAAACTCGTGTGTGAGACTTGGAAGGTGAACAAGAAGAAGAAGCCATTGATCTTCAGTGGGAGCTGCAGGCAGCTATATGGGCATTGGAGATGGCAGGTATGGAATTTTCCCCAGTGGCTTTAAGATGTCCTCCTGATAATCACTTCCCTGAGTGCTGCAAGTAGCTGAGACTATTAACAGTGGTTTCTGTGTTTTCTGAATATCCTGATTTCCTGTCTCTTGCTGTGGCTTCCCCAGTCTTGCCAATGGTTGTACAACAGTCCCCCCGTTATACACAGGGGATATGCTCCACAGCTTCCAGTGGATGCCTGAAACTGTGGATAGTACCAAATCCTGTACATATTATGTTTTTTTTTTCTATATATACATACCTAAGATAAATTTTAATTTACAAATTAGGCACAATAAGAGACTAACAATGATAACAAAATAGATAAAATAAAACAATGATAACAATATACTCTAATAAAATTATGTGAATGTGGTCTCTCTCAAAATATCTTACTGCATGTAATATTTTTGGACTGTGGTTAAACATCAGGTAACTGAACTTAGGAATGTGAAACCATGGATAAGGGAGGAATACTGAATAATTCTCTAGTTCTCTGAGTTAAGTCATTTCTTCTATAAAATGCTTAGCATGGTTAATATTCTCCTCAACAAACTGACTGATATTGAGAGAATAATCAATAGTTCTGCTTTCTGGACTTCTAGAGGGAGAGATGTGAGCTGGAGATAAGGATTTTGGAGTCACTGGTGTTTATATAATAAACATGGGACTAACTGAGGTTTCTTTACAGATAAGAGAAACGGAAATGGGTGCCAGGCGTGGTGGCTCAGGGTGTGGTGGCTCACTCCTGTAATCCCAGCACCTTGGGAGGCCGAGGTCAGGAGGGCAGATCACCTGAGGTCAGGAGTTCGAGACCAGCCTGGCCAACATGGTGAAACCCTGTCTTTACTAAAATACAAAAAAAAATTTAGCTGGGAATGGTGGCACGTGCATGTAATCCCAGCTACCCAGTAGTTTAGGCAGGAGAATAGCTGGAACCCAGGAGACAGAGGCTGTAGTGACCCGAGATTGCGCCACTGCACTCCAGCCTGGGCGACAGAGTGAGACTCCATCTCAAAAACAAACAAACAAATGATAAAGAGAAATGGGGCAGAGGGGAGTCCAGGGAATATAAACCTTTTGAAGTCGAGTAAAAGACAAGTCAGAAAAGAATACCAAACAGGAGAGATCAGTGAATCTGAAGGAAATTCAGGTGGACATGGTATTATAAATGCCAAAAGAAGAAAGTATTTCAGCAAGAAGGTGTTGTAGGCCTTTCTCCTTAGTTCAGCTAAGAGATGGGTTCTTGTCACACGGCCATGAAATATTAGGCTCGCAGACACTTTAAAGGGTGAGAAAAATAAAACTTACTGGGTGAAAAGGGAAAAAAAGGGGAAACAGGGACTCAGCAGAGTGAGAGTCCTGCTAGTATAGGCTTCTCGCCTGGCAGACTGAATCCCAGATTCGACCCAGGAAGATGAGGGATCCGCTACCCACCCCTGCAAACACATGAACTTCCCCAGGCTCCATCCCAGTGTCCACTCCTCCCAGTGTGCAGGCCGGTCACAGGCTCTCCGGGGACCTCTTCATACTCGGCTGTTTCAAAGGGAGGTCACTGAAGGCTAGATGGGTTAGGGAAGGTTTTGCTGAAGAAAAGAGGCCTTTGCAGATGGAGGAGGAGTGTAGGGAATGGGTAGCGTAGTATTCAGGGGAGATGGTTTATCTGCCGAAAGGGCCCCAGGTTCTTAATTTAGCTAATTTTGAAATCAAATTAAAGAGCATTATGGCTAAAGTCTACTGCTACTCTCTTGGTCACATAGAAAACCCTCTCTGCTGGATCTTTTGAAATAAAACGTGCAAGTTCTCTAGGCTGCGTAGCCTGTATGTCGTCACCTTGATTTCCAGAGAGCATCTGTGCATGGAATAGTTCTCCACCTCTCTGCCTCCTCCTCACTTTCTGTTCAAGATGATTTCCTGGGTTAACTTCCTTCTTTCCATCCACCCACCCACTGGAATCTTTTTCCAAGCACTTTTCCATTTTCTTGTAGATGGGCTTTGATTTTCTGCCCCCTCTCCATGCCTATAAAGCTCCAAACTTTTCTCAGGGAGAGGCAGCCTGGACCTGACTGGACTGCCCAGTGAACTGGGATCATTGAGTACAATCAAGTGCTCATGGATCATGGATCGTGGATTAAAGGGGTGTGCTCCTTTTCACCCTAGATGCCTTCTCCATGCCTTTCACAGCCCCTTGTCTTATTACACCACTGCCCCCATCATGCTCAGCCATCCCAGTTCTCCCTGGTCAGTGAGCTTCAGCCTTATCTAGGAAAGGGAGAGTGGGGTGCAGCCACGCTGCAAGACCAGGTCTTCCCTTATCCCAGCTTCCCCATCATCCCAGCAGGTCAAAATATCAGACAGCCCTCCCCTGACCTTCCCCCTTGTAGATACCAATTCCCGAACAGAGCCATTTTTACTCTATGTTTATCGTCACACACCTGTACAGCATTTTTCATAAGTTATACAGTAAATGGTCTCAGTGATTTGTGTTTCTAGTGCTCTCATTTGGAACTGAGGCAGGGTGCTATGAAATGTGAGGGGAAAAAAAACACTTTGTATATTTTGTAGTACTATCTCTGTGGCCATGCCTGCCCCGACACATTCTTTAAATATGTGGGTTAAACCAGGGCAGGAGCCGTGGCCATCTTTGTACCAATGATTTTAAAAAATTGAATCCTTGTACTTGCATTGATTGTAATTTCTTTTTTTTTTTTTTTACTTGTTGTGGGAAGAGAGAAATAAAAATAATCAACTTCCCCCCACCGAAAAAAAAAAAAAAGAAAGAAAAGGGGCCTTGACGGGTGAATATATGTTGGATTAGAAAGGAACAATTGTTTAGCTTCTTATTGAAGGTAGCCAGATGAGTGTGAACATGAAAGTAGAAGGGCTAATGCATGTGGGATCTTTGTGGATAGAGTAGTGTGAAAAAGAGAGTGTAAAAGAAACCGAAAGGCAAAGATGATCAGTTGCAGGTGGCCAGGAGAGGCAGCCAAGGAAGTCTGGACTTTTTAAGTAAGTGATGAGAGTCACTAGAGGTTACTGTGTTGGTTATGAGTGGGGCAGGCCATTGAGAAAATAAGGTGAGATAAGCAAAAGGCATTTTGATGGAAGACGTGTAGTAGGCTTTGATGACCTTAAGTATTGACATAAAATAGATGATTTTCACAGTTTTAAGTTGAACTGATTAAGAATAGGATAATATTATTGATAAAAAGGGAAGAGAAGAGGAAACTGATACTGCCTTTTCTTAGAGGTGAGTTAATTTTTTTAAAGAGATGGGCTCTCACTGTGTCTCCCAGGCCAGCGTACAGTGGCATTATCATAATTCACTGCAGCCCCGAACTCTTGGGTTCAAGCTAATTTTTTTTTAAAGTTATTTTTTAGAGACAGGGTTTGGCTATCTAGCTCAGCCTGGTCTTGAACTCCTGGCCTCAAACAATCTTCCCTCAGCCAACTGAGTAGCTTGAGCTACAGGTGCAAGCCACTGTGCTCTGTGACATTTTTAAATATAGTATAATGGTCAAAAATTAAGAGTCATTTAATAAAAATTTTATTTGGAAAGAATTTGGTTTTCTTTGATGCTCTCATCATTAACAACATTTCAAACAAAATCCAAAGTAGAGAGAACAATAAATAAGTCTTTGCGTGTGGCTTTTTTTTTTTTTTTTGAGACGGAGTCTCGCTCTGTCACCCAAGCTGGAGTGCAGTGGTGCAATCTTGGCTCACTGCAAGCTCCGCCTCCTGGGTTCACGCCATTCTCCTGCCTCAGCCTCCCGAGTAGCTGGGATTATAGGCGCGTGCCACCACGCCCAGCTAATTTTTTGTATTTTTTAGTAGAGACGGGGTTTCACCATGTTAGCCAGGATGGTCTCGATCTCCTGACCTCGTGATCCACCCGCCTCGGCCTCCCAAAGTGCTGGGATTACAGGCGTGAGCCACTCCACCCGGCCAATCTTTGTGTTTCTAATATCCACTTCAACAATGATCAACACATGCCGAGTGTTGTTTCACCATTGCCCCACCTACTTCATGTCAATCTCCATATTACCTTGAAGTGAATTCCAGTCATTATATCATTTAATCTGTAAATATTTTATATGTGCCTCTAAAAGAGAACTCTAAAAAAAAAAAACCACATAATATCATACACATCTTAAAAATTGACATTATTCCTTAATGTCATTTAATGTTTGGCCAGACTTCAAATTCCCCTGATATTTTTATAATTTTTTTGTTAGTTTGTTTGAATTAGTATTCAAGTTATGTGGACAATTCTCTTTTAAAAGAATATATAATTTTAACACTCACAAAATAGTAAACATATAACTTACATGTAAGATATGAAGTATAATAATAAAACAAATACTCTGAATCCCAAATCCCAACTCAAACACTAGAATTTATCAATGCTGATAAATCTACCTGTTTTTCCCTCCACTATCCAAACGTTGTACCATTGTATCAAACATTAGCTAGCACTGTTAATGTAAATTTCACCTAGAGCTGCCTCACATATTTTAAGTATAGCCAAAATGTTTCTCTGAACATAGTAAACTAACCTAACTGGATGAAGAAACAGACTGTGGCTAATTCTTATGCCAATCACCAAGTTTTGACCTATCAAAGACAGCCAACTGTTCAAACTGGGTTCAAATAAAGCAAACGTGGAGCTGTAACCAATCTGACTGCTTCCGTACCTCACTTCTGCTTTTTGTACGTCACTTTCCTTTTTCTGTCCATAATGTGGCTACATGGGAGTCTCTCTGAACCTATTCTGGTTGAGGGGCTGACCCATTCGCAAATTGTTCATTGCTCAATTAAAGTCTGTTAAATTTGTTTTGTCTAAGATTTTTCTTTTCACAGCTCTATCCTGACTTTTACATTTATTATTCCCTTGCTCTCTTTTCTTCTTTTTTTAAAAAAAGTTTTACCACACATGTATGTGTTCTTAAACAATATGTTGTTTAGTTTTGCTTGTTTTAAGCTTTAGAAAAATATCATATACTGTGATTTTCTTTTTTTCATTCAACATAATGCTTCTAAAGTTCATCTAAATTGTTTTGTGTAGCTATAGTTAATTTCTATGGCTGTATAATCTTTCAAAGAGTGACTATCATTGTCTACTTACCTGTTCTGTTTGTAAACAGGTTATTTTGTTTGTTTCTAGCTTTTTCCACTATGAAAAAATTTTATGAACAATATGTCTCCTATAATTTGTACAAAAGTTTCTACAGGGTGAACCAAGGATTGGAATTGCTAGGTCACAGATTACTGCCATGTTCAACTTTGCAACGTAATGCCAAATTGTTTCCCAAAGTACTTATACCAATTAACATTTTTACTAGCAGTTCATTAGAATTCTAATTACAGCACATCCTTATCAAATTAAGAATTTTCAGACTTATTAAATGTCGCCCATGTAGTTAGTAAAACAATATCAAGTCTTGGTTTTAAAACGTATTTTTTCTGAGCACTAGTGAGGTTGAACACTTTTTCGTATGATGGTCATTTAACTCTCTCACTTCTGTAAAACGACTGACGTTCTATGTTTGGCTTCTTTATGGCTTGATTTTTAAAAAGCCTTAATATGCAGGTGTTAATGTTGTCAATAGTAATCCTTTATTATTTACATGGTTTGAAATATTTTCATCTGACTTGTAGCTCCTGTTTTTCTTTTATGGTCTTACTCGATAAAGACAAATTCTTAGTTTTAATGCAATCAAAAGAATAAATTACTTTAGTGTTTGTGATTTTGGGGTCTTGTTAAAAATCCTTTTTATTAATACTTCGTTTGCAAAAATTATATTTTCTTATAAAAATTGTATGGGCTATAACTTTAAACAGGCAACCTCCTTAGACCAAAGTAGTTCCTGGTGAGGGACTGAGGTCTGGGACTTCAGTGACTAAAACCTTTGGTGGTTGAGGAATAATCTTCCTGAAGAGCATCTGGTAGCACACAAGGTTGCTATGATGACTTTGCAAAGTAAGATTAGAAAATTATGCTGGCCGGGCGCAGTGGCTCACACCTGTAATCCCAGCACTTTGGGAGGCCAAGGCGGGTGGGTCATGAGGTCAGGAATTCGAGACCAGCCCGGCCAACATGGTGAAACCCCATCTCTACTAAAAATGCAAAATTAGCTGGGCGCGGTGGTGGGCGCCTATAATCCCAGCTACTTGGGAGGCTGAGGCAGGTGAATCAGTTGAACCCAGGAGGCGGAGTTTGCAGTGAGCCGAGATCACACCACTGCACTCTAGCCTGGGCGACAGAGTGAGACTCCATCTCAAAAAAAAAAATTATGCTAATTGTTATGTCTCCAATAATAACACAAAGTCAGCAACATAGTAGGCATCCAATAAATATTTGTTGTGAGTGTGAATGTATCGTGAAGTTCACACAGTGGAAAAATATTTCCATTCCCCCTAAGTTACTTTTAGGCATGCGTTAAACAATTCAATACAGCACACTGAATAGGCTTTAAGGAAGTCTAAGTTTTGATCATCTTAGTTGATAATTGTTGTTGTACTTGATAACACTCTGGTTGCATGTGATCGAAGTTCAAATGGAAATAGCTTAAGAAACAGACAGTAATTTATTTCTATTTAGAATAAAATAAAAGTCTAATAGACATTTCAGGTATCGTTGGTTCTATGGACTGAAATGAGTTCAAAATGACTCTCTTACTTTACTTATTAGTTCTTTCTTTATATTGACTTCTTTCTTATTCAGGCCCTCCCTACACAGAAAAAAAGATGGCAATCAGCAGCTCAAACTCAGATCCTACTATGATGGCAATGGCATAAAGATTGAGCTTTGCTCCTAATCACTTTTAAGAAGGTCTAAGTAAGACTTCAAGTGACTTAGCTGTGTCCCATATGCAGCCTTCAGTCATTTGCTGTAACTGGCTGAACAGAATACTCTGACTAGGCCTGACTCACGAGTCTCCCCAGGAAGCACAGAGAGCAGGTATCCACTTCCCTGCAACTGCATAGCCTGAATGGCACTGCTTCCACCGAATCTCAACCCTGTGAACTAAATTGCATGGTGTCCACTTCACCCCAGCCACAAAGACTGAATACCTTTATGTCCACCTTACTCCAACCATATGGACGGAACAGGAATCTTATGAGGGTAGGACGGTTTCTTAAACTTATGGTAGAAAGATATGTATAAATATTTATGTACCTGTATTTTTTCAGTTTTAAAACTTTTATTTTGTATAATAGAGGAAACAAATCTTTCTTGCAAAAAGAAAATAAATAATATCATGTCCTTGCAGAATTTAAAAATTGTTAGGCCCATTCAAAATAATATACTAAGTATAACACCTCTTTCAAATTAGGCTCCTTAGTTTAAAAAATTAAATCTGCTCCAAAATAATAATATATCAGTTATATATAAAGTTATAAAGTTTATCATTTATTTTGTATTTTAAACTATTTTAAACTATGACTCAATAGCTATTTATTTGCACGTACTTAAAAATTAAGTATAATAAACACAACTTCAAATATAAATGAAGACTTTCCCTGGCAGCATTGTCATATCAAGAAATCCAGATGGACAAAGTTGTATCCATTTGGAAGGATTTGAGCCTCCAGACTAGTCTAGAAGTAAGGATCCTTTAGGCAATAAGTATCTTATTTCTACTTTCTAAGTCGATTTTTGAGAAATTATCAATAGCTTTTAAAGATGATTGTCTCTCCTCCCTGCCCAACTTATTCACTCACTCAGCCTACATTGCACCTTGTGAACTCCACTGAGTTGACTTTTAACTTTATCATTATATTAAACAGTCATGAGATTTAGGTTTGAGGCCTTTTTCCTTTTTAATGAAATGATATGATAATGATTAAAATTTATCATTATGGTAATCATCATCAAGATAATGATAAATCTTGAAATATTTAATCTTCAGTAATTTCATCAGGCCATGAATGTTATTTTGCTTAATAGATGGCTATGTCAATTAATGTATATAGAACACAATACTTGTCTGAGACATTTCTTCTTCTTTATATGTGAAATTGACATAGCTGAGGTAGTTTTTGCCATGTTGTTTATTATTTTTTCATGTGGCACCCAAGCTTATATCACTATACAGTCTATACTGAGAAGCCATGGTTAAGGTTATTCTACAGTTGCTAATGAAGTTCTGTTTCAGAATTTGTGATATGTTGGACATGTACGGTTGGGTAGAATTTTCTTTTTATTCTCCAAGGGAAACAAAAGGACTTGCCAAACAAGTGAACATTATGCATTATGTTACAGAGGAAAATATTCTCTTAAGAAAAGCAGAAGCTTTCAACTTTTGATGAATTTTCCATGAATCTAAATTACATCTTCACTATAAACCACATAATTTTAGTCTTTGACAGGTACTGTTCAGCTCATATTGGTATTTTGCCAAACTAATTTTAAATTATTTTCTACCCAGTAAGGTAAAATATCTGTTTTTTGGTTATGCTTGTTGAATGTAAAAAAATATCTTTTAAAAACAGTCAAATATTCAGGTTGTATGGTAGTTTGAGTAGGCTTTCTCCAATTAATTTCATTTCACAGGATTTTTTTGGACTACTTAATTCTTTTGTGGGTAGAAGGAGATGGCAGAAAAGAAGTGATACACTGAGGAGGGTAATTATCAGAGGTTTTCGGGAAGTATTTTTACCTAAGACAACCAAATTTTTTTTAATCAAGTGATAAGATATGAGAATGGGAAGCATATGTGTAATTTTTCTAGACATTTGATTTCCCTCCACATGATTATGCAGAGCACCTAAGAAATCGATGACCTGTGATTCCTTCTTTTGAAAATTACCTCCTACTCTCATGCATATGGTAATAGGGGAGGCAGGAGAAGTTTGGCAGAGTGTCTGTGCCTCTTCTCATAGTTTCTCAATCCAAAGGTGGGTCTTGGACTTAAGTCTGGTTGTTCAGAATCCTGTCTCAGGATTTTTGGAATGGGAAACCAAATATAATATAATATAATATAATATAATATAATATAATATAATATAATATAATATATATTTAATATGTATTAAATATATATATATACTCCAATCACTCTCTCAGGCCATGGCCTCTTGCAATAAGGAACTATCCATCTATGACTCCTGCTGTAGAGGGTTTCCTGGGAGCATGTTTTTTATTATGTGACTCAGCTCCAGGTACAGAACCAATTAGACTAGGAATGGGCCCCAGAACAGTTCATGTATATGCTTAATGAGGCTGGCACAAAACAATAAAGTTTGTTAAAAAGACTCTCTTTCAAGAACTTAGGATATTAACTACTGATAGAAAGCGTCATTTAGAAATGACTTAGGATATTAACTACTGATAGAAAGCGTCATTTAGAAATGGAAGTTGAACTGAAATGTCTCATACAGAGAAGAGTTAGAGAGGTCATGATGGTCATGTACAAGGTAAAATTATATAGAGCCTAGGTGCGGTGGCTCACATCTGTAATCCCAGCACTTTGGGAGGCTGAGGTGGGTGGATCACCTAAGTTTGGGAGTTCGAGACCAGCCTGACCAACATGGAGAAACCCTGTCTCTACTAAAAATACAAAATTAGCTGGGCGTGGTGGTACATGCCTGTAATCCCAGCTACTTGGGAGGCTGAAGCAGGAGAATCGCTTGAACCCAGGAGTTGAAGGTTGCGGTGAGCCAAGATGGCGCCACTTCACTCCAGCCTGGGTGACAAGAGTGAAACTCCATTTCAAAAAATAAAATAAAATAATAAAATAAAATAATATAGAAGGAAGCCAACAATGGGGCCAGAAGGGTAGACTGAGAATTATATTGAGAAAAAATTTTCAGTCCAGAGAGAGAAACAAAACAAACAAAAAAACTGGTTTCTAAGTACAGACTTCATTCCTTATGATTTTTTAGTGTCAGTTATTCCATTCTCATCTGTGCAATAATTGTCACTTTATTGTCCCTCAGCTTTAAATTCACCCTGTAGTACCTGCACTGCAATAATGGATTGATCTCCAAACATTTCTCTGTTACAGTGAACACATGTTAAGTACTGTCAGTAGAGGATGCAGGAGAGACATTGAGAGAGGATGAAGGATTCTTCTAATTCTGTACACCTGCCAAAGTCTCACCTCAGCTGCCTGCCTAGAAAGGCTGCTTCCCATGACCCTCTCTACCTGAAGACCACATGTTCTAATTCTCATGCAAAAGCCCCATCCTCACTCCCTCTTTATACATTCACTTATGAACTGTGGCTCTCTGCCACCTCATTTCCTGCTTGCCCAGCGACCATGGACCAGCTCTGATCTGAGTGTCCTAGGAAACTTCTCTGGAGGTTGCAACTACACCTTCTCCAACAAGACCTGAACCCCACCTTGGAATCCCCACTTCAACCTTGTCCTTCATTGCATCATTTCCCTGAGCCCTAGGCTAACCAGCAGAGTTCTCTTTACATCCTTATATTTACTTCCCTGCCATATTTAATAATTCTTTACATTAAAAAGTTCCTGTTCAAATTACTATGATTTCTTTTTCCTGATTGAATTTAGATGGATATATCCTCTTCATAATAAATTCCATTTCTCTTGGACTAATTTGAATGAATGTCTGTTTCTTTTGATCACGAAAACTGGCTACAAATAGGCAGGACACAACAACTGAGTTTCCTCTGTTTGAGATTCTTGCCCTTGTCCTTTGACTCTCACAGAATTTTATGAAATTGACCTCAGTGCCTACAACTGACTGCACATGACAAAATGCAGAACACTTAGATTTGATGAACACAAGGCTTGACATATTTGTCAATAGTACCAGGAATAGTTTTGCATACTATAATATTTAACAGCCACAGGAGAAAGGCAAACCAATATAATTAAGGTTAAATATATGTGGAGTAATTGAATAAGAGAGGCTTAATGTGTCCCTATTTCTATTTTAATTTGTTCAGTCTCATGAATCAATGAGCTAAAGCAAAGATATGTAAAAAGAGTAAATATCTAAACAGGATTTGCTTGAGTTTCCTTAAATGAATTGTTAGCCATGCAGGTTAATTTATCTTTTGAGAAAGCATGTAATTTTGCTGACATACACATATGCTCCGGGGCTGTAAGTCAACACATGGACACAGGTAGGGGAACATCACACATTGGAGCCTGTTGGGAGGTGGGGGGCTAGGGGAGGGATAGCGTTCTGAGAAATATCTAATGTAGACGACGGGTTGATGGGTGCAGCAAACCACCATGGCGCGTGTATACCTAGGTAACAAACCTGCACGCTCTGCACATGTATCCCAGAACTTAAAGTATAATAATAATTAAAAAATGACAACCTGTACTCCACCTAAGGGCAGAAAGGAGTACAATAGGACTGATATGGTTTGGCTGTGTCCCCACCCAAATCTCATCTTGAATTGTAGTTTCCATAATCCCCGCATGTCGTGAAAGATCCAGTGGGAGGTAGTTGAATCATGGGGGTGTTTACCCTCATGCTATTCTAATGATAGTGAGTGAGCTCTCACTAGATCTGATTTTTTTTTTATTACACTGTAAGTTCCAGGGTACATGTGCACAACATGCAGGTTTGTTACATATGTATACATGTGCCATGTTGGTGTGCTGCACCCATTAACTCGTCATTTACATTAGGTATATCTCCTAATGCTACCCCTCCCCCCTCCCCTCACCCCACACAGGCTGAAGCTGGAAACCATCATTCTGAGCAAACTATCTCAGGGATCTGATGGTTTTATAAGGGGCTTTTCCCCCTTTTGCTTGGCACTTCTTCCTGCCTCCATGTGAAGAAAGACGTGTTTGCTTCTCCTTCTGCCATGATAAGTTTCCTGAGGCCTTCCCAGCAAAAAAAAAAAAAAAAAATTTCTTTCATTAACAAAAAAAAAAAAAAAAAAAAAATCTCAGAATATCTTCACTGGTTATTCAGTGATTCGTTTCTCTAGGATGAGTGCCCAAAACATTTCTGCAGAATTAGATTCATAGATATTAGTCCACTGTGGCATGGAAAACTTTACAAAATGGAGAATAGAAGTGAAGCTTTTCTCCATGTTAATGTGCTTAGTCATTAATTACATAGCTAATAGGCTAAACATTTGCTGTACAATTTTTTTTGGTAAACATTGATACAAAAGTATAGAATAGAATTTGGAAAAAGATTTAAAGGATACAACATGGTAATTTATGGGATTTTTAAATACAATACGTATTTTAAAATGATGTATACCAACAAGAGAGAATTAAAAGTAGTCTGGCAATCAATAATTATGCGATAATACTGGAAAAAGCAAAGTACAATGGCTTCCAGTATAGCTGACTCTTTAATTACAGCTAAAAGATCTTATAGAATTTGAAAAAATGAAGAGCATCTCTGCTTAGAAAAGCTGATTAAACATTATAGTATGTAATCAATATCGCATTCATAGAACATAAAAATTAGTGCCTAAATATTAACTTCCTCAAAGAAAATTATGGCTAGATCATGCCATATTAGAGAGTGACTGAAAGGAGACATTAAAAAATGTCTGTCTGAATAATTTACTCTTTCATAGTTGAAAAGTATAAAATTAGATTAAAATAGCAAATCAAATGTTTGGGAAAAACTTTTAAAATGCTTTAAAATACATTTTTGAAATAGCACTCAACTGAAATCTATGTTTCTAATACCTAGAGTTGAAAATAATAAAGGCTGCCGGGTGCGGTGGCTCATGCCTGTAATCCCAGCACTTTGGGAGGCCAAGGTGGGCGGATGACCTGAAGTCAGGAGTTCGAGACCAGCCTGGCCAACATGGTGAAACTCTGTCTCTACTAAACATACAGAAATTAGCTGGGCATGGTGGTGGACTGTAATCCCAGCTACTCGGGAGGCTGAAGCAGGAAAATCGCTTGAACCTGGGAGGCGGAGGTTGCAGTGAGCCGAGATCACTCCATTGCACTTCAGCATGGGAGACAAGAGTGAAACTCCGTCTCAAAAAAATAAAAAGAAAAAGAAAATAATAAAGGCATGAGTGTTTTTGGTGAGGAGAGATGAAGAACCAATTTCGATACCACAGGAGTGCTTTCTCCTGAATTAAGTAAATAAATAGTATTTAACTATTTACCTTATAGAGAGTAATGAATTTCTAAAGCAAGTATCTGTGTTCTAAAGAACATGTTTTTATGCAATATTTTGTGGGTGTTCTCCTTAACTTAAACATTTTATTTACAAGTAGAATTATCTACTTAGAGTATAAGTCAGAAGTGTTCAGATATTTTAAAAGAGTTTAATAAAATTGAAGTGAAAAGATTGTAAGAAAACACCCTCAAAATTAAGTATTATAGATTGCTAGTGAAAATACTTAAATGTGAAAAAAGAAAAGATTCCAGGAGAAAATATTTAATAACTAACTCAGGCCCTACATAAAAGGAATTCATGAAAAGAACACAGTGAAAATATATACAGAAAAGTAAAGTTCTCATGCCTTTTTAAAAAGATAATTGAATGTCTGGTGAATATAGTTCAAGAGCTGATAGGTGACATTTGATAAAAAGATTTCAACTATTCCTTAGAAATGCTGAGCCAAAATTTGAAATATTTTGTAGGTGAGTCCACATGTTGTCTATTCCTACTCTTTTTAAAAAACTTTAAAATCCTGTTATCTCCATAGGATTATGGAATGATAAGATCAAGTGTTGATAAAGAATACAGTGCCACTCAGCTCCATATCTTATTACCTGAGGTGAACTTGGACAATTTCCTTAGCTCTCTGTGCCTCAGTTTCCATCTGTAATAGAAAAAAATAATACTTAACCTCATAGAGTTGCATGAGAATTACATAAGTACATATAAAATATTTAGAATAATATTGAACACATAATAACCACTCAATAATATTATAACATAATCTGGTTATTTAGTGTCTTTTCAACAGTATTTGTTTTCATATATACATGACATTTATCACTGAAGAGCATAATTGTTAATTTTATATATGAGCCTACTCCTTGCTTCCAGAATAATCTCATTTAAATTCTTTTTTTTTTTTTAATTCTACTTCATTGCTCAAGAACTTCTAACGATTCCCCAGTGCCTAAGCCATCAGAGGTAAGTTACATCTGGATTTTAAAACCCTCCGTAATTGAAACCAATCTTACTTATTTAAGTTCCTTTCCTGTTTACCCAGCATGATAGCCCATTTGTTTCACTTTAGATTTCCCACTGTTTCCTAACGTGCTATGCCTTTGCCTTTGTTCATCTATCCCGCCGGCCTAAAACAGGGTTTCTCCTTTCCAGTCTTTCAGAGACAATTACAAAATATTTCATTTCATCAAGCTATTTTTGTGCTGGAGTTGCCTTCCTCCTCATTCTTTTTTTTTTTGAGACAGAATCTCTCTATCCCCCAGGCTAGAGTGCAGTGGCACGATCTCCACTCACTGCAACCTCCACCTCCGGGTTCAAGCAATTCTCCTGCTTCAGCCTCCTGTGTAGCTGGGATTACAGGCATGCGCCACCATGCCAGGCTAATTTTTGTATTTTTAGTAGAGACGGGGTTTCACCATGTTGGTCAGGCTGGTCTCAAACTCCTGACCTGGCGATCCACCCGCCTCAGCCTCCCAAAGTGCTGGGATTACAGGCGTGAGCCATGGCGCCCAGCCCCTCTTCATTTTTTAATCAGCAATATTTATTAAGTACCAAATCATTGCAAGACTCAGGTAGGTGTAGCAGAGAGTCAGTGGGCATGGTCCCTGACCTTGTTAACGTTACAGACTTTGAGGTGAACAATGAAATAAGCAACTAGGCCATAATCGATCTGCCTAGATTGTTCTTCCCCAAACTCTTCACAAGGCCAGTTCCTTCTCATTTGGATCTCAGCTTCAACATCACCTTCTCCAAGATGCTTTTTTTGGCCATCCTCTCTAAAAGCTACCCACAGTCAGTATCTATCATAACACCTGTTGATTAATCTTTGTAGCATTTTACTATTATCTGCAAGTATCTTTCCAGAGATGGATTTACTAGTGAAGTGAAGAGTTGCATTGTCCTCCACCCTGCAGCATTCTTTGACAATAGTGATGTGGTTACTTGGCACTGATACCAGCTATAAGGTGGGACCTGATTGGCACAAACTCATCAGAATAATTTCTCCATCCTTGGCAAATTAAATGGTTCAGTAAAAGGCAGTAACCCAGGGCTAAGTCCTTCCATACAAGAGATGCCCCTAACCACAATTGTATAAATCAGAGTTGCTCTGGAGAGTATGGAATATGCTTACGAAATCTGGAATTGCTACAGCCATTTTGCTGCTCCAAGGGCAATTAGCTTGAGGTAGAAGCTGAAATGTTAAGGAGGATAGAGCCAGGGGACTCCCAGAAAACAGAATCCCAACTTTGATCAAACCTATTTTGAAGCCCACATTCCTATGGAAGTTCTGTCATAAGAAACAATAAACTCCCTGATTTTTAGTCCATTGTTCAATGAAAAATTGTATTAAGACAATTATGGATTCATATGTGTTTATAAAAGAGATGATAATGAGAGACAGGACTTGCTGGATTTCCTAGGCCGAGTAAGAATCCTTAACCCTAGCTGGGAAGATGACCGCTTCCACCTTTAAACACTGGGCTTGCAACTTACCTCACACCCGACCAATCAGATAGTAAAGAGAGCTCAATAAAATGCTAATTAGGCAAAAACAGGAGGTAAAGAAATAGCCAATTATCTATTGCCTGAGAGCACAGCGGGAGGGACAATGATCGGGATATAAACCCAGGCATTCGAGCCGGCAACGGCTACCCTCTTTGGGTCTCCTCCCTTTGTATGGGAGCTCTGTCTTCACTCTGTTAAATCTTGCAACTGCATTCTCTTTTGGTCTGTGTTTGTTAGGGCTGGAGCTGAGCTTTCACTCCGCCCACCACTGCTGTTTGCCGCCATCGTAGACCCGCCTCTGACTTCCATCCCTCCAGATCTGGCAGGGTGTCTGCTGCGCTCCTATTCCAGCCAGGGGCCCATTGCCCCTCCCGATGGGGCTAAAGGCTTGCCATTGTTCCTGCACGGCTAAGTGCTCAGGTTCGTCCTCATCAAGCTGAATCCTAGTCACTGGGTTCCACGGTTCTCTTCCGTGACCCACGGCTTCTAACAGGGCTATAACACTCACCACATGGCCCAAGATTCCATTCCTTGGAATCCGTGAGGCCAAGAACCCCAGGTCAGAGAACACAAGGCTTGCCACCGTATTGGAAGCAGCCCGCTGCCATTTTGGAAGTGGCCTGCCACCATCTTGGGAGCTCTGGGAGCAAGGACCCACCACCCCACCCACCGCCCCCTAACAATAACATTTACAAAGCCACTATTACAATATCAAATTCAAGATATTGGCACTGATATAATCTACCTGTCTTACACAGATTTACCTGTTTTTGCTTATACTCATCTGTAGGTGTTTGTGTGTGTATTCAGTCTGTACAATTTTATCACATAGTGGTTTCATGTATCCACCACAGCTAAGAGAAAGAACACTTCCATCACCACTAGGTTTCTTCCTATTGCTCTTTTATAATCACGTCAACCTCCCTCCCCACAAAAGTTTTCCATCTCTGTCCCTTGCGGACCACTAATCTCTCTTCCATGTTTAACAAACTATGGCACATCCATACTATTGAATACTTCTTAGCAACAAAAAGGAAGGAACTATTGATACATACCAACTTGGATACATCTCCAGGGAATTATTGAATTTAAAAAAGAACTCCATCTTAAAAGATTACATATTATATTACTCCATTTATATAACATTTTATTTATTTATTTTTGTATTATTTTCTTTGGACCATGTATATAACTTTTTTTTTTTTTTTTTTTTTGAGATGGGGTCTCGCTCTGTTGCCCAGGCTGGAGTGCAGTGGCGCCATCTCGGCTCACTGCAAGCTCCGTCTCCTGGGTTCAAGCAATTCTCTCTCCTGCCTCAGCCTCCCAAGTAGCTGGGACCACAGGCGCCCACCACCATGCCCAGCTAATTTTTTGTATTTTTGTAGAGATGTGGTTTTACCGTGTTAGCCAGGATAGTCTCCATCTCTTGACCTCATGATCCTCCTGCCCCAGCCTCCCAAAGTGCTGGGATTACAGGCATGAGCCACCAAACCCGGCCTATATAACCTTTTAAGATGAAACATTTTAAAAATAGAAAAAAGATTAGTGACATTACATTGTGGTTTGAGTTTATATTTTCCTAATGTCTAATGATATGAACATATTTTCATATGCTTATTACTGAAGGATTTTTATATCTTCATGGGTGATGTATCTCTTTGTATTTTGCCCATTTTCTAATTGGATTATTTGTTTCTTTAACTGTTAAGTTTTGGGAGTAATTTATCTAGTCTAGATACTAGTCTTTTGACAGATATGTGTTTTGAAAATATTCTCTTTCAGGCTTTGGTTTGTTTTTTCATCCTCTTAATAGTATTTTGCAGAGCAAAAGTTTTTAATTTTAATGAGGTTGAATTTATACATTTTTTTCTTTATGGATTGGGCCTTTGGTGTCAAGTCTAATAATAATTCATTGCCTACTCCTGGACTGTAAAAATCTTTATATGTATGTATATATAAAATTATATATATATAAAAAATATATAAAATTATAGTTACGTTTATAGAGTAAGCCTTAATGTTGAGTAGACTGACTCCTCTTGCATTATTCTCTTTTCTTCTGTTTTTCTTTCTTTCCTTCTTTGTCAAAATTGCATAAGCTATTGTAGGTCCTTTGGAATTACATTAAGTCTATAAACCAATTTGAAGAAAATTCCAACCCAATTCATGCAAGGTATGCTTCTCCATTTACTTAGATATTCATTCATTTCTTTTGTCAATATCTTAAAATTTATAGCATGTAGGCCGGGCACGGTGGCTCATGCCTGTAATCCCAGCACTTTGGGGGGCCGAGGCAGGCAGATCACGAGGTCAGGAGATCGAGACCGTCCTAGCCAACATGGTGAAACTCCGTCTCTACACTAAATACAAAAATTAGCTGAGCGTTGTGATGCGTGCCTGTAATCCCAGCTACTCGGGAGGCTAGGGCAGGAGAACCGCTTGAACTAGGGAGTCGAAGGTTGTAGTGAGCCAAGATCGCGCCACTGCACTCCAACCTGGCAACAGAGCAAGACTCCGTCTAAAAAAAAAAATTATAGCATGTGGATTCTGTATATTTTTGGTTAAGTATAGACCTAAGTATTTCATTTTCTTTGGAGTGATCATAAATGATACTGTGTTTTTAATTTCCGTTTCAGAATGTTCATCATTAGTGTATAAATACATGATTCATTTTTGTGACTTGATCTTTTATTGTACCACATTGTTCAACTTTAGGAGCAGTTTCTTACTTTATAAGCTGTATCCCTTTTATTTCTTTATCTTGCACTATCGCAGTAATTAAAGTTTCCAGTAATATGTTCAATAAGAGTAATGAGAGTAGATATTCTTGTCTTCTTCCTGATCTTAAAGAGAAAGTGTATTATAGTCTTCAACCATTAAGTAAAATGTTGACTGTAGGGTTTTTACAGTTGCTCTTCAGCAAACTGTGGTACTTCTCTATCTCTCATTTGCTGAACGTTCCTTTTTTTATAAATCATGAATCAATTTTGGATTTTGTTATTTTTGTGGGCCACTTAAAATGCTCATATGTTTTTTTTTAGCTTATTGACATGATTGTGATATGGTTTGACTGTGTCTCCACCTAAGTATCATCTTAAATTGTAGTTTCCATTATCTCCAGGTGTTGTGGGAAGGAACCAGGGTGAGGTAATTGAATCATAGGGACAATTACCCCCATGCTGTTCTTGTGATAGTGAGTGAGTTCTCACGAGATCTGGTCGTTTTATAAGAGGCACTCCTCTCTTTCCCGCTGCGGTGTGAAGAAGGATGTGTTTGCTTCCCCTTCTGCCATGACTGACTGTAGGTTTCCTGAGGCCTCCCCAACCCTGCGGGACTGTGAGTCAGTTAAACCTTTTTCCTTTATAAATTACCCAGCCTCAGGTGTTTCTTCATTCAGTGGATTACACTGAATGATATTCAAATGTTTAATCAGTCTTAACATACTTGGAATTAATGTTATTTGGTAATGCAGGAAAGTTCTTTTTATGCATATTGTTAAATTGGGTTTACTAATATTTTTGTTGATGGTTTTTCATGTAAATTCTTTGTTGTTATCAATTATGTAATTTGGTTCTTAAGAAATTTAGAACACCAATTTGTGAGGATAAATTCCATTTGTCAGTGCAAACACAGATGCAGGTGGTCCTGGAGCTGAGGAATAGCTTTGATTTTGGGGAAAATTAGTGAGTCCACAGTTTTCTGATCAATCTTGTGCTGCCCTGTAATCTTGTATTTGTTTTTTCTGTGTTGAAGATCTCACCTTCCTGGTGTGTGGGCTTCCATAGCCGCTTCTTCTTGAAATGTCAGTAAGATGTTTTGGGATTTTTACATTACTGATATTAATTTTGGTTGAGATGGCAATGACAAATTTCTGGTGTGTTCTTTGTAGAGGAACTCAATTGAGGGCCAGAGATCCAGTCACAACTAACAAGCCACTAGCCACCTGCTTCAGGAAAACCACCCTCTTGCCTCTGTAGCACTCAGTGAGAATGATCAGAATGGCCCCGGGGGTGACTGTGGCTCGTAGTTTTCTCAAGTGCTGACTGAAGGGTTTTTGGCTGTGGCTCAACAGCTTTCGAGGCACATCTCCAGTAGAATAATATCTAGGGATTTTGCGAAGTTTAACTATCTGGGCACCACCCTGCTTGTCACCACACACCTTTCCTTCATTTTTTTTTTTTTTTTTCAACTTTGGATTTAGCGGCTAAGTACTTCCTCTTGTGCATGGCCCTTCTGCAATATGTAGCAGATTGGGAACATCTGCCAGTTCCTCAGACAAGGACAGGATTTCAGCTGCAATGAAGCTTCCCTTTCGTGGGCTTTTTAGCTTTGAGGTCATGTCACCCTTTTTCACCCTGTCACCATCAGCCCTCTTGGCTTTGAGTTTCTTCTCTTTAGTATCCAGTTTATCAGCTTTTTCATCTGCCATCTTGCAAGATGGGAAAGAGTCATGTAAATTCTTGAGAGATACTGGCCGGTAATTTTTTTTGTACTTCCTTTGGTTTTGGTAAAATAAATTAGAAAGTGTCCCTTCTTTTTCTAATTCTGAAATAAGTAGTGTAAAATTTGCAAAAGTGATGTTAATTCTTCTTTAAATGTTTGGTTGAATTCACCAACAAAACCAGCTAGAGCTAGAGATTTCCTTTTTGCGTCCTTTCAAAATATGAATCAAATTTCTTTAATAGCTATAGGAATATTTATAACATTTATTTCACCTTGGGTCAGTTTAGGTAGTTTGTGGCTTTTGAGGAATTTGTTACATTACGTTATCAAATTTATGTATGTAAAATTGTCTGTTATACTTTCTCATTATTTTATTATTATTATTATTTTTTTGAGACAGAGTCTCGCTCGTCGCCCAGGCTGGAGTGCAATGGCAGGTTCACTCCATTCTCCTGCCTCAGCCTCCAGAGTAGCTGCGACTACAGGCGCCTGCCACCACGCCCGGCTAATTTTTTTGTAATTTTAGTAGAGATGGGGTTTCACCATGTTAGCCAGGATGGTCTCTATCTCTTGACCTCATGATCCGCCCGTCTCAGCCTCCCAAAGTGCTGGGATTACAGGCGTGAGCCACCGTGCCCGGCCTCATTATTCTTTCAATGGCTATAGAATCTGTGATGATATCCCCTATTTAATTCCTGATATTGATGATTTGTGTTTGTTTTATTCTTGTCAGTTTTGCAGAGGTTTGTCAATTTTGTTAATTTTTTTGGAAGAAACAGCTTTTGTTTAATTGATTGTCCCTATTGTTCTCCAATTTTTAAATTTTATTGACTTCTGCCCTTTATGATTTTCTTCCTTCCATCTTTTTATGGGCTTTTTGGTGGTTTGTTGTTTGCTTTCCATGTATTTAGACATTTTCCTGTTGTATTTCTGTTATTGATTTCTAACTAGACTCATTATAGTCAGAGAACACACTGTATGATTTAAATTCTTTAAATTTTCTTAAGGTTTATTTTCTGGTCAGGGTATGACTTATCTTGGTAAATTTTCCATGGTTACATTTAAAAAAATGTACATTATGCTGTTGTTGGGTAGAGTGTTCTATGTAAGTTCATCTGTAGCCTTGCTTATTTTCTGTCTAGTTGTACCATTAGTTGCCAAAAGGAGAGATGTGAGGTTCCTGGCAAATTACCCCTTAATTCCTGAAGAAGAAAGTTAACAGTTTCTTTCTTTCAGCACTGGAAAAATATTGTGCCACGTGCTCTGGCCTTCATGGTTACAGATAAGAAATCATCTGAATTGGTATTCCCCTGTAGATAATGTGCTGTCTCTCTGGCTATTTTCAGAAGTTAATGATTTTGTGCTTTAGTGTAGATTTGCTTGGGTTTATTCTGTTTGGGGTTCACAGGACTCCTTAGATCGAAGGTTTGTGTCTTTTGTCAAGTTTGGAGAGTTTTCAGTAATGATTTCTTTAAATACTATTTCAGTCCCATTCTTTTTCTCTCTTCTTATGGGACTCTAATGATATGACTGCTATATATCACAGGCTCCTGAGGCTCTGTTCACATATATTTTGTCTATTTTTCTGCCTTTTATTCAGATTTGGTAAATTCTATTGATTGTCCTCAAGTTCACTTATTTTATCCTCTGTCATCTCCAGTCTTACATTGAACCAAGCCAGCAGTTCTATATTTTCTGTTTGTTTCCACTGGTTCTTTTTATAAGTTCTATTTCTTTTCTGAGTTTTCTGTTTTTATTTATTTCAAGAAAAATCTATAATTGATGTTGAAGTGTTTTTTGATGACTGTGTTAAAGTTTTATGTCAGATAATTCCAACAGCTGCTTTATCTCAGTGTTGGCATTAGTTGATAGTCTTTTTTCATTCAAATTTTTATTTTCCTAATTCTTAGTATGATGGGTGATGTTTTTATTGTATTCTGGAACTGTTATCTATTGTGTTAGGAGATTCTGGCTCCTATTTGAATCTTTTATTTTAGCAGTCAGTCACGCTGTTAAGCTTTAGCGTGCACATCTTAGCCTACTTTTGTGGGCTGCTGTTCTAATAACAGTTTAATTTTATACTTTTTTTGGGTCTTTATGGTTTTTATTTTGGCCTTTGGTTTATCTGGGACTACCGAGGCTCCCACTGCTCCCTGTTCATACTGCTTGAAGGGATGGAAGTGAGAGGGGTTTAGCCAGACTGGGCTGCCTGGTGTTGCTCAATGTGAGAAGAAAGTCTCAGGTCTAGAGGGACAAAGAGGCCTTCCTTTCCTGGCATGTGATGTAGTGGGATACTTCCTGATTGTAACCCTTCACCTCCATGGAAACAAGCTCCCTCATGGGAGGCAGGCAATAACTTTTTGTTCCTTCCACTTCCTCATATGAAACTTCAAGATAATAAAAGAGGCAACTATTCAGAGTCTAATTACATCGAAGGGAAGTCCTGGGATGGCTGATTAAAATTGGTATGCAAAAGGAGGAAACTGATAGTGTGATCACCTGAAGCTTGGTGGAATTTCATAGGAAATTGTGGGACTCATAACCATCTCTCCTCAAATACCCCCTGATGTTAAAAATATCGAGAAAGATATGCTCATCTTATTTGCACCTAGATAAAATACAAGCAAGGAAAAGTTCTAATGAGCTTCCAGTATTAGATGCCAAAATACTCTCTTTTAACATTTATTTTGTAATATAAGAATAAAATTGACATGAAGGTCAGTGCCTTTAGATCCAATCTCCAGTAATACATTGTGTGGTTGAAATGGCCTGGGGTGGAATGGAAACTATTTGAGGTCTATTAGATAAAGAAGCACAGTGTATAGTGCTGCCTAGTCCTGCTCATGAGTCTTTTAGGGCTAACAAAATCAATTTACAGGGATGTGAGGATGCTATTGTAGTAGGGTAAAAACAGTCTGGATAGCATTTGTAATGTATGATTAAAAACCCTTGAATTCTCTCCTATAATGTTGTGATATGATAACATGGGTTGTAGATCTAGTAGAACTGGCAGTTTTCTATTGATGATATTATAATTATTTTAGAACCTAAGAATCAAGCCAAAATCAAATTTACTATAGTCATAAATTGCATGATAATCAGGAATGGTTGATTAACCTCACAAAAATTCAGAGCCCCACATAGACAGTGAATCTTTTGAGCATTGCATGGACTTGAGCAACCTATGACTTATTGCAGACCACTAAAAATGAATGATTTTTACTGCCTGTTTCTTAACCTGAACAATGTCTATTGGCCTTTCTTGACTTTTACAGAAATCACATCCGTCATTTGGAATACTGTTAGATCTGATCCTTAAAATCTTTTAAAGAAGGCCATGTTTAATTGAGGGCTGTAATGCTAGTTATTCTTTTGGATAACATGGTCCTAATGTTGAAATGATACTAGAAGTGTTGGCCACTCATATTTAGCCAACTGGAGTCTTTCATAAAACCCCATAACCACTGCTACTGAACAGTTATCTCTTGTCTTTTGAATTATAAAATGACCAGATGCTCCTCTCTGGTATACTCCTTTTAAAAGATAGTTACTGGCTTATTATTGGGCACCTACACAGACAGCCCGAATAAGTAAATTGTTTAAGGCCATATTAAAGCCCCAGTAAAGCATTGCAAAAAAAGAGGGAGATGCCGAAAGAAGTTTCCACATAAGATGGAATAAAAAGGGCATATGTAAGAGCATCCTACCAGATAATTTACAGGAAAGACTTCTTACATTAGTAAGCAAGTAGCCTTTTTCTTCCTATGACCTACTGTAAGGCTGCTTAAGGATTTGCATGGTACTATTGTTGAACGGGCATATTTTTGAGCAATTGTCTTAGAATGTAAGGCAATTGCCCTGGTTCACAAAAGACAGTTCCAAAAGCAAATGCCAAGACCTGGCATGAAAATCAGGGCTGGGTGCAATGGCTCACACCTGTAAACCCAGCACTTTGGTAGGCTGAGGTAAGAGGATTGCTTGAGGCCAGGAGTTTGATACTAGCCTTGTCAACATAGCAAGACCCTGTCTCTACAGCAAAATAAATCAGCTGTTCTGCATTCAGCAAACAGTAAAATACTCATGGAAAAGTACAGAGCCTGTATTACAGGCTGTGTTCTTCGCAATGATAGAAGAACTTAAAAAAAAAAAAAGGCTCTACTCTTTGGCTTTTTATAATGACTATATTGACTTTTTGGCTTTCAATTTGTTCTGGAAAATGGATCAGATGGACCACAGAGGGGCCTCCACCTGGTGTACTGCTCTTTGTAAATCTCTGTGGAAATTCTGAGAAAAAAAATCAAAGGCACACTGATGCTCAACACAGCAACCCTGTGTCAGGATCTGAGATGACTGAACTCAAGAAGTTGATGTTCTACTTGGATTTCTTGAAGTGGTAACCTCGGTCCAAGACATGGGTGAACACAGACAAATTCAAACCATGCAATGATGTGCCAAATTACAACACACCCTGGTGGCCTCTACCAATATAATTTTTTCTGTATGCCAATGGAAAAGGCAAAATCTGCAGTTCACCCTTGCCAGCGTATAGTTGGCAAGTAGATTACATTGGCTTTTAACCTATTGCTCCAGGGGAGGGTACTTAAAAGGATATTGACAGAACTTGATACACATTCTGGGTTTGGATTCCCATACTCACTAACTGAAGCCAAAGCTGCTTATGTTATCAAAGAACCGTGACCAAAAAAAAAAAAAAAAGAAATACTCTATCATTTTGGTCCTCTTAATTACATTTCATCAGATTAAGTTATTAACTTCTAGAGAAATGATGGGTAAAGAAACAGAAATATCACATTCAATAGACTTTTAAAATATATTCCCGAAGTGGTGGGTTAATAAAAACTGACATGTGCAATTAAAACACCTATTTAAAAAGATGCAGGTAACAAAGGATTGAAGGGCTGCCCTACAACTTCCAGCTTTATCTTTATTAATTTTATTTTACCAAGAGGATTATTATGGGTCTCTGTTAGATAAATTATTGTGCATTTGAAATAAAATTGGAAAAGACGGGAGAAGAGATGATGCAGGAGCTTACTACATTCAAATCTTCCCTTGTATGTAAACAATTTCTTTTCAGTGCTATACCCAATTATTCCTAGGTTAGAGTTACTGTCCCAGAGGCTGGTAATATCCCAAAAAAGAAATTATGTCTATTAATCTGAATATAACTGAAAGAATCCCAAAGCGATTGATGGGATAAATTATTTCTTCTCCAGACTGCCAAGTTTGGCCTGACAACCTTGTGGCAAATATTTTGTGTAATGATTCTATTTCTTTGTACTTTTCCCATCTAACTCACTATGACTGGGAATAGAATAAAAGAGGAAGCCTTAGTATGTGTCATCTTGTTATCAGCAATATGGACCAGACCATTGGCTGGACCAGAGAGACCCATCTCAGTGGAAAAGCTTTAGATAAAAATTAATGATAGAAGGAAGAAAAGTGAGATTGTAAATGAGGGAAAGATAGTTAATTAATGGAGGTTAAAAAAAGGAAACACTAATATAATTCTGTCTCTCCTTGTGAGAGGCTTGGAGCAAAAGAATACTAGCTCATTTAGCTTCAACTCAGATGTCCTGGAGCAAGCACTCTGCTGGAATCTCTTCCTCTTCTAAAGGAAGAGAAGGACTAAACTGAGCTGGCTAACAGGCACACTAACAAACACACATGAAGGAGTGGGCTATGTCCTCAAAATGGATAAACTGATAAAAGCTCTGACTATGACTACATGAAACAATATTAATATGGCCATGTATTTTGATTCTTTGTTTCTCAAGATATGTCTATTAACAAAGACCCATGGAAGGAAACAACTTACTGAGAATATTTATCAAATGAAATCTGAAGAACACAGATTCATAGTAATCTGAATGAACATTGTGTGGCCATTAATTGTGATGATGAAGATTAAAAAAAAAGGAGCTGGCATATGATCATAGAAGATTTCCTGCTGTATGTCCCATCTGTTATAATATCTTATATACAAATAATTGTTTACTTTATTTTTACTCTCTTTATTACAGCTTTTTCATCACAGTTAAAACATTTAAAAAATAGCCTAATGTTGATGTGATGTAAAATGCATTAGCAGAGTAAATAAAAAACTCCTCAGATAATTATGCCTATGGAGGAGAATTGACCTGAAGAGGACTCAGACTTGATTTAGCAGGTGTATACCATAAAATACAGATAGCTGAAAATTAGAGAGGCAAAGGACTTGTAAAGTTAGTATAAAAGTAACAAGAAAGTTTGTGCTGATATTGATGGCTAGTCTAGCTATCTATTTCAACACATACCAACCTTTAGCAGGCTATTACAAAAGTACAAACGTAATCTGCAGGTGGATTTTTGCTATCTTTTTTCTTTTTTTCTTTTTTTTGAGATAAAGTCTCACTCTGTTGTCCAGGCTGGAGTGAAGTGGAACACTCTCTGCTCACTGCAACCTCTGCCTCCTGGATTCAAACGATTCTCGTGCCTCAGCCTCCCGAGTAGTTGGGATTACAGGCACGCGCCACACGCCTGGCTAATTTTTGTATTTTTAGTAGAGACGGGATTTCACCATGTTGGCCAGCCTGGTTTTGAACTCTCGACCTCAGGTGATCCACCCACCTTGGCTTCCCAAAGTGCTGGGATTACAGGTGTGAGCCCACCATGCCCGACCTACTATTTATTTGATTATGCAATGCTATCAGACTAGTGAGTAGTTAATGACTAATAGAATCACTACCACCCCCAAATCTGTTATTTCACCATAATAAATGCGCATTTGAGTCCAGATTACATTCTTTGTTTCCAATACTAATATACTAATAAGTTTGGGCGACTATAAAGAATGAAGCCACCAGGCTTAAACAGCAGAAATGTCTCATAGTGTTGAAGGCAGGAATTCCAAGATCAGGGTACCAGCATGATTGGGTTCTGAAGAGAGCCCTCCTTCACTTGCAGACTGCCAACTTCTCATTGCAGCTCAGATGGCAGCCTCTCTGTCTGCTTGTTATTAGGGCACTAATCCCATTCATAAGGGCTCTACTTTCATGACTTAATGAACTCCCAAAGGCCCCACCTCCAAATGCCATCACATTGAGATTAGGATTTCAACTTACGAATTTTGGGAGAACACGAGCACTCTGTCATTTCAAATAGTAAGCTTTTTGAAATGACAAATAATCGGGGTAAATGTCGTTTGCTAGCCCAACTCCCTATGCAAAAAAGATTTCTACTTTAGAGCTCTGTTGTTTCATTTGAGACAGTGGATGCTAATAGATTTACCAAAAATTGGTTAGATTTCAAGAAATACAGGTGAAAAGTTCATTTCTTTAAATGACCAAAACTGCTGTGATAATTATTAAAAAATCTGAGAATTCTTCCCACTTATAAATTTTTTTAAATCAATGGTACAATTACAGTAATTATTATTGCCTTTTGTACAGTTCCACTGAAGAACTTGACTGTTCAGCTGCCTTCATAGTTTTGAGACTTTTGTCCCTAGTTAGAATAGTTAATAACATGCTGGATTATTAATATTGACTATAACATGTATTTGAAATTTTTTTTGGTGAGATTCTTATTGAGCAGATTGGGGATAGGATTTTCAGAATAGTTTTGAGTAAAAGAGAAGTGTCAAGTAAAAAGTGCTCTAAATTTCTACCAGCTTTCCTAATGCATATCTAATTATCCAGCCATCTATATATATGTATGCATATATATAATATGCATTATATATATACACATAATATACATTAGCTATGTATATTCATATATATAGCTTTCCTAATGCATATTATATATATGCATTTCCTAATATGCTTCCCTAAAACTATATAATCTATGAATATATAGATATTTATAAATATAATGCCTCATTTATATATATATACACAGACAGATAATACACATATGTATATACACAAACACGAGGGGACTTCAAAAAGTTTGCAGAAAAATGGAATTGGGCTGGGCATGGTGGCTCATGCCTGTAATTCCAGCACTTTGGGAGGCCAAGGCGGGCAGATCACCTGAGGTCAGGAGATCAAGACGATCCTGGCGAACATGGTGAAACCCCGTATCTACTAAAAATACAAAAAAATCAGCCAGGCGTGGGGTCACACGCCTGTTGTCCCAGCTACTTGGGAGGCTGAGGCAGGTCGCTTGAACCCGGGAGGTGGAGGTTGCAGTGAGTCAAGATCGTGCCACTGCACTCCAGCCTAGGCGGCATGAGGCTCTGTCTCAAAAAAAAAAAAAAGAAAGAAAAAAAAAGAAAAACGGAATTAAGATAAAAATAAAAATTATAAACTTTATTTCTCAACATGAACTCCATCAAGGTCAAGACTTGTAAGTAATTACAAGTCAAGCTTTTGTAAAGTAATGATACCAGCCATGTAGTCCATTCCTAAAAATACTGAGGGTCCTGGAAATTTAACTATGTCAATACAGCCTTTTTTACATTATTAATTGAAAAAAAATGGATGCCTTTTAAAGATGTTTTATGATTGGGAAACAAAAGGAAGTCAGAAGAAACCAAATCAGGACTGTAAGGTGAATGCCTAATGATTTCCCATCAAAACTGTTGCAAAATTATTAATGTTTCACGAGGGGAATGAGCAGGAGCATCATCGTGGTAGAGAAAGACTCTCTGGTGAAGTTTCCCCAGGTGTTTTCTGCTAAAGCTTTGGCTAATTTTCTCAAAACACTCTAATGATAGGCAGATGTTACTGTTCTTTGGCCCTCTAGAAAGTCAACAAGCAAAATGCCTTCAGCATCCCAAACAACTGTTGCCGTGATTGTTGCTCTTGGTTGGTCTGCTTTTGCTTTGACTGGACCACTTCTACCTCTTGCCCTTGCTAGTCGTTGGTTGTGCTTTGTCTTCAGAATTGTACTGGAAAGGTCATGTTTCATTTCCTGTTACAATTCTTCAGAGAAATGCTTCAGAATCATGATTTCACTTTTTTTTTTAGATGGAGTCTCGCTCTGTTGCCCAAGCTGGAGTACAGTGGTGCGATCTTGGCTCACTGCAACCCTTGGCTCCTGGAGTTCTCCTGCCTCAGCCTCCTGAGTAGCTGGGACTACAGGTGCATGCAGCTAGACGTGGATATTTTTTTCTATTTTAGTAGAGTTTCACTGTGTTGCCCAGGCTGGTGGCGAACTCCTGAGCTCAGGCAATCCTCCTGCCTCGGCCTCTCAAAGTGCTGGGATTACAGGCTTAAGCCACTGCACCTGGCCAATTCTACTTGTTTAAAATTTCCATTGAAAGCTCTGCTCTTGTCTGCAGCTGATCTGGGTGCAATGATTGTGGCATGCATTCAGTGGAACGTTTGCTCAACTTTAATTCTTCAGTCGGAATTGTGAAGCTGAACCAATTGAGATGAGTATAGTGCTGGTTTTTATCTGTGCTGTTAATCATTTTATTTGTGCTGTGTTTATCTGTGTTAATCATTTTATCTGTTTTATCTGTGCTGTTAATCTGTCCTCTCAAGTTAAGTCATGAACAAGATTAATTTTTTTCCTCACGAACTGATGTGGATGATCCGCCACTGCAGGCTTTATCCTCCAGATCCTCTTGTCCCTTCGTAAAATGAGTTACCCATTTGTAAACTGCTGCTTTCTTTGGGGCATTGTCCCAAAAAACTTTTCATAAAGCACCAACGATTTTACCGTTCTTCCACCTAAGCTTCACCATAAATTTGATATTTGTTCTTGCTTCAATTTTAGCAGAATTCAAGTTGCTCTGGTCTCTTTTCAAACTGATATCTTATCCTTTTTAGTGACTCAAACTCGGATCCTGTTCAGACATGTTATAACAAGTTAGTACCATTTTTTAAATGCGAAAACCTTGAAATTCATGCTTGTTTCTAAAATAATACGCATTGTTTATGAACTTTTGGGAAGATCCCTTATGTGTATGTGTCTGTGTAAAAACTGAAGCTACAATTATCAATAGTCCTCAACCCATCTTTTCTTCAGAAATGATACATTTACAAAAACCTCTACAAAGTCTTTATTAATTTGAATGATGTTATAAATTTGGTGCTTTCTTGAATTTCTTAATATTCTTTTCTTGTATTTTTTTCATTTCTCTAATTGGTCCATTTCAAAGACCGTAAAACTTAAAGGTAGGCGAAGCATCCTAATTCTCTCATGAATTAGCTTCTGAAAAAGACCTCTAGACCTCCTTTTGTTTAAAAAAAAAAAAAAAATCTAGAGTAAAGCACTGATAGCATCAATTACATTGTTTTTTTCTTTTTTAAGTCATGGAAAAGTTTATTCAAGTGTATGAAGAATATTATCATGTAAACCAGATGAAAATCAAACTTCTCTGATGAGGATGTGAAAGCGTCTAAGAACCCTACTTATTTACATTACCCACATTTCTCATGCCGTTGTTTCCATCAAATCCCCACCCAAAAGGATTATTCAAAATTATTAGAAATCCACTTAGTTGAATTAGAAAACCTGTGGATTTAACTATTTCCAGCTTCATTTACTGACCTAAAGTTCTAAGTACAAAACTTAGTTTACATTTTAATGATTCACCTGAAAACCAGTCCAATATTTTAGCACATTTCTAATTAATAATTTACAATAATTAAATAAAATGTTATCTATATTTTGTTCCTGCAAGGCTTCAGGACAAAGTAACATAACAATACAACACTAGGTAGTTTCATATTTCTGTTCTAAGGGAGCCAGAATTTGAGATACAGTAGCTTATAGCCTCATAAATTAAAGTAGATTCTTTTCTGTGTGTGACAGCCAAGAGAAAGTATAAGATTCCTAAGTTATTTTATTTAATTCAAGTCAAAACAAGACTGGATGCACAAAATGAATGTGTTGTGTTATTAATATTCAGAACTTGTCTTAAGAACTCTAGCTCCATCAGAACATTTAAATTTTAAATCATTGTTGAGAGGACATTGGTATACTCTCATTTTGTGTCAATGGCAATTCAGCATCATGGAGTAAAAAAAGCACTCAGCCCAGAAAAGGTAAAACAAATGCCTAGACGAAATAAGGTACAGAGATGCTTTGGGCAACCATGTCATGAGTATTCTGATGCTCAGTTTAATTTTTGTTTCATTAGACCCAGATGGTGCAGTTTCTCAACATACCTAGTAGAAAAGCAAGAGCAAGATGTTCACAAACTAACAGACTTCCAGTGATGAAAATGTGACTGTTAATTGCAAGGTTTTATTTCCAGATGTTCAGATAGCTGAATGCTTTTCAGACAGCACAGAAAGCTTGGCAGAATAGTTCCAAGAAAGTAAAATAAGACAAGAGATAAAAAAAATACTAAAGTTTGAGAAATATAAAACTACCATAAAGGACTGAATATCCAAAAAAATCTTACTGATGGGAACATCTGGAAGATATGTAGAAGAAGATGCAGCAGGAAATAGAACCACTAGTAGTTTAGGTTCGTGTATGGAAGATAAAACTCATCATAATTGGTTTAAATTGTATGGTAAAATATACAATATCTTTCTTTTATTAGGCCTTTAATATGAATATCAATAATTCAAGAAGAAAACTAATTTAATATATAGGTACATGTTTAAATAAGTAAAATGATTCTCTGCAAAAAGTATATGGTTCTTATCTGTTTAAAAAAGTGCTCCTAACCACATGGACATAAACATGGGAACAGTAGACACTGTGGACTCATACAGTGGGGAGGTAGAAATGTGTGTGAGTGGAAAAGCTACCTATTCAGTATTATGCTCACTACCTGGGTGATGGGATTCATACCCCAAACCTCCACATCAAGCAATATCCCCATATAACAAACTTGCACTTGTACTCCCTGTATCTAAAATAAAAGTTGAAATTTATTTAAAAATGCTCCTTTAGTTCATCATTCTTCCAAAGAATTCCACCAATGAAGAATATTGCTTTATCTTTAAGGACAGTTGCAAATGTCTGTGTGTATATATTTTCTATAAAAATTAGTTTCCTCATATGTATAAATATTTCTCAGCAAATACCATTGAAGGACTTGAATTCATCTGAAGTCGATTTGTGAACATGCTAAGAAATCAAATATGGGTGGCCTTTGGAGAAGTCTAAGAGTATAATTTTCATGAATTGTGATGACCAAACACTATTATACCCATATCTGTAAAACAATTTTTAAAGTATGTTCCCCCAGTATAGTGTATTAATTTTGGCAATAAAGAATAAACTTGTACTTCTACTTTAGGGTTCGAACTACATTGTAAAATATATTTTAAAATATCACTTAAAATGAAAAAGGTGGCTTCTGGGACAGATGTAACACGTTGTGGTAGGCCAACGCATCTGCCACAGCAGATGAAAATAATAGATAATTTCTAAAATCAGAATTTTGAGAATATCAGAGTACTCTATGTGAGTGAAGACTAGGTGAAATAGAATTCCAGAAATGAAAGAGACTTTCCTAGGAGAGCTACAATCTCTAGACCTCCAGCTGTTTTCTTTCCTGGTGGCATTTAGAAAATACTGGTGTGAGGTGAGAATAGTTTGGTTTAGATAGGGGAACTTTGCTGTAGGAAAGAGAAGCCAGCAGAGCTTTTAACAGTTGCATAGTTTTAAATTTAGATTGACGCTTGAGGAATCCCAAATATATGGCCGGCATTCACTCTGACATATTTGCAGGCTTGTGGAGTGGTATGGGAGACTGGAGACTGAGTTGGAGGCATCTTTAAAAGACAGTGAAATATTCTGTATTTTGAAACATCCTCCTGGAGGAACTGCTTGCTTATCTCTGCCTCAAGATACATGTTGGATTTTGAACCTCCATGGCCTGAAAGGCTAAAAAGCTAATCTCAAAACCTGTTAATGGGGGAAATGAGTCTCCTACAATGTTTCACAGCCAAGGAAGCAGAGATTAGCTAGGGACTCAATCAAAACTTAGATGAAGACCTAATTAAAACCCAAATTCACCTAGACTACCGTTTCTTTTTCTTTCATCACTTTAAATAATTGATTCCACTCTCTTCTTGCTGGTGGTTTCTGAAGAGAAATTTGATGTAATTTTTATTCTGTGCCTAGATAGGTAAGCAATTATTTTCTCTTCTGGCTTCTTTCAATATTTTCTGTTTGTCGTTGGCCTTTTGAAACTTGAATATGATAAGCCTAGATGTAGACCTTTTAGTGTTTATCTTGTTTAGTGTTCTCTGAACTATGCTAATCTGTGATTTGGTGTGTGATTAAGTTTGGAAAATTTGGAGCCATTATTTCTTCACATTTTTGTGTTCCTCTTTCTCCTGTCTCCTTCTGGTTTTCCTTCTGGTATGTGAATGTTACATCTCTCGTAATCATCCTGAAGTTTTTGGATCTTCTATTACTTTTTTGCTGCTATTGTTCCTTTTTGTGTTTGGTTGGCTTTGTTCAGTGTTCTGATCAGGGCATCAAAAGCATTCTTCATTTCTGTTCACAGTGTTTATTTCTAGCATTTTAATTCTCCCTTAGTGTTTCTATCTCTCTGCTTATGTTACCAATCTGTTCTTGCCTATTGCGTGTGATTTTTCTTTAGAGCTTTTAGTATATTAATCATAGTTATTTTTGATTCCAAGCCCGAGAATTCCAAAATCTCTGCAATCCATACCTATGTCTTGTTCTGAAACTTGCTTTGCCTCTCCAGACTATGTTTTAGCATGCCTTGCATTTTTTTTTCTTGAAAGCTATACATAATGTATCAGGTAATAAGAACTAAGTCCACACTAAATAGGACTTTGGTGTGAAGTTTATGTTTATCTAGCTAGGAGTTAGGCTGTGCTTAACGTTTGATGTAGTTGTCAGAAGTTTCCTCTAGACTTAATTCCTTTGTCTTCCTTGTTGTGTTTGAGTTTACATAGAAACTGTATTTTTCACCTCTCTCTGTTATAAGTCTACTATTACTGGATTTCTGTAGAAAGTATATCTTTTACCTCTCTGTTATAATTCACTATTACACTGGGCTCTGTTGATGTGGTGGTAGGCATAGGGGAGGCGAAGCTTTTCTACAGTGCGTGTTTTATTTAAATCTCAGATTTTTTTTAGTAGGCCTGAATCCCTGGGATGTGACTTTCCGAAGAGTTTCTTAGTCTTTGTTTTTCCCTCTCTTTATTTGAAACAGGAAGAATAGCATGGACTGGAGTTGTTTCATTGACCTTCTAGGTCAGATAAGGCTCTGGTAAAGTAGTTTGCCTTCAGGGTAGGCCTCTGATATGGAGAATTGAATGTTCCAGGCATATTTAAAAGTGTTTACTTTTTCCTTGTGTGTTTTCCAAAGTGGTTACTTTTCCTTCTCCCTTCCAGAAGCACAGAGAGTCTGTTCTCTGTTCTTTATCAGGAGAATCAGTTGCGACTTCTGGAGGTAAAACTCATAAAAATGTGAGGAACCTTCCAAAAATTGTCCTGCCAGGAATTTTAACCCTCAAACTAGTCATGCTCAGCCCCCGGCAATTTGTTAACTATCATTTCAGCATTCTTTTAAGTTATTAGCTCCAGCACCTTATTCTTCTAGTAAGCTGAACTCAGCTCTGATATTCTATTTGTTTGTTTGTCTCTATAATTTTCAGGGTTCGGGGTTGTCCTGTCATCCCAGTTCTCTGAAAGCTCTAAGAATAGCTGTTGATTTTCAGTTTGTTCAGCTTTTTTCTCATTGTGAGCATAGAAATGATGACTTTTAAGCTAATTAAATATCATAGCTAATACTGAAGACTTATGGATGATTTTCAACAGAAACTATGGAAGCCAGAAGACAGTGGAATAACATGTAAAATACTGAAAGAAAAAGTAAATATCAACTCAAAATTCTATAACCAGCAAAAATATATTTATAAAACAATGAAGGCATAGTTAAAATGTTTTCCAACAACAAGAAATTCTCTTACCAGCAATTTCACATTAAGAAATAAAAAAAGGATAAAGGAAAAAAGATCCTAAGTCTGAAGTATGAAACTATAGGTGAAAAAAAAGTAAAGGGTATTATAAAGTTTACAGATGTGGGCAAATGGAAAATAATATTATATTTTTAAAACTTCCTGCTTGTTTGTGTGTGTGTTTGCGTATAAGACATTTTATAGGAAGTAGAAAATTTCTAGTTTAAAATATATTGTAATAATTTAAAGATGTATATTGAGAATGTTAGGCCAATGCCTAATATGATAGCGTAAAAATGTAAAATCATAAAGCTAAAAAATGAGAAAAAATGATTATTAAAAAGGGAGAGGTTGAAATAAGCACATATACAAGTTTTACTATTTTATTTTGCATTCTGCTGTATCATCTTGTGTATCCATTTTGGTTCACATACTCCAGTCTGGAGACCATTGGTTAAAAGAACCCAGTATTAGACTGTGAAATCTTGAATGCATTTGATTGTTCCTCTTCTATGGTATTTTGAATCCCCTTTGTTTAAACAACAATTATTGAAGAAGTGGTTGACATTTATTTTGTAAAAAGAACTTCATATTAACAATATATATGTTAAGCAAATAAATATCAAATGTAGATGGCTGGTTTACACTTCTACAATAATTCTATGGTAACAGTTGCAATTGCAATTAGTATATCTAAAGTCAGGTTACATGTGAGACAAATTTACAAAATTATTGCTAGTTTTTGTTGCTTTCCAAAATAAACATAAACTATAAATAATTTTGGATTATTTAAAAAATGTCATCTATAACATTTACTAACTGGTTTTAGTGCCAAAACCTTGAATTTTCTGTGACCTTTAAGTTAGTAAATCTAGAAATGCAATTTTTATGTGAGGTTCTTTGTACTAAATTATTTTCTGTGGCTGTGGTAACAAATTGAGGAAATGTGTTCTCTTATTATGTTCCATTCATTCAAACAATATTTGTGAAAATACTTATAAATCACAGTGAGGGAATAAAGCAAATGCTTAAGAAGTATTCCAATGCTATTCTGATTGCTAAGTGATCATCTGTATGTTTTCTTTCTCATATAGAAGATCAGGTAACAGCTAGATGGTAATACAGTTTAAGCTAAGTCCTTTTGAGAGACAATCCATTTTCTAGTGAAATGATCAGGGAAGGTTGTGAAGATGTACCTTTTCTTACTTTTAAAATATATATTAAAATTTTTTCACATTTAATGATAATTGTACAGTGAGATTTTTCATTATAGGAAAGAAACTCATATATTTAGAACAAAATATAAAAATCCTCCTTCAGTCCCCCCAGTTGCTATCTTCTCAGAGGTAACCACTTATCAAATTCTGGAGTGCCTTACATTTCTAACCAGGCAATCGCACATTCTGCAAACAAGGTAGTTGTATCTCTTCTTTTCCAATGTTTATACCAATTGTATTAGACTTGTCCTATGTGCCACTTTAGGTCCTCTGTGGTTCACCTGTCCCCAGTCTTGCATAATGTCCCCCACTGTTCACTCCTTGCCTCAAACTTCATGGCTTCCCTCTTGATAATAAGGTATAAGATACTGTACATTTTCAAGCATTTGAAAACCAAAAGTTTGGTAGTATTAACTCTCGATGAGAAACCAATAGAGCATAGGCATTAATGGATGAATCTTAACTCCATTTTTTTCTCCAAGACTAGACTTTTTGAAGACAGCACTGTGAGACAGAGCAACTAGTTGTGCTTGACTCCAAATAGTGGCCAACTCAGTAATGCAACCTTATATTGTTTGTTTTGTCTTTCTTGTTTCCTGGCTCACTCCTGCTGTCTCTCACATACACTGGTGATTTGTTCTAGGACCTTCAAGGATAGCAAAATCCGAGGTTGCTAAAGTTTTTTTACAGCCAACCTACTGTATTTCTGAAAAAATAGTAGCACACAAATTTTTGCCTCAAGGTCTGCTTCTTTGGAAATCTAAGCTAAGACACCACTCACCAGTATTTGCCTGTCCTTATTACATTGACTGGGGGCTCTAGAAACATGTTTGTTTGTTTGTTTGTTTTTGAGATGGAGTCTTGCTCTGTCATCCAGGCTGGCAGTGGTGTGATCTCAGCTCCCTGCAACCTCTGCCTCCTGGGTTCAAGTGATTCTGCTGCCTCAGCCTCCCAAGTAGCTGGGATTATAGGCGCCCGTCATCATGCCTGGCTAATTTTTGTATTTTTAGTAGAGACAGGGTTTCACCATGTTGGTCAGGCTGGTCTTGAACTCCTGACCTCAGGTGATCTGCCCACCTCAGCCTCCCAAAGTGCTGGGATTACAGATGTGAGCCACCATGACTGGCCTAAAATCATGTTTTAAAAAGGTGGTTATAATAGAGATTTCTTATATGTCTAAAAAATAACTTTATTGGCCTGTTCATTCAAATTATAATTTTTATGTATAGACTTATAAATTCAAAGTATTTTTACTCTAAAATGTAAAATGTTTTGGTCTGACTTCCTGTTTGTGATGAGAAGTCTAATGTCAATTTTATTGTTTTTTTAAGGGATCATATACTATTCCTTTTAGAAGACTTTAAAATTTTCTTCTTGTCCTTAGCTTATTACCTTTATTGTTTTATTCTTAACTTTAATGGAAGGTATCTTTATGTAAGGCTTTTGTTCTATAATATGTTCCAATTTTGTTTCTGATATTCTCTTTCCATCTGAAGACTTGAGTCTTTCTTCAGCTTGAAAATAAAATATTCTCTAGTGTTTCTTTCTCACTTTTAAATTTCTTCCTTTCATTCTTCCCTTCTAACAATTTTCTGGGGACTTGATGTTGGAGTTCCTAAATACATACTTTATGTCTTTCAAACTTGACATTAACCATTTTCATCTCTTTGTGTTTTGCCTCTATATTCTAGAAATGTATTTGATTTAAATTTTCACGGTACTGATTTAGTACTGATTTATTCTTTATCCATTTATTGTATTGTTTGGCTTTTTAGTAAATTTTTAACTTTGGCAATAATATTTATTTATTTTTTCTCATACTGATTCTTTTGCATAATCTCATCTTCTCTTATTAGTCTTATGGTGTTAACAGTAACTTCCCCAATAACTTCAAAAAATTGTAATTTTTAAATTTGTGTCTATTTCTTCAATTATATTCCTTTTCTATATGCTTATTTGTTCTGTTTATTTTTCTCAGTCCTTCTCTTTTCCATGGTGACAGATAAAACTTAATCATCTGCTAGGTTTTGCTTAAGCAATAAGGAGTATTTTTGACTTTTATAAATGGAATCCCTAGGAGTGATGAAGCATGCTGAAACAAGATCTCTGTCTTCCATTTCAAATCTCTGTTTTCTTATAGGTTCTTTTTATTTTCAGACAGCAATCTCATAGTGTAGAGATAGCCTCTGCCAATTCCAGGCTGGTATAATACCATCTAACAACACCAAAACACTAGCTTTTCTTTTGACAACTTCAGCAAATATTCCAGAAAATAATCTGTTCAGCCTGATTTAGATCACATACCATAAGTTCATTATAAAAGAATTACCACGAAAATACATGTTAAGTATAACACATTTCAATCCTAAATCAAACATAATATTCTTTTCAAAAATAGTCCTCCCACTCTTTTCAAACTATGAGATAGATTTTTTCAAAGTCTTGGGTTATAGAAATCAATCGTTTTTTTCCAATGAGATTTAAAAAGTAAATGTTTCTTTTTCAAATTGCTGTCACTCAAGGCTTTAAAATTCTGCCTTTTGATATATTACGATATCACAAATGAGTTTTTTTTCCATTAGAATAAATGCCAAGATATTAGACAGTTCTCTTCATAGAACACAGATGAAAGGGTGAAACCCTGTGAAAATGTAAAATGTTACCACTTATTTATATCTTCTATCTTTGAGCGTTTATTCCTGAACCCACATGGACTACTAGAACAAAATACAGACTGAAAACTATAAGAAATCATTATTTTTTTTACTATAATTGGTTCATAAGTTCACATTTATTATAGGGTTTAGTTTGAGTTCTGTAAACTTGAAAAGATCATATATAACTTATTTCTTAAAAGAATGGTTATTTGGTATAACCTAATCCATTTACTATCAGATCTATAAATTATTCAAAGTTTAAAACATCAGCAGAGTTATAGATTAAATGGTATTGATTTAGGGTAGGAGGACTAGCTTATTGGAAAGGGAAATATTTTCAGTACAAAGAGATTGCTACCAACTAGTGAGAAGTTGAAGAAAGAACTGTGGAGATCAGCATGAACCTGGGACAATTGCATAAGGAGAAGAGCTCTAACCTAGAGATAAAAAGCCTATTTCAGAAAAGGATCAAAGTGCTGATGAGAGAAAAACTGCAAAGAGCAAATTGCTGGAGGAGATCATAGAAATAAGCTTTCTCCTCTTGAAATGAACTTGCTGAAATTTTGTTGTACCATTCAAAAATGCTTTAAATACATCATTGAAGGGTTTCTTCAGAGATTCTAACAGCCAAAAGTTCTTTGGTTGAAAGAGAGAGAAGAAAAGGTTTTATTATGTAATGTGCTATGCTTGCTTTGGAAAACTTTGCAGGTATTGAATATCTATTGTGTGTGTGTATATATATATATATATATATACATGCAAAAAAATGGTACACAGGGACACACTCTATGTAACCAAACAATGCTAATTCAAGTGAGGAAAAAAGTGCATTCTGAGGTGCAGGCTAGAAGATAGATATAATCAAATGTAGGTTACTCTTGACATGATAGATTTAACACACTGCTTAAGATGATTGTTGAGAGATTCCATAGGTCTGTGTATTAATCCATTTCTGTGTATAGATTACCACAGACTGGTAATTTATATAGGAGAAAGATTGATTCAGCTCATTGCTGTCGAGGCTGAGAAGTCCAAGAACCTGGTACTGGCATCTTGTGAGGCCTTCTTGTTGCTTTATTTCATGGAAGAAGGGTAAATGAACATGCAAGGTAGAGAGAGGAGAAGGTGGGTCAAACCTGTTCTTTTTATCAAGAGCCCAGTCCCAAGATAACTAACCCATTCCTTGACAGCAGCATCAATCTATTATTGAGGGTAGAGCCCTCACCCTCTAATCATCTCTTAAATGTTCCACATCCCAATACTGTTATTCTGTCAATTAAATTTCAACATGAGTTTTGAAGGGGGCACTCAAATGATAGATGTCTATGTTATATAGAAATTTGTAATTTAGCTAATTACGAGCTTGAGCAACTAAAAGCAAAAGGCTACAGTGTAGAAATGAGCTCCAGGTAGCGAGTGAGGTGACCACTGAACACCCACATTTCATTGTGGCTTTACGTTCTCTTCTAAAATGTACAGCATACAAAATTCCAGTAGAGAGCTAAAAAAACTCTGTTTGTTTATAAAAATGACTCTGGAATCAAATCCAGGTGCCAGTGGTGGAGCTTTATTAAAAGTATTAATGGCTGTATCCACAAATTAACAGTTTCAATAAATTAAAAATGAGTATGTCAAATTATATGGCAACATGAAAATTTGAAGTTATCAATCCTACCATAAGTACTATATGAAAACAAGAAAAACTGATTGTGAACCTGATTCAGCAAATGTTCCAAATAGTACAAAATTTGTTCTTGTTGTGAAAGATAAAACTTTGGTAAAAATCTGAAAAAGCAATTAACTCGTAATATGAAACATGTAACTTTAGAAGAAAATGTGCTTTAGGAGACATTTATTTTAATAGCTGTGTAAATACACTGTGGTCCCATATTATAGATGCATTTAAAGTCTGAAGGTATCACTGACATCTTTCAGTTATATTCCATTGCATTTGAAAAAATAAAATTCATGCTTCTGGAATATGAGAAGTTTTCAGAAAGCACTTTACCAGAATTTGGAGGGTGTTCTATATTCACTTACCATTATCAGGAAGAATTCATAATGTCGTATAAATAAAACATGATTAGAATCCAGGAAATCTGGATTCTAGGCTTGATTTTACTATGGGCTAGATGTGTAATTTAGTTCAGCCCATTTGATCTTTCCCTGCTTTCTACCCTTTCTCTTTTAACTGTAGGGAGTGAAGTAGTAAAGTAGATGTAACCCTTCTAATTCTAAGTTGCTATGCTTCCTCTGATGTTCTTTGTACACAAAAGAAGTTATCAATGTCCCAAAGTGTGTGCAGATGATTATAAGCCACTTCAGCTGCTCCTCACTTTGCATGTTGGCAGCACTACAACTAAAAAAAGCTTTTCTCCATGAGATGAGTAAGAGATTGAGATCCATCTACTCTGTGAGCAGACTGGCTTCTCTCCTCTCTGCCATACGCCCTCAGAATGAGTGGGATGTGACTGCCAAGCCAAACTTGATGAAACTGTGTATTTGAACATTAGCCTAAAATACAGAAAAAGTTAAATGCTATTACAACTGCCTACAGTTCCATCTACCCTTCAACTAAGTATTCATTGATGGGGTTCTGTCATTTTAATACATTTTGGTATTCAAATATTTCTGTAGCTTTCCCCCCTCATCCTTTTATCCTTAAGAATAATGTTTGTGGCATTTTCTTTGATCTTTGAAGACATGTAAAGAGGAGGAAGTAATGGGTTTCATAATACAAACCATTTATGCTCTATATTCATCTGTGACTTTTGTTAGAGAGAATTAAAGAAGAGCAAGAAATCTAGAGCTCGTGTCAACCCCATGCCTTCGCCTAAAGTCCCAAGACAGATGTCAAGATAAAGTTTTATGATACATTTAATTTTAAAGGGCAGAAACTTTTATAATGCTTCTTGATAGCTAAGATGTTTAATCACTGAAACAGAATGGGTTTTTCAGTCAGGCTTCAAGGATCCGTTCAGGTCTGACCACATTTGTGAATCTGGACTGTTGCTGCTGAGCAGATGTAGTTGCTCATTTCCCCCTGTGTTCCCTGTTCCACAGTCCATTTTGGATACGTTCACTGTAGCACCATCACTATTAAATGAAATCTATCGACTTAAATGCTTACAAATACAATGGAGCAGTTTTTGAGGACAGACTTACTCACTTTTTTCTAATCTAGCACATATTAGGTACTTTATAAATGAAGGTTGAATAAACCTATGGGGCATGCTTCCCAAATTCTGGTTGTACCCTCCGGAATTTCTTTTAAGGATCTGCAATAGATGATGGTGGCGCTTTGCCCAACAAACTAATTGTCAGAATTTAAGAGACATTGAGGTTGTTTTTCTGAAAATGAGAGAAAACTATTCTAGCTAATGTTTATTATAGCAAATCTTCATATACAGCCTAATTTATGCCAGGCTATGTCCTAAATTCTTCATATGTATTAACTAATTTAGTCCTTACTCAAACATACGTGAAAGATAGCATTATGATTCCCACTTTATAAATAAGGAAACACACACCAACAGGCTAAATAACTTCATCAGTGCCACACAGAAATTGGTAGACTCAGGATTCCAAGGCATGCAATCTTGTTTCGGCATTCATGTTCTTAACCATTATATTCTGGTTCGTTGGAACTATGCTGTCATCAGCCAGATGGAACCATACTTTTAGAATTAATAAAGCTGACAAATAATTAAGATTGTAATACATTATTCAGAGGAATCCTTAGTCAGTTATACCAGTTAATATATTTCATTTGAGGTTGTTTATATTATTTAAAAATAATTAGCTCTATAGAATAAATGCAAAGGATTGTTCTAATTAGAAAGAGAACTGGTTTCTTAAACAATCTTTTGCCTTTGACTTTGGTTTGCAAATCTGAGAAAGTGTACTACTCAGCCCTGCCACATAGTTATTGTAACTTAAGTTGTAGAATCAATGAGCAATTCAAGGAAGCTTTGAAAATTGTTGCATGGCTAGCCACTCATGATTTTTGTTTTCCAAATTGCCTCACTGACCTCCCTATACTATGCTGGCTGCCTAGTGATCGTTGTCAACACAAGAACAGTGAATGTATGACAATATGGATTTCGATGGTCCAGATATTGAAAATAATTTGGACAATTAAGAAGAGCTAATAACTGGGACTCCCTGTAACTCTAACAAGCAGATCGCTACATTGTATTTCAGCATTGAGGGGAATGTATTGTTAATCTAAGGTTGCCTAAAGGAATGAAAGAAAAGGAGAAAAAAAAGCCAAAAGTAAACATGCATTTGGCCTTTACTGTAAAACATTTTGAATTTTCTAGGTCCAGAAGTTATTACAATATTGAGCAAATTATGAATATATATTATGTGGTATATATATATATTTTTTAACTCAAAAAAGTGTTAATAAAGCTGTCAGACTTAAGGGGCATATCCTAAATTGTGGAAGGATTTCTTATTTCTTCAACTTCAGCTTCCTCTTTGTAAGCCCTAACTACTGTAAATTAGTATCTCAGTACTTGACTTCAGGACTTGACAGGATTTATAGTAGTTATAAGTTAAATTCCTTTTAGTGAATAAATTACATTTTCATTACATTGAGTGCTAAATTTTGTTTTGCTTAAGAAAAAATAAAGTCACTTAAGGTACTCTACGTATAATAATTTTTTAATTTGGAAATTGAAGTTGATATTATTAACATAAAATGTTGTTTACCAAAGTTCAATAGGTACTGTATTTAGTATAGGAGATTTGCGGCACGATAGTCATCTGTGATAAATTACTTTTCTCTACAAATTATTTCTCCACTATTGATACATATTTAGAGTATACTCTAACAAAACTGAACTAATGTCTGTACTGAAAATGGCATTTGCAGAGGCTGATTTATTAGTTTTTAAACTGCTAAATACATTGTCTAACAATAATGCTATTTAAATCACTATGCCTGAAATAAATATTTTAAATTACAGACTATGAATAGAGCAGTGAAATTATTATATTATACTCAAGTCCATTGAGTATACTCAATATTCCATTGAGTATAATTATACTCAATTCTCCACTGAGTATAATATCTTATAATAATCTAAACTTCCCCGTGCATTGAAAATAATGGAATAATTTTCAGTGTTCAAGAAATCTGAATACTTAGTAGGGATCTCATTCCAGAAAACTCTGGGCAACTACGCAAGTAGAAACTATGGGTGTTCCATGTCGTAAAAATCAACTGACATTTTAAAATCTTCTTGCTTATTTACCTGTTGGCATCTGGCATCTTTCTGACTATTGATTTATCTCTCCTTCCTGTTGTATGGCTCTTGTAATAACACAGGCTTCCGAAGGTTTTTCTCTGACCTGTCTGGCTGCTGCTTTTTAGTCTGTTTTGCCTGTTCTTCAACCTCTACCCAATACATAAATGTTGATATGCCTCTATTTCCATAGCCCAGACAGCTTTTTCCTCTGGCAGATATTCAATTCAACGTCTCCATTTGAATTATTAATTTATCTTTTTTCTCCTTCAAAGCATGTTTCAATGAAACAGGCTACAATATCTGTGTCCTTGGGCAGTGTTCCCTGTACAGTCATAGCTTACTGACAAGGATACATTCTGAGAAATGCATCATTAGATGGTTTTGTCATTGTGTAAACAGCATAAAGTGTACTTACACAAACCTAGATGGTATAGTCTACCACACACCTAAGCTATGTGGTATTGCCTACTGTTCCTAGGCTACAAACCTGTGCAGCATGTTACTGTCTTAATACTGTGGGCAATTGTATCATAATGGTAAGCATTTATGTATCTAAACATAAAAGAAAGTGTGGTAAGAATGTGGTAGGAAAGATTAAAAATGGACTGGGCATGGTGGCTTATGCCTGTAATCCCAGCACTTTGGGAGGCTGAGGTGGGCACATTGCTTGAGGTCAGGAGTTTGAGACCAGCCAGGGCAACATGATGAAACCCTATCTCTACAAAAATTTAGCCAGATGTAGTGGCGTGAGTCTGTAGTCTCAGCTACTAAGGAGTCTGAGGTGGGATGATTGTTTGAATCCAGGAGGTTGAGGCTGCAGTGAATCATGATGGTGCCTCTGTACTCCAGTCTGGGTAATAGAGTGAGAACTTGCCTTAAAAATAAATAAATAAATAAAATAAAAAGATAAAAAAAGATACATCTGTGTAGGACACCTACCATGAACGGAGCTTACATAGTACTGTTAGTTATTGTGCTGAGTCAGTAAATGAGTGGTGACTGAATGTGAAGGCCTAGGACATTGCTGTCCACTACTACAGATTTTAAAAACACTACACTTAGTCTACACTAACTTTATTTAAAAAATTTCTTCAATAATAAGTTAACCTTAGCTTACTGTAACTCTTTTACTTTACAACTTCTTTATTTTTTTTAACTTCTGGACTCTTTTGTAATAACATTTAGCTTAAAACCCAATACAGGGTACATATAACTATACAAAAATATTTTCTTTATAACCTTATTCTATAAACTTTTTTTCTACTTTTAAACTTCTTTTTCTACTTTTTGAGTTCTTTTAAAAATTAATGCTAAGACACAACACACACATTACCTTAGGCCTACACAAGTTCAGGACCATCAATTTCACTTCCACCTTCCCACCTTGTCCCTCTGGAAGGTCTTCAGAGGCAATAACATGCATGCATCTCCTCTAATAATAACATGATCTCCTATAATAGTAATGCTTTCTTCAGGAATACCTCTTGAAGGGCTGCTTTACAGTTACCTTTTAAAAAATATAAGTAGAAGAAATACACTCGAAAATAGGAACACAGTCGTTTATCATCATTATCATTGTCCGTTCGTACTTGTACATGCTATATTTTACATGGCTGGCGGCACGTTACGTTTGTTTATACCAGTATCACCACAAACACATGGGTAATGCCTTATGTTATGATGTTATGACAGCTACAGTGTCACTAGGTGATAGGAATTTTTCAACTCCATTACAATGTAACAGGAGCACCACCGCATATGTAGTTCGTCATTGACTGAGAGTTTGTCATGGGGTGCTTGACTGTATTTGGTAATGACACCAAAAGCCATTCCATGGCTGAAGCCACAAATAAGGAATCATTCTTTTCTCTTCTTTCTTTCTTATCTCATAATCAATCACCAATAACTATATATTCTACCATTCAAATATTCTATCATTTGTCCCATTTCTTTCACTTCCTCTCTGTTCTTCCCTCATGCTAGGAGAAGCTTCTTTAGATAATAATTTAGAATAATACTAAGAATATTGCCTCCATACCATCTTACAAACCGCGCATGCTTTTTATCTCTATTCACTCCAGTCACCAGTTACCACCAGATGTTGGAGCTCTGCAGTTTATATTATTATTCTAGTCTTATCTCTGTACCTCCTTTGATATCCACTAAGCAGGCCTAAGCACCCACAAATCTTTCCAACAACAACGTCTAGGTCACCCTCTCTGTAATCAGAAAGCTCCCTTGTATCTTTAGCCTCCTCTTAGAATAGTTTTCTTTCATTCTTGCTTTAAGTGAAATCTAGACATTTACTAGGTTCAATTCTTCTTCTTTTTAATAAGTTGAGGTTGTTTCACTTCTTACCTACCACAGGATCTAGGTATATTTCTTAGAATTTCTTACTTGCCATTGTTAACTTATAATCCATTACTTCCTTGAATTCATTTTTTTGAGATTCATGACTCTGGATAAAATACCTTATGCATTTCATTTCTGCTGTCATCTAACAACTGACTTTTCACCAAGTTTGTTCATGACAGACTCAAACTTGATTTTCATTTTAACTCAAGTCACTTTTCTTGATAACTTTAATATGTACAAATCTTATCCCCTGGCCTCTCAGCTCCCTGACATCCTGTCTTCCAGTGACCTTTACATTTATTCTATTGCTGCCTTTTCCTTTTGTGATAATATTCACAAGCCCTGTTATCAACAGACTAAAAAATGAGACCCAAAGTAATCCACTCTGAGGCAAAGAACTTTATTTCAAAAGCTCTTCTGTCAAATATTTCTATGGCCACAAATATCTGGCTTCACTAAGCTTCCCAATGCATTGACTTCATCACTTTTAAAATATCCATCAGCTTCTTAGATCTGCCTTGCTTCTATGGTCCATAAACAGTTTTCCTTTTTTTGCAAATATTTTCAGTTAGTTGTCTGTTTCTCCCTCTGTTTTACTCACCTAGGAAAAAAACTAGCTCTGGGTGAACCCTACCACCTCTCTTTTCTGTGTCTAGTATGAACTGCAAAGCTTGGAGGAAATTACCCAACTGAGCCAAAGGGTTCTCCTATACATTTTGATTACATATTTAAGCTTATTAACTTAATACATTTTTGACTTATAGTCATCATGGCCCAGCGATCATATTATATGTCAAGTTGGCTGATTTCCTTACTATCTGAAATTGTTTCACACCACTTTCTTGGTTATCAAACATTTAATTATTCATCAGAAGCAGAAACTAGTTAGCTTCTCTCCAATTTCCTCTTTCTCCTGGTCTCACAAACTGACTACATTTTCCAGCGTCTTTTGCAGTTAGATGTAGCCATTTTCCTGAGTTCCATCCAGTGAAATATAGGCAAATGTTATATCCATCACTTTCAGAAATGACCCACAAAAATATCTTCTACACACAATCCTCTTTCTTTATCTGCTGACTGAATAAAGAAGATTCTGAAGAACTGAAAGACGGTAAAGTCACAGGCTGGAAAGAACTGGGTCATAAGTGACCATGAGGAAGATAACTTGACCATTAGGAATACTCGTTGAATTTTGTGTACACAATAAATACATTTTTGTTTCTTTAACCTTCTGGAAAAGTGGCACGTTAAACATTTTGTGAATTTTTTAATTTTAAAAATAACTGCTATTATTTATTCCAAGTAATCTAATATCCTCTCTTCCTACTGGATTCTCAGACAATGAAGTTGTTACTTAATTCATCAAGAAAACTGAAACCACCAAAATTAGATTCTCTATATTTTCCATCCCTAAACTTGCAACCTGCTTATATTTGTGCCTGTTTTTCTCTTCTTCCTTTCTTTTGCAACAGAATAACTGGGCTCCTTATTTTCAAGGACAGTCACTGCTAGTGCTCTGGGTTCCATCCTTTATAACCTCTTTAGAAAACTGTTTTCCTTCACTTTGTTACCTCCATTATCACCTTCAGTATCAATGTTCTAGATACATAGGATCCTTCACATCAGAATAGAAACATTCTCTAGTTTCCTCTATTTTAATAAAAACCCTATTTTAAGTCCACATGTCCTTTCCATTATGGCCTTTTCTCTGTCTTATTCATCACCAAACCTTTTCAAATAATTTTCTACATTTATCCTCTTTCTTACATTTACTCACCTTACTTCCATGCATTGGTTGTATAATGTTTTGACAGTAGGATGGGGTGAGGGAACCAGAACATTGTAGAAAAACACAAAGAAGAAAATAATAATTTACATTTCTACCATTTGTAATTAATGATATTTAACATTGTGAGGTTTTTGCTTTTGTGTTTCATTATTATTTTTTATTTTTTACAAATCACTTTGTTTCTGCAAAAGTGATAAATGCTAATTATAACGTTTTCAGATTATGCACAGAAATTATAAAAATGAAAGTTTAAAAAAATCTGAATAACACTCCTCAAAAATTACCTTCATGTACACAAAGCAAACATATATGTCATTCTGTACATAAACAAATGACTGATAAATTATTTTTTAAAATAAAATTATACTGTCTGAGTTCTTTTATATAAAATAGTTTTATTTTACTTGAATTTTGTTACCTTTAATTTGTGTGTCTATATTGTTATATACACTGTATATTTATTACTTATTTCTTCTATAGAAATGATGACTTTTAACATTGTTCTGATTTGTTTTTCTATTTTATTTGGTTAATGTTTACCATCAATCACTTTGTGCTTATGTTGAGTTTTCTATTTGAGCTTTCTCTTAATTTGCTAAATTGCTTTGTCCAAATTTTTGTCGAGAAGGGTTTGTAGGTTGTATATTCTTTGATATTTTTCAAATCTGATATGTCTATGGCCATTATACTATGACTGATACTTTGGCTGGGTGTAATCTTTTGGGTCACACACTATTCTAAGAACTCTGTAGAAATCACTTCATTGTATTCTGGCTTTGAAGGTTGCTGAAGAGAACTTTGGCAGGTCACTGATTTTCTCCTATTATACGTGATTTGTTTTTTAATTTAAGATGCCCAAAAAAGCCTTTTAAGAAATAATACTTAAATATCTAACTTAGCTTATAGCTTGATATTGAGATTTCTATATCAAATTACCCTGGAGCAGTGTTTTCCTTCAAACTGCAGATTCAGTTATTTGTTTATCAGAGAAATTCTCTTGCATTAAATTTTACAATAATCTTCTATTCGATCTTTTGTTTTGCTTTGCTTTTTACTTTAAGAACACAAATTGATACTTATGTTGGCTTATCTTGCTCTATCCTTTGTGTCCAATTTGTCTGTTTCTAATTTCTTTAATCTTTTTTGTGTATACTGTGATGATCTCAAACGCTTCCACCATGTTAGCAATTTTATTTTTAGCTGAGTAATTTTTGTTTTTTGTGTTTTCTAATGTATTAATTCTATCACAACAATTTAATCTTCATTTTTCCCTTACATTTGCAATTATAGTCAAATTGTTTTTTCTTATATTGTTTTACCTTGGAGCTTCTATTTTATAGAAATCATATTTTTCCTAATTTGTTCTGCTATGTGAAGCAATTCTAAAGAATTTCCTTCTGTATCTCAAGCTATGTTTCCTTATTGGATGTGCTCTTTTTCTTTCGTTTCCATACTTTCTTTCTTAAATAGTTTTGCCTTAGTATGCTTGCTTAATTGTCATGCCAGTTCCTTGTATCTGTCTCATTTATACCCTGTTGTCTCTGCCTAAACACTCTATTTGTTTCGATAATTGGGTTAGTAATTAGGCTCTCTTCCCACAGTATTGAGGCCAGCATTGTTTTATTTTCTCTAAGATACGTGGTGTAAAGTCTGGAGATATTGTCTTTATCCAATTTTTGTGGGATAGAGAACAAAATGGGAGTGAAGGTGGTGGCAATGTCATTTGCAGCAGGATCTCTGCTTTTCCCTTTATGAATTTTGCGTGTGTGTGTGTGTGTGTGTGCGCGTGTACCATACAAAAGTTTACTTTTCCTAGTTAGAGACAATGGTGAATTGAGGTTTAGTGAGTTTATAAAAATGTAAGTGCCTTCATTAAGGAAAATAATGCAAAATTCTGAATATAAAATTAGGTTTAAAGTCTTAGAAGAGACTCATGTCAGTACGGGAAGCCTGAAGCTTAAGCTTCCTCAGCCTTCGGTAAATCTTCCGTAACTGGGTCCACTCTGTACCCATGTGACTTTAGATTACTTTTCTTACGGAATGTGTAGTCCAGAAGTCTTTTCTTCTGAAGAGGTCATCCTCTGTTTCTACTTTACAGCAATCTTTCCAGATGTTGTTTCTTTTGCTTCATGGTGAGAAGAAGAGAAAATGAATGTACTACCTTTGGTTGTTTCATTTAAGACTTTGAGATATTGCTCAAAGTCTTGTGATTTTGGGACCTGGGGGATAGGATCTATTCCATGCTCTCTTTTCTCACTCTCTATAAAATCTCAGACTTCTTTTCCACCTTTACTGATTTAGGTTGTTATTACCACTTGTTTGGCCACTATTTTTAAATTTTATCCTAGGTTTTATTGTATTTGAGGAAAGAAGACGTACATTTTGTGAAGAATTTCTTAGAGAAGCCCAGCACCTTCTCTGCTCCTTTCAAAGGTGCAGTGACCCCTTTCTTTGAAACTGTCTTCCTAGATATCTCAACACAGTTTACCACAATTGTTCATTGGCTTTCTTTTGAAAGATGACCCCCCTGCCCCTCGAGCTTCCCTGAAACAGCCTTCTCCTACTTCATTGGCAGAAATTTTTGCTGTCTCTTGGTTAGAGTTTTCTTTCTTAATTCTGAAGAAAAGTTTTCTTCACAGTTCAACCTTAAGCCATCTTCTTTTTCTCCACACTTATTCATTGGCTAAATACCGATTGCAAGCTAAAGATTCCCAAACTCATGTTTACAGCAGACTGCTCCTTTGAGCTCCAGGAATGAATACCTATCTCAACTTAGATACTTCACAACCAGCTGAAACTTACCTGAACACAGTAGGATTTTACTTTCCCCTCTTAAACTCTACCTTGGATTCCACATGAATTCTTCACTTTAGTAAATATGAATAATACATTATATTTGTGCTCATGTATTTACTGTTGACAAATAAAGCATATGTATGAAAGGTATGTATATATAGTATACATGTACAATGTAATGGTTATTAATACAGGTTGAGTATCCCTTATTCGAAATGCTTGGAACAAGAAGTGTTTTGGATTTTGAACTTTTTCAGACTTTAGAATATTCTCATATACATAATGAGATATCTTGAGGATGAAACCAAGTCTAAACACAAATTTATTTATGTTTTATATACACTTTACACACATAGCCTGAAGGTAATTTTATATAACATTTTTAATGATTTTGTGCATGAAATAAAATTTTGACTGCCTTTTGGCTGAGACCCATCACATGAGGTCAGGTGTGAAATTTTCCACTTATGGTGCCATGTTGGTGCTCAAAAAGTGTCAGATTTTGGAGCATTTTGGATTTTAGATTTCCAGATTAGGGATGCTCAACCTGTGCTTCCTACTGAGCTTAAGAAATAGGCCCAATATTAGTGGCCTTTGAGATCCCCTGTGTGCTCCCCTGAGATGTGTCCCTTTCCCAACTCCCTCCTTGAATCACAATCTTGACTTCTCTTGATTTTCCTTATAGTTTTTCCATATATATGTAGATATCTATATAGCTGCGTGTGTGTATCTGTAGGCAGGTAGCTAAATATAACTTTATATGACTCTCCCCATATATATGTAGACATATAGATATAGATAGAACATATATAGAAATACATATATTTCTAATTTCAGAAAAATTAATCAATAAAAATATAGTGAGTCCTGAAACTGACATTGATATGAAAATATGACATATAACAGAGGTGGTACTAGACATCGTTGGGGCAAAACTATTGCGTAAATAGCACTGGGATAATTAATTCTGTGTATGGAACAAAATTAAATTGTATGTCTATATCACACCATTCATACAAAAACACCCTTTAAACAAAAACAAATAAACAACAAGGCTTTGAAAATAAAGGTGGCACACATCAGAACAGGAAGACTTGCTATCCTCTTATACATGGTAGCCACTCGCTTCACTGTTCAGTCATCATCAAAAGAAATCATAAAAATAAAGAGCAGATAAATTTATGAGGAGAGAAATATGGTTACAAAAAAAAGGGACAGTTGTAAATCAAAATAGAAGCAACATTGTAAACCAAACAATTGGTTTAAGTGAGAAAGAGAAAATTAAAATTAAAACAAGAGGCTAAAATATGGAAAATTATAAGGCTAAAGATTTAATATTTTAGAATGAAGTAATACTTAAGAAAAAAAGCAAAAGTTAGGGAGATTTTTTAAAAAGTGATAACGTTACAATAAATCTAATACCTAAAAGATAAAGACTTAACAAACATTTTAAAGAAATGAAATTAAGGGTTGACAGAAGAGAAGGAAAAAAAAGAAAAAAAGCAAAAAACATTAGAAAGAGACAAGGAAGGTGCATCACACGAAGGTTGCTGAGGGCTGTCCAACTTCCTTGGGTATATTGTCTTCTACTAAGAACTTCATTGTCTTTGCTTTCTTCTCAGAGATCTGAGGGGCAGAGAATCACAGACTGCCATTTCTTTATTTTATTATATAATTTATTCTATACAAGTTGACAGAAATCTTTTTTATTTCTGATATACACCATAATGTTGCCATTTTACTCTTTTTTTTTTTTTGATCACAAGAGAAAACACTTCAGTTTGTCCATTTCAAATCTCTGAAGTTGTAAGGTTGTTTTCATGTACAGATAAAACCCACGCCATACTCAGACAGAAAGCCTTTTACAGTGTACTAAGAATAATTTATGTATTTAATGAACAAGTTTTTGCTCCCTAAACCTTGGGAGCAAGAAGTACCATATTATTATTATTTGAAAACGAGTTTTACTCTGATTTCCAATAATGAGAATCTTTGAGGCTTACAAGGTTCTTGAAACTCAGGTGAAGATTTGGTCCTTAAGCTGTGGTAAATTCCATTGTTGTTTTTTCTCCTTCTGTTACTGGTGAAGGAGGGCCTTGACGATGAGTCCTCCAGGTTCTTGGCATTTTGAACAAAGAATTGGACAAAATGCACTAACAAAGCAATAAAAGAATGAATCAACAAAAGCATAGATTTATTAAAACAAAAGTACACTCTATAGAGTGGGAGCCAGCTTCAGCAAGTGGCTTACCAGCCCTGGCTATAGAATTTTCTGGGGTTTAAATACCCTCTAGAGGTTTCCCATTGGTTCCTTGGTTACATTCTATGTAAATGAAGACCTGGCACGTGGCCAGTCTGATTGGTTGTGGGAGGCAACCAATCAGAGGCTGAAGTGAAATTACAAAGGTACCACCCCTATAGAGTTGGCTCGTGACCAATCTGATTGGTTGCAGGAGGGTACCAATCAGAGGTACTTTCCATTTTTCATCTGTGATGCATAAAGGTGAGGGGTTGCAAAAGAAGTGGCCTCTGATCCTTTTGTTACTTAGGCATGGAGAGGTGGGGTTTTCCATTTGATCCAGTTCTAGGAAGTCAGCTTGAACTGGCCTTAGGTTCCCTGCCTCCAGATCCTATTCTCCTGCTGCACTTCCGCTGCACAACCAATGACAACCTCCTCCTATTGAATGTCACTCAGAGCAGACTTAGCCACAGAGAAACTTGCTCTTGCTCTCACGTGCTGTGTTTCAGAGCCAGGCTTGACAGGTGTCCTTTTTCCACTTCGCCTCAGGCCTGCTGAAGACAAAGAGTGGCTGTATATGTCACCATTCAGTATGTCATTACTGAAGAGCTACACTGATTTCCTCAAAAACCCCTTCTCTGAAAGAAAAATTTTAGGTTGATTTTGACCCTATACCTTCTATGATACTTCTTGAATTGCAGTCTAAAATAGCACCTCCATTCTCCAATCCACTTGCAATGATACAAAACTTCACAAGGTAACTGTTTCCTGTCCAGTTCCCTGTGGGCTACAGAGATTCTAGCGAACTTCCATACTCAGCCAAATCGTGAAAAGATTTTATTTAGAAACTCACACTCAAAAAGGAAAGCTTTCCTTTTATCGGCTGGCTTTGTTTGGCAGTGTCGTCTTGTAGCAACTGACTCAGCTCTTACCTAGTCTGACAAAACTCAGATGGGGCTTCGCTTCTATTGTCTCTCTTAAACATCTTAGCTCTTTCATTGTTTCATGTTAGAAAAGATTGAGGGGGGAAAAAGGCAATGAGATTTACCCTCTGGGGTTTTGGGAACAATCTAAAACTTTGAAATTTTCATTTTTGTTCTAGAACAATTTTCTGGCTGATAAAATTTTCATTTAATTCAGGTATTTTCTTCTTCCACAAAATGTTGCAGTATCTAAAACCCACCTTCTGGGAAATACTGGTCTGGTTTAGCCCTCTGCTAAAAAAGGTTACTATTGTTTTATTTAGAAATACTTAAATGAATCCTTTCAATTTCCAGAATTCTCTTAACATCCAGAGCCTTATACAGGAAGATGAGCCTAAAAATCAATAATCAGTTGGTAATTTATTTTCCATAAGTCACAAAGTCAATTACATTAAGTTCTTACATTAAAATGTACTTTTCTAAAATAAAAAGTTATTGCTTTTATGTTCACAGGGCATTACTATTTTTGTAAATAACAGAATAAACACTGAGAATCATATTACTTTTTAATAATTGGGATTGGAGTTTTTTTCTGAAAAAAATCACTTAAAAATTCTTCAAATACAAGTTGGAGTAAGAATATGTACTTCATAACTAAACTACAGAAAAATTCCTCAGCTGCCTGGATGTACACTAAACACAGCCATCCTTGGATAGCACTTTTCTGTTACTTTCTTATTCTATTAGTGCTATTTTTGAAGTTTCTGACCTTCACTGCCAGTGAAAGTTCTTTTGATGCCAGTCTTTGATCCATGTGCATTGTAATTCAGATGGAAAGTATAGCATAAATCTAGCTTGAGAGTAGCAAAGATATTTAAATATTTGAAAAAGTTTGCTGGTCTTGGCTAAACATTTAAGCTTTCAAAAAATAATTTACTGGAAGTTAAATGTGAAATATAGTAATAGTACACGTTGTAGTTATGCAGGGCTGAATATATTTTATACTTCTTCAATAGGCTATTTTACATATATGATATACATGAAAATCTGAAATATTTTTTCTTTGCTTTCTATGTTTTGTTATATGCAGAGAATGACTCTTTTACTCCTTGCCTGTGCTCACTATACAACTTTGCCTCTTATTTTAAACAAGCCATGGGGTGACATCATCTCTTAGCACAGACAACAATTTATCCTTTTGATGTAGAGAGATTCAAAAAGTTAGCCACACTAAATATGGTTTTGGTTTTTCTTATATAACAAATGCCACAACCTATATTGACAGCAGAGTCACATCTCTGTACTGCAGACATAAAATGAGAGAATGGGAACTTGCTGTGCTAAACTGCTGAGATCACCATCATACATTATTAATTAAAATAAATAAGAAATAAAAGAAAAAATGACTTTTGCTGTTGCTATTTGAAAGGTCTGTAGTGCATTATCTAGTCATCAATTCAGTTTCTTTCACCACATCATGCACCGTGTTTATACTATGTGGGTGCCAAAATTCTCTCTATGACCTTGTCACTTTAAGTTTTCATAAATTCTCCCCCTCACCCGAGTATCTATCTCATATTCACAAGAAACTCACTTCCCTGAATCTTACATTTACAATCACAGAGCCTAGGAATGAAAGCCAAGCTGCTGTCATCAATAGGTTATTTCAAAATAACTAAAAATAATATGAGCAAATCTGTCACTTGGAAAACTTAAACTGGGTCCCACATGTGGTTTGGTGACCTTGGAAGAAACAGTTAGGCTATATCTACTAGATTCCAAAACAGAGAGCTGAGGTGATCAATTGAGTAACCGATTTTAGAAGAAGGAGGAGGAGGAAGATAAAGAGAAAAATGAGAAAGAAAAATGGAAGGAAAATCAATTTTCTGAAAATATCAAATATTTTTAAAAGAATTTCTTAGACATAAGACTAAAAGAATTATCACTCAATTTAAAAAATGGGGAAATCAATCTACCATGTACTCTTGATAATTTGAAAATATTTCTGCAAACTCACTACTATTCCTTCCTTTAAAAAAGGAAGCGTAATTTCTCTACTCTTGAATGTGGGCTGGACTTGTGACCCACTTTTAACAGCTAGAATATGCTGGAAATCTTGCTATGTGATTATAAAAGGCATAATAGGTTATAAAAAGGATAGCTTTTGCTTGGCTCTAGTTCTATTGTATCACTTTTGAAGGAGACCAGTTGCCATACTGTGAGGACACTCAACTTCCTTGAAAAGGGTTTATATGGAGAAGAAGCAAGGCCTTACAACAGCCAGTGTCGATTTACCAGTCATAAAAGTGAGCCAACATGGAACTGGATACTTCTTCCTTAGTCAGGTATTCACTTGACTGCAGGCTTAACCCACATCTGGCTGTAACATCACAGGAAATCCAAAGCCAGAACTGCTCATCCAAACTACTCCTGAATTTACGACCCATGGAAACTGAGAAATAACAAATGCGTAAAGCTGTTTTTAGATATTAAAGCTGTGGGGTAATAGCAATAGCTACATAGCAATGGATAATTAATATTTAGTCACAATATTAATATTTACTATCTACTCTTTGAATTACAGATGAAGAGAAATGTCTATTATTTTATACATCATCTACGACCAACTTGGTTCTTATATTTCTCCACTTCAATTGCAAAACTAAAAAATGTTTAATGGAAACAAACATAAAGGTTAGTATTAAAGATGAGTTTTTAGCTATGATGCTGTAAGCACTCTCAAGAACAGCACTTATTTCAGAACTGACACTTTTGATGGATAGAGGATAAAATCTTACAACCAAAGTTTTTCCAGAAATGGTTGACATTGTTTTTTCATTTTATTTAATGTTATACCACCTTTTCTGTATACTATGCATTTTTCCTTTCATTATTCTTTTCTATGGTCTATATTAATTATATATTAATAAGAAATCAGTTATAATGCTGACCAGTAAATTTCTCAGTAATGGTTGAAAGATAGGAAAATGCTGTTCTTTTGGAATGGGGGAATATATATATTTTCTATCCTTTTTGTTTGGTATATATCGGGGAACATGCCCCCGATGGTCACGTAGGTTCTTTTCTATTTTCCCTAAGCGTCGGCCGGGTTGAGAAATAAAGGGACAGAGTACAAAAGAGAGAAATTTTAAAGCTGGGCATCCGGGGGAGACATCACATGTCGGTAGGTTCCGTGATGCCCCACAAGCCTCAAAACCAGCAAGTTTTTATTAGTGATTTTCAAAGGGGAGGGAGTGTACAGATAGGGTGTGGGTCACAGAGATCACATGCTTCACAAGGTAATAGAATATCACAAGGCAAATGGAGGCAGGGCGAGATCACAGGACCATAGGACGGGGTGAAATTAAAATTGCTAATGAAGTTTCGGGCATGCATTGTCATTGATAACATCTTATCAGGAGACAGGGTTTGAGAGCAGACAACCGGTCTAACCAAAAATTTATTATGTGGGAATTTCCTCGTCCTCATAAGCCTAGAAGCGCTATGGGAGACTGGGGCTTATTTCATCCCTACAGCTCAACCATAAAAGACGGCCACAGCCAAGGGGGCCATTTTAGAGGCCCACCCTCAGGGACGCATTCTCTTTCTCAGGGATGTTCCTTGCTGAGAAAAATAATACAGTGATATTTCTCCCATTTGCTTTTGAAGGAAGAGAAATATGGCTCTGTTCCGCCCAGCTCACTGGCGGTCAGAGTTTAAGGTTATCTCTCTTGTTCCCTGAACATTGCTGTTATCCTGTTCTTATTTCAAGGTGCCCAGATTTCATATTGTTCAAGCACACATGCTGTACAATTTGTGCAGTTAATGCAATTATCACAGGGTCCTGAGGCGACATACATCCTCCTCAGCTTACGAGATGACAGGATTAAGAGTTTAAAGTAAAGAGAGGTGTAGGAAATCACAAGGGTATCGATTGGGGAAGCGATAAGTGTCCATGAAATCTTCACAATTTATGTTTAGAGATTGCAGTAAAGACAGGCGTAAGAAATTATAAAAGTATTAATTTGGGGAACTAATAAATGTCCATGAAATCTTCACAATCCACATTCTTCTGCCATGGCTTCAGCCAGTCCCTCCGTTCGGGGTCCCTGACTTCCCGCAACAGGGATAAGCATTTATTTTGTTTCATTCTTTCAAATGCATTCTCATATAAAAGCAATGTTTATTTATATTATTTATTTAGAGCTCCAATTTGTAATTACATAAAGAAATATAATTTTCAAATACCCAGAAATAGAGTAAGTAGAAAAGAAAGTTAATGTATACAAAATCATTTGATTATTTACCTTGTCAGTAGGCTAGTATATTGGAATTTTGGAGTCAGGGCCTTCAAATTTATCTGGTATGACCTTCTCAGTTTATATCAATGAAAAATTAAAGCCCAAATAAGTTGAGCAAACAGTCGGGGGAATAATACTAGAATGCAAGTCTAGTAGAGTGTCCATTCCACTTTATTATGTTGCTTCTTATTTTGAAAATATTTTTGTCAGCTTGACAAGTTTACATTTGTTACCAGAGTCACTATCTTATTGTCAAAATTGTGTACCATTGTTTTCCTTCCCATCTGACTAGACTTTGGAACATAAGCTTTTGTCTTTGTTGTACTCTCTCGGCAAAGCCAGTGTGTGTCACATATACATCTAACTTGTCTCCCTTCTACTTCTGCCCAGTAGAAAGCTGGCTGGAGAAAAGCACACCACATCACTTTAAACATGACCACAAATTTAAAGTGAGCTTTTAATGATGCCTAGAATTCACGTTGTGGTTTCCTAATCTAGTCACTCTCCCATTTTCCTTGATGACTATTTCAAATTGTCTTTCCTCTCTTCAAATCTTCAACACCTACTCCTTTCTGCTTATTCTCAGTCCATGACCCAACATGCTATTTTTCTGAGAATATTGAAGCACTCAAAAGAGAATTACAGAAAGCCTCAGCAAGCACATTTGTCCATCATTACCAGAGCCTGTGAACTGTGTCTGTTCCTGAAGCCTATCTCTACTGTAAGCACTGGCCAATTCTTCCATCTATGTGCCAGTTTCTGTGTGCCCACTCAAGTATATTGCTTAAGAAAATCTCTCTTTGCTGTGTCATTGTTTCTTTTCTCTCTATTGAAATTGTTCTCATAAATCAAATTTTCTATGTATCTCCCACCTTAAAATAATTCTCCTTAGATCTTTCACCTCTCCCTGGTTACCACACTAGATTTTTCCATTACTTAAAAGAAAACTTCTCAAAACAGTTTTCACCAGCACTCTCTAATTTCCTTGCCTTTATTTTCCTTGAATTCACCATAGTCAGGCTTTCATGCTTACAACTCCATTGAAATCACTCTTGTCAAAGTTACCAATACCTCTGCATTGTGCCTATTCTTAGTACCATCTTTGGTCTATCAACAGCATTGGACAGAGTTGAAGGGCCTCTTGTCCTGAAAATGCTGTCTTCACTTGGCTTTCAAGATACTCCACTGTCATGGTTTTCCTCCTGAGTTACAGGTTGCTCATTCTCAAGCTCTTTTGCTGATATCTCCTCTGTGTGCCTATCTAAAATTAAAGTGTTCCAGGGTTCCGTCTTTTGTTTTTAATTCACACTTGAGCTTTAGGTTTAATAAAATATCAACTTTAAGATAATCAAATCTTGACTAATCCTAAATGAACCGAGAACTCATCCTTGAATTTCCAACTTGCATAATTAACTGCCTATTTGACATTTTCACCTGGACGTCTAATGGTCTAATGGACATCTCAATATTAACATATTCAGAAATAAATTCCTTATATTCTTCATTCTAAAAGCTGATTTTTCTTCAGTCTTTCTCATCACTTAGAGACAATTCCATCCTTCCAGTTGCTCATGCCAAAATTCCTTGAATCATCCTCTTTCTCTAATACCATAAATCAGTCTGTCAGCGAATTGTTATGGCTCTGTCTGCAAAATATATCCAGAATATCATCATTTCTCACCATATCTTCTTCTACCACCCCTGTCCAATCCACTACTATCATTCTCAAGCCTCTCCACCAGTCCGCCAGCATCTGCCATGAACCCCTTCAGTTTGTTCTTATCACAACTGTCCATAGCTTTTTATAAACATAAATTGGATCAGATCAACTCTCTGCTCATCATTCTTCAAAGGCTTTCCATGTCATCTCAAGTAAAAGCCAAGTTATGGCCGGGCGCGGTGGCTCACGCCTGTAATCCCAGCACTTTGGGAGGCTGAGGCAGGTGGATCACGAGGTCAGGAGATCAAGACTATCCTGGTTAACACGGTGAAACCCTGTCTCTACTAAAAATACAAAAAGTTAGCTGGGCGTGGTGGCAGGCACCTGTGGTCTCAGCTACTCGGGAGGCTGAGGCAGGAGAATGGCGTGAACCCGGGAGGTGGAGCTTGCAGTGAGCTGAGACTCCACTGCACTCCAGCCTGGGCGACAGAGCGAGACTCCGTCTCAAAAAAAAAAAAAAAAAAAAAAAAAAAAAAAAGCCAAGTTATCGGAAACGATCTAGACTCCTGTTAAAACCTCTGGCCTCATCTGCTACAATTCCACCTTGCTCACTTTGTTTCAACCACATTGGCTTCCTTACTCTTCTTTAAACAAATCGGACATGCTCCCACATCAGAGCCTTTGCATTGGATGTTTCCTCTCCTGACACTTGCATTTCCGTTGATATTCATGTGGCATTTTTTACTTCCACCAGATCTTTGCTTGAATGTCACTTTCTCCATGAAGACTTTTTGTCAACTCTATTTAAAATTGCACTTCCATGTACTCCCTGCAATCATTCCCTTCTTCTGTTTTCTTGATAACACTGTCTATTATGCTGTGTGTTTGATGCAGTTTATCTATTGCCTGTACCCACTCACTAAACTAAAAGTCTTGTGAAGATAGAGCTTTTGCTCTTTTCACTACTCTATTTCTAGCACCTAGAATCGTCCCTGATACAGAGTACAAATATTAGTGGGATTTATATTATTAGTGATATTACACAAAGGAATAAATTGAGTAATAAATATGGGCTGAATTACCTTTATAAAATGTTGTATTTCTTTTACATCCATGATGATATGAACAACATGTACTAGAAAGTGTGTTGCTTTTAATTCTTTATTTAATTTAACATCGGGTGGTTCCTAGCACAGGTCCAGAGATGAACAAGAGTGGAAGATCAGGATTCTTCTTATATTGGATAGATATGGCAAGCCGGCTTGAACATGGTTAAGGGGGAAACATGAGGACAATTAGTATAGGTAAGGAAGGCCTGTTTTTTTTCTGTGGGTTCAGAGCTAAAACAGAGCAAATAAATATAGTACATATGCAAACATCAAGGCATGGAAGACAATTTTATGAGCTCCACATATGTCCAATAATTCAGACCAACAAAAATGGACAGTCTTATAGGCAGATAAAAATACACAAGCAGGAGCCAGCTTACGCCTTTTAAACTAGGTGCTGAGGAGTACCAATTATTAATATGGACTCTTACTCTCTTACTCTTTACTGATTTCAAAGATGTTTTTGCATGAATTCACTTATTTGATCATAACACTTGGAACAAGGAGAAGACTAATTTCAGTTTTACTGAAATGATGTTTAGAAGTTATGTGCCATGCTCCATGTCACATGTCTTCAAATGAGTAGAGCTAGTGTATTTGCCAGTCTCTTAGTCCAAGCATTTCCCTTTGCAACATTCAGACATTAATCCGGGAACCCTGATAGGCTTGAATGTACACAGAGAGATGGCCTGCATCTATTTTGCATGAAGTTGCTATATGGCTTTTGGGCTGGGGCCTTCTGTTCCAAGATGCCATGGGCTATTTCATGTGGACAAATCCCTTCAGTGAAGCAGGGCTACATAATTATTCAACAAGGGGTGCTGCTGCTATATTAGTCACCTAATATGCATAACAATTTATCCCAAAACTTAGTGGCTTAAAACAATAATAAACATTTATCATCTTTCAGCTTCTGTGGATTATGGATTTGTGAGTAGAATAATTATTCGATTCTGGCTTAGGGTCTGTCATGAGGTTATAGTTAAGCTATCTGCAATCACCTGAAAGCTTGATTGGGACTAGAGAATCTACTTTTAAGGTTGCTCACTTGTGTATCTGGAGTGTTGATGTTGGCTCTTGGCAAAAGGCTTCATTTCCTTGACATAACACTTTGCCCTAAGGCTTCTTGACTATCCTTATGTAATAACAGCTGGCTTCCCTGTGATAAGTGATCCAAGATAGCAAAGTGGAGGTCTCAATGTCTTTTATGAACTAGCCGAAGACATCACATGTCATCATTTTTGCAGTATTCTGTTGATCATACAAGACAGCTCTATTTGATATGAGAAGACACAACACAAGGGTATGAATACCAGGAGGTGAGCATCATCGGGGTCATTTTGAAGGCTGACTGCCACAGCTGCCTACAAGAGAACTTGTTCCCACATTTCTATGAAGAGCATTATATTTATGAGAGGATGGCTATGAATGATGAGACATAGATGAATGAACTTTTCTAATGTTATAATATTAGTTACTTTAACTCAGAAATGTAGTTTCCAATTCATACTTCCTTGCCTGCATTCAAAATACACCTCAGCATTCACTTCTTCAGGAAGCTTTGCCACACCAATTAGTGTACAAGCAAAATAGTGACAAGACGGAATCTCTCTTCTCACATAATAATAAAACATCTATTACTGGCACTCTAAGAGTAGTAATGGTTGCATAATCCTCATTAATTTAACATTAAATATCCAGCAAGCATTATCTCATCATATAGGTCCTGTTGATACAGCACTATCATCATTTCAACTATTTTCTAATCAATTTCAGTGTACCTTTTAGTGGAGATGGTGGTGAAACCCAAGTAATCTGTAGATTTACAATGTAATTTTTAGATTGGAAGTAAAAATAAACATGATCCAATTGAATGGGATTGATTGCACTGAGAATTTAATCACTCTTAGGAAGTTAGTATTGTTCTTTATTTGTTAAAAGATAAAAACATGCTATCTACATTAGCAAAACAATTTGCTCCAAATCAAACAATAAAAATACACAGTAATTATAATTTTAAAGTGTCACATAAAATTTAAAATAATCTCATCCAATAGTTAACCCAATAACCCCTTTTTCAACGTGGCTAACAGGTGAGCATCTTGACCAGCAGTCGGCTTACTTTTTCTGTGAACGACTAGATAGTGAATATTTTGGATTTTCAGACTACAAGGTCTTCTGCAAACTACTGAAATTTGTACTTGTTGTGTGAAAATCGTCAAGTAATTCATAAGCTAATGAACATGGCTGTGTCACACAGAACTTTACTTACAAAAACAGGGAGGAAGCTGGATTTGACCCATGGGCCATTGTTTGTCAACCTCCAATCTACATCATGGATCATACACTGACAACCCATACTTTATATATGGTCAGGGTATTAGTTTTGTTTATTGTTTATTGATTCCACGTTCTTTTAGAATGAAGCACATTAAGCAAAAACATTCTTGGAAATACGTCATCTTACTTCCTGTTTTTTCAAAATGCAATCAGCTTTTACCCAAGTGTGTTTATTGTACACTTCCAAATGCACTTGGGTCCAATTGAGATTTGACTTCAATACCTGTGTTGGGGATTGCAGTAGCTTTTCAGGTAACCCATGAACTGATTAACCACATTTAAATGTACTAATCACCACATCTCTGTCTTCCCTTAGCACGCTATTTACATTACTTTATCACACTTTATCGCTTTTAATTTTGTAGCTATTGGCCTCTTCTATTCTGTCTCATTTAAAACACCTTGAGAACTGTTATCATGTCCTGTGTATTTTTGTACCCTAGCATCTAGCGCAGTGTTGCAACATAGAACATATGCTTAAGAAATGTTTTTTGTTTTGCTGGATTAAATGAGAAGATTCCTTATCTTTCCCTCTTAAACTTCCTTCCATGGGCCTGTCCTGCCATGGGGAGACTGATTCTAATATCACTTCCATATCAAAGTCACATGAATTTTTACAGAAAGGTGTCATGCCACTAAATTCATCTTTTCCCTCAGGCTTAATAAATTCAGTTCTTTCAATGATTCTCACCTGACATGGTCCTTAGATTTGTAAACTAAAAATAAAATCCTAATCCATCCAACTAACTGAACAGAACCCCTCTTGGTCAAGGGGACTGACCCCCAGAAAAGCCTGAAAATCTGAGTTCTTGTCCTAGATGGGAAGGGAGTTCAGGTATGCCTCATTACACCCCTTTCCTTTTGGAGTTTAGGCACAACTGATCAGCACTGATGTTAAAATAGACATTAGAAAACTAACAAAACAGACTCTTTGTGGCAATAAGATATCAAATTATAAACAAGACATAAGGCTATGCCAGGCAAGTGTTAAGTTATGCCAGCACGCCATCAGTCTTGCTTCATAGCATCCATATCTTAACTTAAAACATTCCTTTCCTCTGACTCCAACTTTTAGACAGAGCCTTACTCCTTTAACCAATTACCAATTAAAGAATCTCTGAATCCACTTATTACCTGTGAACCCCTGCTTCAAGATACCTCACCTTTTTGGGCCAAACCAATGTCTACCTTCCATACGTTGATTTATATCTTTGCCTGTAACTCTTGGCTTCCTAAAATGTATGAAACCAAACTAATTCAACTGCCTCAGGCACACTTACTTGGGACCTCTTGAGACTGCTTCCCGGGGCTATGGTCACTCATACTAGCTATTTAGAATAAATCTCTTTAAAATTCTTTACAGAGATTGTTTTTTTTTTTCTGTTAACAGACTGCTTGTTACCTTCAGCATCCATTACTAGATGTGCTCCCAGTTGTTGACATCCCTCTTAAGATGCAATGCCCACAGTACCACCATATTGTTTAGTAAATATTTATTTAGCACTTACTGCATGTCACTGCACTGGGCAAGACCCTAGTCAGCCCTGTGCTTAACAGCACAAGTACAGGTGGCACTTTTTCTTTTCTTTTCCCTTAAAAGTGTTTACAGATCATTTTAAATATTCTGAAATTTAGGTAGGAATGGCTGTTAAGCCTTTGATCTACCAGGACTGTCTCTGCACAATTCTCACCTTTTGACCTCTCCATTGATCTTCGTAGAGCTTCAAATATAATGATAGGGACTCTTTAGAATCCTGGGATATCATGTTTCTGGACTACAGATAAAACTTCTTAAACCAGTCAGTGCCCTCTTTCAGAGTCCTCATCTATTTTTGACTAAATTCAGCCTGGCAAGTGAAGAGTTTGTCAGATGCTACTGGGACTCTTTTGGAATACTAATGAAGTAAGACTCCTTCATCTGTAACACATATAACTGACAGAAGATTACTATTCAGAATATGTAAAAAAAAAAAAAAAAGTTTCTGGAGATCCATGGAAAAGAACTAACCAGCAGATTGATGGGCAAAGATAAGACTACAAATACACAGAAGAGGAAATTTGCACAACCAATAAACCTCCTTAGTAATCAGGGAAGCCCTGTAATAATTATGTGGACATATGTAGCTACTTATGATAAAATTTCATGTTTATCTTATCATTCCCTGGGTATTCACATATAAGAATGTGATGCCAAAATTGTGTTCCTGACACTATTTTCAGTTATACTGGTTACTCTAATTGTTATTTTTTAAAATTCTTTTTTCTATGGATTTCTTTTTCTGAGATTTTTAAGCTCCAGCCTTCAAATTTCATTTAAATCTCTTCTTTAATCCAATAGATAGATAAATAGATACAGAAACTTTGTCATTTCTATATTTTTAATTTCCCTTCCAAACTCCCAATTTGCTGTAACGAAGAGTTTGAAACCATCAATGGTACCCACATGACTTCCAATTTCTTATCACAAAAAGATGTAAGATATGTTTCAGTTCTCTTCTAGAAACATTCTAGCCTTCAGCATTGTAGAAACTCAATAAATATTTGTTAGATTGAATTGAAATGCAGAATTTGCATTTTTGTCTTTACATGAAATCATCAAAGCAGCCAGGAGTGAGGGGTTGATAAAGAACACTTTCCTTATAGCCATGCTACACTAGGCATCTTAAGTAACACTCATCAATGGGTAGTTTACAAGCCAATTGGTATGAGAATTGGTATGAATATTCTTAATCTCTACCATCACCCGGTGTCTTGTTTTTTTATGAGTTTTTTTTCTTCCCAAGGCCTAGTGCAAGTTAAAATTAATGGATCATGAAATCAATTCTCAATCAACATAAAAAAAAATCAAGCGATATCTTAGTCTGGGTTTCTCCCAAAAGGAGTTATTGAGACTAGAGTATCTGTTCAAATCGTTTATATGGAATTTGATCCTAAGGAATTGCAGCTGGGGACTGAGAGTAGTGAAGCTGGCAAGAAGGAAGAGACAATCCACAGGTGTGTTATTCTATCATTATGTGCATGAAACCCCACTGCCGTAACTGAAAAATTGTCATTCATGTGCTTCAGAAGAAGGGAAGAGCAGAATATTTTTTTCACTGACTCCAGTCCCCTAACAATCAAGGATTATTCCAAAATGTATTATTTATCTCACACTTTTAGTTTTATGCATCTATCAGAATGGTTGATGGCATTCTTATCTAGTCCTGAGCAGGAGTGGTTAAGAAGCCTCAGGGCAGAAAGCAAGAAATACGTAAAGCAGCTGGGGCATATGTACCATCTAGATGTGTAACGGCAATAGCAAATATCTGGAGCACAAAAGTTGCCCCAACACAGGTGAAACAGAAGAGAATAGGATGGGATGAGATGAGATAACATGGAAATTGTAGTTTTCATAATCTTCATGTGTCATTGGAGGGATCTCGTGGGAGGTGGTTGGATCAGGCGGCAATTCCCACATTCTGTTCTCTTGATAGTGAGTGAGTTCTCATGAGATCTGGTGATTTTATAAGGGGCTGTTCCCCACTTTGCCCTGCACTTCACTCTCCTGTTGCCATGTGAGGAAGGACATGTTTGCTTCCCCTTACATCATGAGTTTAAGTTTCTTGAGGTCTCCCTAGCAATGTGGAACTGTGAGTCAATTAAACCTCTTTCCTTTACAAATTACCCGGTAGCAGGTATTTCTTCATAGCATCATGAAAATGGACTAAGACAATGAGATGTATAGGTTGGAAAATACTAGAATATGTCCCACGTAATGATAAGTGCTATTTCATGAAAATTGTATTTTGGCTCTTTCTCTTCCCGTGTGTGTATGTGTGTTTGTGATGGTGTGTGGGCATATGTGTATATGTTACTGGATGATGAAGTTGGACATATTTCTTGCTCTATTCTGTGTGTAAAAGTTTGAAAGGCACTTGTGCCATGCTCTTCAACTCTTGCACATAATGACTCTACCTTAATTTTTGTCTCTATAATCCAGATTGGCTTTTTTTTTTTTTTTTAGTTTCTCTGTGATAATTTTATCTTGAACCCTCTCAAATAAACAGAATAATGAAAAGCAGTTCCTCAACATTGTTCATCTTTCTTTTACAATTTATATCTTTGTAGTTTGACTATTTTGAACCAAGTACAAATAGCATTTGGGCTGGAGTGTGGTTTACCCAGAAAGTTAGGCAAAAGCTCTACATTATACTTTGTTCACATAACTCAGAATACACCTTCGAGAAAATCAAACAAAAAATGTGGGCAATGAATAGAATCAAAAAAGAAGGAAGCTGCTGGAGTTTGAATGCCATTATTATAAACTAAATCCCATCTTAATCACTTGCTTGATGCCCAAGAAGAAAAACATACAAAATAATATTCAAAGGCCTGCCGATAAGGTACAACCTCCTTTTCACAACTTCTGAGTTTTGATTATTTGATGATCTTTTCTGATTTCCTTCTTTATACAAGTGTTTTTTAGCTACCGTTGGGATATTTTACAAACAGTGGTAAAACGTTAGAGCCTGAAGGAAAAACAATGAGTTGGATCTTTCACCTTCTATGGCATTCATGTTGAAAGAGTACATTAGGGCATATGAATTGACAGCTTTAGATAAATTATTCAAAGCCCTCTATATATTTTGGTTGATCAGGGGCAAAGCCTTTTTCTCCAAGATGTTCCACCTGACTTTCTTCAGGGAAATGTTGCAGAGGTTAGCATGGCCTGGAAGGTGTGAGTAGCATAGCATGGAAGGTTTTATTTCATGTTTAACTTATTTGGTAGTATTAGTAATGTAAACACTTTCAGATAGACTAAGGAAAGATTGTGATTTTAACATTTTTCAATGTTATACATTGTTAAAATAAAAATGTATATACATTTCAAGGATCAATCCACCTTTGTTTGGCTTAGAACATTTGCTTTGCTTTGAAAATATTTTATTAGTGATAGATAGGTTTATAAGCATTTGAAATATAATTGTAAGCAACAGAAGTCAAATAATAAATTGTTGATTTTTCAGCTTCGGATTTGGACACTCATTTGTCATCACTGTGACACTTTCTTATTTAATACTTGGGCATTTCTAGCTTTTAAATGAGATAATACTTTCTTCCTTTCCATTTTTTATTACCTTTAGAAGCTTGAATCCTGATAAAGATTTGCAGGCTAATCAGTAGCATTTTAGCTTTTATGTATGGTTTTTTGAACTCAGATATCATTAAATGAACTCACCTGGGAAAGGGACCAGAAGAAGTTTGGATAATGATGAAAATGATCTCTCCTAGAAAAAAATCATTTGAATATAGATAGATGGATACTTAGACTGATAGACTGAGAGAGAGGGAAAGAGAGAATTGAGGTGTTATCTGATGGCAATTACAAGAATCTCAAATTATCAATTTTTGATGGCCTGGTATTGCAGGCTTACAAGAAAAGTTACAATATAGGATGGTGCCAATAACCCCAAATCCCTGTTTACTCTTTCATCATACCAAAATAGGCTGGACCTTGTGTGAGTCAAGATTCCTTTTGCTTCTTTAACTTAAGGCTGAGACTAAGTCCAGCCAAATAGTATACCTTGCTCTTTTTCCTGGTCTTAGACCTGAAGATTTACTACCCTCATATGTTTAGGAAGCATAGGTAGTGTAACTCACAGAAAAAGAATGCCTATCTCCATAAAAGTGTTCTCCATGGTCTCAAACCTCAGCTGGACCTGCTAGTCTTTTCAAAGGAGGAGAAGCAGGTCTATGCTTGTCTCTTTACATTCTCCATTTGGGAGGGAACATACAGAAGACTGAAAATGCTGTCCAAATTCATTAATATAATATGCAATTTTTTTGGCTTTTCTTCTGTGCCAGAGTACATGTAAGCTCTTTATATATAGCATCTTATTTTATTTCATAGAATGTAAGAACTATTACTTATGCCATGGTGTAGATTAAAAACGGGGGGTAATTAAGAGTTTAGTAGAAGGCCAATGTCAAAAAGCTAGTGGAGGAGCCGCGGTTCAATGGGGAATTTTGGGACAGTGTCACAAAAATGAAATGCTTTATTCACCTCACTCTTCCCACCTAAAGCCTTGCTCTCTAGCCATATGGCTCCATCATGCACACCAAAGTCCTCCTATTTAGGGTATTGCAGGGACAGTCAGAGAATTTGGTCCGCAGAGAAGGTGTTTAAATGTTACTATTTATTTTAAACTTTTTTGCCTCTATTATTACATTCTTTCCTATTACAGACTTCCATAGACTTCCAAGGAGGGAAAGTCATAGGTTTCTCGAGAATGGAATCTGTCGAATTATATGCATTTACAGAGGTGGTTCTACAAACATTTAGCTTCTGTTTAATACCAGTGTCAAAACATCCATGCGTGCTCGCAGAATCGTGCATAGCTAATCTAAAATTATCTATTCAGAGCCTGTGCCATTGAAAGTTAGTGTCCTAAGGGATGTCCTTACTTAGGATGCAGTTTAGAGAGGAAGAGATATTTTTTACCAACTCCATTTTTAACATTTATTTTACTCTCCTGATGAACTTGCTTTTCAAATATTCTCTAAGGACAGGAGAAATTAATAGTAATGAGCTCATTTAGAAAGAAATGGGATCGTGATCATTTTGGCTTTGTTCACTTTGCAGTAATGGCTCCTGCTCATTTTATTTTCAGGAATTTTGCTTAGGCAAGGTGCTGAGTGCAGCAAGGTGCTTTTCACTAAAATAAACTTATTGAATTTTGGTGAGCCTCTGGGACAAAAAAGGAAAGACAATTGCCTATAAAATGTGGAATTGTTATCTTTTGGCGAAGAAGAACAGTAGGTGTATGCAGCTTCTAAGTGATAAACATGTACGTTTCTAACTTCATTTGTACACCTGCCAAATCTCCCCAGCAGCTGTCTTTATTACAGCCATCTGAGCACTAAGAGAACAAGTCCAAAATTTCGTAAACAACATGCGTCATAACTAAACTTTCAAAAGGTTTTTATATCATAAGTTGGTAAGTTTCTGACAGCATGCATAGTAAATTTTAGAGTGCAAACTTTGTGGAGATCTTTTTTTGTTTGTTTTACATAAACACTATGGTTTCAGAAGAGAGCACATTTAATAAATGAGAAGGAAAACAACAGAGTCACTTTCATGAACCAAAGTATCTGTACCGCTTAGAGAGATGTTGGCTAGTAAGACTGTCTTAACTTAATATTCTTACGGAGATGATCATATCCTGTCACAGGCTATTATTTTCAATGCACGCAGTTTTAGATACCTGATTCCCTATTTTCTTGTTTGAAAAGCTTGGAGGAAATATTTTCTTTGTTTCTCGTGGAGATTCTTCAAGGCGATGATCTTAAGCTGAAGTCTGACCAACTCAGGAATTTGCTTCTCCAATGTAAGCATTATAAGGTAGAATTTGGAAGTATCCTTATTTGTCACCCTTTATTTTTCATTGGTGTTGGATGACATAGAAGGATGGAACTGTATATGAGTTAAACAAAATTTGTTTTTGTACCAGAAGAGCAGGTAAAACAGAACATACATATTTTTGAATTTTTAAAGTTGCACGTCTGTCAGATTCTGAGGTCTCCTGATAGACTAGATAATTGATGGACTTTCAAAGCTGTCACAGTTAGGTTTGAATTCAGCATCTCATATGGCTAGGGAGTTTTTAGTCAAGTCAATTTCTTGGAACTGAATGTCCATGTTGAGACAATGATGGATTTTAATACTTACCTTATATGACTATCGTGAAAATCAAATTGAGTGATGTATGAAATACCTAGGCGTGTGCCTTATTGTAGGTGCTTGAGACATCCTATGTTAATCTCTTTCCATTTAATAACAAGAGGGGGACGAGGTAGCTAAAAAGTTAATGAATATAAATAGGAAAAGATGTTTTATATAAAATATAGTAATTGAATCAGATGGTATTAGGAGAAAATAATTAAGTAAAGCCAAACACTTAGTAATTGAAAACTAGTTTATTGAACTCTTATTATGTGCCTGACACTGTTTTAAGTTCTTTACATACATCATCACAGCCAGTCCTCACAAAAGCCCTGTGACAGTGATTACTCACATTTTAAAAATGAGCAAACAAGCCTGGAGAGATTTAGCGCTATGCTCTTCTTTTTGGTTAATGCTAAATATTGCTCTCATTACATATATAAGATAAAGAAAAAGCACATGCAACCCATGTACATAAATAGGTAGGCAAGTTCTGGCTCATTTTCTTAAAACTCTTATTTTCTAATTTGACCTAAGACAGAAGAGGAACGTAAGAATGTTCCATATTTTGGTTTCAAGTAAGACATTTAAATTACTGGCAGGAAGTTAGATACTGTTTTGAAGTACTGTTTGTTTTTAATAATGACACTATAATAATGATACCTTGAACTTGCCTGTGGTATATATTTTTGAGAGTTTTAGAATTTCACTAACCTTTCACAAGGATCCTGGGGTTTTAATTCCAAACCTACTGCAATCTAACTTTGTAACTTTGAGAAAGTAAAACTTTTTGGACCTGTCTTTTCTCAATCATGAAAATGAGAGTATGGGCTAGATTTTCTGTTATGTCTTTTCTCATTCTAATGATTGTTTCAAGGTCACATAAAAAAACGAACAAATAGCATTTGGAGTGACTGCTTTTCAGTGTAAGGACGTCACCACAGTAAAGTAGCAAAATGTTTCCTTCTTTGTACTGGGAAGAATCAGCTGTCTCATTTTCACAACGTGGTGAAGTGAATATTTGAAATTATTCACGAGACATTCTCATAAGAAATATTCAATTAGATTTGTAATTTTATTCTTTCAAGGGTTGCAGTTTGGTTATGTATATGTTGACTCAAATTACATCTATATTTAAATTATCTTACATTGTAAATGCCATCGTTGAATAACAGATATCAATAAAACCCTTCCAAATCTATCCATATTAATTGCTTTCATATTCTGATCTTTTGGTTATATTAACTGTATATTTTCCTATGTGAATGGCATGTAAAATTATAGTGCCACTAGTAATAAAACATATAAAAAGTTTTCTATAATCAATTAATATTGCATATTAAATTTTCTCTTCTACCATTTTCCAGAAGAATTCTTAAAGTTGGCATTATAAAAGACTTTTATTTAAAATTAGGGGCAAGTGGAGTGGTTTCAGATTCTGGTTATATGAGGGAAACATTAGCAAATAAAATAAACGTGATTTGGGGCTTTCTAGCACTTAGAGGCATGGTTCACTTTGAACTCTAAATTATTTATGGCACAGAAGGAGACACTTGGTAAATAACAGGAAAAGCACAGAAATCAAATGCAGATTGTGGTATTTGCTAACTTTAACACTTAAGTTACCAAAACCCAAGTCTGGTGATAATTTATTCTCCCTGAATTACTTACCAAAGAATAGCTTTACTTCTGAATGAAAAAATAAATTAGACCATTAGCAAATGACTAAGAAAACATAATTTGGAAAAAGAAAATAATAATTTTTATTTGATGTTAAAGCAAATTTTTATAAAGCTACAATGAATCTGAAAATATTTTTTCTTAGAACTGATGTGTATTTTATAAATAGCTAGTCTTATTTCGGTATAAATTAATGACAACATCTATCTATGAAATGTAATACGTCACTGCTAGGGTATTAAATAAGCAAAGATAGGAAAGTTGAAAGCTAGGTGTATGTATAAATTGTTACATATGTGTAAGTAAATAAATATATATGTATATGTATGCATATATATCAAAGGTTTGAGAGAGCTACTGACTCTTAAAAAACGAAATCAGAAAAAAACTGTGGAAAATACCATGAATTAAAGTCTACCTATTCTAAACCAAATTAGAGTTACAAAAATGTTGAACTCATGAATTCTCTTTCATTTAATGCATTTCAGTCTCCTCTGTGATATGCAAATAACTATCCTGTACTTTTAAAGCGTTTTCTTTTAGAACTTCTCAAGAGTTTCTTTATTCTTCATTTGAATTGGTTTTACTAGTGAATTTCACTTCAGACACCATGGGCTTGTAGCCCAAGGATCTGGCTGGCCTCCTTTTTTACAGAAGGAAATGGTCATAGACGATGCTTCTTTCTATTGAATTCAGTAGTAAAATCTTTCATTGCCATCTGCTTCTGATGACATCTGAATTTTTTGTTATGAACAGATTTGCTTTTTATAATGGCTGAAATCAGAGTACTATTTTTTTCCCCCTGGAATTTCCTTTTAAGTTTCACTCTGCATACCTTTTTAAAAAATTCAGTATTCATTATTTATACTTCTCAAGTTCATGGCAAACTCCCTTGAAATATAAACACTGCATCATTCATTTCTGTTTCCTAGTGGCACAGTTCAAATGCAATAATAACGATTAGTGCAAGGGCAGCTTTTACTTCTTTTCTCATTTATCGCCGCATATTTCTTCTGTGCCTTCTTTTCCTTCTCTTTTTATTTTCATTTTTTCAGGATTTTGGAATTATATCTGGCTGACTGCAAATCCAGTGAGCTTTCTGCTATTCTAGGTTGTTTCTTAAAGGAAAGATTATGTAAAAACTAAACCCCTACATATCAAAGACCTGGTAATAAATATTCTGCACTAATGTGGGTAACATGATCAATTGCTTGATCACTGAATCAGTAATATCAGTTTCAGTGGGAAATATTAATCAATTTTGATAGAATGCAATAATCTACAGTTGGCACTGGCAAGGGGATTCTGAAGGAGGGGAAGAAACACTGAAGGAGGGTAAGCTTTGCTAAACGAACAGTTTTTACCTAGGCCAGATGAGGGTACACGCACTGGTATAAAACAGGGCGCTTGAGCAGGCAGAATTGAGTTACTTATGTCCCCCAGGAGAAGCCGCAGGTAAGTAGACATCTCAATTACGGATTGTGAAGGAGAGGAGCTGAGGAAGTTGAGAGACCTATAAAAGGATATAATAAAACTTCCTGTGAATCCATCACGACTATGAGTTCTTGAGGTTCTTGCTTTTCCTCACTGGTTACAGGAAACGAGAAGGAAATAATGAGATGATTGTGAGACATTGGACAGAAATCTCACCCCTTTGCTCCTCCCTGAAATTTAAAGATAAGGAAGCAAGAGTGAAACAGGATATTTCCCAAAAGGCCTACTAGTAGGAAAAAGAAACAATCTCCTAAAATAAAATATTGAAGAAAAGTAGAATTTAAGCTGATGTTTTTGTTTGTGACAAGTCTAGTGGTAATGAAGGAGAGCTGGTATGTGTGCAATGTTTACGTGAAGGAGAAAGCCAAATTCCGCAGAGCAAACATTGCATGGTGTCATATTTGCGGGTAGTAATGGTCAGGCATGAGTAAGGGAGAGAAATGCAGCTTCAGAGCTTCCACTTGGGGTGTTGTGGCTCCTGCAGGACTGTCAAGCACTTACACCAGCACAGACATCAGCACAAGCAGATTGTCAAGCTTGCAAGACAATCTTCAACCCTGTCACCTAGTGGGTGCAACAACACAATTGTATTTCACAACTCATCTTGGCCTCACTCTGTGTCATCCTACCTTCCCTCACATATTACAGGGTCCTGGTGATTCCCCCACCAAAAGGAGATATTGATTGGTTTCTGTGCTGATAGCAAATGTGATAAAGGGAGCCATCAATGGTAACAAAAAAATATGTGATTATATTTAAATTCTGGGTTGGTGGAGAAGGTCAAAGGCCTTGGAGGTGGCTTTTGACTGTAGTTTAAAATCCATATTAAGTTGGTAAAGAAAAGCTAAAAGTGAGTTAGCATATTACAAAATATACATAAGGTATTTACTCTTTTAAGTGTTGAACTAAGCATCTCTATTTTATTGGTAAAATGGCTTCAAATCAGCTTTTAATAAATACATTTTTTGTTACCATAAAGTAAGAAAAGTATGCCCTTCTCTATCTAAAATCAAGTGATATTATAATACTAATCTTACTTTTTCAGATGATTGTGGCTAGACAACACTTTTGTTACCTGGCCGTGGTGTTTCTAAACCAAAAAATCTTGAAAGAATCAGGAGCCTAACTTTTACATTAACAAATAATATCTTAATAGTTAATATATGTGTGTGCATGATTAAGTTTTCTTTTTTCTTTCCTCTTAACAAAATATATCTTAGTATCACTTGTCCTTTGTTTTTTTTGTTTGTTTGTTTGTTTTTGTTTTTTTGAGACGCAGTCTTGCTCTGTCACCAGGCTGGAGTGCAGCAGTGCGATCTCGGCTCGCTACAACCTCCGCCTCCTGGGTTCAAGCGATTCCCCTGCCTCAGCCTCCTGAGTAGCTGGGACTACAGGCGCGTGCCACCACGCCTGGCTAATTTTTTGTATTTTAGTAGAGACAGGGTTTCATCGTTTTGGCCAGGATAGTCTCAATCTTCTGGCCTCGTGATCCGCCTGCGTCTGCATCGCAATGTGCTGGGATTACAGGCATGAGGCACGGCGCCTGGCCTAGTATCACTACTAGGTTCTTTTCCCCAGCCGACTTCTAAAATATTAGTTCTCAATTATTATTATTATTATTAATCACAATCATCAGTATGGCTTGTTAAAAGTAAGTGCTGGGCCCTATCTGCAAATATGATCTGATGTGTAGGTTGGCCATGGGCCCTAAGAATATGCATTTCTTGCAAATTCCCAGGTGATGCTAATGCTGCTAGTATGGGGCCCATGTTTTGAGAACCTCTGTTCTAAATAAAATTGAGGTGACTAATGGAAATTACTCTTATTGGCCACTATAATAGCTAATACACCTAAAGAAGTAATAAGTAACCATCTTAATTTCTCCTCAGGATAAATAACTCAATCATATTTAATCTTCCAATTAATATCACTTTAATCAATTCTACTGCTCTTCCTTAAATTCTCTGGGTAAAAGAAATTACCCTGAAAATATAAAAGTTAAAATTGGTCACCATATGTTAATAAGGGCCTAATAGTGAATTAATTGGAAGCAGCATTCCTCGGCTCTTGCAAATAACCCAATAACTTTAAAATATCCAAGTGTCATATTAACTTTTTAGGTTAAAGTATAATGTTGCTCATGAAAGGCTCCATTAGGCTACTTAGCTAATCCAGCACAAAATGCATTGTTCAGATTTCCTGTTTTCTAAGTATGTATAGAGAGAGGTAGTCTATTTTTCTTTTAATGTTTTGGTTTTTTTTTCCTCCAACTTTTATTTTAAGCTCCGGGGTCATGTGCAGGATGGGGAGGTTTGTGACACAGGTAAACATGTGCCATGGTGAGCTGCTGCACAGATCAACCCATCACCTAGGTTCCAACCCATCACCCAGCATCCATTAGCTTCTTTGCCTGATACTCTCTCTTCCCCTGCTCACCCCCGACAGACCATAGTGTGTGCTGTTCCCCATCATGTGTCTGTGTGTTCTCACAAGATTACGTTTTCTTCTGGTGTTACTGCTATTTTTCAGTTATTTCAATTATAGCTTCCAATTAACTAAAATGATTTGGGGTTTTGCATTTTACCTAAGACATATATTAAAATTATCTTAAAAAATTGCCAACTACTGTCAACCCCACTCCTCAATTATCCTCATTATCATCAGACATTGTTTATTCAGGGGAAGCAAAGTAATTCTAATATTTGCCTAATAAAACATAATTATGTAAATTGCCTCTAAAATTATTCATACTGTTATCTAAAACCAAATATTTTGGAAATAACCATTCTCTCACTCAGATTTGACTATACTTCTTTTGTTTAAAAAGTCTCAGGGTTTTTGTTTTTTTCTTTTTCTTTGCCAATTTGAGCGATTTTTGGAGATAGGAGTAGTTCTGGAGTAAATGGGTACTGTATTTCTAGCTTTACCATTAGTTAACTCTAAGAATGTGGCCAAAGACTTCAGTTGATACAGGCATAATTTTAAAAAGTATGTAGAAATGAGTTCTTCCAGCTCTAAATGTTTTTTGATTCTAAAATGTGCAAATTAGAATTATGATATAAATTAAACATATAATAGAAAAATAAGTAATACGTTTGTTCAGATTAAGATACCAGAGAGTGAGCATGCTATTCGTATTTGAAATACACATCCTTCAAGATTTAGAAAAATAATAATTTAAAAAATTAAAATGAAGTTACATACTTTAAAATGTTAATATATTTAAAATATTTTCAAATTTGAAAAATAAAATTCCAACATAATTCTAAAGTAAAACAAATTCCCAGGAATTTCACTATAGCTACAAAATTAGATGCTGTTATGCTTTGCAAAAAATACGTTAACTAGAAGCCAGTAGAAGACTGAGGTCTAGAAAGAAGTATAGATTTGATGTTATTGTTTTCTATTTTTAAATTTTATTTTCATTTCTCTTGACAGGAGTTTTAAATTTAAGAGCATTGATAAATGAGGAGAATAACTAACACTCAGGATAAGATAAAAATAACTGTTCTTAAATGTATACATTTTATTGTTCTAAAATGTTAATAGTATGTATGTGGCAGCAAAAATAAGTAATTTGAAATCAATGGATTATTTAGAAAGCTTCATTTATTCCTTTATTAAGCAACAAACCATCTTGATCAAAGGGTCACCACTGATCTTTTAGTTGCATGAACAAAAGGGAACATCTCTTTTGGCCAATGTATTTTCTTATTCTATAAAAAGACAAAAGATATAAAGTAACAACCAAATGAACATTTATCAATAATACTTTTAAATTCCATTCATCAATATAAATTTTAATGCCTTATAATTAAAATATGTTACACCTGACTGCAATCTCTTCCATTTCTCAATTAAGTTTACTTTGCCAAATTGTGTGTGGTGGCCTGCGTATGTGTGTGAAGAAATGAGTGTTAGACAAAACTTGTCTTGCTCTAAAAAAGCCTCTAAAAGGTAGACACCACAGATTGAGAACAAGAGAAAAAAACCATATCTATGATATAACAACGTTAAAAGAAATCCCAGATATTTAGAACTACATCTGTTAAGGTGATCCAAAATATTACAAGCCAAAACCCAACTAATTCTTCATGGATATGCAAATAGAGCTCATGGCACGTAGTTTCTAGAGAGCACAGAAAAAGTTGCAAATATATATAAACATTTTGAAAATATTATTTAGCCCATCTGCAGCTTTTTATAGATTCTAAGTGCTTTAAACTCCTATTTTATCTGTTATTCCTTACACCAATCCATTATAAGTCACAAATTTGTTTTATGGCTGGATACAGTGAAACAAGCTTTGAATGCATTAACAAGTTCTCTAGTGAACAAGTACACATTAAAAGACATGCATTTTCTAACATAGTAAGGATAGAAGAGGGTAGTAAAGAAAATATGAGGGCAGAAGCCTTGGAATTCCTTGGAGAATTCTGAGTTGTGCTAGAAGGGTCTTCTAGGTCAGCTATTATCCAACAACGTTTTCTACCAATGTGTGGTCCATTCTTCACCACCACCCACCTAACTGAACTCTGGACTATGATTTTGATAAGATGTTGCTGGTATGTGTTTCTAATACTCTTGTCCTTTCCTAACTCATTCAAAGTAGATTATACTAATACAAAGGGTTAAAGACACATTATCATATATGAACTTTGAAGCTAATTCACAAATATGTGAAAAATAAAAAATTCACTTTATTCAGTAATGAATAAAAAATAGTAATTCTTCAGTACATTTCGGTAGAATATTAGTAATTCTTTTATCAAATGATTTGTGATAACTTAAAATTAATTGTCATATCATTTATTCATTTCCTTAATTTTGTTGCATGCCCTCTGTGAACCAGGTTTTATGCTAACATATTGAGTAAAATAAAATGTAAATATAAGACAGTTTTCACTATGTTTATGAAGATTACTTTTCTCTGAGAGAGAGATTAATTTAAAAAATACATAAGTGAGTTGGAAAAGTGCTAGATGCCATGAAGTTGGGATATACAATACTATGAGAATATATAGCAGGATTTTTTGAAGTTGTGATATATAATACTATGAGAATATATAGTAGGATTTTTTGCAGGTTTTCTGTTGGTTATAACTCCAAACATGTTGTCTTTTGTACCTCCAGGGTTGGAAACCTGCAAACTACATTTCTTAGAAAACTTTGCCATTTGGCTTCTTTACTAATAGGAGGTACTCTCAGGAGGCTCAAAGCAAAAAAGAAGGCATTAAGACTTTGTTTTTCCTGCTGCCAGTTTGTGGCTGCCGGTGTAGTAATATCAGCAGACATGGTGACTATATGAGACTCCAGGTTCGTCCCAGCAGCATCAGGAGAGATTTAACACCAGTGAAAATCTGGGCTCCTAAGTTTCTGCTAACTGGTGACATTGTGATTCCCACAGCTGCAGTTGCACTGGTGGCACCTCTCACAGTTAGTTGAACAACAGCAAGCCCAGGGAAAGCTTTTATTAGAAAGGGCTGTTTTAGCTATCAGAAAGTACAGGCTACTTGCTCTGCCTGCAAGACACTGTTTTCTTCCCTTGTTATCAAAGCAGATAGGCTATGCAAAGAAGCCCTCTGTGGAGGTATATTTTAGGGACTAAATGAACATCTATATGGCTGAAGACCAGAAAGCAAGGGGAAGGAGTAGTAAGAGAAAAGGCTGGAGAAGAAGGTAGGTGAATGAATATGCAGAGAATTCTAAGTACCTTCTGATAGCACAGAGAAGCCAGAAAAGGATTTGATACATACATATTTTCCGTTTTTCATTTCAAAATGTTAACTTTGAACTTTGCCATTAAAAGATTGCCACATAATATATGGGAAGTTTTGTTCCAGATTACTTGAAATGGAGTTCTCATTCTTTGGGACATAACAGGATTTTGTTTGTCCAGTGGATCTACGTAATAATAACCATGATAGTAACAGAAACAATGGTCATAATACTGTGCATAATAGCCCCTGTTTTTGAGCACTTTCTCTGTAGCAGATACTGTTATAAGCATTTAACATGCACGTGATAATTCTAACAGAATTAACCTTGGCGGAAAAGTCTAATTTGTTTTCACTTTATAAATGAAGAAGCTGAACTTTAGTGTTTCAAGTAACTCTCAAGAAGTCAAATTGCTAATATGGTATAATACTGTCCCATTCCCTATAATTTTAGCCTTGTGCTTTTCTGCTTTCTAACTACCTTCTTAAAAAAGAGGAACAAATATGTTTCTCGTCGTTGATATTTTGACTAAAAATAAATTTTTCTTTTTCCTCTCTCAGTTATATAATGTTTTCAAGATATTTAATCCTGAATTTCATCTGTATACCTGGTTAAATGTGGGATAAGTGGATTAAAAAAGAGGGGGCATTGTCTTTGCACAACTAAAAGTATGATACACATAAGGTTACTGTGATGGCTACAATGCCATACTAACCAAATTCTCTTTTAATTTCCTTAATTTTGGCACACAGAAAATCTAGCTTTTTCACTTCCTTGCAGTTAGGTTAGGGCCATGTGGATGGGGTCTGGTGTGACTTGTTCTGCTAATAGAATGTGAGCAGATACGATGCAAGCCACTTACATGCCTGTTGGTAAAGGATCTCTATGTTTATCCCCACTCTCCTTTTTTTCTGTAGTCACCTCAGAGGCCTTATGCTTAATTTAACAGCATCATATCATCCAATTCATGAGAAATTATAATGTGAGTGAGAAATAGACTTTTCTTTTTTGTTCGTGTTGCCACTGAGATTTGTTTTTTTAAACATATGACCTAATGTTAACTACCTTGGCCACTAGAAGACAGGCCAGCTGTGGTTGATTTAGAGTGTTCCCCACCTTCTTTGGGAAGGTCCATTCTAAGTACAACTGCTGGTACTCTGTTCTAGAATCACTCTGTGGTTGAGGCTGTAAAACTGGATCCTGGCCCCTACTGCACTTGCAAGATCTCTTCTGTTTTCGCCTTTATTTCAGAAGAGTTCCTGCTATTTCAGTGGCCTGAGAGGTCTACTTATTGTTAATAGTATATTAATTTCTACTATGCTATCTTTAGCTTCCCATGGTATAATTTTGCCCTGAATCATATCTAAAATCACACTTTGGTGATCATAGCTTCAAACTCTGGAAGTACAGACCTTTATCTTATTAACTTACCAACGTGAGTTTCCATCCACATTTAATTCAGAGGAAGAAACAAGGGGGAAATTGCAGCTGCTTAAAGACTCCTCAGATTTAGGGGACAATAAGGAGATATTGGAATATTAGTATCTGAGATGAATAAATAGGGAGTTGACATTGGAAACAAGGGAGATTCTTTTGAGGAGAAGGCTGGTGTGCTTGTGTGTGTACCTAATATTCTAAATGCTGGGAATGTAAAGATGAACAAGGATCTGTTGTTACCCTTGAGAAAGTTCAAATCTATTTAAGAATTAGATAGCTACATAAATTATTGCAGTACTGCAATAAAGCAGAGAGTTTACATGGTGAAATTAATAGATTCTAGATGGGGAAAGGGCTTCAGCATGATCATTGAGCTGATCAGTAAAAGAGAAATGGAAATTTGCACGGTGATCAGTATGGTTAACTAGCAAAGATAGAAGTGTCTTGTAAGATGAAGTCTCTTGAGAATTATATTAGAGAATAGTTTGAGTATAGAATATTAGAAGGTTGGAGTAGCAGGAGATCAAACTGCATAGGAAGCCATAGAGTTGATCATTAAAGGCCTTGTTCACTGGGTTAATATGTTTAGATTTTATAGTAGCTTATGGGAACCAGTGAAAGGTTTTGAACAGGTAAATGGCATGAAAATATTTTTCAGAAAAATTTATTGTGTCATGTGGTAGAATCAATTGAAAGCAGAGATTATTGCAAGGAGGCTAGGTAATTTTTTAAAAAGTTCCAATGAAAGATAAGAACCAGAAATTAGACAATAGCAGTAGGAATAGAAGTAGAAGATGAATGAAAAGGTATGAAATAAATTGAATGGAAAGACTTGATGACTAGATATAAAGGAGTGGGTCATGCTTCTGCTGAGGTAGAAAATCAAATACAAAGAGGAAAGCAAATTGTCATGTGAGAATGTGGTTGAGTCACATTTTGAAGATGTTGAGTCTGTGATGCCTCTGGAACATCCAAGTAGAAATACAAGTAGGTTACTGGTCTGTAACTTACAAATGAGATCCCAGCTCTTGATAAAGATTTGAGTGTGGGTCAGTGGTTTCCCAAAGCGCCTTCCAAAGTTCTGACTGCATAAACTAGGGAGCTTGGGGGAATAAGTTAAGTGGCCTACTATAAACATGAAGTTTTGCTTTAGTTTGTTTTACTTTATTTTTTCCATCTTACATGTGTATGGACTTGTGTTAGTTTTTGCATAAAATTATTTTTTTCCCAAATGTTAGGTAAATCTTAGATTCCAGAAGAAATTAACTTTCCCTTCTGGCATATTGTTACCTACCCTACCCTGATGCAGGGTAGTGAAAAGTATTCGAGGGAGTCAGGGCTGTATTCACTTCCTACTTTGAGCTGTGTGATCATGAGAAGATTATCATTAGCTCCAATAATAAAAAATAGCAACATTATATAATGTAAATAAATCACCTACCACACTGACTTTTTAATCCCTTTCATTTTATTATGTGGGAGTAGTGGTAAAAGCCCTGAGTAAAATAAGAGTCAATTAAATCGATTAGAAAACCTGAGTAAAATAAGGAAAGAGCAAAGGATGAAACAAACACTGCAAACCTAATAAACAAAAAATGTAACATGAAAGCCATTGCTTCTGGTATAAAAATACTTGCATGTAAGCTTCCCAAGTATTAGTACAGGTTATGAAAGTTATAAATTATAAATCTTAGATTAGACAATGGTTTACAGAAATGGCCCAATAGTCATGCCAGTTAGAATATAATCCACATGAGGCCAGTGGACTTTGGCTGTTTTATTCTTGGATGCTTGTTTAGCTCATAGGCATTCAATAAACATGCCGTAAATTTATTGAAGGATTCAAGAGATACACACTTTTGGTACATCAGTGTTTCAGCACATTTAATTTCAGTATTTCAGTTGAAACAAGTCATGGCAATTGTGATTCTGAATATGATCCAATTTTGCAAATAAATTGGAGCTGGTAGGACAGTAGTGAGTCTTACCATTGTCAGGTAAACACATAGTTCAACTCCTGACTTTAGATCTGATATTTTCCAAGGAAAAATGTTTTCAAATAAAAGGTGATGAGAACTTAGATTTCATGGGTTAAATGAAATTTACAGAGGTATTTTTGTCTATTTGTCACAGCATTTTAAAATTAAGAGATGTTGTGTAAAAATATTAATTTGTCACTTTCCTTGAATAATAGGATAAATGGCAGTGGCAGTCAAACTTTTTCATATAGCAACAATTTGCTTATCCTGAGTACCTATGGCCAGCTATAAACAAAGTATGCGTTCTCCAATTGCAATACAGTCCTCACTATCATCCAGTGCCCGCTTATGCAGTTTTACCCAGTGGATTTCACTCCTTATGTTACTCTTTTGGCCTCTTGAGGCATTTGATTTGCAACTTTTCCTTTAAACTTTGATATTTAGGTCTCCTTAAAAGAACAACAAGCTTAGGCCAGACATTTATACTGTCTTTGTCTGTGTTACCTCAAAAGTAGAGCCTGAGACAAGGACTTGGGAATTGCTAATTTATTTGGAAGATAAAACTAGGAAGCTAATATGAGAAATAGAGAAAAGTGAGACAGAGAGGAAAAACAAGTCAATAAAGGGTACATTAATGAGTGGGTTACTAATGTGGACAATTTGGGCTCAGTCTCACTGGGTGGATCATACCTTTGAATTGTCAGACCTAAAAGAATAGGGAGGCTGGGACATTTCTCAGTGGATTCCCATCTCCAGTTGGTTGGGGGTTGAGCCAGGGGATATCACTCTGCTGCAGTTCTGCGTTGAGCCTAGGTATGCCTTAGCCTGCTTGCTTCCTTGTAGGAGAGTGTTCTCAGGCACAGGAGTGGTCAGTGAGTAGGGAACTTTCCACAGCTGCAGGTAAACTCAGCTGGGGTCTGAGAGTTATGGCCCTCTGACAACTGTTCATGTCATGGAATTGCAAATCATCAATTTTTTAAAGCTTTGCATGGGCAAAAACAATTATCTCTACCTTCTAATTTAAAATTTAGTTTTTCGATTATTGTAAATCTACTTGAATTGGAATGTAGGGTGAATAATGCCATTAAGGGAATGTTAACTAATTAATGAATTTATTTATTGAGGCAGAGTCTCACTCTGTTGCCCAGGCTGGAGTGCTGTGGTGCGATCTTGGCTCATGGCAATCTCCGCCTCCTGGGTTCAAATGATTCTTGCTCCTCAGCCTTCCTGACGTCAAGTGATCCACCCACCTAGGCCTCCCAAAGTGCTGGGATTACAGGTATGAGCCACCGTGCCCAGCCTGGGAACATTATTTTACATAACTGCAATTCTGGAACATTCCTTAGGGTCTGATAATATACAAACTTTATGCCAATCTTCCATTGTACCAAAGCAAAAGCTGTACTCAAAAGACCATTGAATAGATCAATTAATTTCTTCCATATATATGGATAGCAATAGAATCTCTAATAGTTAGAACTAACTCAGTTACAAGAGTGAAGGTCCTGGAATAGGAAAAATCTCAAGAACATGCCAAGCTTTCATTTCGCTGGCAACCTATTCTGATGTATGAACAAGACAAGAAATCTAGAAAGTTTTTGTACTGTAAAATCTTTGCAAAGAACTTTAATTTTTTCCTCTAAACACCTAGTAATTTACACATAAACTAGTTTACATTCATTAGCGTTTGTCAGTACACTTTTCTTCTGAAGCTTCAAACTGGAATATCAATCCAAATGCAAAAGTAGGACTCTGACCCAGCTTGCAAGGGCGCCTTCATTAGCAGCTCTGTTCAGTTATTGCTCCCGCTGAAGCTGAACTTGTGAAATGAGTGTACCAGAAAATGTGGAGCAGACATAACATAAACAATTTAACGTAAGAGGAGCACTTTAACCCTCTCCTTTGCAGCCATCTATGCTATACTATACAGACAAAAGAAAGTGCCTTAATTGTCCAGAGAATGGGGGAATACACATTATATTGCAAATTTCCCAATACTTAAACCCAGAATTAAATAAATCACCTGGAAAAATAAATTGAGATAGCTGTCTTCAGTGAAGTAGGTGTCATTACAACAGATGCTTTTACTTTTTCATTTTTTCCCTGTTAGAATGACATCAATAAAAAGCTATGAACCAAACAATAAAATAAATCTTTCTCTCTCACCAATTTATCTATATTAGAATCAAAGGTAAGAACATATATGTACTGGGTTCTAGCAATCCAAATGCAGTAAGTGAGGATTAAACTATCCAAACATTTTAAGGATTAAGTGAGATGATATTTATTTTAAAGAGCATCAGTGTGTAGTCTGCTTGCCTAGAGCAGCAGTTCTGAACAGGAGCTCCTACTTTAATATCTCCCTAACATAGTTTCTAATTGCTACTGTAACAAATTACCACTAATTTTATAGCTTAAATAATACAAATTTATTATTTTATAGCATTTCTGGTCAGAAGTCCAAAATGGGTGTCATTGAGTTAAAATCAAAGTGTTGACAAGGCAGCATTTCTTTTTTAGGTTCTAGGAGAAAATCTGATTCTTTATCATTTGCAGCTTCTAAAGGCCTACTGCATTCCTTGGTTTGTGGTCTCTTTCACCATCTTCAAAGCCAGCAGTGTAGCATCTTCAAATCTCTCTCCGACACTGAGCTCCCCTTCTGCTTCCCTCTTTCACTTTAAAGGATCCTTGGCATTACAGTAGGCCCACCTGGATAATCCAGGATAATCTCTTTATTTTGAAGTCATATGATTTGCATCCTTAATCCATTGCAACGTAAATTACCTATTGCCATGTACTATGGCATATTCACAGATTCTGAAGATTGGGATGTGGACATCTTTTGGGGTCCATTATTCTGCCTACCACCTTTCAGCATTGCTTGGAGAATCAAAGACAGCTATCCATGACTCTCCACCCCACTAGCATGCAGATCCTAAACTGGCCCAGTGATTGCCACTGTGAGTTACAGTGAGTAATTGGTTATTGAATCAGCTGAAAAGTTAGAAATGTTTGGCTGTTGCATCAGGAAAGTGGCACGAGGTAAAAAGGACATCAGGATGAAGTGTAAGTTTCTTTGGCCAAAGTTTATAAAGAATAATAAAAATACTTCTTTTATAATGCTGACATAAATTTGTTATGCTTTCCCCAGTATAGATGGTTTATGTTTTTTCTTTTTATATCTGAAACAAGTAACATATTTTATTGCAACCCAGAAGTTCTTTTTGGCAGCTGTCAGTTATTCATTAAAAAATGATTGGATATGTAATATGAGATGGCCTGAGGGGAATAATAGTGAATAGGACCCAGGGCTGGCTTTCAAGTGACTCACCAGTTCAATAAAAGAATAAAACAAGTGATCATTTAAAATACAGAATAAGAAGAACTTTAGTATGGGTATCTGGAGGTCTTAAGGGAGTGCAAAAGAGACTCACTAGAAACAGTCAACATAATCTCTGCTGGGTCACAGTGGTTCCAGACACTCTTCCAAAGAAAGTGAAGCAGTCTTTGAGGAAGGGGATGTGGCAGTGAGTATAAAACTTGTGAAAGTGCACAATCATGAAAGAACATGGGTGAAATGCAAGTGAAACAGCATCACTGTAGCTAAGTACATGGGGATAAAAGGGGAGCAGGCACAGGAAAGGTTGACAAGGTCCAGCTCATGACGTCCTTGCTTACTTGAGGATGCTGGACTTTTCTCATATAAAAAATGGTGATCTCATAAGGGAGATCACCTATTTGTAAAAAAATACAATTGGCATTTTAGAAGAAGAATGATAGTAGGGATAAAGAAGACTTTATGCTGCTGATAGAACTATTATGACTATGACTATGACGACTGTCACTAAAGATATGACTTGAATGCTTGCCAGTAGAAAATAATTGTGAAAATTATATCCATTTAATCCTCACAACAACTCTCAAACAGGTGCTGTACTTACCCTTATTTGAACAGATGAGAAAACTATAGTTGAGAGAGATTTAGTAACTTTCCCTGGACACACATTCTGTAAAAATGAGCAGCTGGGGTACAGGTTTACACGGCTGTCCCCAGGACCCTCTTACCCCCACACGCTGACTTACCTTGAAGTCCTCAAGCTGAAGCTACCAGTTCCCTCATTTGCATAGGTCCTTTCCCAAACTTGATGAATTCAAGTAGGGAGCAAGAACTCAGTCAGTCACATGGCAGAGTCACAGACTGCTGCCCCACTATGGGGGCCACCATATCCACCAGCCACTATATCCACCAGACAATACTCTGAATAGCCTAGATGAGCATCTCCACCAGTCTTGACTCCAAGAAGGAAGATCACAAAGAGATAGTACTGTAACCTGTGCTCACTGGGCATTTTGACCCCAGCCACCTATTCTCCTGGCCCTGTGAAAACCTGAATGAGCTGGACCATGACCAGCAAGGTCAAAGGTCCCGAATTCTCATAGGCACCACCTGGGCAAGACGCTGTAAAGGAATTACTGTTGTGACATTAGCAACAGAAATTAGGAAGCCAAAATAAATTTCTAAACTATCAATTTAAAATCTTTTTAGCCATTCTAGAGAAAAGATTGAGTTATATTTACATCTTCTCAGTAGATGAATATTATAAAATTGTTGTCTACAAAGAGAGGATCAAAGGGGATGCAGCCAAAAATGCAGGAAAAAATAGGGAAATGGGTCAGGCGTTAGTTTTTTTTCTAAATATCTATTTTGCCTTGTAATTTTATATTCCTTTTCTTAGTGAGATCTCACTAAATGTGGGAGCTTCCGGACCCACACAAATTGGATCCACCCCTGCCTACAGCTATAATTTATTACAGGAAATGATGAAGGTCTGAACAAAGGCCTCCACCAATGGAGGTGGTGAAAAGGAATGGACTTGACAAATATTAGGGTGATAGGTAGAGTGGATGAGACTCACAGGAATGGCAATCTAGAAGAACGAGTGGTTGAGGATTTTCCTGGGATTCTAACTTAAAAAACTAGGTAGGTACTGACTGGTGAAATTCACTGGGAAAGTTACACAGGTGGTAGGACAGGTTAATGTTGGGAGGTGAGATGAATTTCATTTGGAAGATTTTGATTTAATATGCCTGTGAGATATTTAAGTAAAGCTGTAGGAATAGCCAGTAAAATTATCAGCTGAGTTCAGAAAATGTTGGATTGGAGATATAAATTTGGAAGTCCTAGGCATATAGGTATATTCAAATCCATGGATAAGGAAATGTATATATAATTTTGAAAACAGAGAGAGGGTTGAAAAAAGGATTATTAAAGTGATAGGTCAATGAGCCAGGGCTAAAATCTGAAGTATTCAATAGCTTACGTCAGTAGTCCCCAATCTTTTTAGCACCAGGGACAGCTTTTGTGGAAGACAATTTTTTCCATGAATGGGGGATGGGGGAGGGTAGGGTGGGAGCAGTGTGTAGTTTCCGAATGAAACTATTCTGCCTCAGATCATCAGACATTAGATTCTCATAAGGAATGTGCAACCTACATCCCTCCCATGTGCAGCTCACAACAGGGTTTGCACTCCTGTGAGAATCTAATGCCGCCACTGATCTGACAGGAGGTGGAGCTCAGGCAGTAATGCTTGCTTGTCTGCTGCTCACCTCCTGCTGTTCAGCTTGGATCCTAATAGGCCGTGGACTGATACCGATCCATGGCCCCAGGGTTGGGGACCCCTGGCCTACATAACAATATAAATGAATTTATGAATCAAAAGTGTTTTTATTTTTTTTAATTCTCAAAAGAAAATTATCTATTCATCTATCCTTCTATCCATTGATCTATCTGTTTCTCAAATGATATACATTTTATCATTTGAGTGCAAGTAATCCATCAAATCATTGTAATGATTTTAAAAGTACTTGTTACAATACAAAAGTTGCTGATGTGATCTTTTATTTGATGTGGTTATTGCCAGATGAGTACCACTTGCCTCTGAGCTGTGTTTTGACATTAAGAAACATCACCAACAACTTCTCTATTACATTGATAGTCATTAGGTTATTCTGAGTTTCAATAATGTCCGTTTAACATCAGTGATATTGTTCATGGCCTTGAATCTTCTTGTGGCAATTGCTGTATTAGTAACAATTGAATCAATTTTTTCTACTCATACTGTGAGATGAGAATTTTATTGTTTAATATTTCTGTTACAAGTTAAGTAATAAATATAGTTTATTATCATGTTACATTTAACCTAATCTTTCAGGCCAGGTGAAAGATGGGTGTATCGTGGTGATTATGAAAAGACGATCTGTTGTTGCTTTTCCGGGCTCCATTACTGACTCTGTCAGAGAAGGGTTTTTCTTTTTTTAGTTTTAATTTTTTAATTGACCAAGAATAATTGTACATATTCATGGGGTACATAGTGATGTTTTGATACATATAATGTATAGTGATCAGATCAGTGTAATTAGCATATCCATCATCTCAAACATTTATTTATTTGTGTAGGAAATATTTAATATCCTCTTTTGAGCTATCTGAATGTGCATAATATATCATTGTTAGCTATAGTCATCCTACAGTGGTATGGAACACTGGAACTTATTCCCTTTATCTAGCTGTAATTTTGTATCCTTTAACAAACCTCTCCCTCTATCTCTCCCTTCCCAGCATCTAGTATCCTCTGTTCTACTTTTTACTTCCATGAGATTAACTAGAAGTTCCAAATGATATCTGTGGACCTCAGTTTTCTCATGTGTGAAATGCAAATGGAGTTGATAATTATAGAACTCGAGTGAGTTCATTTATGTGTAGCATCATGCCTGGAACAAAGCAAGCACTATATAAACATCGGCTTCTGCTTTTATTACTAAAATTAACATTGTCAATGCCTGTGATGAGTGAGGTTTTGGTGGGTTTCAACAAACTTGTCCACTGAAGTGGAGGGGTAATTCGTCAGGATAGTACAATATAGGATACCTGTGAGGGGCCACCCCTGATTCCATACTGCTCCACTGGCCTTCTCTATCCACCGCGGCCTCCTTTTTGTAGCTCGGTGGCCCTGCTTATGCCACAGTGGCCTCTCCTTACTGCCTGCCCTCCTACTTTTCCAGCCTCTCCTCTGGTTTCGCACAGCCTAAAGTCCATGAAGTCCATGGATTCTGCAGTTTCTACCAGAGCACTTCAGAGGGCAACTATGGAGAAATGCTGGCTGGCAGGGTGAAGCCTGCTGATGCCCTTGCTGGTGTCTGACCAGGGGCAAATAAGAAAGACACCAGTGTGTGGGAGCCATGGAGGTGTAATTGGCTATAGACAGGGCCTTCCAGGCCTGGGTGTGTGGTATAGCAGGAACAAGGGGAGCTTTCTGGATCCCTGCTGGGTGGGTTAGTGGGAGGAAAGACTGGCAAAAGCAATACCAATGATGTGGGGCTTTTGGGATCTGACAGGCCTGAGCACCAATCAACTATTATAGGTCCTGGTGTTTTCCAAAGAGAGGTGAGTCTAAGGAATGTCAGAGGTAAGATGCGCACTCATTGCAGATTTTGAGTGTTGACAATGAAATTTGGATAAAACTAATTTGGGTTTGAAGGATGATGTGTGGGGTGGAGGGAGAAGCACAGAGAAGAATATGAATACAAATTTAATGGAGACTTCAAGAAAGGCATGCCTTTGGACAGTGGCCATGGATTCTGGTGGTGTGTCTCATGATGATGATATATTATTTTAATTCTCAAAATGCTATGAAGTTGTACAACTGTAGAATTCTCTTGGTGGTCTAATAACATTTGCTCAGATTTAGAGATTGTAGGAGGTTATTGTGACATATATGCCTATGTCCAGATCATTTTGTGAGGGAATTAGTTTAGGGAGAGTCTAATGCTACATACATAACCTGAACATACAATGACAAATTATTTTGAACCTGAAGTTGACTACTAGTTTTCTAACAGATAAACACCAACCATTTGTCAACTGTTTTTACAGAACAGAATAAGATCTTCTGCACTATGGATTTTTATTGTCCTGCTATACCACACGCTCAGGCCTGGCATATTAACGTCTACATGCCAGAACTGCTCTAAATTATTTGATGTATTAATTTATTTAATTTTCAATACATATTTCAACTTCACAGTTGAGAAAACTGAGGCTCAGGGATCTTAAATGACTTGCCTGAGGTCACACAGGAAGTGAGCAGCAGATCCAAGAGTTGTACTCAGGTCTGGCACCAGAGCCCTCATGCTGAAACATGTCAGTATGCTGCCCTCAACTGCGAAGCTCAGAAGGCATTGGGAGATGCACCATGGGGTGGTCTTCGACCTTTTCACACAATGTTGAAAGAAAGTTTTGTGAGACTGTAAAGTCCCATCTCTTTTTGAGTTGAGTGGCAAAAAAGATGTAGAAGCACTACGTGCTACTTGAAGGTGGAAGATCTTAAAAATGCAGCTACAGTAGAAAAAATATACATACTAGGCAATCTTCTTTTTTTTTTTTTTTTTTTTTTTTTTTTGAGTCAGAGTCTCACTCTGTCACTCAGGCTGGAGTAGTGCAGTGGTATGATCTCGGCTCACTGCAACCTCTGCCTCCCAGGTTCAGACGATTCTTGTGCCTCAGCCTCTTGAGTAGCTGGGACTATAGGCACGTGCCACCACACCTGGCTGATTTTTCGTATTTTTAGTAGAGACAGGGTTTCACCATGTTGGCCAGGCTGGTCTCAAACTCCTGACCTTGTGATCCGCCTGCCTCGGCCTCTCAAAGTGCTGGGATTACAGGCGTGAGCCACCGCGCCTGGCCAACAGTGGGCAGTCTTTCAGCTCAAACATGGTTTCTAATTTTTCAACCAATATATTATCAAGTCCTTGGTAATTTAAGGATTATTATTACCAATACTATTTTAAACAGAAATGTTTTTCTGAGATCAACTGACTTCAAGGAATGAATGTTTGGATACAAATATGGAGTAAAAGAGAGAGAGCTTTTTGGACCTGCTAGTGACTGTGCCACCAGTTGTAATTTGTTGGAAAGATTTAATATTCTATTATAATTTTTTAACATATTATTTTATATGTATTTTTCATACTTAATTTTTTTAAAAACTTAGCATCAACATTTTACAGTTAGTGTTCTCTAGTTAGTTTCATGAGCTTCAGAGAGTTTATGAAGTCACTTACATTCACAGAATATAATCTAATCAAACTCCCTGGAAATGTAGAATGGGCAGATATTGCTTTCAGAGTTTTCAAGCCAAAATACCTGGGAATTTTTTTTTTTCATTTTTTTTCTCTTTCAGAATGTAAAATTAGTTTTCTAATCTGGGGGGTTTGTGTTATTCTTTCTCCTTCCCTCTCTTACTTGCTCCCTTGCCTCTTTCCTGTACTTTCTTCTTCTCTTGTTCCTTGTTTGTTTAGCTAATAATTTTAAGTATAAGCATTATCCAAATCATTCATCTGTAAATTCCCTTTTTTATGAGATGAGTCAGTGAGGAATTTAGGACTTGTTTTCTGTTTCCCTGCTCCCATTCGCCTTCTCTTATTATGAGTTTCCTTAATTTGACTTCTTTCCTCATGTAAAGTTTTAGCTTTTCAAAAAGTCACTTGCAGATTTACTTTCTCTAAAGGCCTTTTCAAATTTATTCACCAAATCATCTTTTCCTCCTTTGACTATGTCGTATCATATTTTACTTACCTTCATTCTTCCCTTATCCAATTGTGTAATATGGTCATCCGTTTACTTAATTCTTCTAAAAGATTCAAAGGTGTTTAGAGAAGAAATTGTTTCCTTAAACATCTTTTAATTGCTGCAGCCCCTTTGCATAATATGTTTAACCTAGTCAGTGCCCAAGAGATATTTGTTGAAGTCTGTCACACAAAATAAAATAAGAAATTGGTTTCATCCAGAAAATTCAACTCGCTTTCCCACAGTTACATCATTCAGGTTGCTGGCTTACTTGGAATCTAAAATTGCTGGAATAATATGCACAGCAGCAACCTGGGGCCCAAAGCACCACAAATTGGAATAATTTGGTTCTTAATTGCCTATAATTCAGTCCCTAATTACTCCCTGACAAAAGGTAGGGTGTCTGGCCTCATATCCCTAGTGGATATATTCAGTGGGGTAGATGGATTGTTGAGCTGCTGGAGGAGTTCATTTAAGAGACAAAATCTGTCCAAAATGGCAGTAAGAAATGACACTGAACTGAGTGGTTAACGTTTTTATTTCAAAAAACAGGATATTGTATATATCATTTCTGAGAAAATAATTAAGGTACTATAATTAAGTTCCATGTTTTTAAACACAATAAGGTTATACAGAATCTCTCAAATGTGAGTTTACTCAAACTTTATTTAAATATAGCAGAATTTAATTGGGAGTTTTAAGTGGTGATTTCTGCCTCTCACAAAATAAAAGCTCTTTTACAGGGTTTTATTTATTTATTTTCTTAAAGTTTACAGCTTTAATATATGTTACAAGGGTTTAATCTTTTAATAGAGATATTATTCAGTTATTTGAAAAATAACGGAGAACATGATTCAATATTATTCAATTATTATTTAATTGTTCAGTATTGAATAATCCTTTGGGGGTTATACGTGCCATGAAAAGTACATTTTCCTTTTTTTTTTTGAGACAGAGTCTGGCTCTGTCACCCAGGCTGGAGTGCAGTGGTGTGATCTTGGCTCACTGCAACCGCAGCCTCCCGAGTTCAAGCAATTCTTCTGCCTCAGCCTCCCGAGTAGCTGGGATTACAGGCATGTGCCACCATGCCTGGCTAATTTTTGTATTTTTAGTAGAGACGAGGTTTCACCATATTGGCCAGGCTGGTCTTGAACTCCTGACCTTGTGATCTGCCTGCCTCTGTCTCCCAAAGTGCTGGGATTACAGGCGTAAGCCATTGCGCCTGGCCACATTTTCCTTTTTATAACCAATGAACAACAAACTAACGTTGACACAAAAAGGAAAAGAATGATCTCAAAATCTTGTCTCATTCAAGAATACAGTGTGAGATTCAAGGAGAATACAGTGTGAGATTCAAAACATATTCTTCCCTGAAAAATTGCAACTACTTCCCATATGCCTAAAAAACGAAAACAAAATAAAATGTGGAAACACGTATGTGATTCATTAGCCCTCACTGGATTTAAATTTCTGTCTGCAGTAGACTAGGCTAAACATCTGAGCCTTTTGTTTTATTCTGGCTATGATCACATGAACCTGTTTTAAATAAAATAAAAACTGTTTTAAAATGTTAATTTTTAAACTTCCTGCAAGATATCTCCTTCCACCACAATAAATTGATCAGCATTTTCACATGAAATACATGGTGTACACAAGGAAGTGGAAAAAATAAATTTACGTCTTTTAAACTTTCTGGTTCTATGTAGATACCTCCCTTCCTATCTCTTAGAAGCGTGGATATCAAGGTTTACTCTGAAATGTCTCTCTGGAATCTCATCAACTCAGTGCCTAGCAATGTTTAGCAGAGTGCATGTCTCTTTTCCCTCTTTGTTTCTGACTGCTGTTAAGTCCAGCATTAATTTACATTTAAGAGTTTCAGCCACTTAAAACTTTATGTCTCCTATATTAAAAGAGGGCGACTCAATAGCTGAAAATTTATCTGCACACATAGAAGAGAAGTTTCCATCTTGTAAAGCTAACAACATTCATCATTCAATATTTTAATATACTATAGAATTTTCCTTAAACTATATATTTTTCATATGAAGCTGTCATAAAACTGATGAGAATATCTTCTCTGATTTCAAACCCATCAAGTTACGTTTTTAAAAACTACTTTCCAAACCCCAGGGGCAGTATACTTGAAGGGGCAAGTACATCAGTGTATTTAGAAAATGAGTTGAGAAAAGTCAAATTGGATTCCTATTTGAACATTTATTATGGGTACCAAAGAATCCATCTGACTGAAAATGTAACCACTATTAGCACTAATTGTAGTTATACAGCTACACTGAAGTGAAGCTGCATCCCATTATTTCAATCATTGAAATCTTATAAGCAGGTTGTTTAATTTGTCTCATCCCACTGTCTATCCAACAGCTTTCTACTGTACAGATTGTTAAGAATGATTCACAAACTGTTGCTGCCTTCAAACTATATACTATAAAAGGTAGCCAAGACATAATTGTATGTTGTAGCGAACATAAAATAATTTGTGGCTTCAAAATATGTTTTTGACACAAAGCCTGCCTGCCCATTGTAGAAAATTTTGTCAATTCATGTGAAAATATTTATTACCTGCAACCATAGATACAAAAAATCAATGTGTGTGTTACGTAACATTATGTCAGTAATGTACTTGTTACTGTTTTGAGATTTCTTTCTTTCTTTTGGTCTGGATTACTCTTCTGCCAAACAACTTTTTTATTTTATACCAGCGCAAGTGATTGCTGTACTAAATTTGCAATTGTAATCATAATTTTCCTGGGAATGCTAAATTATGTCTTAATTTTATTCAAAAGCTTTTATTTTTAAAGTAATTAAGCTTATTGTTGATTGATATTTACCGTCCAATGTTCCAGGAACACTAAAAGAATACACTTTGTACGTAATCTTCCATTATAGCACATTGCTTGAGAGCAGCTATTTGATATAACAGCATTCAGTTGAGTTTTCAAACCAAAGAACTAAAATTATAGCAATTTCACTTGAAATCCATAAATCCATGCACAGGATTGTGTTCAACAGAATCACTAAATGCTATTTGTTATTCAAAGAAAGATGAATGAATCAATAACAAAATAGAACCGATAAATCATTAGCACTTTAATGCAGAGTGGAGAGAAACTAATAAATCATGCAGTTCAGGCACTCGTTTTCCTTATGGCATGTTTGAAAACATAAAACATGCAATGATGAGATGCAGGTCAATATGAATGAACAATATTACAAGACTGCTCAGAAGCATTTCATTTTACATCATAGGCTTAATGAAACACTAAAAGAAAAGTACTGTTCTGTGATTTCTTTAAACAGTCAGAGACTCCAACTATGCCATGAACACCTTCAACAGTGATCTAGGCTGTTGTTTCCAAATAAACATTTGAAATGTCATAAAGATGGGAGTGGAGTAGGTGAGGAGGAGGGAGCTAATTGCATGCATGATTCGCTTCCAAGAGCTCAGTATTATTACAGGTACCCATTTATACTAGAAATAAACTGATACAATCATTTACTTCCTTCAAGTGTACTTAACTGATCCATGAAAAATTACACCTATATTTATAAATGACTGAAAAAAGCAAGAAATCATCTATTGAGCTTTGATTGTGTTGTCTGGCTTATTGTCTGTCTGTGAAAGGTGAGAATTTTAATCATAATTAATGGGCAACTCACTCGCTTTCCAGCATTTTAGTCATCACAAAATTAATCACAGGAACCCTAAATTTGCTCCACAATGCTTAATTAATTATGCATTAACCCATTTCTCTCAAGCATTGTTTTCTGAATCTTTGGTGGGAAACACATTGATTAGGCACATAGTTTAAAACTTCTATTTCGTTATTGGTGTGGTTATGAATTCTCTCCTAGATTCTCATGCAGAAAGGAACAAGGCTTGCCATATTACCACACTTGACTGTCAAGTAACATGTTTTCACTTATTTCTGGAATTAAAAAGAAAACTAAGCAAAATAAAAACCGCGTTCTATTTTTCAGCATGAGAAAACCTTATGCCTGATATTTTTATTTCCACTCAGAAGAGTTAAGATGTTGAAGAAAAACTATGTATATATAGCAAGGTATTGTAGTCAACTATTTAATAAAATCTTCGAATTAAAAGTTTCTCCTCAAGTCATAGGTCACTGATACACTGATTCTAAAAGGGAAACGTATAGCAATCTGCAATTATGATCATTGTAGCGTTACTGATTAGTGCTTCGTAATAATTGGAATCACACTGAGAATCACGTTTCCCATGGTATTTCCTTTTTCATGTTTCACGGGTTTTTCTCACAGGTTAGTAAAAGGAAATTGGGGAAGAGTTGGGTGGGAGATGTAAAAATCTATGGGAATGCATGCACCAAAAATATGCAGTATCACTTCAGGTAAACTTCTGCTTTCTTCATGCAAAGATGCCTATAAAAACTGAGACAATAAATTTTCTAATAGCTGAATTTTACATTAGCTTAGTAACAAAAACTGTTAAACCACTTCCATGATTTTGCATGAGCAGGAGACTTGAAATGGTTCAAAGATTTCCAGCATATGTGTTCCATGGCCCAATTATGCTAATTCAATTTCTAAGAGTGAAACAACACAGGATTATTCCTTGCTTCGGTTTCTTGTCCTTTTGACGAGGGAGCAGAATAAACCGGTTTTTGGAGGCGGGCCCATCAGCATTGGGGCTTGGTTCTTGTGTGTAATTTTTATCTAGAAAAAAAGAGAGAGAGAGAGAGAGAAAGAATAGAGTAATCTCCAGATAGATACAATACCAATTTGTGAGACTCTCTGTTAAGGTTAATAATATTTCATGAGTGACTGAAACACCGCAAGTGTAAAATGTAATTTCAGAGTTTCTATTATTTCAAAAATATTTTTAAGGGAGATAGGGATATGTACTTAAATAATATCCCAGTGCTCAGGATAATAATTTTAAAAATTATCTGAAGTTGCATTTTAAATAGTATGTTACCTCTAACCTCACTTGTAGCAATATTCCAGAACTGCTTGCTTAGGTTACATGATTATCCAGTATTATTTCTTGACCATTAGTTACGTATCATTTATTGAAGTCAGGAAAGAAGGCACCATTATAGTTTCCAGAGTCCTAGTTACAGCCCAATATCAAGATGTACTTGGTATCAAGGCAAGCCTTATTTATCTTGCTAATCAGATTGTTTCTCTCTTTCAACATGAACTGCAAGGCTTAATTTCCAAACAGTCATTAGAAATGAAAGTTAAAAGTTAACATGCATAAAAGGTCAGAAATGATGAACTAGCTTTCTAATTTGTTAATTAATTGGTAATATAATAGAATCAAATATTGAAAAGCCTGCTTAAAACACTTTGAGAGACTGTTCTAAAGCTACTCGTTTTGATTTCTTTGATATAAAACTACGAATCACCTTAAATGAGACAACCTTAAAGTAGATTACGTCTGCAATTTTCTCTAATTCGACTCTAAATTAGAGAAGACATTTTATGAATATATGCTATGCTCAAAGCTAATTGAAAGCAATTATCAAAGTGGCATTTTGTCTGTGACTTTAAGATACATTGTAAGATAATAAATGATTCTCATTATGTAATAAAAAGGTCACATCTTGCCTTTGGGCTAGTGACGCTAAGAGTTTTTCAAAAGCAATCTGAGACATTTTCTTTAGCGAACTGCGACTAATACAAGAACCATCGCTTATTAAATATCAGTTGTCACCTGCACAGCATTCGCATCAGAGATGAGTATTTCTTTCAAAAAGAAGCACCACCTCATTAAAAGCTGCAAAAAATATATCTCTTAAAGTGCATACCTGACATTTTCAAGTTAAAATGAATATCCTTCACTTGTCATTCACTAATAGCAATGAAACAAAAAAATGTACATCACGTGGACAGGATCATTAAAATCTGCAGTGGGGCTTTTGGGAAATGGAAATTTACTTCACAGTCTAGAAAGACAGAAGTATGTGAAAAACCTTGAAAGAATGAACAACTTTATTTAAGTCTGCTGGAATCAGGTTATTCTGGAAGGATTCAGTGTTCTCTTTCCTGCAAAAATAAATTGCACCTGTAAAAGGCCACTAAGGCTAACCCAGCCTCAAACTCTATGGATATCTGACTTCATCTTATTTTTGTTATCTTATGAACTAGGGAATTGATAGTTGGATAGTTAAGACACCAGAATGCACTTAACTATGTAGATTGAAAATGATCTATATCAGATTTTCTCTCAATAAGTCAGCATTAGAGTATACTGTACCTTATGTCATTGAGATTTAAACTCCTCTGAAATTCTAGCTGTAGACAGGGTCTAATACTGCATCATTCATCATTTATTCATTTCACAAAATTTGTTCAGCCCCTACTATGCTTCAGATACTGTATCAGGAACTTTGAATAAATAGACAATATACAAGCTCTGCCCCCAAGAAATTATAATCTAGCAGGAAAGATAAATTGAACAAGCACATTGAATGGTGTTACAGATGCTGAAATGGGAGGCTAAGCAGAAAGGCACTATTTTTGAACATTGAAAATGAAAATGAATCATTTTACGCACAAATGTCATTTTTAAATGAGTACTGGGAAAGCAGTTATCACATATTACTTACATGATAACCTTAGATTCAAACAGAACATTAAGAGCTAAAGTAAGAAGGTTGAGATTTCGGGTTCATAATTTCTGGACTAAATGCTTTACACGGTATAATAGCATTAGGGCATTTTGGGAAATTAGATCATTATTTCCAAATAGTTGTTAAGACTATGAAAGAAATATATCTTCCTAGCCATTTATATATATATGTTAGTATCAATTTATGACAAAGCATAACCAAAATGTCACATAATTATTATCTATAAGACTTAGCTTCTTCTCTGTGTTTTTTTTTGGCGGGGGCATATAAATTTTGTTTATGACTATTCTTATATTAAAAACTTTTTAAAAAAAAAAATTACATGATTTTATGCCTTTGAAAAAATAGCACAGTATCTCATTCAGTGCTCTTGACACAATGGGACCTTTAATCTATGTGACTAAGTAAAACACAAGTTCTAGTTTGCAGTCACTAATCAGAATAATGGCCAGTACTATTTTAAAAATTATATGTAACCTGTCTTCTTGCTTGTTTAATCATTTCTACAGTCAAAGTACACAACTGTTTCTTTACTCTAACTTTATTTCTGCAAAAAATGAAATCCACATCCTTTTTGTCTGTTGTTTATGGAAACGAGAACCAATTGGTTGTATTTTCTTCTTTGTTAGGGGAGACCACATGGAGGAAACTAGCATTCAGTAAATGCCTATTATGAATGCTGTCTCTTCACATGCCTTATTTCATTGGATATTTACATGTCTTGGTATATTTGGGCAGAAGCAAAATCCTACGAGAGTAATTCCAAGCCACATGGATTGTCGGTGTCACAGTTACAGAAATTCCAGGTGTAGGCTCTAGGAAGCTGCAGAGACTCAAGTGAACCCTCAGACTCAGGTTGCTCATGTGGGAAAATCCTGGTTACGGGGGGTTAACAGGGCCTGTAATTATGACTCTGATGCCTGTTTTGTATACATTGAACATTCTTGCTTTTTTTATTACTCTTAATTTTCTATCCACTAGAGAAATAACAATGAGTAAAAATTTTATCCCCAAAGAATTTAGAATATATTAAGTTTCAGCAATCTGAGGACATGAACCAAATGGCCTTTGAGTGCCTCCTTCTATTAAGCGTCAGGTAATTACTTCTCAGTTATTCCTTGATACATCAAATATTTTGGGGGCACTGGCTGTGAACAAGGCATTTTGCAACATGATTTTGGTTGTTTAGTTTCTAAGAGACTCTGACATTATTATTTGAAAGAGGATACTGGGCACTCATAAACAGTGGTGACGGGGCTCCTAGAAACTGCAATGGTTCCATGACGGTAGAAGAGCATTGCTTACAACATGCAAGGTAAATTCTATCAGATACAGAATGGTGTCCTCCTATAAAACTCTTCCTTCTCCTTATCATGTACCCTTCTAGAAAAGCAACAGTGGCAGAGAAAGGTTCTTCCACTGCCCATGACTATTTCTACTTCTGTCTTCCTGTTTCAAATTAAGACTGGCCACTTCAAAAACTATAAATACGAAAAATGTGGGTTCAGTTTCACTTTTATAATTATTCAATATGAAATAAGGATGCACATATAGAAACCAGTAACAGAATCAAAGATTACAAAGCATAGTCTTCATCTTCTTATTTCTATTACATTTTTAAGGTTGCATAGTTTGATAGTTGTGATAGTTCCACCTCATAGTTGTAATGTTAAGAATAACAGCCAGAATAAAAAATAACGTTGATCTGGCTCTTACTGTGTGCTGAGCATTTTGCTAAGTGTTTTACACACGTTATTCAGGTGCCCCCTATTTCATCCACCTCTTTGAGCTGCCCTCAAAGTCCACTCCCATAAAACATATTATCAGAGAAGAGTGCAAAACTGAAGTAGAATTTCATAAAAGGGATAGAAGAGGGTATTTGTATCTCACAGCACATAGCAAATAATGTTTATTCCCCAGATATTTGTGTTCTCTTCAAAGACTTTGTTCAGCCCAACTAAAATCAGAGGGAAGAGAGATGGGTCTTCCCTGATTAGTTTTCCAGACAGTATTTGGTTCAGCTCGTTGGTGATTTCTTTCTTGCTTCCCTGTCTTCCAGCATCAAATATTTCCAAACCCTTTATTATGAAAAGTAGCATTTCCCTTTCTTTTGTTATCTGAACAACCGCTCGACATCCTTTCCATAAGCATTTATTGAAGCATTCTGTTAAGTTTAGAACAGAGGTGGATCTATTTTCTTTCAGGAATTCTTGTACCTGCTATTGAAATTATTTTAAAAATAATTTTACTTTTATAATGTCTAATTTTGGCCTCCTAACAACTCTGGGAGGTAGCTGTCAACACCCTTATTTTACACTGAAGGACAAAGAGACTTAAAAGGGTTCTGCTACCTGCATAACATCAGTCAAGTGGGTAAATGCAAGAGCTGGGTTTGATAGTTGACTCTCAAATCTCCTGGGCCCTCCTTGCTAATTCCTACCTCTGCACCTTTGTGCTAGTTATTGCCCTAGAGAGCATTCCCTCTCTTTTTTGCCAATCAAATTTCTATCCCTGTCCTGCCTAGCTTAAATCACACATTATTGTAAAATTTCAAAGTGAAGGGATAAAAAGAAGATTCTAAATGTCCTCAGAGAGAAAAAAAAATAGGTCACTTACAGAAAAATAAAAATCAGCATGGCATCAGGCTTTTCAAAAACATTAGCGCTAGAAGACAATGAAGAAACACCTTCAAACCCCAGAGGAAAAGTTAATTTTATCTGAGAACTCTATACTTAGTCAATGTATTGATTAACTTCAAGGGTAGAATGAAGACATTTTCAGTCACAAAAGTATCTAGAGAATTTGCCTCTTATGTACCCTTTAAAACGTATTTGGGGTGTTTTCTAGCAAAGTAAATGAGTGAGCTAAGGAGACGAGTCAAAAAAACAAAGGATTCAACTCAGATCCAGGATGACAGATTTGCAAGAGAGCTAGACAGAAACCTAAAGAGAAGGGCTTCTGGCATATAAACAAAAGGAGTGTGGATAATAGATAAATTGATATGGTAGAGTTTTGTCTTTTTTTTTTTTTTTTTTTTAAGAAAAATGAGATCTATTGTAAGGATCACTTTGCAGAGAGAAGAAAGAAATTCTGAAGCTTTACAGGAAAGAAAATGTGATCGTGGGTTAGTACTTGGTTCTGCAGTTGACAATATTTTTATAGTCTGAATGATTATATATTTTTTATTGATTTAAACAAAATTATTATATACTTCTCAGAAGCAGAACAGCTTAATGGCTGCCTAGGCCCACCATTTCCTATCTAGGGACTTTGAGCAAGTTACTACGATTCATTTCCCTCATCAATACTGTAGAGCTTTTCATATAGTGTCTCACTGGTTTCTTGTAAGGACTAAATGAATCAATGTGCACGAAATGCTTAGACTGTTACCTGGTACAAAAAAAGCACTCAGTAAATGTTAACTATTAGTAATAGAGTAATAGAGGTAAATACAGTAATGTAAGAGTGTTAGAAACCACCTTTCTATAGCACTAAGTAAGTAGAGTATACCTAAAACTAATCCATAAAAAAAAAACAAACAAACAACAAAGCGTATTTCCAGATATGGAGTAAATAATCAGAAGAAATAGTCCAAGAATCAAAGTGGTAGCATCTAATGAGAAGATCTGTTGACACAGAAAAAAGGACACAGGATGGCTATTTTTCTTGCAAGTCTATACATTCTGCTTTTTTTTTTTTTCGTTACACGTGCATATACTATTTTGGTACCAACTTCTAAATACTTTTTAAAAATCCCTCTGCAGGTGATTCTCCTGCACTCTAGTGTTTTAGTTCTCCAAATGTGATCCACAGGCTAGGAACACTGACATCATTGTTAGAAATGCAGACTCCCCGGTCCCACCCCAGATCTTCTGATTCAGATTCTGCTTTCGAACAAGAACGCCAGATGATTCCTCTGTGCTTTTAAATTTGAGAAGCCCTAGCCTATTTGTCATTTTACTTCTCTTCCTAAGTGGCAAGACCAATAAGAATCTGTTGACTGACTGACCAACTGAATAAATGAATGAATGAAAGTCCCTTTTTCTAGGCCCCCAAAACACATGAAAACAAATATCCTAACTTACTCAACTTTAATTACCTTTATTGTTAATGTACTAGGTACCAGCCTACCTTATTTTAGTGTGGAGGATTGCAAGTTGAATAGATACATATGTATTTTTAAACCTAACTGAGGTGCTTGTAGTATAATGATGATAGAAGATATGTGATGGTAGGTTGTAATATGCTTTGAGCTAGGGATATTTTCAGGGTACAATAAGATTGAAAAAATATGCCATTTAGATCATGGTGGAGGGACAGTGGCAGAATTAAAACTGAGTTTTAGTTACATCATCTCTCTGACAGCAGAGATTAGGGGCTGGTGCCATACCAGAGGCATGGAGATCAAATGGAAGGTTAATTTGATCCAGAAGAGAAGTGAAATAGACTTTAGTCAGGGCAGTGCCAATGGGAACAGAGTGGAGGCAGATTTAAGAGAGATTGAGGAGGCAGAAGTACAGGATACGATGGGTGAGTGGATGTGTGGGGCACTGGAAAAAGAGGAAGATTTTACTGCAATTTCCATGCTTGTGGTCTTCGTAATGTGTGTAGTGATGCTTTTTATAGAAAGAGAAGCGTTTTTGGTAGGGGTGAAAACCAGGAAGTTGGTGAACCTACTGTTGAGGGTGACGTTCTGAAGGAGATGCTCAGTATCTTTTGGGTCTGTGCATGTGGTGTTCGGAAGGGAGAACAGGTCTTGAGATAGATTTGGGTTTGATCATCTTATAACAATGTCAGCAATTGAGACGAAATTACTGAAGACCAGTGGGGCATATATGAATAGCAGATGTTAGACTTTGTAACTGGGGAATGCTGCCATTTAAGAGTGCAGCAGGAGAATACAAACAGTCAGAGAGGTAGGAGAAAAACTGAAAGAAGTGCTATCATATAAACATTTCCAATCAGTCCTCAGAGTGCCTATTAATTAGGCAGTCTTCCATTAATTAGGGTGAAACCTTCAAACTACATGAAATAAGGTGAGGCATGCCTCGGTTTGGTACAATGGTCTGTATGTCCGTGATATAAACTGTTAAATTATTTAACTTAATTCTAAATATAGAATTATTATATTAGAGAGTGATCTACTGAATGATATTTAAGTAGTCATTCATATTGCTTCAGGGGTTGGCAAACATGTTCTGTAAAGGATTAGATAATAAATGATTTCGGCTTTGTGGTCTCTGAACTACTCAACACTGCCCTTATACAGCAAAGGCAGTTTTGGGCTATATGTAAATAAATTAATGTTGCCATGTTCCAATAAACTCTATGTCTAAAAACTGTAATTTTAATTCCATATAATTTTCACATTAGGAAATATTATTCCTCTCTGGATTTTTTCAGCCATTTAAAAATATGAAAACTCTTCTTAACTCTTTGGCTACACAAAAACAGGCAGCTGGTCAGATTTGGCTCACAGGCCATAATTTGCTGACCCTTGATATAATTAAGTCAAACACTGAAAATTAAATTCAGAATTATGAGGCATAAGGTGGTAGAAATAATTTTAATTTAAAATCATGATTTATTGGGTCAATGGCTAAAAGATGGATAAAAGTGGAAATAATTTTCTTTGGCGTATCTTTATTATACTAAGTGCCACCATTCAGAAATCATTCTGTGGAAATTCTGAATTAGAATGTATACTAACATTCCTCAATTTTGATAATGTACCAACTGATCAAATTTGGCTTAAATGCATTCTCTTTTTAATTAATTCTCATTGCTTTGCACCAGAGTGGGCTTAATAATATTATGGTTCTTCAAACATACCTCAGCAGGTAGCATTTTTTCCTATTAAATATTCACCCTGTATCTAGCCAAAAATTTTCTCCCTGCTTCATCTCTTTAAGAGTTTATTATCACTGAATTTATTCAGCTACCTTAAAAATGAATGGGGTTTTCAGAGCAAAATAAATACCATAAAATATCTGTGAGTAGAGCTTAATTTAGCAATTATCTGGAACACTAAAAGTTACTTAGCTTGATTCTGGAATAAGATTGTCTCCTTCTAATAATGGAAACCATTTTGAATTCATGTGTGTAGCTGAGCCATATGACAGCGGGAATAAAGTACATGCTAAATTTTTCAGGTCCATAACTGCCAAAAAAGCAAAGCAATGAAACATAACAATTTTCTAAAATCCTTTTGCCAGTTTTTTTTTTTTTTTATGATTCTAGCCATTATTTTCTGGAATGATAATTTCCAAGTTTAATGTTAAAGTCTTCGATCTAACATCAAATTCAGAGAAATCATTGTGAAGACTTAAAATAAAATCCTTAAAAAATGGAGTTGGGAGGTTTACTTGCCAATTAAATTCACAGGAAGTTTAAATATGTATGGAAAAGAGAACACTTATTCCTGAAAGTGATGGACTATTTGGCCACATTGCATGGGAAATATTCATACCTGGATTTGAAATCTCTTTTAACATATAAATTGTGTTCTTCATTCCAAAATATTTTTGTGGCTCTAAGTTAGTTGTCAGGGAAGGTCAAAGACATTTTAAAAGCATTTTTATTATTTCCATGTCTCTACAGAGAAATGATCCTCACAATTTTAAACCAGTAACTGTTCATCTTTTCTTAGAGTATCTCCAAATCTGTGGTCACATGGAAAATAGAAGTCAAAAACATAACAAAACAATACAAAAACACTTCTTTTCTTAACTAGAGAATATTTACAACTTGTGACTTGACTTTTCTTACTGAGTAATATTTCAACTAAAATTTTCTATATGGCCTTTTTCACGTAGTAATGGTGTTAAGGACATAGACCCAGGACATGAGGCAAGGATTTGTTTCCCAGATTAGTCACTGGCAGCTATAAAACCCTGACCAAAGAATCTCAGTTTTGACCTTCGGTCTCTGTTTGCTAAAGTAATATAACAATAGCACCTACTTTGAAAGACCACTACAAATACCAAATAAGGCTATGCATGTCATATACATGCTTAATAAATGTTATTATTTTTAGTGTTACTATATTTAGTCCCGTGGAAACACATTTTGCTAACCCCTCTTCTATCTGAGACAACACAGCTTTCTGTGTTCCTTGGGTGGCATTGGGAAATGGCATATTATGGCCATCTGCCTTCTCCCTGTGGCACCTGGCAGCATTCCCGCCACATGCCAGACACCAATTTTACCCAAAAGAAAGGTTAGAAAAAAATTAATGTGGGGCATTTACTAACCATCAGAGAGCATAATTATTTCTGTTTGTTTGTTTGTTTAATCAAGGGAGTCCAATAAGCTCACACTGTCTTATTAGAAGAAGAAACTTCTTTAATGGCCCAATTTCTAGACTCAGCCATAACCTTGGCTATTTGGAGCATCATAGCACTGATCTGAAAGACTTTCTCCTCAACGTTAAACTACATCATGGTAATACAATTGGATACAGATGTTCAATTTTGATAACTTATCCACAAAAAAATTGCCATTGCTTGGTGTTATGATAATTGATATTTCTAACAATGTGCTTAAGGCATTGAATAGGGAGAATAATTCAGTTGAAATAGTACTGGATTAGAGAGGAAACTGATTGTTTTTTCAGGTCCTCCTGTTTCAAGGTATTGTTTCATCATTTATTCAGTTGTTCAAAATGATCCAGAAACCCAGATCATCCTTGACACCTTCTTTTCCTTACCTCTTATAACCAATAATCTATTATTGACTCTAATCATTTTCATCCCCCAAATATTTTTTGTATATCTTGAAATTTTTTTCCTTTTTACTACCATGTTCTAAGGCCTGAACAATTATAGAATTCTTCTAAATGGTCATTACCTCTCCCGCCAATTAATTCCCCACCTAGAATGATCTTGTCACCGTGCACATCTACTCACATCACTTTCCTGTTGAAACCTCTCTTTACTTCCATGTTACCCTTAAATTAAAGCTAAACATTTCTCATGAGGGCTCCCAGGTCCTGCTGTTCTGCTCCCACTGGACCGTATGCCTCACCCCACGCTGCCTCTCTTCTTTCATGTCTTCCTTCTGAACCCTGTACACACCAGGTTCCTTCCCACACTGTACTGTTTTCTCTGCATAAGACACTCTTCCCTCTCTTTGGGGCCTAGTTATATCCTTCTCCTCTTTTAGTTTTCAGGTCAATTTTGAGTTTCTTTGAAAGCCTTCCTGGACCTTCTACAACAAGATCAAACACCTCTATTATACCCTGTCACAGTATAATAGTACCACAGTACCGTAGTATCACAGTTCAAAGGATCATGAACTTTCCTTCACAGACCTTATATCATTATTGAAATTTTATATTTGTGGGACTATTTGAGTTATGTGTACCTGCACTGAGTTCAGAGATCATATCTTTTTTTGGTTCACTTTGTATTGTTTTCTCTCCATTCATTGTAACACTAGGACAAAATGTCAGCAGCTTCATAGAGATGGAATTCAATAAATGTTTGCTGAAAGAATGAATAAATGAATCACTGATATTCTTTTTTTGAGATGGAGTCTTGCTCTTGCCACCCAGGATGGAGTGCAGTGGCGCCATCTTGGCTCATTGCAACCACCCCCGTCTCCTGGGTTCAAGTGATTCTTCTGCCTTAGCTTCCTGAGTAGCTGGAATTATAGGCGTCCACCACCACGCCCAGCTAATTTTTGTATTTTTAGTAGAGATGGGGTTTCACATGTTGGCCAGGCCATTCTCAAACTCCTGATCTTGGGTGATCTGCCTGCCCTCGGCCTCTTAGAGTGCTGGAATTACACGCAGGAGCCACTGTGCCTGGCCAATCATTGATATTCTTGACTTGGCTTGGATAAAAGAGTTGTAAATTATATTTATGGATTTAAAAATCATGTTTAATAATAGCTATTTTGTTCACCTCACAGATTTGTCATGAGAATGATATGATATAATCTATCAAAAGTCTTTGAGTTTTTCAAAATAATAATAGCTATTTATGACAAACCCACAGCCAATATCATACTGAATGGGCAAAAGCTGGAAGCATTCCCTTTGAAAACTGGCACAAGTCAAAGATATCCTCTCTCACCACTTTTATTCAACATAGTATTGGAAGTTCTAGCCAGGAGAATCAGGCAAGAGAAAGAAATAAAAGGTATTCAAATAGGAAGAGAGGAAGTCAAATTGTCTCTGTTTGCAGATGACATGATTGTATATTTAGAAAACCCCATTGTCTCAGCCCCAAAACTCCTTAAGCTGATAAACAACTTCAGCAAAGTCTCAGCATACAAAATCAATGTGCAAGAATCACAAGCATTCCTATACACCAATAACAGACAAACAGAGAGCCAACTCCTATTGGCAATTGCTACAAAGAGAATAAAATACCTAGGAATACGACTTACTTACAAGGGATGTGAAGGGCCTCTTCAAGGAGAACTACAAACCACTGCTCAACTGCTCAAGGAAATAAGAGAGGATACAAATGGAAAAACATTCCATGCTCATGGATAGGAAGAATTAATATGAAAATGGCCATACTGCCTAAAGTAATTTATAGATTCAATGCTAGTCCCATCAAGCTACCATGGACTTTCTTCACAGAATTAGAAAAAACTACTTTAAATTTCATATGGAACCAAAAAAGAGCCCGTATAGCCAAGACAATCCTAAGCAAAAAGAACAAAGCTGGAGGCATCACGCTACCTGACTTCAAACAATACTACAAGGCTACAGTAACCAAAACAAACAGCATGGTACTGGTACCAAAACAGATATATAGACCAATGGAACAAGGAACTTAAACAAATCTACAAGAAAAAAACAAACAACCCCATCAAAAAGTGGGCAAAGGATATGAACAGACACTTCTCAAAAGAAGACATTTATGCAGCCAACACACATATGAGAAAAAGCTCATCATCACTGGTCATTAGAGAAATGCAAATCAAAAACCACAGTGAGATAACATCTCACGCCAGTTAGAATGGCGATCATTAAAAAGTCAGGAAACAACAGATGCTGGAGAGGATATGGAGAAATAGGAACACTTTTACACTGCTGGTGGGAGTGTAAATTAGTTCAACCATTGTGGAAGACAGTGTGGCGATTTCTCAAGGATCTAGAACCAGAAATACCATTTGGCCCAGCAGTCCCATTACTGGGTATATACCCAAAGGATTATAAATCATTCTACTATAAAGACAGATGCACCTGTATGTTTACTGCAGCACTATTCATAATAGCAAAGACTTGGAACCAACACACATGCCCGTCAATGATAGACTGGATAAAGAAAATGTGGCACATATACACCATGGAATACTATGCAGCCATAAAAAAGGATGAATGAGTTCATGTCTTTGCAGGGACATGGATGAAGCTGGAAACTATCATTATCAGCAAACTAACACAGGAACAGAAAATCAAACAGCACATGTTCTCACTCATAATTCAGAATTGAACAATGAGAATACATAGACACAGGGAGTGGAATATCACACACCAGGGCCTGTTGGGGGGTGGGGGGCAAGGGGAGGGATAGCATTAGGAGAAATACCTAAGGTAGATGACGGGTTGATGGGTGTAGCAAACCACCATGACACATGTATACCTATGTAACAAACCTGCACATTCTGCACATGGATCCTGGAACTTAAAGTATAATTAAAAGAAAAAAAAAGTCTTTGAGTTTTTTAAGTCTCCTCCAAAGAAATATATGCAACTGTCTTCTGAATATTCGAGGAAATAAAAATAATAAACTATGATATTCTAGTCAGTTCATTTTTATTAAGCACTTTAAGTTCAAATTTTTATTTAAAATTAGTATTCTATCCCAGGAAGATCCCTGTGAAACAGTGGACTAGTTCTGTATTAGTGATAAGCAGGCTCACTCTTTAAAATTTTCAACAATACAGATTATTGCCTTTTAATGAAGAGCTTAGAATGTGGTAGCCTTGTTTTCTAATTTTAATACACAAAATCGGAGATCACAGAAAATTAATAGTTAGAAAAGGCAAGGTCAGAAGGCAAATGTGAGAGGATAGTCAGGCCCAGACCTTGTGAGTCTATAGTCTGTATCCACCAGCAGAAAGATTTCTAACTGCTAAAAGCAATCAAACCTGTGCATTATTATTCTGATGATAACCATCAACTGGGAGATTATTTCCAATTTTGCACATTCCAGAGGAAGATATTCAGTTTCGAACTGGATGTGAATATTGGTCCTCTTGCAAACTAATGACAAAATTCTGATAAGTACATACAGTTTTATCATTTTTATCATATTTACAGGCTTGGGTCACATCAATATAAATACATAAGGTATTACATATCTGGCATATTTCTCATTTAATTTTTAACCTTTCATGTTTTTAGATATTGTGTCCAACATAGATTTGGAGTTCCTACATGAGAATATGATTATGAGAGATATTACTATCTGCTAGCCAAAATGAAATTAATTTTTTGAATTGGAAACTAATGACTAGATTAATTCAGGTTTCAAAATAAAGAATAAAAGAAAAACTTAAATTCATTGAACAATATTTAAATTGAATGCATTAAAGTGAAGAGTGACAAAAATGTAAGTTTAATTGTAAACATAACATTTGGGATGGAAAACATTTAAAATATGCTATGACAAGAAAAAAATCTTTAAAATATTTTTATACAAAAAGCAATCATATCTAATCAGCTTGGCATTAATTAAGCTCTAATAATGTACTTCAGTATCTTTCCAAAGTAGTATGATCCATTTCCCCTTTATCCAGGTCGATTTGTGCACATTATGGTGTCATCATAATTTTAAAACATACTGAGAAAATGACAGAGCTGCAAAATTAAAATAAATGATTAATGGTATTTTTTTTTCATGTTTTGTACTAATAGGTATTACTGAGCCTTTAAATTAATAGAGCTGTCAAGCTCACGGGTGTTACAGATCCAGCAATGAACCAAAATGGAAATTATATATTCCAGAGACACCTAAAGATGACACCTTGGAATATTTTAAATTTTAATTAGTAGGTGCAATGGTTTTGTTCCCCTGTAACTACTGCAAATTAATTGGAAATTAGTCACAATCAATCCTTTTTTTTTAACCAATCTGAAATGAAAAGCTTGGTGCTTTACATCTTAACATTGTTGCTTGAGGGCCAGAAAGCATACAAGCAGTAAATTGTGTTGTCAATTACAAAAAACAACAATTGTTATGAAATTAGGAAAAATTATGCACAGGTAAACCAAACTAATTAATGCATAAGTAACAGGGGAACACACAAAATAATGTCCAACTAAACACTGATGTGCCAGTCTTTGGAAAAATAAATGTTTAAAATTGTAAATTTATGCAAAAGCATTTACTAATGAAGATTTAGGTAAAAAGGTGCTTTTAGTTTATGTTTTATTTAATTGCTTTTGGAGTCTCACTACCACTCACACCTTAAAACATATACTCACAAGAACAGCAGTCTGCTCATGCCAGTATGTTTCAAGGGGGCAGAAGACTATTAATTTTCTCTCTTCAAATTATCAACATTTAGGCTTATTAAATAACAAACTGGCCAGGCACAGTGACTCACCCCTGTAATCCCAGCACTTTGTGGGAGGCCGAGGCAGGCAGATCACCTGAGGTCAGGAATTCGAGACCAGCCTGACCAATATGGTGAAGCCCTGTCTCTACTAAAAATACAAAGATTAGCTGGGTGCGGCGGCAGGTGCCTGTAATCTCAGCTACCCGGGAGGCTGAGGCAGGAGAATCGCTTGAACCTGGGAGGCAGAGGTTGCAGTGAGCCGAGATCATGCCATTGCACACCTGCCTGGGCAACAGCAGAGAAACTCCATCTCAAAAACAAAAAACAAACAAAAAAAAAAACAAAATAAAAAACCTCACCACCACAACAACAACAAAAAATACTGTAGTATTTATTTCTTTAACAGATATCTATAGTATTTAAATATTAGGCAAAATGCAATTTCTAGGCACATCAGGAAAATACTAATTATCTACACCTACCTGTTAAAGCATTTTCTTACTGTTTACATATGGGTTAGTCTTTTTCTTTCATCACTAAAAATACACGTTCTTCTGTTGATTTTTTCTCCCACTCTGGTAAAATAAGCCATTAGAGCAACTTAAGATTCTTTAAAAACGGTGTGTCTACCAAGTCAGCAAGTGTTGCTACAATCGCTGTGCAACTTTTAACTAGAAAATAATATTATTTTCACATTTTCAAAACAAGGCTACTATCCAGATAATGAAACTGGTACATTAAGAATTATTTAATGATATTTAAAGTTAAAGAATTTAATGCAACGGTCTTGGGAGATTCAAGAGTTATGTAACTATGCGGATAAACTTCATCGCACTATTTCAGAGCACTGTTTTCAGTGCATCTATTCTAGATGAGTTTTAACATAATTTTCTTTTTATGTAATTATGAAAGTTAAACATTATGATAAAACAATGTCCTTCTTTAATATCAGTTTAACTGTAAATGATAATGAGGAAACAATAATGATGTTGCTACATTTTCTGTAACACTTTGGCCGAATTTCAAAGATGTCAAATACTGTCCCACTGTAGAATAACATGGGTTTAACTTTTTGGGGGGGTATAATTGGGGATTACAGGGAATTTAGTCTAAATTATGAAAAAGAAGAAAATTCAGATGTATTATTAAATATAACAATACTTAATATATACCAGAAATTAATTAATGCTTTCTTAATATCACTAAATGTGATATATGGTAATTTTCAACAACCATTCAATATTTCTTTGTGACTCGTAGGTAGCAGGTTTTAGGACTAGGAAAATAATTCCAAGAAAAATATTAAATAACTCTCCAAAGTCCAGAAGTCACTAAAAAAGCAAAGACAAGACCGTGGATTCCAGCCCTCATTTCTATTTTCTGCCCCTTTGGATAGTAATCTTCCTAAGCAGTTTTTCCCCTCCTTCCTTACAGATATCCCAGAAAACATTATTTTCAAGGAGTGAAAAATATTTTTAACCTCAGACTACATTGAATTTCTGTTAAAGTGCTAGGAAAGTTGACTATTTCAGTTGCAGATGCCAACTTTCTCAAAATAACTTTTAAAATAGTAGAACCTAGAATAGGTTTTAAATAAAAATCTGGTAAACAGAAGTTTTAATAAAATGGCTGAGATTCTGTAATAAAAGAGTGGTAAGGTTGTACAACTTACTAATTTGTTTCCAGTCCTCTGTTCTGTGATTAGTTAATTTACATAGGAGGTAAAAGGAGATCCACCTATCACAAAAAAATGCGAATTCTAGCTATTTTTTAATTTCTCAAATTTGCCCTATTCCTGCTATAAATCCTTTCTCATGTACTGTTTATATTTAGGCTTTAGTAGCTTCTAGTCAAGAAACATAGTTCTATCCCCAAGTTAAATTAAAAAATACCTATTGTTTCTTGAACTAAAAATTAAGATATAAGCACATAGACTATGGGAAAAAAGTGATCAACGGATTCCATTATATTTTCCAATATATATTATGTGAAGTGCTCATTTAAATGGTATTTGAAATAGAAAGGATTTTCATGATATTCAACTTCGAATGGGCCTTTGAAAGGACCATTAAAACAATCTCTTCTTACAATGGTTTATGTTGCTTCTTCACGTAGATGCCCTAGGCTGTGTTTGCTAAGTGTGGAACTGCTAAAGAAAGCCAAAATATAAAGGAGTCTCATTGGACTACTGTCTGTTTTACACCTGTGCTCCTTTATTCATCACTGCACATTTCAGAAAGCCTCAGAAGCATGGTATTTCTTCCTTTCTGAACCTTTTATCCTTAGGCAAACAAGCTTAACGAACTGCTGACAATTTCAGCAATAATAAAAGGTAGGAACAGTCCCGGTTCTATAACTCTTTGTTTCATGACCTTGGACATTCACCTAACCTCATCCGTATAGTCTAAAAGTGTCTTATACTAACAGATAACTTACTTGGAATAGTCCTAAAATGTGTTCGCCTACAATGTAATTTAAAAAAGAAAATCTCATGTGGTCATCCACATCATTACTCGCCTATAGAAATACCTAAAACCTTAATCTTATAAGTGGGTAAAAACAACTAAACTTTTTTGGTCAATTATTTTCTCTCAATGTGGTAAATGCTGTCTCAAACTGCTTAAATCTGGGGCACAAGAGTAGAAAAAATATCAGTGATGTTTTCTCAAATTGGGTATGTTTTAAGATTCAAGGTTTAGGGCATTTATTAGACTTATTTAGTATTTTTGGAAGGAATATGAAAATGGGGAATAATCTATGAAATCTCCAAGTCAGCACGCAGGTAGTTCTAGCTAATAATATGCCAATCTGATGGAGAGAATTTAGCCAGATCTCAAAATAGTCATAAACAAGAAAATCTAATGGTGTGGGGGTGTGGGTTCCAATTTCAGTTAAGAAGGAATAAGCACTCTTCACTCTATCTCTCCCACTGAATGCACTATAAACCCTGGGCAGAACACATGAAGCAGATATCTGAAGTTGCTGAAAAGAAAATAATAAAAGGCAAATTGGGGAAGAAGACCAGAACATGAAGTGCCATCAAACCAGTGATGAGTTTTTAGTTTTTAGTTTTTTTCTCTACTCTTGCACCTCCTGGCCTGGACTTAAAAGCAGAACAAAAACTGGAATTGTATACCAGGTACAGATAGAAAGTGCCAAGAAAAACCCTGTCCTACTGGTACAAAAATAGGAAAGAAGGGCCCTACAGATCAGAGTGAATGGGAAAAATATTCGTTAATCAGGCCAGACACAGTGGGTGGCTCATGCAGGTAATCCTACCACTTTGGGAGGCCAAGGCAGGCGGATTGCCTGAGCTCAGAAGTCTAAGACCATCCTGGCTAATAGGGTGAAAACCCATCTGTACTAAAAATACAAAAAATTACCTGAGCGTAGTAGTGTGTGCCTGTAGTCCCAGCTACTAGGGAGGCTGAGGCATGAGAATTGCTTGAACCCGGGAGGCGGAGGTTGCAGTGAGCCAACTTCATGCCACTGCACTCCAGCCTGGGTAACAGAATGAGACTCCATCTCAAAAAAAAAAAAAAAAAAAATTCTGTTAATCATTTCCATCCCAGTCCTCTGGCAATTCCATGGCAGTGGAAGGTAATTAAAACTCCAATGGAGGAGACATCTTTTCTCTGACTAGAGAAAGTATGTTCCCAAAGCATGGGGGGAGTCCTACTCCTTTTTTCTCTCTCTATTCCTTTATCACAGAACCCTGGAGGCAGATGCTACTTCGAGAAATATATGACAAAGTGAGGAAACAAAAGCCTTGGATTATTGGTCAGAGAAACAATATGAGAGCCCTGGGAGTAAAAAAAAAATATCAGAGAGATCATGGAGAGGAGGTGGCTTGAGAAAGCTATCCTATGAAGTTGCATTTGATCACCTGAGTTTATCCCTTAGCTGTGTATGCATAGATTTGACCTTAACAAACATACTGATGACTTTGAGAGCTGCATTTGGGGGTATATCATCACCAAGTTTTCAGACAGGCATATGGATCTTTTACAAGTAAGATACATCTGAATAACATTGCAAACACTTTGAAAACCAAACAAACATACTGGAACCACAACTCACAGAAGATAGAGCAGCTTTTGTAACCTGAACCTAACAGAGTCAACTACCTGCTAAAATAGTAACAGCAACAACAATAAATTAACATTTCCTGTGAGAATTGAAAATACCTAGAGTCTTATAACACAATATTAAAACTGTTCAGAATATAATAAAAAGTTTCTCAAGATATGAATCACAGAAAAATCTCAAAAACACACAAGGGGAAATATAGCCAATGATGCAAACCCTGAGATGATACAATTGTTGGAATTAACAAAGACTTAAGAGGTATTATAACCATGCTCTAAGAAGTAATGGCAGATACTCTTGAAATGAAATGAAAGACAGAGAGCCTGAACTGAGAAATAGAAGATAGTTAAAAAATGAATCACTGGAAATTTTAAAACTGAAAAATACAATGAACAACATAAAAAATAACTGAAAGGACTCAACAACAGAATGGAGATAAAAGAGAAAAATGTCAGTGAATTCAAACACAGGTGAATAGATATCCAATGTAAACAATAGAAAATATAGAAGGAAATAAAAAGTGAACAGACTCAAAGATCTATGAGACAATACATAAAGTGCTTAACACACGTCATCAGAGTTTTAGAAGGAGAGGAGAGAGTGTGTGGCGTAGAAGTCAATATTTGAAGAAATAATAGCTGGAGATGTGCCGATGTGGCAAAACATACAGCTACAGATTCGTGAAGCTCAGTGAAACTAAAACAAGATAGGCTCAAAGAAACCCATGCCCAGACTCATCAAAGTCCAACTGCTGAAAACTAAAGACAAAGAAAAAAATCTTGAAAGCAGCCTAAGAAAAATGACGTATTACATATTGCAAAGCAATGATTCAAACGACTATGAATTTCTTATCAGAAATTGCACTATGTAAGAAGACATTTGCAAAGTATGAAGGGGAATTAAAGATGAAATTTAAAAATGCTTACAATTAAGTCAGAAGAGCTGGATGCAGGCATGCGTAGCCGAAATACAAGTCTGTGAATTGGAATGCTGTTAAGAAGATATCAACAGAGTCACAGGAGTACAAAGGATCAGGCAAATATTTCTGACAGATGGGAAGTTAAAAAGGCTTCATGAGGAAATTGCTTCTAAGCTTGGCATTGAAGGAAGAGATTTTATTTTATTTTTAGTATGTATGTATTTATATCTCATTGCCTTCCAGAAAGATTTTGAAGTAACTTATAAAAATACATATATCCCAATAGGACAGAATAATTAATTCAGGCAATCTGACTAAAAGGGGAAAATTATGTGTATGAAATTAATAAACCATAGGTAAGACTAGATGAAAGAAATGCAAACCATGGGCCGGGTGCAGTGGCTCACGCCTGTAATCCCAGCACTTTGGGAGGCCGAGGCTTGTGGATCACAAGGTCAGGAGATCAAGACCACCCTGGCTAACACGGTGAAACCCAGTCTCTACTAAAAATTAAAAAAAAAAAAATTAGCCAGGTGTGGTGGCGGGCGCCTGTAGTCCCAGCTACTCGGGAGGCTGAGGCAGGAGAATGGCGTGAACCCGGGAGGTGGAGATTGCAGTGAGCCGAGATGGCACCATTGCACTCCAGCCTGGGCAACAGAGCGAGACTCCGTCTCAAAAAAAAAAAAAAAAAAAGAAATGCAAACCATGAGTCCTAGATAACTACTGGAAGAAGCCACAGATTTGGAGGTAGCCTGCCTGGAGACCAGAAGAATGAATCTATTTCTAAAGCACAAAATAGAGGGTAAGGATTTGAGGCAAAAAACGAAGTACTATGCATGGTAATCCTCTGGGAAGTGGTTCCTATGAGGCATAGCAGTCTGGTCCCGGCCTTGGGAGAATAATTTAATGTCATGACAAAGATTCTGAACTTTTTTCTGTGTAAAATGAGGAGGCATTGAACTTTGAGATCAAGGGAGTAAGATCATCATAGCTGTGTTGGTCAGTAGTAATTCTGGCAACAATATGATGGATAGCTTTGGCTGCAGTGGGAAGCAAAATATGTATTACATAAAAATAAATAATATAAATAAGATGAAAAGGGATTTTCTGTTTTAAATGATAGAGTTGTAATTAATTATTAGTATTAGAAATACATTAAGGCAGCCAGGTGCCATGGCTCACACCTGTAATCCCAGCACTTTGGGCAGCCAAGGTGGGTGGATCACCTGAGGTTGGGAGTTCAAGACCAGCCTGACCAACATGGAGAAACCCCATCTCTACTAAAAATACAAAATTAGCCAGGTGTGGTGGCACATGCCTGTAATCCCAGCTACTTGGGAGGCTGAGGCAGGAGAATCGCTTGAACCCAGGAGGTGGATGTTGCGGTGAGCCGAGATCACACCATTGCACTCCAGCCTGGGCAACAAGAGAGAAACTCCATCTCAAAAAAAAAAAAAAGAAAGAAAGAAAGAAAGAAAGAAAGAAAGAAAGAAAGAAAGAAAGAAAGAAAGAAATACATTAAGCCTCTGAAGAGTGACTGAGTGAGGCAGCAAAGCATCATAATTAAGAGATTAAAACCCAATGGCCTATTTCTGCCTTTTGCTGTGTGGCCTTGGGCAAGTTACTTGACTTCTCTGGCTTCAGGTTTTTTCTTAAATTTATAATATGGGGATTATAATAACTTTACTGACATCTTAGGGTTGCTGTGGAAATTAAATAAGTAATAAACATGTACACATACAACAGAAACTGGTACATGGTAAGCAAGGTAAATTTTATATCTAGGTATTGTCACCAGGGTTTCCTCCAAATATCTCCAGGCTGTTCTTATGTCTTGAAAAATCCAGCAACCTTTGTCTAGTTGATATTAACTTGCTGGGTCTTGAAAAACTTAAATTTATACAACCTTTTCCTTTATATCTTAATGGCCTGAGATTATTGTGTATTTAGCAAGCGATTAAAGAGTAACTAACACTTTAATGTTATGATCATTTTAATGATTTGAAAAAACAAACACATAAACAAAAAATGTAATAAGCTCCAGAATACTGTTTTTCTTTTTGAATAGTCTGTATTTTAAAGTTATGGTGGGATGTGTGAAAAGAAGTGTCAAAATGAACTCTAGATAACTGCAGTAGCTAGAGCAACAGAGAAAAGACCAAGTCTTCCTAGTAGAGGACACAAACAAAGGCAAAGCAAGCAGTCAGTGTCCAAGTCAAGGAGGTGCTAGTGTCAGGGAGGGGAACTGGCAGTCAAGTCAGAAAATAGCATCTCATGGAATGGGTCACACAGTAGAAGTCTGGGCAGTAGGAGACAGGTGCTCATAGGGTACCCAGGATTTGAAAGGATCATACCTAAGACAGCAAGACTAGCAGGCTTGGTGGGGATTGGTCCCGCACCAGGTCAGGGCTCAATTGCACAATGAAGGTAGTTGTAAGCTAAGACTGGGCAAACAGGTTTAAGATCTTAAGAGGTATTATGCCAGGGAAGGTACAGAAAAAAGGCAAAGAGGGGTTAAAACATACATAAATGTTTTCTAGAAGTTGCCGTGGCCTCAGCTATCACTTTGTAGAGTCTTCTTAGTCTACCTGTGATCATTTCACTATTTAATGTATAATCTGTTCATGATTTCCTTTCCGTTCTCTACCACATGGAAGGAAGTTTCAGGAGTTTTTTTCTGTCTTCATCATAAACAAAATACCCAGAGTAATTTTGCATTAAAATCTTGTTGGCACTACTTTTCATAAATGTGTCATGAGTAATAATACATGCCTATTAATATTTCAAATAATTAACAGAATGCAGCTTTTTGAATGTGCAAAAGCAATGTATAATTGATAATCCAGAGGGAAGTGGCCCAAAGAAGTTTAATCATACCATACAGGAAATAGAAGGATTAAATCTTTTGAGATTGAGAAAGAATTTCTTCTCTGATACATTCAAATTCTTTGCTTTGAGAATATAATGAATAAAGATAACTCAAAATAACTTTTACATGTATTTATATATAAAAATATGTGAATGAATTGCTAGCCAACCTACATTATGTTCAGTGAAAGAAGATTTAGTAGAAAAACACTTTTTAAAAATGTTATACTACCCTAAGAAGTATTTCAGAAATTTGCAAATTCAAAGTGCATTTGGTATTGGCAATCTAATTATGTGTGAGGTACAGTGCTACGCTCTGGGGCTACCAAGATGATCCAAATCATGGTCCATGACCTCAGTAAGCCTGTGTCTAAAAGGAGCTGGACATATAACTGAGAATTCCAACGTAATGTTGTTATTGTTTTGATAAAACTGAAACACTGAGGCTGAGCTTTTAGGCTATTTGGAGAAAAAGGAGTGGAGAAGTGGAAGGAGGGGTTGTGCTCAGGGAAGCATTTATGGAGGAGGGACAGCAAGGAATGAGCCTCAAAAGATGTGTTGTGTTACCAAACTAAAGAAGAGGAAAAATTTGTTTGGACAAGAGGGAAGCGCATGAAAAGACTTTTTAAAAAGTAAGAGATTATGTTGGTAAAACAGGAAGCCTCACTCAAACCACATTTTATCAGACAGAGAGTAACTAAACAATATTTTAAGTAGAAGAGTGCCATGGTGAGATTCATATTTTATAGTGACTATTCTGATAGAAATGTGAAGCATGGACTTAATTGGAACAAAAATTGAGATGGGGAAATATTGATGTGGTTTTGCCAGGAATGAGAGAGAAATGAATTGGGCCAAATCTAAAACAGTGGTTAATAGGGAGAGAAAGAAAGGAAAAGATTCCAGAAATAGGTCATATCATTATATGGACACGTAAATTGGATTTGAGGGTATATAGAGAAGTACAGGATGACTTTCAGATTTCTAGCTTAGGAAACACCAGGTGTTTCAATGGTTTCACTATCTCAGTATGATAGAGGGAAGAATCGCAGATCTAGGATGTGAGAAGACCTCATCTGGGGAAGGAGAGATATGGGGAGGCAAATGATGAGTCCATTTTAGTTGTAATAAATTTGAGGTTCCTGAGGCTTTGAATAGTCACTTCTCACTTAAACTTTACTGGTCATGTGTCACTTAAAATAAATGGGTAGTAAAGGGGTGCTGGTTGTACAGATACAAAATAAAATCTTACCTAGTCTATGTCCTCTCCTATCCTACCACTCTATTCCCTCTACCCTCCACCCCAAGCTGCTCTTTCTTCTTCCCATTATAAGAACATATTGACTACAGAATCATATGTTCTACATGCTCAGGAGGAAGGATGGGGGAGGAAGAAGAAAGAATAAAATAGACTCTGGAGTCTGGCCTAAAGACAGCTCTTCTAAGACAATTTTCAATATATACTCTCTTCTAGAATTAATATTGTCTTTAGTTTGATATGCTTATTATCACAAGCAATAGTTATATGGCTAAAATAATTGTGTTAACTCAGTGACTATTACAAAACAATGAATACAGGAGCACTTAAAAATTTATGTTGATGGCTTTACAGTGACAGAATCTAGATGGTCCTAAAAATAATTACCAAGTGCATATTTGAAGAATGAGTACTAAGCTCTTTGGTTTTTTCTTTTCCTGATCTTTGAACTCAATATTGGTGAAATTTATAAATGTATCTTACATTAATTTTTCTATTAGTGACTTTTTTATTGTGGTAAAATATACATAACATAAAATTCACCACGTTAACTTACATTTTTAAGTGTGCAGTTCAATGGCACCAAGTGCAATCACATTGTTGTGTCACCATCACTACCCACCAACTCCAAAACTTGTATTATCTTGATATTTAAGCATTAATTGATATTTCTGTTTTATATATTCTACTAATAGAAAAAACAGAACTTCTGCTCTCCTCTAAAATTATGTCTAGAGCAATTCTTTCATAAATTGAATATCAGCTTACAGATATTTAAATTCAGCAGAGAATTTAAACATTGTAGCATTCTTATTTTCTGTAAGAAAAATATTGGGTTATTCAACTGAAGCAAAAAACGCTCCATAGTTAACCATACCAATGCTATGAATACTAAATATTCTCTTCAATTACAGTGAAATTTAAAGTTCAGAACCCCATGCGGCTGTGGGAAAAGTAGAGTATGCCAGAATGTAAAATCACAATAATGAGCCATAGTCTACTATGATTCTTGGCCTACTGTAAGCTGCAATAAATGTTTTAAATGAATAAGTGAGTTTACAAGGGAAGAAAATTAATATAAGTTACATAAAATTTTTATTAATTTAACAATTGTAAGTCATGATAGTTAACAGGTGAAATGAATGTCTTATTACTTATTGAAATAAAAATTAACAAAAGTAGTTAAAAGTGCTTGTGTTAAACAAGCTTAAATTATTCTAACACATTAATTAAATTTCAATAGGCAGACATTTTCAAGCTGGAGAAGCTTGAAAGGTAGTCAGGGAGAAAGGTAGTCCGTCATTTACCAAAGGTCACACACTCTGGAGGGAGATTTCCAGCATGCACCGGGGCCATTTTGTGTTGAGCTTCACAGTAAGGAGCAGAGATGAAGCGTGCAGATGCTGGAGTCAGACTACCTGGGTTTCCATTTCTACTTTGCTATTTATTAGCTGTGTAGAATTAGATGAACTATTTAACCTTTGTCTTCCTCAGTTATTTCCTTCATAAAATAAGGCTAACCATATAATTTTTGTGAGAATTAAATGCATCAACATGGGTCAAGTGTCTCCAACTGGATGTACAGGACATTCTAAGAACTTTTTTTAGGATATTACCATAGCTGTGACCGCTTCTCGACTCAAAACATGGAATAAGGGCTAAATGCCTCTTCTCCTGAGAAGAGTCCAAAATAATACAAAGAGTATTCATGGACGCTAGTTGGTTTTATTTCTTTGATTTACTTATTCTTTTGTTACCAAGGCTGATGAAAAGTGACTTTTCATTAAAAACACCGCTACCAACCACTACTGTCTTGCATCACAACCACCACCATTGCAACTACCATCACCACCATTACCACGAGTTTTACCACTATTTCCACCATCACGGTAGCAGCTATTACCCCCACCACCATCATAACCATCACCACCTCTGCAATAGCATCACCACCATCACTATCACCATTATCATCACTATCACCATCACCATCATTAAAAACAACATTTTTAACATCCATGTGAATAGAATAATGTGAATTTAGAAGTGTCATTTGGAGAGTGAAGGATCACAGAAAAGATGTATGTGTACACATACTGGTGAAGGGAGGAAAAAGATTTAGTGTTCAGGCAGCTAAAGGAATACACCAGAAACAAAGATGAAGTAATGTTTATGTGTTATACACAACGTTTGAGCCAGTAGTTTCAGAGTAAAACCATTACAAAGGTAAAATGAAAAATTCCTTCTTACATGCTAATCTGTGCTGTTTGAAATCTGTAACTAAGGTTGTTTACAGTAGTGGTTGAGAGAATGGGCTTTAATTAAAGAGTCTTGGATTTTAGTTCCATATCTACTTCATACCTGCCCTTGAGTATGCTATTTAACCTCCCAGAACTTGTATTTTCTCCATCTAAAAAATGGTGGTTCCATTATTTAGAATTTGTGTGAATATTTAATACATACTCACATATAACATAAGCATTCAGCACAATGCTTGTGCAAGATTAAGACCTTCCCCTGTTGCCCTCTAATCAGTTTCTCTCCAAATTTTAACTACTCAGTAAATCACACTATCATTCTTAGGTAAGAGTTGACTTCAATTCAGCCCTTTCTCTCCTCCACCTCCTGCACCCCCAGGAACTCATTAATAAATTTTTCCTGTTCTACCTCTGGAATATAGCTTACATTCATCCACTTTGATTTTACTTCCCTGCTGCCATCTTTGCCCAAGCCCAGAGTACTAGGATAGACCAATCTCTCAGTTGCTGCTCAATACAATCAATCCTCCACAGAGCAGCCAATGTGAACTTAAAAAAATGTAAATCAGATGATGCTTAAAGTTTTCAGTAGTTTCCTATTGTACTTAGAATCAAAATTTAGCTCTTTACCGTCAATTTTTTTTCTACATGATTTGTTCTCTGTCTACCTTTTCTACTTAAACTCTTACCATTCTCCCCTAATTCTAGAAGCTTTGGTCACACCACCCTCCTTAGTGTCTTTTTTTTGGGGGGGATGGAATTTCACTCTGTCACCCGGGCTGAAGTGCGGTGGCACAATCTCAGCTCACTGCAACCTCCGCCTCCCGGGTTCAAGTGATTCTCCTGCCTCAGCCTCCTGAGTAGCTGGGACTACAGGTGCGTGTCACCAAGCCCAGCTAAGTTTTTTTTTTATTTTTTTTAATTTTATACTAAGCTTTTGGCTATGTCCTTTCAAAGAGGTCTCCCTTATCTCAAGTAGTATTTATTCTCCACACCTAATCCAGCTTCTTATCATCATTTCACCTTATTTTTTAATAACTCTCACAGTCTGAAGTTATATTTATCATGTAGTTGTTTATTTATTCGGTCCTCTATTATAGGAATGTAAGTAACTTGAAGGAAATTACACTGTTGGTCTTGTTCATGTGTCTACTCCCAGTGCCAAAAGCAGTTCCTAGCATGTTTTTGAAATGCAATAAAATATTCACTATGCAAATGAAAACTGATTTTTTTTTGAGAGGGGCAGTGTCTGCCTTAAATAATACCTCATTCTGGAAAACACAATTAATTATGGTAGAAACTGGAGAGAAATTTTTTTCTTATGGAGAAGAAAGCCCTCAAATCCCCAAATGGAGGCATAGAAAAGCTGAGAAATAAGTTCACATATAAGCTTAGGTCTGCATTTCTTGCAAATAATATTCTAATAATGTGCTCTGAAATAAACAAAAAAGTTTCAGATAAACTTTTATTAATATTTTGTTTAGCTCCATAGTTTATAATTGATCTATGGTTTATAATTGATCTATTTAAAAGATCTATTTATACTTAGGCTAACACAAACATTCAAGAGCTAAATCATTGCCAAGGGTATATAATGTCTACAACCTAAATGTAGTGGCTCTGACACACACATAACAACAACAACAAAAAGACTATTTGCTGATAGGTTGAAAAGAAATAAAGAAAAAAATCAGTTATTGTGGTTATTTAGTCAAAGAGGAAAGCAAAACTGAGATTGACATAGCATATCAACTACTCTGTACTCACTGTGCATGGGGTCTGCATCCATGGCTCCCCATCAATTTGCATTGGCAGAGACTTGCTCGTCCTGGGGGAAAATATTTCATTGTAAGTATTGCAAGGAAATACTTTATATTACAGACTATATGTGAGATATAAGATGATGAGACCAGGGAAGGCAATATGGTAATAGTTGGGCTCTAAATTTATCTCCAATGAAAGGAGCTTCAACTCTCCACTATTAATAAATACCCTGAAAAGTACCTTAGTCACAGGAATATTATGAGCTTCCTGGTAAGTGTAGTGACATTTAAAAAAATTCTGGATGCCAAAAGAAAAATTTCAGGGTTTATGTTTAATGACACGATCAGAATTTCTACAGCCAAAAGAGATTCCTTGTTTTTATAACCCTACATTGCAAACTGGGAGAAAGGTGTTTCTCCCAGTTCTTCTAGCACCAACACTTCCAGATAAATAACATCAATTATTCCTGTGCTACAATCCGTGGCTTCACCTGGGCAGATCACGAGGTCAGTAGTTTGAAACCAGCCTGACCAACATGGTGAAACCCCATCTGTACTAAAAATACAAAAATTAGCCAGGATGTGTTGGCGGGTGCCTGTAATCCCAGATACTCGGGAGGATGAGGCAGAAGAATCCTTGAAACTGGAAGGTGGGGTTGCAGTGAGCCAAGATCGTGCCACTGCACTCCAGCCTGGGCAACAAGAGTGAAACTCCGTCTCAAAAAAAAAAAAAAAAAAAAAAAAAATTGGGGGGAAATTTTGGGCAAAAAAAATGCTTGAAAAAGTTAAAATTTAAAACATATATAAAATCTTACTGTGGCACTTTAGTCCATGAAATGATTTAAGTCAATGGTGTCTCATCATTGTTTTCATAGATAATTTGCCCAGTAAATACTTTGGTGCTTCAGTAGACTAATATGAGTATAAATCATAAAATTTGTATGTTTGAATTCGTGCATCAATATGTCCATGGTAGTCAACAAGAGAGAATCAGATTCCAACAAACCATATCAGTAATAGCTAACCAATATTTTAGACAATCTGCCAATGTCCATTATTTTGAAATATATTAGTATTAATAACTGATTATTTGGAGCCCAAAGAAGACAATGTTACTATCAGAGTTCTGCATACTTTTAATTAGTTTGAGGCTATGCCATATCAAACGCCTTTGTCAGTTACAGAAAGGGAACTACCTGATGACCACGCAGGAGCACTGAGCCAGCCGCCGGCCAGCACTTTTCAGGCCTGTGTATATTTGCCCCATCTCCATGGCTCCTTCCAAGCCGACCACCTCCAGCAGCTGGTCACTGAGATCTGAAAGAAAGTAGATGCCTTTTAAGTTGCAATGTGTATACATATGTCCACAATTTAATGCCATTTGATATTATGGAGATTAAAAAAAATAACAGCCACTTCACAAAGAAAGCTTGTCTTAGAAACTTAAAGTAATAAAAAGATGGCCTACTTTTATAACTCTCAGTTTAACTAAACCTTGAGGTTCTGTGGAAAATGATTTGCTGTCAGCTTATTCTAAAACAAAATGGGAAGCACAGATTCTGAGCCAAATAATACCAAAAAAAAAAAAAAAAAACCCAGTAGTTTTTAACATCAACAAACTTAATGTTATTCCACATGTATATAAGGACCATTTATACATCCCACATCAGACATTTGGCAGCAAATACACATTTCAACACTATAAATAAAATATGAGGATATGCTGTCAAACATGATTTTGTTAAATTACTTGAACAAGAGACCTTGGAGATCATGGAGTTGGAGCTTCTCATTTTATACATTAGAAGATGGGAGTCCCTAAATCTTTGAGTAACTTGTCTGTAGTAATAGGTAACTGTACAGAAGTTCAAGAAACAATAGTAATTTTGTGAAATGTTTTTCCGATGTTAAGGAATATTCTACAAAATACTGTTTGGTAGTATACTAGATAATTAGTCCCATGCAATCATTATTATTAAATTTTTTTTTAGCAGAAGACATTAAAAAGGGGCTAATAGTTAAGAGTTGTCGCTTGTTGAGTATTTACTAGGACTAATTACTTTATATTATCTCATTTGCTCCTGCTCCAGACCAATTTAAGATAAATGTGATTCTCCTCATTTACAGATAGAGAAGCTAAACATTGGAGATGTTAATAATTATTCATATTCACATACCTAGAAAGTGACAGAGCCAAAAAGTGAACCTAATTGCTTTGATGCACTATGCTACATTTGATAAATCAATCATATGAAAAGGACAGAATTTACAACGTTTTAGAAATCATCTTAACATAAAGGTGGAGGTTGGACTGCGTGAGCTTCAAGGTTCCTTTCCAATCTGAATATTTGCATTCAGCCAGAAAGCAGAAGTTGAACTCACATCAATAGAATCCCACACAGTCCTGTCCCAAGACTCAGTGACAGCCCATCTGCTCACCTATTTAACTCAGAGTGCTGAGACCCTTGATTTGGAGGCCAAAGTCTAGGTGCATATATATGGTTCTTTTCCATTGTAATATTCTTATGTGTTTTTGTGTATTTTCAAATATAAATACACAATTGTACATTGTTTAGTAGCAGAAAAACTAGAGGAGTGGAATACGGTGGGAGGCATGATTATTATACAAGAAAGCCATGTAATAGTTGGTCATATTTGAGGTCGGACTCATAGAAAAACAAGCAAATGTGTTTTGTAGGGAATCCACTTTGTACAGAAAGTGCTCACTCCTCACTAATGACTCCATTTTAGCATAGAGTTTAGAGATGCTAATGATTTATTTTCAGTGTAGTTCAACTGTGTGGCAGCAAATAGTGCTTTGCAATCTCCAAGTTCGTTAAGCCCAGGATCGTAGGTAAATTTAATAAAAGCACTTTAAAAAGAATATGCAACCAAGCCACCAAACTTTTAAGTGAATAATAAAAATCTATTATTTTTAACTTTAAGCTGTAGCTGTAGCACCGGATTACTCCAAGTAAAAACAATATTTTAGCTACAAAATCAAATGTTAACTTAGAGCTTCCACCTTGCTGTTCTAAACCCCATTTAGACTTATTTCTCATGAAACTTATTCTGTGTTTCTAGTTTAAATTCATGTTGCCAAGAACAGATGGACAAGGAATGGAAACATATTCTTTCAGCTGTAGCCGGCACTAAAATGTGCTTGGCTCTATAGCCTGGGTGTTAATATACGCATTTCTTAGATATATGTCAACCAGAAAACGACATTGTGGCAAGCACTGAAGCCCCAGATGTGTGCCTGCTGATATTTATAAAACAACAACTACCACCACGATGATCACCACCACCACAGGACTGGAGTTCGCATTTAGTATTGTAGATTTTGCACGGCCTGATTCCTAAATAGGTAGAATTCTGTGTTAATTTCTGCAATGATCTGAAACTGGTTGATGGGAACCATTCTATAAGAAATGAAACACTTTCTCAAGACAGAGTTAATCTGTGAGCCCTAACTTTTTCATGAATCACAGGGATCTGTCTACACCCACACCATATTGCTACTGTCTACCACCCTCCTTCTGATTTTTTTCTTTCTTTTAATTTGTCTTTGTTTTTCTGCATGCAAAAATGCCTTGAAAATCAATTCTGCTGTTAATAATCAGTAATGAAGATATTTCTCATAGACTTAGAACACCCAGGCTTTTAAACTTTCATGTTCTTGCTAACACAAATAATTTTATAGGAATAGTGCCATCTTTACTAACTCTAGCAAAGGCAAATAAATACCATACTCCTTTTAATTAGGCATTCAGGGAGAGAAAACAAAAACAAAATGAAACTCTAAATTTGTGTTGCACGAATTTGCCCCCATAACACTTCCACATTTTTTGATACAGCACAATCTGCAATCTGTCTGTATACAATTGATGCCCCCTACCTGTTAATCTTTGAGATCAGGGTCCTGATTGATTTCAGACAGAGAGAGTTTCTATCTATGCAATTTTGAATTCTGTTTCTATATGTGGTATCCTTTGGAACATCAGACTTCCTCACCTCACATTCTAGCTAAGAGTTATTTTAAGAACAGTTCTCCTTGGGATGGCCTAACCAGCTAGATCAACCTATTTAATTGGTTTGCTACCTGGCTGCTGGCTTCATATTTAAGAGTGTGAGCAGCAAAAGATGGCCTATGGACCAAATCTGGCCCCTAGCCCTTTTTGTATGGCTCACAACAATTAAGAATGGTTTTATATATTTAAAAATATAAAAAAATAAAGTACTATAACATCTGAAAATTATATAAAATTCAAATTTCAGTGCCCATCAATTAGTCTTCATTGGAACACAGCCACATTCACTGGTTTAGGTCTTGTCTATGTCTCTTTTTGTACTACAGAGGCACAGTAGAGACCATATGGTCGACAAAGCTGAAAATATTTACTATGTGGACCTTTAGATAAGTTTGCCCACCTATGCTTTAGAGAAACATGAACACTTTCAGGTCACTAAGGTTGTCACTTTAGTACTGCAGCTATAAATGCTAAATGGCAATTTATTTTTTAGTGCCTGAAAGACATAATGTTCCAGCATTAATTCCACAGTGTATGTAACCATGCATAGAACAGCTGTTCTCCACCAGGGAGTCTCACCACACTTGTGTACTATGAGCATTGCCACAATCCATTGGTTATTTATCACGGAACACCAAAAGTTTCCAAATAATTTTATTACAAAAGAAAGTAGAACAGTTTAACATTCATTAGTGTGCTCAATCATTGCCTCTGGTTGGCTTCCTTGAGTGTGAGAAAAAGAAGAATCATAGATAGGAAGGCAGAAGTTGCAACCAGACCTGGAGATTCAGGTGGGAAACAGCTCTACCTTCAAAAGTTAAGTGTCAAGAACTGTGAAATCCTGACACCATGATACTGAAATCCATTTGTGTCTATCTAGAGGAAGACGTTGCTTTTGTTCAGTTTAATGTTATAAAGTATACTTTTGAAGGAAAACAAAGTACGTTTCTGAAAGCATTTATATGTCTTTTTAAATACCTCCATGGGAGTAAACAGAGACAAGCTTTCATATTAGGTATTTTCACATTTAAAACAGAACATCTATAAAAGGTATTTCAGAGGGAAGAAACTTAATAAAATCATCAAAATTGGGTCATATTGGATCAAGATTCTTAACACATGGTCTGTGAATCTGAATAGGAAAAATGCAACTTTATTTTCACTAACATGTAATTGAAATTAAGCATTTCTTTCAAATATAAATGTAGTCAGGAATACCTGTGACTTTGTCACTGATAAATATCACGTTATAGTTGTTACAATATTTCCTACTTTAAGAAAAGATAATACGTTTTAATTATCCACAATACCAAAATATCTACAAGTCTCTATAAAATAAAATAACACATTAAATTTTATTTTTTTTATTTTTATCTTATGTAATTTTTCAAAATGTTATTTATATTCATTATGTCAAATTTTAATAATTATTGAACTTCTAGATTTTAATTTGTTAATAAGAAAGCATATATATCTCTAAATCAAAATTTCTAACAGCATTTTAATCTAATTTTTCATAGAAAAGCATATATATCTCTAAATCAAAATTTTAACAGTATTTTAATATAACTGACTCCCTTTTTTAGCCTACGTATTTTATCTTATAAATTTTAAAACATTATGTCTGAGAAGAGTCAGTAGATTTCACCAGACAGGCAAAAAGACTATAGCACAAAAATGGTAAGGAACCCTACTTTAGAATGGAATTTGTCATTTTAAAGTTTATAAATCTTTATAAACTTTATAAATCTGTGAAAATAATTAGTGCTGCATTCATCTGTTACACAGGTAATCAGGGATATGAATGTAAATTTGAAAGTCAGGGGCACATATAGATTAGAGGACACACGAGCAGCTCAGCTAATAAGTGGGTAATATTTATTCATAGCTTAGTCTTCATTTTTGACAGTTATGCCCTGATAATATGTCTCATTATGTAATTGTTTCAGACTGCCATATGTGAAGAAACAGAAGAGAATGCATTACAAACACAGAATGAATGTGGGTTGTAGCATTTCGCAGAATATAGTGGGTACTGAAGAAAGGGGGAGAAAGGCTGGAGCAGAGTAGTATAAACCCCTTTGTGCAGAGTGTCCAGCAACATTCTGCACCACTGTCAGAGGCCATGTGGAGGTACTCATTGACTCAGCAGGAGCATTTTGAAATCAACATAAATTGCTAATTATAATGACACTTATTGAGCCATTATTTGGCCATAGTAAGACCAGGCTAGCTATGGAGTTGTACCTTTTGAGTGTTTGTAGATTGTATGCCTTCCAGTGATGTTTCATTTATCTAGCAACATTATGAAACATGTCTGAGGACCAAGAATAAACTTTTAAAAGGCCAAGGAACATATGAAATCCATTCACTAGAGTGAATAATTCAATGATTCGTCTTCAAAATGTCCATCTACTTCTAATTGATTCTTAATTTAGATATACTTCTCACAAGCATAAATGCCTGTTTTTCCTGACCTACATAACCCAGAAGACATAAATTTTAAAAGGGGGTGGGTAGGAAGAGTTTTAGCAAAAATTTATTAATATAAACTGTGTTTCAGAGTACAAGTATGTAAAACATAAAGGCAGGCTTTTTGCACCTGAAGGAACATACAATCCAATTGTAGGTCTATTAATAAAGGAGAAACTGTATGGGGAAGGCTAATATATCTACTATATGCCTGCTATGAGCAGGCTCCCTGCTAAGGGATTTATAGGCATTTTTCCATTTAAGACTCTCAACAGTCCTTTGAGATAGGTATTATTCTCCTCATTTTATTGACAGGGAAACTATGTCACTTGTTCAAGTCTTTACATAGAATTGAAAATCTGGTTTTCTAAATAGGTATGCTTGACTCTAAATTCCATGTTACTGTGACAACAGTAAGAACTAACCAATTAAATGTTAACAGTTCTCTTGGATCATCATGGCGGACAGGAGGCAGGACTAGATTGCAGCTCCAGACAGAGCAGCTCGCATTGTAAATTTTAGCTCAATAGATTGCAAGAACAAACCAGCAATCTCGAGAGGACACACAGACGCTCTGACGGAAGTGGACTGCTCCTGCGGAGCCTGGGAGACCCCCCAAATACTGAGTGCCCAACTGAGGAAGTGGAAAAGGGAGACCCTCCTCTCCCCATCACATGCCCCCACTAGAGAAGCTGACAGTCCATTTGCAGGAGAAGTTTCCGGCTTTACTTGGAGCTGAGTCAATTTGGAAAGCTAAGCCAAGTACAGGGGTAGAGGAAGCAGCAGAAAGGCCCTGGGAGCTCCTGGAGTCCCCTAACTGGCCGTTCCTGCCTGGCACCATACCACAGGGATCCAACGGGAGGGTGACCAGAGGAGCAGGGGGTAAAACTCCACAGGGAGAAGGAAATCTCTAGCTAAACTTTGTAACAATTTGAACGGGGTGGGAAGCCACCTGGCTAGAACTCAGGAGAGGGCGCAAATCTGGTGTGCAAACTCCACAGGCAGGGGAAGAACCAAGACCTTTTCTTTCGCAGTTGGGAGGTGAGTTTTCAGGCCGGTCTCACCTTCTGCCTGGAAACTAACTCGGGTCTGTTCGTGGGGGCACGGTGAGAGTTAGAACGGGCCTTCAGTTTGCATGGGAGCTGTGTGAGGCCTGTGACTGTGGGCTTTCCCCCACTTCCCTGACAACCTGCATGACTCAGCAGAGGCAGCCATAATCCTCCTAGGTATACAAGTCCAGGGACCTGCAAATCTCATCCCCATCCCCCATGCTGCAGCTGCAGCAAGACCCACCCAAGGAGAGTCTGAGCTCAGAAATGCCTAACCCTGCCCTCCTCCTGATTGTCTTTCCCTACTCACCCTGGTAGTGGAAGACAAAGGGCATATAATCTTGGGAGTTCTAGGGCCTCGCCCACTGCCAGTTCCTCTCTGGAAAGCACCACCTCCTGGCAGGAGGTGCAAAAAAAGCATTGGATTAAATCCAGCGTCTCTTTATGATTAAAGCTCTCAGCAAAATCGGTATGCAAGGGACATACCTTAATGTAATAAAAGCCATCTATTACAAACTCACAGCCAACATAATACTGAATGGGGAGAAGTTGAAAGCATTCCCTCTGAGAACTGGAACAAGACAAGGATGCCCACTCTCACCACTACTCTTCAACATAGTACTGGAAGTCCTAGTTAGAACAATCAGACTAGAGAAAGAAGTAAAGGGCATCCAAATCGGTAAAGAGGAAGTAAAACTGTCACTGTTTGCTGATGATATAATCTTTTACTTTGAAAACCCTAAGGACTCCTCCAGAAAGCTCCTAGAATTGATAAAAGAATTCAGTTTCCAGATGCAGGATTAATGTACACAAATCAGTAGCTCTTGTACACAATAATGGCGACCAAGTGGAGAATCAAATAAAGAACTCAACCACTTTTACAATAGCTGCAAAACAAACATCTTAGGAATATACCTAACCAAGGAGTCGAAAGACCTCTACAAGGAAAACTGCAAAACGCTATTGAAAAAAATCATAGATGACATGAACAAATGGAAACACATTCCATGCTCATGGATGGGTAGAATCAATATTGTGAAAATGACCATACTGCCAAAAGCAATCTACAATTCAATGCAATTCCCATCAAAATACCACACCATCATTCTTCACAGAATTAGAAAAAAAAATTCTAAAAATCATATAGAACCAAAAAAGAGCCCACATAGACAAAGCAAGACTAAGCAAAAAGAACAAATCTGGAAGCATCACATTACCTGATTTTAAACTATACTGTAAGGCCATAGTCACCAAAACAGAATGGTACTGGTACAAAAACAGGCACATAGACCAATGGAACAGAATAGAGAACCCAGAAATAAACCCAAATACTACAGCCAACTGATCTTTGACAAAACAAACAAAAACATAAAGTGGGGGAAAGGACACCCTTTTTAACAAATGGTGCTGGGATAATTGGCTAGCCACATCTAGAAGAATAAAACTGGATCCTTATCTCTCACCTTATACAAAAATCAATTCAAGATGGATTAAGGACTTAAACCTAAGACCTGAAACTATAAAAATTCTAGAAGATAACATTGGAAAAACTCTCCTAGACATTGGCTTAGGCAAGGATTTCATGACCAAGAACCCAAAAGCAAATGCAATAAAAACAAAGATAAGTAGCTGGGACCTAATTAAACTAAAGAGCTTTTGCATGGCAAAAGGAACAGTCAGCAGAGTAAACAGACAACCCACAAAGTGGGAGATAATCTTCACAATCCATACATCTGACAAAGGACTAATAACCAGAATCTACAAGAAACTCAAACAAATTGGTAAGAAAAAATCAATCCCATCAAAAAGTGGGCTAAGGACATGAATAGACAATCCTCAAAAGAAGATATACAAATGGCCAACAAACATATGAAAAATGCTCATCATTACTAATGATCAGGAAATGCAAATCAAAACTACACTGCTATACCACCTTATTCCTGCAAGAATGACCATAATCAAAAAAATAATCAAAAAACAGTAGATGTTGGTGTGTATGTGGTGAATAGAGAACAATTCTACACTGTGGGTGGGAATGTAAACTAGCACAGCCACTATAAAAAAACAGTGTGGAGATTCCTTAAAGAACTAAAAGTAGAACTACCATTTGATCTAGCAGTCCCTCTACTGGGTGTCTACACAAAGGAAAAGAAGTCATTATTCAGAAAAGATACTTGCACATGCATGTTTATAGCAGCACAATTCACAATTGCAAAATTGTGGAACCAACCCAAATGCCCATCAATCAAAGAGTGGATAAAGAAACTGTGGTATATATATTCAATGTAATACTACACAGACATAAAAAAGAATGAATTAACAGCATTTGCAGTGCCCTGGATGAGACTGGAGACTATTATTCTAAGTGAAATAACTCAGGAATGGAAAACCAAACGTCGTATGTTCTCATGGATATGTGGGAGATAAGCTATGAGGAAGCAAAGGCATAAGGATGATACAGTAGACTTTGGGGACTTGGGGGGAAGAGTTGGAGAGGGGCGAGGGATAAAAGACTACAAATATAGTGAGTGTATACTGCTCAGGTGATGGGTGCACCAAAATGTCACAAATAACCACTAAAAAACTTACTCATGTAACCAAATATCACCTGTATCCCAATAACTTATGGAAAAATAAATAAATAAATAAATAAATGTTATCAGTGATGGAAGAGAAAAAAGTGCTACAAAGGAATACATACATAACACCTTAAAATAGTCCAGCAAACAGTCCTACCAATAAATCATTTCAAATGTAATCACAAAATTAAAATGAAGTACAAAGCTCCCATTTATAATACCATGTGGGGTAATGTATGAAGAATACTCTGGAGAAGCTCAGTAAGAAAGCTAAGAGCCTGGCCCTGCTGTACTCACATGCACCTCTGCCTGGCCCAACATCTGGTTCAGCAGCAGACAAACCTCCCTGGACAGATAGCCACAGGCCTGCTTGGCATCACCACACCTGCACACACCTGAGCCCAGCCTGACAGCCAGTCTGGGTGGTCCCATTTCCCTGCAAATACCATTGCAGGAATGCCTGGCACCATTGCTCTCATGCTTGGTCCAACAGCTGGTCCAGTGATAATTCTGCTTTCCTAGACAGATTGCCACAGAGTCCAACAACCAGCCTAGCGCTCCTGTCCTCAGCAAAACTACACTGCTGCCATCACAAACGCCTGCAGCCTAGAGCACTGAGGCAATATATATCACTGATGAGGATTACAGCTGAAGAAACTGCATGAAGACTACAGTACTGAGTCGACCTAGAGCTAAAGCCAATGCACCACATTTAACACTAGGACTTGTTTACAGGAAAACATTTATCCCTACAAAAGCTACTCCATAATGTTGGAAAAAATTGACTACACAATTAGATTCACAGATATAAATGTAGGGACACAAGAAACATAAAAAAGCAAATTAACATGGCACCCACAAAATGTCTCCAGTAACAGACTCCCAAAAAGGACATTCATATAATATCTGAAAAATAAATTCAAAATTATGATTTTAAGGAAACTGAGCAAGATATAAGAGAACACAGAGAAACAATTCAATAAAATCAGGAAAACAATTCATGATCCGAATGAGAAATTCAACAAAGATGTATATAAAATAAAAAAAGAACCAAGCGGAATTGGAGCAGAAATATTCAATGAATGAAATGAAAAAAATACATAACTGACAGCTTCAACAACAGACAAGATGAAGGAGAAGAAAGAATTTATGAACTTGAAGACAGATCTTTTGAAATAGCCCAGCCAGAGGAGGGGAAAAGAAAGTAGAAATAAGAAAAATAGAGAATGAAGAAAGCCTACAGGACTTATGGGACACCATCAAGTGAATAAATTTTCTCATAATAGGAGTGTCAGAGGGAAAGAGACGGAGAAAAGCACAGAAAATTTATTTAACGAAATAATAGCTGAAAAATTCCCAAGTATTGGTAGAGTTATGAACATCCAGATTGAGGAAGTTAAAAGATCCCCAATTGGCCGGGCGCGGTGGCTCACGCCTGTAATCCCAGCACTTTGGGAGGCCGAGGCGGGCGGATCACGAGGTCAGGAGATCGAGACCATCCCGGCTAAAACGGTGAAACCCCGTCTCTACTAAAAATACAAAAAATTAGCCGGGCGTGGTGGCGGGCGCCTGTAGTCCCAGCTACTTGGGAGGCTGAGGCAGGAGAATGGCGTGAACCCGGGAGGCGGAGCTTGCAGTGAGCCTAGATCCCGCCACTGCACTCCAGCCTGGGCGACAAAGCGAGACTCCGTCTCAAAAAAAAAAAAAAAAAAAAAAAAAAGATCCCCAATTACATTCAATCCAAAAAATTCTCTCTGAGGCATATTATAATCAAACCGTCAAAAGTCAAAGACAATGAAATAATTCTAAAATCTACAAAAGAAAAGTATCAAGTCTCTTATAAGGGAATCTGCATCACACTATTAGCAGATTTCTCAGCAGAAACCTTAAAGCTGGTAGAGAATGGGATGATATATTCAAAGTGCTGAAAGAAAAAAAAGCTGTCAGTTGAGAATATTATATAAAGCAAAGATATTTTTCCAGAAATGAAGAAGAAATAAAAATTTTTGCAGATAAGAAAAAGCTAAGGGAATTCATTACCATAAAGTTGGTGTTACAAGAAACACTTGAGAGTGCTACAAATGGAAACAAAAGGACCATAATTACTAACAGGAAAACAAGTGAAAGTATAAAACTCACCGTAGAGTAAGTTAATTAATCAAATTCCTAATATTTCCAGTGATATGATACGTCTTTCAATCCTCTAGTATGAACGTTTAATGTCAAATGGTCAAAACCAAGAATTACAATTAATGGCAAAGGAACACACCACAGATAAAGAAGTAAATTAAGTGAACAAAAGTATAAATTTTAGGGGGAAGGAAAACTGTCTAGAGTAATTTTATGCAACCAAAGTTAAGTTGCCATCATCTTAAAATAGTCAATTCTAACTACAAGACTCTTTATGTTAGCCTGTGGTAATCACAAACAAATAATGTACTGCAGACAATCAAATGAGAATGAGAAAATAAAGCTTAGCACCACAGAAAACCACCAAACCACAGAGGTAAATAGCAAGAGAAGAAGAAAGAAATAAGGAATCTACAAGATAAGGAAAAAATAATGAACAAAATGGCAGAAGTACTTATCTAACAATAATAACCTTGAATGTAAATGGATTAAATTTTCCCATTAAGAGACAGAATGGCTGAATAGGCAAAATAAAATAAAATAAGACCCAACTATATACTACCTAAAAAAGATTCACCTCAAAAAAGGCAGGCTGAAAGCAAAGGGATAGAAAAAGATATTCCGTGCAAACAAAAACAAAAATTGAACAGAATAAGCCATATTGATATCAGATAAAAGATATTTTAAGTCAAAAACTGTTAAAAGAGGCAGAGAATGTTATTATATATAATGAGAAAGGGATCAATTCAACAAGAGGATATAACAATTGTAAATATATATGCAACCAACACAAAAGCACTCAAATATATAGAGCAACCGTTATTAGATCTAAAGGGAGAGATAGAACACAATACAAAATAGTAGGGGATTACACCCACTTTCAACAAGGGTAAGCTAATGACAAAAAATCAACAAAGAAACATTGGACTTACACTGCACCATAGACCAAATGGACCTAACAGACATTTACAGAACATTTCATCCAACAGCTTTAGAATACATATTCTTTTCGGTTGCACATGGAACGTTCTCCAGGATGAATCACATATTAGGCCACAAAATAAATCTCAACAAATGTAAGAAGAGATGATCAGCTATCTTTTCGGGCCATTATGGTCTAAACTAGAAATTAACAAAATAAAATTTTGGAAATGTTACAAATAGATGGAAGTTAAACAACATCCTTTTAGATAACCAATGGGTCAGTGAGTAAGTTAAAAGAAAATTAAAATTTTCTTGAGACAAATGAGAATGGGACACATCTTACCAAAACCCATGGGACACAATAAAACCAGTACTAAAAGGGAAATTTATAGTAATAATTGTCTACATCACAAAAGAAGATTTCTATGAAACAATCCAACAATGCATCTCAAAGGCCTAGGATTTGTTATTAATTTAATAATAAACTAAAGCCAAAATTAGCAGAAGGAAGGAAATAATAAAACTCAGAGCAGAAATAAACAAAATTGATGCTAAGAACAAAAATTCAAAAGATCAACAAAATGAAGAATTTGTTTTTTTGAAATGATAAAGGAAAATCAATAAACCACAAGCTAGGCTAACTAAAAAAAAGAAAGAAGACTCAAAAAAATAAAATCAAGGATGAAGTAGGAGATATTAAAGCTGATACCAACTTTTTTTTGCAATACGTTTGCAGCTAGAACACCAGTGTCATGAAAACCATCCCTAAAGTCAAATGGGAAAGAAAAGAAAAAGACTCCCATCAACATTGTCAAAATTGGACACATTGATTCAGGCAAGTCCACCACTACTGGCCATTTGATCTACAGATGTGGTGGGATTGACCAAAGAACCATCGAAAATTTTGAGGAAGAGGCTGTTGAGATAAGAAAGAGTTACTTCAAGTATGCCTGGGTCTTAGATAAACTGAAAGCCGAACCTGAACATGGTATCACCATTGATACCCTGTGGAAATTTGAGACCAGCAGTTACTACTTGATTATTATTGATAGTCTGGGACACAGATGCTTTGCGAAAAACGTGAATACAGCCACATTTCAGGCTGACTGTGATGTCCTGATTGTTGCTGCTGGTGCTGGTGAATTTGAACTGGTGTCTCCAGGAATGAACAGACGTATGAGCATGCATTTCTGGTTTACACACTGGGTGTGAAACAGTTATTGTTAACAAAATGGATTCCACTTAGCCACTCTATAGCCAGAAAAGGTACAAAGAATCATTGAGAAAGCTGAAACTTAAGAAAATTGGCTACAATGCCAACACAGTAACATCTGTGCCAATTTCTGGTTGGAATTGTGACAATATGCTAGAGCCATGTGCTAACATGCATTGGTTCAAGGGATGGAAAATCACCTGTAAAGATGGCAATGCCAGTGGAACTATGTTGCTTGAAACTCTGCAATGCATCCTATCACCAACTCATCCAACTGACAAGCCCTTATTTGTGGTCTGCCTCTCCAGGATTTCTACAGAATTGGTGATTTTGATACTGTTACTGTGTTCTGAGTGGTGACTGGGTTACCTTTGCTCCAGTCAATGTTACAACTGAAGAAAAGTCTGTTGAAATGCACCATGAGGCTTTGAGCGAAACTCTTCTGGGGGACAAAGGGGGCTTCAATGTCAAGGATGTGCACGTCAAAGATGTTCACTGTGCCAACATTGCTGATGACAGCAAAAATGACCCACCAATGGAAACAAATGGCTTTCCTACTCAGGTGACTATTCTGCACCAAACAGGCTAAATCAGTGACGGCTATGTCCCTGTACTGGATTGTCACACAGTTCACATTGCTTGCCAGTTTGCTGAGCTGAAGGAAAAGATTGATTGCCAGTCTGGTAAAAAGCTGGAAGATGGCCCTAAATACTTGAAGTCTGGTGATGCTACCATTGTCGATATGGTTCCTGGCAAGCTCCTGTGTTGAGAGCTTTTCTGACTATCCTCTGAGTCATTTTGCTATTTGTTCTATGAGACAGATAGTCGCTGTGGGTGTCATCAAAGCAGTGGACAGGAAGGCTGCTGATGGTGGAAAGGTCACCAGAGTTGGTGAGGAAGAAATAAAAGGCATCCAAACTGGGAAGAAGGTAGTCAAATTGTCCCTATTTGTAGATGTTATAATATTTTACATAAAGAAAACTCTAAAGACTCCACCAAAAACTAGTCAAACTGAAAAACAAATTCACTAAAATTGCAGGATACAAAATCAACATACACAAATCAGTAGCATGTCCATAGGATAATAGTGAACTCGCTGAAAAAGAATTTTTAAAACTTTCTTTTACCATAGCTACAAAAAAACTAGATACCTAGGAATATATTTAACCAAGGAGGTGAAAGATCTCTACAATAAAACTGTAAAACTTTGATGAAAAATAAATGGAAGAGGACACAAATAAATGGAAAGACATATTATATTCATGAATTGGAAGAATTTTTTTTAAATGGTCATAGTACCCAAAGTGATCTGCAGATTTAATGCAATTCCTGTCAAAATAACTATAATATTCTTCAGAGCAGCGGTCCTCAATGTTTTTGGCACCAGGGACTGGTTCATGGATGACAGTTTTTCCACAGACCAGCCACAGGGTTGGGAGGTGGTTTTGAGATGATCCAAGTGCATTACATTTATTGTGCACTTTATATTATTAGCACTTTATTTATATTATTACATTGTAATATATAGTTATATATTATTTCATTATGTATTACAATGTAATAATACAACTCACTATAATGTTGAGTCAGTGGGACCCCTAAGCTTGTTTTCCTGCAACTAGATGATACCATCTAGGGGTGATGGGAAACACTGACAGATCATCAGGTGTTAGATTCACATACAGAGTGCTCAACCTAGGTCCCTTGCATGCGCAGTTCACAATAGGGTTTGCACTCCTATGAGAATCTAATGCAGATGCTGATTTGACAGGAGTCTGAGCTCAGGCGGTAATGCGAGTGATGGGGAGCAGCTATAAAATACAGATGAAGCTTCACTCTCACCTGCTGCTCACCTCCTGCTACGCGACCCAGTTCCTAATAGGCCACAGACCCATACGCCTGTTTGTGGCCTGGGGGTTAGGGACCCCTGCTTCAGAGAAATAGAAAAAAAAAAAAACAACTATAAAATTCTGTAGAACTACAAAATACCCTAAATAGCCAAAGACATACTGAGCAAAAAGAACAAAGTGGAAGGGATCACACCACCTGACTTCAAAATACACTATTATACAAAGATATAGTAACCAAAACAACATGGCGCTGGCACAGAAACAGACACATAGACTAATAGAATAGAATGGAGAGACCAGAAATACATTCAACACCTACAGCCAACTGATTTTTGACAAAGATGCCAAAAACACACATTGGGGAAAAAGTAGTCTCTTCAATAAATGGTGCTAGGAAAATTCAATAATCACATGCAAAAGAATGAGACTAGACCCTGACTCATGTTATGTACAAAAATCAACTCAAAATGAATTAAAGATTTAAATGTAAAGTTTGAAACTATGAAACAACTAGAAGAAATCACAGAGAAAATGCTTTATGACGTTAGGGTGGGCAAGGACTTTTTAAATAAGATCTCAAAAGCACAGACAACGAAAGCAAAAAGAGACAAATGGAGTTTCATTGAACTAAAAAGCTTTTGAAGAGGAAACTATTCACAGAGTAAAGAGATAACCTAGCAAATGGGAGAAAATATATGTAGACTATACTTCTAACAAGGAGTTAATATATAGAATATATAAAGGAACACAAACAACTCAATGGGAAAAAAACCCCCAAATACCTCATTTTAAAAATGGGCAAAAGACTTTAATAGACATTCTCAAAAGAAGACATACAAATGGCCATTAGTTATATGAAAAAAATGCTCAATACCACTAATCATAAAGGAAATGTAAATGAAAACCACAACGAGATGTTACTTCATTCCAATTAGACTGGTGGTTATCAGAAAGACAAAAGAAATCAAGTGCTGGTAAGGTTGTGGAGAAATGGGAACACTTATATGCTGTTGGTAGCAATATATACTAGTACAACCATTATGGAAAACAGTATGGAGGTTCCCCAAAAATAGTCAAAATAGAATTAACATGTGATCTAGCAATTCCACTACTGGATGTATAGCCAAAGGAAATGGAATCAGCACGTCAAAAGAGATATCTGTACTCTCAACTTCTGTAGCACTATTTATAATAGCTAATATATTGAATCGACCTAAGTGTCCAACAGTGGATGAATGGATAAAAAATGTGGCAAATATACACCGTAGAATATTATTCAGCCATAAAAAGAATAAAATCCTGTCATTTGTGACAACATGGATGAACCTGGAGGACACCGTGTTAACCGAAATAAGCCAGACACAGAATGATAAATACCACATTATCTCACTCATTTTTAGATGTGGAATAGTAAAAATAATTTTTAAATATAACAAGAAGATAAGAATCTGGTACATAAATGGATTAACAAGAGTCATTTAAAAAATCTAGCAGTGTGAAATGTTGCATTCCCTGTTGAAATCTAAAAATGAGGGGTTAATATATGTTATATTATGTTATATATGTATGCAGAAATACATATATTCTGTTATATATGTACACAGAAATACATATATATTCATAGTGGAAGCCTGACTTTAAAAAGAACTTTTCAAGAATGGATTTGATCATCTCTTTTAAAGCCATCTAGTTTTTGAAAACAACCAGCCGGAGCTGACTATAACTTTGTTTTTATGCTAAAATTCTGAACTCCTTTAAACGAGTCTAAAATAAGGAAAGACCAGAAATCACAGTACAGCATATTGTCAACAACCTCTCTATAGCGACCAAAGGAGTTCAGGGCCTGCAAGTCACTGTGTTATAGTGTACTTGAAAAGTCATCTACACCACAGGAACGCAACCAAATAAATAAGTATTTCACCGACAAAACCCATAGAGAAAGAGTTTAAAGACTTCCCACAGCAATCCATTGCTGCCACTAGCCATGTGTATTATCAGTAAATGTAAATGGTGTAAACTAGTGGTGAATATGAACACTGCTGCTTCTGGGTTCTTGAAGCAGTTTGTTCTCGTTAAGCTTTGTGAAGGGACTGAAGGCTTTCACTTGTTTTCTGTGTGAATGAGCCGTTAGTGTGTGTGGGAATGTTTTCACAGCACCATGCCTCTTCTGCCCTTTTCTATAAACTGAGCTACTTCACGTGTCTCCTCATATTAGTGCCATCACTAAACAAAGCAAGCGCTCATGAATGAAGGCTGATGTCAGCAAATTCTGAATAGCTTCTGGAGGGGCATCCTGCACCCTAACACTGATGCCAGCTAAGGGGATGAAGTCACCAGGGAGATCACCCACTCTTATTCTCCTAAGAACTGAGCAGTTCCAGCAATGAAAAGCAATACAAAGCAAACAAACAAATATTCAGATTAAAATGCAATGTAATACAGGGCAGTGCCAACATTACTTTACATATGACTACACGGTCTTTACACTAAATATCCAGAAGTACTGTGAAAATCAGTTATTTTCTTGAGATATATTATAAACTATAATGAGATGTTTCTATGGTCCCTTTATTTTAGTTTCAGTGAAACATGAAAAACACATAAAAATAAAATTTTAGAAACATGGTAGTACATTTGAACTCACTTATAAACTTAATAATGCTGAACATTAAAATAAGGACAGAACATGATGATGAGGAAAAGTGATTTACAGTAAACATTTCCTTGTAAAACAGAACTGTTTCTGGTATCCAATTTACCCTGGTTGCATGTAAGTCTTACGTGCTTAGCAAGAGATTGAAAGACTTTATAATATTTGAGGTTATTGTGCATAAAACCATTGCTGGTCAGAAGTAAATCTTACTGTCTTGGCAGTTTGTCTTCAGAGAATAGGCGACATGTCTAAATAGAATTAAATCTCAGCAACCTTCATGTAGAACTGTTTGTTGCCGAAAAATATAGGATTATATCATGACGTCTGGTGACTTGCCAGAGAACCCTTGAAACCCTGCTGAGTTCAAGGCTCTGCACAACAGGAATGTCATAGTTTCTGCTTAGAACAGTGTGTGTATTTAAGGAGTTTTGCTGTTAATGCAGGACTAAGGACCCCTCACTCATGAACTGAGACAGGGACTGTTATTGTCGAAAGCACTAAACACACTTTCCTCATTGCCTCACCATTTAAAGATGAGCAGTTTTTGACTCATGCCTCAAAGAAAGAATTATTCTAGTCATAAAAGCCTGCTAAAGTTTTCTTTTTTAAAGCTTATAAACAGACTGCGGGCAGATTGACCATCATATCTAATAAGCTAACTGTTAACAAGTTAGTACAGTTTAGTATACACCTGAATACTTCTATTTTCTATATTTTTCTCCTCCCCCCACACTCCCTTTCTTTTGAAGTAATTTTATTTCATGACCTTATGTCTACAGAAAAAGAATTATATTACTGTCTTGGATTACTAAATTGAATTAATGTTGACATAAATAGTTTTATTTGGATGGAATTTTAAAATTAATTCCATTTGTAAATAACCATAAGAAATACAATCTCCTTTGTCATTTCGATCACAAAGTAGCAGAGAAATCTATTCCACACATAAAATCACTTAGAAGAGAGAACTTGCAACTTACTACAGTATAAGAGATTTTCAGTATCTAGTCACCTTATGACTCATATTAATCATGTACTGACAAGTTTCCAAAGAGCTTGAATTAAAAAAAAAATAAGCCCTTGTATATAGACATGTTGAAGGACTTAGATAAGTACAAAAAATCTCTGTGAAAAAGTTTTCATTGATGTTTTAAAAAGCGTGTTATTTTATCTTTACAAAGGAACTGCACTAACACTAATCTAGCTTTTGGAAAATACAGCAACATTCATGACTAATCGTAGTGTGAAAAGTAGAAATGGACATGAAAAGTATCATCACCTCTAGCAACACTTGAAACCCTAAGAGAGGTTCAAATGCAAACTTTCAGATTTTCAACACTGAAAAACCAAGGACTTTATCTTCCCTTTCAAGGAGTTGCTTTGTGGGGCGGGGGAAACCAAAACCTCTTTTGTAGTACAAACTTTGCCAATATATCTGATTCTTTTTCTACCTCCTCTTAGAAGAGATATACCCCCTTTTTAATAGTTTAAAAATACTATTGCAGTGAAACTCTTGGTACAAAGGAAAATTATTCTATTTAGTCGTATTCTTTTAAAAGTTATTTGTTTAAAAGGGCTTCACTGTATTGGTCTTGCAGCCCTTCATACAACAGAACAAAAGCAGTTCTATGAAAGAAGACTAAACTTGAACAAACCGTAAAAAAAAAAAGCAAAGTTCCTCTCTGTTTTTATCAAATTTGATTGCTGCAGCTGTTCCCAGTTTCTGTATTTTAAAAATAGCCTTATTCAGTGCCTTGTTGGCTAAAGGCCAGAGTGCCATTAGAACATGCTGTACGGAAAACCTCTATTCAGTTACAGATACAGAAATATATTTAAGATCAGTGGGGGTCATCTGCAGCAAACACTTGTAAAGGAAAATCGAATTTTAATGTGTTTGGACTGATTGCCACTTTTACCAGATAGTTTAAAGCTTCCATATAGAACCATCCTATTATTTTTTCTTTTAGGTAAAAATGCAAAATGCGTATGAACTTCATTGGACAAATATTATTAGAAAGGTCTGTTTCTCAAATAACAATTGTACAGCTGAGATACACATTTCAAAGAATACCTACTAGTGGTTTCTGTTTGACAAGCTCACAGGCATTCATCGAGTGAAAAGGTAGGTAATATTGAGCAAATGCTACAAATGGAATCATAACTTCTTTCTGACACAGTCCTCCTAAGTAAGGTCACGAGGTGTGAAATAGATTGATCTGCCCAAGGGAAATGAGTCTGGGGACTCATTTTGGACTTAAAGTGTGTGGGGAAAGGGTGAAAGAATTGAGTTATTCAGTGATGTTTCAGAGTTGACCTTCACATCTCTTCAGTTCTTTCCTTTGCCTCAGCAAAGGATTGAAATTAGCATTTGGGACTAAACAGATTCCTGTAGGAGTCCTAATTTGAGTTGTAAGTAAAAAGGATCTGCTTCGCATAAATCATCAATAAAAAGGAATTTTGATTCCAGGTATTGAAAATAGTAAGAAAAAATTAGAAAGCAGAGGTCTAGGGAAAACTAAGGTGAGAAGAAAAAATTTCATTAGGGAAATATACAGCAGTTGTCAAGGTATGGGAACATCTAAGATTTCACCTTTCTTGAAAGCTAACATGTTAGCCTGCCACAGCTTTGTTGAGGCTGGCAGAAGACATGAGTTCCCTGCATCAGAGACCCAAGACGTTACTATCCACAGCAACAGCAGTCACCAGTCTTAACATCTAAATCAGTCCCCCAAACCCCAACTTCCATAGGGTGAAACAAAGAGGTCTGGGAGATACCTGCACACATAATGGGCTGCATTATAGAAGAGAAACCCATGGCTTACAATACCTTGATCTTTCATAATAGAAAATAAGCCTGCCTGATCTCTTCCCAGCTGCCAAACTGGCTAAAAAATGAAGCTCTTATTGACATTTTTATGGTTATATGTGAATTGCTACCATGATGGTATTAAAATAGAAGAGATATCAAAATATTTCACAATCAGCAAGAGTACTGGCCACAGTGTATCCTAGATATTGTAAGAAAATAGGGTCCCAGAGGTCTCTAAGGTACCTGGCATTGATACTTTAAATGTTGGATTTGGAAAAGTCTGGGAGGTCATGAGGAGGGATAGGGGGAACCTGGAAGGACAGGGCGAACTGTGCAGAAATATTTAAATAATTTAACATTTGGTACAGCTATGCTGAAGGTCCCAGTGGAAGGTACTAAACTGAAATATGTCTCAGAAGTTCTGATTCCTAGTCCTAAATTTTGATTTAGCTAAAGGGCAACTTCAGGTAAGTCATTTAATGTTTCTGGGACCCAGTTACCCTATCTCTAAAAGAGAAATGGTACTGACCTTAGATTGTGATTAAATATATTGTTCCAATCAGTTACATAGTAATTTTTTTGCTCATTCTCTTTCTCCCCTACACTAAATAAACTTTATGTATAAGTAATAAAATTATAAATTCTGTGGCTATTCCACTTTTGATAGACAAAAATTTCCACGAGAATAGCTTGAAAAATATTGGAAGTGAAGTAATTGAGCGTGATGGGTCTCAGATGAAAGACATTTGGCTACAAATATTAAAGTGGTGGGGGGAATACAGAATGAATAGGAAAAAGGAATAGAAAAACAAAAGAACAGCAAATAAAAATGTCTGATCTAAGAAAGCATTTGGATCAGATGAATGGGAAATGTAATTAGGCTGGACACCTCCGGAAAGGGCAAAAATATGAGCATTTCCACCATGAAATCAAAGTAAGATAGAGTAACTAGGTCAGCACTCTGCAGGCGGCCTGGGACAGGACTGGGCTCACTGTGAACTTAGAAGCAGAAATAAAATCCACATGGTCACATTTCCACAAGGAATGGAACAAATAGATGATGCCCAGGTGTTCTAGGCATAAGGCATTGTAGAGCAAAAAGTTCAGTGGGATTCAATTAGTAAGTAGAACAAAGCTTCACTATAACTGGGCAAGTGGCAGTGCACTATAATGAAGCTCTTAATTAGGCTAATAATTTAATATAAGTATGTTACTATGTTATTGCTTTAAGATTTCTGAAATAAAAGGAGTAGTGACAACGAAGTATACAATTTCTTAGCTTTCTGGATAACAATATTGCAAAGCAAGATATTTGTTATTTAGCAAATACTTACTACAATGTCAGAAATTATGAAAACAAGGATCAAAACAAACAAACAAACAAAAACAAAATCTAGCTCCTGAGTATATAGTGGTGTACAGGGCACAAAAAGAGACCTTTACTACAATAATTGACAAGGAGATGTTCAGATTTCACTCCAGGTTCAGAGCTGGCCTTTAAGTCTAGAACTTCTGGAGGCCAACATGCCACTGCATAGAGGTCATTCTGGTTAATAAATTGAGCACAAGGATTCACCCATTCCTGAATCTAGTTCTTTAAAGTTGTTTAGTAACAATTCTCCTTTAATACTTTCTCTTATGTTGCCAGTCCTCTGCTAAATGTTATAAAAACACAATATGTTTATGACTCTTTTGTACTCAACCTATACTATGAGGCAGCAATGAGAGAATCAAAAAATTACATGGTGTGGCCCCCAGAGTGCAAGACCTAGCAGTTAAAAAATGATACCTATCACTGTGCACTTTGGCTACCTCATTACCTAGTGAGACAACTCCTCATTGTTGAGCATAATCACTAGGAATATTTTAGTGCAACTCATGTATTCCCCACATTACCCACAAAAGCCGTCCTCATTTTTACACAGGTGTTATGAATTTCTAATTGTCTCTTTTTGTTTCTTCTTGATTAGGAATTTGGCAAGAATTTTTATTTTCCTGGCTTACATTTTATCTCAATGTTTATTTTCTTATACATATTGTTTCATAATACTACATATGATTTCTTTGCCCATTTATCCATTTACCTCATCCAACAAAGTTACATTGAGCACCAACAGATGCTTAGTAGATCAATGTATGCCAGGTACTCTGGAATGTGACTGAGATAGATGTAAAAAGCTATTAGTCTCCTTAAGAGCACTAACATGTAAAAAAAACGTAATGTAGCATTGTCAAAAAGGGAGAGTGTTTAACTCTATGGAGGATGGTTGGTGGTGGGGAGAGAGTTGGGATTGTAGAAGCTTAGGAAAAGCCTAAAAAGTTGTGAGAAATTAGGTAATGAAGATTCAGTCATGAAGGGCCTGAGAGCTTGGGTTTTCCTTACATTTGACTAGGGTGTAGTTAAAAATTCTAAGCTAAGTAGAGAGGCAGTTAGATCACATTTTATAAAGGACATTTAGGGAGTTGTGGAAGATGGTTTCTTCATTCATTTAGGCTGCTACACAAAAATACCATAAACTGGATCGCATATAAACAACAATGTATTTCTCACAGTTCTGGAGGCTGGAAATCCAACATCAAGGCACTAGCAGCGTCTGGTGAGGGCCTGTTTCCTAGATAGCTGTCTTTTCACTGTAACCTTACAGGATGGAAGGCTTGAGGGATCCTTGTGTGGTCCCTTTTTATACAGGCATTAATCCCAATTATGATGGCACCACCCTCATAACTTAATCAACTCCCAAAGGTCTCACTCCTAGTAACATCACCTAGGGGTTAGAATTTCAATATATGAATTTTGGGCAGACACAAACATTCAGACCATTGCAGATGGATTCAAAGGCAATGAGGTAAGAAACAGCAGGGTGATCAATTAGAGAAGCATTGAAATAATGCTGATGAGAGATGATAGGGAGTTAAAGTAAGCTGTGACCAGGTGCATGAGAGTGAAAGTTGCTTAGGAGGTAGAACTGACAGCATTATGAATAGCCACCTGGGGAGTGTCGGAAGGCATTGCAGTGGCCACCGGGGTTCAGGGTTGGTAGACAAGCTGATGATGATGTCACCAACTAAGATGCAAAATCCTGGGGGAAAAGCAAGTAGGAAAGTAGGAAACATGGTAAGTTTGATTTTGCATGTGCTGGTATTGTGGACTCTGTGGGACATCCACATGGAGCTCTCTATAGAGAGGACGGCCTGGTGAATATATATCTGTAGATGTGAACATTATTTCCAAATTAATTACAAATTAAAAAAATAAGAATCATATATCATGTTGCTTTGGAGTTTGTTGTTTTGTTTTTAGATGTCCAAATGCATAACCTGGCACAGAGCAGACAATCAATAAGCATACGTTGAATTAGTAATAATGTATTATATTAAGTACACTTGAAGCTTTCCTGATAGTCTTCTATAAGAGGCTCCAATAAAGGGTAGACTCACCTTTAAATTTGGCTTACAATGAGTACTAGCTAGGAACAAAATAATTGCTCATGATTTCAGAGAACACTTCTTGAAGTGACAAATATATTTCTTTTGATAAAGGTAACCATTAATGGATTATCTATAATGTGATAATTGCTTCTTATATTTATCTAGCTCTGTTTAGTTTCCCATTCTTTTTTATGATTTAATGTACTCATAGTATTTATATGCTTAAACCATTGTTAACTGGATTTTTTTTCTGGTAACCAATAGCATTTCTTACTGATACAATTTTACAGATGGAGGAAAGAAGTCAGAGAAGATGAATGGTTTGCTCACAGTAATTCAGCAGTGTCTAGAGTTCTTCCCATGATATCATAATTCCTCTCAACATCATGAGGCTACTGATGGAAAGTGCCTTTAGGTATCTGTCATTAATTACTAATAACAAGGTATTTTTCAGGGGCAAAAGCTGTTGTTACTTAGCCACACTGTTGAAAACTCCTTTGCCGTGACTAACTCTTGTCAATCCTGACAGTGATTCAAGAAAACTGTTAATTTCATTATTTTTATACTGACTTTGCTAAAGATTGAAATCAATTTGCTACATTTTTGGTATCTTTTAAATAGTATAAATAAATTAGAACCAAATCTGTAACAATATAAAAAAATATTATATAGAACTGCCTATTAAATGTTTTGTGTTTTCAAATATTTCTAAAAATGATTACAATTTGATACTATTATTAAAATTTAAAATTCCGTCTTTGAAACAGAAGTTGTCAGGTACTGATCTGTTACTGTAAGATGCCAATCATATTATCACATTTCTAGTTGCTGAAGTATTTTATGAATTTTGAATTCTATTAAATGGTGATTTATTTTTTTCCAGATAAGTCACCATGCAAGAGGCACTTATTACACATGTTTTTCAGCATATGTTGCAAGTTTATTTTAATGCTGAAGAGGCACATTATGATCAAAGCAGAATTCTGCCCAATTTAAACTGTTCCAAGCTATTTTCATACATTCACTCATGTAATACTGTAAGATTTACATTAAAATGAATGCTCGTCTACAATTAAGCGATTCAGTCAACATTTTAAAAAAAGGTGCAAATGTGTGCAACGTGAAAAAAAATCAACAGATGTGCGAATAATCTCTACTTCGGGGCCAGTATCAAAAAGAGCAGTAGCCAAAAAAAAAAAAAAAAGTTAAAAGTTTCAGCACTTATTTTTCGTCTATCCTCTAAGGTTTTCTATACCTAAGTTAAAGGACACACACATAAAACAGTCATAAGACATTTCCTTATGATGATAATTGGATTAGTCAATAATAAATTGGGTTGAGGAACAAACAATAAACTACAGTATTCACAGTAGAACTTAAAGATGGATATATATTTTGTTTTCTTCTGATTCTTATACTCTTCTATTCTGATGATGAATATATTCCAAAGCAGCAATGATTCACCTCTGTTCAGAGAAGAGTACACATGTAAAACCAGAATATTTAGCACTAATGTATTTTTAAAAGATAGCCAGCTAGGATATAATAACAAAAGCAGAAAGAGCTTCTGATCCTAGAGGTGAATAAATCTGCAAGCCAGTGCATGCATGCAGTTTTGCAGGTTGTATAATGCATAACTGAAGGGGTCACCATTCACATTGTGGTCTAAATGAATGGCATCTTCTTGAATTTTATAGAGCACATCCTGCACAATTATAATGTACTGGGGCCATGGAAAACATCATGAGTATGATGGAAATGTAAAGAGTTTGTTCAGATAGGATAACTGAGATCAAAGTGCTTCTTAAAACCTCATCTCTGTTCCATGAGATATATTTTGGTGACCATTGGAAGGATGTCCAGTTTTCACCTACTTCAGTAGCAGATGTGGGGCAAAGAAAACCTTGATGCCAATTGACAGTCTGTAATATTTAGACAATCTAAAGCTTCTGGTCTGATAACATGGATAAAAACTACTCAAATCTCATCCCTATTCTCTCCTCCCCCAGCGAATTAATTGCAGGATATTTCTTCCTTTATTATTTTAACTGAGCTTCCCAGTGACATCTATTTGAGAAAATAAGAAGTGGAAATGGCACTCACTGACAAGCACATTCTTAGACAGGGAGAAAATGAATTGGTATAATTTTACTTAAAAATATTCTCCATTAATGTTTTTCAACATGATTAACATTTATGAAAACATTGATCTATATTATAGTAAATTACATACTGTACTTTAAAATGAGGACTGTGCTTTTGTTTACAAATTTCAACATGCTTTGCTATCCTAGATGAAATCTGAATACATGAAAACTTGAGGGGCCTTATATATGTACCCATGTTTAATCCTGATGTGGCCCAAGGCTTCAACTGTTCTAATTTATTGCAGCTCTTCTACACAGTTCTACAAGTAGCTTGGTGAGCTGACACATTTCTGTGTCTATGTGGGTTAATCTGAGCAAGAAAATGATTAGCCTGAAGTCTCTGGCTAAATCACTAACCATACTTTAATCCATTAGATGAGACCACCTCTCTACTTACATTTTAAATTGGGAAACATACAACGGCTGAGAAAACATAGGGCTTATGCTTTTTGATGAGCTAATATAGCCTAAATTGTCTTGGTAAACTCTTCATTGGCCCTTTGCCCATGAGAACTAAAAGGTTCAAGTGCCTAGTCAACTGGCTAAAAGGAAGTTTAGCATGTTTCTGGAAATTACAAAATAGCCAAGACCTGTGTTGTCACAACAGGGCAGCAAATATTCTCCACATTGAAAAAGGGATGTTAAAAACAGGGCCACGAGTATGGGAAGAGAACGTACGTTCATGTAGATCAATTCTAGGGGAAAAAGAAATGTATTACTATAAATTGTTGGTAGTTATTTTCTAGCAATTCTTTGATATCAGGGAATGTATTTTTATTTGGAAACACTTTAAGCACTTGTATAAGCTTTCATTGTGTGTGTATGTGTCCACAACTGTAGCTATTCAAGAAATATCCTATGTTTTTATCCTCTTAATCAACTTCATTCTTCCTTCATGTTCCCATTGCTCCAACCTATCAGTAAATCTACTCTCAGATATCTTACAGGCTTATTTCCTCTCTAAAGATTGTATAACAGCTAGGAAAATGTGAAAATAGCCTCTCATCTTAGTGTGTCATACTGTCACTGTGTATTCATGTGACACAAGCTTGCATTCTGATGCCATGTCCATGTGGGGCTGAGGAAACTTGTGGAGATTCATCCTGATATCTGCCTCCCCGGATGCATTCACATCTCTTTCAACTGATAATGTCTTTCCACCTCCTCAAAACTCTTCCAGGGAGCAGCTATGGTTCTACATTGTTCTTGAGACCCACCCACAGTAACCATCTTCTCTGCTTGGACCATCAGAATCTTTCCTATCTCTTTTCTTATGTTTTAAAGCTTCTCTTTCTTGGGGACACCTCATATCATCTCTTCTGGGAGCAGAAGTTATACATTGTTGGCCAGAGGGTTGAATCTGGTTCACAGAATTGTTTGGCTCATAACATATTATGTTCTAAATTTTTCAACATTTGTTAAAGGTTTTAAAAAATAAGTGGATTCTACATAAACATGTGATTCTGAGACTATCTTCAAAGATTGGAGGATCAGACAACATTGGGCCAACTTATCCTCCTTATAAACCTTTTCACCTTTAGACAGGACATGCTCTTTCCAATCACCCAAGTCCCTGCCCAGTGTGCTTCATTTCTGGCCCCACAAGGCATTTGTGATTTGTCTTCTGATCTCTCATTCTCAACTGCTTCTATGTTGTACTCTGCAAAAAATCACACGGCCAGAATGAGGGAATGAACCTTACTACGTATGGGAAGTAGAATCTTACTATAGCTTACTAAAATAGGGTGGCAAAATACAGGCAGATAGGCCAAATAATATGATATATATATGTATGTTATAGAAGATAGATCAATTGATTGACAGGTAGATAGAAGCAAGAAAAACTATAGACTTTGGGTAAGATCATTTCTGGTATACAATACCAACTAGTTGATAATTAATTTAATAATGCACATATTCAAAATAAAAACTTGCATATTAACTACAAAATGTAAATTCTCTTAAAACTTGGCTTTACTGAAATGAGCTATACAGACATAATATGTGTCCTTATAGAGACTACAGTCTATACTAAGAAAGACTGTAAAGAGATGTGGAATCCACATAGGAAAATGTGTAATTAAAACACCAGTTGAAAAACATGATAGGGGTTATGACAGGGCTAAGTCCAAGGTGATAGATAGTTTGTAGGAAGAAAAATTAACCAACCTTAAGGGAAGATTTGCCTGAGGAATTCATGTGTAAGCAACAACTGGAAGCATGTGAGACTCATATCCAGGTGAACAAGGAGGTGATGGTGGTTTCAGGAGGAGAAACAGCAAGTGCAAAAGTACAGCAAAAGGTGAGATGAAATCTAGTGCTTAAATCTACCTAGAAACCGTTCAGTATGGTTGCAGCACAGAATTTCAGGGCATGTGGGAGAAAAGGCATATTAGGCTTAATAAGGCAAGCAATACCTGGGCATATGACCTTATAAATCATGTTAAAGAGTTTGAACTTACATAAGGGACTGTGGGTCCCCACTGAGATATTTTTTACAGTAAACAACATAATCAGATTTTTGATGTTGAGAAATCACATGAACCTGCTGAAATGTAGTTTCTATACCCATAAAATAGGAATAGTGTCGTATATCCTGGTTGCCTCATTGGATTGCTGCAAAGATCAAATCAAATAATATATGCTAAAATTCAGCAAATTCTAATATGCAAGTAATATTATAATGCATAAAGTTTATTTATTGTTGCAACTATTTTTTGTAGAAAGTGTGTGAGCCAATCTCTGATAGGCTAATAGATTGTACTACATGACAATGAGTAGTAAAGCACAACTCATATCAGTTATTAGCAAACATTCTATTAAGAAATGTGAAGAAAACCTAAGTATTAGGGTAAAAATGTATGAGATGGAATTTATAAATGTTGGCAATAACTTTTAATTAATCTTTTATTATACTGTTTCTCTTACTGGGAGTTGAAGAGGTTGATCATGTTTTCTTGCTGCCCAACACTTTTTAAGCAACTTCTATGTTTCAGGAATAGGAACCCTGCCTTTAGAGGGCTACAGAAGCTCTCTCCCTCTGCCTCCTTTGAGGTCAACATGTGATCCATCAGTATGTGATCCATCAACATATGATCCGATAGCACCTGATCCCTCAGACTGTAATCTATCAGAGTGTGAGTCATCGTGTGTGGGATCTTTCAAAGTGTAATCTGCCAACATATGACCTAAGCTTTGCCAGTCGGGTGCATTGGTGTGAGATGTTTGGAATGCAGTGGCTTGAAGAGGGAGATAACAGGCAGAAACAGTTCTGGCCAGGATGGCATGGAGACATTCTGTTCTCTGAGGGCATGGAGTCCGAAGTCCTAGGGGTAGCATCCTGTGCCCAGCTTCTCTGTGGTGAGGTGTTGGACTCATGCACAGAAGCAGAGACATTAAGGTTACCTGTGGGAATGCCAGGCAATGTACTTGGTGAGTGGTTCCTGGCTGTATGGCTTTTAAGCCTAATTATCTGTCCTTTGGAGAGATTTTGGGGGTAACTAATATCAGTAAACATGTTCCTTTTCTCCTCCCACAAATGAGAGTGGATTCTGTGGTTTACAAGTAAAAATCCTGACTGATAAATGTGTCAAAATAAAACTGTTTTTTCATCTTAAGGTGGCAACCTTTTTTTACTCCTTTATTGTACTTGGGAACCAGGGCACACAAACCATGAGGATGAGTATATAAATGTGGAACAAAAGAGGGGAAGGAAATGGATTCCAATACTCTATCTTCAAAGTGAACTAAAAAAATGTAAAATGAATAATCCCCAAAATTATATATGACTTGTCAGCACAATTTCTCATTTGAACCTTGAACCAGCATCTACAGAACTTTGTAGATGAACTTCTATAGAAGTTTGTTTGTAAAGCTCTACTCTATGATATTCTCAGTAAAGTTTTACAGTGATTAAATATGCAAGCTTTTATATGAGTTCTGGGTCCAGATTGTTGCTCCTTAAGTTATTAATTGTGTGACTTTGAAAAAAGTATTTAATCTGTATAAGCACCTGTCTCTCCAGTAAAATAAAACAAAATATCCAGTGAGAGAGTATATTCAACACATTTAGTGCTATGCTTGGCCCAAGACAGACCTTTAATAGTTGCTAGTACTGCTAACAATTAAAATAAAACATTTACTTGAGCTTGAAAAAATATTTCAGGGATGGAACAGGAATAGTGGGGACTAGTATTCGGGTTTTTAAACTGCTGGTGGAAGTGCAGTATTAGAAGGCCTTAAAAACTTGAAGAAAACAAAGACCAGTCTAGGATAAAGAAGTATATTCTACTTAATCTTCATGTTTGAAGTAGGAGGCAGGAAGGATTAATGGGGGTTCAACTTCTACTTCAAACAGTTTCCCTCCCTTTTGCTGGGTTGCAAGGGATTGTAAACAGCCTCAATTTCTCCCTCTTTATACATCTTCTTCCCTCTTTCTTCTGTGTTATGCATTGATATTTCTTTATGTTTGTGTGTACACATATACTAGTATTTCTGTATTGAGTAAAATAATTCAAAACGAGAATAGTTGCATTAATTTTACGACAGTTAAAGGAACCGGCTTTATTGGTTCCATTCTTCATTTTTCTGCATTCTAGCCTTCTCGCTTTGGTTTTGAAATATAGAAGTACTAGGTAGCCTCTGTATCTAGCTTGATTCTTTATTCACTGAAAACACAGCTAGTGTTTTTTCAGTCCTATATGAGTGCTCCAAGAGTTGTTAGAAATAAACAAAAGAATATTCATAGCCTCCTGGAAATAGCTAGTTTTTTTTTTTTTCATTTATCCTTTTTACTTTCTTCCTTTTGGATTCTCCTCTTCTTTCCACTCCATCTCTTAATTGGCTTGCTTCTTGGTAGCCTATATATTCTATACAATGACTTACTAAATTACTGGAGTAATATCGACATACTTGCATACATCGTTTCTCTTTTTTCCTGTAGGGCACATGTCTCAAACAGAATATAATTATAGCTAGATGCTGAGTGGGAAACAAGCAGTCCTTATATATTGAGGACATGAGTATAAGCCTGAGTAACTATTACTACTGATAGAAAAAAAAAAAACGCCAAATTTAAAAAACCATCACCATTCATCAATTTTTAAATTGTATCTCATGTTTAAACATTTATTTGCTTCAAATGAATAATTAAAGTCAGTCCCATCTCCCCCTAAACCAAAATTAAGTAGCATTGAAATTCCTTTTCATAGAGAGATATATACGACAAGATTGGGTATTTGGAAAGATACAGACACTGCTTGCAACTATAAAAACAAGATCAAAACATTTGGATGCCCTTTCTCCACTTCAGTAGGACAGCAACTACACAAGGCTATTCTCTGGAGTAATGATCTTGTCTCCTTCCAAAGGTTTTTTTATCCTATATTCAGGAGGTCATATGCAGTCTTCAGCTGCACAGAGCTCCACTCCTATTAATTTAAAATGGGGGCTCCAGAGGTTCACATTCAGCAAAATCTGCCCCTTAAGAGGTAAGCTTTACCAATCTCCCATTTGAAGAAAAAAAGAAGCGTTTATCTTTGGAAAAAATAACCTACTTAAATAGTCTATCTTCCCTAACAAGAAATAAAGAAAAACTTCAGACATAAGTTAATAAAATATCCTTTTGATTAAACAGAGTTCACTTTATTTTCATGTTTTGGCAACACTGTTTTAGTGGATTTGCATGGGGGGGCTCTGGTATTGTTATTTTATCATTATATTATCATTTTGTTAAGCTATCTGGCAAATTGAAAAGGTTATTCACCCTATGGCTGTCTTTTTTTTTTTAATGTTGAGCATTCATTGAAAAGAATGAAAGAAATCTGGTTGAATATGCAGGTGCACTAATAAATGGGTGGTCTTTGGATTACAGTATTTATGTGTACTGTGGCAAAGCTGAACAGAAACCTAAATGTTATACATACAAAGTGGTACAACAAGAACATCTGTGTTGGGGGGATTGAACTGGCATGGCTAACACCTCCAGTGCCAGGTGCAAAGGAAATTTCAATACAGCTTGAGTAATCTTGACTGCTAGCATCTGCCTGCATCAGATTATCTCCTATGTTCCTAGTCCACCACTATCCATTAGAGTATTTATATGATACATCTGGTGGTGCAATGGCCAAGCAAGAAGCAGCAATGCCTCCGTTACTGGGGGCAAATGCCTGACTCTTTAACTCAATACAAAGGCAAACAGGAATTCATTTCAGGCCCACAGGCAGCCAGCCAACTCTTCAAGACTAATTAGAAGATAGCACTCCAGTGTGATGGCTGCTTTGTCCTTTCAGTTTAGTTACTTACATATCCATGTGCACAATCTGCAGACATTTAACTTTTCATTTTAAAATCCTATTTCTAAATATCATTTCCAGGAAAATAACAGGGTTTTAATATGTTGCCAGAATCACAACAGAGCTTTAATGTGACTTGGCTCAATCCAAAGTCTCAACATGCACCTGATTTTCAGAATGAATCAATGTGGTCGGGTGAGAATGGTGGAGATCATCAGTCCATTAGTCTCCGCAACATCAAATCTCACATGTCCAACAACACAAAGATTATGTCCCTCTCTTCAAGTCTTCAAATCTTTCTCACCTCAAGAGATGACTGTGTCACCTAATGCAGAGAAAATCAGTGGGATTGCTTTAGCAGTCTGCCATCTAAGAATCTACATAAACCAGCACCTACCTTTCCTCTCTGCTTCCTGTTACCATAGATGTGTGACACCTCTGTCTTTGACTTTATAAAGCAAACCCATCTCTTCCTGCTTTATACACCCACATTTCCCTGATTTTTGCATGCACTCCCCCTCTCCACTGTATCCTTGCCATCTGAATATATTGATCCACTTGCAATCCTCTTCAAAGAAAACCTCTGTAGATGTTATGTTCCCCTACAGCTATCACCTTCCCCAGGGTGAAGGTGTTCTTTCACAATCAAACATCTTTATAGGTTTCTTCACTGTGTTCTCCTACTCACCTCTCAAACTGTTCAAATCTGGCTCCTTTCCTCAACATTTCATGAGACTGTATCATATAAATTGTATAGGTCCCATATCTTCACGCTGCTAAAATCAAAGGGCTTCATCATCCTAATAGCTATTCCTGCAGTATTTGAAACGTGTGACCATTACTTCCTCATGAAGTCTCTTTCCTTAGCCTCTACTATGTGATATTTACTCTCATGTTTTGTGATATTTACTCTCATGTTTTGTGATTTTACTCTCATGTTTTGTGATATTTACTCTCGTGTTTTGTGATTTTACTCTCATGTTTTGTGATATTTACTCTCATGTTTTGTGATTTTACTCTCGTGTTTTGTGATATTTACTCTCATGTTTTGTGATTTTACTCTCATGTTTTGTGATATTTACTCTCATGTTTTGTGATTTTACTCTCATGTTTTGTGATTTTACTCTCATGTTTTGTGATATTTACTCTCATGTTTTGTGATATTTACTCTCATGTTTTGTGATTTTACTCTCATGTTTTGTGATTTTACTCTCATGTTTTGTGATATTTACTCTCATGTTTTGTGATATTTACTCTCATGTTTTGTGATTTTACTCTCATGTTTTGTGATTTTACTCTCATGTTTTGTGATATTTACTCTCATGTTTTGTGATATTTACTCTCATGTTTTGTGATTTTACTCTCATGTTTTGTGATATTTACTCTCATGTTTTGTGATTTTACTCTCATGTTTTGTGATTTTACTCTCATGTTTTGTGATTTTACTCTCATGTTTTGTGATTTTACTCTCGTGTTTTGTGATTTTACTCTCATGTTTTGTGATATTTACTCTCATGTTTTGTGATTTTACTCTCGTGTTTTGTGATTTTACTCTCATGTTTTGTGATATTTACTCTCATGTTTTGTGATATTTACTCTCATGTTTTGTGATATTTACTCTCATGTTTTGTGATATTTACTCTCATGTTTTGTGATTTTACTCTCATGTTTTGTGATTTTACTCTCATGTTTTGTGATTTTACTCTCATGTTTTGTGATTTTACTCTCGTGTTTTGTGATTTTACTCTCATGTTTTGTGATATTTACTCTCATGTTTTGTGATTTTACTCTCGTGTTTTGTGATTTTACTCTCATGTTTTGTGATTTTACTCTCATGTTTTGTGATTTTACTCTCATGTTTTGTGATTTTACTCTCATGTTTTGTGATTTTACTCTCATGTTTTGTGATTTTACTCTCATGTTTTGTGATATTTACTCTCATGTTTTGTGATTTTACTCTCGTGTTTTGTGATATTTACTCTCATGTTTTGTGATTTTACTCTCGTGTTTTGTGATATTTACTCTCATGTTTTGTGTTCCTCTACATCTCTGGACACTTATTCCTAGCCTTCTTTGGCCTCCCTTTCCACCATATTCAACAATTCAAGGATGGAATTATGCAGGGATTTGTCCTGAGTCATCTCTTCACTATACTTTTTCCTTAGAAATTCTCATTCACCAATACGGCTTCAATTGCCATCATCTTGCAGATGAGCTACACATTTTAATCCCCAGCTTAGAGTAAATCAGTTTCCTAAACTTCAAGCCCTAGCATCAAATCATTCATTCAACATCTGAATCTAATACTTCTGAATCTAACTCATCGTTCTCTTTGCCACCAAAATACTTTTTTTTCTAAAGTACCTAGTCCTTCCAAATTTCACCACCATCCATCTAACTGATTAAGCTAGATAATTCACCATTTTTGACATCTCTGTCTTGTTCCTTTTCCAAATCGATCAATTAGTAAGTATTGCCAATTAACTTTTAAAAACGTAAACATTATACATGACTATGTACTTTATAAAAAATGGCAATAATTGTCCTTTCATCATCACTCCTAATCCTTGGGCATCTTTCTTTACACAGAGGTAATACTAATTATGAAATATATTCATTCAAATTTTTGTCTATTCTTATACTCATATATGTACCAGTTCAATTTGAAATATATCAGTTTTGTATATCAATTTTTATAAAAAAATGGTAACACATTCTAAAATTTGATTTATTCAGACAAAAACATGTCCTGGAAAGCTATTTTCGTATATATATCAATTTGATTCATTTTAATTAATGCCCAAAATACCACAGTATATATATCCCTCTGTTAGAGTTTCTTCTATTTAAAGTTGCGCTTTCTCATTTTTTCTGTTAACAATGCTGCAATGAATATATTCAAGCATGGCTCCTTATATGAATGATTCTCAAGATAGAGAAATAGAGATTGAAAAGATATTGACATATTACATTCCCAAGTGGTACTGGGAGAAAATTCTCCATGGATTTGTCACTTTTCTGTATGTCTGGGAAGCAAAGCATCGTCTGTCATTTATTCCATAATATCTTTTAAAAAGATGTAGAGTGAACAGCCTTGGAAAACAACATGTCTCCCTCTGGAGCAAGGGGAAGGTATGCTAACTCTTCAGTATAATAGCATTTCCCCTAAGCTTGGAGTTCTTCTCCTATGATGCAAACCATTGCAGAAGCAGGTGTTACCTGGCCCCCTTAGTGTCATCCTGTGGGAACTGGGACTTCAGGAACTAGTGCAAAAATGCTGATTATTCTGGTTGCTGTTATTGCTCTGAGTAATAAACTAAATTTATCTCTGGCCCAGGATTCTCATGCCTTCCACCAGCTTTCACAGAACTGTGGTGACGGTGATACAGTTTACCCTCTCATCATACAAGTCTGAACAATATCAGCTTCTTCACATTACAGCCAATAAGTGATAGTAATAAATGTTTCTTTTTTTCCAAATAAAATAAAAGAAAAAAGGTATCTTATTTCAGTTTGCATTTCCCTAGTTATTAGTATAGTGAGGTTTTACATGTTGCGTTCTCTCTCTTTCCTTCTTCCTCTTTTTCTCTCTTGCCATTTATCTCTTCCCAAGTACTCCTTATACTTTCACTTTTGTTCATCTCTGATGCCACCATCCTAGTTCAAAGTAGCTGCAATTATTTCCTAACTGGTCTCCCCAAGTCTACTCAGCCTCCCTCAAACACAGATCTGATCACATGGCTTCCTTCCTTAAAAACACTTGGTCTTTCCAATTGTCTTTAGGATAAAACTTGAAACCCTTGACAGGGCCTACATGCTCGGGATAATCTTGTCTCTAGCTCTATTTGTTGACACTCTTGTCTTCATTTTCAACTTACATTTAGCTTTTAACTTTCTTGGATATGGCACGCTCTTTCTTCTTTTGGGGATTTCATTCATTTAGAAAAAAAATTCCATGTGCTATTTCAAATTAATGTTTTTTAACAAAGAAAAATTTAATGTTTAGGAAATAAGGAGAAAAAATCTGCTTTGGTTGTAAACTGCAATGAAAAGAAAAGAAAAAGTTTAGGCAGAAAATATATGTAAATATTATATGGTACTTATTTCTGGATAAGGGGATAAATGCATTTTCTTATTTTAGTTATTTTAATTTTCTCTATTCTTTCTTTCTCCAACAAACATATTTTGCTCTATTAATTAGAAAAAATAATCTTAAAAAACTGCTTTTTTGGCCTCTATCCTGCTCTCTCCTATTACATAATTACAACAAAGCAAGTAATGAAGTTTCAAAAGGAAAAGTTTAGGAAGAAAATATATAATTTCACCCACAAAATGTAGCACAATTTCAAAAATACCAAATGAAAACTAAATGCCCAAACAGCTTCTTTGTCATCACCTAAGCTAATTTCAAATGAATAAGACTAAGGGAATACAGTACTGAATTGAGAAGGCCAATGCCTGCCTCACCAGTTTTAGAGTCAGAGTCACACAGTACTGTCCTGACTTCCATTCGCTCCTCCCTCCTTCTCCCACTCCATTGCTTCTCCTCCCACTCAACATTTAGTAAGCACTGTCTATGTGCAGTGAAGTGAAAGTCCAAGAAGTTCATGCTGAAATAGAGGAGCTGATCTGTAAGTACCTACACTCATCCTGATGGCAAATGAACAGACAAAAGCATGAACGCAATGATTATGACCGGAGGCAGCAGTTGAGTGGTCTTGAGAAAAGCATGGACTCTTGCCTGGTGGCTGAGAGATGTAGTGAGATTTCTCATACAGAATAAACAGGAAGAATATGGCAATCTAGGGCAAATATAAACAATCCCATAAGAAAGGAACCTGTAGTATAGGCATGCATGTGAGTCAAGGTGATTAATGATGAACCTGGGAGAAAATTAAGGTTTTCGAGCCACATTAGTCTCAAGGGTAAAAAAGAGGCAATGTATTTATAAAGTGCCCCACAAAATGCAGGGCCCCATAGTAAGCATAAATATTATTCATTCTTCCTCTCCCATCTCTTGCACGTACACTCCCTTTCAAATTTCATAAAAGTCTATGTCATGTAGATGTATTCCAAATAATAATAAAGATGGTAATAATAGTAAAAATAACCACTAATCTATAATAAGTACAATTAGCATACAAATGTTTTACACGTTTTATCTCATTCAATCTTCAATTACTCTCATAAGGTGGCTACTGGTATTACCTTCATTTTGCCGATGAGGAAACCGAGACACAGAGTTAAGTAACTGGCCTAATTAAATTAATTCATGGTTGAGGTAGGATTTGCCATCAGCCATTCTGATTTAGGATTGGAGCTCCAAGATAATAACAGTAACTAGAAGTGTAATTAGTAACCAGTGTTATTTCTCTGTGCAATGAAATTATATGCAAATGGAAAAAGACAAGATTTGAAAGGTATGCATTTTATTCACAAAAGTCAAACATTAAAAAAATTTATTTATACAATGTTAAGCATGTTTCTCTCTGTATGTTTGCCACTTTGTATATATGGCCTGGATATTATTTCTTTAAGCAGATTAATTTTCAGATTCATTCACAAACAGTTACAAACCTCTTACTATATACCAAGTTTTATGTTAGAACTTTAAAGAGTTGAAAACAAGCAGATAACATTCTTGCCTTCCTGGAGTTTATGGCCTAATGAGTATAACAAATTTAAAACAAAAATGAAGATATACGATTGTAAAATATAACAAATGCCATTAAGGAAATAATATGAACACGTTATGAAATAGAACAAGAAGAAGAAATAATTTAAATTTTTTCTACTTTAACTTTTTAATCTGGACAGAAGTGGAGATAAGGAATGTGGTTAGAGAAGAAATAAAATGACACTGGTAAATATCAGTAACTATTACTCAACTCTCAGCCATGTCTAAGTTTTTTTGGACTTTCAAGGTCACACTAGTGTACTGTTATATGTCATGAGTAATAAATTTGGTTTAAATATTATTATGAACCCAAATTATAGAATAAAAAGGTGACTATGAAAATGCATATAGCAGGCCGGGCACAGTGGCTCACGCCTGTAATCCCAGCACTTTGGGAGGCCGAGGTGGGTGGATCACCTGAGGTCAGGAGTTCGAAACCAGCCTGGCCAACATGGTGAAACCCCATCTCCAACAAAAATACAAAAATTAGCCAGGCATAGTGGTGGGTGCCTGTAATCCCAGCTACCCGGGAGGCTGAAGCAGGAGAATCACTTGAACCCGGGAGGTGGAGGTTGCAGTGAACCGAGATTGAAACATTACACTCCAACCTGGGTGACAGAGCAAGACTCCGTCTCAAAAAAAAAAAAAAAAAAAAAAAGAACCATATAGCAAGTTCCCTCTTTTGTCAACGTGTATGTGTATGTGTGGGTGGGGAGGGAGGTGTGTGTGTTCTTAAAATAACTTAAAGGTCTTTTAAAGGACTTACACCAATGTGTTGGTAATCACTGTCTTCAGTAGATAGAATTATGAATGATTTTTTGTTTCTTTCCAACAATTTATTTTCTATACAGTTTATCAGTTTTTATGTAGTACACTGAACAAGAAAAATGTACAAATATATAGTTTTAAAAGTTTTTCTGAACCTCTAAGCTAGGATCTTGTTTCATCTCACACACTGAATGAAACTTTATGAATTGAGAAAGCCACTTCATTCCCTGGCCTTCACATCAAATGACAAGAGAAAGGGCCAGACAGTCTAGTCTCTAAGGAACTCCTAGAGATCCAGAGTGTATCTAAAGCAGATGCCTAAGTATTCTAAAGTCCTATTTATTTATTAAAATTTTAAAGTGAGAATAATTCAGTTTTATCTATAAGTAATATTTTTTCAGTAATACTTTTTATAATTGTGAACAATTGTTCACTACTTTCCTCTACCTTTATTTGAATTTAATGTTTGGATTTTTGTTTGCTTCCTTGGGACGTGGGTTTTTTTCCTAGACTTCAAATCTCTGAAGCCAGTACCTTATTCCAGTTGCAATCTGTATAATTTCACTTTTTCCATTTTTAGTAACATTAAAGAAAAAAATCATCACAAATCATTCTTGGTTGTTTATCTGGACAAGTGTTCTCAACTATTCCAAAGCTCTAAGACCACTGTAAACTTTTGAAATGAGTAATTATACCAGGTTTATATAAAAGTCATATGCTGACCAGTTACACGGGAAATTAAAAAAAAAACTAGAACGTACATGAGAAGGAGAAGAACAGGCCTCAAAACAAGCTAAAAGTGAGATGCAAGTGAAAAAAAAAATCATACGTCCACATATAGACCTGTATGAATATTTTCCACATGGAGCTCAAACTATCTAGTCCCTTACGCTTTCCCTGTGAGGTCACCATGGGCTTAATGAATGTACCGGTGCTTGATAGAAAGTTAGGCTCTCCTCAAGACAGGTGACTCTCCATCTTTCTCACTTTTTATCTTTTCTTTCTTTGTCCATTGAAGTCTAGATGGTGTCCCTCTATTGCGTCTGAATCCATGGTCCTGTCCATACTTTTGTAATAATAAATACCTTTGTAAATAAACCCTTCTGAGGACATCCTAACTTGTTTGTTTCCTAGTAGGTTCATTACTAATATGCAAATATTAGCTTTCATTTGGCTTTAAAATAAAATAAGCTTTATTTGGAAGGGTAGATTCATATGAAAACAAGACACATGTCCCAGATGAAACTTCGTGTTCATAACACTTAAGCCTTCAAAGTGTTCAGATTATGTAAAATTTGAGAGAAAAGAATAATCAGTTTCAATACGAGGTATTCCAGTATTCATGTGTTCAAAATAGAGAAGAGGAAAAGAAATGGAGAAGGAATTTGAAATATTTTCCAAACAGATCATACACTTGACCTCTAGCTTAACTTAGCTATGATACTTGAAGTCATATTTACAAGGTCATAGTTTTAAAAGGAGATACATCTTGATCAAGATTACTCTATTTGTCTCTACACTGAAACCATCTTGCAAAAGCATTCAATAGTTAAATAAAAATATCTTTCTAATGAAAAACTAGTGAAAACCACAATGATATTTGCTTAACCTCATAGGTGAATTTGTTGGTGGTCTAAGATGTCTGCCAACAAAAGCTCTTTTTGTGCTTTGAATTGACCAAAGGCCAAATGCTAATGGAAATGAATACCTGATCTGCTTTGAAAGTGAATCCTGCCTACAATGAATAAGAGATGGCTTGAAGGAAGATAAGGGGAAGCTGATCATACTTTTGTCCATTTATGGACTTTCTAAACTAAAATATTACATTATATCCTTTGAGAAAGAAGCTGAACCACCATTCCCGGGACAGAGTTTTTTTTTATAGCTTTATTGAAATGTAATCCACATATCATTCACCCATTTAAAGTGTGAAATTCAGTTTTTTTTAGTATATTCAAAGTTATGTGCAACCATCATCACAGTAAATTTTAGAACATTTTCATCACTTCAGGAAGAAACCCTGTATCTTTTAGATATTGCTGCTGTATTCTCCAATCCCCCACCTCTCACCCTCAGTCCACTATTCTCCCAGCAACTAATGATCTACTTTCTGCCTCTGTAGATTTTCCTATTCTGAATATTTCATACAAATGGAATCATAGAATATGTAGTATTTTGTGATTTCCTTCTTTCACTTAGCATGTTTTTAAGGTTACTCCATGTTCTAGTTTGCATCAGTACTCAATTCATTTTTATAAGTGAATAACATTTATTTGTATGAATATACCATATTTTCTTTATCCATTCATCCCCTGATTGGCATTTTGATTGTTTTGACCTTTGGCTATTATGAATAATGTTGCTTTAAACATTAATGTACAGGCTTTCTGTAGACATAAGCTTTCAGTTTTCATGGACTCTGACCTAAGATTGGAATTGCTGAGTCAATGTTCTAAATCTATGTTTAGCCATTTGATAAACTTGAAAGAATGTTCTCTAAATTGGCAGCACTATTTTACAATGTGACCAACAGGGTATAAGGGTTATGATTTCTCCACATTCTTGGCAACACTTAGTGTTATCTGACATTTTTATTCTAATGGGTGGGCAGTGGTATTTCTTTAGGGTTTTGATTTGCATTTTCCTAATGACTAAGGATGTTGAGCACCTTTGCATGTGCTGATTAGTATCTCTTCTATACGTATATATACCATTTCTATGTGTTCTTTGGATAAATGTCTATTAAGGACATCTGCCATGCTGTAATTGGGCTATTTATTTTTTGTTATTGAGTTGTATCATTACATATTATAGAAATAAGTCTCTATGAGATATATGATTCCAATTATTTTCTCTCACTTGTGTTGTCTTTTCACTTTCTTGATAGAGTCCTTTGAAATGCAAGTTTTAAATTTTGATGAAGTCCAATTTACATATTTTTTCTTTTGTTGTTCATGCTGTTGGCATCATATATGAGAATCCATTGCTGAATCAAGTTTATGAAGATTTACCCTTGTTTTCGTCTAAAAGTTTTATAGTTTTAGATCTTACACTTACATCCTTGATTATTTTTTAGTTAATTTTTCTATACAGTCATGTGTCACTTAATGAGTGGACTACTTTCTGAGAAATGCATCATTAGGTGATTTTGTCATTATGAGAACATTATAGAGTGCACTTACACAAATATAGATGATATAGTCTACTACACGTCTAGGCTAAATGGGATAGTCTATTGCTCCCCGGCTACAAAACTGTACAGCATGTTTACTGTACTGAATACTGTAGACAACTAACTGTAACACAATTGTAGGTATCTCTGTATGTAAGCATGTCAAAACATAGAAGAGGTACAGTAAAATTAAGTTATTATTATCTTATGGGACCACCATTATATATGCAGTCCATCATTGACTAAAGCATTGTTAATGTGGGGAACGACTGTATAGCACGAAATAAGAGTCCAACTGCATTCTTTGTATGTAGATATCCAGTTGTCTCAGCATTTTTTGTTGAAGACTATTGTCTCCATTAAATGGTCTTGGCACTCTTATCTAAAATTAGTTGACCACAGATACATGCATTTATTTATGGACTCCCAATTCTATGCTATATATATATATATGTCTATCCTTATGTTACTACCACACTGTCTTGATTACTCATGGTTTGTACTCCTTTTTCGAAATCAGAAAATGTGGATACTCCAACTTTGTTAATCTTTTTGAAATATTATTTTGGCCTGAATCTCTTGCAATTCCAAATGAATTTTAGAATCACCTTGTTGATTTCTGTAAAGAAGCCAGCTAGGATTCTGATAGTGATTGCATTGAATCTGTAGATCAAGTTGGTGAGCATTGCCATGTTAACAATATTAAGTCTCCCAATCCATGAACACAAGATGTTTATCTGTTTATTTACATCTTCTTTAATCTCTTTTGACAATGTTTTGCAATTTTCAAATGTTTTCTTTCTTTTAATTTTTTAAAATTTTTAAAAATTTCTTTCAATGATGTTTTGCAGTTTTGAATTTCATTTGCTAAATTTATTTTTAGCATTTTATTCTTTTCTGAGGCTATAATAAAATTTTTTTTTAATTTCATTTTTTGTTGTGTTGCAAGGGTCTAGAAATACAATTGATTCCTACCTATTGATCTTGTGACTTATAAGCATGCCAAACTCATTGATTAGTTCTAATATTATTTTGGTGAATTCCTTAAGATCTCCTATATATAAGAACATGTTATGTGCAAATAGAAATAGTTTTAATTCTTCCTTTTCAATCTGATGCCTTTTATTTATTTTTTTGCCTTTTATTTATTTTTCTTGCCTAATTGCCCTAGCTGGAACTTCCAGCACAATGTTGAATAAAAGTGATGTAAATGGATATCCATGACTTATTTCTGAATAAAGCATCTAGTATTTCACCATTAAGTATGATATTAGTTGTGGGTTTTACATAGAAGCCCTTTATCAGGTTGAGTACTCTCTATTTCTAGTTTGTTGAATGTTTTTTATTATAAAAATTGTTAAGTTTTGTTGAGTACTTTATCTGTGTGTACTGAGTTGATCATGTGATTTTTGGTTTTTATTCTATTGCTATAGTGCATTACATTGATTGATTTCCAGGTGTTAAACCAACTCTCATTCCTGGGATAAATATCATTTGTTCATGTTGTATAATTCATTTTATATGTTGTGAATTCAGTTTGTTAGTATTTTGCTAAGAATTTTTGCATCTATATTCATAAAAATATTGGTCTGTTATATTCTTTTCTTGTTATATCTTTATGTGATTTCAGTGTCATGATAATACTGGCCTCATAGAATTAGGGAGTATTTCTCCTCATTTTTTGGAAGGGTTTGTGAATAGTGGATATTAATTTTTTGTCTTACACATTTGGTAGAATTTGCCAGTGAAGCCATCTGGGTCTTTGCTTTTCTTTGTGGGTAGATTTTGATTACTACTCTGAATTCTACACTTATCAATTCAGATTGAGTCCATTTCTTCTTGAGTCAGTTTCAGTAGTTTGTGTCTTTCTAAGAGTATGTTCATTTTATGTAAGTTATCTGATGTAGTGGCATTAAATTTTTTATAGTATTGTTATAGTCTTTTCTTTTTTAAAGGCTGATAGTAATACTTTCTCTTTCATTTCTGATTCTACTAGTTTGAATCTTCTCTTTTTCTTGGTCAATCTAGCTAAAGGTTTGTTAATTTCGTTGATCTTTTAAAAAAACTTGTTTTTGGCTTCACTGACTTTTTATATTTTTTTCACTTTCCTATTTCACTAATTTCTGCCTTAATCTTTGTTTTTTCCTTCCTTCTGCTTGCTTCAGGCTTAGTGTGCTCTTCTTTTTTTGTTTTGCAGTGTCTGAAGATTGAAGTATAGGCTATTTATTTAAGCTGTTTTTTTCTTAATGCTTACATTTAGTGCTTCAAATTTCTCTCTAAACACTGCATCCCCAAAATTTGGTATGTTACGTCTTCATTCATCTTAAGGTGCTTTCTAATTTCCTTTTTGATTTCTTCATTGATTCATTGGTTATTTTAGAGTATGTTTTTGAATTTTCAATGTTAGTAAATTTCCCATATTTCTTTTGTTATTGATTTCTAATTTTATTCCATTGTTGCCAAACATGTTTTGTATTATTTTTCATCTTTGAGCTTTACTTTATGGGCTAGCATTCGGTCTATCCTGGAGAATGTTTGATGTACACTTGAAAAGAAAAGCATAGTCTACAGTTGTTGGCTGGAGTTTTATATAAATGTTATATAGATATTTATTATATTGGTGTTTGTACAGATGCTGATACACATACAGTGGTTCACAGAGTTCCAATGTTCTATTTCCTTGTTATTTCTACCTAATTATTCTACCACTTTGAAAGTGGGATATAGAAGTCTCCAGTTATTACTGAATTGTCTATTTCTCCTTCCACTTCTGTCATTTTTTGCTTTATTTTGATTTTCTGTTGTTAGGGTATATATGTTTACAATTCTTATATCCTACTGAAGGATTGACGATCATTATTAAATGTCCTTCTTTATCTCTGGTATCATTCTTTGTTTTAAACTCTATCAGTATAACCACTCCAACTTTCTTGTGATTGCTGTTTGCATGATCTGTCTTTCCCAGTCATTTACTTTCAATCTATTTTTTATCTTGTAATCTAAAGTGTGTCCCCTGAAGAGAGCATATAAATAGATCTTGTTTTTCCTCCCCATTCTGACAATCTCTGCCTTTGATTAGGTTATTTAATCCATTCACACTTACTACCATTGTTGATATGGCTGGATTCATGTCTGCCATCTTAATTTTTGTTTTCTATAAGTCTGATGTCTTTGTTGTAAATCTATTGCTTTCTTTTGCATTTAGTATTTTCAAATGCAGAATTTATCTTACTTTAATGATCTTTTTACTATCTCTTCTTAAGCAACCTTAGTGGTGGCTCTAGGGCTTACCATCTACATCTTATCAGAATCAGCTTCATATTTATACTAACATAATTCCAGTGAGATATAGAACTGCTACTCCTACATAATGCAACTTCCTTTCTGAATTTTTATATTTTTATACCTATTACATCTATAAATGTTACAAACACGTTACTTTCCTACATTATTACATTATATAATTTTGTATCTTTTACTGAAGCTCAAAGAATAATATATATAAAAAAGGGCAATGAATATGTATTTATACTATCTTTTATAATTCAATAACTATATCAGTGCCTTTTGTATTATAATGTGGATTCAAGTTATTATAATATCTGGGGTCAGTTGCTTTCAACCTGCACACTTGCCTTTATTACTCAACGTGAGTGAGTTAGCAACAAATTTTCTCAGTTTTGGTTTATTTGGGATTATGTTTATTTTGCTTTCATTTATGAGAGACTTTTGATCAATACAGAATTCATGGTTGATTTTTTTTTCTTTCAGCCCTTTAAATACAGCATCTCATTGCATACTGACCTCCATTGTTTTAGGTGGGAAGCCATCTGTTAGTTTTCTTTAAATTCACTTGGAATTTATGGAGTGGGGGTTACTTCTTGCTGTTTCTAAATTTTTTTCCAGGTCTTTTTCCAGGTCCTTTTTTCCAGGACATTTTTTTCCAATGTCTCCAACATTTTTACTATGTGTGTATGTGTGGATTTCTTCACGTTTATCCTATTTGGAGTTTGTTAGCCTTACTAGATATGTATATTAATATTTTTCAATAAAGCTGGGTAGTTTTTAGCCTTTTTAAAAAATATTTCTCCTGCTTCCTCCTATCTTTATTTCCCTTCTAGTACTCCATCTTGCAATATGTTAATATTTCTCTGAGTAGCATTTTTCTTCATTGTTAAAAATTGTTTGGATTATATAATCTTTACTGATCAATTTTCAAGTCATTAATTATTTCTTTGCCACTTCAATCCAGGGAAATTTTCACTTCAGTTATTTTTCAACCCTTGAATTTAAATGTTTCCTTTGAAATAGTTTCTATTTTTATGTATAATGTATTGATAGCATTTATTTGCTGTGTTATTGTTATCATTCTCTTCTTTACTTTAATCATGATTTCTTACTTCTGTGTACTTATAATGGCTAATTTGAAGGCTTTGTCTGTTTAACTCAATATCTGCTTGCAATCACAGGTAGTTTCTGTTGCCTGTTTTTTCTCCCTTGTGTATGGGTCAGATTTTCCTTTCTCTTCAGGTACCATACTTTTGTATTAGAAACTTGACACTTTAGGTAAAGCATTTTAGCTATTCTGGGTACTCACATTGGGACTTGTTTGCTTGTTTGTTTTGTGACTGTCTGGCTTATCTTTGTGAATTCTAGTCCACCACCACCACCAAATGCCCCATTTTTCCCTCTTGTGGTGTGAAGTTTCTAATAATGCTCCTAAGGGAATACAACCTTGGCTATATGCCCTGCAATGATAGTGACTTTTTCAGGACACTCTTTGACTATCTCTTTCTTTGACCATATTCAATTTCACTAATTACCAGCCTCTTATGCTCTTGTTTTTAACAATGCCCTGGTGCATAGATTGCTTGACCAACAGATCCAATCAAATTCAGGATTATTTGAAGAGATAGTTCCTGAGGTCGGTGTTTGAGATATGTTTTGAAGTTAGGAGGACACTTCCTAGTTGCCTCTATTCGTGGTTCACTCCAGCAAAGTAGCCAGCCTACAGTGCAGCCTGCATTTCCAAAGAATCCACCAATCTCCCCCCAATTGCCTTTCATCATTACCTTCACTGTTTTTGAAAGCACCCTTAGGTTTGAACTTATTCACACTCTATGACAAATTAAGTCAGTTCCTGTGGGAAGAGATATGGAGCTTTCTGTTTTGCAGTCTGTTTCTTCCCTTCGCAAAACCTCTGACAGCCTTCAAACTGGCATGGGGACAATAGTACAGTCTTTCTGCCTGACACTCTAACTTTAGTTGCTGAGTATGGGAGACTCAAGAGTTTTAATAGATTTTCTTGACTACATATTTATTTATTTATTCATTACATGATCCATGTGTGCCTTTTTAAGGAACATTTCCAGAGATTTGTTGCCCCTAAGACCATAAGACCATGTAGAGAGACTTAAACACTTTCTTAAAGCGGTTTTTATCAGTTTCACCAAGGAGTGGGTCCACAGAGCTCCTTATGTTGAAAGAGAAACTTTTACTTTTTAAAAAATCTAGCTACTTGTATTAATGAAATGTTTGTCCTTTTTTTATAGCTTGAATGTGGCTAAGGCCACATAAGCAAATAATTCTTATATATAGATATTAACAAGAGTGATCGGAATATTGTGATGGGTTATTTTGATCAGGTTAATGATATAGACAATCACAGGATATATTTTTAAAAAGTGATAGAGATTTAAAAAAAATAACAATTAGTGGATTAATTAAGAGTATCATTTTCTACTTTGTCTACCACACAAAGGCCTAAATTTAGTCTTTAAATATAGTCAGTCAAATTTATGATAATAAAATGTGCTATTATTATATAAAGGGAATTATTTATTTACTACTTAAAAATTTAGACCATTTAATTTTATAATTAATTTCTCTAAAATGAATTTAAAAATATTACTGTCCTCTATGCTTGGTAGAATTTCTATTTATTTTTGCCTCCCCATAAGTCACCAATCTCCTAGTTTCCAAACTAGTTAGTAAGTTTCCATTTGAAATATCTGAAGGTCAAATTATTATTTAGCTATAGATATCCAAGGATTGAGAAAATGTCCAATCACATAATAAATAACCTGTCAGAATCCCAAGAAGGTATAATAGAAATGAAATAAGTAAAAATAAATCCACACACAGAGACAGAAGCCTATCAGAAATTATTATAAATGGTTGAATTTCAGGGAAAAATGCTATTACAAACATATAATCCCTAGTTACTCATTTTTTTTCTTGATTCTTAGATTTAAAGCCAGATTCCTTCATTATTTCTGACCTGATATGAAACACCATCTGGCATGTGCGTGCTAAGAGGATTATATGTAAGCAAAATAGATATGTTTTTTCTCCTTCTGACTCTAAGACTTTTTAAAGGCGTGTAGATTATTTAGGTTTGAAATGTGAAAATTAAACTGGTAAAGAGAAAAGACAGTTTCTAGTAATATATTCTTTAAAATTAAAGCAATTATACATTGCTTTAACAATGAAGTATTTTAATTGGCATTCTGCAATATCTCTTTTAAATTTTAACATCATGACTATTTTCCTTGAGGATTATAAATTAAGATTCCCTAGAGGAAATGATAAAGATTTTCATAATTATCTTATGATTCATACACATATCAAACTGTATCTCATAGCTCACTAAATCTATGTTGGCCAAATTTTTCAGATAATTATCAAATATTTATCAATATCCAGTTTCATTTAACTTATAATACATGAAATGAATCAATTATATAACACATATAAGATTGCAATTCATGTTTGTGGTTACTTTTCAAAATGAAGAATTTCTGCTGTTTTTAACATTTACTTTAAATTACATAATTTTAAAGCTAGTAGTTTACAAGTCATGTGGTTAAAAAAGAATCTCATTTATCTATTTAATGGGGGTCTCACTGTGTTGCCCAGGCTGCACTCAAACTTCTGGGCTCAAGCGATCTTCTCACCTCCACCTTCTAAGTAACTGGGACTACAGGTGCCCGCACCGCACCAGGCAAGAATCTCATTTTTTTGTCTGTTTGTTTTAAGAGAAAGCTGCCATCCAGAAAGGATATGTGACTTATCTCAAGGCCCACAGCTATTTGATGAGAAGTCCAGGGTTAGAATACAGGTGGTCCAAGCCTTGGTTCATTCTACCTTGGACACTACTGTGTTTCCTTCACAATCCTGATGAACTTTTGTTCAAAAAATTTCACTTTGGAGGGTCTGAGAATATATATAGTTGCCCAAACTTCATGCACACCACACTGTAAATTGAACTAGATTCACACTTTGGAAAGTAATCTTTTCCTACATTCTTACTCAAATGACTATAGTGGCTAATGTTTGAATTGCAAAACATTTCCTAAATATGCAAACTACCAGATAAATCTATGAGAAACAGCCAAACAAACTAGCCAATGCAAATGAAAAGAATAGATCATAATGAAAGTATCCAAAAAGGATCTGCTAAAGTCAATCTACCAGGCATACAAGTGATCTAAATTTCTATTTTATATATGGTATAACTAAAACTTATATGGCTTTATCTTGACAAAATTACACAGAAAATAGAAGAAGGAAGGAGGGAGGCAGAAAGGAGAAGGAGGCAGCAATCTTGTTTATTGGCCTAGTCCTTTGTGCTGGAGTATATTAAAAATGCAAATACTAAAAGCATGGAACAAGGGCACATAATGGCATATATATTTCACACATACCTATGTGATAACATTTACCCATAATTTCATTAAAACAAAAAGCAGCAGGCAAAATGAGAGGGCACTTAAGATGTGGAATTTTATTAAAATTTTATCTATTCTCTTTTATCTCTTGCATATAAGATCATATCTATGTTCAGAATTCTGAATGACTATGTATGCCACAAGAAAATATAAAATAAAATAGTTTAGCAAGATTTTTGTTATTGTTGTCAGCTGTGTCTGACAAGAATATCAATTAAGATGGCATTTGTTAAGCCCTTGTCTATGCTGAACTAGCTACAGTATAGAGTAGTTTAACCCATCTTATCCTATAGGCTCAGAGAACTCAATTCCAGAATCATGGAGAATTTCTGGCTTTGACGATGAGGGTTATTATATCATCAGCTTCTGTGTCTCACTAATTCCAGTGATGACAAGATTTTTCATCATTTATTTTTATTTTATTTTTACAACTGGTGCGTGTTAGGTTTGTAGAACACAGGGTAGAAACAGCTGGAGTTAGTGTTATTATTTTTCACTTTGAAGGAAATAAGAGGCTGACAACAGTGAAGGACAAAGACAAAGTTGTTGCTGGACATGCTCTGGCACATAGGCCACCTCCCACTGCAACCAGTTCTAAATTAATTATTTATTGTTATTTTAGTTGCTGTAACTTTCTGAAGTGTCCTATCTATTGTGAATGGGAGTTTCAACTCATTATTGTTTTGTAAAACCTAAGACTCTAACTTGAAGAGACACTAAATTTAATATGAGTAATCTGAAAACAATTTTAGAGCTGTTTATAGTACACACACACTCGCACCCGCACACACACTCACACACACAGTACAGCGCTACACTGGCTGCTTCATAATGCCACTCAGACAGGACTACCCACAAAGCACACTGGCTTTGCCCAAAACTAATGGATGTGAGCAAAAGTGAAGCTGGTAGATGATTTTGAATTTTGTAGCGATCAGTAAAATCAATCATGAGAGAAATTAACACTAAGATTTTCAGGGCCAAATAAATACTCAACCTCTACCATTGCTCTGGACATATTAAAACACTTTCAAAAAATGTATTCTTTTCTGTCTCAAAACTCATTAGTTCTGTCATCACCAAAGAAGAGTAAAGCTTCAACTACCTAGCATCAGTTTTTTTTCTGTGTGTGTGTGTGTGTGTGTGTTCAAAAATAATTTGCTGTGAATGGTGATAATGAATTAAGAATAGCATTTAGAAGTACTCACAGTAAATTTGAACATATAAATTTCATTAAGAAAATGAGCAGGCTGTGCTGAAATTATACACAAAACCAATGTATATGTATGAGAAAATCTATTCTACAAAAGAAGGGCAGAACAAATTTTGCATTAGCCCAAATTAATTTACTTATATATAAAATCCAGCAGATCTGATTATTTCTTTGTTAGAGAAGTTTTCCAATTTTAAACATTCTATATTGTGTTTATAATATGTGGTCAGTATTACTCATACATACATACACTCATATACAGTAATGCATTGCTCAACAACAGGGATACATTCTGATAAGTGTGTTGTGAGATGATTTTGTCATTGTGAGAGCATCAAAGAGTGTACTTACACAAATATAGATGGTATAGTTTACTACAAACCTGTATAGCATGTTACTTTACTGAATACTGTAGGCAATGGTAACTTAATGGTAATTATTTGTGTATCTAAACATAACTAAACATAGAAAAAGTACAGTAAGAATACGGTATTATAATCATATGGGTCTAGAGTTGTATATGCAGTTGTCATTGACTGAAATGTCATTATGCACTGCATACGTGAATAGATATGGATATATATGAACACGTGTATCTATATTTATGTCTGTAGCATTATTTATTTGTTTCTATGAAATTTATACCACTATAGAAATGCCAGAAAATTAAGCTATCTGGGGAGAAAATTACTGGGGTTAATCTTTAGGGATATTGTTTTTTCAACAATTACAAAATACACTTATGATCAATGACCATCCTTCATTCCCAAGAAATCTGTCTCTAAGCATAAAGTTGTTAAATAAAATATTTTGTTAAGTGTAACAGGATAAATTATGATATATTCCGTCCATGCCAAGATAACCAAATAGTTTTAACTGATAGAAAAACATGTAAAAATAAATATTAGACAAATTTTATATGTATTAATAACAATAATGCAAAAGTCAATGTAGTTTGTACATAAATGCAATGTAATGAAATTTTCCTATCTTTGCCAAAAGGTAAAACTGCTTTATAGTGAAAGATTTGTGGTGGAGGAGGTGCGAAAAAGAGTTGGTCTTTGGAAAAGTCTTGTTGCATCCTTTTTTTCTACTGTTGTTACTTCCTATGGGCTCATACTTACCTTGTACTAAACCTGAACTTAACATTTTTAGGGCAAAACAAATATTTAACAAAAGAGTGCCTCAAAACAACAAAAGTAGAGTTCATGTGCAATAAACTGAAGTACTTTGTCTTCATTCTTTTACTTGGCAAATACACACAATTCAAATTTATTCCATATGATTTCTCTTTCTAGAAAATGTGACTTCACATAAATTGATGAATGCTTTTTTTGCCTGAAACCATGATGTCAAAATAATACTTAGCATGGCCTAGTCACTTAGTGTATTTTTGGGGTAAATGCCATTATACTGAAGGAAAAATTTCTCTTACCTGAAAAATGGTGTATGTTTTCAAAAGCTGTTATGGTAAAATTTCATTAATTAAAGAGTTATTATGTGAGGTAAACTGTAAAGTCAAAAATACTCCACAAATTAAAAAACAGGAGTAGAAATCAATGCCATCAAATAAGATAGAGCAATAACTAAACTCTTTCAAGTGAAAAACGCATATAATAAGAGAATTATTGTAACATTGCCACATTTTATTATGACTCTATAGATTCAAACATACTTTAAAACCTTAGTTTAAACTTTAGAATAAGCTTCTGAGATCAACCGATCTTTCTTACTAGTCTTATCTCTTTTCATTCTCCTTGTTTACTTTGCTCATTTCACTTTCTATAAAGAACCATTCTCTATTCAGAGTAATCTTTATACACATTACTACCTCTGTCTGGAAAGCTACCCTCTCCATATTTACTACTAAGTCAAAGTACCTCAGGGAAGTCTTTCTTCCTCTCCTACCGGATGAGATGTGTTCTTAACATGTAAGACTATTATAAATATTTTCACAACAATTAAATAATTACTATGTTATAATTTGTGTCTTGACTACTATTATGCTGTGATCTTCCAGGAGGACAAGGGCTAAGTCCCTAAGTCTCTGTTGTTCATTGTTGGCTGACGAATTGTATTAAGCAAGGTTAAAAATTCTTTCTTCTTTCCCTTTCTTTCTTTCTTTCTTTCTTTCTTTCTTTCTTTCTTTCTTTCTTTCTTTCTTTCTTTCTTTTTCTTTCTTTCTCTTGGTAAGGTCTCACTGTGTTGCTCAGACTGGAGTAAAATCATAGCTCACTACAGCCTTGAACTTCTGGGCTTAAGCAATCTTCTCACCTGTGCCCCTAGAGTAGCTGGGACTATAGGCCTGCATCACCACCATGCTCAGCCAATTTTTAAAATCTTTTGTAGAGACAAGGTCTTACTATGTTGCCCAGGCTGGTCTGGAACTTGTGGCCTCAAGCCATCCACCTGCCTTGGCCTCCCCCAAAATATGCTTTTTAATGACTGTCCAGTTCACGTTATATTTTCTGATAACATTCTACAAAAAACTATTTAATAAAAATAATTTATTAGCATTTGAAAGAGATATATCAGAAAATCATGAAAAGATTTCTGCAGGAAAATAATTTCCATATTATAAAATTATGCATATTTTATGTGTGTATATGTTTATTATTATGCATATGTATGAGTGTAATTGCACATATGTGTGTGTGAATGTGTGTGTGTACATATATTTATATATAGTCTTTTGGTATGAAATGGATGGTAATTTTCTGCTATACAGAAAAAAAAATAAAACTCATACTGTGTTCTATTCCCTAATAGTGTCTGAAGGTTCACTTTAATGTGATTCTGATTAAAGATGGTCATCTTTATTGATTTTCGAGGAAAAGTAAGTTGAATTGATGTGAAGTTTTGACATTTCTAAGGAAAAAATACCTTGTGATTGAAGTATGTCAGTAACAGTATTCAAATATCCCAAAGTAATCAAGTCTTCTATGTAATGTTTAACTTAGCTAAAGCCTCATTCGGTGGGTTTGAGAGAAGTTGATGTGTTTATTGGATTTTCCTCTTAGTCTTTCTGAGAATTCTTAGGAATGCTTTCAAGACCCAAAGATGGTTGGCCCATCCCGGTTTGCTAAGGACCACTTCCGGTTGCTTTTATCCTCTCATATCCTTTTGCCTCCCTCTTTTCCTCTCCTATATGGGATAAAATGAAGTGAAGATCTAAGAGTAATATAAGAGGATTAAATGAAGAATTGTAAAAGGCTAAAGGAGATTAGACATTCACGCTCCCTAGAATCCATCTGTCTTATCTTCTCAGAGACCCCTACATACTGGCCCATTTTGTACTCAATCCTTCAATATTTTGGTGTTTTAGAATCCATATGTCTTTTTAGGCAAAAGGCTGCCCTGCTCGAAATTCCTTGCCCACAAAATCTAGAGTAAGTTAGTGAAAAAAAAAAAAAAGAATTTAATCTCTTCAGGGGTTAAAGGTTGGCTTATTATTATTATTATTACTATTATTATTATTATTTGTTTTGAACTTAGGATGATTGGCCATATGACCATGCATTTGCTTTAGGGAAGAATCTCATGGCACTATATCCAGACCCTGGAGACAAAAGCAAGAGAATCATAAGAGTGAACCAAATGCATCTCAAAATTTGTGTGATTCCATCTTAAACTACCTAGCGTATAGCATGCACTCAGGACTAACTCAAATCCCTAATTCAGAAAGCAAAAAAACTAACTTTTTAAAGGGCACAGTCTGATTAGAAACACCCCAAATGTGTTACTAATTAGAAAACAATATTTAGTGTAAAGTGTTTTATCATTTTACTAGCTTAGGGTTTCATTGCTCTCAAAATAATGAAGAGGTACTTGTAAGACAAAAAAGTGCTCACTAAAGTAGCAACTCCCAGAATGATGAATCTGTCTGTTTTAGTGACAAATTCTAGGCTCTATTCTACAAGCAAAACTTCTTTACAAGCTCTAATGTGTCAATTTCCAATCTCCAACAATTTTAAGTTCTTGACTACATCCAGAGCATCAGGAAGAATCTGCTGGTCACTCTGAAATAGCATTTTGTTTTTGCTACACAAAGACTATTCAAGCTTATTATTCATGCTTGTTATTTTGCCTGAATGGTTGCAAAAAGAGAGTAATTTCTTGAGGTGTCTTGGCTTGAGTTGGAAGACAGAGGGGAACACACTGAAGATCCCTCAAGACAATGCAAGCCTATGTATAAGAAGGGACTTGCCTTAAGCTATGCACAGGCAAAGAAAGAAAAAAGGGACATAGAAAGGAAGTGGTGGGGAAACAATTTTCAGACAATTCCCCACCCTAGTCTGGTGATCCAATGACAAATGGGACTGTCTGAAGCAACTCTGACTGAAGAGCAATGTCAAAGTCTCTCTGTCTCTCTTTTTCTTTGCCAGGGGAGGATGTTCGTATTTGCTACTTTGTAAAGCAATATTTCATGCCAGTGTCCTTTGTTCTTGCCTATAAATTGAGTCCCAGAATTTCCTTTTTGCTATCTTGCAAGCGTAAAGTGGGTGTGATTGGGGATAATGTCCCCCACTGGCAGTCCACGCTCCACACTAATGACTCTTCCCTTAGTCAGACGTGCTGTGAAGTGAATCATTGAAGGAAGGTTGATAAAGCAGGAATGTTTTCAAATGATTTTTCTACACACTTCTATAAATTGCCTAAAGATGATCATTATCATCTGAGAATATGAAGTATAGCTGCGTGGAGGAGGGGAGAAAGGGCGGACAGGTAGTCCAAGAGGGAAATTATCTGCATCATTGAGAACCAACTGTCAAAGCAGAGAAACCAGAGTCCAGGGAGTGTGTGGGGGGTGCAACCACAGGTCGAAGAAGAGAAGAGCCACACACTTCTCAACCCCCCTCCCACTCCACACCTACTCCCCAGAGAGTGAGAGAAAGCCGGAAATAAAGCTTCTGTTTGTCACTCCTCACATCACAATTCCACTTAACTAAACAAAGGCCTGGCAAAGGCAGTTTTAACCCTAAAGCTCAGAGTGAGAAGTGCACCTGTTTTAGATTCAACAAAATAGTCCCAAATGCCTGGAAGGCATGGTATCTTTGTGGTCCCCCTTGCCTGGCAAGTACAGGCCCTTCTGAGCTACAAACCTCTGGCTATGAGTTCTTTCTTCTTTGCCTCCTTGGGATGAAACTGTCAGCTATGGAGAAAAAGTAAGGAACCTTGTGATGGACTTTGAAATTCAACATAATACCTAAGTAGTAAAGATAAAAGAATCCTCTCCTCCGTCTCACAAACACAGTTGCATGAACCCTTGTCCGTGCTAATTGACCAAGGAATGAAGTATAAGATAGTAACTACAGATTTAAAAGAAAAAAAAATTCATACACTCTTCTCCAAAAGTAAGTGTAAGATTTCTGAAAATTACAAACACATATACTACGTGTATATTTATGGTTCTTAAACTACTTGAATGTATCTTAGCAGTAAAATATCCCCCAATAAAATATTCCTCTCCTTCTTGAAAACATGAACCACGCAATGCTAAGTGAAATATTTGTTACAAATATTTTTCCAGTGGTTTAAACACTCCAAATGCCAAATAAATTGCAAGGAATGAATAATATTTTTGAAAATAGTTTTATGTGAATGAATTGTTTATGCAAACATAGATTTAATAATCTGAATCCAAATAACAAAAAATCATTCCAAAATATTTTATCACCCTATCCAGTTTTTACTAACCTTTATGCCCTCAGAAAGTTACTTTATTTCGATGCTTTTCTATTGGCAGCAGTAAAATCTCATGGAACTTAGAAAAGGTGATGTAGGGGGAGTATTCTCCATCTTATATCATTGCAGTATTCACTTTAAAGCAATGTAGTCCTTTTCTGTTTCTACCCCAACATTTCATAATTATATCATTTTACAAGAATTGTGTAATTTACATAACCACCTAAATTGTCATAATTGCTAGAAAGTGCTGAAAAAGCATACGGTAGGCATTTCAGATTCATTTCTGCTCTCTGTTTGAAACTCATTTTAAATGCCTTTTGCATAAAAATTCTTTTGGTCAACAAAAAAGTAACTTGGATTTAATTTTGCAGGAACCTTCTCTTCTTCTCCCTCTCAGACTGACTTCTCTTCTTTCAGGAAGCCTTTCTCAGGTATTAGACCTGAGTACTAACAGGGTCACCTGGTAAACAAACCCCTCCTCTTGATCTTACAGAAGAAGCTGAGACCACAGAGGTTAGCTGACTTGATCTGAGTACCACAGGTCACATCTGCGGAGCCAAGACTAGAAATCACTTTTATTTAACTTGCATGTTTTGTTCATTGTCCCGCACTGTTCTACACTGCATTTAGAAAGAGGAAAAGGAAAAATACAAGAATGGAATGGTCTCTCTACAGTTTTCTCAGCATGCCATTTCTATTATAATTATCTTAACCATCTGTTTTGCTTGGAACAGGCAAAAGAATTTGATATTAAGAAACAAAATTCATTCTGTACAACAGAGAAGGGCTTCAGAAATGAGACTTTATTTCAGAATACAAGAGTGGATATCAATTTTATCAGAGGTTTCATCTGTGAAGTAGAATGCCAGTATTTGACCATTACTGTTTTGAAAATCAGTGGCTCATGTAGTTTTGTAAATAAAAATGTGCAACTCAAAGTTATTGCAGCATATTGTTTATAATATTTGCTTAGAGTGTAATGTGGAAACCTGAAGTAAAGCACCACTAAACAGTTAAGGGCATTGGAAAATGGCAACTTTTCCCAATACCCTTAATTGTTTTTCTTTCTTGAATTCTGCTTCAACTTCTCTCCTAAAAAGCTAATCTATCCTTGCATACTTAAAAGACAATGTATTGATGTTTAGCTCCTTGAAACTAATTTAGCTGTTATGTGAAGCTATAAAACTTAGTGGCAACATATGTGATAGGCATAAATAATGGACCACCTTTCTGGTATGCTTACCTAGTGCACGTGTGCACATATATGGACGCACACACTGCAAAAAACACACACATGGATGCACAAGACATACACGCAGATACACAAAAACAATTTATGCTACTAATAATTCAGAGTTTTGAAATAAATAAGAAATAAGCTGGTTCACTTATTTTCCTTTCTGTCAAAAATTACTGTAAAATATGTATTTTATTGCAAATTAAGAAAAAAATTGAGAGTGATGTACCTGTCTTGCAGTTACAGGCTTTTCAAATTACAGATAGTATTTGAAAGAACCAATAATACCTCAAAATCATTATTTTAAAAAATTATAATTATTACAAATTAACCAAGCTTCAGAAGAGGTAAACTCCCAACATGAAAGACAGCTTATCACTTTTGAAATAAGCATGGAAGGCAGAACAATTTTCATAGAAAAATGGAGAGTATTCATTCCAATTAATAAAAAAAAAGCTATTATTTCTGCCAAAAAAAAGGAAAATTAATAGCAAAGGTAGGATGAACCAGAGACCCTTTCAATATTGTCTTCTAGAACATAAAGTTATTATAATAACACTAAAGAAGAAAAAAAACTTGAAACAACATATACATTGAGAAAAGAACAATTTTTCTGTTCAACGAGAATCAAATTTTTTACAGCTGATCGATGTAATATAGTTCTGTAATTTTCGTGAAATAATTTTAGAACTGCTGGGAAATCTCAGCTGAAGGAAACAAAGAAAAGTTCATAAAATTTTCTAAAAATCAAAGTCGTGAAATTTTTTCCCCCTATGAATTATATATTAGAAACAAGTAATTCAATTCCAACTTTCTCTTTCCTGTGATAGTGAAAAAGCTTATAAACCAACAACTTAACACATGAAAGCCATTTTAATTCTCACACCAGCACACATCTCACAAGAATTGAAAATAAATAGAAAAATATGTGGTGAAAACAGTCGTGTAGACCCCTAAACATTTTCAGAATTTAACATTAAGCACTTTTTTTTTTCTCGTGGTGACTTTTCTTTTTCCCTTTCCTAAGTTGTAATGTGATGTTTATCCTCCACTTAATTTCTTGGCAATGTGGTAGTGGATCAATAAATCAATCTGGCATATTAACCCTAGCAATCATTTTGGAATGTGGATAAACTTCTTTCTGTTATTGCTTAAATTTGTGCTCTTCCTGTAAATGAGGTTCATTTTATAAACCACAGGTAAAGTTCCATAGTCCAGCGTTACACTTGCCTAGCACATTTCTACATGAATCATTTGTGATATGCTACTACTTTGTTTAAAATATATACACCCACAAATGTAAGTATTTATATGCATATATATTATTTATGTATAAATGTGAAGGTGAAATTGACTCCACTGAAACAAGCAACATGGGCTATAAATGGTATGCTCAATGTATTCATGTTTCATTCTTCCCTTCCTCCATTCCTCCCTTTCTCCCTCTTTCCTTCCTTCTATTACTTTTGACTTCCTTCTGGTTTGTGTATTGTCCTTTATTCCTTCAAGAGACAGGCTGTGAAAGCGCTAATATATGAGGAATTTATTCTTTAATGTAGTGTGTTCAATCCACTAACGTCCTTGCCTAGGCCACCAAATAGGCATTAATGTGAGAGCACAGTCTTGAGTAAGTATAGATAATATATATTTTATTATAATATTTTACAGTTACTCAAGGTAATTTTAAAAATGCCATTTGAATTTTCATTCATATATAATTCATGCTTTTATTTTGAATATGAATCAGAAACAGGCCTGAGAGCAACAAAATAGTTTATGTAGTAGAATCAATAATATGATTACCTAAGATATGCAACAAGATGCTAAAATGCATTGTTATCTTGGCACCGAAAAATAGATCATCTTTTTTAATTTGCCTGTTTAAGATAACATAAAAAACAAGACGTTTGTTTTTTATTTTTCTTGATAATCTTTGCAGTGTTTAAGGAATGTTAATCATTCATTCATTCAATATTAATGTAAACACAAAAAGTAATCAATAATCTTGTCCCTAGTAGAGGTGATAATTATTAAAGGCCATTTATATTACTACATATGTCACTAAAACTTCACAATATTATTTTTGTATTAACACATTTTGAATATGTCTATTAGATTGGTGTTTCCTATATATACACCCATATGACAAATATCTCTCGGGTTGGTGAAAGGAAAATTTCTCTGAAACTCATAACCCTTTTATCAGAAATAAGAATTAATGAAAACTGTTTGATATGGTTTGGCTCTGTGTCCCCACCCAAATTTCATGTTGAATTGTAATTCCCATGTATTGAGGGAGGGACCTGGTGGAAGGTGATTGGATCACGGGGAGGATTTCCCCCATGCTTTCTCATGATAGTGAGTTTTCATAAGATCTGACGGTTTAATAGTGCTTGGCAGTTTCCCCCTTCATTCTCTCTCTTTCTTGCTCTGACATGTGAAGACTGTGCCTTGCTTCTTCTTCTGCCCTAACTATAAGTTTCCTGAGGCCTCCCCAGCCATGTGGAATGGTGAGTTAATTAACTTTCTTTTCTTTATAAATTATCCAGTCTCGGGTAGTTCTTTATAGCCGTGCAAAAACAGACTAATACTTTTGATTTTTTTACTTAGTTTCCAGGAATTTCCAGGCTACATTTTGGGCTTAACAAGAATAACTTTTCTTAGAGTACATTTTCTGATTTAATAAAAATAAAACAGCAATGATCGTAGCAAATCATTCTGAAAATGGTACAGGACAGAGGGTTAAAGTTGTTGTCTTCTGTAGAGAGAAGAGAGGTGGACGTGAAGTTGAATCTAGGCAGGGTAGTTACAGGCAATCCTCTCTATGTGGGATGTCTGGGTGGTTGAATTGCTGAATGGTTACAAATGGTGGAATTTCATATTATATCTATGAGTACCTAGTAATTAATTTTTAGATGCTTATTGAAATATCATGAATACAAACTAAGGATGTTAGCATGCTTTATATGGGGTCTTACATTTTTAAAAAATAATTTTTTTATTTGTTGTTTTTACTAGGTCAAAAAAGGATAGAAACATCTAAAACAATGATTATGTTACAGTGAAGAAGGACTTTGTTTTGTCAGCAATGGAGCATTTTCCAAGGGAGATAGATGAATGCCCACTCCCACTGCCTAACTTTGTAACTGCTTTTGCTGTTTGTTTCCTCTCATTCATTTTGCATTCGTGTTAGGCTTGCATCTGTTTATGTTACTTGTCTATTATTCATCTACAGGATAACTGCTCAGCAGTCGTTACTTCCTTTCATATCTTTTCTGCATCTTTTGTTTCCATGGGTTGTTTTGGCAATAAAACCAAGAAAAGGGTACAAAGCTTATAAAAAAGTGCAGTTGGAACATCATGTTTTTACAGCTCTAAGAACATTATTGCTGATTTCAAAAAGTTTTTTTAAATGTTAAAATGTATTCAGCAAAGTTTAAAGCTCATAGGTATGATAAATTTGAAAATTTGAGAAAATGAAATTTAAAAAGTGTTTCCAAAACAGCTCGCTACTGTTTGATCTTCACATGGCAGTCTGCCTTGTGCAATTCTCTGTTTACTGTACATTTTAATACCTAAGTTTCAAGCAATGAAGTCATAGTAATTCCTTACATTTGTATAGCACTTCATAATTTTATTGTGTGATTACTCATTCATTATGTCCTCTAATCTTTCTAGGTAGATAATTAGCATCTTCATTTTAGGATAGGAAAAAAGAGAGTAATAACTTTGTTAAATGACATGCTAAGATCAAAAGATCAATGGATCTCTGAGCCTGGAATCTACACTAACTTGATACCTGGTGTGGGTCAGGAGAATCCTCACAATATAAAGTTGCTCCAGACTTCCTGCAAGCCTAAGTGGTAAAATAAGGTTTGGGGATTTTAGATTATGTTAGCATAGTTTTATGTGTGATTTTAAATCATTATTGTGTCTCCAAACTTATTAAGACTCTATCTATCTATTATCAAGGGATTGAAGTTTAGCTGGGAAAGGGGACTAATACGTATCTATTTTACCATATTACCTTTATAAATCCTTAAAGGAATATACTTTAGGTCTTATTTTTGACATGAAGAAAAAATTAAAAATAATTTGATCCTGCTACCTTACCAGCCACTGCGTATACGTTTTGTTTAGAAAATAATGGAAAGAAACATGTGACAAAGTGGAGAAGATAACACCATAGAGGCACATATATGTTCTGTATCTTCCCTTATCAATTACATATTACCAATATATATATGCCCAATAAGCAGAAAACTTTTCTGCCAAAGAGATTTCACTTTTATGTCTCTGTTAAATAATTTCTACATTCTACGTCCCACTGTTGTAAAAGAACAACCCAGTAATCCCTCAAAGCCTAGGTTCCATGTAAAATAAATTTTGTACGATCATTATGTAGTACTTGTGAAAAGTCATAGAATTTTAAAAAGCATTTGATTTGCACCCAAAACAACCAAGAAGTGTCAATGTTTCAATAATTGCATAATTATTTTTAAAGTTATCATCTTTGGAGTGCTAAAGCTATCATTAAGTGATAAATAACAACATAATTTTATTTTGGCCTGTGCCATCCTGGACTCACCTAAGAAACCTTAGTTCATACTTCCAGATCATTATCAGAGCTGTCCCTGTGACCATGGTGTAAGATGACTCCTAAGGAAAAATGAACTATGTCTCTCTATCTCCTCAACCAAAAACATCAGAAAGTGCTCCCTTACCTTTTCTTCCCTCCCCAAGAGAAAGATCTTTGGTGAAAAAACTTAGTTTCTGCCATGTGGGTCTCCTTATTTACTTATAGTGGTGAGAAGCTACCTTTCTACTCTGACATCTTGCTCTCTGTTGCTGTCTTTCAGTTGTTGAGTAATCAACTCTTAATAAGCTGAGTGACAGTAAATGGTTACAGTTTAGGAGGATTAATAAAAGTTGCTATTAAAATATATATATTTAATAAGCACAGAGGTATCTGAAAATGTTTATATATTCTCCTTATTGAATTTGTAGAATCTGTTTAGGTAATCACTAAGCCTTTAGACAGAATCTCTCCAGGTTTCCTTCAATAGATATGACTTTAATATCAAGTCAGCTCTGTCCTTTTGTTGACTCTCAGTCATAAATGCCAGCTAGAGGTTGGAAACTCAAGCATCATTAAGAAATGGTCTGAAAGTGACTTAAATTGTGTTCTGGCCTAGATTAAGCCTTTCAGAGCAACTATAAATGTACGGCGCTTTCATCTAACCTAGCCCCATGGGCATTTAATGAAAGTAAGTGCTCATTATTGTTATTGTTATGAATTATAATATATACTGTATATAAGACAAAATCACAATAGAAAAAACAACCAGCAGCCTAATTTACATTGAGTAGTCCAAACATACAATTTCTCCCACCTAAAATTTTTACCTTGGAATTTTCTTTCATGGCTATCTGTAATTCTATAAAGGTCAGCAAAATACTGAGCTGTTTTGACCAGGCAAAGAAGGGTTAAACATAAATCCTAATATACTATAATTAAATATATAAATGTTATGTTCCTAAACCCAAGTTATACAGCTTAATATAAAAAACGACATATAAGTAATAACCTATAGCATACATACGTCAGGAAATTGTCCTTAAGAAATCAGCTGACTTTAAGTAGCTTATAAATACTAAATAAAAATATATTGCAAATGAAAAGCTTTTTTAAGTTGAATTGGAAATTTTTTTTGTAACTGGTTTGATTTTACCTGAAAGTAGGAAAGCAAAGTAAAATGAACAAGTAAAATTTATTTCCCTAAACCCCAGGGAGTTTATAAATACATCATGAGAACATTTATGTAGACACAATAACAGAAAAGGAGAACATTAGAGATACAATATGCAAATTATGGGAGAAAATATTAAGAAAAACAGTTTTACTAACATTATAACATGACTGAAAATTAATGATTAAATAAGAAAATATCTCACAATAAATTATTTTTAGAAGCAGAGACAATTAATTGGGATAACAAGACAAATTGCATCAAGATATATACACACACACACATATAGATATATACACACACACATATACACACACACACACACACACACACACACACATATATATATACACAAAAGTGACCTAATTTATACATTTCAACACATTTATATTGAAAGGTCAATATGGAGCAAATCAACTTTATTTAATTTATATTTATTAGGCAGATGATGCCTGAAGAATGCAGAAACCTTAGCCATTTTGATTTGATTCTTTCAGTCCCTGACCTGCCTACAGGCTGACATAATTTTCCTTCACAGAGACCAGTCTCCAGTGGTTACCAATCTTGATCTTCCAGTGTAGACTGAGTTCTCTTTGAATTACTGGAGCAGGGTGTATGCGAGGTTGGATAAATCAGCCAAACCGAAAGGCCCTGCAGGGCAAAGAAGCAGTAGGGCACCTGTCCTTACATTGTCCTGAAAGTGACCTCCTGTGTGACTTTCTGTGAGGTAAGAGGTCATTCTGCCTCTACTTTGGCTTAGCTTATGTCACTCACAGTAAAGGTCACAAATCCTGACAGCTTTCGGTGCTTGAGACTCAGATTACTGCGTGTCTGAGAAGGAGCGGAGAGCTGTGAGACCTGCTTCTCTTAGGAATCTAGGTCAGAATTCATTCAGTAATGCCACCCAGGCCCTTCAAAGCAATATCTTACATTGTAGAAATGCTTTGAGCAAATCCTGACGGTTGTTCATAAATTATATTACAACCTGAAGGGAGAAAAAGTTATTCTGTCCCTTTTTTGACTCCAGCTTCTTATAAGATAAGTCATAAAATTTAATTGGTGTCCTCAGAGCAAGGTCATAGTTCTTAAATTCACCTATACCCTTCATAACCTCCAAGTCAATAATAATAACTGAAGATAATGTTAGTGCCACTAAATTTGATGAAAGTGTCGGCAGCAGTTAATGTACAAGAAACCCATCCAAATATATGAAGGCTGTTTTTTTTTTTTTTAAAGTATGTGACGCTTTCTGAGTGTCTCTGAAATACTGTAAATGTTTGGAATTTGGACTTTATATAAATAGGAAGCATATGCACATTTGTTAACAGAGGTGACAGTATGAAGATTGGAGATTGGAAAAGGGTAAGATAGAGGGAGAGAATAATCTTTTAAGAAAGCAAGTTCAGACATTAAATGTAAATAAATGGAAAAGTCTATGAGGAAATGCTGTAAGCCTATTTTTAGGTAATTTACCTTTCCTATACAAAAAGAGAGGTAGGAAAAGAAAAAAAAATAGAAAAGGGGAGACTGAAGTGAACACTTGCTTATTGCTTTGAGGTTGTATAAATGTTGCCAAAACTATGCCCAATGCCTACTTAAGTGTGGGAAACAGAGTTGACACTTAAAGAATTGTGCAGTGGTGACTCTGGAGTCTAGAAGCCTGTTGCTAGTGTGAATGGAACTGAACTCATTTCCTTTAAGGGAAAGGCCAAAGACAGTGAGTAAGTGATAAAAACTTGTGGTGAGAATCAAGCAATGCGGAGACATTAAAAAATTCCTAGAACCATATAGATGCTAACATATTAGATTTTGATAATGAATAACTAATTCAAATATCCTGATTCTTTTTAAAAATCAAAGTAATGTGTTGCATCCACCTAAGACACTATTAGAAATATAGGAGCTATACTTTTATACCTTGGCATGGCATTTCACTTTCCAAAGCAAATATGTGAGACTGTCTCTTTTTAAATGTTTCATTCAGGGATAAAATATGATGTTTGGATTATCTCCTTAACCCACTGCATCCAATAAATAAAAATCTCTCCTCTTAATATTACCTCTATTCTCTCAGTAAGACTGATGATAATTCAATCTTCTTTGACTGTAATCTCTCTTTCCAATTCATCTACAATATTGTCAGATCTTGCTTCAAAATGACCCCAGCTTTGTTTTTTCTATTTCTACAGCCATTGTCGTAACTTGAAACTAAATTGGGATCCATGATAACTGATTTATTGTACCATCTTTGCTATTTGATGTTGGTCAAATCACCTAACTTGAGTAAAATGAAGGAGTGGAAGACCTCTAAATCTAAATCTAAATTTCTCTTATTGATATTTTCCTTCTATGAAATACAGTGTTATGAGAGATTCTGAGAGAGAGAGACAGAGAGAGAGAGAGAGGGAGAGAGAGAGAGATCAATTTACCTTCCAGGTGCTTATTATCACATAAGGGGAATAAGGCGGCTTCTGACAGAGTGATTAGGGAAGACATAAAAAGGAGATCGAAAGTGGACTAGGCCTTGAATAAAGTGCAGAATATTAACAAGTCAGAGGAAAGGGCAGTAAGATTAAACCACCGTTGCTCTTGTCAAATGTTTTCTCAAAATTTATTCTTTCATAAGAGCCTTTAGCTCAATGACACTGTTATAGACTGAATGCTTGCGTTCTTCCCAAATTCATCTGTTAAACCTGATCCTCAACGTGATATTAGAAGAGGGTGCTGGCCGGGCGCGGTGGCTCACGCCTGTAATCCCAGCACTTTGGGAGGCTGAGGTGGGCGGATCACAAGGTCAGGAGATCAAGATCATCCTGGCTAACACGGTGAAACCCCGTCTCTACTAAAAGTACAAAAAGAAAAAAAAAGAAAAACAGCAGGGCGTGGTGGCATGTGCCTGTAATCTCAGCTACTGGGGAGGCTGAGGCAGGGGAATCGCTTGAATCTGGGAGGCGCGGGTTGCAGTGAGCTGAGATCACGCCACTGCAATCCAGCCTGGGTGACAGAGTGAGACTCTGTCTCAAAAAAAAAAAAAAAAAAAAAAAAGGGGTGCCTTTGGGAGTTGATTAGGTCATGAGGGTAGAGCCCTCATGAGGGTGACTGGTCCCTTTCCAGAGAGTTTCCTTGGCCCTCTCACATGTGAGGGCACAGAGAAAAGACAGCTCTCTTCTCTATGAAAAGTGGTCCCTCACTAGACACCAAATATATTGGACTTTCTAGCCTCCAGAACTGTGAGAAGTAAATTTCTGTTATCTGTAAGCCACCCAGTCTATACTATTTTTGTTATAACAGCCCAAATAGACTAAGACAGTAATGAAGTTCAGGCAACTCTTCTTACCCCATGGCTCTCATTACTTCTGTTCTTCATATCACATATGCGGGAGAGTCATGTATGCAGTACTTTTTGAATGGAAGGAAAATTGAGATTCATGAAGATGTCATGAGTAAATCTCCCCAAATCTGAAACTAATTTAGCCTCCAGATTTACTGTATATTAGGGAAATGTGCATATGTACACATACACACACACACACACACGCACAAAACACACACTGTGCTAAACTTTAAGAATAATAAGAGAAAAGACTACTGGCTAAAAATAAATGTCCTACTGAAAAGTGTACTAAAATCCCATATTTAATTATGATTATTTAACAGTGATATCAGGTAAGGATGATGTACATTTGAATGTAATTGATTAAACAAAAATACAGAAAGCATTTTTAATTAAATATACCCTATTGGGAAAAGTACTCAAAAACTAAAAGAATGGAGCTGAATAAGCCAGGTAAGCATCGGAAAAGGGATATCACAGAGGTAGATTCTAGCCAAGAGGTATGGAGCCTGTCTCCAAGCAGCCTCCAACATTCAAATATTGTGGGTTCCTTGGCAAGACTAATGGTATAATGGGTAAGAGTGCTTCAGGCTATTTTAATTAAAGGACAAGTTTACCAAGAAAAATTATAATAATTTTTTTTCCTCCATTTAACATGATTTCTGCCAGGCGAGACGGCTGACGCCTGTAATCCTAGCACTTTGGGAGGCCGAGGTGAGTGGATCACCTGAGGTGAGGAGTGCGAGATCAGCCTGGCCAACATGGTGAAACCCCGTCTCTACTAAAAATACAAAAATTAGCTGGGCATGGTGGTGTGCGCCTGTAGTCCCAGCTACTCGAGAGGTTGAGGCAGGAGAATTGCTTGAACCCATGAGGTGGAGGTTGCAGTGAGCCAAGATCATGCCACTACACGCCAGCCTGGGCAAAAAGTGAGATCCTGTCTCAAAAAACAAAAACAAAAACAAAAGAACAGAAAACATGCTTTCATGACGAGAATGTGCTGGCTAGATTGGACTGAAAATAGAATTATTTGACAGTTATTTCAAGTTGCACATAGGAATTGGCATTCTGGTTACAAATTAGCTTTCTATATGGAAAGGAGCCTTAATAGGGGACATTTCTGTACTGGTTTGTCTGCAATGTTCATGAAAGCTTCATTTAGCCTAGGTTTCTCTATATATTACTGCTTGAATGGGTTTTCTTTATCAGTATATTATATAAAATAAAATCTACATATATTGGCTAATAACTTTTGAGTGGTGATTGTTTGACAGATGTTGCTTGACATGCTTCACATCTAATCTGTAACAGGACTTTATGTTATCTGTTTTAAAATGAATGTAATTTTATAGCCAAAGGGACTGAGGAATAGAAATGTTAAGTACTTTGCCTAATATCACACAGCTGGTAAGTGAAGGAGCCCAAATTCAAAAGAAGATAATCTAGCTTCTGAACCCACATTCTTAACCCCTGTGGCAAACGGCTTGTCAGATTGGGCTGACAATACTTAAATCCATCTTCCGTGCTGAGAATACCATATATGATTTGCTATAAACTAAGTAACAAATTATAAAGAATATACTCTGTAAGTTTGGAAATCATACTCAATTTTGTTGTTGTTGTTGGCTAAGAAACTTTGGGTAACTTTAGCAAATGTGGCTCAGAGATTAGTCCCCTGATTTATTTATCACCCCTCCAGCTTTATTGAGGTATAAATATTGTATATATTGGAGGTGTACAACATGATGTTTTGATGTACATGCAAATTGTGAAATGATTACCACAATCTAATTAACATATCATCTCACATTGTTACCTTTTGTGTGTGTGTGTGTTGCAAGATCTATTCTCAGCAAATTTGAAGTTTACAAAACACTATTATTAACTATACTGCTGTATATTATTAATGACACTGCAATACATACTTTATATTAGATCTTCAGAATATATTCATCCTGCAAAACTAAAGCTTTGTACCCTTTTTAAAACATAATATCCTAATTTCCCCAACTGCTAGTCACTGGCAATGATCTTTCTATTTCCTATTTCTAGAAGTCTGCTGTTGTTGTTTTTTAAGATTGCACATATAAGTGAGATCATGCAGTATTTGTCTTTCTGTGTCTAGCTTATTAACTTAGCACAATGTCCTCTAGGTACATGTGTATTGTCACAAATGACAAAATTTCCTTCTTTTTAAGGCTGAAAAATATTCCACTGTGTGTGTATATGTGTGTTAATGTGTGCATGTAGCACATTTCTTTATCTATCCATGAACACAAATACTAAGGTTGGTTTCATATTTTGGCTATTCTGAATAATGCGGCAATGAACATGAGAGTACAGATATTTCTTCAACACATTGAGCTCATTTTCTTATATGTACCCAGCATTTAGATTGCTGGATCATAGGCAGTTCTGTTTTTAATTTTGTGAGAAACTTCCATACATTTTTCCATAATGGCTGTGCCAATTTACATTCCCAGGAGCAGGGTACAAGTGTTCCCCTTTCTCCATATCTTCTCCAACATTTATCTTTAGTCTTTTTGATCATAGCCATTCTAAAAGGTGTGAGGTGATATCTCATTGTGATTTTGATTTGCATTTTCCTGATAATAAGTGATGTTGAGCATTTCTTCGCATATCTTTTGGCCATTTGTATGTCTCCTTTTGCAAAATGTCTATTCAGGTCTTTGCAAATTTTTTAATCTGGTTATTTTTTTTCTTGCTACTTAGTTGTTAGGTTCCTTATATATTTTTACTATTAACTCTTTATCAGACGCATAATTTACAAATATTTTCTTCCATTTTGTAGGTTGTCTCTTTATGCCTTTGATTATTTCTTTTGCTGTGCAGAGATTTTTAGTTTGATGCAATATCACTTGTCTATTTTTGTTTTTGTCGCCCGTACTTTTGGGATTATAGCCAAAAAACAAATCATTGCATAGACTAATGACGAGTAGCTTTTCCTGATGTTTTCTTCTAGCAGTTTCTAGTTAAAGGTTTTATGTTTAAAATTTTAATCCATTTTAGGTTGATTTTTTTTATATGTTGTGAAATAGGAGTTCGATTCTATTCTTCAGGATGTGGATGTCCAGGTTTCCCAACACCATTTGTTGAGGAGACTATGATTTCCTGATTATGTGTTCTTGGCACCTATGTGAAAGATCAATTGACCACAAATGAGTGGATTTATTTCTGGGCTATTTTGTTTCATTGGTTGACATGTCTGTTTTTATGCCAGTACTATACTGTTTTGATTACTATACCTTTGTAGTATATTTTGAAATCAAGTAGTGTGATACATCAATGCCTCAATATTCTACTTGTACAAGATTGCTTTGGCTATTTGGGGTCTTTTGTTGTTCCATATAAGTTTTAGGATTGTGTTTTCTATTTCTGTGAAAAATGCCATTGGAATTTTGGTAGGAATTACATTGAATCTGTAGATAGCTTTGTATGTAGTATGGACATTTTAACAATATTAATTCTTACGATTCAAGAACATGGATATTTTTCCATTTATTCATGTCTTCTTGAATTTCTTTTATCACTGCTTTGTAGTTTTCAGTGTATAAATATTTTACCACTTTTGACTTTGTTCCTAAATATTTTATTTTTTGATGCTATTTTAAATGGAATTGTTTTTTAAAATTCTTTTTCTGTAGTTCCTTTTCAGTTTATAGAAGTGCAACTAACTTTTGTGTGTTCATTATGTATACTGCAATACTATTCAATTCATTTTTAATTCTAACAGTTTTTGGTATAGTCTGGAGTTTTCTGTATATAAGATTATGTCGTCTGCAAAGATACCATTTTACTTCTTTCTTTTCAATGTGAATGACTTTTATTTTGTTCTTAGCTAATTGCTCTGATTAGGAGTTCCTATATGTACCATATTGAAAACAAGTGTTGAGAGAGAGCAGTCTTGACTCATTCCTGATTTTAGGAGAAAAGCTTTCAACTTTTCACTGTTGAGTGTGTTGGCTTTGGGTCTCTCTTGTATGGCGTTTATTACGTTAATGAATGTACATTCCTTCTATACCTAATTTGGTGAGCGTCTTTATTACAAAAATATGTTAATTCTTTTTCACATGTTTTTTCAGCATCTATTTAGGGGATCACATGGTTTTTGTACATCATTCTGGAAATGTGGTATATCACACTTATTGATTTGTGTATGATGAAGCATCCTTACATCCTTGGAATAAATCCCACTTAATCATAGTGTATGACCCTTTTAATGTGCTGCTGAATTTGGTTTGCTAGTATATTGTGGAGTTTTTGCATCTATGTTCATCAGGAATATGGGCCTCTAATTTTCTTTTCTTGTAGTGTTTTTATCTGGCTTTGTTGTCAGTGTAATCCTGGCCTTGCAAAATTAGTCGGGAGGTATTCCTTCTTCTTCTTCCATTTTTTGAAGAGTTTAGGAAGCACTGGCATTCTTTTTAAATGTTTAGTAGAATTCACCAGTGAAGCCATCAGTTCCTAGACTTTTCTTTGTTGGGAGGTTTTGATTACTGATTCAATCTCCTTACTCATTATTGGTCTGTTCGAATTTTCTATTACTTTATCATTTAGTTTTGGTAGAGTGTGTGTTCCTAGAAATTTAACCATTTTTTCAAGGTTATCTAATTTGTCAACATATAATTGTTCATTATAGCCTCTTATGATCCTTTGAATTTCTGTGGTAACAGTTGTACTGTCTTTGCTTTCATTTCTGGTTTTAATTGGATCTTCTCTTTTTTATCCTAGTCTAATTAAAGGTTTGTAATTTTTTTTATCTTTCCAAAACACCAACTCATAATTTCATCACTTTTTAAAATCATTTTCTCATGTTTATTTCATTTATTTTTGCTCTGACATTTATTATTTCCCTCCTTCTGCTAATTTTGGGTTTAATTTGCTCCTCATTTTTTAGCTTCTTGAAGTAGAACATCAGGTTGTTTATTCAAAATCTTTTTCCTTTCTTTTCTTTTTCTATTTTATTTTGTTGAGAGAGTCTTGTTACATTACCCAGGCTGGAGTGCAGTCGTGCAATCATGGGTCACTACAGCCTCAACCTCCTGCATTCAATGGATCCTCCTGCCTCAGCCTCCCAAGTAGCTGGGACTACAGGTGTGGGCTACCACACTTGGCTATATATATATATATTTTTTTTTTTTTTTTGGTAGAAATGCGGTTTCACCATGTTGCCTAGGCTGGTCTTGAATTCCTGGGCTCAAGCAATCTGCCTGCCTTAGCCTCCCAAAGTGCTGGGATTACAGACATGAGCCACCATGCCTGGTTTCTTTTCTTAATGTAAGGATTTATTAAATTTCCATCTTAGAACTGCTTTTGCCGTATCACATGGGTTTCAGTAGGTTTTGTTTCCATTTTTATTTGTCTCAATATATTCTTTAATTTACATTTTAATTTTGGCTTTTATCCAATGGTTGTTCAGGAGTATGTTGTTTAGTTTCCTCATATTTTTAATTTTCCAATATTCTTCCTGTTATTGACTTCTAGTTTCATGCCATTTCGGTCAGAAAATATATCTAATATTATGTCAATCTTCTTAAATGTGTTAAAATGTGTGAACTAACATATATATTCTGGAGAATATTCTGTGTGCCCTTGAACAGAATGTGCATTCTGCTGTGTTGGATGGAATGTTCTTTATATGTTTCTTGTGTTCATTTGGTCAGTAGTGTTGTAGAAGCCCACTGTTTCCTTATTGATTTTCTGTCTGTGTGAAGATAATGGGGTATTGAAGTCCCCTACCGTTATTGCATTGTGGTTTATTTCTCCTTTCAGTTCAGTAAATATTTGCTTTATATATTTAGGTGTGCCAATATTTGGTGCGTATATGCATACAGTTTTTATATCCTCTTGATGAATTGACTCCATTATCATAATGTAATAACCTTCTTTGTCTATTGTGACAGGTTTGGACTTAAAATCTATTTCATCTTATGTAAGCAGAGCCACCCTGCTCTTTTTTATTATTATTTGCAGGAAATATCTCTTGATTTCTGTAAACTTTCAATCTATGTGTGTCCTTCAAGCTAAAGTGAGTCTCTTTTAGGAGGTGTATAGCTGGATACTGTATTTTTATCCATTCAGCCCCTCTAGGTCTTTTGACTGGAAACTTTAATCTACTCAAATTTAATGTAATTGTTACTAGGACAGGACTTCCCACTGTTATTTTGTTGTTTTCTGACTGCTTTGCATTTCTTTCTTTCTTTTTTTCCTCTGACTGTATTACTTCTGAATTGATGGCTTTTTGTGCTGCTATACTGTGATTCATTTCTCTTTTGTGTATCTACTACAGATTTTCTTTTTGGTTATCTGGGGATGATTTAAAATATCTTATAATTAGAATAGTCTTTTTTAAAGCTGATAACTTTGACTATAGATAATAATTCTACACTTTTACTTCTCCCACATTTTATGTTATTGATGTCACTATTTACATTTTTTATATTATGTATCCATTCACAAATTACTGTAGCTATGGGTTTTTAAAGTTTTGTTTGTCTATTAACTTTTAGACCAGATTAAAAATAATTTATATACTATCACTACAGTATTAGAGTCTGCTGAATTTGATGATATTTTTACCTTTATAGGGAGTTTTATTTTTTACTTTCGTATGCTTTTATGTTAATTAGCCTTCTTTTGTTTCAACTTAAGAACTCTAGCTTTTCTTTTAAGTTAGGTCTGATAGTGATCAATTTCCTAGCTTTCGTTTGTCTGGGGAAGTATTTTTCCTTTATTACTGAAGAACAGCCTTGTTAGGTATTATACTTCTAGTTGGTCTGCTTTCTTTTATCTTTTGTTTTTATCTCATTTGATATGTCACATCTCCTTTCCTGGCCTGCAAGGTTTCTGTTGAAAAATGCACTGAATGTCTTACAGAGATTTCCTTTGTGTAACAATTCACTCTTCTCTTGTCACTTTCACAATTAATTGTCTTTGACTTTTGAAAACTTGATTATAATGTATCTCCATGAAGATCTTTATGTTTAATCTATTTGGATTATTTGGGCTTCATGGATTGGGATGTTCATTTTCCTCTCCAGGTTGGGAAGTTTTCTGTCATTATTTCTTTAAATAAGCTTTTTGCCCTTTCTCTTGCTCTACTCATTCTGAATCTTGTATAATGCATATTTGGCTTTCTTGATGGTGTCCCATAAGTCCTGTAGGCTTCTTTCAGGTTTTTTATTCTTCTTACCCAGATCAAGTCTGCTGTTGAAATTTTACCCAGATCAAGTCTGCTGTTGAACCCTTGTGGCTCATTGAGTTTCTTTAAGATGAATATTTAAAATTCTTTTGTCAGGCAGCTTGTAGTTACCAATTTCCTTAGGGTTGGTTACTGGTGCTTTACTTTGATACTTTGATACTATCATGTTTTCCTGATTATTCGTGATTTTATGGCTTTGCTTGATGTCTGCTTATTTAAAGAAATGGCAGCTCTTTCAGTCCTCATAGACTACTCAGGAAGGGAAAACTCTTCACAAGTCAGCCTATCCAGAGATTCTGGATGAGGTTCAGGGGCAGGCTGGATGTTAGAATACTCCAACAGGCTGGCTTGGTGCCTGGGTCAGTGGGTAAACATTGCTGGCACCTGGGCCCACAGGGCTCAACCAGGCGCCAGGCTCCACAGAAACAGGCCTTGTCCCTAGGCCTTGTCTCAAGGCCTGAAGCCTTGGACCGTGGGGCAGGTATGCCTCTGGAATGGGCTTAGAACTTAGGTCCATGGGGTTTAACTGGAGCTTGGGTACACAGGAGCAAGTCTGGGGCCAGAGTCCACTGGCATTGGCATGGTTCTGTGGTTGACAGAAAGTGGAGTACTCGTTTCACTCTTCTTTCCCATGTGGAGGATATCTCTCTCCATGTTGTGCTATATGGGCTTGGACAAACTAGTGTTGCGTGTAAGGGGAAAATGTTCTTTCTGCCCTCTTTAATGTATGTTTGTTCTCTTATTTCTGTGTTCCACTCAGGTGCTATAATCTGTCATCCAGATTCCTTAGCTCTTGTGAAGATATCTTTGCATGTAAATGATTGTTTAAATTCATTTTTTTTTTTTTAGAGGGGGAGTCTCGCTGTGTCACCCAGGCTGGAGTGCAGTGGTGCAATCTTGGCTCACTGCAACCTCCGCCTCCCGGGTTCAAGCGATTCTCCTGTCTCAGCCTCCCAAGTAGCTGCGACTACAAGTGTGTGCCACCATGCTGCACTGATTTTTGTATTTTTAGTAGAGACGGGGTTTCACCATATTGGCCAGGCTGGTCTCGAACTCCTGACCTCGTGATCCGCCCGCCTCAGCCTCCTAAATGCTGGGATTATAGGCATGAGCCACCAAACTCGGCCACTTAAATTGATTTGTATGTGAGGGCAAGAGTGCTGCCAACTCCTATTCTGCCGTCTTGCTGTCACTTGAGGAGTCCCCTGATTTCCCTATATGTGATCTCCTCTACATCTCCAGCTGTCTGGCCCAGGCTATTAGCACTATATTGTCTAACAATTCGTTAAGGGCCCTATTGCCTAATCTTAATAATTGAATATTAACATCTGAAATAACTACAGCTTCCTATCCCTCTATCCTTATTGCTATTATGTCTGAAATCTCTCTGGCATTAAGTTTATCTTACCCTCAGGGGGATTAGATTTTTGAATACTGCGATGTAAATGAAATTTTAAAATACATTCAATTAAAATATTGTTATACTTGAAGTTGAAAACTAAAATGACCTCTTTACTTTTTATTATCCTCTCAGAAATATGCATCTCCTCTGTGTTAGACTTCTGTCAGACTGCATCTATGGGGCTTCTCTTGTATGTGTCCATTTGTCTCCCAAATATACAGTATGTGCCTTTGGTTTAGGTACTACTTGCCAGTATCAGTTATGACTAGGTTAATAAGATCATATTAAAATGAATGATAGTTTATGCTCAGAAAACAAAGTATGCCTAGGTTATAAAGGTTATGTGTTATTTATAACTGTCCAATGCAACTAATAAACATTTCCCTGACATTAAGCTGTTTAGACTCAATATTATGTGGGTCTCACTTTTGCTGATACAAACTTGTGAAGACGAAGAGAAAGAAGGAGTGAGAGGTACAAAAGAAGAAGTAGGAGGGGACTATATTCTATAGATGAAAATTTTCGATCTAGAGGAACAAGTAGCTTTTCTGAGGCTACAGAACCAAGAGAAAGGACCAAGATTTGAGTTGAAAGCATTGTACCTGCCTTATACTCTCTTGCTACATCCGGAAGAGATTTCAGATTATTTTTATCATGCTTTCTTCACATCCTCAATCCAACCTCAATGAAAGTATTCAGCCATTTGTTGAGGGTGCAGGAAGATATACACAGCTAGTGAATTACTGGACAAAATGAATCTATTTCTCTGATCTTGATATCACATGATAGAACATAGAATTTATCCTCATTAATGAGGAAGGGTGCTATTTAAAATGGACCACAGAATATAGAATCAGATGATTGCATTTGAGTTTCAACTCAGATATACACTAGATAAAATGTTAGTTACATCACCCAGCAACCCTGAATCTTACTCAGTTTAACCATATGCATGTTAATTAGCATTGATCTATTTTAAACTGTTGTAATATATATTGGAAAGTACTTCTCTATATATTTTATCAACCCTACATATACATACATAGAGTACTTTATATATTTCAATTATTATTTCTAGCCACTTCTAGTTACCTAAAAATCTTTCTTTCTGTGCAAAATTGTGTCTCTGTTTGTTTTCCTCCATAGCAAATGCAGCAGTGTGTGATCAAGTATATTCTAAAAGTAAAATAAGAAATAAAAAATAGAACCCATCTGAGATTTTTCCTCTTTACCCCATCTTCAGCCCTTCCATAATACCTTGTAAGGAATTTTCTTACCATGAGTATTCACAAATTCGGATTCATTCCCTAGAGTTAACAATGTCCCTAGCACTGGGTAGTGTAAACAACTGGGTTTTTCTTTTAAACGTGGCAAGGCACCAGTAGAAGTTGGAGGAAGTCCCACATTCAATTCATTATAGTAACGATATAAAAAATTCACAAAATTTTAAAGTAAATAATAAGTTATGAAAAAAAGACAAATGGGCACGACAATGTGAAGAAGTCTGAATCTGTTGTCAGAACAAAGCAACTTTCTTAAAACTGTTCTCCATTGCCTGGGTAAGAAGTATTTGTAATCAACCAGCTTGAAAACTCCTCTTGAAAGAAGATGTAAACTTGAAACAAAAATGAAAACATTCCCATTTAAGCCTTGGAAAAAATAAAATAATTTAGTTAGAGGTGTTTTAGTGATTAAATATTTTAATATTAATCACCCTCCTATTGCTACTACACATAATGCAATCAGCAGAGTCAATATGTGTATACTCTTATGATGATAAAGATCAAGACATAGAATTCAATTAAAGACATTTCACTCTACTTGCAGCATCTCCCTTGGCCCCTAATTAAGTGGGAAGAAAGAAAAAAAGAATAAGAATTCTTGAAATCTTTTCAGAGCACTGTGAAACACGAAGCACATCCAGAGATTACTTGGTCACCTGTATGTTGTTGCAAAAGTAAGAATAAATAACAAGGTTAAAATAATGCCCTTGCTAAAGACTTTCACGTGTAAAAAATAATATAATGCATACCTACTCCTAGATCCTGAACTTAATGTTAATTCTCTCTATTGATTCATTCACCAGAGTTTGTAAAAAAGCCCTTCATCTTTATTACACTGTCTTCTCATCTCTTTTTTTTTTTTCTCCTCTTCTCCGTGCAGCTAAGCTTTTAGTATGGTTATTTGCACTTTTTTCTTCACTTTCTCACCTTCCATTTCACTGTTCTGTAAACTGCAATCAGGCTTTGAGCATGTGCTCCAACCCCAACAAACCTGTCGCAGCAAAGATCACTGAGGTCCTATTAAGTGTGAGACACAGTGCACATATTTCTGTCCTATATTCTTGACCTTTCTGAAGCTCATGAAATAATTCTATGTGCCAGAAACCCTTATTTCTAGCTTTTTAAGGTAGTGTTCTCTTATGATTCTCCTCATTCTTTATTAATCATTCTGTCTAAATACTGGCCAAGTTTTGTCTATTTCATTAGACTTTGAAAGAACTAGCTTGTTTGTTTTATTTGCTTATCTATTGAATCTTTGCTTTTTACTGAATCAGTTTTTACTTTTATCTCTCATATTATCTTCCTCTTCCACATACTCTGCATTACTGCCATTTTCCTAAATTTCTGAGTTGATCTCTTAGCTCATTTATTTTTATGCTTTCTTCTTTCCTGGGACTTCTTTCTTAGTACTTTCTTCTTTTCTAGTACTTGTATTATAGTCATATTGATTTCTCAGCTCATTAATTTTTAATCTTTTTTGTAGTACTTTTATAATTTTCCCTTTAAATACCACTTGAAAGCCTCTCTTAAAGTTAATCTACAGTATTTTATTTTTATTTCCATTCTAAAATAAATATTTTATTTATTTATTTCATTTTGATAGTTTAGAATTTCCAAATGTATGAATACTTGAAGTGCTATTTTTTGTATTTTATAAAAAATATTTTAAGTGGGAAAATGAAATGATCTGTTTTACATGTTTTAAAAGATTACTCAGGTTGTTATGATAGTTAATGGAATATAGCCAGAGTGGATATTTTGAAAATAAATTGGAGGTTATTGCATAGTTTGAGAGATTAGGATACTCAGTAAAGGCAGAAGAGATGTAGACAGATTCAAATATGCATTGAAGGTATAATGGACAAAATAAATAGTAGCATCAAGAATAACATTAAAGAGAAAAGTGAGGAAAGGGTGAGCAAGGGCCAGGGCCAATAAGCTTCTCCTTGGTTTTTCTATATGTATCTCTTCTAATTAAATTATGAGAATAACTCAGCTGGGCACGGTGGTTTACATCTGTAATCCTGGTACTTTGGGAGGTTGAGGTGGGAGAATTGCTGGAGCCCAGAAGTTTGAGACCAGCATGGGCATCATAGTGAGATCCTATCTCTAAAAACAAACAAAATCACCAGGAATGGTGGCATACTCTTGAAGTTCTAGCTATTGGGGTGGCTGAGGTGGGAGGATTAATTGAACACAGGAATTCAAGGTTACAGTGAGCTATGATCTTGCCAATGGACTCTAGCCTGGGTGACAGATTTTTTATTCTGTCATTTATTAGAATAAAATAAAAAAATTTATTCTGTTACTAGAATAGAATTTTATTCTAATTTTTTTAAAAAATTAGAATAACTCATATTAGTTCTAGGCTTTCTGTTACCTGAACACGAAATGCATTTACGATTTCTACCCTCAACAAAACACAGACATTTTTATTAGCTTGGAAAACAGACTGTAAGTGGTGTCAATACAAAAGAATGCCATTCTTTATTTGGAAGAGTCTCTGAGTAGCATAACCAAATAAACCAACGGACTATGATGTGTGATATGGTTTGGCTGTGTCCCCACTCAAATCTCATCTTGAATTGTAGTTCCCATAATCCCCATGTATCCTGGGAGGCACATGGTGGGAGGTAATTGAATCATAGAGGCTGTTACCCCCATGCTGTTCTCGTGATAGTGAGTTCTCATGAGATCTGATGGCTTCATACTGGGCTTTTTCCCCTTTGCTTGGCAGTTCTCTTTCCTGCACCCCTGTGAAGAGGTGTCTTCCATCATGATTATAATTTTCCTGAGGCCTCCACAGCCACGTGGAACTATGAGTCTATTAAACCTTTTATTTACTTATTTTTTTGAGATGGAGTTTGGCTCTTGTTGCCCAGGCTGGAGTGCAATGGCACGATTTCAGCTGACTGCAACCTCCGCCTCCCGGGTTCAAGCAATTCTCCTGTCTCAGCCTCCCAAGTAGCTGGGATTACAGGTGCCCACCACCATGCTCGGCTAATTTTTGTATTTTTTAACAGAGATGGGGTTTCACCATGTTGGCTAGGCTGGTCCTGAACTCCTGACCTCAGGTAATCCACTTGCCTCGGCCTCCCAAAGTGCTGGGATTGCAGGCGTGAGCCAATCAATGTGTCTGGCCTAAACCCTTTTTCTTTATAAGTTACCCAGTCTCAGGTATTTCTTCATAGCAGTGTGAGAATGGACTAATAAAATGAGTAAAAGTTGACATATTTAACAGAAAAATTTCTTCTAACTGTGAAAGGGATTAATATAAGTTTTATTCAACATTCACATTTTTGTAGAACAGTACGACTTTGTGATACCATGTATTCAAGTATGGTTGAATTTAATTTTTAAAGGATTACCAGAATAAGAAGACTGTGTGTTAAGAATAGAGGTAATCATGCTTGGAGAAGGTATTTTGGATGAGAAGAATATAGATTAGTTTTGTTTGTACATTATAACTTTTTAAAGTTAAGAGCCAGTAAATAGTCTGGATTAAACACTTTTTAGATTTGTTGACTAGGAGAATAATTAAAGACATGTTTTCAAAGACTACAGATGAAATTTATAAACAGCTGAAATTAGGGGGAAATGCAACAGGATATTCTCTGCCACTTTGTCCTATAGCTTCCTTGCATAATCCAAGAACATTTAATCAGTTCAAATTTGCCTGAATGGAAGAGAACAAGAATTGCTAGAGGGTGAAAGGAATGGGAGGGAACAACCCCAGAGACAGCAAATGCAGCTGCAGCTCTCCAATGGCAACAAGTGTTATGGAAATACGCATAAGCACAATCAAGTCTATGTACAGCAGGAACTTGGTCTTTGGTGCAAAAAGGAACAGACTTTTCACAGTTGATTTAATTTGTCTATGTTATAAATGGAATAGTAATCATATAAAGGAATAAAAAAGAATCCATAGCCCTAGGGTACGTGTGTTGCTTCAACTGTGCCTATCCCTCAAAAACATGTAATTCTTCCTAGGAAAATCTGCAGCTTTTGAATTATTATTGGGGGGCACTTTTTTTCAAAACAGGAAAATTTTGACTCTTAAAGCCTGATTTAAGTCCTGCTCTAATTTGTAATGTAGATTTCAGATGGCTTTGTCTATGAAATTTGTTCAATAGATTCAAAGCAACCATTCTATACAGTGTAACTTTCCTTGTTGAACATGGTTTAAAAAAAAGCCTTGAACACTCATCTCTGTCTCTCCTAGTATAGAGAACAGATTCACAAATGGGCATTGACTGTCTCTGTCCTACTTAATGAGTTTCTTCATAGAAAGGCAAAAGGTGAATACAACACAAAGACGATAGTGCAATTATGTGTAGAAATTGTTGACATAAAAAAGCCTATTTTATATATTTATGAGCAAAAATTATGTAAAAATGCAATACTGGCAAATTAACAAGGTCTATTAAGTTAACCTCAATTAAATCTTTCGTGTTCATTCAAAATATAGTAAATTCTCATCTAGTAAAGTTTCTCTCTCTCTCTCTCTCTCTCTCTCTCTATATATATATATATATATATGGTTTTGTTTTGTTATAAGACGGAGTCTTGCTCTGTCACGCAGGCTGGAGTGCGGTGGCGTGATCTCGGCTCACTGCAACTTCTGCATCCCGGCTTCAAGTCATTCTCCTGCCTCAGCCTCCCATGTAGCTGGGATTATAGGCGTGAGCCACCACATCCGGCTAATTTTTGTATTTTTAGTAGAGACGGGTTTTGCCATGTTGGCCAGGATGGTCTTGAACTCCTGGCCTCAGGTGATCCACCCACCTCAGCCTCCCAAGGTGCTGAGATTACAGGCGTGAGCCACCGTGCCCAGCCAAAGTCAATGTATTTCAAATGTTCATTGTCATTGCGTTTGCCTTGTAACTATAGATCACGGGTGGTGCCCAGTGGGTAGCTATGGGGTTCTCTTTTCTGGTTCGTAATAGGAATGTCTGACATTGTCATTGAAACATTAAAATTATAGGAATGTTTTATTGTTTGCTACCATTTCTCTTTTTACCTCTGATCCAATATTAAATGGTGTTCCTCAATTTCACAAGCATGTTATGTAAAATAAATACATTTCAAATTGTTGAGCACTTTTATCTTCTGGGTTTGAAATTATTCATGTCCTGACTTTGAAACTTTATTGCAGATTAAAAACAAATTAAAACACATATACATCCCTACATATGTGTACACACACACACACACACATGAACACACACACACACACACACACACACACAGTTGAATTTGCTTAGGAAAGAAATCCATCAAAATAAATAATTCATGTTGGGATGGACTGAAATCTAGTCTTTTAGGAGGTGCCAACAGATGGTTTACATTTATAGAATGCACACTTGCTGACTTCCAAACAGAAATGAAAATTCATAAAGTATATCATTAGGACTCCTTATAAGCAGCATTATGATTATGGTATGAATTTGGATTTTCCCAGGTGAAGAGTTTTCCATCATAATTTTACTAAGAAAAAGTGAAACAAATTACTTTCCAGTTACTATCTTGTGTTAGCATGTTTGAAATCAAACCCTGCTGCTGATCATCCAGCAGCACATGCCAATAAACTCAGACCTCAATAAGGCTGTTGTTCTCATGATGATCATCATTTTATAAGAAGTCTTGGGCATTTTTAATCCTTTAAATAATAGGCATTATTGCAACTAATAAAATAAGGCAGTTTCTTTAGCTTTCACTTCCTATTACATCAGTTAGGTTAGGAACTTTCTATCGGTATAATTAGGGGTGAGACCTCAGCTTATTAAAGTTCAGGCAACAAGGCACTTTTAGTTAATTTTAGCAACCCTTTTGGTTTAAGTAGAGCTACTTAATACCGTGGGATAATAGTAACATTTTATTTTTAGTAAATGTTGCTGCTCACCAAAATGTTAACATTTATATCAGGTAAGGTTATAATTAAAACTTGTTTTACATCTACAAAAAGCTAATTCATTGCTCATGAAGATTTTGTCTACACAGTACAAAGTAAAGTGGATTATGATTGGTTATACATTTAACGAAATCAAAGAGTCATGAAAATCACTTAAAACCAAAACACGCCTGAGATTTTATTCACTAAGTGTGTCTAGTAGCTCACTTGATCAAATTAGCTGAATAAATGACAAACCCTATCCAGAATGGTAGTATTTACAATATGGAGAATATAAGAAAACATAAAAAAATTAATTGGGCAATTGCTAGATTTTCTTAATGATATTTTAACCGGTCTAAATTATGCAGGCAATTGTTTTCAGTCTCTTTTTCAACATGTTGGGTTGCCCACTACCAAAATAATTTAGACAAATATTACGGTGGGAAAAATCTGTCATTTCAGTGAAAAAAAAAAAGCCAAACTATAAATGTTTTGTATCATAGAAATAAAATAACTAGTGTTTTAGGCTGAATTTGTTGTTTTTAAATCAATGATTTTAATAATGTATAGGTGGCCTCTTCATATTTTTATGCAGAAATACCTAAGTGTTGGCATAGATCATTCCAAGCAAATACAATATTCTCCGTCTGTAAACTTTAGATATCATATACTGTACAGTGAAGGATGAGTGAGGAACAGAACTTTTAGACACATTTATTCAACAAAAACACCTAAAGTTGATATTTTTGCCTTTCCAGTGATTGACTTGATATCCTCAATTAGGGGAAAAACTAGATATTATATTTGGATTCAATTAATCCATAATCCATTCAATATATAGTCTATACATGACTAAATATAAAATAAGATTGAGCAGCACTTTCTTGCTTAAAATGGATATAGGAAAGAAACAAAAACATAGTTTATATAGATATAATTTGTGACGTTTTAACAGAGGTAAAATAATCTGGTGATATTTTTGAATTTTATATGGTAGAATTCAATATTTTAATCTGTCAGCCTGATTCTTTTACGACTAGACACAATATTCCAAAAGCTTACATTCCATATTTTTCTTGGAAAGCAATTGGCATTAAATGTCATTAAGAACACAAAGCAGAAATAAATTCTTCCATGTACAACTCCTCAATTAAATACCTTAACAGCAAGTCATGATAATACGATTATGCATAGTGAAATGTGCTATACGCACTGCAGAAGACTTTGAATGAATCCTGGGTTGTGTGGTGAATAATCAAGAAGATGTATTTATCCTATCTTGTCTTAGGTTAGGAGAAAGTATAAGTAAGGCAGAGGGGTCCTCTGGAATATAGGAGCTTCCAAGATAATGACGTATCAGTTGAATTTGCAGCCTAAAAAAGGAAACCCAGTAGTCCAATGGTCTTGGGTAGAAAGAGTTTAGCATAATTGAGCCCACGTAGAATTTACGTTGTAGAATGGATGGTACTGTGGTTTGAATGTTTATGTCCCCTCAAAATTCATATGTTAAATGTGATAGCATTAAGAGGTGGTGCCTTTAGGAGGTAATTAGGTCATGAGGGTAGGACTTCCATAAAAGAGATTAATTTTTTTATAAGAGACACCCAGGGGACCTTGCTTGCCCCTTCTACTTTGTGAGGACACAATGAAAAGAAGCTGTGTCTGAGTGAGAGTGAGAGCACAGGTCCTCTTCAGACATTGAATCTGCCTGGGCCTTGTTCTCAGACTTTCCAGCCTCCAGAACTGTGAGAAATAAATTATGCTGTTTAAAAGCCACCCAGTATGTGATATTTTGTTACAGCAGCCTAAACAAACTGACACAGATGGGACCCAAATGTAGTTACTGTTCCTAGAAGAATAGCTTGGAAGATTTCTGAGCTCAGAGCCAGGCATCTTTCTCAGGGCTATTGCAAAGGCCAGTCCAAGAGGATGAAGGGGCAAGATAGGGAGTGCATGTGGAATGATAAACTCAGAATTAGGGCCAAACCAGCTCCAACTAATCAGACCACTTTAAAGTAGAATCAGACTGCAGCTTAGAACACTAACTGGGCCAGCAGCAGTAAACTGAACAAGGGTCATTGCCCAGGGAACCAAGAAAATCAGAAGACGTTTTATTAAACAAATCATTCCCACCAAGAGGTAGCTTGGGCCACAATTCTCCCATTACACATCAAGGAAGATTCCTTCCTTCCTTGGAAGGAATCTGAGGACTAAGATGGGTAGTTAACATCCTGAAGGGCTGCACATTCTATCTTAGAAATACTATGCATTATGTAAAGGGATTCATTAAGAATTGGAATAAACATGTTTTAAAGTAGGTAGGACTATATCTTGTTTTTCTTCCCCACTACTCAGCAAATGGAGGTAAATTCAACTAGATTAATTATTGATAACATAAACCGTTTTCTATGTGCCCGAGTAAACTGTGAGTTTGCAACCCTACAACAGCAGGTAGTATTACTACGATTGTCATCACCTTTTTCATTGTATTGTCTTACAGTTTCCTTTCAGGCTAGTATTTCTAATACACTATAGCTATAGCTCTCTTTAAAATATTTTGGTGGATACATAATGATGAGATGAACCTTTGCTTTTTAAAACCTATTTATCTCCCTAAGCTCATCTATTGCAATTTTGCCCCAACCCACAACTCATTTTCCAGCCAACTTTTAGATTGCTATTCCTGAAGTATGCCATTTTCTCTTTTGCCTCTGGGTTTCTGTACATGACATGCTCTCCTTACATGCTATGCATGGCTAAATCCTGCATATCTGTTAGGAATCAGTTCAGATATTACCTTTTCCAAAAATCTCCCTAATTTATGGTGGCCACCTTCAGAAGAGCAACATTCTTTCTTGCTCTTGAGGACTCCTCAGAACCAAGGTTGAGAAATGATCATTTTTGAGAACATTGTAGATTCATAAAGTTAAAGGCAAGATCTTCCTAATCTGAGAACTCCACTGTCCTAAGAATTGCTACTTGAGGTTTCTTTATCCCTTAGGCAAATCATTTTTTATTGTATTTGTCTCTTTGGCTAAAGGAATCCTTTATGTTATATGCCACTTCACACACTGGAGGTTTACACTGAAACATGAGAGTTAAGTCTCCAAGTAATGCTGATTATTTATTCTTAATGTATAGCAAGGCTTCTGTATGAGCAGAGTCCTGGCATTTAGAAAAAAATCTTTTGCGGAAATATCAAGATTTTTGTAATAGGGAGAGCCTCTGTGGTTTGAAGTTTGTAGAGGGAGTGCAGTTCTATTTTTGAAATGTATCCAGGACTTCCAACAGGTAGAGTCACAGAGCTCCATGTGATCAAATCAGATTCATCATGAATTGCCAGTAGTAAGATGAGGGACTTAATGGTATGAAATAGACATTGGTAGATGACAGTGGATTGACTGTTATATGTTCTGTTCTTTATTGTATGATGACATATCCAGGTGAAGCAGAGAAACAGGAAAAGATAATTCACAGCTCTTCTTAGGATTAATGCATTTTTATCAGAAATTTATCTGAAATAGCCAAACCACACGCTTTCAGGTTGGCCCTGATTTCTATATTAAATAGGCCCTAAAGACAAATGAAAACAACCGCTTCTGGGGACCTCAGTAGCCTGATTGTGACACACATAGGCATGCCTCTGTTGCTTTGTTTTTTTAGGCAGAGGTCCTAAGAGAATATTGTTAAGTCCTGACCATAATTAAATATCTCACCCACAGTAGAGGCTCCACTCATGAGTACTAGAGATTATTAATGAACAGGGCCTAAACCTTAAGAAAGTCAAGCAACTTCTATTTTTGCAATTTTTAGATCTATGAGTTGCCATATAAGAAGTCTGGCTGTTCTACACAGTGCCTTTTAGAGAAGTCATGTGGAGAATGATAGTCCCTGAGACAACACAGAAAGAAAGAGAGGTCAAGGTGTGCAAGCATCCCAGTATAGGTGGCAGCTATGTAGATGAGACATCTTGGATATTTCAGCCCATTTGTGCACCCAGATAACCACAGCCACAGCCAACATCACTAGAAGCAGAAAAGCTGCCAAATTTGGCCCAATAAATGCACAAAATCATGAGAAAAATGGGGGTTGTTGTTTTAAACTACTAAAATGTGTGAAGGGTTGTCATACAGTAATAAATAACTGAAACAAAGACTTTACCAGAAGTAGGGCTTTGCTGTAACATAAATAAAAAATATATGGCATTTGCTTTGTGATGGACACTGGCAGAATCTGTAAGGACTTTAAGTAGACTGTCAGTAAAAGCTGGAGGGACTTCTTTTTTCAGGTTTCTGTCCCCGCCCCACCCAAATTTATGCAACAGCATCTTAATCTTCCTGTCTCCAATCCGGAGATCATTTTTTTTTTTTTCACCTAAAAACAAGTCTAAAACATTCAGAGACACTCACTAAACACTAAACAATATTTTTCAGTTTCATACAGAGGGCTTCAGGGTTTGGCTCGGGCTTACTTCTCTGATCCTACTGGTTAGCATACACTTTCTCAATTTGGACTGCTGTCTTTTCTCTTGCATTCTTTTTTTTTTTTTTTTTTTTGCTTAGTAGTCTCATTCAGATATTACCCATCTTAACATTAACTAGCCATGCTTTTCTGCTACTCTCCCGTACTGTGCTAATTGCTCCAGCTAGCACATTTCCCCCTAATCCTGTGACAGTTTCATATTATCTTCTTTCTATTGTGTCTTCTACATCCCTTCCTTGGCCAGGCTAATTCCCACATGCCCTTCTGGTACTTCTTTTGGAAAACCTTTACCCACTTCTCTAAGACCGAGTTAGATGACTTCTTCATATATTCCATAGTATCTCATCCTTGCTCTAATAATTACATTTTTTTAAGCTATGGTATAACTACCTGTTCATATCTGCCTTTCCCTTAGATTCTCAGAATATTGAAGGCAAGAACTGTGTCTGTTTTTCAATATACCCTCATGGTTGACAACAGTATCTGGCACATAGGAGGTTCTTTATCAATATATTTTAAATGAATGAATTAAAAATGAATAGATGATTGGGCCAAGTACTTGTGTACTTTTTTCCAAATACCATGCTTATTCTGGCAAAGTAAACATATATAAAACAATTTCCAAATTGGGGTGTTTATGTGAATTTTAGTTTGTTTCTTATCTTTACTGCAAGGGGGTTATATAGTAAGAACAGTGGCGAAAGAGGGTAGCCTATTTTGTTTTTGAAGCATCCTCTTGCCCCTGCCCCAGACTAAGTCGGTAAATGCTACTGAGTGCATGTTAGTGCTACATAAAAGGCAACCTTTTCTGTGGCGGCCTGTTCCCTGTGCTCGTTCAATTGTTATTTTTATAAGGCAAATAGCTATCAGTGTGTAGAGAAGCCATCAAGCTCTTATAGCTGGTTTTAAAATACTGTTTTTAGTTTGTATGCCTTCAAATTGCGCCTAAATAACACAGTTATTTTTGACTGATTGATTCTAAGAATTTTGCTATTACAGCCAAACTATGACATTTTGCATCATATATTTTTAGCATTTTTAAAGAATGAAATGCATTTCTATTTTTTAAAATGATTTTTTCATTTTGAGTTTGAGCCAAATATCTCAAAAATCCACAGCTCCTAGAACTCAACAGAAAATTTGCAAGGCCAAATAAAATATATGTGGCTTACTGCTGCAGCTGTATGTTTTAAAGAAAGCTAATATATTGACTAATTCTTAGAAGAGCATCCATAAATTGCTGTCTCTGAAAAATGTTTATAGTTATAAAGGCTAGAGATGATGTCATTTTTGCTGTTACAGGTAAAGAGGCATCTGTGTTTTTGACCTTTTAAGTATTTCTATTGAGATTCTAAATACCAACGTACCAAAATACACCTACCATTATTTATCCAACAACACTCAAAATAAAATGACAACATTTTGTCATTCCACTCTATCAATTTATGTCTCTTTAACCCTTTGATTGCTTTAATGGTTCAGTTGCTTTTAATACACAAAGGAATATACAATTGTTTAACTAAATAGACAATACTGTTTATTTTAATATAACCTTATAAGGTGATCATTCTGTAACCAATTTCTTTGATATTAATGATCATCACTATGTTAAAATACGTTAATACTTAAGCAGACTGATGTACATAACTGTAACAGGTTTTTTGTTTTAATTTCTTTGTCATCTAAACATTACCTTATATTTTAAAGCCAATTTGTTTTGTAATATAGATAATGAACAAGTTGGTTTCCCCCTAGAGATGTCTATGATACGTGAAAGATGTTTGTGAATGAATACATGTCTTTGTGTGTATTCTATGGTGTGACAGATTAAAAATGCCACAAGTTTTTTGATGTTTTTTCTATCAAGTCTTAGAAGATTCTATGACTGCTTTGACCAAAAGAAAAAAACAGAAGACAAATGCCAATTTCTGGGCCAGATCTTAGGAGAGTGGCGGCCTCCACCTCCTATCTCAACACTTGGTCTTGGAGCCCTGAGAAACTGTGTAAGAAATTCAACTAGCTATTCAGCTACAAAAATCATGTGAAGAGGCCCTGAATCTACATGAAGAAGAAGGTGGACCTAGGTGAACTCAGCCTTTCAGACCTGTGCTAAGATGCCAAGTGATCTTGTCATGCCACGTAGAGCAGAAAGATGACTAGCCCAATTGCTGGCCCAGAAAACCATGAGTTGTAATAAGTGCTTATTTTTTTTTTCTTTTTTTTTTTATTATTTATTTTTTTTGAGACGGAGTCTGGCTCTGTTGCCCAGGCTGGAGTGCAGTGGTGCCATCTCGGCTCACTGCAAGCTCCACCTCCTGGGTTCATGACATTCTCCTGCCTCAGCCTCCCGAGTAGCTGGGACTACAGGCATGTGCCACCATGCCCAGCTAATTTTTTGTATTTTTTAGCAGAGACGGGGTTTTACCGTGTTAGCCAGGATGGTCTCGATCTCCTGACCTCGTGATCCACCCACCTCGGCCTCCCAAAGTGCTGGGATTACAGGCGTGAGCCACCGTTCCCGGCCTATTGTTTTAAGTCACTAAATTTCAAGGGATTTGTTATATAAATATAGATAACTAGAACATAGGGTAAATGGCATGAATATCTGAGGTGACACCCCATTTTATGATTCTTTTTCATCAAACTATTTTAGAACAATTCTACTAACTAGGTTACAACAAGATAAATATCCAAATACCATAAAATTACTCACAAGGGTACAAAGAAATATTGAAACTATTAAGTCTATAATTCCATGGTTAATGAAAAAATCAGGATTTTGCCAGCCAAGTATTATCCAGTTTCTATATTCGTTTTGGAGATGAGTCAAGTCTGCTAGCTTACTATCTAGCTCACTGATCTAACCACTATATAGAACTACATGACCTCTAGATTTAAAAACCTTTATCTTAAACATTAAAATCACACACACCCATAGTCACTGTACCACACACACACACACACACCACACACACACACTGCCTCTCTTCAAATATTTCTCTCACATCACCAGATTATAAGACATTTTATAAGGATGCTGTGAGATTCACCCACCACCCACAGGCAGCTGCTCTGAAGAGGAATTAATCTACAACAGCAATAAATAAATAAATAAAACATGGAATGAAAAACAACATACGTATTTTAGTATCCAGATATACCTATATAAATACATGGAGATACTTCAAGCATATGCAAGGTTATTGATTTAGAATTCAGCAGGAAGAGGTACCCAAAGAGTTCTCAGAATAACAATGTAAAAGCACATGAGAAATTCTTCTTTCATTTGTTTTTTTCTAAGATTTAAAAATGAGATTAGTGCAATTTAAGAAATGAATAAAAGAAATATGTTAGAAGATGTAGATTCTTTGGGGATTCCTAGCATTCAGTTTCGGGGAAATTTTGCCTTTCCTTTAAGGAAGCAGGTATATCTTATGTTGGCTTAGCAATTTAATCTATTTAACTCCTACAAAGCATAACTTATTTAGAACATATACTGGACATTTTATGTATCACTTCTGATTAAGAGTTATTAAAAATAATGTGAATAGCAAAACATTAATTTTGGCTTTGATAGTGTCTCTGTAATATGTAAGAGCAGTGTATTGGTTATCTATTGTGAATAATAAGTTACCTTTTTGTTTAGCAGCTCAAAACAACACACATTTATTAGCTCACAGTTTCTGTGGGTCAAGGATTCAGGGCCAGGTGACTCTGACTGAGTCTGTCATGATGATTCAGGTAAGCCATCACCAAGAAGCTGAAGGTTTAACTTGGGCTGATCTGATTCCATGATGGCTCATTTGCGTGGCTGTTGGCTGGAGGCCTCAGTCCCTCAGAGGCTATCGGCAGAAAGCCTTAGCTCCTTGCCATGCTGACTTTTCTGTGGAGCTGCTTGATCTCCTTATGACATGGCAGCTGGCTTTACCCAGAGTGCACAGTTAGGAAGAAAGGAGGAAGCTGCAGTGATTTTTACGACCTAGTTTCTGCAATCACACACTAACACTTGTGCTTTATTCTGTTCATTAGCAGTGAGCCACTGCGTCCACCCCACACTCCAGGAGAGGGAAATTAAGCTCCACCACTTAATGGAAGCAGCATCAAAGAATCTCTGGACAAATTTTAGAACCACCACAAGTAGGTTTAAAGACTTGCCAAGAATCAACTTAAATGGTCTGTTTGGTTCTGAATTAGAGGTGACAGTGTAACTAGTGAACATTTTGCTGCTATGAGCCACGGTTAGTATATATTTTGAAGGCTATATTCTTACATTTATCTGAATTCACTATTTCCCTGACTCCACCTCTGAGTCTTACAAGAATCAAATATATCTTCTCAGAATGCAACCTTATATTCTGGCAGAGCGGGACCATTATAGGTCAAGACGATAGCTAGATCAGGAGAAATAGTGCAAGGCTGAAAACAACCAGAATGGAATTGCAGTTCATGGATTTAGAAACTTCCTATTTCAATTCAATCTGTATATCTTCTTTATTTTATTTGTTAGGGAAATTTTATTTTCACTCCTGAGGAATATTGTAATATGATTTTAGTCCAAAATAAATCTTAAAATCAACTACACAGAGAAGACTTTATAACACAGTTTCTTTAAATATGTGGCAAATATTCAATTATCTGTATTAAAAGCCTGTAACACTTCATAAAATTAAGACAAGGAATTAATAAGTAGGTACCTTGGCAAGATTAAAATGTACTGACCTTTCTCAATTGAGGGTCATTGATTCCTGTGCCATTCACTAAGTTTATTATAAGGCTTTTTTTGCAAAAAAAAAAAAAAAAAAAAAAAAAAAGAGAGAGATTCCTGAATGCACTTCACGATAAGGGAGTTTTATATATAATGTGCATGTAAGATGGTAGTAGAAACAGAAAAGTAAAATTGTCAAAAGTGATGCAGTTCTAGCCTTAGGTTACTCAGTTTCTCTCTCATAGGCTATGCTCTCCGTTTCTCGAGGCATCTCCATTTTTAGTGCACATATGCTGCGTTCTCTTCTTTCTCCTAACCAATTTCCTCTGCTTACTCATAGTTTCTGCTCTGTCACAATGTTAGCTGGCATATGAACCTTCTTAGCCTCTCTTGCCTCTCTTTATACCTTGTTGTTAGCTTCTAAGTCACTGGTCAGCCTATGGTCTGTAGTGTGTAATGTGGGTCAGGGTCCCTCTTATCCTATCAACCAATCAGCTCTAGATGGGGTAGACAGGGGCACGGGGTTTACAAAGCACTTCCTTTTCAGGAAGGGCTGTGGTCACATTCATTCCTTTCAAATGTCAGTTATTGGTAGTACAGGCAATCTGAGTCTTTGTCCATGTGGTGCAATGATAAATAAATAGGTGCATAAGTTAAAAACTATATTTTGGTTCTCTTTTCTAATTGATGATCTTAAGAAAACATATACATAAGAAATATTTTCTCATCTGTCAAACAGAAACTCATTTGCTCATTTACTAAATAGATGTCCTGAAGGCCTATTGCCTGTGAAGCCCTGTGCTGGAATTTGCGGGTCTTGAAAGTTGCTTAAGGAGATTTCCTGCCTTCGAAAGCTTTCTGTAGGGGGGTGGGGTAGAAGGGTTAGGTATTCAAGCAAACAAGTAAAATATGATGTAGAAAGTGATTTTTCAAGAAGAGAGAAAACTTAAACATATGGTTACTGGAGTCCAGATTAAAACTAAGTAAATCACAGATAATAATATCTTCTTTCCCATCTTACAGAACTACTAACGTGTTAACTGTTACAATACAGGTACAAGCCTAGAAGGATGATTTTGGGGAGAACAGAGTTCTACAGAAATACAAGCTGTCTTATGAGTAAATAATAACAGAAATCGTTTACAGGGCAATTTTTTTAAACTGACTTGAATCACATATTTTTATAAGACTCATATCTTTTTCAATAAAATGTGGCCAAATTTAAGTTCACTTTCCCTTGTATTTTAACAGAAATCTGAACTTCCATTCAAAGAGAGATAACATGAGAAGCAGAATATATAGTGGTCCAAACTGTGTTGCTCACTATTTTTATGATCATGTACGTGTCTTTGAACATCCAAGGCCTCAGTCTTCCTTAAAAATATGAGATGATTAGACCAAAGCATCTTAAAGGTCCCTGTGGCCCTGTGATTCTATTGAGCCTGAGCCAATTAGTCAAACAGTTACCTGTCATTACACAGGCTGTGGTGTACACATACATTTTAGCACCAAACACAATTTAATAACAGGGCACAGAGGCCGCAAAGCCTCCTGATTCTGTTCCATTACTAATTTATCAGGGGCTGAAAGCAACCAAACTTAGGATCCCAGGCAGACAATGGAGCCTTTGAGGGGCAAGGGAAGCATCATTTAAAAGGAAAGCATTACCATTCTAAAATAATGGCAAAGCACATGAACTGAGTGCTCTGAAAGAGAGCACTACAAAAAAGGTATTCTCAGCTTAAATGCCCCAAACACAAAAGCTTTTAGTTGGGACTTAGACGGGAAAAAGAAAATAGCTCCCAATAAATTGGTTTTACCAGTATCCTTTTGTGTGTGCTGGTGCCAAGGGGGCGAGGGTACAGGCAAAGCGTGATTTTCCAAAACCTAGCTGAATTATGTTTCTTCTTTAGAACAAAACCCAACATTTTGCTAATGAGGATAAAGACAGTAAAACTGATATTCCTGTGCTATTACTAACTTGGGTATTGAAAGATCATTCACACAATAATTGTACCATGTTAGCACTATATTTGCATATCTTCTATTGTCTCCTTTCCTTGATATTTTGATTTAAAACCAGTAGATAACCATACAGTACCATATATGCATATACAACTTAATAATCTGATGTGCAAGGCAAAATGAGATTAAAAACTGAACACTTCATGCTAACCAACTGTTATTTATATGCTATTTTTCATAAACAATGCAAGATGACAGTGTATTTATTTGAAGAACTAGGTAAGTTAATGGTGTGTCAATTTAAGACAATATAAAACATGTAAAATCTTTTAGCATCCCCAGTCAGGTAGGCAAGGTGTTTGTTCATAGATTCTTGGTACTAACACTCTTTTTGAAAAATTCTACACAAATGCCAGGCATCATTATTAGCAATACATATACGTAAAATTATAGGTTTGAAGAAAAATCTCATATGATAAAAAAGAAATGCATTTTATAAATCTTTATAGGTGGCATAAACTATAAAAAATTGAAGATTTAGTTCAGAAAAACCTATTTTCCAACCATTTTTCTATTGAGATTTATATCTTTGAAGAAGCTATGCACATAATGACTTCAAGATTCATTGCACAGTAGTTATCTTTATCTGCCATACTGTTAGCACCTCCTTAACTGTATCTATGGTCACTCTACTTTTTTTGCTTAAAGCAGATGTCCTACATGACTGAAAACATTTTCTCATAGACCCATTAGTGTCTATGAGACATACATAAAAAAGTGAATCCCGTAAGAACTAGGAGATGATCTTAATGCATATTGTTGGTTTTTAACTATTTAGCAATTTCACTTATCTTGCAGAAATGGCTGTTGCCCTACCATCCTTAAGTGAAAGATAAGTTTCAATTGCAAATTCTTTCTGAATAATGAGTTTGAAAGGAAAAAAAAGATATAAAATGTGTAGGTTTGCATGTTGAGACTAGAGAATCTATTTGGGGGAATACATGGAATAGTTGAGTGAAAGGATGCACCTAATAATATCTGATATACCCGGACCAGGAAATGAAGACAATGTGACCAAATGTGTTTGTTACACTATTAGTTCTGAATTCATTAGAAAGATCACAGTGGGGTCTAGCATGGTGACTCATGCCTGTAATTCCAGCACTTTGGGAGGTGGAGGCAGGTGGATGGCTTGAGTTCAGGAGTTTGAAACCAGCGTGGGCAATATGGTGAAACCCCAACTCTACAAAAAATACAAAAAATTAGCTGGGCATGGTGGGGCAATCCCGTAGTCCCAGCTACTCAGGAGGCTGAGGTGGGAGGATTGCTTAAGCCCAGGAGGTGGAGGTTGTAGTGAGCCATGATCGTACCACTGCACTGCAGCTTGGGTGACAGAGCTAGACCCTATCTTATAAAAAATAAAAAATACATAAAAAGAAAGAAAGAAAAGAAAGGTCTGAAACAGGATACATGATAATATGTTTGGCAATCTCATTTCAGATGTAACAGTAAAGATATGAAATGATGTACATATGTAGTTTATGGATTCAGGGTCATTGTTCTATAGTCAGAGCCAAGATATTTATATCAAGTACTGTGGGCTTTCTGATTTATTACATTGTTGTATTGACACAAGGCAGAAGTGCTAGTTTTGAGAATAATTTGGGATATTAGTTGAATGGTAAATTTTCACGTGATAAGGTTCAGAAAATAGATTTTAACTGAATGACAACTCTACATACAAATACTGGCTGTATCTCCACTGGCTAAGCTCATTTTTCTTTTGAAAAGGTGTCTTCTAAAACTATACAGACATGATACCACTCAGTTGTTACTAGTAAGTAGCTTTAAGTTCATTCTTTGTGTAATTTACTTTTTTAAAATTTAGTTCATATTGAGGTGAGTATGTATATATGTGTGCAAAAAAGATGTCTGAATATCAGTAATTTCTCATTGTACTAACAGATAATCAAGATGACAATACCTAAGTTTATTTACAAACTTTACTTCAGGAATTACTCTTTTGAGGATTTTAAATTATTAGAAACATATTTGTATTTCATTGTTTTGTGGGAGATTATTCTAGACCTCATGACAAATGTCCCTTTTTGATACACTTGAGGGGCTTTGGCTAATAGGAGTTCATAAGTTGCTTTGCTCAACTGCAAGACGGTTCCAGGATTTACAGTAGCAGGTGATTGCCAGTTTGGTCAATGAATGGCTGTTAGCTCCTGAATAGCTCCTCAAAAGAATGTGACAGCCCCATGATCCACATGTTCCTCTGCTCTTGGCACTGTACTCAGGAGATTCCTTGAAGGTGATACGCAGTGATAGTTTCAGTGTTTGGAAACAGCCTCCAAATTTTATTTTATTTTTTCTCTCGGCAACGACTAATCCTACCTTAATCCACCTGGCTGGAGTTTTCTTACTAAAATGCAGACCTCCTCAAGTCACTTTCTACTAAACTCTTCAATGAATCCTAGTTACCCCAAACTCAAAATTGTTGGCATGGCATAAAAGGCCCTCCCTGCTTGCTTTTATATTATCTTTATCACTTGATACCTTTCCGCATTAACATCAGACTTATAGTTTCTCACTCTGTATTGTTTCTAACTTTATGTGTGTCTTAGTTTGTGCTGCTATTAAAAAATGTCATAGACTGAATGACATAACAATAAAATATTCATCTCTTACAGTTTAGAAGGCTGGGAAGTCCAAGATCAAGGTGACAGTGAATTTGGTATCTGGTATTTGGTATCTGGTGAGGGCTCTCTTGTTGGTTTGCGTACACTTTCTTCTTGTTGTGTTCTCAAATGGCAGAAAGAGGGAGAGGGCTCTGGTCTGCTTTTTTTTTCTTATAAAGGCACTAATCCCGTCATAGAGGCTCCACCTTCATTACCTCATCTACACTTCATTACCTCTAAAAGGCCTCACCTCTAAATCCTATCACATTGAGGATTAGAAGGTCAAATATGCATTTTTTGGGGGGTGCACTTCAGTCCATAGCAGTGTGTGTGTGTGTGTGTGTGTGTGTGTGTGTTTGTGTGTGCGTGTTATAAATGTGATTTCTTCTGTTTGAAATGGCCTTCTCTGTTGTCCTAGATGAAAGTATTTTCCTTCTTTAAAATACAGATTAAACATCACTTTCTCTGAAGCATCTCTCTGTCACCTCTGGGCAGAAATAATTCACAGTTTTTATGTTACCATTGCCTTGAATATACTTAAGTTCTATGTTTATTCTCATGACATTATAGATTTGTTTTGCTTTGTATTGTTTTGTTTTTAAATGTGCATATCTTCTCATCTTAAGGCAGTTACCATATTTCATACATCTTTATAGTCCCAACTCCTAATACAGGCCCTGGTATAGGGTTGACACACAATAAAAAGTTTTTGTATGAATATTTCTTGAAATAATATTGGATTATGAGCATTCTTTTCACCAAGAATGAAACACAAAGTCCTTGGTCACAATTTGACATGAGCCTACTTCTTCAACTAATCCAGGCTTACATTTAAATCTTTCCACATTTTTTTTCCTTCTAATAGCTTTTCATGCAGACAGAGGAAAGCAACATTTAACAAGCACTTAATTGCAACATGTGGGAATGAGTCAAATAGTGGTCATGTGTGGAACTTTTAATAGCGCCAATTCACATAGGGTCTCTGCTCGCTAGAAAGGCCATGCTTCCTCTGCCTCAGATATTTGACAGAAGACAAGCAACAGCTGAAACAAATACTGTCTTTAAACAAATCAACTAGCAATTCTTAATAGTGGTAGGTTTAACAATTACATAATGTCAGTGATGTCCCACCAGTAACAGATTAGAAGAATTCCAAGTTTGGAAACATCTCTAAAACTAATTCATAATTGCCATGATATGATGATGAGGCCAAATTTTGGCACAATGCAAATTTTAAATAACAGAATAAGCTGTCATTTAGTCCTGACTTTGTACAGTAGGTGAGCGTTTAATTAATTCTTATCTAATTCATAGAGTAAAGAAATTACTCTTTACTAACATAAAGACAGATTTCTGAAATCCTCTTCTTGCTTTTAGTTGCTAGCCTCACATACTATAGTGATAGACCTATTCGTATACAGGGAATATTTGGGGGCTTTTAATATTCAAAAATTAGATGGTACAAAGTTCATATCACTATGAGGCAAATCACTGAAGCTTTATTCTCAACTTAGCACAGTTCCATGTAATCTGCTCTGCTAAGAATTCAGCCTCAGTATTTGGTAACAGAAAAATTTCCAATGATACCACACAGCTCTCCATTCCCTAAAAAAAGGCAAGTAAATCTATGCATCATTCTCATTGCAGAACTATATATTTTCTTACATTGTATCGACACCACGCAAGCCAACATCTTTTAATAGTTTAATATTTCTTGCTATTGTACTTCTTTCAAAAAGTATTTTCTCAACCAATAAAGACATGATAAAATATGAATTAAATCAATTACAGTATGTCTACATGATAGAATACTGTAATGCCATTGCCATCATATTTTTAAAAACATTTCCGACATAAAGGAAATACCCAGAGTACATAAGAGAAAATTTTTGTTCTGCAATATTATATATACATCACTATTCTACATTTTTGTAGACTATACATCATATGCATGTTAGAAAAATTACTGGAATATATATAGTAAATTATTAGAGCAATCATGCCTAAATTGCATTACTATGAATGGTTTCTAATTTTTTGGTGCTTTTAAGTATTATAAAAATAGTAGTTATTGATATTTAGCAAATATGTGAGCTACTTTGCTAAGATATTTTATATGGATTATCTCACTTAACACAATAACCACATGATGTAGATACTATCATGACCTTTAATTTACAGATAAAGGAAGAAAACATTTATATTTTTAAAATTATTATTATTGCTTTATAATTTTACATCTTTTAATATTCTTTTTAAAGAAAAATTATAATTGTATACGTATATATGGGTACAATGTGATGATTTGACATATGTCTACAATGTGGAATGATTAAATCAAGCTAGTTAACATATCTTTTTTGTGGTGAGATGTTTGAAATTTGCTTATTTTAAAATATAAGATATATTATTATTGACTATAGTCACTCTACTGTGCAATAGATCTCAAAATTCATTTCTAAAAAATATCTAATTGAAATTTTATACCCTTTGACCAACAACTCGTTATTCCTTTCCTATACTTCCATGAGTTCAACTTTTAAATTTTCTTAGTTTATTTTATTTTTTTTGAGACAGAGTCTCACTCTGTTGCCTGGGCTAGAGTGCAGTGATGTGATCTCGGCTCACTGCAACCTCCACCTCCCAGGTTCAAGCGATTCTTGCACCTCAGCCTCCCAAGTAGCTGGAATTACAGGTGCATGCCACCATGCCCAGGTAATTTTTTTTTCTTTTTTTGTAGAGACAGTCTTTGCCATATTGGCCAGGCTGGTCTCGAACGCCTGGCCACAAGCCATCCACCCACCTTGGCCTCCCAAAGTGCTGGGATTACAGGCGTGAATCACTGTGCCTGGCAAGAGTTCAACTTTTTTAGATTCCACATACATGTGAAATAATGCAGTATTTGTCTTTCTTTGTCTGGCTTATTTCACTTATCATAATGTCTTCCAGCTTCATTCATGTTGTTACTAATGTCAGCGTTTCCCTCTTTAAGGCTGAATAGTATTTTATTGTATACATTTACAACATTTTCTTTATCCATTCATCTGTTGAACATTTAGGCTGATTCCATATCTTAACCACTGTGTATAGTGCTACAATGAACATGAGGATGCAGATATCCTTTTGACATATTGATTTCAGTTTTCAATTTCTTTGGATATATACCCGAGGTAGGATTGCTGGATCATATAGTAGTTCTATTTTTATTTTTTTGAGGAATCTCTATACCATTTTTCCATAAAGGCTGCACTAATTTTCATTTCCCACCAACAGTATACATGGGTTCCGTTTTCTCCACATCCACACTAACCTTTGTTATCTTTCATCTTTTTTATAAACACCATTTTAACAGACATGAGGTATCTCACAGTGGTCTTAATTTGCATTTCCCTAATGATAGGTAATGCTGAGAATGTTCTTTGTGAATTTGTTGGTCATTTGTATGTCTTCTTTTCAGAAATGTCTACAGATTCAGTGCAATTCCTATGAAAATCCCAATGCCATTTTGGAAACAGAAAAAACACTCTTTAAATTCTCATGGACCCACAAAAGACCCTGAATAACCACATCAATCTTGAGTAAAAAGAACAAAACTGGGGCATCACATGCCCTGAGTTAAAAAATATTATGAAGCAATTGCTATCAAAAATAGCATAGCACTGGCATAAAAACAGGCATACAGACCAATGGAATGGGATAGAAAAACTAGAAATAAACCCATATATTTATGGTCAATTGATTTTAGGCAAAGATGCCAAAAACACACAATGGGGAAAGGACAGTATCTTTAATACATGGTATTGGGAAACCCGGATATCCACGTGCAGAGGAATGAAACTTGATCCCTATCTCATACCATGTTCAAAAACCAACTCAAATGGACTAAACACTTAAACACAAGACCTAAAACTATACGACTACTAGAATAAAACATGGGGAAAATGTTCATGACATTGGTCTGGCAATGATTTTTGGGGATATGACCCCCAAAGCACAGTCAACAAAAAGTAGACAAATGGGATTGCATCAAACTAAAAATGTTCTGCATGGGAAATGAAATAACAGAGGGAAAGGACAGCCTACACAATGGAAGAAAATACCTGCAAATTATACATCTGATAGGGAGTTAATAAGCAAAATAATAATAATGAGAATAATAATATAAGGAACACAAACAACTCAATAGGAAGAAAATAAATAACCCAATTAACAGTGGGTAAAATGTTTATTATTTTAAGAAATGAATTGGAAAGGAGGAGCCAAGACGGCCGAATAGGAACAGCTCAGGTCTACAGCTCCCAGCCTGAGCAACGCAGAAGACGGGGGATTTCTGCATTTCCATCTGAGATACGGGGTTCATCTCACTAGGGAGTGCCAGACAGTGGGCGCAGGTCAGTGGGTGCACGCACCGTGAGCGAGCCGAAGCAGGGCGAGGCATTGCCTCACTCAGGAAGCGCAAGGGGTCAGGGAGTTCCCTTTCCTAATCAAAGAAAGGGGTGATGGACGGCACCTGGAAAATCGGGTCACTCCCACCCGAATACTGCGCTTTTCCGATGGGCTTAAAAAATGGCGCACCACGAGATTATATCCCGCACGTGGCTCGGAGGGTCCTACCCCCACGGAGTCTCGCTGATTGCTAGCACAGCAGTCTGAGATCAAACTGCAAGGCGGCAGCCAGGCGGGGGGAGGGGCGCCCACCATTGCCCAGGCTTGATTAGGTAAACAAAGCAACTGGGAAGCTCCAACTGGGTGGAGCCCACCACAGCTCAAGGAGGCCTGCCTGCCTCTGTAGGCTCCACCTCTGGGGGCAGGGCACAGACAAACAAAAAGACAGCAGTAACCTCTGCAGACTTAAATGTCCCTGTCTGACAGCTTTGGAGAGAGCGGTGGTTCTCCCAGTACGCAGCTGGAGATGAAATTCTGGGTTGAAAATTCTTTTCTTTAAGAATGTTGAATATTGGCCCCCACTCTCTTCTGGCTTGTAGGGTTTCTGCTGAGAGATCCGCTGTTAGTCTGATGGGCTTCCCTTTGAGGGTAACCCGACCTCAAAGGCAGACTGCCTCCTCAAGTGGGTCCCTCACCCCTGACCCCCGAGCAGCCTAACTGGGAGGCACCCTCCAGCAGGGGCACACTGACACCTCACACTGCAGGGTACTCCAACAGACCTGCAGCTGAGGGTACTGTCTGTCAGAAGGAAAACTAACAAACAGAAAGGACATCCACAACAAAAACCCATCTGTACATCACCATCATCAAACACCAAAAGTAGATAAAACCACAAAGATGGGGAAAAAAACAGAACAGAAAAACTGGAAACTCTAAAAATCAGAGCGACTCTCCTCCTCCAAAGGAACGCAGCTCCTCACCAGTAACGGAACAAAGCTGGACGGAGAATGACTTTGACAAGCTGAGAGAAGAAGGCTTCAGACGATCAAATTACTCTGAGCTATGGGAGGACATTCAAACCAAAGGCAAAGAAGTTGAAAACTTTGAAAAAAATTTAGAAGAATGTATAACTAGAATAACCAATACAGAGAAGTGCTTAAAGGAGCTGATGGAGCTGAAAACCAAGGCTCGAGAACTACGTGAGGAATGCAGAAGCCTCAGGAGCTGATGCGATCAACTGGAAGAAAGGGTATCAGCAATGGAAGATGAAATGAATGAAATGAAGCGAGAAGGAAAGTTTAGAGAGAAAAGAATAAAAAGAAACGAGCAAAGCCTCCAAGAAATATGGGACTATGTGAAAAGACCAAATCTACGTCTGATTGGTGTACCTGAAAGTGATGGGGAGAATGGAACCGAGTTGGAAAACACTCTGCAGGATGTTATCCAGGAGAATTTCCCCAATCTAGCAAGGCAGGCCAACATTCAGATTCAGGAAATACAGAGAACGCCACAAAGATACTCCTCGAGAAGAGCAACTCCAAGACACATAATTGTCAGATTCACCAAAGTTGAAATGAAGGAAAAAATGTTAAGGGCAGCCAGAGAGAAAGGTCGGGTTCCCCTCAAAGGGAAGCCCATCAGACTAACAGCGGATCTCTCGGCAGAAACCCTACAAGCCAGAAGAGAGTGGGGGCCAATATTCAACATTCTTAAAGAAAAGAATTTTCAACCCAGAATTTCATATCCAGCCAAACTAAGCTTCATAAGTGAAGGAGAAATAAAATACTTTACAGACAAGCAAATGCTGAGAGATTTTGTCACCACCAGGCCTGCCCTAAAAGAGCTCCTGAAGGAAGGGCTAAACATGGAAAGGAACAACCAGTACCAGCCACTGCAAAATCATGCCAAAATAGAAAGACCATCGAGACTAGGAAGAAACTGCATCAACTAACGAGCAAAATCACCAGCTAACATCATAATGACAGCATCAAATTCACACATAACACTATTAACTTTAAATGTAAATGGACTAAATGCTCCAATTAAAAGACACAGACTGGCAAATTGGATAAAGAGTCAAGACCCATCAGTGTGCTGTATTCAGGAAACCCATCTCATGTGCAGAGACACACATAGGCTCAAAATAAAAGGATGGAGGAAGATCTACCAAGCAAATGGAGAACAAAAACAGGCAGGGGTTGCAATCCTAGTCTCTGATAAAACAGACTTTAAACCAACAAAGATCAAAAGAGACAAAAAAGACCATTACATAATGGTAAAGGGATCAATTCAACAAGAAGAGCTAACTATCCTAAATATATATGCACCCAATACAGGAGCACCCAGATTCATAAAGCGAGTCCTGAGTGACCTACAAAGAGACTTAGACTCCCACACATTAATAATGGGAGACTTTAACACCCCACTGTCAACATTAGACAGATCAATGAGACAGAAAGTCAACAAGGATACCCAGGAATTGAACTCAGCTCTGCACCAAGCGGACCTAATAGACATCTACAGAAGTCTCCACCCCAAATCAACAGAATATACATTTTTTTCAGCACCACACCACACCTATTCCAAAATTGACCACATACTTGGAAGTAAAGCTCTCCTCAGCTAATGTAAAAGAACAGAAATTATAACAAACTATCTCTCAGACCACAGTGCAATCAAACTAGAACTCAGGATTAAGAATCTCACTCAAAACCGCTCAACTACATGGAAACTAAACAACCTGCTCCTGAATGACTGTTGGGTACATAACGAAATGAAGGCAGAAATAAAGATGTTCTTTGAAACCAACGAGAACAAAGACACAACATACCAGAATCTCTGGGACGCATTCAAAGCAGTGTGTAGAGGGAAATTTATAGCACTAAATGCCCACAAGAGAAAGCAGGAAAGATCCAAAATTGACAGCCTAACATCACAATTAAAAGAACTAGAAAAGCAAGAGCAAACACATTCAAAAGCTAGCAGAAGGCAAGAAATAACTAAAATCAGAGCAGAACTGAAGGAAATAGAGACACAAAAAACCCTTCAAAAAATTAATGAATCCAGGAGCTGGTTTTTTGAAAGGATCAACAAAATTGATAGACCGCTAGCAAGACTAATAAAGAAAAAAAGAGAGAAGAATCAAATAGACGCAATAAAAAATGATAAAGGGGATATCACCACCGATCCCACAGAAATACAAACTACCATCAGAGAATACTACAAACACCTCTATGCAAATAAACTAGAAAATCTAGAAGAAATGGATAAATTCCTTGACACATACACTCTCCCAAGACTAAACCAGGAAGAAGTTGAATCTCTGAATAGACCAATAACAGGATCTGAAATTGTGGCAATAATCAATAGCTTACCAACCAAAAAGAGTCCAGGACCAGATGGATTCACAGCCGAATTCTACCAGAGGTACAAGGAGGAACTGGTACCATTCCTTCTGAAACTATTCCAATCAATAGAAAAAGAGGGAATCCTCCCTCACTCATTTGATGAGGCCAGCATCATTCTGATACCAAAGCCGGGCAGAGACACAACCAAAAAAGAGAATTTTAGACCAATATCCTTGATGAACATTGATGCAAAAATCCTCAATAAAATACTGGCAAACCGAATCCAGCAGCACATCAAAAAGCTTATCCACCATGATCAAGTGGGCTTCATCCCTGGGATGCAAGGCAGGTTCAATATACGCAAATCAATAAATGTAATCCAGCATATAAACAGAGCCAAAGACAAAAACCACATGATTATCTCAATAGATGCAGAAAAGGCCTTTGACAAAATTCAACAACCTTTCATGCTAAAAACGCTCAATAAATTAGGTATTGATGGGACATATTTCAAAATAATAAGAGCTATCTATGACAGACCCACAGCCAATATCATACTGAATGGGCAAAAACTGGAAGCATTCCCTTTGAAAACTGGCACAAGACAGGGATGCCCTCTCTCACCACTCCTATTCAACATAGTGTTGGAAGTTCTGGCCAGGGCAATTAGTCAGGAGAAGGAAATAAGGGGTATTCAATTAGGAAAAGAGGAAGTTAAATTGTCCCTGTTTGCAGATGACATGATTATATATCTAGAAAAACCCACTGTCTCAGCCCAAAATCTCCTTAAGCTGATAAGCAACTTCAGCAAAGTCTCAGCATACAAAATCAATGTGCAAAAATCACAAGCATTCCTATACACCAACCACAGACAAACAGAGAGCCAAATCATGAGTGAACTCCCATTCACAATTGCTTTAAAGAGAATAAAATACCTAGGAATCCAACTTACAAGGGATGTGAAGGACCTCTTCAAGGAGAACTACAAACCACTGCTCAAGGAACTAAAAGAGGATACACACAAATGGAAGAACATTCCATGCTCATGGGTAGGAAGAATCAATATTGTGAAAATGGCCATACTGCCCAAGGTAATTTACAGATTCAATGCCATCCCCATCAAGCTACCAATGCCTTTCTTCACAGAATTGGAAAAAACTACTTTAAAGTTCATATGGAACCAAAAAAGAGCCCGCATCGCCAAGTCAATCCTAAGCCAAAAGAACAAAGCTGGAGGCATCACACTACCTGGCTTCAAACTATACTACAAGGCTACAGTAACCAAAACAGCATGGTACTGGTACCAAAACAGAGATATAGATCAATGGAAAAGAACAGAGCCCTGAGAAATAACGCTGCATATCTACAACTATCTGATGTTTGACAAACCTGACAAAAACAAGCAATGGGGAAAGGATTCCCTATTTAATAAATGGTGCTGGGAAAACTGGCTAGCCATATGCAGAAAGCTGAAACTGGATCCCTTCCTTACACCTTATACAAAAATCAATTCAAGATGGATTAAAGACTTAAACGTTAGACCTAAAACCATAAAAACCATAGAAGAAAACCTAGGCATTACCATTCAGGACATAGGCATGGGCAAGGACTTCATGTCTAAAACACCAAAAGCAATGGCAACAAAAGACAAAATTGACAAATGGGGTCTAATTAAATTAAAGAGCTTCTGCACAGCAAAAGAAACTACCATCAGAGTGAACAGGCAACCTACAAAATGGGAGAAAATTTTTGCAACCTGCTCATCTGACAAAGGGCTAATATCCAGAATCTACAATGAACTCAAACAAATTTACAAGAAAAAAACAACCTCATCAAAAAGTGGGCGAAGGACATGAACAGACACTTCTCAAAAGAAGACACTTATGCAGCCAAAAAACACATGAAAAAATGCTCACCATCACTGGCCATCAGAGAAATGCAAATCAAAACCACAATGAGATACCATCTCACACCAGTTAGAATGGCAATCATTAAAAAGTCAGGAAACAACAGGTGCTGGAGAGGATGTGGAGAAATAGGAACACTTTTACACTGTTGGTGGGACTGTAAACTAGTTCAACCACTGTGGAAGTCAGTGTGGTGATTCCTCAGGGATCTAGAACTAGAAATACCATTTGACCCAGCCATCCTATTACTGGGTATATACCCAAAGGACTATAAATCATGCTGCTATAAAGACACATGCACACGTATGTTTATTGTGGCATTATTCACAATAGCAAAGACTTGGAACCAACCCAAATGTCCAACAATGATAGACTGGATTAAGAAAATGTGGCACATATACATCATGGAATACTATGCAGCCATAAAAAATGATGAGTTCATGTCCTTTGTAGGGACATGGATGAAATTGGAAACCATCATTCTCAGTAAACTATCACAAGAACAAAAAACCAAACACTGCATAATCTCACTCATAGGTGGGAATTGAACAATGAGATTGCATGGACACAGGAAGGGGAACATCACACTCTGGGGACTGTTTTGGGGTGGGGGGAGGGGGGAGGGATAGCATTGGGAGATATACCTAATGCTAGATGACGAGTTAGTGGGTGAAGCACACCAGCATGGCACATGTATATGTATGTAACTAACCTGCACAATGTGCACATGTACCCTAAAACTTAAAGTATAATAATAAAAAAATAAAAAAATAATAAAAAAAAGAAATGTATTGGAAAATTATACTGCTAAACCTTACTTAGTGAGTGATATTTTCTCACTCTGCATCCTTAGAGACCATTATTTCTTTACATTGAATCAAAAATAACATGATTTACTCCTATTTCCTAATATATGCATCTCATTGATTTGACCATATAGGTATACTCTGCCCTAGCAGGGCTCCTAAAATATACTGCCATTAGGTGGGTGCTACAAAGTTGAAAAAGACGTGCAACTTACTAGCTTGTGCAGAGGCAAGTCACTGATTGAGTCTGCCACAATTACTGCTCTAATAGAGGGGCTACAAATTACTATTGGAGCAAAGAGGTGGGAGGATGTAGTAAGTAAATGTCTCATACAGAAATGCCCTTTTCACTGGTGTTTCAGCTGCTCATCCTGTTCATCTTTCTCAAGGCATTACAAGTGCAGAAGTCTGAGTGAAGACAAAAAAGCCTAAAATTAAATATACACTGATTTAGCAAAAGCCAATAAAATATTATTTTCAGCTGAAAGTCTCACAGACTACTTCATGGATGAAGTATCAGTTGGGCTGGGCTCACTGAAGGTTGTACTAAACTGCACCTGATAATTCACATTGTATATTAATTGGACACTAATATGTGCCAAAGGATAGATATGAAATGCTTTTTATATTTGAAAACAATTATGAAATATATTTTTGGAAGGTACATCTATGTATGTAGGAAGATGTTATATAAATGATTTAGAGAAACAAAGAACACAGTTATGAGACAAATCCATATTTAGCATATTTGAGAAATCCTTGGCCTTAAAATCCCTAATGGCAGTCAGCATTTTTGGAGTAGGTTCAAATACTTAAATATCACATCTTCTTTGTGCTTAAAAAAATACAAAGAAAACCCTGTGTTTGGATCTACCTTTTCTCTATTACTAGAAATTGTATGCATCAATAGATCAGTATAGGTTTTTGTTGTAGTTGTTTTCTAACTCCCTTTAGAAGGTGACAGAAATTAAAGGCTGGAGATCTCCTTGCCTATTGACTCACAAAGTTTGCAATGTCAGAAATCATTATTTATAATTAATGCCAGTGTACAACCAAGCATTCTCCTCAACCAGCGGCTGTCTGTAACCATAAAGAAATTTTAGGGAAGCCCTACATGAAATCTATCTTATAGATTTCACACAACACCTGTGAGTCAGCCTTGCCCAGGGCTATGTCATTTCACTTCCTATCCGTCTGAAAAATGTGCCTCACTGAGAGGGCATAATACTTTGGAAGGGCAGAGTATTTATAACTGAAGACACGCCATATAGCTTCACATGTTAGCATGGTGACGATATCAATTTTTTGGCATCTAAACTTTGAATAGTGAAAGAATACAGAGAATGTATTACTTGGGTACTAAAGTCTGCTCTAAAGGATGTAAGATAAATCAAGATTTGGAATTGGATGTTAGAATCTCTTATGGTTAACTATCGCTATTTTAAAATGGGAAATATGTCTGAATTAGGAATTGGGTAAATAGTCACATAATGGAAAAGTTTGCTTGTGAACTTATATCTGACTTTGTTACTTATACTCAGTACTTTTCTTTGCCCTAAATTCTCATTTTTGCAGTCCTTTAAATATGCTATAAAATACATGTTTTTCAAGTCTTTCTGGATAGGAAACTTTCCTAAATTTATGGAACATTAAATGTCTGGATAATTTCTGAGATTCCAGACTGTGTTTCAATAACTGTAGTTATAAATACATAAGCATATTATAACTTAACATATTTTGGTTATTATTAGAATTATAAAATATGTGCCAACAACCTAAGATGGTTTTAGAAAAATGTTTCAATGGACAAAAAGGCATGAACAATATGACATTTTTTCACCTGCAACCAACACATTCGCCACTTACATTACCTTTCCTATTGGTCACATCTTCCTATATAAGGTGATATATATACACATATTAACTTTTACAACAAAACGTGTTATTTTTGGTGTATGTGGGGGTGGGGGAAAAGCAGGCCCATGTGATCTCTACCATTTCTTTCAGCATTAAAATTCTGTGACTGTGATGTAAACTACAGTATTTTTGTCCATTAGAAAAGCAGATTTGTGAACTTATTATTACAGAATTATTAATCAGACCCTAAAGACTCTAGAATTCCAACATAACAGAATAAAATTTAGGTTTTGAGCATGTTGAATATATCTGATTTTAAAAATTGAAACTAGAGGGTTTAAGATTTTATTGATCCCTCTACCATCTGTCCTTTTAAAACATTTTAATGGGTTCTCGGGTTCTACATTTCAGTGTATCTCTTCTGTTAAGATTAGCTTTATCTCAATGAAATCGGGTTTGTGATGCTACTTTTTCTTATATCTAGAATTTTTAATAGAAAATTTCTAGGAATTTCTAAGTTGTTCTAAATGATTTTCATCATGGTTGGCATTTGGTAAATGCACAATGAAGATTTGTTGAATTAATATGAACTTATTTTCCTATAGTTGTCTTTTACTTATTTCTACCGCACGGTCTACATGACTGATAATGAAACTGTGTCACTATAAATACAAGAGTAGTATCTGTGGTTAATGTGATATTAGACCCTCAACAGGAATACACAGACAACTGATAGACTTCAATCAAAGCTTTAAAGTTAAGCATGTTCTTAAACTAGGTGAGGAGTCATGAAGATGGAAAATAGAAAAGTATCTCTGAACACATGGGTCCTGAAATGGAGCTTTCCAGAAGTTGGTGTCCAATTACCATTTAATATTTCATGAACATGTTTAGATCTAAGACATTTTAACAATTTTAATTAATAGAAGGACAGCCTGCCCTCACAGAAGTCATTGTGAAGTTTATCTAAAAGGTGAGATTTTTAAACATAATTATTCCCTTGATACTGCCTCATTTCCACATTAGTCCTGTTGGAATACACTGGACCATATAATGGAGAGGAATGACAGAACCAGCCAAGGCTATGATGCTTCAGGAATAGTGCAAGGTTTCTCTGCAAATAGCTTCTTGAGATGCTTATGGTTCTTATATTGTTAAAATTAGAACTAGAAGCAATGGCAAGTAGTATCTTATTGGAGCCAGAAAGACCATGTTTTCTTGTATATAAGAAATTATACTTTGAACTACCTGAACTGATCAGGCAGAATTTCAGGGTTTCTAGAATTCTTGATAATCTGTTTTTTTTTTTTTAATTTTTTTTTTTTGTTAAAAGAAAAAAAAAAAAAAAGAAACAAACTACCCTGAGTTTTTTTTTTTTTTTTTTACTGATATAGCTCTATACTGCTGCAACCTGGGAGAAAAGGATCACAGTGTTTATTTTTAAATAAATTTTAGTGTCATTTCTGTGTTATATTTCATATACTGAATTCAAATTCCTCAATTTAAAAAGAACTCACTCAGGTATTGATTGCAAAGATATATTTCTAGTAGTTATGCCTAATTGACAATTGCTGTCATTTACTTCTGGCCAACTTAAGAGTCCCAGGAATAAAGTGCTTCTTTCACTTTTAATCATTCATTACTCTCTCCTTTTCCTCCCTTGCAAAGTTTTTCCTGATTTTCTTTGTTTTCCCCTTGGCCATCCACCTTACACCCCTTATTCCTACTCTTTGCCTTCATCATTTTGTCCTTGTAGAGTAGCTCAAGTCAGCCTTTGATTGTTAGTCAGACTCCATGGGCAATTCCCTCAATGTTTTCATTGTTTACATGAAAGCATCCAAATGTATAGCAAATAGACCAGCTGGAAACCTCCCCACAGACAGACGCATCCAAACAGGAGGTTCCTTGACGTGTTGTGGTGGGTCAGTCTGGTTCTGCTATCAGAAAGAACAGCCCACACCCATATGCACTGTTGCTCTTGAGTGGAAGGCTTGTGATAGCATCCACATGGACTGGGCCTCAGCCAAAACTTAGCCTTTAGCACATACAGCAATACAGAATGATGTGACAACGACAGAGTTTTGGAATACTGTTTGTAGCATGCTGTTCTTTGGCATACTTTTTCAGAATGTAAGAACAGATTTCTCCTAATTTTCCCAAGACATATTGTTTATTATAGAATGAGGCTTTAAAAATGACTATAGATTTGAAGGCAATTGATCGACTTAATATTAAACTCAATATTTAGTGTACATATCTTGGAAATTTATTTTGAAATGTTGCATTGGTGACTCGTGCTTGAAAAAAACCACCTAATTTTAAATATTTCTCCAGGGTGTGAAAAGGGCAACATTAGTAATGAGACAAATAGAGTGATCCTTGACTCTAATTAGAGAAATACAGTGAAAATTTATCAATAAAAGTAAAATGCTTAAAACCTAAAGCAAATATATTTAAAGACATTTCACAAATATAATATTGGCAGTTTCTGAACAATAATAACATATTTGCTGAGTATACATTCATGTTATACACTACACTAAAATCTTGTTTAAAAAATAAGCATAACATTTACACATTCTATTTAGAAGATGATGTATATTGTCTAATAACACACATTAAATCAGTACATATTTTTGTCATCAGTGATTTGAAAGAATAATGTGTTATAAATTTCTACCTAATTCATAGCACTATGCCATAATAAAGAAGAATAATACTATTAAAAAATAACCATCTTGGTTTCATTTTTTAAAAGTCCCTTTCTTTACTTATCACTATTGTTTTAAAATAAATAAGGCAAACATAAATCAGACATGGACCAAAAAAAAAAAAAAAAAAACACAAAACCCTAATGAAAGCAATTCTATGGGGGTAAATGTGGTTTGAGAAACATGTCCTTAGCCTATTCTAAACAAACACCTTGGTAAAGGCAAACGGAACTTTGCAAATCAAATATCATCATTAGTAAGAGGAAAAAACAGTAGCATATTTCTGCCTTTCATGCTTGTTACTTCAGGTGGTTAACCTGAACTACAAACTCATTACTTGACACTCAAGATGTAGGCAAAATCAAATGCTATATTCCAACCCAAAATATATGTAGCAAGTCTACAGATTTGTCATACAACATGGGCAACATGCAACCACCAGTTTAAAGGGTTGCAACCAACTTCTTGTCTATGTTCACAGACAAACTGCAGGAACCTGACCTCAAAGCCCAACCAGGCTCTGGAGGAAAAGCTGTGTGCCTCATTCCAAGCAACTTCAGAGTTTCAATGGATTTAAGACCTAGAAAGAGATCTGGAAAACAAAAGAGTAAAAATAACATTTCTTATCCCTCTTGATGAAAGACATATAATTGAATTCCAGAGAATGACTGATTGAAATTTTTATTTGTTTTTTTTCCAATTTGCTTATCTAGTGTAGACTTCACTTATAGCCTGAAAGCCTATAAATTATGAGAGAGAGAGATACAATACCACTCACAAAAAGCTAGGTTATCCTGCACACAAAGAACCCCAATGTGTTTGTGGTTTACAACCATGGAGTTTTATTTTTCACTGATGCTCACGTCCATCAAAGCTGAGTTGTCAATTGGCTTCATCTTTCCTTCCCTCAGACTCAGGCTGCCTCGGTACCCTCTACCTGATTATTGTTGGTGGTTGTGATGTGGAAGGAAATGACATACCAACCACATGTTAGCTCTTAAAGCTTCTTCCCAGAGGAGACACTAACTACTCTTCACATGCTATTAGGTGAAGAGTCTCATGCCATGATGAATGTCAACAGGTCATACAAGCAAAGATAACTGTCTCCTGTCAAGAAAACATCTCTGTGGACAATAATATAGTTTACCACAGGTAGCAACAGGCACCATATATTCTGAGAGTTAGGTAGAGGAATGGCCTGCTATTACGGACTTAAGTAGAGAATGTTGGCCAGGCATGGTGGCACACGCCTGTAGTCCCAGCACTTGGGAGGTTGAGGTGGGTGTATCACCTGAGCTCAGGAGTTCGAGACAAGCCTGGCCAACCTGGTGAAACCCCATCTCTACTAAAAATACAAAAATTAGCCAGGTGTGGTGGCACACGCCTGTAATCCCAGCTACTTGGGAGGCTGAGGCAGGAGAATCACTTGATCCCAAGAGGCAGAGGTTGCAGTGAGCCGAGGTCATGCTACTGCACTCCAGCCTATGCAACAAAAGCAAAACTCCGTCTCAAAAAAAAAAAAAAAAAAAAAGAGAATGTTAGACTGATAGATACTTGGATGAGCTATGACGTAAGTAAGGCCAAGTACAATGGCCATGAACAGCAGATCCATGGTGCTACCATTAAAGTATTAGGGAGGAATTGGCAAAGTATCATGCTATCTAAAAACAGGCAGATGCTATTCAAAGTTAAGTATAGGGAGATGAAATATTAAGCAACTTCCTTTCTTGCAAATTCAAGGGATTTCTTCATTTTTGACCCAGATATAGGAAAGAATTTTATTTATGCTTTAAGTAGCCATGAGACTGCACTGCTTGAAGTAAAATGAGGTCTAAAATATCTTCTCAGATTTTGGCTCTTTCCTTGGTAATCCCAAAATTGGTTTCGTTCAGAAATCAGTGAATTCTCCTATCTTTATTATAGGGAATCTACAGTTTTTGAGGTTCTGAGGACCTGATCTCTAATAGAAGCTTGAACTCTTTCTGACATTTTTGTTTTGATGGGAAAATTTTTCAATGTAATCACTTTTACAGGACCCAGACAAAAGTCCCAAATTTAAAATTTTATTCTCAGAAAATTTTTATAGATTTTTACAGTGAATACCAGGAATGCATCCAACAGAATTATTCAATGAAAGCAGAAAATACCACCATTATGAGTGAGATATCATGAACCCTATGCGGCAAAGATCTTGTTGCCCTGAACATTTTGCTTCTTTAATCATCAGCTCTAGTTGTCATTTTAGACAACAAGGCAAACATTGGCATAGAGAAGCAGGAGGTAATATCAGGAGTTTCAGATGGGGTAACTTCTGGAAGCTGTTAGTAGCTTCTACTGTTTACCTCCTTTTCAATTTTTTTTTCACAAAAAAGGCACAATATCTGAAGGACACATGCTTCCTTTTAAAGTGTGAATGTTATTTTTAGCACTGGTATGGAAAGCAGCAGAAAATACAACAATTTATTTGCTCTGTTCATGAAAAGTGATTTTATTTTTGGGTTTAAAGAAATAATTGTGAATGTCTTTTGGGAAAATACAAATTTTAAGGTTTAAATTCAAGTGTCCCTTTCTGTAAGAACTTTTCTCATTTACGCGTTTTCATCTATGGTGGATATGACATGATTATTTATGTCATCTTTTCTCCTTCCTACGGGGTCTTCTCTTGCAAAATGGCGCTGCATGGTCAGCACTGACTCAGAATGTGGAACAAGGTGAGGCTGCCTTTCTCACAGTATTTTATGTGTATTCAAGCTGTGAAAAGTGTCACAGCAATACTCCCATTCTGTGTCAGCTGAACTGTATCTGCTCATATTCACATCTCGGATTGACTACAATTCAAACCTGGTTATTTGTTTCTTTATCAATTGTCACAAAATAAAAGGCATATTTTAGCAGTGTTTTTGAGCCCCCAAATAGGAAACTAATTTTTATAGAAATCTATACCATTCCGTCTTTGGGAGTATCAATCCTTAAACCAGCAGGTGAGACCACATTTTATTAAATGGCTCATTCTAATTCAGATCCTGGGGTGGTCTTACTTATGGATGAATTGTGCTGCTACCCCAAGAAAACCATTTAACCTATCTGCACTTACAGAGTGCCTCTGTGTACCTGCTGCTGTCTGATTTGAAGCCATGAAATGAGAGGCTTCTGTTTTTGAAATCAGTTTTTCAGAGGTGCTGGCTTTGACAGTGGCTACTCTTTATTAAAGAAAGAACAAGACAAATAAACAGAGGTTTGACCACTACCTGTTTCATATTGGCCATTTCTACATGATGCAAAATGCCAGGTCATAAATGAGTCATTCAGTATTCTGGGCTTCTCTGGATGGCCAATTCAGAGACTGAGGAAACTAAAATTACTGCCTGTAAATCATTCTTAGGATGAGAGAGAGAAAGAGGGAAAAGAAAGATTCACTGGATACATATTGACATATCCTTTGAGTACATGTATAAAAATTATATTCTTTATATTTTACTTACAGATATTGCTATTTGTTAAATATGAACATGGTCAGTTTAATACATGCATTATGTTAACAAAATTTCAATTATTGAATAATTTGGGAATAAAGTTTCTTTTATAAATTCACTCACATAAAAGCAGGAAAGCTCTGCAGAAATCATGTCAAGAAGAACAGTTTACCTGAATTTGCAGGTGCATGATAAAAATATCCCAGTGCCCAGCTTCTATTTGTACCTGCCTAGATGAAGGTAAACAAATGCAACTAAGATCTTCCAATGACTTCTGTTTTCTATTGCATTGCTGGGTTATTCTTTGTCTTCTTTCTTTACAAAATAGGAACTAACATACCTGTGTCTGATTTATTCTCCATATGTTATGCCATTTATTGTTATTTAAAAAAAACCACAATGTAAAATGTACTCAATAAAGAAACTTGTAAGACAGAAAGAAATAAATAAAAAACACATAAATCATCTGTCATGTCATCACCAAAAATAACTAATGGTAACATATGGTTTGCCCTTCCGGTAATTTTTCTGTGTCTGTGCCTCATCTCTTCCTTGGCTGCCTTCTCTTTTCTATCCGCATTCTTTTTCTAGGTGATATCCTCTAGGCATGCCTATAATCCATCCTTCACAGGCTAGATGGAGTTTACTTTTAAAAACTCTCCAGTTTGAAACCCTCCAATGGCTTCCTGCTGCACTTGGAATACATTTCAAAGTCCTTATGTTCTTCTTGCTGAGTCTTTTACAACCTTCCTCTCTGACTTTGTACAGTCTGATTTTCTTGCCCTCCTCATTTTTGTTTGCTTTCTATTGCTGAAATAAATTGCTACTAATTTAGTGGCTTAAAGCAACACAGATTTCTTATCTTTTTGTTCTGGAGTTCAAAAGTCAACAAGAGGTCTCTCTCGGCTAAAATCAAAGTGTTGGCAAGCTCCATTTCTTTCTGGAGGCTCAATGGAATAATCCATTCCTTTGCCTTTTCCAGCTTCTAGTAACCATCTGTATTGCATGGCTCATGGCCCCCTTCAAAGGCAGCAATGTTTGGCTCAGTGTCACCCTGTCATCTGTCTGGTCCTCCTTCTGAGTGTCTTCCACTTATAAAGACCCTTAGGATTATATTGGGCCCACCCAGATATTCCAGGATAATCTTTTGGTTAGCCACCTTATCCATCTGCAACCTCAATTCTCCCTTACTATGTAACATAATGTATTCATAGATTCTGAAGATTAGGATGCAGTCATCTTTGGAGAGGGGCCATATTCTATCACATTCTGAAGCATTCCTTAGAGAGTCAAAGATGACTATCCACTATCCCTAACTTCACCAAGCATGGAGACCCTGCATTGGCCCAGTGATAGCCACTATGATATAAAGATTACCATACTTGGCCAAATGAATAAATTGAGAAGTCAGAACTGTTGGAATATTGCAAACAGTATAAGGTGAGAGAAACATTCGGAGGAAGTGCAAGTTTATTCAGCTAAAGTTTATAGGGCTAATAAAAATACTTGTTTCATTGTCCTGACATCAGTTTATTGTAATTAACCAAATATAGACTTTAGCTTTCTTTTCTTTTTATAGAACTTCCTCAAAAACAGTTAATACATTTTGTTGCAACCTATTATCTGACCACTCAAAGATTATTGAATATATTATATGGGATGGCCCTGGGGATATAGTTTTGAATGAGACTAGAACTGCCTTTCAAGTGACTCACTAGTTTAATGAGATAATCAGATAAGTGACCATTTAAAATACAGACTACATAGGATTTAGCCTGGGTTTTGGAGAGTCTTGTTGGAGTTCAAAAGAGGCTAAGCAGAAAGAGTGACCTAATGCAGTCTAAATTAGAAAGGTTCCCGAAATTTTTCCAAATGGAGATGAACCAACAATTGAGGAAGGGCATCCATCAACAGGTATCAAACTTCTTCCTTTGTTGTATTTTTCCTTCCCCTAGAAGCAGCTTTATGAAAGGCTCTTACTTCTCTCACCTCATCACTGTTTCCCCAGCATGTAGACTGGTTTCTGGCACATAGTAGGTTCTCTATCGATATCTACTGAATATGAGAATAATATATGTATACAAAATATGCAATTTTACTTTATAGAAAGGAAATCATACAAAATGGCCTATTTGGTAACATGTTTGCTTTTAGTTAGCAATATGTAACCATCATTGTCTGATAACCATTTTGACAGAAATTCAATCTCAAATAAATGTTTATTCAATCAGAGCTTTCTATGTTAGATTTCTTTATTTATAATTATGGAAGAATAAACATTGTTTCCTTTAGTTCTTAAAGGAGCTTCGGGGGCCAAAAGTGTGTTTGAATTATAATTCTCCAAAGCCTAAAATCTGCATTTGTTTAACAAGAGTCTATTCAAAGTCCTTTGTACTTTAAATCTTTCCTTATATCTGTTTCCTGCCTGAGCTTGGAGCTATGGATCCTGGAGACTCACCTATTTTTTTTTTAATAGATAGGTTTTCTGTGATAGTTTATTTTCAATACAACTATCTCAAAATTTTGAGCATACTCTTGCTTTCCAGTAAATAAATATGCCAACCTTCAAACCTCCATCCACCTGGTTCCAAGACTTTTTAAAAAATTATTATTATTATGTTCTAAGTTCTCGGATACATGTGCAGAACATGCAGGTTTGCTACATAGGTATACATGTGCCATGGTGGTTTGCTGCACCCATTAACCCATCATCTACATTAAGTATTTCTTCTGATGCTATCCCTACCCTAGCCCCCCAACCCAGACAGGCCCCAGTGTGTGTGATATTCCCCTCCCTGTGACCATATGTTCTTATTGTTCAACTCCTACTTATGAGTGAGAACATGCAGTGTTTGGTTTTCTATTCCTGTGTTAGTTTACTGAGAATGATGGTTTCCAGCTTCATTCATGTCCCTGCAAAGGTCATGAACTCATTTTTTTTTTTTTTTCAGACAAGAATCTCTGTCACCAGGCTTGAGTGCAGAGGCACAATCTCGGCACACTGCAACCTCCACCTCCCAGGTTCAAGCAATTATCCTGCCTCAGACTCCTGAGTAGCTGGGACTACAGGTGTGTGCCACCATGCCCAGCTAATTTTTGTATTTTTAATAGAGACGGGGTTTCACCATGTTGGCCAGGATGGTCTCAATCTCCTGACCTTGTGGCCCACCCACCTCAGCCTCCCAAAGTGCTGGTATTACAGGCGTGAGCCACCATGCCCAGCCAAACTCATTCTTTTTTATGGCTGCATAGTATTCCATGGTATATTTGTGCCACATTATCTTTATCCAATCTATCATTGATGGGCATTTGGGTTGGTTCCAAATCTTTGCTATTGTGAATAGTGCTGCAATAAACATATGTGTGCATCTGTCTTTATAGTAGAACGATTTATAATCCTTTGGGTATATAGCCACTAATGGGATTGCTGGGTCAAATTGTATTTCTGGCTCTAGATCCCTGAGGAATTGCCAAACATGAGAAAGCAGGAAAAATCTAAAATGGACACCCTAACTTCACAATTAAAAGAACTACAGAAGCAAGAGCAAACAAATTCAAAAGCTAGCAGAAGACAAGAAGTAACTAAGATCAGAGCAGAACTGAAGGAGATAGAGACACAAAAAACCTTTAAAAAAATCAGTGAATCCAGGGACTGTTTTTTTTTTTTTTTTTTTTTTTAAAGATTAACAAGATAGACCACTAGCCAGGCTAATAAAGAAGAAAAGAGAGAAGAGTCAAATAGACACAATAGAAAATGATAAAGGGGATATCATTACTGATCCCACAGAAATACAAACTACCATCGGAAAATACTATAAACACATCTACGCAAATAAACTAGAAAAACTAGAAGAAATGGATAAATTCCTGGACACATACACCCTCCCAAGACTAAACCAGGAAGAAGTCGAATCCCTGAATAGATCAATAACAAGTTCTGAAATTGAGACAGTAATTAATAACCTACAAACCAAAAAAAGCCCAGGACCAGACAGATTCACAGCTGAATTCTACCAGAGGTACAAAGAGATCTGGTACCATTCCTTCTGAAGCTATTCCTAACAATAGCAAAAGAGGGACTCCTCCCTAGCTCATTTTGTGAGGCCATCATCATCCTGATACCAAAACCTGGCAGAGACACAACAAAAAGGAAAATTTCAGGCCAGTATCTCTGATGAATATGGATGCCAAAATTCTCAGTAAAATACTGGCAAACCAAATCCAGCAGCACTTCAAAAAGCGTATTCACCACAGTCAAGTCAGTTGCATCCCTGGGATGCAAGGCTGGTTCAACATACACAAATCAATAAACGTAAACCATCACATAAACAGAACCAATGACAAAAACCACATGATTATCTCAATAGATGCAGAAAAGGCCTTCAATAAAATTCAACTCCACTTCATGCTAAAGACACTCAATAAAGTAGATATTGATGAAACGTATCTCAAAATAATAAGAGCTGTTTATGATAAACCCACAGCCAATATCATACTGAATGGGCAAAATCTGGAAGCATTCTCTTTGAAAACTGGTGCAAGACAAGGATGCCCTCTCTCACCACTCCTAGTCAACATAGTATTGGAAGCTCTGGCCAGGGCAATCAGGCAAGAGGAAGAAATAAAGGGTATTCAGATAGGAAGAGAGGAAATCAAATTGTCTCTGGCTGCAGACGACATGATTGTTTATTTAGAAAACCCCATCATCTCAGCCCCAAATCTCCTTAAGCTGAAAAACAACTTCAGCAAAGTCTCAGGATACAAAATCAATGTGCAAAAATCACAAGCTTTCCTATACACCAATAATAGACAAACAGAGAGCCAAATCATGAGTTAACTCCCATTCACAATTGCTACAAAGGGAATAAAATACCTAGGAATACAACTTACAAGGGATTTGAAGGAACTCTTCAAGGAGAACTGCAAACAACTGCTCAAGGAAAGAAGAAAGAATACAAACAAATGGAAAAACATTCCATGCTCATGGATAGGAAGAATCAATATTGTGAAAATGGCCATACTGCCCAAAGTAATTTATGGATTCAGTGTGATTCCCACCAAGCTACCATTGACTTTCTTCACATAATTAGAAAAAACTACTTCAAATTTCATATAGAACCAAAAAAGAGCCTGTATAGCCAAGACAGTCCTTAGCAAAAAGAACAAAGCTGGAGGCATCACGCTACCTGACTTCAAACTATACTACAAGGCTACATTAACCAAAACAGCATGGTACTGGTACCAAAACAGATATATAGACCAATGGAACAGAACAGAGGCCTCAGAAATAACACCACATATCTATAACCATCTGATGTTTGACAAACCTGACAAAAACAAGCAATGGGGAAAGGATTTCCTATTTAATATATGATGTTGGGAAAACTGGCTAACCATACGCAGAAAACTGAAACTGGACCCCTTCTTTACACATTATACAAAAACTAACTCAAGATGGATTAAAGCATTATATGTAAGACCTAAAGCCATAAAACCCAGGCAATACCACTCAGGGCATAGGCATGGGCAAAGACTGCATGACTAAAACACCAAAAGCAATGGCAACAAAAGCCAAAATTAACAAATGGGATCTAATTAAACTAAAGAGCTTCTGCACAGCAAAAGAAACTACCATCAGAGTAAACAGGCAACCTACAGAATGGCAGAAAACTTTTGCAATCTATCCATCTGACAAAGGGCTAATATCCAGCATCTACAAAGAACTTAAACAAATTTACAAGAAAGAAACAGACAACTCCATCAAAAAGTGGGTGAAGGATATGAACAGACAATTCTCAAAAGAAGACATTTATGCAACCAGCAAACATATGAAAAAAAGCTCATCATCACTGGTCATTAGAGAAATGCAACTCAAAAACCACAATGAGATACCATCTCATACCAGTTAGAATGGTGTCATTAAAAAGTCAGAAAACAACAGATGCTGAAGAGGATGTCGAGAAATAGGAATGCCTTTACACTGTTGGTGGGAGTGTAAATTTGTTCCAATACTTTAATGTTATTTTATATAATAGTAACCAATCCTCATAACTCTATTCCAAATCTATCAAATTATAGTGAGGCATGGCAGTAGAAGGAGAGTATTGGAGGAAAGGTAAGTAGAAGCAGATAGAAAAAGAGGCATTTCATAATCATTTCAGGTTGTCTATAATGTATAGTTTTCAGAGGAAAAGTAAACATAAAAATGCCTAGATAGAAAAGCCTGTTTAATATGTAGAATTACATTTCTGTAACAAGAATCCCTTCCCCAATGTATCACAATCTTCTAGAACAGCTTTTGATAAATTTTAAAGACTCAATATCAAATGAATGGATAGATAAATTACAGAATATATTAGTGAGAGGTTTTGAAGAAAAGGCAGTTTTGTTGCAATACAGAAAGCTAAATTAACTTAACACTACAAAGATGCTTCATGCAGACCAACAAGAACAATAGTTAACAGTTGAAAACCTGTTTCTGTGTTTTAGCCGCCCCTCACCCACAATGTATACCCATAGTGATAACATTTTCTTAATAAAAAACTGAATCACATCATTTGACTGAATGAAAAGGAAAGGGTATGAGGGGAAGAGGTTTTGGAAGAAAGGGAAAGAAGCCACAGTGCATCAACTCATGAGGAATGCTTTCACACCTGCCGCTTCCCTCCCACTTTGTTACACATCCCTGTAAGGCGTGCCCTTCACTCCTCATTTCTGAGAAGCACTAGCCAGTGAGCTATATTAATCAAGGTATTATTTCTCTGAAAGTTATTCAGCAAAAAAAAACCTTTAAAGTAAAGCAAAACACAAAAAAAATACAAAAAAGCAAAAACCTTGTATGTAGCACCATATAAAAATATTTTAAAATGGCATGATCCTCTATAACACGGGATAGATGGCCACTATATTTGTATAGCAACTACTTCCAGACATACACGGAAGAATATGTTATCATACTTTAATGATTTCTGAAAGATATCTACCAAAAAATAGTATAAAATACTATAAAAGAGCTCCCGTGTAGTTTCCAAAGTCCACCAATATTTTCAAATCCTACGTTACATAAAGAGTTTCTTTAAAAATTGACTCGAGGAATGTTTCCTATTTTAGATGTCACTATGATTTTAAATGTTAACATACAATAGCAAAGTGCACCTCATTTTTCCTATTTCATTTTTTTCCCTCATCAATCTGACTTTGTTTTTGTAGGGAGTGCTCTAGGTGAGGCATGAACTTACAGCCTTGGCATCATAAATACCGTGTACTAATCAACTGTGCAACTGGAACAACCAGACTTTTCTTAAATGGTTAATGATATGACTCATACATTGATACATACAATGATATTGTTAAAATCACCCAGTGTATCACTTACTCTACATTTAAAAGCCCTGTGTGAAAATGACTGCTTATTTTTATTAGTAATTAATCATTATAAAGCCATTTAATGGAGTTATGTATTCTTATAAATCTCTGAATACCTGCAGTCAAATTTAAATATTCTCTTAGTTTTATATTTCCTCTCTACATTAGATCTTTTTGTTGGTTTTTTAAAGACATGCCACTTTTGATCTTAATATTAAGCATATTGATTTACTTAAGGACATGAAGAATCCAGTTTTAACAAGTGTATCGTTCACAAAAATGTCTCCTATATGGCTGTACTCTTTTTCCATTTCCTGGTTTTGAATAGTCTTATTTCTGTCATCAACAATGAACTTTAAGGTACCTCATTTCAACTAGAGCAAATGGCTGTTGAATTCAATGACTCACTCAGCATAGAAATTCATTAGACATTGGTTTATCAGTCAAAGATGACATTTGTTTTGAGCCAGATGGGTTTTCTTGAGGAAATCCTCTAACTGGATGCAGATTAGATTGGATTTTAGCTTTCCTACACTATTAAACATCACTGTTTCATATGGCACACACAGCCTGTAATATATTTGTATATATTTGACAGGATTTTAATAGCCATGGTTTTAATAATAAAAGATTACACTTTTTCTGAAGTTTATCTGTTTGCAGTCTTTGATATTTTATGGGTTTTAAAACATGCATCATCTTATAAATATATTTCCAAAGCCTAAAATCTTGGGATATATTTTTAAATTAAAATGTTAAACAATAACACCAAAGAAGAAAATCTCATTTGACTAGGCTACATAGTAACAGTGGGATAGAATAGTTGATCCACAGTGCAACTTTTCTTGGGCATTGGTGTCTCTATCTTTTCTATTTTCTATATCCTACACACCCTAACAATTGGCAAGTCATGAGATTTCTACTTAGAAGAAAAACCATTCTATTTTCACAAATACCATACCCAGTCAAGACATCTTCATGTACTGCAGAGACAACAGCAATACTGATCTAATTTGCATTCCATCTTCAAATCTTACTGTTTAAATTAATCCTCATAAGAGCAGTCAGTAATCTTTTAAAAAGATAGATTAGGGAATGTTACTTATTGTAATAAGAACTTGGTAATTTGGGCCAATCCTACCAATGTGGACAACTTGTGCTGCTGTATACATATACATCTCCAGATGCATCTTTGTGTATATATACATGAATAGGTGTGTACACACACACACATACACACACATTTGAAGGCTTAGAAGACTAATAAGAGAGTAAAAAAATGGTGTTACCATCTGGCTAAAGATGGAGATCTGGAGAGGTGGGCTACTCTTGCCTTATGGGTTTTCACTCATTTCAGGAGGGTTGGTTGATCAAGTGTACAGTGCTTTTGTCAGACTCATGGGACTGAGTCCAGGGTCTACCAAAGTATGGGGCTTGGCAAATGTCCCTGGTCTTGGGTTGGGACCCCAAATGGCAGTGCTTTAGCAATAAAAGAAAATCAGAATCAGGCACTCTCACAAGGACCACAGCTTTGCTTTGATTCTCTCCATCTCTGTAATCCTACAGAGCAAGGACGATGAACAAACCAAAGCCAAAGCCAACAAAAAGCAAATTCCACAAACATAGCATGGAATAAATGTACCTAGACACAAAAGAATAGATACTAAGTTATTTTATTTATTTCAACACACAATATATAATGTTTAGGAATGTATTCTTAGGTGTTAAGGTCATATGAAAAATCAAGAAAGTATTTATAATAAAAGGCAAGATAATGGTTCCTCTGGTGTACAGAGGAGAGAGAACATAAGAAAATCTTCTGTGTTACTGCCAATCTTCCTCTATTTTGGAGTGATGTGTACACATATGATCACTTTGTGATAAATCAGCAAGTGTATATTTTATTTTGAAATTTGTGTACCTGTGTGCTGTATTTATACTAAGAATGTTAAATTGTAAGTTAGATCATATTACTCTGTATTGAAAATATTCCAGTTACCTGTGATTGTCTACCTCCCTGTTCTCATCTGGAAACAGCCTGCCCCCGGCCCCATTGCTCGTTTTACTCTAGGTACATGGAATTCCTTGCTCTTGTTCAAAAGGACAAAAATCTTGCCCATTTTAGTCTTTGGACTTGAACTTTCTTCTCTTCCTGCAATACACTTTTATTGACTTGATCCATAATTGTTTCCCAATCCTTCAGCCCCCTATTAATTGTAGCCTTCTTAGAGACGTATTTCTTGACCAGTCATTCTAAATTGACAACTGAAAACCCAACAAATGCTCCATATCGCCTTGTTTATTTCCTTCATATTGGAAAGCAGATGATGACATTTGATTTGTAATTAATATATCTTTTATCCAAGGTAAAATATTTGCTGTAATGTAAGATCTATGATGGGAGGTATACTTTTGGTTTTTATTCTCAGCACTAAATGAATCATAGGCCAACGAAAATTATTTTGAGAAAAGACTTTGTGCAATTCCTAAAAATTAGTCTATTATACCATGGGTGGTAGGAGAAGCTTAGGATCTCATCATATAATTTGGTTATCCTAGCTATGCTGCTAAGCAAAACAAATATTTATTTAGCCCAGATATGTAGAATTATCTTAGACAAATTTTCATATGTGTCCAGTGCCAGTTTTCAAAATGACGTCTTTTTATGGCAACACCTAAGTGAAGTATTTCTTTCAGGGACATTATACACAAAGGAAAGTAAATGTTTTAGTTCAGGTGGTAATGACAAAGTTTTCGTAATGATACAAGTTATTTGTAATGCTAAAGTTATTGCGTTTCATTTTTACTTGAGGAATTACATATGCCATTTTAGAAACTTTACTTGGATGTGTATGACTGTATTTCCCGCCGTAGTTAGTTTTTAAGAAAGAATGTTTCACCTAAAGCCATATTCACCTTTCCAGAGTAAAAAATCAATATTTAGCCTTAAATTAATAAACTATGTTTTTGTTATTATTGGTCCTTTTGATACTGTATCTCTTTCCATTTCATTAAAATTAAATAACTTACCTGCCATATTTATTATCTGAATACTAATTTATTTTCCCATTTAATTTTTTTCTTTACTCTTTGGTGTTTCTTTGCTCAGACCAAACCTAGTCTTGATCTAGTTGCACTGTGCTTTCTTTGAAGTTCAAATGCATCTAATGAATCATGGCAGTACTCTCTATCACCTTACAGGCATCAAAGTAAATCAGCCAGAACAGGGATAGAAATTCCAAAGGTCCCTGCCACCTGTGCTGCAACATTCACTCCAAGTAAACACTTAGTCATCTCTTTAGTTGTGAACAGTGATGTGGCCCAGGAGCCTTTCACCGAAGGTGGCCCAGCACTTGCTGCTGAGTTTTCATGCACTTTGCTTGCATTTATCGCCACCATGAAAATTACCCAAGGATTGAAAAGTCTATCAAGTATAGAGGAGAGAAAGCTAACAGGTTCACAGATGCAGATAATTTAGTGTTTTAATGAAACCCTGGATTAGATAATGCACTTCTCTCTTTTATTTAATTTTTTAATGTTACCTGTCTGCTATTATACACCATTTGTTCTTATAGAACACACACACACACACACACACACACACACACACACACACACTCTCTCTCTCTCACCCCTACCTCAAGCAAAGGAGGTTGCAACACTTTTTCTCAAAAATAACAAATCAACCTGTAATTCTTCACACTAACGGTAAGGTTTATGTGTTTGCTTCAAGTTAAAATTACTACCTTTCAGATGGATTATCTTTTTATTTTTATTTTTTATTTTTTTTGAGATCCACCTAGGCTGTCAGAGTTCCACATTTGGCATCATTACACCCAGTTAATGTAAGACAGCTTATTTTTATATTGCGGTGTTTTATAGATTTTTTTATTGCACCATTAAGAGCATTTTGTTTTCTGCAATATTCCCAGATTTTCTTGTCATAATACACAACATCCCACAGTCCCACTTTGTGCCAAATCTCATAGCATTCACTTACATCTACTTTTCTGCCTCAGAAGGCTAGGTAATGAGCTGAGCTTCAGAAAAAGAAATTGCTGGTTTAGTTTTTTTGCATTACAGCCCAAACAGATTGTTTTCTTTTCGATAACTAGCCAATGCTCAGTTCACAGATATTTCCCCTGGTAGGTAAGCATTGCCGATTTAGTGTCCAGTAGCATGTTTACAGTTCATAAATGTCATCTGATTTTCAATTTTTAACCTGAGAAATACAATGTTTCTTTCAATATTCTGTAAATTTTAATGGAAATTTTGTGGAATTTCTCAGTTGTTCAGTGAAGCAAAAATTTGTTCAGCATGCCTGTTTTAATCCTAATGAAAACTATTAAGGAGTTTATATTCTTGATATTGACTATTTTTGACAATATAGTATTACAAAACCATTTCGACAGAAGCAGTTTTAGCTTTGGAGTTTACACAGATTATTACTGTATTATCTATGACTTTCATTCACTCAAAGTACATACATATCTCATAAAGACACCATTTGAGATTGCCACCATTTAAAAAATTAATAAATAATAGTTGTTCACATTTATGAGGTACATATGATATTTTCACATATGCATACAATGTGTAATGATCCAATCAGGGTAATTGGGATATCTGTCACCTCAAACATTTATTGTTCCTTTGTGTGGGGAACATTAAAAATCTTCTCTCCTAGTGATTTTGAAATATATGATAAATTATTGTTAACTCTAGTCACCCTACTGTGCTATTGAACACTAGAACGTATTCCTTCTAACTGTATTTTTGTACCCATTAACCAACCTCTTTTTGACCCCTTCTCTCTGATATACTTCTCAGCCTTTGGTAAACACCATGCTACTTACTACCTCCATGAGATCAATTTTTTTGCTTCTACATGTGAGTGGGAACATGTGATATACGTCTTTCCGTGCCTTCTTGCTTCATTTTTGATAATATTAAATAAAGGTCTAACACCTAGTGGTCAAGTTTGAGGTTGACATGGAGGAGAATAAGACAGTCATATTTAGGCTGAAATGATTTTAAAGACAATGAACTCTCTAATGTACATGGATATACATTTGGGATTCCTATTCAGGGCTGGAATTCAAAGCATTCTAAACATGTTAACAACAGCATTTATTTATAGTTCTAGTGGCTTGCGATCCATCAAATGGCACAATTGCTACTGGCCTCAGGGTTGACGGTCTTCCTGGCAGTGGTCCCACAGATTGCACCAGTGTAATTTCAAGGCCTTGATTTGCCAATGATCTTATCATTGTAATGATCCCTATATTCTCTTTAGCTTTCTCATTTTATAAGACTGACATTAGAAAGCAGGTTCATATTAACATCATAGCTTGACCAGGTCTTAACAGACAGGATGACTAAACTACCAGTCTACTTGAATTTGTTTTTTCAGAGGTCTATATTTAAGCTTTTTTCCAAAAGATTAATGTTGGTTAGCATGAGAATAGAAGACAGTGAAAGCAGATGAACTTTCAAGGAATAAAAAGAATTCATGAGACCTAGGTTAATTCTAGAACTTTGAAGATTAGATTTATTCATCTAGTTGGTCTGAAATCTAAGTGATTTTTTTTCTTTTTTTCCTCAGAGATAATATTCCCAAATAAGATTTTTAAGTTCATTCTAAAGCAGCTAAAATTCTTGAGTAGCTATCTACTTATTTGGACTAATTTAATTTTATCCCAGTGATATTAAATATATACACAGATACACATATACTTAAATATATGAATTAATATTTTCAATAAAGCAACATTTTAGAAGTTAAATAGACTGGAATCAATCAGCTTAATAATGCATAACACCGAAAGAAAGTAAGAAAGGAACAAAATAAAAAAACATTAGGGGAAAAGCAGGTAAGTTAGGAGAGGGATACATGATTCTACATTTCCTTGTTAAGGAGGAGCTAATTGATTTCACAAGAGCCAGCTGGGGTTTTAAATGCTCACTCTTTTTTTCTGGTCAATATTAATAACAATAAAATCAATGCCTAATATGATATTAGCCATTAAATGGTTATTCCACGTTCATATTTGGGCTTTCACAAAGTCACTGAAGTTTTTTTTCTTTTTTTCTGAGAATCTGTGGATAGTCCAGTCGGTACAGTAGATAATTGAAATAAAGTGTTCCCTGCATCCTTTGGCTCTGCGCTTCAGAACTGGGCCATGGGTTTTCTTTTAAGAGGCGTAATGTTGTGCTGGAAACCACATCAGCTTTGACAATTGAGTTCTTATTTTCACTTCACTATACACCAACTTTATGAGCCCTCATGGTGCTTAAAGTTTATTAGGAAAGAAAGAAACAAAAGCTTCAGGGGCCAATAATTAGCTAATTTCATTGTGATTTCATGCTACGATGCTTTTGGCTCTTCAAATGTGTCCTCTTGCCCCACCAGGAACCTGGAATAACATGAGCATTCCTCTTCCCCTTAGCTTACCTAATTTGTTCCTGTTCTTCAGGTCTCAGTTTAATATCATGTATTCTCTTACTTCCCTAATCTTTTCAACAGATTTGGTGCCCTTAGTGTGCCTTTATCATCAGTACTTTCTCATTATAGCACTTATCATACTTTATTATAATTACCAACTTAATTTTCTTTTCCACCTTATTTCTATTTGAATCTACCACATTTCTTGGCATATAATACTAGCACAATAATATTAGTAGACAATGGATAAATAATTGAGGGTTACATTTAATTGTGTCTGGACTATAGTAAGAATCCAATGCCTAATAACTGTGATCACTATCTCAAACTATACCTCTTTCTAATTTCTAAAACAAAAGAATTTTAATAGTATAGAAAATGCTGATAGTCATTTAATATTTTCCGACTTCAATTAATTAAAGTCTTTCATAGAAAAGGATGTGGTGTTATAAGCTTTCATCCAAGACATTTAATTCAAGTTTTAACATATTTCTAATGTATGACTAAGCATATTAATTGAATAGCGTTAAATAACAGTAAAGGTTAAAGATTAGAGGATGTTCTAAATGAAAGATGAGCAGTTCGCTGCTGTATATGCATATAGGCAAAGAACAGCTGGGACTTCTCTTAGGATAAAGAAATATGCTCAAAACTGTACAAATAAAATGCAGATCTTTACCACATATTGTATTGAATGTCAATTTACAAATGGACTAATCTGTGGAGAAATATAACATTTGTAGTTAATATGAATAAAAGTAATGTTAGACAATTTAAAGCAGGTAATTTGTTTCACTTATACATTGCTAAGTATATAGTGTGATTTTCCCTGAACACAGAATTATATCACATAGAGTTTTTCTTTTTCTTTTAGAATCATAATGTCTTAGTCAAAATCTCATATAAGCTCTAGCTTTTTCTGTCATTCAAATATTCCCACATTGACTCCCTTAAATTATGTGGAAGTTTCCTTCTCCCCAGCTCACATGTGTCAATGAATTTATCTAAAGATCTTACTGGCTTAGGACTTCAAGAACAAATATCAGTAAGAACCTTTTTAAATAAAAAGTTTTGAAATAACACATTTTCCTGATTTTAAAAGTAATGCAAACTAATTTCAGAAAATCTGAGAAAATTAAAATAATGTAAAAATTATATTATCCTGTTTTAGAGATAATTGCTTTTCTTTTTATGTACTTCAAGAATGTATATATTTTAAAAGAAAATCATAAAGATAACCCGTATAGTTTTATAGCAGGATTTCCTCATGTAATTTCATGTCATAAACATTTTCAAATGATATTAAAATTATTTAACCTCAGATTTTTAATGGCTATGCCATGAGTAATTTAATAATACCCCTAAATTTGGACATTTTCATTATTTATCCTTATGCAATGAAGATATTTGTATATAATTTGTTTTCTGTACTTAGCAATTTGTAATAGGTGTTTTCTATAATGATTATGAAATTAAAACACATACACCTCTAATAGGATATTTCTACTATTTAGATACTATTAAATGGTATAAAAACATGTTTAAAAGAATATTCAAATTACAAATGAAATTTTTCTTTTATCAGAAATATCTTTGCCAAATTTTATAATAGAGAAAGTAATATTGAGGCATAATTATCTTCTTTAATATTATATGAGTGAATGGGGATATGCAATTAGTTACAAGACCACAAACATTAAACAACAGAAAGTTATCAGCTAAACCTAAAAACAAGTGTGAATTTGTCAATATGAAGGTAGATAAAAGGGAAATGTGTGGGCTATATTGAGGACCTGAAAGAGGGACTAGGCACTATTAAACCTGATGGGAAGCTTAAGTGAAGAAAGCCCTTAGAGATTATGCCAGGATAGAATGAGGTCTCCTTTGTAAAATAAGTGAAACAATGGGACACATTTTTTTCAGTTCCACAAGTAGGTTTCTAACAATCTCGATGTTCTTTTGTTACAGCCTTTGAGTTAAATAGTCTGAGTTTCTTCAGCTTCGAAAATGTTAAAATAGGCTGTGCATGGTGGCTCACGCCTGTAATCCCAGCACTTTGGAAGGCTGAGGAAGGAGGATCGCTTGAGCCCAGGAGTTCCAGACCAGCCTCGGCAACATGGTAAGGCCTCATCTTACAAAAAATACAAAAAATTTAGCCAGTGTCATGGTGCTTGCCTGTAGTCCCAGCTACTTGAGAGGCTGAGGTGGGAGAATTGCTTGATCCCAGGAGGTCCAGGTTGCAGTGAGCCATTATTGTGCCACTGCACTCCAGTCTGGGTGACAGAGTGAGACCCTGTCTCAAAAGAAAAAAAAAGTAAAATACTGTTTTGTTTGCAATCAGAGCCCTGTCTGTCTTTGTCACCATGTATCAGCAGTGGTTAGCACATAGTAGATCTCCAATACATTTATGTGAATGGTTCTATGTAAAAGCAAACACCACACTGATTAATCACTAATTAAAAGCAAAAAGCAAAAAGCAAAAGCCAAAAGTCCTCTTATACAAGATTCTGCAGCCAAAGAGCAAGGACAGCAGAGGACCAGGCTCAGAATCTAATCATAAAAGCAGCAGATTTCAAAGAATTCTGGTTTATTCCATGATCAGAACCCTGATAGTTGTTATAATGATACATGAATATCTGGAGCAATGCAATTTAAAAGTTTGAACTTCTAGATTTCTAGATTTTCTCTGGGCCTGCAGAAGTTGTTCACTTCCTCTTTTCACAAGATAGTATCTTCTACCCACTTGAAGTCATACAGAGGCTGACAAAGGGTAGATTTCTTATAGGATAATTCTTGTTCTTCAGGGATTACTCTCATCACTCCCTCTGACAACCAGACAAATACTGAATGTCAAATACCAGCACAACTGGGACAAAGATGCTATGGGATTTCTAAGAGAGAAGAAGGGCTATCATTGAAGTTACTGAAGGATCTGCAGGTGCAGGAAGAGTACACAGAGTATGTAGCCTAAGGGGCTCTGACAAAGGGTGAAAGAATATACATTTGGATACAGTAGCTAATGGATATGGAAGCACTCTACTATGATATTAAGATTTAAAATCCTGGCACATACCCTAGATGATGTTAACAGCTGCTAGGATGGTACCTGGAAAATTTATGGCTCACATTGAGTGAGGTAGAAATTCCAGAACTGCCACGGAAGATGAAGGAAGAAGGGAACAAAGGACTCAGTGTATTGAGCATGCCTGAGAAAATATATATGGAAAGCTAGAAATCCCGCAAGATAAATATAATCCAAAGGATGGACCACTGGACACTCCATTTACCAAAATATAAAGAGTGTGTTGTGGAGAAGGACATCAGTATTGTTGAGAAGCTCAGTGGTAACTGTCTTCTGAAGGCCAGCTGGTAGGAGATCACATTACAGAACAGGGATTCTTGAATAAAAATGGGAACGATAGAATCTCTAAATAATAGATACCAAGAGGTGATATTTCATTGACAGAAGAAACATAGATGTAGATTTCGCAATGAGAAGGAAGACAGGAGTGGCAAACATGGAGTCTAAAATTTAGAAAACAGTAGAATAATAAATAGAGTATGGAGTTCCTATAGGCAAGACAGATGGACAGCTACCAAGGATTTTGATTAATTTATACAACCAAAACCAATCAAGAATGGATAATCAGGAGGTTAAGGCCAGGCACCCTTCTTCTTCCTCCACAACTCTCTATCTTTTGCCCAGTTTCTAGACCTGCATTGATTCTCAGACTTTTAATTGAAGATGACTGATAAAGTAGATAACAGATCTTTCAGGGAAAGAACCTAATAATACCAGGAACATATGAAGTTGTAATTTTCCCAGTCCTTTTCCAACAGGACCTGAGACTCTTTACTCAAGTGACTATGTACTAGGTAAGAGGAACATCCAGAACTTCTGAGGTTTGCTTGATTCAGAATCCAAACTCAAATTAGGCCAGGTACGGTGGCTGACGCCTGTAATCCCAGCACTTTGGGGAAGGTGGGAGGATGCTTTGAGACCAAGAGTTTGAGACTAGCCTGGGGAACACAGTGAGACCTCGTCTCCACAAAAATACAAAAATTAGCCAGATGTGGTGGTGTGCGCCTGCAGTTCCAGCTACTTAGGAGGTTAAGGTGGGAGGATCACTTAAGCCCAGGAGGTTGAGGCTACAATGAGCCAAGGTCACGCCACTGCACTCCAGCCTGGGGAACAGAGCAAGACCCTATCTCCAAACAGAATGAAACAAAACAAAAATACTGAAATTCATCCTTTGATATCCAAACTGATTCCATACTCCTAATAGAATGAAGGCATATGGGAGCCAGATAGTAAGTAGAGTTTTGGCTGGCATTTGGCTCACGGTGTAATCACTGGGTCCACAGACCAACCAGATGGTGTTTTCCAAGATCTTCCAAGGTATTACTGGATTATACATCCTTGGTAGTTGGCAGATCCCCCACACTGGTTTTTTGTTCTATATGTAACAGCCATCAACTGTCGCTTCACCCACAACTTTATTCATTTTTCATCATTTTTTTTTTTAGACAAGGTTTCACTCTGTCTCCCAGGTTGGAGTACAATGACATGTTCATGGCCCACTGCAGCCTCCACCTCCCTGGGCTCAGGTGATCCTCCCACCTCAGTCTCCTGAATAGCTGGGATGACCGGTGCATGCCACCATGCCTGGCGAACTTCTTTTGTGTTTTTTGTAGAGACAGAGTTTTGCCACATTGCCCAGGCTGGTTTCAAACTCCCGGGCTCAAGTGATGTGCCCACCTTGGCCTTCTAAAGTTGTAGAATTAAAGTCATGAGCCTCCATGCCTGGTCATTTTTTTAATCTTTATTGATTTTCCTAACATTTATATTGTCAGAAACAATTTTTTACAATGTTTCCGTATTTTTGGTGTAATATCAAAATACTTCTATAGTAAATCATTTGGGTTAAGCCATTTTCTTCTTAAAGAAGGCGGGGGAGGTGGTCTCTGGAATATTCCTATTTATGACACTAGTCTAGCAACTATAAAAATATGGATAGATAATGGTATATGACAGTGGATAACTGTAAACTTATCCAGACAGTAACACCAATTGCTGTTGCTGCACCAGCTATGTTATTTTTTTTTTCTGAAGCAGATTAACACAGCCTTCAGTGTGAGATATAAAGCCATCAAAATGAAAATGCATTTATTTCCAGCCATTTCAAAAAGAAAAATCAGAATCAGTTTAGATCCACATGGAACAAAAAGAATACACTTATAGAGTTTTAACTTGAGTTCTGTTAACTCTCTTGACCCCTATTATAATGCAGTATAGAGACCTGAAACATTGACACAGTATGTGGAACGCCACACTGGTCCATTATATCAGCAGTTCTGCAAATGTGGTCTTTGAATCTTGAAGGTCCCTGAAACACTTTCAAGAGATTAATGAGGTCAAAATTATTTTTATACGCATTGTGTTAACATTTGCACTGATGAAGCAAAACAATGTTGTATAAAATTGCTGGATCTTTAGCATGAAACAAGTAGCACCTAACTATACTTGTTATTAATGCCTTGTTCGTTGCTATGAATTACAGTTTTTAAACAAAGCTTTAAAATGTCCTTGATGAAGCAGTAAAAATTTTATTAAATATTTACTCTTGAGTACAATTTTTTAGTATTGTTTGTGGTGAAATGGGGAATATGCATAAAGCAATTGTGCTGCATAACAAACTGTGATACTTGTTTAAAGAAAAACACTTGTGTGATTGAGAACAAAATCAGCCACTTTGTTCATGGAACACCTTCAAAGGTACTGATGGTAAAATTATGGTTATTCAGACTTGGGTATCTTGGGGTAGTTGGCAGATATTTTCTTAAAAATGGAAGGAGTTTTTCAGTTTGATGGAAAACAACTGACAGTATTTGTTCCCAATGATAAAATTCAATGTTCCAAGTGAAAATTAGGAATTTAGAAACTTTTTGTATTTACTAGTCTTAGCTTGAAATCAACAAGTATGATTTTTGATATTGTATAATAATCTGTGTCAATATTTGAAAGCCTGCATAACAGAACTGATATTATTTTCAAATGATTAATTCATGGTATTAAAAATCACTCATAGTTAAGAAATCCATTCAAAGTTCAAGACATACCTGTAGATTTTAATGCAAAAGAGTACAAAAAATTGATTGATGTTTCTATATTTCACATTGCAAGTAACCTTTAAGAAACTACTACTTGTTGAATTTTGATATAATGCCAAAGAATAATATCCAAAAGTATTTGAACAGATTATTAACATATCACTCTTTTTCCCAACTACATATCTGTGTGAGGCTTGATTTTCTTCATAGACTTCAATTAAAACAACATATTGCGGGGAGGAGCCAAGATGGCCGAATAGGAACAGCTCCGGTCTACAGCTCCCAGCCTGAGCGACGCAGAAGACGGGTGATTTCTGCAATTCCATCTGAGGTACCGGGTTCATCTCACTAGGGAGCGCCAGACAGTGGGCGCAGGTCAGTGGGTGTGCGCACAGTGCGCGAGCCGAAGCAGGGCGAGGCATTGCCTCACTCGGGAAGCGCAAGGGGTCAGGGAGTTCCCTTTCCTAATCAAAGAAAGGGGTGACGGACGGCACCTGGAAAATCGGGAAAATCGGGTCACTCCCACCCGAATACTGCGCTTTTCCGACGGGCTTAAAAAACAGCGCACCACGAGATTATATCCGCACCTGGCTCGGAGGGTCCTACGCCCACGGAGTCTCGCTGATTGCTAGCACAGCAGTCTGAGATCAAACTGCAAGGCGGCAGCGAGGCTGGGGGAGGGGCGCCCGCCATTGCCCAGGCTTGCTTAGGTAAACAAAGCAGCCTGGAAGCTCCAACTGGGTGGAGCCCACCACAGCTCAAGGAGGCCTGCCTGCCTCTGTAGGCTCCACCTCTGGGGGCAGGGCACAGACAAACAAAAAGACAGCAGTAACCTCTGCAGACTTAAATGCCCCTGTCTGACAGCTTTGAAGAGAGCAGTGGTTCTCCCAGTGCGCAGCCAGAGATCTGAGAACGGGCAGACTGCCTCCTCAAGTGGGTCCCTCACCCCTGACCCCCGAGCAGTTTAACTGCGAGGCACCCTCCAGCAGGGGCACACTGACACCTCACACTGCAGGGTACTCCAACAGACCTGCAGCTGAGGGTCCTGTCTGTTAGAAGGAAAACTAACAAACAGAAAGGACATCCACACCAAAAACTCATCTGTACATCACCATCATCAAAGACCAAAAGTAGATAAAACCACAAAGATGGGGAAAAAACAGAACAGAAAAACTGGAAACTCTAAAAATCAGAGCGCCTCTCCTCCTCCAAAGGAACGCAGCTCCTCACCAGCAACGGAACAAAGCTGGACAGAGAATGACTTTGACGAGCTGAGAGAAGAAGGCTTCAGATGATCAAATTACTCTGAGCTACGGGAGGACATTCAAACCAAAGGCAAAGAAGTTGAAAACTTTGAAAAAAATTTAGAAGAATGTATAACTAGAATAACCAATACAGAGAAGTGCTTAAAGGAGCTGATGGAGCTGAAAACCAAGGCTCGAGAACTACGTGAAGAATGCAGAAGGCTCAGGAGCCGATGTGATCAACTGGAAGAAAGGGTATCAGCAATGGAAGATGAAATGAATGAAATGAAGGGAGAAGGAAAGTTTAGAGAAAAAAGAATAAAAAGAAATGAGCAAAGCCTCCAAGAACTACGGGACTATGTGAAAAGACCAAATCTACGTCTGACTGGTGTACCTGAAAGTGATGGGGAGAATGGAACCAAGTTGGAAAACACTCTGCAGGATATTATCCAGGAGAATTTCCCCAATCTAGCAAGGCAGGCCAACGTTCAGATTCAGGAAATACAGAGAACGCCACAAAGATACTCCTCGAGAAGAGCAACTCCAAGACACATAATTGTCAGATTCACCAAAGATGAAATGAAGGAAAAAATGTTAAGGGCAGCCAGAGAGAAAGGTCGGGTTCCCCTCAAAGGGAAGCCCATCAGACTAACAGCGGATCTCTCGGCAGAAACCCTACAAGCCAGAAGAGAGTGGGGGCCAATATTCAACATTCTTAAAGAAAAGAATTTTCAACCCAGAATTTCATATGCAGCCAAACTAAGCTTCAAAAGTGAAGGAGAAATAAAATACTTTACAGACAAGCAAATGCTGAGAGATTTTGTCACCACCAGGCCTGCCCTAAAAGAGCTCCTGAAGGAAGCGCTAAACATGGAAAGGAACAACCGGTACCAGCCGCTGCAAAATCATGCCAAAATGTAAAGACCGTCGAGACTAGGAAGAAACTGCATCAACTAACGAGCAAAATCACCAGCTAACATCATAATGACAGCATCAAATTCACACATAACACTATTAACTTTAAATGTAAATGGACTAAATGCTCCAATTAAAAGACACAGACTGGCAAATTGGATAAAGAGTCAAGACCCATCAGTGTGCTGTATTCAGGAAACCCATCTCACGTGCAGAGACACACATGGGCTCAAAATAAAAGGATGGAGGAAGATCTACCAAGCAAATGGAAAACAAAAAAAGGCAGGGGTTGCAATCCTAGTCTCTGATAAAACAGACTTGAAACCAACAAAGATCAAAAGACACAAAGAAGGCCATTACATAATGGTAAAGGGATCAATTCAACAAGAAGAGCTAACTATCCTAAATATATATGCACCCAATACAGGAGCACCCAGATTCATAAAGCAAGTCCTGAGTGACCTACAAAGAGACTTAGACTCCCACACATTAATAATGGGAGACTTTAACACCCCACTGTCAACATTAGACAGATCAACGGGACAGAAAGTCAACAAGGATACCCAGGAATTGAACTCAGCTCTGCACCAAGCGGACCTAATAGACATCTACAGAAGTCTCCACCCCAAATCAACAGAATATACATTTTTTTCAGCACCACACCACACCTATTCCAAAATTGACCACATACTTGGAAGTAAAGCTCTCCTCAGCAAATGTAAAAGAACAGAAATTATAACAAACTGTCTCTCAGACCACAGTGCAATCAAACTAGAACTCAGGATTAAGAATTTCACTCAAAACCGCTCAACTACATGGAAACTGAACAACCTGCTCCTGAATGACTGTTGGGTACATAACGAAATGAAGGCAGAAATAAAGATGTTCTTTGAAACCAACGAGAACAAAGACACAACATACCAGAATCTCTGGGATGCATTCAAAGCAGTGTGTAGAGGGAAATTTATAGCACTAAATACCCACAAGAGAAAGCAGGAAAGATCCAAAACTGACACCCTAACATCACAATTAAAAGAACTAGAAAAGCAAGAGCAAACACATTCCAAAGCTAGCAGAAGGCAAGAAATAACTAAAATCAGAGCAGAACTGAAGGAAATAGAGACACAAAAAACCCTTCAAAAAATTAATGAATCCAGGAGCTGGTTTTTTGAAAGGATCAACAAAATTGATAGACCGCTAGCAAGACTAATAAAGAAAAAAAGAGAGAAGAATCAAATAGACGCAATAAAAAATGATAAAGGGGATATCACCACCGATCCCACAGAAATACAAACTACCATCAGAGAATACTACAAACACCTCTACGCAAATAAACTAGAAAATCTAGAAGAAATGGATAAATTCCTTGACACATACACTCTCCCAAGACTAAACCAGGAAGAAGTTGAATCTCTGAATAGACCAATAACAGGATCTGAAATTGTGGCAATAATCAATAGCTTACCAACCAAAAAGAGTCCAGGACCAGATGGATTCACAGCCGAATTCTACCAGAGGTACAAGGAGGAATTGGTACCATTCCTTCTGAAACTATTCCAATCAATAGAAAAAGAGGGAATCCTCCCTAACTCATTTGATGAGGCCAGCATCATTCTGATATCAAAGCCGGGCAGAGACACAACCAAAAAAGAGAATTTTAGACCAATATCCTTGATGAACATTGATGCAAAAATCCTCAATAAAATACTGGCAAACCGAATCCAGCAGCACATCAAAAAGCTTATCCACCATGATCAAGTGGGCTTCATCCCTGGGATGGAAGGCAGGTTCAATATATGCAAATCAATAAATGTAATCCAGCATATAAACAGAGCCAAAGACAAAAACCACATGATTATCTCAATAGATGCAGAAAAGGCCTTTGACAAAATTCAACAACCCTTCATGCTAAAAACTCTCAATAAATTAGGTATTGATGGGACATATTTCAAAATAATAAGAGCTATCTATGACAAACCCACAGCCAATATCATACTGAATGGGCAAAAACTGGAAGCATTCCCTTTGAAAACTGGCACAAGACAGGGATGCCCTCTCTCACCACTCCTATTCAACATAGTGTTGGAAGTTCTGGCCAGGGCAATTAGGCAGGAGAAGGAAATAAGGGGTATTCAATTAGGAAAAGAGGAAGTCAAATTGTCCCCGTTTGCAGACGACATGATTGTATATCTAGAAAACCCCACTGTCTCAGCCCAAAATCTCCTTAAGCTGATAAGCAACTTCAGCAAAGTCTCAGGATACAAAATCAATGTGCAAAAATCACAAGCATTCCTATACACCAACCACAGACAAACAGAGAGCCAAATCATGAGTGAACTCCCATTCACAATTGCTTCAAAGAGAATAAAAGACCTAGGAATCCAACTTACAAGGGATGTGAAGGACCTCTTCAAGGACAACTACAAACCACTGCTCAAGGAAATAAAAGAGGATACACACAAATGGAAGAACATTCCATGCTCATGGGTAGGAAGAATCAATATTGTGAAAATGGCCATACTGCCCAAGGTAATTTACAGATTCAATGCCATCCCCATCAAGCTACCAATGCCTTTCTTCACAGAATTGGAAAAAACTACTTTAAAGTTCATATGGAACCAAAAAAGAGCCCGCATCGCCAAGTCAATCCTAAGCCAAAAGAACAAAGCTGGAGGCATCACACTACCTGACTTCAAACTATACTACAAGGCTACAGTAACCAAAACAGCATGGTACTGGTACCAAAACAGAGATATAGATCAATGGAACAGAACAGAGCCCTCAGAAATAATGCCGCATATCTACAACTATCTGATCTTTGACAAACCTGAGAAAAACAAGCAATGGGGAAAGGATTCCCTATTTAATAAATGGTGCTGGGAAAACTGGCTAGCCATATGTAGAAAGCTGAAACTGGATCCCTTCCTTACACCTTATACAAAAATCAATTCAAGATGGATTAAAGACTTAAATGTTAGACCTAAAACCATAAAAACTCTAGAAGAAAACCTAGGCATTACCATTCAGGACATAGGCATGGGCAAGGACTTCATGTCTAAAACACCAAAAGCAATGGCAACAAAAGCCAAAATTGACAAATGGGATCTAATTAAACTAAAGAGCTTCTGCACAGCAAAAGAAACTACCATCAGAGTGAACAGGCAACCTATAGAATGGGAGAAAATTTTCGCAACCTACTCATCTGACAAAGGGCTAATATCCAGAATTTACAATGAACTCAAACAAATTTACAAGAAAAAAACAAACAACCCCATCGAAAAGTGGGCGAAGGACATCAACAGACACTTCTCAAAAGAAGACATTTATGCAGCCAAAAGACACATGAAAAAATGCTCACCATCACTGGCCATCAGAGAAATGCTAATCAAAACCACAATGAGATACCATCTCACACCAGTTAGAATGGCAATCATTAAAAAGTCAGGAAACAACAGGTGCTGGAGAGGATGTGGAGAAATAGGAACACTTTTACACTGTTGGTGGGACTGTAAACTAGTTCACCCATTGTGGAAGTCAGTGTGGCGATTCCTCAGGGATCTAGAACTAGAAATACCATTTGACCCAGCCATCCCATTACTGGGTATATACCCAAAGGACTATAAATCATGCTGCTAATAAAGCACATGCACACGTATGTTTATTGCGGCATTATTCACAATAGCAAAGACTTGGAACCAACCCAAATGTCCCACAATGATAGACTGGATTAAGAAAATGTGGCACATATACACCATGGAATACTATGCAGCCATAAAAAATGATGCGTTCATGTCCTTTGTAGGGACTTGGATGAAATTGGAAACCATCATTCTCAGTAAACTGTCGCAAGAACAAAAAACCAAACACTGCATATGCTCACTCATAGGTGGGAATTGAACAATGAGATCACATGGACACAGGAAGGGGAACATCACACTCTGGGGACTGTTGTGGGGTGAGGGGAGGGGGGAGGGATAGCATTAGGAGATATACCTAATGCTAGATGACGAGTTAGTGGGTGCAGCACACCAGCGTGGCACATGTATACGTATGTAACTAACCTGCACAATGTGCACATGTACCCTAAAACTTAAAGTATAATAATAAAAAAAAATATTGCAATAAATGGAATGTAGAAGCAGATATGAGAATCCAGCTGTCTTCTATTAGACCAGACATTACAGAGATTTATAAAAAGCAATACAGTGCCACTCTTCTTACTAAATTTTTGTTTTTTAAATATAGTTATTTAAAAATATATTTATAGTAACATGTAATAGGTTTATTAAGACTTTTAAATGAATACATATTTTAATAATTTCTCAGCCTTAATGTTTTATATGGTAACAATAGATGTACCTCACATAAGCAAAAGTTCTTTAGGATTTTCAATAATTTTTAAGAGTATGAAGGGATCCTGAGACTAAAAGTTTGAGAACCAGTGTACTCTTTGGCTAATTGGGCTAGATGAGCAATAAATGATATGTAGGCTGTAGATCTTATAAGATAATGACTTGCCAGGGTGTGAAAGATAAATCCTCTAAAGAGTCAATTCATCTTTGTATTATGCATCCAGTGGTCTATAGTATGTCAGGACATGTTCTCCAAAATAAAAGATAAAGTATTGTATTTTATACTTACAGCACTAAGAAAAAGTGCAATGTTGGTACCTTGTCCCCATTCCTATAAGTTCATCCACAAGCATCTTCTTTGGAACACTTTGTTAAGATCTACAGGTCCATTTGTATTCTCACCTTGGGCTACTCTCTATACAAAGGATAACTGGGCAGGCTCCCAGAGCTCTGCTCATTGGGAATTTCTCCTTTCCACTACCCCAAAAGCAGCACTGCTGGAATAGCAGCCCTTTTTTAGAAGCACACTAACAAAGCAAGATAAACTATTCAAGAACTCTCATTAAAGCTTTTCCTTCTCTGACATTTGGTCCTAAGAGTCATAGGTGGGAGCTGAGGGGGAGGCGGGGGTCCAGCAGTGGTGGGAACAACAGACACTCATGCAGCTTTCCTCGCTCTCTGGCCCTACATGTCTGATCCAGGTGTTCTATCTACTTCTATCTTACAATGAATTCTGAGCTTATGACTTGGTTGGTCTAACAAAACTCAGCATATGGTGGGCCCTGTGATTTCATTATGGTCACTTGCTATGGTCAGATGATCCATATTTATAGAGTCCAAGTAGCACGTCCAGAGCTTGTTCTCAGTTGACATATAGTTTTCTGCTGCCAATGCCATAGCCTTGCTCCACAGCCTTAGACTACATTGTGATTCTCTTATTGAAGTGTGTCATCAACTCCACAAAGCATCTTTTCCACATATATATATGTACCGCATATGCGGTACATATATGTACTATATAGTACATATATATATGTGTACATATATAGTACATATATATAGTACATATATGTGGTACATATATATATATAGTCCTGTAGGGTCTGTCCTATAACTTAAGTTACAGGGCTGCTTGCATTTCAGATTGACCTATAATAGAATCATTTTATGGTCTGCATCTGACACAAAGCTATAAGCCTCTGTTATTAGATAAAGTAGTTAGAGCCATACTCACAAGTGCAGGTCATACTGCCTACCAACTTTGCCCTTTCTGTTTGCATAACCTTATTAAATAAACCTAATGATGACATGATAGGAAAAATAATTCATGACCATTCTCATGAACATAGATGCAAAATTTTAAATGTAATATTAATAAATAAAATCCAGTGTTGTATAACAAGATAATACAACATTCCAAGTTAGATTTATTTAAGGAATACACGGTTGCTTTAAAATTTAAAAATTCAGCAGCCAGGAAAGGTGGCTCATGCCAGTAATCACAGCACTTTGGGAGGATGAGGCGGGCGGATGACTTGAGCCCAGGAGTTTGAGACCATTCTGGAAAACATGGCAAATCCCTGTCCCTACAAAAAATACAAAACTTAGCCAGACATGATGGCACATGCCAGTGGTCCCAGCCGCTTGGGAAGCTGAGGTGGGAGAATCTCTTGAGCCCAGGAGGCAGAGGCTGCAGTAAGCCAGTATCACATCACTGCACTTCAGCCTGGGCAACAGAGTGATACCCTGTCTCAGAAAAAAAATTAAGCAATGTAATTCTCCACATTCACAGGATAAAGAATAAAAAGTATGATTCTCTCAATAGATGAAAAACAATAATTTTATAAAAATCAACATGTATTTATAACAAAACATAGTAAATTTGAAATAAAGAAGAAATCTTTAACCTGAAAAGGTGTATCCATAAAAGTATACAAGGAACATTAGAGAAATGGTGAACTATTGAAATCTCCCCCACAGCCTCCAATATCAAGAACAAGACACCAACGTCCATTTTCACCCCATGTATTCAGCCTTGCACTGGAGACTTTAAACAGAGAAATAAGAAAAAAAAAAAAAAAAGAAAAGGATTAAGGGTAAAAAAAGAAGGAATGAACCATCATCATTTATTGATGGCATGATATTTATTTAAAGTCCAACAGTCTATAGATACAGTATTAGAATTGATAAGTGATTTTAGAAAGCTGTGTATTTTGGTACAACAAAAACAATTAGAGAGTAAAAGTTAGAAAATATATTTTTTAGAATAGCACTGTTAAACACCAAATATCTAGGCATAAGACAGCTACATAGAAAGTTATAAACCATTATAAGAAACTAAAATGAAAAAAATGGAAAGCTATACCATGTTCACCATTTAGAAGACTCAGACTGTAAAAATGCCAATTGTCCCTAAACTGATCAATGTAATTTTATTCAAAATCCCTGTGGTATTTATTTATTTATTTATTTTAGAGGGGAGACATTAACAAACTGATTAACAAAACATTAATTAGGAAACTGTAGTACTGGCGTAAGGACTGATGAATCGACCCATAGGGTAGAACAGGTGTCAGCAAACTGTGGCTTTGTGCCAGATCTGGCCTGCTGCCTGTTTTTGTTGGAGCAGAGCCATGCCCATTTATTTAGGTATTGTTTTTGGCTGTTTCTGTGGTACAGTGGCAGGGATGAGTAGGTATGACAGAGAGTATATGACCCAAAGCTTAAAATATCTACTATCTGACACTACAGAAAAAGCCTTCTGACCCCTACTGTGGAATACAGTGTTCAGAAATAAATAAACTCATAAACAGAAACTTGGGATTAAGATTATGTTACCACTGAGTAGTGGGTGTAGGAGTCTTTTCAATAAATACTGCTGGGTCAGTTGGATAATGATATGAAAAAAGAAATTATTCTTGATCTAAATTTAAACCATGCACAAAAATCAATTCCATCTTAATGTTAAAGTTAAGCCAATAAAGCTTCTCAAAAATAATATAGCAGATGTTCAAAATTATTTTTAAAAACTACAGATAAAAAGCAATAAGAAAAAAGTAATAAATGGATACATTGGACTTTAATAAAATTAAGACATTCTGATGTTTAAGACTTTGTAAACTATAGGCAAGGCACACAGTGAAAGAATATATTTGCAACCCATAGAGAACAAAAGATTCTAGTTCCTTCAAATATAAATTATATATAATACCAGTTAAAAAATAGGCAAAAGACTTGGGCAGATATTTCACAAAAGAAAATGTCCAAATGATCTGGTCACATAAAATGATGTTTCACATCATTAGTCATCATTAAAATGCATATTTACAGAACAATAAATTAGGATGCCTAAATTAAAAAGACTCATCATTCAAAGTGTTGGAGAAGATGTAGAGCAGTGATAGCCCTTGTGCACTGCTGATCATAGCGCAAATCAGTACAATCACTTTTAGTAGCGTCTACTATAGCTGAACATGCACATACCTTATGACCCAGCAATTTTTATTACTCAATTTATACCCAGAAAAATATATAATCTTCAATGATAATGTTCATAGAAGTACAATTAGTAATAGCTTCCCACTGGAAAAAGCTGCGTACTCATAAAATTAATACTATAAAATAATGAAAATATGGAATTTAAAAGGCCAGATGCAAATCAATATATGCCATATAATTCTACTATAAAATATAAAAACCAGAAACATTTATTCATGGTGAAAAAGGTCAGCATATTGAGTAGGGCAAGTGAACTAGGGGTTTCTGTGGTGTTGGCCGTGTTCTATTTATTGATCAGAGAGAGTGGTTACATAGGTGTATTGACTATCAAAATTCATTGACGGTACATATAAGACATGTACACTTTTCTGCACATATGTTGTAGTTTATGACAGCGTTCAGTTTCATTAAAAGGATAACACATAGAGAGGGAGTAGGGAATCGGAGGAGATGGGGTGATATTTTAGACAGGGAATCAGAGAAAGCTTCTCTTAAGAGAGCATATTTTAACAATGACCTGTTTTCAGTGACCTGAAAGAAGCAAGTGAGAAGCCATGCGAAGCCATGGAAAGTCATATTAAGATCTGAGATAAGAATATTCCAGGCAGAGAGAATATCAATGCAAAGGCTTTGAGATGATGTCATGCTTGATGTGTTTGATGAGTATCCGAAAGCCTACTTGGGCTTGAGTAGAGTGAGAAGAGTTGTCATAAATTAGATTGGCTGACACATATTAAACTATTGAGTGAATGACTTATATGAAGATTCACATTTCTGGTCTTGGCATGATTATTTCTTGTTATCTGTCCATTAAATATACATGAAACATTGTAAAATGGTTTTCAAAAAACCTGTCTATTAGCCTTAGAAAACAACAGATTTAATACCAGGGTAATCACTTTACTTAGTTCAAGAACTGAATTCCATTTCACTAAATTTTCAAAGTCTAGAGAAAATGTTTTGTCCATCCTACACAATTCCTAATGAAGGAAAAAGACAGAAACCAGCAGTTAATCAAGACATTAGTTAAGTTGAGGGAAAAATATGTTGATAAAAGCATAATCTCTTCATTTACTGATCATTTATGGGAAAAGAGCTATACGCAAATTTTATATATGCATATGAAAGTTTTGGCGGGCACAGTGGCTCATGCCTGTAATCCCAGCACTTTGGGAGGTCAAGGCCGACAGATCACTTGAGGTCAGGAGTTTAAGACCAGTCTGGCCAACATGGTGAAATTGTCTCTACTAAAAATACAAAAATTAGCTAGGCATGGTGGCATGCGCCTATAATCCTGGCTACTTGGGAGGCTGAGGCAGGAGAATTGCTTGACCCCAGGAGGCAGAGTTTGTACTGAGCCAAGATTGCACCACCGCACTCCAGCCTGGGTGACAGAGTGAGACTCTGTCTCAAAAAAAAAAAAAAAAGAAAGAATGTCAGATTTAAGACCCGACACCAGCAGCAATGGAAACCGAACAATAGAAAATCATTCTTTCAAGGACTTATTTCTCTTAAAGATATAATTACCTAGGATTGTCCATGAAGAATGAGCAATGTCATTTGCGGTGATGGAAGCTCATTACCAGGTGGCAAAAAAACAATAATTATACTTTCTACATTTTATAAGAACCTAGACATACTACATTTTAACCCTGTGATGTTTTCCTTTTTAATTTAAAAATAGCAGCATCAGCAATCACCACCAAGAATAAAACAATAACACACGCGAGAACAAGATACATATTCAAAGTCCTGAGACCTCACAGTTTCCCTGAGAGTTGCAAGTGTCCTGCAATGAGACAATGGACGCTTCTGCCTAGAAAGAGTTGCTGCAGAAGCAGGAGACACTAAACTTTAAACAAAATCATAGAACTCTTTCAACCTTTCTTCTCGTATTGAGTCTACGTTAAAGTGCCATAAATCTTGTTGACAGTTACTGCCACATCTATTGGCACACAGTCAGCATCTGTTTGAAAAGAGTTTTGCAGCATAGGTAGGGCCCATTACCTGTTCTCTGTCTTCTCTTAGTATTTATTTTCACCCCAGCAGGCAGCACCTCACAATGTCATTAATTTCTTAGTCAGCCTGTACTTTCCCTTACAGCCACTTAGAGAGTGCTCTTATAAACAGCTCTGTGCATCACCAGAAATGCATTGCACCTCTAGAAGGAAATCAGAAATTTAAGAGCAGCAGGTACAACGTGAACTGGTTGCTGAGGTGATGTGGTCTCTGTTGCTAGATCAGTGGGGGGTCATCATGGTGATTTGGTTATATGGTTCCGAGGGAATCAGTGCTGTTGGCCAACACAATCTTAAGAAAGTGAGCGATGGTAGATGTGCAACTGAAGGGAAAGCAGCAAGAAAATACGATATTCCACGATTCACCATGAAGAAGAAAGCAACAAATGAGTAGACAAGACAGCAAGAAATTACCTGCATAAAGAAGGCATTCTAATCATCCCAATACCTGAAAAGAGTGAACTGTACTCTAGTCAACTTTCGTTGGGATAAATATTCTAATAGGAATTGCCCCTTTCTTCAGAAAGGATGATTAAAAAACATCATCAATCAAAGCTGGACCAGAAAAGCAATCAGAACCTAATTCTTCATTAGAACAGGTTTAAAGATGTCCAGTCATGAGGACTCTACTACTTTAATCATAATATGGTTTTTTTACAAAAATTAAAAATTTCCATAAACTAAAATATGGATCACATTTATTTTTATTCTTCTGTGGGGCCAGGACTCATTTCTAGAAGGGCTACTGGTCCACGGTTAGAAAATGGCCCCTTCACCTCTGTGGTAAATGTGGGCTATATGTTTGGATGTGCTTCAAATATTCTAGATGGGTAGCTTTGTGCATATTTTAAATTTTATAGAAAAATAATACAATCTTACATTTCTATTTAATCATTGTTTAAAATGTATTGAGCTGTAAAAATCACACAAGGAGGTAGAAAAGTCAGAAATGTTTATGTCTACTTATATAGGTTATGAGACAGACCTGGCAAAGATAATTAGGTCACAGATTTCTTTTTTTTTTTTTTTTAACCATACAACTTATTGTATTCATGTGCTTATAGTCTAGGAAACTAAAAACTAAAACCTGTGTGTAAGAAACTCAGTAGCCTTCAATGTCTATGTCAAAAGTCTCCCCTATTAGCAGCTGCTAAGTGGAAAAGAAAGCTGAAGGAAAGCAGCCTGGGTAAGTTGAGAATTCTAATAAACCAATTGGTATGATACTAATTTGCTCTTTTTTTTTCCTTGCCCATGGAATATGATAACTCATTTTTATCATGCACCTTTGGGAAGATTGAAAACCAAAAAAATGAAAGAAAAGTCAGTACAGTATTAGAACTAATGTCTTCCCACCCAAGCTACTGTGTTCTGGTGCATGAGTCAGGTGGAGCGGTGCTACAAGGTCAACCAAGAGAGTGGGTTGTTCAACTACTGTGGCAGGAATCACCATAGAATGGACATTCTCACCTGGAGGAGGACTTGTAATGAAATCTGAAGAAAACATTATTCTCAAGAGATAATATGTAGTGGAAGGAAAGAAAATTAAGACAGAGAAGAAGGAATTCCCTTCTCCTGTCTATACATTTTCAACCTCCTTTCCTTTGCGGGAATGGCATAATGATTTGTTTCTTAGAGAACCTTGTTTTGTTGTTTCCTATCAGCTTCCTCTGCAAAACAAAAACACCCCTGAACCCGCCTTCCTCTTGAAGTAATACTTTGGTTCCCTGATTTTCTGATTAGGGCTTTCAAAATAATTTGTGTTCAAGTATGTTTTTATTCCAGGCTTCATTTTGATATCTACATGTCCATTATTAGCCTGTCCCCATTAACCAATTAAGTACACATGCAAACACACACATGCACACACACATACACTCTCTATTACAACACATATACACAAGACATATCTGAGTACTCACTAGTAAATACTCATGTGTACTAAAGTCTACCACAGGGGTTTCAAATGTCAGTTGTGTTTTTTAGTTTAATTCAACTTTTATACCTATAGTAATTCATTTATTTCATTTTTGATTATTTTAAATGTTTTGGATAACAGAATGGCTCTTGAATTGCAACGGAAGTTAAATTTCAGTATCTACCATAAACAGCACATTCATTTCATTCCTCAAGAATGAAAACACCTGTTATAGTTCCTTTTTGATTGCTGACTTTTAAATGAACATTTGGATGAAAAGTAATGTTTACAAAGATAACATATATAAAATATTCAGAAGACAAACAGCAGAAATGAGAAACAAAAAAAAGCAAACAGAAATTTAAAATAGTTTGTCTTAACAAAACAATTACAATAAAGAATTTATTAAAAACCTTTGGAAGAAACTGTTTCCAGTAATTTAAAAATAAACAGAAAATATATTAACAAATAATTGAAAATAATATCTAACTGCACAAATGTATAAAATATCTAACTCAAAATAGCACTGTTAATATGTCAGTATATTTTAGTTAACATACTTTTAAAATGAGACACACAGATTACTTCATTGCATATCTCTGAGAGCTCCTCAAATCCTACACACATTTTAAATTGTTAAATTTGATACAATTACTGTCTTTTTAAAATCAAAAGAGCATTTTCCTACTTTTAGACTGAGTAAAAGATGCATTGACTCCTTGCTTCCCACTAGACTCACTAGACATTCTGATACTGCACTCGTGGTGAGCTGGCCAGAGTGAGGTTGTGAAAAAAAGACAACAATACCGAGGACATTTGGGCAAAAAAGTATTTATCACCAAGTATAAAAATTTTTGTAAAGCCATCACTGATTAATACATTATTTCATTTTTGCTCAATTACTTACTAGAGAAATGTATAAGTAGCATTTTCAGTTCCTTGCAAGAGACCATGGTTAGCTTATTTCATGGCAAAAACATGTTAAAATATGAAATGACTTCTCAAACCTATTTTATATGGAAGTCACATTTTTGTGCACATGACTTTTTAATTTTGAAAAGACGTTTTATCACAAATTCCATGAAACTTTCTTTCAGTAAATCTAAAAATGGAATGTTCTATGATACTAGTTGACTTTCCATCTCTTACTATTCTTCTAACAGGATACTCTGAAAATTTGAATATCATAGACTTAGTAAGAAAATATGTTTTATGTAGCTTTTTGGGTTAAGAAGCATTAGTAGGAAAACAAGTCAGTGTGCTAAGGGCTTTAATTATCCGAAGAGACATACATTTATATATTCGGTAAAATAAAATTATTTAATGTTCTTCGTTATTCAATATTTTTGAAAATATTGTTATGTTTGTGTTTTATTCACAGAAATTCAGTTTTACAAATAGCAGCTGATTTTTTATTAAACCAGAGCCAAATTACTAATTTCAGTATTAATAGTTAGCTTTGACATGTTTAAAAAGGGTAGAAAGTACGTAATAGACCTGTCTTCAACTCTGAAATGAACAGCTGCTCAGGGAAATGGAATTGTTCAAAGATACATTTTCTTTCTGCCAATCTGTGAAATATAATATAATTATTCTCTTTTAATGAATCTCTCAACGAGGAGCAATCTTTCAGAGCTTGAGCAGGTAAAATATAATGATAATGGGAACAGCTTTGTAAATAAAAGGATGAAATGAGATTGTTATTTTGTGCCATATTATGGGATAATTAAAATAACAGTGCAGCATTCAGCAGGTATTTGAACTTTCTAAAAAATGCTCCCCAGGGCTCTTTTAAATTAGTCATGTTTATCCATGTAGATTTGTAATCTTACTGCAAATGTCTGTCACCTTATAATATTCAGACCTCAATACTTAATCTGATTAATATCTGATACTGTACAACAGCTAACAAACCTTGCCGAAAGCAGACATTAAAATAATAACCTGAGTTGACAAACTCGAATTTATTAAAAGAAGAACAATAGAACTATTTTCATTAAGCCAGGAGAATGATTACTCTCAGTGTGGTGGGACTCATGAACTACATGAGATTCTATGTATTTCCACAAAACAGAGTGGCCGCACACTTCCAAGGAGCTACTATTCACATGATAATTAGCTCTATATAATAAAAGAGTATATTCATGGAAACTAAACTCATGGCAATGGAACTCCAATGGCTAGTTGCTTTGTTTAATTCAAATTCATACAGCTCAAATACAAGTAGATGATGAGATCTGATTTTTCAAGAAACAAGTTCCTTTGCAGTTCACTGGACCCTCCTAGCACCCTTCTTAGAAAAAGTGTGCAAGCAGAATCAAGTGCTAGAGTGTGGCCATTATATCACATCCATTAAAGTTATTAGAAAACAAAATATAAATAAAGAAGGTAAAATAAAAGTCTGATATCTCTTCTGGTATAACTTTAAATTGCTAGTGAGATATCATTTCACGAAATGGTACAATTGAAGTTTTATTCTCAATTAGGTTGTAGTTTTTCTCAGTTATTATTCTCTATCTGGAGGAACAAGGAAAATGGTTTTTAATATCAATAAATAAGTAACTGTGACTTCTGTTTCATACTTTCTGTAGCTGATTTCATGTCTTTTTAATAGTTCTTTCATGCTTATAATTTTTTAAAATCCTCCCCAACTGATTGTCAGATATCCTGATGATAGAAAGAAATTATTGTAATTTCCTGGGGAGCTATCTACCACCTTAGCTTCAAATCATTACCCTCAAAGGGCAAGATCGCTATCAGGCTTTATATTTAGGAAATTTGTATGGATAGCCTCATATCTGGAAACTTTATGTGTCTACTATTAGAAGGTATACTCTACATGTGTTATTTAATCACTTGAGCGTTATATTATCAGGCAATATTTATTTAGTTTGGAAATCTGTTTTATATGTCTACCACTGGGTACGTTAAATTGACTTAAAGTTAAGATGCAGCTTTACTCTAGGTAGGTGATCTGCCACTATTTTCAATAGACAGAGGACTGGACAACTGTGCCACAGAAACAAATAAGATGATAATTTTACCACTGATATCAGATATCAAGGTCTACAGAACATACCCATTAAAGCATTTGTATTTTCTAATCTTCTCTGCAATTGCAAAAATCAATAGCTAGAAATATAGAAGGGTTTTAGAATAGCATGTAGAATTTTGAAAATAAACAATGTATTCTTCCTCAGAAGTCATATAAGATTAACAATCTGAGCCTTAATTAAAAATCCTGAGTAAACACATTCATTTCCTTTTTCCCTTGCAACTATTAAATTGATCAATAAACCATATATTTTTCAAAATGCGACTGGTACTAAAAACTCATTTTTCTTGTTTCCCTACATTCATTAGGTGATAGAGAGTTGCTCATTATTCTGCCATCCCTGTGTACCTTTTTGGATTTTGCCCATTTTCCTAATTTCAATTTCTTTTCAGGAATGAACAAATTGATGATCAATGGTGATGATTTCATTTATATATTAGAAAATACCACTTTTCTGTTTAAATGATTACTTACCTGTTATATTCAATTTAAAATGGCTTTGCAGTCTTACCAATTCTACCATAAAAAGTTATAGCATTATACTTCTTGTCAGATTTTGTTTTTAAAATTATACTGCACACCAGATTTTTTAAATTTTACTGTTGAACAAGGGGAAAGGTGGCAATAATGATGGTCATGAAAAGGTAATTTGTATACCTTCAGAAGACATATGAGAATATTCTAAATATTGTCATCTAGTGGCTCAGTTCCTCCAAAATATTATTCATATTTCTAGTTTGTGCTTTTTAAATTTCTAGGAGCTACCAGTGTCTGCAGTTTCTACAGTACTATGACAAATAGAAATTTCATTAATGCTTCTCGATAATGCATGTGCTTTTATAGGATAGCCAAACAAAGGATAAGAGTACCTGGTCTTATATATTGAAAATTTTTTTATTTTTACATTTTAGAAATATGCCTTATATTCTCTAACTTTTTATTACTTTTTACAAACTTCAAAATTATAACTTAAAAAAAATCTTAGTGCCATCACATTAAGATACCCAGGTATATGATGTAATCTTAAATTTAACAGCAATTTTGATATTTAGTCTTATTAAGCATATGCTATTATTTGCATTACCATTGCTAAAAAATTTCAAAGGAGGCAGTTTAAAAACATAGTTGGGAGACATCTACTTAAAGGTTACTAGATAGCAAATGTTTGGATCTATCTATTTTCAACCAATGAAAATATCATGGTATTAGTGTATGCATATATTTTTGTGAAATGCAACATCTCAAACGCCATACTATTTTTCAACAGTTTTAACAACCAGGTGTAATAATGCTGCATGAAATCCTTTTCTTGTTTCCAAATTTAATTGATTTAATCACTGAAATTAAATGCTTGGAAATTCTTCTGCTTGCCGGTGTTTGAACGCCAAATACATCATCTACAGTTCTAAAATGAATATTGCATTTATATTTAGACAACTTAAAACACTGCTTTCTAAATTACCCTAAATAACCCATAGAAATGTCTAGAAAAATTCATAATAGTGGATGACAAATGTCCATTGCCATCAACCTTCAAATAAGAATAACTTTTACAAGGTATACAAAGTGTACAATTATCTGGGAAATATAATGTAAAGCACACATAGATTAATCTTACTTCTTCCAGCACTCACCACCAGTGAGCTCTTCCAAAACTCATCTTTAAAGATGAAGACATGGGAGCTAGAAATCATATTTATCTTCAGAGGCAAAAGAAATTTAAGTTTTGCCAAGCTTTCACAGACGTCAGCTCATTTATTCTCTTTGATCAATTTGGTTTGTATTGCTTTGTTTTGCTTTTCTTCATAATTTCTGGGAGTTAAAAAATTAATAGTAATAAAGTCACTTGAGTAGAGATACTCCTTGACAGCCAATCAGATACACAGTCTCTCCCAACAGTGCATAGAGAGATCAAATAGGGTGAGATGAGGATATGTTTGGTGCAAAGTATATGGAAAAGCTTATTCTGGGGGAAATAATACATAGTAAATTTTATCCAAGATGATGAAGAATAAAAACAATGTTTACAGTAAAGTATTTCCACATGGGGCTACTTATCTGAGTTTGTTTGTTTGTTTTTTGTTTTTTTGGCCTGAATTTTTCCATGAAAGATAGTAGCTAGCATTAACTAGGCATTTGCTACGTACTGGCCCCTATTCTAAGCTTCTAATCTGGGCTTTTCTCATTCTCACAGTCACCATATGAGGAAGGCGCCATTCTTTGTGCCCATTTTAGAGATAAGGAGATTAAAGTACAAGGACATGAAGTTACTTGCCCAAAGTTGTCCAGATAAGCAGCAGAGTTGGGGTTTGAGCCAGCTGGAATCTGGTGCCTGCACCAAGAACCACGAACACTATGCCGCCTTCGTGGAATGTGTAGGAGTGATTAAGCTTAAGTATTTCCACATGGGGCTATGCAAACACTATCAAGGTGGTGAAAACTGCAGCAGCTGAGTGTAGTTTTCTAAACTTTAGTCTTTCTGGCTTCACCTTCACAATTTTGGCAACATCTAAGTATCTTCTAAATTATCACTTAGGTAGGATGTTTTACTCTATTTTTACTTGAATTAATTTTTAAAAGAAAATTTTGATTAACATTATAAATGATAGTAAAAAATTCAGCATTTCTTACCACAAAGAGAAGACAACTGTAATAGTAAATATAAAACCATTAAACTTTTAAAACATTCATCCATGTACCCACTAACCCATCTCATTTTCCATCAGTGGAGTCCTTGCTGGGTTTTGGGAAATTCTGCCCGAAGAAAAGAGTATCATTGTTAAATGTGAATGAAATCACTGAAAACTGTCTGGACAATATAATATGTTAATTAGTTTTTAAATAAACTTTTGCATGATGGGTACCTGGACAGTTGTATCCATATGCAGGGTAGACAGTCACCTATTAATGAGGTTTCAAGCAGAAAGTCCAGCTGCTCCCTTAGCTTCTGGCAAATGTTTGAAACTCCATAATTTGAATATAATTACTTTCGCTCAGTGGTTATCAAACTTTTTAAAGCAGTCAACAACTTCATTTTAAACAAAGCAACATTTTATAAACCAGTAAGTAAAAGAGAAAATTGAAATTTTATTTGTGCAAATCCATTTTAGAAGTTCTAATTGCTAACACTCTCAACACAATCAATCAGTGAGAGGCCGGGGGCAGTGGCTCACACCTGTAATCTCAGCACTTTGGGAGGCCGAGGATGGTGAATGATGCGGTCAGGAGATAGAGACCATCCTGGCTAACACGGTGAAATACCCCTCTACTAAAAATACAAAAACAAAATTAGCCGGACATGGTGGCGGGTGCCTGCAGTCCCAGCTACTCTGGAGGCTGAGGCAGGAGAATGGCGTGAACCCGGGAGGTGGAGCTTGCAGTGAGCCGAGATCCCACCACTGCAATCCAGCCTGGGCAACAGAGTGAGACTCCGTCTTAAAAAAAAAAAAAAAAAAAAAATCAATCTGTGAGAATAATGGATCTATTTTGAGGAAGACAATTGCAATGCGATAGTATCTTATTTTTCATAGATTTCTGCATTTTGTTTTGGTTTTGTGGTATTGGCAATATCCTGATACAGACATATATATATAATCAAATAGTATGAATGTGTTGCTTCTCAGCCATGTTGAACCATTCTGTCTCCACTACCAAAAACTGGAATAGACTTGGATCTTCAAAGCTAAATCAATTAGAGTAACTAAAATGGTTCATATTCCTTGAGAGGTCCTCACTCTTGGTTAAAAAATACCTTTCAAAAGTGTCTTTTTAACAGAATTTTTCACTTTCAACAAAACAAATTCATGACATAATGATACTTGCTGTATCATTGAATTGAATTGAATTGCAAAGCTTCAATTAGTCAAATATATTTTATTCTGTGTACATACCTGAAAAGCTCCAATTTCATTGCTGGCTGCTTACACGCAGTTGTGAGCATGTTTAAAATCTTCTCTGATAAAAGTGTGCTTGATATATAAGCCAGTACAAAATTATTATTAATATTTGGGGGAGTTAATTAACTGATACAATTTCTTTATGAGGAAAAATACATCTTATGGTGGTCTGCATTTTCATTTAGGTATCATCACTTTGTTTTCATGTCCACTGATTGCCATATGTTGTTTGGTGCTTGTGCCATGCAAAAGTACCTGAATTTGCTGGCCTTTTAATTGCATGTGGTTCCCATGCACTGTGGTGGTATTTGCACAATATTGTGGCCCATTTGCACAATATTTCTCATGAGATATGCAAAGACATATTTTTAAATGTCCATTGCAGATCTATAGACTTTCCAGTCAATGCCACAGTTATTTATTTCTTTATATGTATATACATATGTGTGTGTGTGTGTGTGTGTGTGTGTGTGTGTGCGCGCGCGTGTATGTGGGTATGTATAACTATCTATATATGCATCTACCTATATAGAAAGAAAAAAGAGGAGGAAGAGAAGGAGGAGAAGTTGTTTTTGTCTGGTAACACAAGTTAATGATTTGAGAACTGTTAATATGACAAATATATTTTTATTATAGTTTTTTTATTGTCCGCAAATCTGGCAATGAATTTTTTTTTTTTACATTTATTACAGAACTGCAGAGGAATTGCAGTTATAACTCAATGGAACACAGTTTGAAAAATAACATTTTAGCTGAAGGTCTTTATATCTTTTAAAATGCAAAAACCTCTACTTTCATCTGCAATCAGTCATTTGTACATTAATGTGAATGAATTTATTAGACATCTTTCTGAGTTTAATTCAGAAGAGGGGGAGGAAAAGATGAACTCAGCTACTGAAAGACATGGGAAAGGTCGAATATTAACGCTAGGAGAACTGAAGACTAATTTGGCCTAGTTTACAGTTTTGCTTCAAGACTATGCCATCTATATATAATACATTTATTTGTATTTATAAACACATATGCACACAAAGAAAATGTCTACTGCATTAGTTGAGTGTGAGTGTGATTATGTTTCAGAATTGCATCCAACTATTTTAGAATATTTTGCTGGAATAATGTAATTACATGAATTACTCACAATTTTGTCAACTCTAAAGTAAGTCAACAGTAAAATTTCCAACCAATGAACTTATTGAAGATATTCTGATTTTATTATGTGAGTGTCTTCAAAGATTGCAAGCAAATAAATTATGCAGAAGTCCCAGATTATGTACAGCTTAATATAAATAAGGACTTAATGCTCCAAACCTGATCTCATACCTTTGGACTATGATATTTCTTTAAATTAAAATAAAAGAGTAAACTTTAAATTAAAATAAAAGGGTAAACTTAAAACAAATTAAATCCTTTTATTAAATAAAATAATTACCTTTATTACATGAATTTAGTTACATGTGTCCCCCATTTTCTCCCCCTCCAAAAGAAACTATCTAAAGTTTATGAAAGCAAGTATCTATTTCAACAGTGTAAAAATTTAGTTGAAACTTCTGATAATTTTTTACAGAGGCATATGAGAAACAGTGTTAGTTAATATTTTAAGAAAGAACAAGAAGAAAATTACGTTAAGTTTTTCATTTCATTTCATGTATTTTCTAACAGTGAAAGTTATTAATTTGACTGTAGGTTAAAAACGTGTTGGACTAGAGCCATATTGGCCATATTCATTCTAAAGTCAGTGCTTATAATGATTTTGTGTGAATTTGAAATATATATAAATTTGAAATACTCACATTTAATACTATTGCTGCTTTGTTGTGTTTTTGTTTTGTTTTGTTTTGTTTTTTTTAAGAGACAGAGTCCTTGCTCCATTGTCCAGGCTGAGGTGCAGTGGCGCAATCATAGCTCACTGTAGTCTTGAACTCCTGAGGTCAAGGGATTGTCCCTCCTCAGCCTTCTGAGTAGTTGGGACTGTAGGCCTGTGCCACCCACCAGGTGCTATTCCCACTTCCTCCTTTCCCAGTATGTTGCCTAGGCTGGGCTTGAACTCCCTGCTTCAAGTGATCCTCCTGCCTTGGCCTCCCAAAGTGTGAGGATTGCATGTGTGAGCCACCATGCCTGCCCTATTGCTGTTTTTATGTCAAGAAATTGAAAACAAAATCAAGTAATAGAAATATTACTATTTAGGAAAGGGATAAATGTAACTATCTCAGTAGTAAATTTTGTTTTTGGCTATTAAGTATAACATTGAAGAATTAGCAGAATAAATATGAAATCAAAACTTAGAAGCATTTTGAGATACTTTTGGTATTCTGTTGCAAAGTATCTCAAAGTGAAAACAATAGTGAAATCATCACTAAAAAGAAAAGACTAATATATAACAGGTTTTTAAAAAATATTCAGCTCAAAAGGTCATTCTTGGTTCTGAGATTATATTTATCCTGAAATAATACTAAATCAAAACTATAAGCTAGTCAGTTAAGTCAGGGAACAGAATTGAGCCTAACATACTTCTGTTTTTGCTCATAGAATGACCTTTGAAACCTCTCTGAGCTCTGCTGTTTTTTAACTATTTCCCATCTGTGTACAGAGAAAAATGTATTACTAAGTCACAAGGCCTATATATTCCCACTTCCTCATTTCCCAGAATTTATGGGAAATTGGTTCTAATAGTTCCACAGTAGAAAGCAAGAAGACAGAAAGGAAAGAGAGCGCTTTTCCAACAGTTACAGGCACTGACAGCCTATGACAATATTTGAGTCTGGTTTGTTTGTAGTTTCTTCCAAATGTGTGTTCCTGAAAAAAAATCATACGAAGGAGGGTGAGTGAGCCCAGGTAAATGACATGTATGCAGCAGCTCCAGAGCGAGTGTACAGACATGTGTTTGGGTGGAGCACAGTGCTGTATCTAAGAGATGTTCAACAACCCAGTGGGTGAATGTAGTTGGCAGCTGAGCCATTGAGAATCAATTTGTATAAGTATCGGGAATGTGTAGATGCAAAAGACATATCAAGTATTGAGATGTAGTGACCAAACAGAAAACTTAACCTGGAAATTATTTTGTATATATTATTTAGTGAAAATATTTTTAAGGAAGGAAGCAAGGAGTACATACGTAGTACCTAATAATACAGGCTATACAATTACAAAAGGGTTTTTTAAGCTTGGTTTTAGTATGGTCCTTAAGCTAATTGCAATACTTAGAATTTTTCACTACCCTTTTTAGAAATCTACTAATTTTACATTTAAATGAATATTTAAATACAAATATAAATTAATTTCAATAACTTCTAGAAACTAATAATTATATTTATTTTCCTCCTCTAATTCATATAGCACGAACCTCATTTTTTCTATATATTTCTCCTTCAAAATATTATTTTCCTCCATATTTTCATACAGTTATATTTTGAGTATGTAATTTTTTAATTGATTTGTTATAAACATGCTTGTACTAATACAATTCTCCAAGATTACTTACACATTTTAAGGGCATCAAAACCACCTGTCATTGGCAGGTTGTGATAAGCATTTCTTTCAAGAGAATACCTAACACTTTCTCCATCAATCTTTTCCACTTTCATGGTACCAAATTTTATATAAAAGAAGTCACTGCTTGTTACTGAAACTTGAACCAGGTACTCAAAGACACCAAAACATAAAGCTATTGCCCACCACCATAAAGCCCACCAACCATCTTCTCACTTTATTCTATTTCATTTTTTAGTAATTTATTTATATTAGTCCATTAACACTGAAATCTCTTCATATTTTGTCCTTGCTACACTGAGCTGAGACAACATGTTTTGATTTCTCAATGTCATCAGTAGTATTAGGTAAATTCTAGAAGGTAAAAATGATATTATAGAATTACATACATAAACTATTGGGACATGATTAGTTATCAGAATATCACATTGATATCTCTAGTTTATAAAATCTCTAAGAATTAGGTATCATGTCCCAATGAGAACTATATTACAATAGAGTTGAAAATTCTGACCCATAGTTAGTCTAGTCTACTTTTTTTAGGTCTTTGCTTTCTGTTTCCCAGGTCTCCTACTTGTTGTTACTAACTTTCTGGAAAAATTCAGCAGACAACCAAAATTTATCATGGGATATTTAAACATTCTGTTATATATGGTACTTAGAACAACAGCTCTGTAAAATAGCTTCAATCTCATAGCCTGACCAAAGCAGAAAAAGAACAAAATCTCTTATAACACAACCTTAGAAAAGCCTTAACTACGTCCTTATTCCAGCAACTCAAATGTCCTATTTAAGACAATCACGTTTCAGAAGAGCTTAATATACAATATCTTCTATTTTATTATCCATGAAATACCCCAAATGTATTTTATTTTCTGTGGGAAGAGCTATATACGAAGAAGAATAACGAAAAATGTAGCCAATTTATACTTGAGTTAGAATCTATTGTGATATAAGTTAATCACACATGGGTATCCCATAATATGAAAAATACAACTGTAAAAATATATAAATTATTATAGTGCAACGGAAGACTCTTTACTTTTAAAGAAGCCTTTGAAAACAGGTTAACAAGCAATTTAACAACTAATTGTTAGAAAACTGACCTTGACTTGCAAACTTCAACTCTTTGGCATCTGTGACGGTGGTCCTTTTGTCAGACCCTTTTTTCTCTATTCGTCGATGGCTTCGTCTTTTCTTAGACTCTCCCCAAAGATTGGATCCTCCATGCATGCTTGGTATATTCAAAATAGCAATTCCTTCCAGAGAGATGTTTATTAAATCTATCTGTACTCCATCACACTGATCGGTAAAAAGAAAGAAACAGAAACGGAATATTTTATCTTTATTTCCCTGATTTCTTGTTTTTCATTTCCTCATCTTTTAATAAGTGCGTTGAAATCCATAATGTTGTCATTTCCAAACAAGCCTTTCAAGAACACTTAAACACTTACCCTGAGTCAATATAAAAGATAAAGCAGCCCCTAACATTAACCAGTTATCTCTAGAAGTCCTTAAAAATGATCAAATTAAATCACCAGTATATCTTTGTTTGTAGAAAACCTTTGGGAGAGACTCGTTAGCATCTGCATATATATTTAACCAGCTGCAAATTTCCAATGTGTTACAAAAAGGTTAATTCTGGAAACTATGGTCAAATTTTAGGAAGAAATTGTGATGATTGCCCCTGTTTAGAACACACTGCAAGGTACTATTGGGGGAAAGTACAGAAAGCAGATTGATGCCTCATGGTCTCACACCTTTGGGGCAGAGAAAGAAGTAGCTTAAAAGACTTTTGCTAAAAAAAAAAAAAGTAAAATTCAAAGCAGAGATTCTAAGAGATTTCAATCACACTGAATTTACCAAGGGTGGTTTCTTGGACTAGATGAAGTCCTAAGGAGATGTCAAAGGCCATGAGAGGCACAGTTGTCCAAATGAATATGGAGGGCCGGGTAGATTGATTGAGGGAAATAGTAGCAGTCAAAAGACCTTCAATCCAGCATGACTTTATAGCTGCTGCAAAAATGGTTAAAAAAAAACCAAGGTTAATCAGCCCAATTTTTCTTATTTTCCTGGTGACAAAACACCCTGGTGATTATGAAAAATATAAAATTCACTAACAAACAATGTTTTGTTATATTCAGAGTGGTCACTTCTTAGTTTTTTGAATTTTCCATTCATTTCCACTACTGGACATATGTGGACAGTGACAAGACTATTCTGTATTTTTAAAATTACTATTTATTTATTCATTTGCCTTGACTTCTTTAAAATGCTAGTTATTATTATACATTCTAGAAATTATTATCCCATTTTCAATTATAAGTGAATATGAAAAGAGATATAAGCGCTTTGTTTTTAAAAGAACTTTGTGAGGGATATGCATTTCCTAAATTGAAATATATTTACAGTGGCGTTGTTTCATTTGCCATGTCTTAGTACAGAAAAAATTATTGACACTAACTTCATCATTTCTCATGGCAGTCATGATTTTTGAACTCAGAAGACACAGTGTTCCATGAAAATGATGAAAAACAAACAAAACAAAACAAAAAAAAGCCCTCTCTTTTTCCACATTCGCCTCATCATACTGAAGCTAGGATTGCATCTTGTTCACTGAAAAATAAAAACTGTGAAATAAAGAAACACATCTTGAGACTACTTGGCAGGGGTAGAAACAAATTCTAGAGAAAGTGCCAAGTTTTCATTTAATTTGTTTCAATGAGGGCGAAACCAAGATCTGGATGATGCTTTTTTTTTTTTTTTTTTTTTTCCAGAAAGCAGTGCTTTTTTCCTCCTTTTCTGGTACTAAATTAAGATGATTTCTTTTTACTAAAGAATTCTGGTCATGTGTATACTCACTTACCGCTATATATTCTAGATAAACAGATATTAATTTCATAATTAAAAGTAATCTTGTGTAAATACCCTGCAGGCCTCAATGAATCAAACACATACTGTGTGTCAGGCCTCCCACTGTCTTCAAGTGGAATGTACTGGCTGGATAATTAGATAGTACATATTTTTTAACCTTATTTGCATGCATATTATATCTTTTGCACACTGACAAGCAGCAGTAACAACAAAAGTCAGATTACCACAGGGAATTCCCACAAAGAAGTCTTCATTCCTTATAATTTGCAGCCTAAATTAAAATAATTTGATCTTTGACAAGGATGAAATGTCAAGCAGAAGGGGGTCCTCTACAAGCCACGGCCTGTGGCTTCTGAAATCTGCCTAATTTATGTCAGTCACTTCTTAATACATATTTAAGTATTACACGAAAAAGATGATAAATATGCAATCTGACACCTTTGGTATTTCCCTGCTGTTAATTTATAAAGGTCTGGCTTCCCCCAAACTGACTAAAATCATTTAAATAACAGAAGAATCATGAAATAAGCTGGAGTCAGGGCCTGGCTTCCATTTTCACTCAATATTGAACACAGCAGGTAGTACACTAAGACAATTATTTGACTAGGCCTTAGAACCCCACTGTGACAAGTTACTTTCAGAATTAGTGAAGGAGGATTCCTTTGTTCATCTGCAGAAAAGGAGAGCATGTTGCAAAGAGGCTTCTTTTTTTTTTAAAAAAAAGAATTGAACCAGCTGAGTTACATGTGACAATTGAAAAACATGAGTGTATGCTATTATTCATGTTTTCACTCTTCAGAGTTTTGTCATGTGTAGTTTTAGGGAAACAGAGTAAGTAGCTCTCTGAGAAGTGAAAAAAAATTCTCAAACAGTCGCAAAGAACAAGGACTGATGAAGAACATTGATGTTCCTTTGAGAGCAGGACAATGTACTTAAATAAATTGCTATTTATTAATGATTTGTTTCCACTTGTTCTTGACCCTAGGCTACCTTCCTCTGTTTGCTTTAACGTTATGTTCATTAGTCTGGAAAATTTCAGTGCTGGTTCTGATGGAGACCAGTAATTGTAGCACACCAGTTGAGTGCATGAAAGTAAAAGCTGAGGTGAAGGCTATGAAATATAAACAAGTTATAGTACTGTGTCAGATAATATTTTCATTCCCTTTGAGATTTATGACTTTTAAAAAGGTAGCTACAGAGGAAAAGAATATAAAAGCTTAAAAGCTAACAGCCTCAGTTAGTCAATAAATCCTGAATATTTTTATTAGGTAGAAAAAAGGTCGTTAACATATAGTACTATGGGAGCTATTTATAGAGTGCAAGGCTGTGATGCCATTGTCTGCTCTTTTCAGTTTTAAAATAGAGGATCTTATTCCAGAGACAAATATAATTAAAAGAAAAGAAGACGGTTTCAATTTTTCTGCCAATGTGTTTTAACCTTCATAAATAAATGAGTCCTGGGTCACACCGTACAGAGGTGTTAAAAACAAGCTTTATATGTGACTTTAGTGTTTCAGATCCACTTAACATGTCAGTTGATAGGACTATTCAAAACATGTGAAGAACTTTGGAGAGCTCTAAGTGTGGATGGTAAATGTGATGAGATACAATTAATGATAAACTGTAATTTTTTTCCATAGTAGGTCTGATTCTATGTCTATATCAGATAAGAATTATTTCTATTTTTACTCAATGAAACGTAAAACATTACTTTATAGGTAATTTCAGTATTAGGACACATGGGGCAGAGACTATGCTTGGGAACTCTGGCTATTGCCTCTAAGAACTCTGTTTTCCAGGTTACTGAGCAATAAGAATATTGTCTTTTGAATCCTGCTAATTTATTTTGTGTTTTTGATGCTAGTCATGCCATTCATTAATTCTTGAGATCATTTAGGTTTCTAGGGGTATTTAATCATTACAATAAATCAGTACTTTGGGATGGAAATTCTTGGCTTTAAAATTTACCATCTTTCCCAGTATCCCTGTCAACCAAAAGACTGAAATATCTATAGAATAGGCTTTCTTATTCTCTCATTAACTTTGCCTGGTACTCTGAGCAAACTGAACATTCATGAACTCTGTATCTTCAATTCCAAATGCTGACCTGAGTTTCTTAGGCACACATTTCACCCCTCCAAATACTTTAATATAAACATTGGTTTTAAAATATTTTCTTGTAATTTTAAAGAATTTATTTTTATCTTTTGTAATAAAGTTAGAAGATAAATGAATATCTTTAAAAAATTCTACTTCGTGTATCATTAAATCTTTACATGTATGTGTAAATACATATATTTTTCAATCAATTTGCTCATTAGATTTAAACATTGTGGCAGCAACATAATTCTTATTTCTCTTAAATTACTGAAGAAAATGTTTATCTCTGCAATGGAGATATAACAGTATCATAAGGTTTTGATAAAGACTAAATCAAATAATATATGTGCATTGTTTAGCATCACCTGTGAGACAGTTAATAATAGGTAAATCTTAACTATTATTCCATGATATTCATATCAACCCAAATATTTGCCCTCTTTTGAAGGTGCTCACTATGTGAAAGAGAAATATTAAATAAAAAGACACACAAAAGATAGTTTGATTTTGAAAAAGCTGCCAATAAAACATGTATCTATTGCTGGAGGTTCTGTTTTTACTGAAGTAGTTTATTCTGTTATATATTTTTCAAACCATAGTAGGTATAATTTTAGGACAAATAGGAAGCAACAACAAACAGAATCAAATTTTCGAATTTCTGTTTTTGTTATATTTAATTATAAAATAACCTTGAGGGTAGAAAGGCATATTCTGCTAATATGATAGACAGGATTCATTAAAAAGTGAGCAGAGAAGCAGATTTTGCCTAGCTATCCACACACACACACACACACACACACACACACACACACACACAACAAGATATGCAAAAATACAAGGGGGCATGCACACAGTGCTGGCTGTGATTTATAAATATTATTTTAATAGCTCCCAAAATAAGCCAGGGATGCAGAGCTAGAAGGTCAGGCTGAGAGAGTAAGCAGAAACAGCACTCCAAGAAACATAACTTAGTTCTAGTAGCCCAGATTTCTTGGAGAACATTCTAAATAGTTTTTCTGTCAGATCTCAAGCTCTGTGGATCAAAACCACTTAATTTTATCATTATTTAGCATATTACAAATCACCGTTTTCAAATATATTTTCATTCAAAATCTTTTGCTGTAAACACAACACTTTTCTTAAAGATTTTTTTTTTGTACTTTGTGACACATAGAATCTTATTTTATAGATCAACAGCTTTTAAATCTGTGCTCAAGGGTAGGATAAAGTAAAGGGAGGTGCAGGAGGATTCAGGATCTCCACCTACATTCAACCAAAGCCATACTTCTAATTTTTCTAAAACTTTTCAGCTTCTGCTGCAAATTGTATTTGAGCATAATTTTTGAGGATAAGAAATATTCAAAATCTAGTATATAAAGCAGTTTTTTTAAAAAAATAATGATTCTAAGAGTAAAGGGGTATGTATATGTTTTATTGAATATATATGCACATAAATATGTATATGTATATAACAATACATATGACACATATATAACCATATATACTATATATTTAACTATATATGTAGTTATATATGTCATATATTATTATATATAATATATATAACTAAATATATAACTAAATGTAGTTACAGATGTCATATATTATTATATACAATAATATATAACTAAATATATAACTGTAGTACATATACAATTATTATATAGATATACATGCATATAGTTATATATGTGTTATATATATCATTTTATATACAGTTATTTGTGTGCATATATCATACATATACACAGATATATCATCCTAAATAGTAATAACAGAAAGTCCACGTTGAACCCAAATCCTTCACCTCTGTAATTATGTTCCTTTCAAAGGTTATGATCTGATCCTGTTATGAAGGGTTTTTTCCCATTCCATGACCATCAATTCTAATACTTAATTATATTTACCAATCATGATGAGATAAAAGTGCTAAAAGGTTACACTGAGAGTAGTATCATTTTTTGGTATTATTAATAACAGCAAATTAGAAATTTAGGATAATGAAGAACTTAGCCAGGCCATTGTGTGGTCCATAACTACTTCTGTTTACCAAACTTATTACCTGAATATAAGGAACTAATGATTTAGGTATCAGTAGCAAATTTTTGCATTTATTTTTAAAATGAAAAGTGTTGAAGCCAATGTTTCTTAATTCATATCAACTAGTCATTAAGTGTTCATGTTTCATAATTCTGTTCCTCTGGTTTTGTCTTTATCATTTGTCAAAATATAACTTTTCTTTTTTCTTTAACCCCTAAAAATCTCTCAATATAACGAAGTCATTTTCTTTTATAATATTTCTCCAAAATTTTGAGTCCTACAGTGTCTTTTTTTTTTACAGACCTATTTGCTCCAAGTCTTTTTAAAATGTGTCTTTTCTTGCTATCTTTGCTCTCTTTCTTGGCATTTCCACTTTCTATAAATGTAATGGGGAAATGGCAACCTTGGGAACTGAGAAAACCTAGTTAATGAATGGGAATGGAATGGAAAAGTATACTTTTTAACCTTTATTCATAAAAGTAAGTACAATTTTAGCAAAGTGTGTTTTAAAGGTTACAAGATATTGAGACCCGAAAATAATATTTTTTATGTATTCTGCAACTTTTTTCTTCCCAACTACTTTTATCTTACCTTTCTATCTGCACTATGCCCAGTAACAACTGCATCAATTTCCAAAGTTGTGTTCCACTTCTCATTCTTTTATACTATAATAAAATAACCCATATCTACACTTAACTTTAGTATGTCAGATAGTGCTGTATTCCAAATGAGTGAAAGGAATGACAATTTAAAATCTTGAGTAAGTCTCTGTGGATTGCTAATATATATTTCATTCCATGGGCTCCAATGCAAATATACTAACAACAAAGCTCAAGCCATTTCATCATATTACAAAAGAGAATTCATTTTTTTCTTACTTCTATTTCTACAGATTCATGTAGCTTCTTGCAGGTGGCTGAGAAAGTTTCAGATGTGCCAAACTCAAAATACCAAAATTTGTTCTTCATTCTGAAAAAGAAAAGGAAGAAGCACCTTAGGCAATTATCAATAACAGAGGGATCTTTTAAAAAATGGTCTAACTCTGTCTTGTGTTATAATAGAAAAGGTCTGAGGACATGTGACATCTAAAATGTAATAGATGGTCATATAATTTTCAAAGCTTAAATGTGGGTGCCAAACTGTATGATGGCCTTGAGGGAATTATAAGAATGTGTTGATCTAGCAGACTCAAGTACACCTTTAGTTTTTTGTGGGTTCATCACATTTTAAAAAACGGTTTTAATGCTCATGATTCTTAGCTTGTTCTTAGGCAAAAAGTGAAGAATGTACAATAGTGGGAAATTATGATACAGCATAAAGTTTTTTAGTTCTTTCAAGAATTAACTAATAATATAGAATAAAATAACTAAGAAAGTAATAACAATATTATATCAATAAAAGTTGCAAAGAAATATAATTAAAATAATTTCAGTATTTAATCTTAAAGTAAAAGACTCAAAATTTATTTTCTTCTATGACTTGATATTTTTGGCTTTTTGTACCAGGTAATTAAATTTATTATCACTTAATGTAACTTTACAAAGGTCAAATAGATTTTTATATTATCTAGTATTGGATTTGAAATTTTATTCTTGTGAAAAAAATGCAGTATTTGATTATGCATAATTCTAATAGTGATCATGCCCTCAATTAGAAGACAATACATGTAAGTGACAGACATTTTCACACATAGAAATGAAACAAAGAAGTTTTTGTTATGGTATTCGAGTATGTCTCTCATATCAAATTAAAGTATTCTGTTTGACTTATAAATATTGATATCTGCTTCTTACATTAGAATGTAAAACATTTTGACAATTAAAAAGACATTTGGCAAAGGCCTTACTACTTAATTCAAGCCTATTATTGGTTTGGAAAATGACATTAAACCTAATAGAGTGCTTATTATTATGCTATGTTAAATCCAATAGAGTGCTTATTATTATGCAGAGTTCTCTGATATAAAATTATAAAATACAAAGCAATGTTATATTATCTATCTAAACATAGTCAATAATGTTTAGGCTCTCACAAGGTTTTATTTGCTTAAAAAATTCACAATCCCTTCATGAATCAGTCATATTCAGGCCAGTAATCTGAAGGTCAGTATAAGTTTCATAGGATTCTAGCACCATGAATCTTTATTCTTTTCCAGAGAATATTTGACTTAGTTTATGGCCTGATTTCATATATGTGAGCAGATATAAACAGATGATAGTGAAGTAGGTTAGAGGTAAACATTTAATGACAAGATTTGTGGGCCTGTATCTACAGATGTGTCTATATTAAATTAATGTAAATGTCTATTTTATAGAATGGTTAGGCTTTTATAAATTTACACACTGAAGTCATGTAAAATTAAAATATTTTGCTATTGAGATTTATCATTCTGATGAAAAACATATCATTCTACAGATGGAGAGAAAAATATTGGTTTATACAAAGAGGTCTGAAGACATTCTTAATGAATATTTTATGACTATTGGAATAGTCTTTCTATATTCAGCAACTTTCTAATAACATTTTTGTGTTATTCTTTTCTCCAGACCTTCCAGGATTGATTCATTCATTCAACAAAAGTTTAATGAGAACACTCTCTCTGTTAAGTACTATAGACACAAATATAAATGCAATTACCTTTGTCCCCAAGAAGCTCAGAATGTTATAAACTTATGGGCATATCAGTTTGTTAAGGGAGGCAGGAAGGTAATGGAGGGAGTATGCCTGGACATGTGAGGCCCACTGGGATCTTGGTTATTATGGCCCTTATCTGCCAGGACTGAGTCTCTTCCCTACACTGTCTCAAAACCACAATTAGATATCACCTCCTTTTTGTTAGGATGGCTATTTTCAAAATACCTCAGATAACAAGCACTGGCAAGGGTGTGGACAAAAGGGAACATTTGTATACTGTTAGTGAGAAAATAAATTTGTACAGCCGTTATGGAAAACAGTACTAAGTTTCCTCAAAAAATTAAAAAATAGAACAACCATGTGATCCAGCAATCTCTCTTCTGTATATATACCCCAAAGAAATGAAATCAATACCTCAAAGAGGTATTGTTGGACCTTATGCTAAGTGAAGGAAGCCAGAACAGAAAGACAAATCTTGCATGATCTCACTTATATGCAGAATCAAAAAAAGTCAAATACATAGAAGCAAAGAGTACAACTGTGGTTATCAGGGGTCAAGAATTGGGGGAAATAAGGAAATGTTGGTCAAAGGATGCAAACTTACAGTTATAAGATAAGTAAGTTTTGGAGACCTAATGTACAGTATGGTGGCTATAGTTAATAATAATGTATGGTAGCAAGGGGGAAAATAATGTATTATATATTTGAAATTAACTAGAGTAGTAGATTGTAAGTTTCTATGTGAAGTCATGGATATGTAATTAGCTTCATTGTGATAATTATTTCACAATATATGAAAACATAATGTTGCACATCTTGAATATATGTATAATTTTTAAAAATTTGTAAATTATACCTTAATAAAGCTGGGGAATAATAAATAGACATTATTTTGCGATAAATTTAGATTCACATGCAGTTGTAAAAAGTAACACAGAGGAGTCCAATGTGCCCATTACAGTTTCCCCCAATGAAAATATCTTGCAAACTGTAGTACAACAGGACAACCACAATGCTGACATTGATACAGTTAAGATGCAGAACAGTCCCGTCACCACAAGGTTCCCTCATGTTGCTCTTTTATAACCACCCCCACTTCTACCTGCCCCCACTCCCTCCTTTCCTTCGACAACCACTAATCTGTTCTCTAGTTCTATAATTTTGTTATTTCAAGAATGGATACAAATGGACTCATATAATAAGCAAATTTTGGCATTTGAATTTCTCACTTAGATTCATCCAGGTTGTTTCACATATCAACAGTTTCTTCCTTTTATCACTGAGTAGTAGTACATGGTATGAATGCATCATAGCAAAGGACTAGTATTTAGAATATATAAAGAACTCTGATGATTCGGCAGTAAAAGCAACCCAAACAATTTAATTAGAAAGCAAGAAAAGACATAAACAGACATTTCACCAAAATAGATATACAGATGGAAAAAAAAATGTAAAGATGCTCAACGACATTAGCGTTTAGAGAAATACAAGTTAAAACCACAATGAGATATCACCCCACACTTAACAGAATGACTAAAATTAAAAAAAGTAAAAAAAATCTTGAATATATATAATTTTCATGTGATTTGTACCTCAATGAAGCTGAACATAAAAACACTGGTCTATTATGAAAAATAATAAATTGAGTTTCTAAATGAAATATGAGCCAAGTATTGTAGGAACATACTTCAATGATTCAGCTAATTTTATCTCAAGAGTCCTGCAAGCTTTAGAATAAAAGGTAGCATGTGAATGGATAAGTAGTAGAAGGCAAGCAGAGAAGGAAGAAGAGACAAGTTCTGTGCACCTTTGGGAGTGCTGTATGATTTTAGAGTAGGCTAAATACCGACTAACAAGTGTGGTAGGGTCTGTTTCAGAACATGTAAACAAAGTTAATGGTTTTAGACTTGATCTTATGATTAAGAAGAAGCTGACAGAAGTTTATTAGCAGAGGGGTGACATCGTGAACTTTGTTTTATGGGCAAACAAATCTGGCAGAAACATAAAAATGGGCTGGAGTGTTGAAATGCTGGTGTCATTAAGAGAACTGTAGTTATTGCAATAATTCATATAAAATATAATTGAAGGCCTAACCAAATGGCAACAGAAATGGAAAAGAGGGGCTCAATTCAAGAGCTATAAATGAGGTAGAATCAATAGGAACTGGTGATATTTGATTTTACTGATTTATGCCATACCTAGATTATCTCTGAATGCATAGACGAGAATACCAGAGTCTAAATCCAGCCTAAAAAGAGATATGGGTTTATATTTTGGCAGGTTCTGTGATCTAATGTACACTGTATCATAGTTTGAAAATTTAAAAAATATATATACGAGGTTTTGGCTTGTATAGAAATGATTATTCCCTGTATTTCCATTATGTCCATCAAAGTTCCTCACAGCGTAATTAGCATTATGTGTGTTTCTATCAGTTATCCAAGATATGCTCACTTTAGCAAACATATCACAAGAAACAGAAATTCTGAGAATTTACATTCAGCCCTTATTCACCATATTAGTTAGCATTACTGCTCATGTGCAAAAGCTACTTTAAATTCTCCATTATTACAACCATTTTATGTTTCACTTAGATAAATATATGGAGGTAATAAAATGCACATGGTATCAGATTCCACATGACAAATTGAAGGCTGTTAAATTTTATTTTTTTCAACCAAACTGGTTTTAGGTTGTAGAAATGCAAAAAAGCACATTTAAGCATTTATGCTATCTACTTTTATGATTCACATTAGAAAATGATCCAAATAATTCAAACTCAAATTTGTCAGTGAAAACATAGCTTTGGACTTTAAGAATATGGTAACTCGACATTTAACCTATTGTGAAATGGTCACAGCAAAGTCAAATTTATCGTATTCCTGGACAGATTTTGTGACTCCAAGGAAAGTAACAAAGGTTCTGTAAACCTCACAAAAGTTATTCATGTAATTATTATTTGAATTAACGTAGTAAACCCTATGCCAATGAATGTAATTGTAAATCTACAAGTTTCTATTTAATGCTCAAAGTGCTTGGCTACCAGATAGCCAGGTAAAGACGAAGAAATTGGCTCCCATTTACCTGGAATTTTCATACGAACTGTAATTTTGCTTCTTTTACGTATCCTGAGTAATGTGAACTATCAGAGACTTTGTTCAAGCAAAATCCTTCTTGTTGCTATGAAATTTAGTTAATATTCAGTTCTTCAAGTTTTTAACTTTCAAATGGGTAATTTAATTTCCAGCAATATATTTTCCTTGGAATTTTTCTTCCTGCCTTACATGTCTTTTATTTTGGCTTTCATCGGCTTAGTAACATTAACGAAGTAAACATAAAACAAAACAAACAAACGAAACAGTAAAGTACCAGTGCATTTTCCGAAAAGAATAAAAAGTAACCTAATTAGACATGAAACTCATTTCTAACAAAGATGCAACATACAGAGGGCGATGAAATTATCTCATTTGTCTTACTGTGGAAGACTCAAAAGTCATAAGCAACAAAAAAGTTTTGACTTAGTGAAACTACTCTGAGAGGTCATATTTTTATTTTACAGGTGCATTTGTTTTATTATTTTTCATGTATTTAGTGGGGATTTAGGTGGCACAGGAAGATAATTTATTATGTAGAAAACAGAAAGACTTCTACTAGATACTGAACCCATTTTCAAGCATCGTTAACTAAGCGATTTGACCTATATTGTATGGATAACATGCTCAACAGAGGAGAAAATAAATCTCTTTTGATCTTTGCTTTTCAAATAAAAACAAAATCATAATATTTTAAGTAGCTTAGTTAAAATGAAATTAAATATTTAATTACTAAGGATGTTTCAGAAATCCTATCTTTTTTATTAGTTGTTTTCACTTTTGTCCTGTTATTAAAATATTTTATGTGTCATTTCAAATCTGGTTTTAAAATAATTTTCTCATGGAGAACATAGTTTTTAACTATGTTATTCAGTAACTTTATTTTAATACTAAAACAGTCTCATAATTCTATGGCATAGCCGGAATTTGGACTTGCTTAACTATGCTGGTTAATGGGAAAGGTTGACTTATAGTAATACTGCAGAGTAAGTGTTTAAAGTGGGTACATTTATGTCATAGAATCAATTCAGTTTTATTCACTTTTTCATTGCCAAGAAACATTACACTAAACATGGGTTATAGGGTTACTCATTTATTCCTAAACGTAGTGAGGTATTACTTTAAAAAATACACCACAAGTCAAATGGAAGGGCCCTGGTGGGACCTGATTCACCAGTGAATGAGGAGCGTCTGAAAGCTGCAGTTCAGGGAGAGAAAAGCACTCCCAGAGTAGCTGCAGCAGACAGAATGTTGGCAGGGCACAGGGAGCCTGGTCGGCAAACGAGCCCTAGGTCAGTGCAGAGGGAAAGGGAGGATACATTTGTAGTTTGTTTTTCATCACTTCTTGAAGTCCCCTGGGAAATTAAATGTCATCTGTATGAACTATGGCCACAGGTATTTGTTAGGAACTAAGTCCTGGCCCAGTTGAATAAAATCAGCAATTTATTTTTTTTTGATTGGCAACTATAAATTCACCAATAAAGAGTTATGAAAAAGGTTGCTCAAAGTATGTAATAGTGGCATGAATGGGAACTTTTACTCAAATTTGTAAAAATTATGGTATCAAATTTAAGTGTATAAAAAGTTAGGTATTTGCTTGTAGAAACTTGAAACTACAATTTTGTGGCAATTACTATTCAGATGAACACATTAGTGGTGGAAGTGACCCGAAATTCTACACATGTTATAGAAAGAACTCCATTTTATTTAAACCGCTAAACTCAGGCTTTTTTGTTCACAGAAATGTGTACTTTTTTTTGGAGTAAGAGAATAATGTTGACAACATTATTTTATAAGGAAGAAACACAGCTATAATCACTGCAGTGGAGACATTTAATATTCACACCGAAGAAGGCAAACATTTTTCATATTTCTAGACAACAGGTAGAGATATAAATTTATTCAAATGACAGATAAAAATGCTTGTATCTAATGCTCATTCATAAGACGTGCTTGTTAAGTCCCAGGGAGACAATGAAATAAGCTACAGAAACTTCAGACAGAATCATATGCTACTCCATCTTAGTTTATAAAAGAAAAGATGGATATTCTAAAACCGTAATTTTTAACCTGAATTACTTTTACAGGACTAAAGAAACTTTTTTTATATGTAAGTGTAAGAAAAGGATGCACCCAAAGATCAAATATTTTAGTTTTTAATCATTTCAACAATTCCCTATGGAAAAAAAAAGTGGTTATTTAAGTATTTTGATGTATAAGAATTTTCTATCATAATACTAATTATTTCTTACCTAAATGTTCTCTAGTTCTCTATTTGTATTGTACATTAGAACTAATTACAGAGCAAAAATGGAAAAAGTATATAAGCAGTAGTGATCCCACATTGCAGAGTCATACAAAAACGTACACAAAGTAAGTCCCTAAGAGCAGTGATAAATTCATAATTATTTGAAACGTAAAATGAAACATGTAAAATGTTTAAACAATAACCAATCATGTTAAGAATTGAATACATTTCAATAATAATTAAATCTTTACTATTATTGGCTCACAACCTGTAATCCCAGCACTTTGGGAGGCAGAGGTAGGCGGATCACGAGGTCAGGAGTTTGAGAGCAGCCTGACCAACATGGTGAAACCCTGTCTCTACTAAAAATACAAAAATTAGCCCAGCGTGGTGGCGCGTGCCTATAATCCCAGCTACTCGGGAGGCTGAGGCAGGAGAATCGTCTGAACCCGGGAGGCGGAGGCTGCAGTGAGCTGAGATCGTGCCATTGCACTTCAGCCTGGGCAACAAGAGCGAAACTCTGTCTCAAAAACAAACAAAAAAAACCAAACAAATAAAAAAAATAAATGTTTCATAATAATAAAAGTGTCCCTAAGAAATTTATTAGAAAGATTTAATGAAATGTATGATAGTAATAATTGCTGTTGTTACGGATCATAGCACTGTCTCAAATGAGCTTAGAAGTGATGCTTCCAACATTTCATGGGAAGTAGCAAAATCTAACTCAAGAAACCCTAGCTTTTTTCCCAAATGTCTCTCATTATATACAATAATGAATGCAGCATCACTTGAACCTTTTTTTCCTGAGCCATAAGGAAAATGTTATAGGCCAGAAAGGTCATCATTAGATGACACCTTTGTTCATATTTCTGTTTAAGTGCTTTTATTTCCCTCTTCTGAAATAAGCCAACTAAAGAAGACAATGTAACCTAGAGCTGACTAATGGAACCTGAGGGAAGTATACCGTGGGCATCTAGGAAAGATTTTTTTCTCTGATCAAGACACATACAAAGTAAAAGCTTTGCCCCTCTTTTCCTATTTTTGCATGTTCTCAAGGAAAAATAACTGGAGATGAAGCAGCCTTCTTGCCCCTATGAAGGAAAAGACAAGGGAAACCCAGAGATGACCCAGATTCTGGACAGAGCTGAACTGGCTCATCAGCAACCTTGAAATAGTCTCTGAATTTTTACTCGTGAGAGATACATAAATAGAATCATTATTTATTTTGCATATTCTGTCACTTGCAGCCAAAGCACACTCAAAACATAACTCACTATGTTTTATAAAAGAATTTTCACATATATTATTGAGATATTAGAAAACCTAAATGAATATTTTTCATACAATACTATTTTTCTAAATGTGAAACTTGGTAGTGGCTGAAATAAAGGAGGTAAAGTAGAGAATTTCTGTTCACCATAATTGCTTGTTTTTATCTTGTGCCAAGATATGCAGATATCACTGAATATGCTTTCCTCATCTGACTTGCTGTCCCCCTAAATTTTCTAAGAGTCATTTTCACACTTACATGCATGAAATAATTTTTTTAAAAAACATGAAACACTGCTTTTTTGGAGTGCTCCCAATTTGCATCAGATATTTTATCACTGTCAATGAAGTCTGTATAGACCAGTGAGTGGTAAGTTGACACTTTTCTTCTTCCCCCATCCCACATCCAATAACTTAAAAATACAGTCACCTTGTGGTGTTTGAATTAATAAAATATACCCTGATGTCTGAGATTATCTGCAAAAATATTTAAGATATGGTATTTCTCTATAATATAAATAGGAACATGTACAGCCTAGTGAAAATTGATAGCAAAATGTAATAAGGTATGTGTTCTTGTATACACAAAAAGCTGTAGTTTATTTAATTGAATTATATTCATAAATAAAAAGTGTCCAACAAACAAAAATTGTTTTCAATAAGTTTTAAAAAATAAGAGGGCACTACAAATGCAGATATTAGCATGTTTCCACTCCTGACTTTGGGTATCAGGGGAGGTTAGCATAACCCTCTTTCTGGTAGAATAGAAATTCATTTATTCAACAATCTGAGCATTTACTATAGGTCCAGTACTGTTATAAGAATTGGAATTATGTTTATACAAGAAAAGAAGAGATCTCTACATAACACTTACTTTGTATTAGAAAAAATACATTAAATTATTTAATATAAATTGAGATCAAGTGCTATAAAGAAGATACACAAGATGGTATGTGTGTATACAATAAAAGCAAATTGAGAGCCTTCTTTAAAAAGAAATTGACCAGGCCTTCCAAAGGTTCTTTTGCTGAAATTCCATAGTTACCAAGCAATCTGGAAGTTAATTTGGCTTTCTATGGATTTTGATATAATTAATAGGATGTCTTAAATTATGGAATTGTGTATCTGAATCCCTGGAAAGGAATTATCATCACCTCCCCTATATATTAAGTGGTATATAAATTTTATAGTAGATAAAGTTGAGCAAGTGAATAAGAGCCTGACCATTTCTGGGTGTCATGATTCAATTATGTTTCCCCATTTGCCAAGATGAGAGTGAGACTCTGGACTATGGATGATCACATAATCAAGGTAGTGCCCACTGGAAAACCCGAATAACCTTCCTAGGCAGCAGAAACAACTAGCTGGATTATACTAGTTGACTATGTTGAGCTAGACAGCAAATAGCAGAAGAATTGCTTGTTCCCCCATCCTCTTTCTGCCATTCACCAGTTGACTTTCTTGGCTCTCTCCCTCTCTCCCCCTCCCTCCCTCTCTCTCTTTCTCCACCAACCCCCCATCCTATTTAGTGGTCTTTATTGAATCCATTAAGTCAATCAATTGTTTAAGCACAGGTGTGAGAATATAAGAATATAAAGTTCATTTCTTTCTCTTGCCTGATTGCCCTGGCCAGAACTTCCAACACTATGTTGAATAGGAGTGGTGAGAGAAGGCATCCCTGTCTTGTGCTGGTTTTCAAAGGGAATGCTTCCAGTTTTTGCTCATTCAGTATGATATTGGCTGTGGATGTGTCATAAATTGCTCCTACTATTTTGAGATATGTTCCATCAATACCTAGTTTATTGAGAGTTTTTAGCATGAAGGGCTGTTGAATTTTGTTAAAGGCCTTTTCTGCATCTACTGAGATAATCATGTGGTTTTTGTCGTTGGTTCTGTTTATGTGATGGATTAATTTATTGATTTGTGTATGTTGAACCAGCCTTGCATCCCAGGGATGAAGCCAACTTGATCATGGTGGATAAGCTTTTTGATGTGCTGCTGGATTTGGTTTGCCAGTATTTTATTGAGGACTTTTGCATCGATCTTCATCAGGGATATTGGTCTAAAATTCTTTTTTTTTGTTGTGTCTCTGCCAGGCTTCGGTATCAGGATGATGCTGGCCTCATAAAATGAGTTAGGGAAGACTCCCTCTTTCTCTGTTGATTGGAATAGTTTCAGAAGGAATGGTACCAGCTCCTCCTCGTACCTCTGGTAGAATTCGGCTGTGAATCCAGCTGGTCCTGGACTTTTTTTGGTTGGTAGGCTATTAATTACTGCCTCAATTTCAGAACTTGCTATTTGTCTATTCACGGATTTGACTTATTCCTGGTTTAGTCTTGGGAGGGTGCATGTGTCCAGGAATTTATCCATTTCTTCTAGATTTTCTAGTTTATTTGCATAGAGGTATTTATAGTATTCTCTGATGGTAGTTTGTATTTCTGTGGGATCAGTGGTGATATCCTCTTTATCATTTTTTATTGCATCTATTTGATTCTTTCCTCTTTTCTTCTTTATTAGTCTTTCTAGCGGTCTATCAATTTTGTTGATCTTTTCAAAATCCAGTTCCTGGATTCATTTATTTTTTGAGGGGTTTTTTGACTCTCTATCTCCTTCAGTTCTGCCCTGATCTTAGTTGTTTCTTGCCTTCTGTTAGCTTTCCAATTTGTTTGCTCTTGCTTCTCTAGTTCTTTTTTTTTTTTTTTTTTTTTTTTTTTGAGACGGAGTCTCGCTCTATTGCCCAGGCTGGAGTGCAGTGGCACGATCTCGGCTCACTGCAAGCTCCGCCTTCCGGGTTTATGCCATTCTCTTGCCTCAGCCTCCCGAGTAGCTGGGACTACAGGTGCCTGCAACCACGCCCAGCTAATTTTTTGTATTTTTAGTAGAGATGGGTTTCATTGTGTTAGCCAGGATGGTCTCAATCTCCTGACCTCGTGATCAGCCCACCTCAGCCTCCCAAAGTGCTGGGATTACAGGCGTGAGCCACCACGCCCGGGCTTGCTTCTCTAGTTCTTTTAATTATGATGTTAGGGTGTGGATTTTAGATCTTTCCTGCTTTCTCTTGTGGGAATTTAGTGCTATAAATTTCCGTCTACACACTGCTTTAAATGTGTCCCAGAGATTCTGGTATGTTGTGTCTTTGTTCTCATTGGTTTCAAAGAACATCTTTATTTCTGCCTTCATTTTATTATTTACCCAGTAGCCATTCAGGAGCAGGTTGTTCAGTTTCCCTGTAGTTGTGCAGTTTTGAGTGAGTTTCTTAATCCTGAGTTCTAATTTCATTGCACTGTGGTCTGAAAGACAGTTTGTTATTTCTGTTCTTTTACATTTGCTGAGGAGTGCTTTACTTCCAACTATGTGGTCAATTTTGGAATAAGTGCAATATGGTGCTGAGAAGAATGTATATTCTGTTGATTTGGGGTGCAGAGTTCTGTGGATGTCTATTAGGTCTGCTTGGTGCAGAACTGAGTTCATGTCCTGGATATCCTTGTTAACCTTCTGTCTCACTGATCTGTCTAATATTGACAGTGGGGTGTTAATGTCTCCCATTATTATTGTGTGGGAGTCTAAGTCCCTTTGTGGGTCTCTAAGGACTTGCTTTATGAATCTGGGTGCTCCTGTATTGGGTGCATATATATTTAGGATAGTTAGCTCTTCTTGTTGAATTGATCCCTTTACCATTACGTAATGGCCTTCTTTGTCTCTTTTGATCTTTGTTGGTTTAAAGTCTGTTTTATCAGAGACTAGGATTGCAACCCCTGCTTTACTTTGCTTTCCATTTGCTTGGTAGATCTTCCTCCATCCCTTTATTTTGAGCCTATGTATATCTTTGCACGTGAGATGGGTCTCCTGAATACAGCATACCAATGGGTCTTGACTCTTTATCCGATTTTCCAGTCTGTGTCTTTTAATTGGGGCATTTAAACCATTTACATTTAAGGTTAATATTGTTATGTGTGAATTTGATCCTGTCATTATGATGTTAGCTGGTTATTTTGCCCGTTAGTTGATGCAGTTTCTTCATAGCATTGATGGTCTTTATAATTTGACATGTTTTTGCAGTGGCTGATACCGGTTGTTCCTTTCCGTGTTTAGTGCTTCCTTCAGGAACTCTTGTAAGGCAGGCTTGGTGGTGGCAAAATCTCTCAGCATTTGCTTGTGTGTAAAGGATTTTATTTCTCCTTCACTTATGAAGCTTAGTTTGGCTGGATATGAAATTCTGGGTTGAAAATTCTTTTCCTTAAGAATATTGAATATTGGCCCCTACTCTGGCTTGTAGAGTTTCTGCAGAGAGATCTGCTGTTAGTCTGATGGGCTTCCCTTTGTGGGTAACCCGACCTTTCTCTCTGGCTGCCCTTTACATTTTTTCCTTCATTTCAACCTTGGTGAATCTGACAATTATGTGTCTTGGGGTTGCTCTTCTCAAGGAGTATCTTTGTGGTGGTCTCTGTATTTCCTGAATTTGAATGTTGGCCTGCCTTGCTAGTTTGGGGAACTTCTCCTGGATAATATCCTGAAGAATGTTTTCCAACTTGGTTTCATTCTCCCCGTCACTTTCAGGTACACCAGTCAAATGTAGATTTGGTCTTTTCACATAGTCCCATATTTCTTGGAGGCTTTGTTCATTTCTTTTTACTCCTTTTTTGTCTAAACTTCCTGCTTTATTTCAGTAATTTGATCTTCAATCACCGATACCCTTTCTTCCACTTGATCGAATCGGCTATTGAAGCTTGTGCATGCCTCACGTAGTTCTCGTGCCATGGTTTTCAGCTCCATCAGGTCATTTAAAGTCTTCTCTGCATTGCTTATTCTAGTTAGCCATATTCAATAAGGAAAATAAGAAGTCAAATTTTCCCTGTTTGCGGATGACATGATTGTATATTTAGAAAACCCCATCGTCTCAGCCCAAAATCTTCTTAAGCTGATAAGCAACTTCAGCAAAGTCTCATGATACAAAATCAATGCACAAAAATCACAAGCATTCCTATACACCAATAACAGACAAACAGAGCCAAATCATGAGTGAACTCCCATTAACAATTGCTACAAAGAGAATAAAATGCCTAGGAATCCAACTTACAAGGGATGGGAAGGACCTCTTCAAGGAGAACTACAAACCGCTGTTCAATGAAATAAAAGAGGTCACAAACAAATGGAAGAACATTCCATGCTCATGGATAAGAAGAATCGTGAAAATGACCACACTGCCCAAGGTAATTTATAGATTCAATGCCATCCCCATCAAGCTACCAATGACTTTCTTCACAGAATTGGAAAAAAACTACCTTAAAGTTCATATGGGACCAAAAAAGAGCCTGCCTTGCAAAGACAATCCATCCTAAGCAAAAAGAACAAAGCTGGAAGCATCAGGCTACCTGACTTCAAACTATACTACAAGGCCACAGTAACCAAAACAGCATGGTACTGGTACCAAAACAGATATATATATATATATGTATATAGAACAACGGAACAGAACAGAGGCCTGAGAAATAATGCCACACATCTACAACCAACTGATCTTTGACAAACCTGACAAAAACAAGCAATGGTGAAAGGATTCCTTATTTAATAAACGGCGCTGGGAAAACTGGCTAGCCATATGGAGAAAGCGGAAACTGGATCCCTTCCTTACACCTTATACAAAAATTAATTCAAGATGGATTAAAGACTTAAATGTTAGACCTGAAACCATAAAAACCCTAGAAGAAAACCTAGGCAATACCATTCTGGACATAGGCATGGGCAAGGACTTCATGACTAAACCACCAAAGCAATGGCAACAAAAGCCAAAATTGAAAGTGGGATCTAATTAAACTAAAGAGCTTCTGCACAGCAAAAGAAACTACCATCAGAGTGAACAGGCAACCTACAGAATGGGAGAAAAGTTTTGCAATCTACCCATCTGACAAAGGGCTAATATTCAGAATCTACAAAGAACTTAAAGAAATTTTCAAGATAAAAAGCAAACAACCCCATCAAAAAGTGGGCAAAGGATATGAACAGACACTTCTAAAAAGAAGACATTTATACAGCCAACAGACACATGAAAAAATGCTCATCACTGGTCATCAGAGAAATGCAAATCAAAACCACAATGAGATACCATCTCACACTGTTAGAATAGTGATCATTAAAAAGTCAGGAAACAACAGATGCTGGAGAGGACGTGGAGAAACAGGAATGCTTTTACACTGGTGGTGGGAGTGTAAATTAGTTCAACTCTTGTGGAAGACAGTGTGGCAATTCCTCAAGGATCTAGCACTAGAAATACCGTTTGATGCAGCGATCCCATTACTAGATATATACCCAAAGGATTATAAATCATGCTACGATAAAGACACATGCACAGGTATGTTTATTGCGGCACTATTCACAATACAAAGACTTGGAACCAACCCAAATGTCCTTCAGTGATAGACTGGATTAAGAAAATGTGGCACATATACACCATGGAATACTATACAGCCATAAAAAAGGATGAGTTCATGTCCTTTGCAGGGTCATGGATGAAGCTGGAAACCATCATTCTCAGTAAACTATCACAAGGACAGAAAACCAAACACCACATGTTCTCACTCACAGGTGGGAATTGAACAATGAGAACACTTGGACACAGGGAGAGGAATATCACACACTGGGGCCTGTCGTGGGGTTGGGGGCTGGGGGAGAGATAGCTTTAGGAGAAATACCGAATGTAAGTGACGAGTTAATGGGTGCAGCAAGCTAACATGGCACATGTATACCTATGTAATACGTTGTGCACATGTACCCTAGAACTTAAAGTATATATATATATATATAAAGAATATAAAGCTCATTAGTTTTAATAGAGTTCAACATATATTTAAGGAGCACCTACTAAGTTTCAGGGAAGTTAATTTAATGTAGGTGTTGCAGTAGACTTCAAAGACAGCTCAGATTTCCCATCCTGAATGATGGGCAACTTTTTACAACTAGAATAGACATTAATTGGTAACTTTGGGCATCTAACAAATATCTGAAGTGGACTCAGATTATTAAACTAGATAACCCTGTTTAATAATATTTGCTTGGCATATTCAAATATGAATGACACCCCAAATCACTAGGCAAAGCAATCTCAAAATGCAACATAGGGAGTTCAACATGTGAGAAAAAAGGAGTATACATATATTTTGGAAAAACACATTTGCTTTCATCACTGAAAGGCCAGTTAATACTTTTCAATTATCTTCAGTGGTATAGAAGAATTTTAAATCAGTAATTATGTAACATTAGAACATATTACATATGTTTTTCCTAACCAATTTTTAGATGCTATATTTTGTAAAACTTGCAAAAATCGAGAAAAAAATTACACCTCTCTAGTTCCTTCACACATTATTTCCCTTACCTATATTCTGTGAAGACTACCACAGCTTCACAACTTAAAAAAAATACTTCTAATAAAACTTGTTTCTATTCTCTGAAAATTAGTTAAGTGTTTTTTACCTTTTGTTTTTCTTCACACATCAGCAGTCTTTTTCCAATTCTGTAACAAGAAGCATAACTTTGCATTTTGAAAATGCCAATCACCTTAAAACTTCTCTCATGCTAGAAACAGAAAAAACAGAACAGTTCTCCTTTTTCTAATGCTATGGAAGAGTGGTTTTACATACACATTAATTATCTTGTATAAAAATGATAAGAAATAAGAATCGGGCTACTTGAATTATATTGAAAATATTGATATTTTTAATCAAATTGAATAATTCTATAGTTTAACACATAAATCAGTAAATCAATTATTATTTAGATTGCATTTTTGTCATGGATTTACATCTTGAGGGACTCAGATGACTCCCTGAAATATCATGATCTGTTTTTGTTGCCAGTCATGATGCTATAATTTATATAAAATATTCAAGCTGACTTGTACATAAACTAATTGACAGATGTAGGAATTGTCATTTGGGGATTAATCATTTTGCCAGTACATTCAAGTACATGTTAGATAATTCTAAGATGTACGTAAAGGAAACATCCCCTCTCTTTTTCTCTCCAATATTATCTACTATTTTTAAAATGTGCCTACCTTTATACCATTTTCTCCTATTTAAAATTATGTCCATATAAACAGATAATAAATGGAGACGAATTCCAATTGGGAATATTTTTACAAGATAAAACTTGTTTCAATTTGCATTACCATCAACAAATAGCCAAATCACCCTTTTTTCCTATATTAAAATACTAGCAACATGTAGCATTCATTTACCAGATTTAAATTTTAAAAAGACCTGTATTTTTACATGAGTCAGAACAAAGTGAGACTCTTGTCCAGAGAAATAGTACTGCAGTCTGAATCTAGATACAGTATTGAAATCAAATTCTGAATATTATTGGATATTTACGGTCACTCATTTAGGTTAGTGACTCATTTAGATACGCTTTCTATACTGAACAGATTACAGAGATTAGGGAAAATATATTACTGTCGTTTTGTACCAATCAATAAGAAAGCAAAATCTCCTGGAGGCTCCGTTTAGTGGGTGATCAAATGTTCATAAAATAAATCATAAAGACTGTTCTTACCTATAAGTTTTAGTGTCCTTACATTATGGCAGTTGATTATCAAGAATTCATTGAACAACATATGCGAGCAGGACCTCTATTTCTTATTTAGCCATTTCTCTAAAAATTTGGAATTTAATCATTTGAGACAGATGAGAACAAATGACAACTTCCCAATGAACATAAAAGGGAAGACCACAGAAAATAATGCCTATTATTTTTGCTCATTAATTCATTCATTCAACAAGTATTTAATGAATACCTGTTATGCATGAAGCACTATTCTAGTTGCCAGAAATTCATCAATAATTGAAATATATAAAGTTTCTGCCCTCATATTGCTTATAATTTTTATTTATCTAAATGTGAGATTAGATTGCTTATATAACTTAGAATTAATATACCACTCTCTCCACCTCTTCTCATTCTTAGAGTGTATATACAATAAAAACCCAAAAAAAATGCAACAAAACATGGAACAGTTAATCTAGTCAATTTCTGGACTAAGTTTTATAATTAAATGACAATTACATTGATATTATTATATTATTTTGTATTGTATTACATGCATATTAATGTATTACAATGTACTGTTTAATACAGTGGTAGACTGTTTAACGGGCACGAGTTCTTCCCATTCCTGTAAGCTTCCTTCTATGCAGTGAGACTGTGCTGCTGCTTCTCCCTTCTAGACATGAATCTCTTTCTAGGCCCTCTTGAATCAGGACCAACCTTGTGACTTATTTTGACTCATGGAACATTACAGAAGTGATGCATAAGCTCTGGATCCTAGGCTTCATGGGGTTCATAAATGCCACCTTCCCCCTCTTGGAGCATTGTCATGAGACCTCCATGTTAATAAGCCCAGGATGGAAAACCACTAGGAGAGGGAGACACAGTATCCTGGCTGGGCTTCGCCTCCAGCTCATCCACCAGATTACTGTTGCTAAAAAACTGCCAGACTAATTGACAGAAATATGAGAAACAGTAACTTATTGCTGATTAAAGCCACTAAGTGTTAGTCTGGTGTGCTAAGAACAAATAGATAAAAGACACATAAACGTATATACCAGACACTGTGCTAAATACCACCTATGCAAAATTCAGCAAAAGCTTTCATAATCTTTGCCTATAGTCTCTATCATATTGTATAGCAGAAAAGACACGAACTGTTCAAGTATTCACACAAATATTGTGAAATTGCTATGGTAGCAAATAAAAGAAAGAAAAGTAAAAATATTTTATGAGAGATTGTGATTCCTAGAGGGAAGCACATTTCTGGTACAGGTGACTTTAAGTGCAAAGTCCCTGTCGGAGAAAGCAGCAGATACCAGAAACCAATAGAAAGAAGGCATTTGAGCCTGCGATAGAGGGTTAGCTTATGAAGAGATAAGATTGTGCTAGTGGGTTACGGTTAGGTATTTAGCTGTGTAGCATATTTGATATATGGAGGATACAGTTAGTAGCAGCTCTTATATTAAAAAAAGAAAAAGAAAATTTGGGTTTCTTTGTGTATGTGCATTTTATCTTTTTGAGCAATTATTTGCTACAAGAGCATTCAGGAAATAGAAGCAAAACATGCTCCAAAATATCAGCAGAGGCAGTGCTTAAATTTCATTACTAAGGCTTCTTTCATATCTACACTCTTAGAGTGGAAACTAAGTAACCTAAATAAATCTAATAATGAAAATGAATTAGAGAGAAATGAGCTTTGGTAATTGTGACTGTCTTTCAATTGAACAATTAGACTTTAACATAGAAGAAAAGAAATATGATAGGTCAATTAAACACTGTATATAACCAGGCAAATCAACAAGTTTCTATAGTACAGGTCAGCTCGGTACTGTGTGGCCACCGACTTTATTGACTCAGTACAATACAAAGAATATGCAAAATTTTGAAAGTGACGAAATTTTTCTGACACTACTATTATTCTCATAAATGTGCCAAGTGAAAAAATAACAATTATTTCCAATAAAAAAAACAACTAATGCATAGTTCTGTTAAAAACAAGATTTGCTTTCCTCTAAGCTCCAAAAATACAGACATAGCAATGAACAACCCTGAAATTCCCTTCCTTTGCCTGCAAGACTCACAATAAAATTATTGCCCAGAAGTGCTGGCAAGTGACCAAAATGAGGAGGCATTTTTGGGGATTACTGGCTTAAACAATAACTCCTTCAAACAGGGAAAGCAAAGGAAAAAAAAAGAAAGAAGGAAGAAAGGAAGGAAGGAAGGAAGGAACGAAGGAAGGGAGGGAAAAGAAGAGAAAATCTGTATTCTTTTTGTTACATTCAATCGTCACAATAGAGTAATTTTCTCTCATCATCCATAAATCTATCATCTTGCTAATACTTAGGTAAAATCATTTTCATTGTAGCACATAATATATATTAATAAGCTACTAGACTTTTTCTAATATTCTACTTTCCTTTCCACTTTAGATTTAACAATCATATAATAATCACTGTTCTGCTTGCAAATGAATCATATGCAATAGTAAGGAAATAGCTAAGAGGGAGATGCCGCCCATGAGAGATTTAATCATAGGAAATGGCTGACTTTTTATTTCCAATAACCATCTGCACTCATGGTAAATCAGGTGCTAATGAAGCTCAGGCCCAGACTGCACAGGAGCATAAATCTCAAGAACCAAAAGTCGTGGAGCAACAGACCTCAGAAAAACAGAATTTTCTAAGGAAATGCACCAAAATTATCATATAGAAGGTCACCATCTGCAAACGTGTCACATAAGTGAATATATTTGGTAGGCCTAATACCACATTATGACACTGGCTGTAAACATCAAATCTCTACTTTTCTTTTGAAACTTACCACTTTCAAATATTATGATCACTTATGGTTTTTTACGTCCTCCTAGATAGTCAACATCTTGGGGGTAGGGGCTCTTCATTCCAGTTTAATTTTTATCGCCTCCACAGTGGTTTGTCCTTATAAGTACTTGATATTTGGAGAATGAATAATGAGAATAAATTTATTAATTGTGGAATCCTACTTTTAGGGCAGAAAAGTTTTGCAGAATTTTTTTCTCCAGTGGAGGAGGAAGCCAAGTCTTAATGCAGTAGAATTTGTACCAGAATTTGTCTTCTGAGAGTCAATAAATGTACCTATATCTTCTAAGAGTTTTTGTCTCTCAGTAATTATAATCCTTAACTTCACGTCTTGCTCACTCATTGTTGGAGTGATATATGTAAAAGAATCAGAACAGAGTTAGAAGGAGAAGGGACAGCCCAGAACCGACAGTATAAATTCAAATCCTGTCACAAAATGATGCAAGTCTAAGGACTTGACAAAATAATTTCCTTTTTCTATACGCTAGTATAATACATAGATCATATCTATCTCGTAATTATTAATCATTATATTTTTAGCCACTGGCAAATCATATCAAAGCAAAGACCTGGTAAAGAAGAGGTATGATATCTCTATTAACTCTTGAACCAACCTAAGTTCTATACCATGCCACACTTCACTTAGCCTCATTATTCTCTACTTGTTTCCATGAATGCAGAAATCTTAGTCAAGTGTTAATAAGCCTTTTATTTTCATTTGTTTTCTGTAAAAAAATATAATTAGCACAAAAAAGAAATCTGGTTGCTAGAGCCAATTAGTCTGTAAATAGCTTTATAAATTGTATTAGGTAAATATTAATACTTAGAGCAGCAGTTTTTAATTTTCTGTGGATCACAGATACTTGAAGAATTTGATGACAGGTGTGAACCGTCTGCCCTGATATAAACACATGATATATATGTGCAGAAATATGGCTAAAATTTCAGGAGTTTTACAGTCTTGAAATCCATTAATAGTACCCAGGACTGTGTAAATCCAGGTCAGAATTTCTGACTATAGTTGTATTTGCAAACTGAGAAATTAACAAAGATCTTAGGTGGAATTCATCATACATAACAGACTTTAGATGTAGACTGTTTTTTATTTCTTATCCAAAAAGTTAATCAATACCAGAGTTTATCATGCTAGATTACAATTTTAAACTGTGTTTTCATATATCCACATGAAATCCACATAAAACAAAATAATGAATCTTTTCATTTAAAACTGAGAAGACAGACAAATTTTACCATTCAGTGTATATTTCTGGACATGATATATAGAGTTGTATTCAGGTAATGTTATGCAGTACTAATCAGAATTCACAAAATTAGAGTTGCTTACATCTGATGAGTGGGTTTTAACCCTCAGAAGCTAGTTAATGCATACTCCTGCCCCAGGCAAACTGACATTGCTGTATCCTGAATGTGTTGGCATTTGACCTATGGGAAGCTAACATGCTGTTAGTGAGAGGAACATGTGTATGCGCATCCTACAACACATTACTTTCACATTTACTGCTTTCTTCTCTTTCATTTATCTTAATACATGACAAAAAAATTGACAAATCTTTGTTTCGTAATGCAAATTATTGCACCTGAAGCCAAATCCAATCGATTCTCAATTCAACACATAAGATGAACTGAGAAGGGATTTTATGGCATCTAATATTATAATTAGGCATGTTTTTAAAGAAAAATTAATATTAAATATAGATGCTAGTAAAAGCTAAGTATCAGATTTGAGCTTCAATTTTCTTCAAAGATTTTCTCTGCAAAGGAACATACGTTCTTAATTATATACTTTATTGTGTCAAAATTGTAGAAAATTAATTAATAACAAAATACGAAGAAACCTATAACTTGCGTTATAGCCTGTAGTGTAAGGACAATGGTCTCCAATTTACATGGCTCAACTTGTGATTTTCATAGTCTACAATGGTGTGAAAGCAGTGCACATTCAACAAACACTACACTTCAGGTTTTGAATTTTGATCCTTTCCCAGGCTAGAGACATGCGGTGCAATACTCTCTTGCGATGCCAGGCAGTAGCAGTGAACCTCAGCTCCCAGCCACGCTATCTTGAGGGTAAACAAATGATAGTCTATAGTGTACTGTGTTTCCAGATAATCTTGCCCAACTGTAGGCTAATGTAAGTGTTCTGAGCATGTTTAAGGCAGGCTAGGTGATATGGTTTGGCTGTGTCCTCACCCAAATCTCATCTTGAATTGTAGCTCCCGTAATTCCCATGTGTGGTGAGAGGGATCCAGTGACAGGCAATTGAATCATGAGGGCGGGTTTTTTCCCATGCTGTTCTCCTGTTAATGAATAAGTCTCACGAGATCTGATGGTTTCATAAAGGGGAGATCCCCTGCACACACTCTTGCCTGATGCCATGTAAGATGTTCCTTTGCTCTTCCTTCACTTTCCGCCACGGTCGTGAGGCCTCCCCAGCCACATGGAACTGTGAGTCCATTAAACCTCTTTCCTTTGTAAATTACCCAGTCTCAGGTATGTCTTTATTAGCAGTATGAGAATGGACTAATACACTAGGCTAAGCTACGATGCTTATATGATGTTAGGTATATTATATTAGTCTGTTTTCACACTGCTCTTAAGAAATACCCAAGACTGGGTAATTTATAAAGGAAAGAGGTTTAATGGACTCACAGTTCCACATGGCTTGGAAGAAACTTATAATCATGGTGGAAAGGTGAAAGGGAAGCAAGCACCTTTGTCACAGGGTGGCAGGAGAGACAGAACAGGGGAAACTGCCAAACACTGTTAAAACTTCAGATCTCGTGAGGACTCACTATCACCAGAACAGCATGGGAGAAACCACCAGCATGATCCATTCACCGCCCACCAGGTTCCTACTTGATACGTGGGGATTATGGGGATTACAATTTGAGATGAGATTTGGGTGGGGACACAGAGCAAAACCATATCATATATTAAATGCATTTTTGACATGATATTTTCTTTTTTTAATTTTAATTTTTAAATAGAATTCATTTTATTTGGAGCAGTTCTAGGTTCACAGCAAAATTGTGCAGAACATATATAGAGTTCCCATATACTCCCTACCCCCACATATGCACAGTCCCCCCACCATCAAAACCTTATACCAGAGTGGTACGTTTATTATAATTGATGGACCTACACTGACACATAATTATCACCCCAAATCCAGAGTTTTCATTAGAGTTCACTCTTGGTGTTATACATTCTGTGGGTTTTGATAACTGTATAATGACAGGTATTCACCTTTATAGTATCACACAGAATAATTTCACTGCTTTAAAAATCCTCTGTGTTCCACCAACTCATCCAGATTTTTTTAGGGTGATTTTATGAATCAAATGAGATATAGGTAAAGTATTTAGCACTAGGCGTGGCACACAGAAAGTGCCCACTAACAATAGCCAACATTAGCATTAATCATCAGCTTGAGTTGACTGGTAAGAGCTAAAAGTAAATGGTTGCAACAGAAATGAAGAAACAGATGCAAACGGTATTTTCTCTGTGTGTGTGTGTGTGTGTGTGTGTATGAAAAAGGTAGTGTATGTAAATACACAAACAGATATAAAGAAAAAGAGGTAACACAGAAAACACTACGACAAAGTTACTGAATACATGTGGGAGAGAGAGAAAAAAAGCTAAGTGCAAAGAATCAAGCCTTGTATGTTAGTTTTTACTCAATGAGATGCAACCCAAATGTGATTAGATACGCAAGATAATTTATTAGGGAAAACGCTTGTGAGGGAAAAGTAGGTAGGCACAGGAAGAGCCCGGGAGAGCCCTCAGACCATCATGCAGATCCGATTTCTGTGAAAGAGAAAGAGAAAGAAGTTCTGGACAGTGGTGCTGTGTTTTGTTGTTGTTTTTGTTTTTCAATTTCTGGGATACATGTGCAGAAGGTGCAGGTTTGTTACATAGGTATACATGTGCCATGGTGGTTTGCTGCACTCATCAACCCCCCATCTACATTTGGTATTTCTCCTAATGCTATCCCTCCCCTAGCACCCCACCCCCGACAGACCCCAGTGTGTGATGTTTCCCTCCCTGTGTCCATGTATTCTCATTGTTTAACTCCCAATTATGAGTGAGAACATGCGGTGTTTGATTTTCTGTTCCTGTGTTAGTTTTCTGAGAATGATGATTTCCAGCTTCATCCATGTCCCTGCAAAGGACATAAACTCATCCTTTTTCGTGGCTGCATAGTATTCCATGGTGTATATGGGCCATATTTTCTTTATCCAGTCTATCATTGATGGGCATTTGGGTTGGTTTCAAGTCTTTGCTATTGTGAACAGTGCTGCAATAAACATATGTGTGCATGTGTGTTTATAGTAGAATGATTTATAATCCTTTGAGTATATACCTAGTAGTGGGATTACTGGGTCAAATGGTATTTCTGGTTCTAGATCGTTGAGGAATTGCCACATTGTCTTCCACAGTGGTTGAACTAATTTACACTCCCACCAATATTGTAAAAGTGTTCCTATTTCTCCACATCCTCTCCAGCATCTGTTGCTTCCTGACTATTTAATGATCGCCATTCTAACTGGCATGAGATGGTATCCCATTGTGGTTTTGATTTGCATTTCTGTAATGACCAGTGATGATTATCTTTTTTTATATGTTTGTTGGCCACATAAATGTCCTCTTTTGAGAAGTGTCTGTTCATATCCTTCATCCACTTTTTGATGTGGTTGTTTGTTTTTTTCTAGTAAATTCGTTTAAGTTCCTTGTAGATTCTGGATATCAGCCATTTGTCAGATGGATAGACTGCAGAAATTTTATCCCATTCTGTAAAATTATGTAAATGCACACATATCTATCTGAAAAGAACTATCTGATTATAGTTTCTTTTGCTGTGCAGAAGCTGTTTCATTTCATTAGATCCCATTTGTCAATTTTGGCTTCTGTTGCCATTGCTTTTGGTGTTTTAGTCGTGAAGGCTTTGTCCATGCCTATGTTCTGAATGGTATTGCCTAGGTTTTCTTCTAGGGCTTTTATGGTTTTAGGTCTTATGTTTAAGTCTTTAATCCATCTTGAGTTAATTTTTGTATAAGGTGTAAGGAAGGGGTCCAGTTTCAGTTTTCTGCATATGACCAGCCAGCTTTCCCAACACCATATATTAAATAGGGAATCCTTTCCCCATTCCTTGTTTTTGTCAGGTTTGTCAAAGATCAGATGGTTGTAGATGTGTGGCATTATTTCCGAGGCCTCTGTTGTGTTCCATTGGTCTATATATGCTGTTTTGGTTACTGTAGCCTTGTAGTATAGTTTGAAGTCAGGTAGTGTGATGCCTCTAGCTTTGTTATTTTTGCTTAGAATTGTCTGGGCTATAGGGGCTCTTTTTGGTTCCATATGAAATTTAAAGTGTTTTTTTCTAATTCTGTGAAGAAAGTCAGCGGTAGCTTGATGGAGATAACACTGAATCTATAAATTACTTTGGGCAGTATGGCCATTTTCATGATATTGATTCTTCCTATCCGTGAGCATGGAATGTTTTTCCATTTGTTTGTGTCTTCTCTTATTTTCTTGAGCAGTAGTTTGTAATTATCCTTGAAGAGGTCCTTCACTTCCCTTGTAAGTGAGTTTTAAAAGATAATTTCAACTTTTATTTTAGATTCAGGGAGGGCACGTGGATGTCTGTTACATGGGTATATTGCATGAAGCTGAAGTTTGAGATAAAAATGATCCTGTCACCCAGGTAGTGAGCATAGTACTCAATAGTTTTTCAACTCTTGTCCCTGATCTTCTCTCCATGTTCTAGTAGTCTCCAATGTCTATTGTTGCCATGTTTGTCCATGGGTACCCAATGTTTAGCTCTTACTTATAAGTGAGAACATGTGGTATTTGGTTTTCTGTTCCTCAGTTAATTTAGTTAGGACAATGACCTCCAGCTACATATATATTGCTGCAAATGACATGATTTCATTCTTTTTATCACTGCATAGTATTCCTTGGCATATATATATATAACACATTTTCTTGATCCAATCCACCACAGATGGGCACCTAGGTTGATTCCATGTCTTGGCTAGTGTGAATAGTGCTACAACGAACATATGAGTGCAGGTGTCTTTTTGGTAGAATCATTTATTTTCTTTTGGATATATACCCAGTAATGAGATTGCTGGGTTGAATGGTATTCTGTTTTAAGTTCTTTGAGAAATCTCCAAGCTGCTTTCCACAGTGGATGAACTAATTTACATTCCCACCAGCAGTGTATAAGCAAGCATTCCCTTTTCTCTGCAGCCTCACCAGCATCTGTTGCTTTTTGACTTTTTAATTATAGCCATTCTGATTGGTGTGAAATAGTATCTCACTGTGGTTTTGATTTGCATTTCTCTGATGATTAGTGATGTTGAGTAATTTTTCATGTTTGTTGGCAGCTTATATGGTTTCTTTTGAGAAGTGTTTGTTCATGTCTTTTGCTTGTTAAATAGTTTTGTTTTTTACTTGTTAAATTGTTTTGTTTCCTTATGTGTTCAAAATATTAGACCTTTGTCAGATGCATAGTTTGTAAATATTTTCTCCCATCCTGTATGTTGTCTATTTACTCCCATCCTGTAGGTTGATAGTTTCTTTTGCTAGGCAGAAGCTCTTTAGTTTAATTAGGTCCCACTTGATAATTTTTGCTTTTGTTGCCATCACCTTTGAGGACTGAGTCATAAATTCTTTCCCAAGGCCGATGTTTCCTAGATTTCCTTCTAGGATTCTTATAGTTTGAAATTTTACATTGACATTACTTAGCAATGAGGGAGAGCACAATTCCAGCACCTACTGCTGAGGTATTTTCCACAGTTCTGGCTGTGGAGGCTCCTACTTCACTCCAGAGCAGGCATGCCAATCTCTGGCATGAGACTAAAATGCCTCCATGGCCATGCTGCTGGGTCTCCAAAGAATGACTGACTTTGTATGCACCTGGATTAAAAATGGCCTCCTGCTCTTGGTCCCAAGTCTGGGAAAATGTCTGCAGCTTTTCCAAGTGCCTTTCTCTTTCAGCGCCTCCAAGCCTCTCTCCAAGGCAGTTCCAGTGCTCAGGAGAAACAAAATGCTCTTCCTTGGTCTAGGTTGCTCAGATCTTCAGTGGAAATGTGAGTCACAGAGGGAGACTCTCTGTCCCTCTCACCTACCCGGGCTTCAATCACGTTTATCAGCCAGATGCTACCACGGGAGCTGTCTGCCAACAACCCCGGGAACTGGGGTGTCCTTCATGGTTCTGGTTGATTCCTTTTTTCCTTCTTGAATTAAAGCTCACATAGTTGATCTTTATGTACTATCCTGCTACCTCCAAGTGGCTGAGGCAAGCTACCTCTAATCTGCCATCTTGGGAGTGCGTAGTGGGGGGAACTATATTTTTAATTTATGGTGGGTTTATGGTGAACTTAACCTCATCATAAGTTGAGGAGCACATGTACATCACTTGTGACAACAAGTAGCTGACAAGTGAAAGAAACACATGGCAAAGTACCACCTTGATAAATATCTTTACATCCTTTGACTTGGCTGCTACTTGCTTTTTGATATCTTTATCATTATGAGAGATGTGTATAACAGAAAGAATTACAGATGATGATTTCTTAAAGTGATTAGTTACTAAATATAAATTATATTTATATTTATTAATCTATACTCTTATCTACTCACCTTGTTTTAGGGGCTCATATACTTTCCTGGAAAACTATATATAAATAGTATAAATGGCTATTTTTTCAAACATTTTAGCTCTAGAAGGATTTATTCAAGTTTATCCATTGAATCTGCCCATCCATATCTGTTTTACTTCTTTAGTCCTACTAATTATCCAGTTTATTATTACCTTGATTATTGAATCAATGCAATCTGACAAATATTTCCATTTTCCCCTTCTGGGAGCAAGGTGGGAGTATATCTCCTGGCCATTTTATGGAGGGGATAAGGCCACAACTCTACGTTTGATCCATAAGGTGTTAGGAAACATGATGTGGGTAATTTCAAGTCTGGAATAGTTAATTGCCCACATGAGATTCACTGGAATTCTCTTTCCTTCTTGCACATTGAATGACAAAATTCGAGTTAACGGCCACTGTGTCATCTTGGACCCTTGAATAAATACAGAAACAGAGCTCTGCAACCCCTGCAAATAATTTGGAACATGACAGAGAATAATTCTTTGTGGATTTAAGTCATTGTTATTTTGGGGCTGTTTGTTACCTTGGTGTAACGCTTCCTAACATGTTTAAAACATTCACTAATGTGTCTTTTCAAATACAGTTGTTCCACTTCCAAATTATTCTTCAGAAAGGAACCACATTTTTGTTTGTTTCTATTTGTGAAACAGTAACTGTTGTATTGCATAAAAATGACAGAAAGATGCCATCATAAAGTAAATAAAATTTTAAAATTTGTCTTACATTTATTCCGTACAGTGAGTTCTTTGCCAAAAATAAAATCTGAGTTCAGTAATTAAAATGCTAGTCTCATCAAAGCTCTGAATCTAATTTAAAGTTGAGATTACTTCCCTGCCTTAGCTATTGGCTGATGCAAGAATAAAGCCCATGAAAAAGAAAGGGAAGGGACAACTTCTTCACTCATTTCTCACCTAGGACTTCTTTTCTCCTGCTCTATCTTGGCTATCCATATTCTCTGACTCCTCCAATTCAGAACAAGCAGTAGAAGAGGTAAGGAGAGAAGGGATAGTTCTTCCTTGAGTGGTACCATGGTAGATGACTCCCACTAGTATTTTCTACTTTTTCCATATTTTAAAATTCATTTTCTGATGGGCCCGTGCTTTCATTTTTTCATTTTTCATTTTTTCATTTTTCTGAGATTTCTCCCTATCCTTTACACCCAACCAGTCCGCTGACATAGTCAAGTGCATGTTTTGAGTTTATCCTTATCCCCTAGGCATCTGCCAATTTAATTCTCATTTCCTCTGCTGAGGTCCCCTTGCCCTTCCTGAAAGATCTAAGACAGTCACAGAGCAGCTCATGCTCTCCTCTTCTCTTCTCCTCTTCCAATCTCTCTCTCTAGCCCACATGCTGAATTTCACCCTGGCAAACTCAGGGTCCACAACACTTCCCGAACTGCAATCCCCTACTCTACTATCAATAGCTCCCCAACCTTTACTTGCTCATATGTGACTCATACTTGATGACCTACAAAGCAGTGGATACTAAGACCTCCAAGCGAGACATTAAACCTCCTCTTTTGACTTTGGTTTAGGAGGGGTTACCCCACTGGGAGCGATGAAGTGGACCTGACAGCATATCTCCCTCCAGAGACACCTCTTAAAAACCTTTCCCCTCTCCCCATGGGCGCTCTTCCATATTTTTGGTTTGATAGAGTGCTTTAACAGTCCTCAAACTGGTTCTGCATTAGCATCTCTCTTTGCAATGTGCCTCAGCTGAAACTTCCATTAGAATCATTTGCAAACAGAAATCAAGTCTTGCCAACTCCACCTGTCTCCTATACCCTCACCACCAGCCCCCGCACACATTCTGATAAAAAGCCTTCAGAGACTTCATTTGAATTTAGGATTAAAATCTAATTAAATCCTACATGATCTAAATTCTGCCTGTCTTAACAACCCTTTGGTATGATAATAAGAGCTAGTCGCATGAGTCTCCTGTTTCTCTTATGAAAGAACTCTCTTGCCGTACAGCAGGGTTTCTCAATCTCAATACTATTTACATTGATTGGGCAGATACCTCTTTGTTATAAGGCACTGTCCTGTGCATTGTAGGATGTTTAGCAGTATCCCTGGCCTCTATCAACTATATGTGATTACTACCCCCAACCTTGTCGTGACAATCAAAAATGCCTCCAGATATTGCCGAATGTCTCCTGAGGAGGGCACAGATTGTCCGTCTGTTGCCTTAGAAACTTCATATGTGATATTCCCTCTGTCTCAAAGTCTATCTTGCTCATTCTCTACCTAAAAATTTCCTACTCATCTTTATCCCTGAATGAGTTTCCAAAACTAAGTCAGTTCTTCTGGTGATAAAGCATCTCAACATTACTTTTCCTTTGTAGCTACACAGGTGGTTTACAACCTCCCTCTCTCCGCCTCCCACAGAGATACTTTTGGAGCATTGGTTTATGGCATATGCCACATACCCAGGCCACTACAACAGGATGAGGCCTTTATAATGCAACTGAAGGCTGAGGAAACACCCAGACCTCGTTGGAGAAGCTTCCAGGCAGTGTAACAGTTTTAATTTTCTCTTTTCTCTTTTAGATATGTCATTGGCTGAATCAAAAGCCTTTGCTGATGTTTCTTTTGTGAGTAGAATGGATGAAACTGAGTGAGAGATAATAATAAGAGCTAAGAGGTAATGAACATGTACTATGTGCTTTACATAAAATAATACATTCAGTCCTCACAATGAATTAGCACTAGCTAGCTTCATCTGACAAAAGACAAAATCACAATTCAGAGAGAATAAAGTATTCATTTCAGATCAGGTATTGGCTTCATAGATCTGCCTTGATTCTTCATAACTGCTGTTCCCTCTGCTGGGAAGTTTCTTCCCCCTATTAACCACATGCCTTTCCTCCTCACCTTCCAGGTCTCTCTTCGAATGTCACCTTCTCAGGTAGGATTTCTTGAGTGCTCTATTTAAAATTATAAATAGATGCCTCACGCTGGCATTTCCTGCTTTGCTTTCTTCGATAGCACTTCCTGCCATCTGAAATGCTGCTGTTTTACTTTGATTGCCTCTCTCCTCTGAAAGACTGGAAGTTCTTCGAGGGCAGTGATTTTCTTGCAAGGCTAAATCCTCAGTACCTGAAACATGCTTCACACTTGGTGAGTTCACCATAAACATTTGTTGAATAAAGGATGAGTAAATTTCAATCCTCTACATGAAGGTCTTAGTATTTGAACTAGGCATACAGTCTTGGGGTGAAATGTTGGTTCAAACTTGTTTCAAGAATGCTTTCATTTTAGTTTTCTAGAAACAAGAATACTGACCATGCAAATTGTATACAGGTAATCCAGGGTACATACAGATAATCCAGGGTAAAAGAGACTAGAAGTGACTCTCTCCTGCCTCCATAGTTAATTTCTAGAGAGGAAGGCCCTGAGGCAGAAAGCAGGTAGACAACCAGCTTGCACTTGTGTTGGTGGCCTGTCAGCCAGGGTTGAGTTTGACCTGGCCCGAGGCACCCACAGCAGCTGTGGCCAAAATCAGACTGGGCCAAGAGAATTTTTCATGGTTCACCAAGATCACCTGCTGTGATAATCTACCCTGGTAACATTTTATATTTCTGAAAATTCGCCTTAATTTATATAAGTAACCTAAATCCATCATGCTGTTTTTAAAATACATTTTCTATCCTTCTTGTCTCAGAAATTATAGAAACAGATGTATACTCTCATCACAAAAATAACCTTACATCAGATGAAAATTTTACTAGGTCATGCCCCCAAAATTAACAAAGTTACTAACTATGCAATTTTTCATTTTATATTAAATCATACGAATAATTTTCCTATCTCCCTAAACCCATTAAAAGTCCAGTACTTTATAGCAGAGATGACATTGAATGATTCACAAATTAATGAAACCATTGTTACAGTGCTTTAAATTTTAGGAACTAGAATTATAAAAACCTTATAAAACCATGACTCCCCCCAGCCCCTTCAGTAGCACATGTGTTGCCTGTTTGAATACTAAACGTGTGAGAAGCCATTTTATGAACACTTTGCACTAAATAACTTTTCTAGGATGAATAAGGGTGCCTAGATATTTCCACAGAGGCAGATTAGTGACATTCAAATTGTAATCTTGTTCCTCGAAGCAGAAGTAAGCTTTTCTATAAAGGACCCAACTTGAAAGGGAAATTTTGCTGACAGTGAGAGTTTGAGTTTCAGTCCCTAAAGCCAGGGGCAAGTTTTTCAAGAGACCCATACTGCAAGGCCACATTGTGGACTATGTAACTTCAGCTAATTTCTTGGAAATGTGAGTATAATTGTCTCTGCATTTTACATATTTAAGTGATATGATGTGACAGCATCTGGGTTATAGGATGGGGGGTTCTGAACCATGAGAACCCCTAAATTTGAGACCGTTTTGTGTCAGGATATTCTGAGCTCTGTCTCAAGGGATTTTTTCCTCTGACCCACAGTGCAGAATTGTTTCCTGATTAGGCTGTTTCAAAGCTAAAAGGGACAAAAATAGGGCTGAGCAGCCAGCCAGCCAAATGTACCTTTTATAAATCTATCTCTAAACTTGTAGAGAACTCTAACAATGGTTTCATTAATTTAACAATCACTCAATGTCATATCTATTATAATGTACTAAGCTCTTAAGAGAGAAAGAAAAAAGAAAATTGTTTTATTCCCGTGATTTAATTTAAAATGAAAAATTGCATTGATGGTAGTCTTGTTAAACTTTTTTTGATTTGCTTTATGATTTAAAGTATGGACTTTCTTTTCTTGAGGGCCATGCTTCTGTCTTCTATTTTAAAACTTCTAAATAATCATTCTTATCTTCTAGGACAGGTATGAAAACACTTGATAAGTGATTTTAATAAAAACATATACTGTGTACTTGTAACTTGGTAACAAACGCAGCCAAAAAGGTTGCATATTGAAACAGTGTATATCCAAACCGTATACCTAGCTTGGCCCCCAAGATGCCTGTGGGAACAATGAAATACCCTGACTGATCCCCATTGCTCACCATGTAGCTTACTTTGGCTAGATCACTTTCCTGGGTCCCTGGGATCTTCCTGGGATTCTTGCCAAATCCAGTTTCCAGTTCCCAGGGTAGGTTATACTCCTTTTGCACAGTTCTTCACAGCCGTGGTTTGGGATTGTCCCATCAAAGACTCTTTGTGGACAATATAATACTCTCCCTTTCTCAGAGAGCTCCTTTGATAATGTCCTAAAACTTCTGTCTTTCTAATCCACAAAGGATTTTTCCTAGGTTCAGAATTTTCTGGATCTGCTAGCCTACTAAAATCCCCCTGTGATTCTGGAGTATAGTAGAAACATCAGAGTTACTTAGTCAGACATTCTTGAAATAGATTAGACTTTACCAGGGGTGACTGAGCCAAAATTGTTACATTTCGTAACCATGAAAATGAAAGACTTCCACTGAAAGCAGGACATATTGGAAGACAAATGCATTTGATTCTAGGCTCATGGGGTCCCTTTTTTCTGCTACTAATTTTGAAGTTGACCTCTTTACGAACATTGATTCTCTTTTGAGATCCAGTCATTTCAAGGGGAAGAGAAGATGATATTCTAATCCATTTGCCCACATAAACAGAGTCAAAAAGCACGATAATATTAATTTCTTGGTTTTGAATATTCATTTTTAGTTTGAAAAGTGTATCATGATTATGTAAGATGCTAACTTTAGGGAAAAGTAGATAAAATGGATTCAGTTTATCTATGGAACATCTTTGTAAACTTTCTGTAAATCTAAAGTTATTCCAAAATAAAAAATTTATTTAAAAAATTTGTGGATGATAGAAGGGGACCTCAGTGATTCAAAAAGTCACTTAAATCCCAGAGAATGATACAATCAATATTTGTAGAGGATAGAAAATGATCCAACACCTCTCCTAGCTACATTGATAATTAATTTGCATTAGAGACTGACATCAAATGCCTCAGCCTATATATGTTTCTGTGTAAAACACTCAGAATTAGAAGGAGGTCTGCAGCAGGACATATACTGAAAACTTAAAATTCAAAATGTGCAGAAAGTCCCTTATTTTAAATCAACAGTGTACTTAAAAATATTTACCTACTCATTTTCTTCAGGCTTCCTTTATACTAGATGATTATGCAAATAGAATTTAAAAGGGAAAAAACAATCTATGTTTTTGCTCTTGTCCATTATAAATATTTACGCATTTTGGTGAAGCAGGAAAGTGGTTGTTAGCAAAACTGATTTGGATGGATAGGAGGAAATTTTGATTAAAAATAAAGTAAAGCATAATGAGATTGGGGAAAATGTCATCTGAGGAAAAAAATCTCATTTTTTTTTTCAGTTTTTACCAACATCCTTTTTTGAGAGTACTGCAGACAATTATGTCACATACACATTTTTAAGACTTTTTCCCATTACACTAGACTTCTTCATTTTCTAAATTTGTTATTTGTAAATGGAATTCATTTCTCTGGCTTCATTTTCTTGTCTCATTATGCTGAATTCAGCGAGTGTTTGTTTTGAAACCCTCTTTAAATAAGAGCTCCCATTTCTTTTCATCATCTGTAAGTTCTTAACCATGTACAAAATCATTTTTGTTGAACCAACTTTCCAGTTCACGCACCACTGCTACTAGAAATTCTAGGATGAAATCCATCATTAGGCGACTCAAAGAAATTATGGAGTTTTTTTTTTTTTTTTTTTCCACTTTCTGTTTCTTGCTAGTTATTGAGAAATTTGGTGATTCAGAGAATAAGGAAAGAGAGTGGGGAGCGCTCTGACTAGTGTCTAGTAACCCCTTAGTGGATGACTTCAGCTGGCTTTAAGCAATTGCTTTTTTTATTTTATTTTTTATTGTTTTTTGAGATGGAGTCTTACTCTGCGGCCCAGGCTGGAGTGCAGTGGCACGATCTCGGCTCACTGCAACCTCCGCCTCCCAGGTTCAAGCAATTCTCCTCTCTCAGCCTCCTGAGTAGCTGGGATTACAGGCACGTGCCACCACGCCAGCTAATTTTTTGTATTTTTAGTAGTGACGGGGTTTCACCGTGTTAGCGAGGATGGTCTTGATCTCCTGACCTCGTGATCTGCCCGCCTCGGCCTCCCAAAGTGTTGGGATTACAGGCGTGAGCGAGCGGGCCCGGCCTTAAGCAGTTGCTTTTAATACAATAATTCCTCTCCCAAAGTGTTGGGATTACAGGCGTGAGCGAGCGGGCCCGGCCTTAAGCAGTTGCTTTTAATACAATAATTCCTCTTCTAAATTCACTGTGAGGCTGCAGTCAGGAATTGGTTTTGGTAATTGTAAAGTCCAGCTGAAGTGCTGGTGGAAACTCTATACTAATAAGTGCTTGGCAATTATAGTTATGTCCCCATTGAAGTGATCCAATACATGTTGCGTACTTCGCTATATCCAAAACTGGCAGAAATTTGTCTTCAGTGATTAAAACAGTTATCACTGCCCAGCCCTAAAAGATTTATAAACACTGTATACATTTAGAAACCCCTTTTCAATCTAAAAATAAATATATAAATAAATAAATAATAAAAATAAAAATAAACAATGGCAGCATGTTTTTAATTATGCCTAATTGAAAAAGGAATAAAATCATTTGGAAGTTAGGTGAAGAAAAGAGGATGAAAAGTCTGATAATCAGTGGTTATTCTAAAGAAAATAAAATTCTTCTCAATGTAAATCATATAAACATACCAGAGTGCTTTAAAAATACAGTTAAATAATCACATTGTTTTACTGTTTTGGCAAAAGTTCCATTTAGCATAGAAAATAAATATCACTCATATTGTTTTCATTTTGCTTTATGTGTTCAAATAGGATATATACCAGCTCTACACATCATCCAAATATATAATTATGTGGTTAATTATCACAACATAGTGTTATTCTTATTAACTTTAAATATTTTGTGATTATTAGAAAACAAATTTAATAATAAGGAGTATTCATTGCTTTCATCACACATTGATTAAATATGTTTTTCTGAGGGTCTGTTGAGTGCAAAGAATTGTGCTGTAATAGTATATATTTTTTCCAATTTTTCTTTCTAACTGTTGATTTCTTATTTCCTTAGCAATCAAAGCATATGGACTATATTTTAATTCTACAGACATTGCGTTAGGCAGAACAGCTACCAACACCCAATCCCTGAAATTTGTGATTATGTTTTGATACATGGCAAAAGGAACTATGCAGATGTAATTAAGGTTAAGAACTTTAAAATAGGAAGATTAAATCCAAGGAGTTCTTCAAAGTAAAGAACTACTACATGCAGAAGGTATGTGCTGCCTGGGGCACCTCGTAGTTGGAAGGAAGGCTCCTCACAGTGCATGATGGAGCTGTGGGCGGGAAAACAAGAGAGAAGGCCATTGGCTGAGAGCTCAGGGGCTCGTTCTCTCTGTGCTGCCATCTCTAGGTGAGAAACTCCAGTGTTGGAACCTGGCCTTCAATGTTGTCATGCCAAGGTAATCAATAAGGTAGAGCCTCTTTTATTTAATGCCAATAAGCAAGTAGGTCAGGGTGATTTAAAACTTTTTAAAATACATAGGAATGTGCTATGTGGGTCTCCATTTGTACTTTTGCTCCAGGTCCTGACAATTTCAGTCATAGGCCTGAGATAATAATTTGAATAACGGACTTATTGAAGGCTTAGTGAATGTCCTCTGTGTGTTGGATATCATGCAGACTGCTTGGCATGTACTATTTTTTTAAGTTCAGATAACAATTCTTTGAGGTAGGAATAATGTGTGTACATATTTTAGAGATGAGTAAATGACATTACAGGAGTAGAGTGATCTAACTAATGAATCTTACCAAAGAAAAGCATTCCTGTGAAATCTGTGTGACTAAAGGGAGGGTAGAAATAGTTGTCTTCCCCAGTTTCCTCTTGCTTTGTCTATTTTCTTTAGAGATGCCCAGGCTGGAGTGCAGTGGCTATCCACAGGCGTGATCATATTGAACTGCAGCCTTGCACTCGTGGGCTCAAGTGCATCTACCTGCCTCAGCTTCTCCAGTAGCTGGAACTACAGGTGCAGGCCACTGTGCCCAGCTTCCTCCTGTCTCTAGCCACACTGTAATCACAAATCACAAAAGTTTTCTTAAATTATATTGGTCCCAGAGGAATAGTAATGATATTTGCTACAGTTTCAGTTTCCATCTGTACTTAAGGAGGAATAGCACCCAAACTCAGCAAGCAACCCAGAGCTCTAGTTCTTGATTCTGCAAAGTTTTTGTTATAGTAAAATCTTTTGTTTTGTCAGTATGACTTCTTTTTGGAGTCTGAGTTATGCATTTGACATGAATTCAAGTTCAGTTATCATTCATCTCCTTTGTATTTACACAAATCAATTAAGTCTAAACTGCAAATAGTTTTTGTCTCAGGTTCACCTCTGATAGGCTGGTAGCAGCTGTCTGGATAGTCCCGCCAAGAAGGATCGAGTAGCTGCATGTAGATGCAGTAAGAAAGAGCACAATTAGAAGAGGAGACTGGGGATATGCCTACCATGAATTTCTTATCCGTAATCAGTAGAGCCCAGCCCTTGTGCACAGATATACAAACAGTGGCAATTTTTTTTTTTGTCCACCAAAGGATTATTCAACAAGGCACATACAACCTATAGAGAGGAAGATGCCTCTCTATTCACTCAAATACATAGTTTTTTTTTTTTTGCATTTCCAATTATCTATTGCTAATAATCTTTTCAGTGCTTACATATGTGCATGCCTGTACACACACACACACACAGACACATACACACATATATCCTAAAGTTTGTGAAACTATAGTTTGCCTTATGGAAGGAAAACACTTGATCCTATTCACAGGGGTAATTTTTAGACATCTCTATTCATAGGTATAACCAGCTTAGAAAATTTACTGCTGTATTAAGGGTCAGAATAGCAACTCACAGGAAATTGAACATTTGGAGAACCCAATAGGTAACTTTTAAGAGAGAAGTATTTATGATATGAAGGAACATAAAAGTTTTGTTTTTACTCCCTTTGGTTTTCTTCTGTAATTCTAGATTGGGAAGAAATAACAGAGAGTGCTTGAAGAATAGATGTGGCTAGGACAATATCTCTGAATCTCTGAATGGCCCATGGTGGTGACCCCCAGCCAGAGTGAACTGTGCAGCAGCAATGGTGCCCAGTGGGCAGCAACAGTGGAACAGAAGGTGAGGAAGGGGCCAGAAGGAATCCTTTAGGAAATTAAGAAAAGGATAAAAATATGATAAAAATGTGGTGTCCAGGCGAGAAACGGAATAACCTCATCCCTGTTCTGACTAACAATTTGGTAATATTTTGACAGTTTTGAACAAGAACTTCCTTCTCCTTTTCTTTTGGAGTACACCATAGTGAAAGACCTATGGTAAAAAACAAGGTACAACTGGAATACTGCTTTTTGTTTTTCTATTTTCAATAGTATCTCCTGTTTATAATGGATTGTTTTAATCTCAGGGAAGAACATCTGAGGAGATCACCGGGTCTCTAAATACCAGTTCTTGTCTCTGCACACCTTTTTTAGGGGGGACTGATGCCTGGTTATATCTGCGGTACACCAGTTCCTAAAGCAATACCTAAGAAAGTCAATGTTTCCTAGATAAACTTGACTTTCATCAAATGATATTTAGAATCAGTTTTAAACTTGTAGAGTATTGCAATCAATTATGATCATATTTTGCAGCATATATCATGAAGTCCAAATCATTTTAGCTTAAAGAAAACAGACGTCTATTATTTTTTCACTTAGAGTAAGTCAGGAAGTGTGTAGTCTTATGTGTTGGCTTTCCAGTGTCATCAGGGGCCCAGATTCCTGTCTTTCTGCTCTGCCATCTCCAATGTGTGGTTTCTAACCTCATGATCCAAAGTGGGTTCTTTTGCTCCAGCCCGCGTATCAATGTACCAGGCCAGTAGAATGAAGAAACTAAGGAGAGCAAAAGGAGGCTCCTTCCTAACTGAGTCAACTTTCTTTAAGCATTTGTCCTGAAGGTCTCACACAATATTTTTGCATACGTCTCACAGGTCAAAACTTAGTTATGTGTCCACACAAAATTTCAGAAGAGGCTGGAAGGTGTTGTCTTTTAGCTGAATGCATTATCATCCTGGAATTCAAATCTGGGTTCTAATAGTAAGCGAGAAAGAGAGCGTGGTTATTAAGTGGTGTCATTTGGCACAGCCTGTCAACAGAGGACATGTTAATTGGCATTCATACTGATGTTTTAATAAAGCATGTAGTGTGCTTATGAGGACCAAGATTGACCATACTTTGGTCATCATCAATCATGGACTGAAAGGCTTTTAAACATGAGGTATGTACCGCCTAGCATTCAGTAACAACCCACTTAGTCATTCCTACCTTAATTTTAGGTGCATGATACCAAAATGTTAACATATTTGAGAAACAGTCCAAGCTAATTTAATTTACGTAAGTACATTTTTAGATAAGACAATGATAAATTTGAAAATCAGTTTGGTTTAATGATTGGTTAGTTAAAAATATATCAAATAAATAACTTTTTCTACCTTAGCATTTTTAAAATTCTGGACCTAAAATTATTACATTCTATTTAGGGCAAGGATTAGCAAAATACAGCTTACAGGCCAAGTTTGTCTTGACTTCCTTTTTTGTAAATAAAGTTTTTTTGAAACACAGTTACTCTCATATGGTTACATATTGTCAGTGGCTGCTTTCACTCTATATCGGCAGAACCGAGTAATTGTATTAGATACCCCCACCACTAAACCCAATGTGTTTACTATCTGGATTCATACAGACAATGTTTGCTGACCCCTGGCATAGGCAAAGCAAAATACATGACACAATGAATTTCCCTCATACTTAGAAGTTAGGGCCCACAGAACTCACCTGAAAAGTTGCTTAATAGTTACTTAATTATATAGCAGATTAATCAGTTTTTAACTTGATTCTGACGTTCCTAAAGAATGGCAAATTCCTTCCTAACACAAACTAAACCTTTACCTCCGTGGTTCTCAACTGGGGTCAATTGTGTCTGCCAGAGACATCTGGTAATATGTAGAGACCTTTTTAGTTGTCACAAGTTGGGGTTGGGAGGTGGCTGCCACTGGCATTTGATAGGCAGAGGCCAGGGGTGCTGCCAAACGTCCTACAATGCACAGGACCGCCACTCAACACAAGGAACTATCTGGCACAAAAGTCACTAGTGCTAAGACTGAGAAACTCCATGGTAAGTGAGAACTCCCTAGGACCGAATAGGTAGTTGTCAATAACAAAAAGGAGGAATTACTTTCCTTAAAGGTAAAAATAATTGTGGCATTCGGTAAAAATAATTGTGGCATTCTTTCTTGGTGGTGGAGGTTTTGCTGTACTCCTTCCTTGTTTTTATTCTCCGAATGAAAACACCATTTTTATCTGAATTAGTAGCTCAAAGTTTTCCATTAATCACCTCAAACGGACTGACACAGTGTTTCACACACAATGTCACGCATGCTGTATGCTAACTCCTGAGTTTTGTTCTGAGGGAGAAAAATGAATTCCATGGCCAAAAGTACTAGAGGAAGAACACTCATCATATCATCATCTGGGAGGTTCACTGTTTACCTCCAGGATATTAATGGCACTCAGAAGACTGGTGGTGAAGAAACCTAGGAACTGTAGAAATGTAAAACCTGATGAGGCTGCTATTTGTAGACTAGGTCCAGGGAAGATGTACTAGGTCAGAGGAGAAGATATCATGGCAGAATCTTCTAAACAGTTTTTCATGGATGACTTATTCATACATGGTCCTCAGACATGGTCCTCAGAGTGAAAAATAAAAGAATTCCTAAGTAAATGAATTTGGAGATTACTACCTTTTACAGAGTTTAACAAGTTCAATTATAGCAAAGGCTTTTAACCCTCTTTTTCTGTGTGTGATAAATCCCATTGGCAGTCGCAGATCTCTTCTCAAATTAATGTGATCAAATGCATAAAGCAAAATGTATAGGGTATCAAATAAATTGCATTGAAGTGTAATTAACAAAACAAAAATAAACTGGTGATATATGAATGTAAGCATCTCTTTATTATCACATTAAATAATAAGATCTAGCAGTAGGTCTACTAACTACCATACTTTTAAAGTAGTAGTGAGTACAAATAATATTTCAAGACAGCTGCAATAACGGTGATGTGATATGAAAACATCTGTCATTTTTGTTGGGGACAAAGTCACAAGTACTGCCAATATTACTACAGCTTGTTGTCTTCATTCAAACGGAAGAAAATGCTAAATTTCAGTGAAGTGAAAACTAAGGTTTAAACCATCGTAGAGCCTTTAAAATGTTATGTTACTTGTGAGTTTCCAGAAGTAATGGTTGTGGGACTTGTTTGAACTTATTTGAACATAGAAACTTTAATATATTTTGAAAAGATAATTTCACATGCCATGTGGGAAATGTTGCCTTGAGCTAGTGCTGTACGCCTGAAAGCTTCTAATGTAATGATGCAGTATTGCATTTATAATCATTGTTTTAAGCTAGCGTTTTCAAATCCAGTTCAGCTCCATGATAACAGCTGTTGTTTTCTTTACCGATGTATTTCACTTTCAGATATGATTTTTTAAAAATTTCTTTGAACTTCATACTTTTCTTAGCAAATATCTCCATTTAAATTCTCAGAATGAAAATAAAAATGAGTTGTCTCACACCTCTACACTTAGAAAATCTAGGCTGCCTGTGGCCCTTTGCCCTAACACGTGACTCCTGTATCATGTATGTATAACTCCCTTCTAATTAAGCAACCTCATTCATCAAGAAAGCCCTGCAGCGATAAGGTAATTTTTGCCACAGGAATGTGACACTACCATGTGCCAGTTGCTGAAATAGTTGCACAGATTTTAGTGAAATGCAAGAGATAAGTGAGTAAGAAAGTGAAAATTGTCAGCCCATAAATTACTGCTGCCCTCAGTCTACAGTAATTACAGCAAAGCTGTAGATAACTGTCCCTCTGATGAACTCTAGCAAAATGGTCTTTTAAGTTTATCAGCATATTCAGGTACAACTCTCTCAGGAGGCTTGGCCTCTTCTAAATGATCAAATATTCTGAGGGTGGGTGGCAGAAGGACAAAAGATGAGGAAAAAGGAAAGAGAAACATTATTTACATCAATTAAAGTAATTTTTAAGTTTATTCTTTTAAAATTATCTAGTAGAAGCCTTCTTTCTCACTTATGATTCCTTTAAATGACACTTGCTATTTTAATGACTATTAAAATAGTCATTAAAATATTAAGTACTAAATGGTACTTGCTATTTTTATTAATGGATGCCGAAAGCAGTCAGGGAGCTAATTATTATATTGTGAAAGTAAAAATATATATGAGGCTCATGTAAAACAGTTTTGTTTGTTTCTTTTGATTATTTATTTATTTATTTATTTATTTATTTAAAGACAGTGTCTTGGCTGGGCGCGGTGGCTCACGCCTGTAATCCCAGCACTTTGGGAGGCCAAGTTGCGTGGATCACGAGGTCAGGAGATCGAGACAAGCCTGGCCAACATGGTGAAACTCCGTCTCTACTAAAATTAGCTGGGCGAGGTAGCATGTGCCTGTAATCCCACCTACTCAGGAGGCTGAGGCAGGAGAATTGCTTGAATCAGGGAGTCGGAGGCTGCAGTCAGCTGAGACGGCACCATTGCACTCCAGCCTTGTGACAGAGTGAGACTCCATCTCAAAAAAAAAAAAAAAAAAAAAGACAGGGTCTCATTCTGTTGCCCAGGCTGGAGTGCAGTGGCATAATCTGGGTTCACTGAAGCCTCAATTTCCTGGGCTAAAGCAATCCTCCCACCTAAGCCTTCAGAGTAGCTGGGACTATAGGTCTGTGCCAACATGCTCAGCTAATTGTTTTGTTTGTTTTCTGTAGAGACGGGGTCTCACTATGTTGCCCATCCTGGTCTTGAACTACTGGGCTTAAGTGATCTTCCTGACTCAGCCTCCTAAAGTGCTGAGATTACAGTTGTGAGCCACCATGCCTAGCCTCATGTAAGTTTAGAGCTATAAACTTAAATGATGGGTCATCAGTCATATTACTTTTTTTCCTTTTCAACATTTTTATTATCTCAATAATCTTATAAGGTGTGGAATCTACTATTATTCCCATTTTATAGGTTAGTACAGGTATCATCAGTTGAAGTGTCCTTTTCTTTTTTTTTTTTTTTTTTGACACAGTTTCACTCTGTCACCCAGGCTAGAGTACAGTGGTGCCATCTTGGTTCACTGCAACCTCCACCCCCCGGGTTAAAGTGATTCTCCTGCCTCAGCCTCCCAAGTAGCTGGGATTACAGGCGCCTGCCACTGCGCCCGGCTAATTTTTGTATTTTTAGTAGAGACGGGTTTCACCTTCTTGGCCAGGCTGGTCTTGAACTCCTGACCTTGTGATCCACTCGCCTTGGCCTCCCAAAGTGCTAGGATTACAGACGTGAGATGTCCTTTTCACTCTCACTGCTAGAAAATGGTGGTGCCATAATTTGGAAAAAAAAAAAAATCTTCTGCAGATTTGGTAAAATGATCCTGAAATAATGTGAAGCCAAAAAAAAAAAGTGGATATGCAGTTGTTCTATGTTTAAAACTATTAAGCAAATATATACATATATTCATTTAAATATATATACATATTTTAATATATACATATATTTAAGTGTATATACATACTTAAATATATATGTATGTAGATGTGTGTTTGTATATGTGTATATATATTATATATAAAATATATATATCTAAGTAAAAAAGACAAATTAAAAATACTAAAAAGACAACAGTGCTGATTCTAGTCTGAGGAGATAATAAGTCATCATTTCAACACTTAAAATTTTATGTATTGTCGAAATTTTCTGCAGTAGGTAACTATACTTTTATTGGCAGGAAGAGAAATTCTTATGAAAAATGATTGATATTATATCTTTTAAAATTGTAAGAATAAGTAAATTAGTAAATTCCAAAGTTCAAACATTAACTTCTATTGATAATAGAGTTTTAAAAATTCTTTCAGGAAGATGGAGAAAAAAGAAGACTGACAACTCTCCCAAGCAGCACCATTTCCAAAAACATTTACAAGATAGTGGATGTGGTGGTGACAACTGAGGAAAGAGCACAGAGACAAAATCAGAAGCTTGTTGAACTCCTTCTCTCTCTCCTACCAACCTGGAACAGAGGGCTTTTATATAGAATTTCAAGTGCTGTCCTTTACCCCTTTGTTAACTCATTCTAAGCATGAAGACAAGCACTCTTGGAATGATCATTTAAAACAGTCACTGCCCTTTCATGATAGCCTCCTCAGACCTTGCCAGCTTGAACAATAAATTACAAATCATTTTTTTGCTGCTATTGCTGAGGTATAGCTTTCAATATTATCACTGATTTAAGAGTTGATGTATTTTGAAAAGTCAGACTAATATGGCAGCATTTCGGATGAGGCCTCTTTTGTGTGTCTGCTTTATTCCTTTGTTGGAGTTCCACATTTTCTTTGTGTGGGACCGAGGAATCATGGAAAATTGCCACTTGTGTGATAAATTACTGTTTTCACCCATCAAACATAGAAAATGCTCCATGTGAGCCTTGCACACCATTATGTTGTCCCATCTAGGACCCTTTGAAAGTCAGCAGGGTGCATCTGGCTGAAATTCAGTCAGGCGATTAAATTTATTCAAGCTTGGTGAACTTGAGAGCTTTCAAAAGAAGAGTAGCTGAAGGGATGAGATTATAGTCCTGACAGGGCTCTGGAAAGGGTGTCTGACACCTGACGGCTCACAGCGAGCCATGGTACCTGTTCCCATTGATTTGCAACAAAGTCTTTCTCAATAAGTATTTCCACTTAACATTTCCTCTCAGGGAACCTGTGCCGTTGAAGATATTTACAAGTTGCTTTCAGCTTAAAAATAAATCACCTCTAATTCCTCTAAGCGAAATCAATCAAAAACCTGTAAAAAATGGACTGGTTGTTTGGTCGATTCTGGCAGAAAAGTAAACAGCACTTCAGCTTTTCTCCGCCATTAAGGCCTAAATGGCCTAGAAAGTAAATCAATATTTCTAGTCAGCCTTCTGGCTATTGTTTAGCCAGTAGATATGGATTTCTCTGGCTTACTGAACTCCTTTGGGACTAGCCTATAATCCTCTGAGAGGAATAATAAGTTCGTTATCTAGTTCAGCTCTCTGTTGTACATTTAAATGGACTACATCCATCAGCAGCCCTTGTTAAAGTTAAAGGGTGAGGGCATCCCATTCAACCCCCTTTAGAGTGAGACACTTCCAACACAGTGAGGGGGAAATTATAATTCAAAGTTCTACTGGTTGGCAAATGGCCTAAAAACCCTAAGTAAGGGTGAGGCAGTAATTTGAGTATGAGGAGGCATATCATACTGCTGTTTCAAGCTAGGAAATGCTACTTGCCCATTTCTGAGTATACTATGATACATACATAAGGGTATTTGCTAGAGAGTCTCTCATTATTCCTACTAGTCCTTCTTGAATGTTTTTATTTAAATACTCCTGTGATTCTGAACAGTAAAAGCTATCAGAACTTTCCTGATGTAGCAAACCAACATGCTTCCACCTCTCCTTGTCAGCAAATGGAGAATCTCATACTTCTACTAATTTTACTTTAATAATTTAAAAATGACTGTACTAACAGCTTGGCAATGCAGTTTTTGAGGGTTTTAGAAGATAAGAATCCTGGATAAAAGACCATTCCTTGAAGAAATTAATTTCCCCTTGCCTTTCAACTTGATAAACTAAAATTCTCCTTTAAATTCCATCCATGTATTCTGGCTTCATATGAAGAAGTGATAATGTAGGAATAATTTATTTTGAGCTATTTTATACACTTAATTTTTATATTATTTTGTTGATTTCTTAACAAGAGCCACAAAGACAAAAATGAATTATGATTACTTGAAACTTTCAAATGTAGGTATTTATGGTATCCAAGACATTTCTTTAACAAAACAAAAACAATAGTGTTTCCAAAGGTCCCAGGTGTCTCTTATTAAGTCTTGGCATGTATTTCATTTAGAGATTGTTTTCATAATTTTTTAAAGTAAAATTATCACAACAGAATTAATAAAGGGAAATATAATTATTTAGATAAAATAGTCACAATAGAATTTAGAAGGTAGAATATGTATGCAACATATACTCATTTAGGAATGAAAGTTATTATATTAATGCCTAATATTGAGCTAGCCTATGAAGCTGACTTGTTCTGTAGAGATTTTTACTGCTGCCTTCTTCAAGGACTCACCTCTTCAATTGCCAGAAAGTTTGTTTTAGAGAGAATACTTAATTATTTGGAAATCTTTTATGGGGAAAAATTAAATTCAGTAAAAATCAACCTAAAAGTTTGTATTCAATTTGATACGTTTGTTAACTACACTTGCTAGAGGTATTTTGTGATTAAATAATAACTTTACCGATTATTAATGCCACATTAAATTCACTTTTAAGAATTCAGTTAACAACTATTTTTGCATGGAAATGTAGAATTTTATCTATTTTGGTTTTTGCTGTATTTTGAAGAAGTCTATGCTGAGAATCTGACTGTGACAGATTTTGCTCCTCATAAGCCAAGTCAACTTTCTCACTATCACCTTTCATATTCTCCAACTTATTTGATGGCTGATGTTCTTCCCAGGAGGAGATAAAAAGGTGACTTGAATGATAAGGGAGGCCAGACATGGTGGCTTATGCCTGTAATCCCAGATTTTGAGAGGCTGAGGCAGGTGGATCGCTTGAGCCCAGGCAAGACCAGCCTAAGCAACATGGCCGGTCTACAAAAGAAAAAAAAATAAAAAAAAAAAAAGGAAAAATTAGCCCGGTGTGGTGGCAGATGCCTATAGTCCCATAGTCCCAGCTACTCAGGAAGCTGAGGTGAGAGGATCACTTGAGCCTGGCAGGTTGAGGCTGCAGTAATCACACCACTGAACTCTGGCCTGGGCAACAGAATGAGACCCTGTGTCAGGAAAAATAAAAGAAAGAATGGTAAAGACAAAGGGCTCTTCTCCGTCTTTTAGATATATTGACACTTGATTTTCATACTTTTAATTCTTCAGTAGTGTTCACATGCTTAAAGTTAAAATAAATGCAAAATGCTCACTGTATTCTCATTCTAAAATTGCGTTGGAATGATATAATATTGAGAGACTTTACTAATCATATGAAATGAGAATCAGATAGAAATGATAGAATTTATTTGCAAAATTGAGTTGATTTTTCATGTTTGATTATACTTCAACATCCCTATTAAAGTTTTACTTAAATGGTGTGAAAATTTACATAAGAACTATAACTCTTAGTACATTTATAATATACATTTCATGTGTTTTCCAAAACAATTTGGAAATCAGGTTATGTCTGCATAACCTGACAATACCAAAATGTATCTATCTCTTACTTGTCAGGAAACATTTCTTACCAACTGACTTGGAGGTATGAATGCATGTAAATTTTCTCTGTATTAGCTTCATTTTTATTCTGATGTTTGAGAAACACTAACATATATAGAGAAATATTATTATATCAATAAGGTTTAATTTGCCAGTCAAAACCTTTCAAGATTATAAGGTTATAGCCTTTATCTGGGAGTTGTCAGTACTGGATGAGGTTGCCAACACAAAAAGGTAGTGAGAATCTAGTTGTTTATTTTGTTTTGTATTGCGTTAACATGATATAATCACTTTTCTGAGAAACATAAGTTATTTCTGCATCCTCATAATTATCAGTGAATGGAACGTACTATTTATTCAACACATGATTGTTAAAAGAACATATAAATAAATGAATATGTAAATGAATATATATGACTATAAATTAAGACTACTATTTTGTTTCTGCAGCAGAAGCTTAGACAATTTATTAATGTGTGTCCCTGGGGTCTTACCAGGGCATGCAGTGGCATTGACAGAATGAATTAACTGAGTGAAGCTGTTTTGGTGCTGTTGTCTAAACTCAGAAAGTGGAGAGTAGTTGACAACAAAAGAGTTTGGTCAAATCCTATTGGAAATTCCAAATCCCATTCGCAAAAAGTGGCTATAACAAACAATTACAATGAATAAAATAAGAATTTGATCAGTCACATTCGACTGACTAGAAGACATTTATTCTATATACCAAGATAGCTTTGGAATAAGAATTTCTCTAACATCCTTTCACATAGGAGATAAAACTTCTACAGAAATAGCTCTGTGCTACATCAAAAGCATTTCAGGGAAGGGCTCAGCCAATTATAACCTGAGGGCCAAAACAGACCTGTTTTTTGTTTTTGTTTTTTTTTTTTTGAGACGGAGTCTCGCTATCGCCCAGGCTGGAGTGCAGTGGCACGATCTCGGCTCACTGCAAGCTCTGCCCCCTGGGGTTCACGCCATTCTCCTGCCTCAGCCTCCCGCGTAGCTGGGACTACAGGCGCCCGCCACCTTGCCAGGCTAATTTTTTGTATTTTTAGTAGAGACGGGGTTTCACCGTGTAAGCCAGGATGGTCTCGATCTCCTGACCTCGTGATCCGCCCGCCTCGGCCTCCCAAAGTGCTGGGATTACAGGCGTGAGCCACCGCGCCCGGTCAACAGACCTGTTTTTATACAGCTTGTGTATGTGTAACTGATTTGATGACAACGAACACCAATTTTGAACCACTATTAAGCAAAATGTTACTTCCCCAAAACAAATAACCATCTTTCTCATTAGTATACCATATGATTTAAAAAAGCACTCAATATTATATTTTTAATGTTATTAATGCATACTATGTAGAAATTTATTCTTTCTTTTGATGTAATAATCTACATAAATATCTTTAATTTTGCATCTTGGACTGCAAAGTATGAGAATTCATTATCTGGCCTTTACAGGAAAAGTTTGCCAATCCCAGTGCCAGTGTATCACACTGCTCTCGAAGGATCATGAAATATTTACATTGCTAATTTAGCTGATACAACATCTTTAGGCCTTTATCTTCTCTTCCTTCATCTCACCATCTATTTAACTATCTTATTAATCCACCTTGGTTAGAGAACCCTCAAGGATAATGTTTTTATAGTGTCTAACGATTTCTTTGTTCTAAATCTGAACGAGAAACTCTGTGTCTACTATTTGGTCTAGAAAAACCATAAGCAACCTCTCTGAACTGATGTTACATATAACATGAAGATTGTGTATATCACCTTAGAGCCATGCAACTAAGAACAACATGAGTCTGGTGACACAGATCCAATCTGAGGGGAGCTAGCTGGACATGGCTGTATGGTGAATTTTTAAAAAGAAAAAAAAAAAGTAAGCACTTAGTTCAGTTCATTTCTTTTTATCTTAAATAGCACAAAATTATCCTTTTGTCATTTAATTCACAGTGGTATCTAGAAATCAGTGATGGAAAAGATCAATTAGGTCATTTAGCTCCTTTCCAAGGTTCCAATTTTCTCTTTCAGCATATTAACTTTTGCCTGTCCAAATTTAAGTGACTAAAGAGATGGGTTTCCACAACTTACTTGGGAGATATTTCTAAATCAAATTTATCTGTACCAAAGCATCGTTAAAGACTTTGCTATTAGAGTTATACTAAATTGTTCTCTGCTTAATTGCATCTCATTTTTCCTTCATTCCTCTTGGCTACTCAAAGCAAACTTTGTTTTTCTTTGAATAGATTTATTTTAGACCAGCTCATCCTCATATATTATTGACAAAGAATATATCATTAATTGTTTCTGTTCATTACATGAATTGTTGCTTAAATATTTTTGTTCTTTTGCTCAGAAACCACAGTGGAAAGGAGGCCACTTTGTATTAAAAATAACAATATTTCATAGGAAATTCTCTTAAATTCATCAAGGGATCCAGTGGCTGTGCATAACCTTTTCTAGCTTCAACCCATCGAACATGAATGCCATGTAAGTTGTTGTTATATCTTCACCTTTCTTCCTGCTATTCATTTCCCCATCAATGACCATTTTTTTTTTATTTTCTGAAACTTCAATCACATTAAGCTTTTCTTTTTTCTGCCATAAAACATGGCTCCCATACCCCTCATTGATTAAGTCTAACTCAAGATATTCTAAGGATGCTAGGTTCAACAGCATATTGTTCTCTTCTTCCTGCCCAATTGATGGATATCCTGTAACACAATCTTGAATCCAAAAATGAGCTGATTAAAGAAGTATTAAGAAAATCCATATATATGACTAAGTCAATCCATCAGTGTTTTGCTCAGTAGGGTCAACTTTTCTGTATGTAGAAAATACCACTGCCAGGAGATAGTAATGAACTACGACCTCTGAGAGTGTTGCAACAGGAACTAACAACAAGGAAACTTTTGCTATTAGAGCAAATAGACTCCTAATCAACATATTATCGATCCTTCATTTTTGTCAAGGTTATTTTGTGCTTTAAAAAATGATCCTACAGCAAGGCTTTAATAGGAAAAGTAGACTAATTTGATTTAAAGAGTAAATGCTATTAATTATGAAAGACAGTCAATAAAAAGCTTGTTCTTCCAAACATAAAGGCAAATCTTATAGTGCCTTTGATTTATGGTAATGAATACAATGATGAAATATTTTGACTAGTATCTCTTACTCTCACCCTACCTTTTGCTGTTTTTCTTGCTCACACATTAGAAATACTTAAAATAATCTCTTCCAAGCCATTTTTGGAACAAAATAATTTTTATAATTTAGTAAATATACTTTTTAAATAGATAAACCTGTTACACAATATTTTGATATTATTTCCAGAAGAAATGTAACAAAAAGGAAAAATTTCATTTTATGTTTAAAGATATGGGTAAACATTTATAGTTGCTTATTATAAGTTGATGTTCAAACACCATATAGTGATGAGATTTAAACAAGAATTTTAGCATTCTAAAATCCAGATAAGTAAAAAATTTCAGAGAACTACCATGTTTAAATGATATATTACTATATGTAAAAATATGTGCAAATACCAAACATGTAATATTCTGTATTCTGACATATTAAATCTGTTAAAGCCATTTTTAGGTTCCATTAATTTATTATTCACATTATTTTATCTGAAAGAAATTAAGATATACATTATTTCACAATAATAAAAAACAGTGAATTTAAGAAAAAATTCTTGAACATCTATATATAACCTATTGGATTACTAGTTTCTCTAAGAAAAAGGGTTAATGCTTTATTTCCCTAAAATGATCTAATTATATGCATTGCAAGTTATTTTATGTCTCACTTCAATAAGGTAAAATTTATTGGTTATAAATTATACATTTGAAGGACTGCTTTCAATATAACTTTCCTCATTATGAGTCATCAATATATGAATTGTTTAGTCTTCTAGACTGTAATTATATGACTATATCACTGGAGAATGGTAGGGCAGGTTAACCTTACATGTTGGTTAGGATGAGATTTCCTTCTGTTATGAAAGGGTATATTTATAGGTTAGGAATTAATATATTTTAAATATATTAACTGTGAATAGATGCAAAGTCTGTTACCTGAAAAATTTCACATTTTTTTCTAAATTTTACTGAAGATTTGTTTATTTGATACAACAATTAATTTCAAGGTGAAATAAAGTAGCATATCTTGTAAGAAACAAGAGGCACAGTAGCCTAGCCTTGCATAGTGACTAAATTATCAAAACTTACATGGAACAAATAGTTTGGGCCATTCATTTAATTACTAACAGATTATATTTTCTACAAAAAGAAAGCTGTGTTGGCTTACCATCAGGGACTCCATTAATTTTAGATTCATATCAGTCTTTGTTAGACCTTACATACTGAGATTTAATGCAAAGATGATACTCAAGTTCACCTCAAAGCTGAAAACTCCACATCTGTGTGGCCATGGACCAAAAGGCTGTTTTGAGCTTGGATTTGTTGATGGGCTTCTTCAAAAAGCATGATATTCAACAACCTTAATGACATGTAGGTTAAAGCAGATGGCATATTTAAACAGAACCAGTATTTATTTTTAAAATTGCTATAAGCAGTATGTTTTAAAGTGCTCTGGACACATTTCACACCAGGGTGACAATATGCTTCAATCCACACCAAGCTCTCTTTTAGCTAAAGCTGCCATGCTATGTGACTATCTACTGAGTTTATAGAGTAATAAAACTCTGAAGACTGAAGCCAGATCTCTGAATAAAAGAGGCAGAATAGTTGCTGTAGTCTCTGTATCTTACTAATTCAGAGGAAGACGAATTTCTAACTTTGAATAAGGTTGAGAAGATGGCTACGATTTCATTTCCATGGTTTTTATTACAAAAATTATGTTATATGGAAATATTGAAGAGATTAAATTATTCCGGTCAATAAGTTTTTCAAGCTTTCTGGGAGAGAGAGAGAGAGAGAAATTTACATACAGAAGAAATTGCGGGGCATGAAAATCTGCTAAGGGTTACATGTTTTCTCGCAATTTTACATAGGTAGACAGGACATGATCTAAATGTTCTTGAAGATAGAAAATTAGATTATTAGTATGAATAATTGTGTTGTACTATATGAAGAGCTAAAGTTACAAATACCAGTTTCACTAGTACAAGACCGGGCAGGGGATAAGAATTGTGAGTGCGCTGACCTGTGGGAGTTTGCCGTTCTCTGTTTAAGCGTAGTGGTTGGCCTACTGTTAACATGTGGACTATTTTAGGAGAATAGAAGTACTAGTGCATATTTGCACCTTTCCCTTTTTCCATAGTCCAGTTGTTAGAAATATTCTGTAAGTATATTCTCAGGTTCTACTGTGGAAAGTGAGTTCTTTTCTTCTTTACTCCTTTTAAGATAGTAAAGATCACCTCTCTGAGAGTCTAGAACTGCTGTGTCCTTCTAGTCAAAAAGTTGCTTTGTTCATTGCGTTTCTTCATTGCTCATTTTCTTTAGCCTTACAGAGTCTCTTTACCACTTCTATCACTATGTGTGACCTGCATGTTCACCACCAGGGTCCAGTGGACACTTCTTTGTCATATATTTCTCCTTTTGATTACTTATTTTTCACTTTTGTTTGGTTACGTTTTGTTTCATGTTGCTTCTCTTGTACTTCTTAGCTTTCATGCAAAAAAAAGTGGATTGTGCTTGTTAGGTAATTTAAGCATTTTTCATTATGAATGCTTTCTTATGTCAAGTATAGTATTTGGGTTTTCTCCTTTTAGATAAATTAATTGTTCCCGGGTGCTCAACAATTCGGCTTTATTTTCAAGGAACTGGGAGTCTTCTCTTTTGTTTGTTATTTCAAAATGAATAGTGGTACAAAACAGTGGTGCAAAAAATAGTGTTGCAAAAAATCTGATTTCAGATGGCCACAATTTTACTGAAATATCTGAACACTCAGCATCAATATAAACATTGGAATCACTTCAAAGGATGTTTTACGCATTGGAGAAATGCAAGATAGATAAATGCTCACCTATTGCAACTATCTAAATATCTACTTTGATCTCATCCTCTTGAATGATTTCGATCAATGGTAATGACTGGGTGAAGAGAATAAAGATAGGAAAAATGAAGAAATGCCAAGTTTTACAGTAGCCATTGTGAAACATTATGTTAAACCACATTTACCAATAAATAAATGGTCTTCTATGTTTCCTTGAGCTGAGGCCTTGAGACTGTCCTTGTGAATACAAAATGAAAATTAGAAAAACAGACACTTTATAATGAACATCAGTAGGATCTGTATATGGTACTAAAGGCATAATTCATTCAAAAGGCTGAGCAACTGACAATCAATGCTTTGAGCACAAATTCACATTATGATTTTGACAAATTCACACTATCATTTTCAAAAGAAATAGCGAGGCAAAGCTATAAAATTCTTTTATAAAAAAGAAAACTTACTGGGATGTGTGAAGGCAAAATCTTGGACTCTGTTTTTATTATCATTTTGCTCTTCCAAAATGAGCAAATCATCTACAGAAGTAAAAGATTTAGTAGTAACTTTATTCTGATGAGCTAGAATGAGAGTAGAGCCAGAATAGAGATTAGAAGCTCATCAAGGGGATGGAATCAGAGTGAACAGTTGTTGGCATTTGTTATCTGGAGTCATCTATGAAGTAATATGAGCTCAGGATGCTAACACATGGTCTATGACTAAAAAAAAAAAGTTGCAGAAACAAGAGGGAGGCAAGATATTGACTTGCAGAAGGTTATGATTTTGAAATTCATTAAGGTTTTCAGGTTGGTTGTGGGCCCAGACTAATGCTTAGGAAAGATCTAGGGGCTGCTCGAATGCAACCCCAACAAGTTATGTGCCTGTAAAATTTGCAGATCTGAATATCTCACATTTACAACCCGCAGACGTGAAGAGAAAGTATAGTGAAATTAGTAAGAGATTTGGACTCAAGAGATATGAGTTCAGGAGTTTCCTCGGCGACTTAGAAAACATATGTATCCGAGTTGAATTTTTAACTTCTCCAACGCTCATTTTCTGATTGGCAAAATGGCAATACCACTATTACCACCATCATTACTACTACTAGAATAAAAGTGGTCTAAAGCTATTGAGAATATATCAAAAATATATTTGAAAGCATTTGGTACAGAAAACAAAATGTTAGTATTCATTATTATAAATATATAATAATGGTTAAATAGCCACAACTTTTTGTATATGGAGCTATTTATGTGAGAAAAATAACTTACCATATTTGAGTTTTCAGTTATTTTATAATCAATAGCTCCAGTTAATGCCCTAAAACCTAAATATTAGTGAGACAGAAGTATGTAACTTGTTTGATATTAGTTAAATTTAGAAAAATTATATTTTATTAATAACAATACTTACAAAGCCATTCATCCTGAAACAATAGTACCTATAATACAAATAACCCTTAACTAATTTTATAACTAAGTGCTAAGATTAAAGGAAAAAAATGTGAATTGATTACTATGTATAGTGACTGTCCTATATATTTACTTGTATAAAAAAGCAAGTTTTGATTTTAGCCTGAGATAAAAGAAAACTTAGAGTTGATAGTACTTTAATTGAGAAAGACTATGGGATGACATCCAAATTATGTGTTTCTAGAATGGCAATGAAAATCTACTTCAACAGGGTGTTCTTTGAAAAAGTCATTCCTCTTGAAGTTCTCAAAAAGAGACAGAATAGGGAACAGACTATTCTGAAGCCTTTGAATCTAACAAAATGACAAAATGAAAGTTTTTTTTAAACAGTCTTCATAGACTGCCAGATTTTTCTCTTTTGATAGAAGAGATACACGAAGGACAATATTAACAAGAAATTTAGAATATTACAAAAAACACCATAAATTTTGACGATAAGAATATTTTCAAATTATTTTAAAAGAAGTTCTAAAGTATTTAACAGACTATCCATAAAAAAGCATTTGTATGCTGAAGTGCGTGTAAAAATAGTTACTAAAAATCCATTTTGAAGCATCATATAAATCTCTTCAATTAAATTGCAAATCAAAGAGGAAAACACCCTTTATGGTCTCCTTTAGAGTAAGGACCATGATTTCATTTCCTTGTGACTCTCAGTAATGCCAAACATAATGCATGTTCAGTAAATAGTCAGAATAACCCACAGACTTCCTTACATTATGTTTAATAATTTGTGACTCCTAGAGAAGTTAAGCAGTGATTCCTCAGAGAAATCACTGAGCTAATCCAATAAAAATTCGAGTATTTCAGGTCTCTTCTGCTGTTTCTACACTAGCCAAGTACAAGTATATACTCTGGCATTTGGACATATACTTGTGCCTCTACAGAAAGCACCATATTCTCCAGAGATCTGGCAAGTAACAGACTTCATCTTGCCAGTGTAGAAATAGCATTAGAGCAAGACTAATTGCTGGAAAGCCTGTTCAGAAAGATTTGTCATTCAGGATGGTAAAAATAATCCTGCTTTTCAGCGTACATTCAAACTTTTTTTTATTTCCAGTATTTAATGGAGATCAAAACATTACCATTTCCACAAGTGAATGCGTTTTATGTAATGCAGCTATTTCCTTTGATTTGAGTTCAAGCAGAAAGGCTAAAATGAAAAAAAAAATTCTGTCTAGACGTATCATGTTTGTTTCTTGTGTGAGATGAAATTTATTAATCCTGAAATGTGGCTTAAGGACATATTTATATGTGTTATAAGTATCTTATTGAAAAACAGAAATGCCAAGAGGGAGAGACCTCTTAGATATACCCTTGAAAACATAGTCAAGTTTAAGCAGGTCACATTCAGTGGGGGGTCCAGAGATTTATATTCAGGGAATCTACCGAGCTATCCTTGACTGCCTCCCCACTCAATTTGCTGTCCTGTACTAGATATGTTGTCTTGTTGACTACAAAATCACCACCAAATATGTCTGCTTATAGTAGCAGCAGCCAACACCTTGCATGACTTTATTAACCTGATTCTGCCAGTGACAACATCTCTAATAAAATCCAATGTCTCTGATTATTTTAACTTTTGGCTCAAGGTTTCCACTTTTAAAAGAATATTACCTACTAGATTTTCAATCATAATCCAAAATGTCTTCCATTGTGCATGGCCAAATTGCCATAGTCTTATCTAAACAGTTCAGATCAAGCCAATTTCTTAACTCTCAACCTTTAATAGTAATGTGAACATAGCTGTTGGATTTCTAGCACCTTGTTCCCTTATCTACCATCTCATAAGCCTGAGAAAGCATATCTGTGATTTGTAACACAAGAGAGCCAACATAACCACAGTAAATAAAAGAGAAACATGTTATGATGTTAAGCCAGTGCACTGCTTGGCATGCATTAAGTTCACTGTAGCTGAAAAAATAACTGTGAGGCTCTATATCCCATTAACACTGTGTTAATTATTGTCATTGTCTCATCAATGTTTTGTTTATGACAGCTCTGGCTGACAGGAATAGTGGGATGTTCTGTCAAGGCCATCACCTGATGAGATTTTATTGGCAAAAGATCTTTCTTCCCTTTACTATGTTAGGGGTATCAGTGCTTCATTAACTCTAAACATAATCGCTTGCAATAGGCCCAGTTTTTAAATGTTTCAAATAATTGATATAATAGTCCCTTTCCAGCATTATAGTTAACCAATTCACCCTCTAAAAATGAGAGACATCCCTCAATCTCTCTCAACTCAAAAGACCACTCAATGGCAGTCAAATATGAAAGGAAAATACTGTCTCACTGGGGAAGACTTTTTAATACGGATAGGATGTTTTATTCCTTTATGTATGATACCTGTGAATAAAGAAAGCCTCCATAGAGGAGGAAATCTATCTCAAGAAAAAAATAAAACACAATAATTTGTACACACACACACACACACACACACCCGCTATTCAGCTATGATGAATCATTGCCCTCTCCCTTTTAAATCTTGCTCAATGAGAGGGCTGTGGGGTACTACAGATTCTTGGGCAGGGGCTAATAATTACCATTCTCTTTTTAATTATTTATTTCTATATATAGAAATAGATTATATGAGATAGATCTATTTCATTTCATATATGACACTCAATCCTTATTTTTTAAAAGAAAGAAGGAAGATTGCATCATTCTTACCATTAAACTGTCTTATCACAGCTTAGCTATTTCTGTAAGTGAAAATATTTCAAGCTAAATGAAAGTTCCCTGCAATTTCAAATTCACAGAATAATTCTAATTTAATGATAAAGATGATACTCCTACCCATATCAATGCCTAATTTTAATTCCAGGAACATAGTTTCTTACTAACATTGCTTTTGCTTTTTTTTCCTTATTGACTGCTAATACAATTCTTTATGACACTGGGTGTGCGCTCTAGTCTACAATTTAGGAATTGCATATTTTAAAAATGACTCAGTTTCCTCACTTATGTCATTAGAGTCAAATTTGCTACTCTGTTTAACCTGCAATACTGTTATGACAATATGAAATTTATGAGTATGACAGTATGTAAAAATAGCTATCAAAATGTGAAAAGTTATTATCTATAGCACTGACCTGAACCATAAGTAGGTACTATAAGAGTGATCATTAATTTTATGTGTCAATTTGGTAAGGGTATGATACCCAGTTTGGCCACATACCAGTCTAGATGTTGCTGTGAAGATGTTTTATAGATATGATTAACATGTAAATCAGTAGATTTTGAATAAAGCAGATAATCCTCCCTAACATAGGCGGGCCTTCATCTAATCAGGTGAAAGCCTTAAGAAAAGAGATCAAAGGCTCCAGACTGTAACCTGAAAATTCTGTCTGAGTTCCTAGCCTTTGGACTATGCACTGCAACATCAATTCTTAGAGGAATTTCTAGCCAGCTGTCTTGCCCTGCAGTTTTCGGACATTTCAGCTCCACAATAGCATGATCCAATTCCTTAAAATAAACCTTGCCTTCTTTCTCTCTCTGTGTATCATTCTCAACCCCATCTATCTGTATATGTATATACATACATAGATACACACACATTCTATTGGTTCTGCTTCTCTGGAGAATACTAATACAGTGTTTGTTAGAAGAAATTACATATATATACATACCCCTCCCATAAATTGAACACAGACTCTCTCTTTTAATTTAAAAAAAAAAGCCTGATATTCTGGAACAGGATGTTCTCTCTGTATCAGAATCAGTTTCTGCTCCTAGACAGCAGTCAAGTTCTGCCAGTAGATACCAGCCCCTCCTTCCTCTAGCTTATACAGGCATGAGAGTAATTAATCCTCATGCTTATTGGAGTTTAGTTTGGCTTTGGCACAGTATGCTTTCCCTAGCAAACCATAATTGATTCTGAATAATTGATCAGCAACGAACATTCAATTTTCTTTATCTTCTCTTCCTCTCATTCTCCTATGATATATGTTTTCTTTGGGGAACCATTTTCCATTTTAAAAAAAACCCCAAATGCAAGGCCTTTTAGTGATCAAATCAATTCATGCTGCTTTCTGCCAATTCGCATCAACTCCAATGCAACTCCTGTTGGAGAACTCTTAGGGAACCCTAATTAGTGTCCCATTGTATCCATTAGTTTTCAATAAGGAAGTAAACTTCTTATGTAAAAACCTCGGAAACTATTTACATGTGACTGCTTTGCCATTTATCAACCACCACACTAGCTTGCTTTTTTCAAAAATCCTTTGATGAGGACTGTTATTGAAACCACTAAACCCTACATGAGTCATGGAATCTGGCTAGACAAAGACACCTAAAATCAGAACCTGTGATACTCATCTAAGCTTTGTTAATTCACCTAAGGATGATGTCCCTCACTTTTCTCTTATGTAAAAGTAAGATTATAATGATACCCCACTTAAATAATTATTATAATTCCTTAGGCACCAGAATAAAACCTCTTAGCAAAACAGAAGTAAAAAGTTCTTTGAGGAAAGTAGTCTTCAAAAAGTCAAGGCATTTTATCACATCAAAGAGAAGTGGGTCACTTTCAGGCCAAAGGCATGCTTAGTGTAAGGTGCAAAATTAAGCTTACTTATTTAGTGAGGTTGGATATCTACTTTCTTCTAATAATCAAACATAGATGGATACTAGATGAAAAGTAACAGAATGTGAGAAACTGTTGGATGCTGATATTTTGAGATGAATCATACATATGTCTCGGATATCCCCATTTAACCTCCTATTCAATTTAGATGCAATGCCCTTTTATTTCTTTCAACCTCTGAAACAAGAAATGTTATCATGACCTTTTTTTTATTGAATATTATGCTGTTACATACACACCTTTCCAACTCTCGTGGGAGTCAAATGCTTAGAAGAACAAATCTACAAGTGGACTTTCTCTCATTGTCCATTCTACCCAACAGCAAATTAGATGCACACTCAACTGCCTACCCTGCTATACACTGTTCCTTAAAACAAATTATAACTCAGCATCCCATTTAATCCAGTTGCATGAAATTAACATTTACCGAGTAGCCACTCTGTGCCAGAATCTAAGCCTAATTATGGAAATAGAGCTGCAGCCTCGTTTTGAAACAAAACTTCCCAAGGCCATGGTCTCTAGTCACTTTCTGCATCACCTCATCTTGCTTCTCACTCAATCCCTCCCTTCAGTCCCCTCCTCTATACCAGAAGTGTTCTTTTCTGCTCTGCTTGTCTTACTGGGCCTTCACCACTGTGTCTTCTTGAATTGCTCCTCCTGCTCATGTCTGGGAACCTACACTCTCTGCTTTTCCTTGTCTTTCGTTGGCTGCTCTTCTTCTACTTCCTTAGTCACTCCCACTTCTCACCTCAGCCATTAAACACTAATGAAACCCAAGCTTCAGACCAGTGCTGTGTCCCCATCCTCTCCCTGGTTAATCTCTGGGTAATCTCATATAGTGCTACTGCTGAAAGCATCACATAGAACTTGATCATTTCCAGATTTATATCTAAAATTTCAAACTCCAATAGGATACTAGATTCCACCATTTAGAGCTCATATTTAATATATCTAAATTGAAATTCTTGATTTCCACATTTCAAATTATTCTGCCTCAAGTTTCTCAAGACTAGAAATTGTGTACAGTGTTGCATATGTGGATAACTGAGACATAATCTAGTCAACAGAAGAATGGGTAATATTCTTCTACATAACCTTGTCAGTATCATTCTCATGATTTTTTAAAAAAATAAATTACAGTAAAGAGTATCAGCTGGGGAATCACAAGAACCTGCTTTTTAAATACAGAATCTACCATGTTATTAGCTTTTTAATAAGTTACTTAATCTTATGACTTCTGAAATAATTCATGACAAGCTACTTAATCTCTATAAATGTCAGTTCCCTCAACTGTTAAATTTGGATAATAATAGCCATTATGAAATCAGCTTGTAGTAAGAATTAAATGAGATAGGCTTCTTAAAGGATATAATCAGATTTTATGCATTCATTTTTTCTTTTACTCATTTAAGAAATCTGTATAATGAATCTAACATGTTTCATTCTAGGTGTTGAGGATGCAGAAACAATCAAGACAGACAAGGTTCTAGCCACCCTTGAGCTATAACCAAGTTGGAGAAAAAAGTCAGCATGCAAGTAAACAATAATCATTCAAGCTATATAGGTTGTGCCTCATGAAACAAAAGGACTTTGTATGTGAGAGAGTAATGGAAACCAGGCACAGCTTTTAAGAGATGATGTCTAGAATGGGACCTAAAGAAGAAGGAGCTCTCCATGCAAAAATATAAGAAAAGCCCATTCTAAGCGAGAGACATCAGGAAGGACAAAGGAACCGAGGCAGGAAAGAGTTTGGTGTCTTTTAGGAATAGATGAGAATCCAATCTTGGGCTAATGAAGCAACACAAGATTCGCAACAGCAGGGAGTTGCTACTATCTTTAGCTTGAAGGAGAAAAAGGAGGAGGTTGTATTACCAGAGCCCAGGGGTGGAGTGACCCAGCATAACATAGAATCTTAGTTGGTATATTCAAGAGAAGTTGGATCCAAAGAAGAGATACAGCCATTATTAGAGATGCTGCCCCAGAGGGAGAAGGAGAGATACCTTGAAAATTTCCCTTAATCCCTCCATTCGTTATATCACCAATGACTTCCAGTGACTGAACCAAATCAGATGCCAGATGACACAATAGCCTAGCAAATGCAGTCTAAGAATTCAATCTCCAACACACCCAGTAGAAAGAGCAAAGGGTAAGAAATTGACTTGAGAGCAAGTTGGCTCAGAACAGTAGACCCTTAAATTCATTAAGGGTCAACTACTTTAATACTTTGGGAAAATAATCCCACTATGCAGGGAAAGAGGATGAATTTTAAAATGTCATATTTTAGGTATATAAAGAAAAATCCTGCCTGACCCTGATATAAAGAAATGAAGATATTAGAAAAAAGTGTTGGCTCTACATGTCCAGGTACTACTGATCACGACAGCACTTACAGGCTCTAAATGGTTAACTTCCTGAAAAGTGGCTGTTATATGGAAAACCATAAAACAATCATTGGTGATCCTTGTTTCTATTTAAAAAAACATGCTCTTAGGTTCAAGTAGACTGACCCACTTTAGGACTATCTATCCCTAGGGATCTTGTAAAATGCAGAGAATGAGAAAAACCTTTAGAAGATGCTAAACTCTCCGCTTTTAAGCTAACTAGCATGTTGAACAATTTATTTGTACAATATGAGATATGACCATATTGCATCTCATCTTATGGAATTACTCAAGTTATATACAATTTTCTCAAGTGCTATTGCTAGTCTGGATGTAGGAGTGAAGAGAATAAATTGAGGGCTTGATCTATGTTTGGGGTTTTCAGAGAAGACATAGAAATGAAAGAAGAACAGATTGGTTGAGAATATAATCAAGTGATTATGGGTTCTGTATTGAGCAGATAATTTAGTCCAAGAAGATGCTTATAGTTATGAAAGAAAATTCAGGATCAAGTACATGAGGTCTATAGAAGGTCAAACAGTAGTTAAGAAGGAGTGAAGAAGTGTGAGAGCTAAAGGATGTAAAGTAGAAGTCAGAAAGTGAGGGCAATGAGGCATTCTAGTGCATGAATGTGACAGGGAGCAGCTGAAGAGAATGGAAGTGATAGTTCTAGTTCAACGGTTCCAGGAACTGCCATGTTAGGGAGTTAGAAAGTTGCCCACATGGATTTGAAATTTGTCCTTAATTTATTCATCAAATGTAGTTAGTGCTATTATGTCTATTGTTCAACGTTGCTGAGTAACAAACAACCTCAAAAATCCTATCGGCTTCCAATAACATTGTGTCTCGTGCTTATCAGACTGTGGTTTGACTATTTTCAGTTGATCTAGGCTGGACCATGTTGCTCCACGGTGTGAGACTGGAGAACTTTGCTCCAGGATTTCAGTCTTTTCTATGTGTGTTTATTTTAGAGGGCAGGCTGATGGAGAAGAAGCTACCTGGGTATGCTCTTCTTATTGAGAGTGACAGTACAGGAGGCAAAAGCCTAACCACACAAGCAAATTAAAACCTCAACTCACTTCATAGCTGCTAAAATTTCGTTGGCCAAAACAATTCATGTTTTATTAAAATAAACTGAAAACTGAAATTAATAAGAGGTTTTTCTTTTCTAATGAGTTGTATTATAAAATCATACGGCAAAATCTTTGGTTAAGACAGAGTAAATATTTCAAATGAAGATGCAATAAGAATGAAGACAAATGCTGTAAATCATGTGCTTCAGTGGACTTTGAGACTCTTGGCAAGTGAATGGAAGTCAACAGAGATCAGCAACAAGAGAGATAGAATAGACAGAACTAGGGACTAATGTTCAAAAAAAACCATGATCCTCTCCATGCCCCTACACAGAAGACCTTAGAAGAATAACAGTCTGGATAGGGCATAAGGCAGTGAAAAACAGAAACTACCCTCCCCCAATCCTCACAAACCATAAATAGCAGGTTGTGGGGGCATACTGATAATTACTAGTCATTAGAAGCTAACTGTGGAACACACACTGTAAGAAGACAAAACATATTTTATCAAACACAGTTATGAAGAAAAAACATGGTGGCTCCTGACAAAGTAGGCACATCCCTCTTTCACGGTTTAATGATCAATTACTCAGTTGAAGTTTTGGTCTCTGAGGATATCAGAGTAAGTGTGATTGATTGGGATTTTATAGAACTTGTCATTAATAAACCCTAGGTGTTGGAGGCAGGAAAAACGCCCATAGCCTGGTTAATTATCATGGAAGTACTTCGGATTTTTGTCTTGGAGGGAGTAAGAACAGAATAAGGACATTTCTGAAATCAATAAGCAATTGTTTATGTGACCGGTATGGTTCTAGCAATATGGGGAATACAGAAGGCTTGTAAGACAAAGCAATCATTTTCACAGGGTAAAATTAACCACAATATTAATGCTACCTGATTGTAGGCTGAACTGGAAAAGTCTGAATAATTTATATATTGAGGTGCAGGCAAAATGCCATTGGAGGATACATTTAACAACCTTCCAAATACATAGAACAATTGCCATTTCTAAGTTATGTTATAATCCTATTCTTCTAGCTCACTGATTCTTCTAAATTTCAAATATAGTATTTTAAATTTCATATTTTTGGTTCTTTACTTGATAATGAATCCAAGCTTTAAAAACAAGCTAAAAAATGAGTAAATACAGTTGGCCCTTGAACAACATGAGGTTGAACTGCATGGGTCTACTTGTACGTGGATTTTTTTTCAACAAATATATTGTAAAACTTATTGAAGATTTGGGACAATTTGAAAAAACTCACAGATGAGCCCTATAACCTAGAAATATGGAAAAACATGAAGAAAAAGTTAGATATGTCATGAGCGCATAAAAGATATGTAGATGCTAGTTTAGTTTATCATTTACTACCATAAAGTATACATACATTTATTATTAAAAGTGAAAATGTATTGAAACATACACACACGAACACTTGCAAACAATACATGGCACCATTTGCAGCTGAGAGAAATGTAAACAAACATAAAGATCCAGTAGCAAATCGGACTTGCATAAAATTAACTGTAGTACATAAGGTACTACTGAAATAATTTTGTCACTATCTCTTATTGCCATTGTGGTGGGCTCAAGTGTTGTGAGTATCTGCTTAAAACTCCACGTGATGCTAATCATCCCGAGGGAGCAGTTCCTTTCTCTAGTAAATTCCGTAGCACAGTAAAAAGCCATCATTCTCAGTCCTTGTGTACTTTTCATCGTGTTTAGCGCAATACCATAAACCTTGAATAATATCATGAGACCCACATGAAATGCTACTAAGGATGCTTGATGTGTTCCTGAGAAGCAGAAAAATGTCACGACATTAAAGAAAAAGTTGAGGCCGGGCGCGGTGGCTCACGCCTGTAATCCCAGCACTTTGGGAGGCCGAGGCGGGTGGATCATGAGGTCAGGAGATCGAGACCATCCTGGCTAACAAGGTGAAACCCCGTCTCTACTAAAAATACAAAAAATTAGCCGGGCGCTGTGGCGGGCGCCTGTAGTCCCAGCTACTCGGGAGGCTGAGGCAGGAGAATGGCGTGAACCCGGGAAGCGGAGCTTGCAGTGAGCCGAGATTGCGCCACTGCAGTCCGCAGTCTGGCCTGGGCGACAGAGCGAGACTCCGTCTCAAAAAAAAAAAAAAAAAAAAAAAAAAAAGTTGAATTGTTTGATATGTACCGTAGATTGAAGTCTGCAGTTGTGTTTGTCCCCATTTCAGACAAAAACGATTCATCTTATAAACAGACAAGTACTGTAAATGTATTTTCTCCTCCTTATGATTTTCTTAATAACACTATCTTTTCTCTAGCTTACCTTGTTGTAAGAAAACAGTGTAGTAGTACACACAACATACAAAATATGTGTAAATCAACTGTTTATGTTATCAGTAAGGCTTCTACTTAACAACAGGCTATTAACAGTTAAATTTGGGAGGGATTCAAAAGTTAAAGATAGATTTTTGACTGTGTAGGAAGTTGGTATCCCTAACTCTTGCAATGTTGAAGGGTCAACTATAAGCCAAAACACTCTGATACCACAACTAACAAAATCTGTATTCACACTCAAATGTCTCAGGTATTCTTCCATCAATTTTTCTGACCTTTTAATTACACTAAATATATATATATACACATATATATACATATACATGCACACATGTATATATATACTCTTTTTATAATCTTCCTTCAGATAAGCTTAACACATTTTAAAATTTTAATATAGTTGTATATTTTTATAAAGTCTGGTTCTGTGTAACTTTCTATTCATTTTTCTCCAAATTCATCTCATGTGTATATTCATTCTATTTCTAAACCTTTTGCTATTCCTATCTCTAAGACATTTTTATTCAGCAAGACACATCTAAAATAGATTTTATCTGCATTCACTTATATAACCAAACGTATTTATATTTCCAAGCACATTTCTTTCAAGAATTATTTAACATTTATCCATTGTTAATATGTTTTCAAATGTCAAATCTTGTATATGACAAAAGGTATGACTGAATAAATCTGGCTACATAAAAACGTTAAAATGACTGTAACACTAAAAGTACACATATATGTGCACATACGTATCCCACAAATAAAATTAAAAGAAATTTGACAAAATGAGTAAATAGTTACCACATCTGAGCTACATAAATATCTTTAAGATAAAAAGAGCTCTGAGGAATCAATGATATTTTAAAAATTGTATCAAATCAAAATGATAAAAGATAAGACTAGATAACCCACAGAAAAATGAAAATGTGTTGAATTTCTATTGAAATATAAATATATACAATTTTATTAAAGTGAATGCCTCTACAGATGGTCCCAACCTATGCTCGTTTGACTTAAAATGATTGTTTTGACTTTACAATGGTGTGAAGGTGATACACATTCAATAGAAACCTTACTTGAAGTCTTGAATTTTGCTCTTCTCCCGGGTTAGTGATATGCAATACCCCTGAGATGCTGCGCAGTGGCAGGTTTCTGCAGCTCCCAGTCAGCCACACCATCGGGAGGGTAAACAACCAGTACTGTAGTCTACAGTGTATGGTATTCAATATATTGCATGAGATATTCAACACCGTTATAAAATAAGCTTTGTGTTCGATGATTTTCCCAACTGTTAATGTAAGTGTTCTGAGTGCGTCTAAGTTAGGCTAGACTAACCTATAATGTTTGGTCAGTTCGATGTATTAAGTGCACTGTTTATTTATTTGACATTTTGTTGTAGTTTTCAAGTTACAATGGATTTGTCAGGACGTAAACCCATTGTAAGTCAAGGAGCATTTGTATCTTCTAATGGCCAAAATATTTTTCTTTAATAAGTTGGTAATGGCCCAGATACGGGAGTAAAGAACTATAAATTAATATAAAATCTCTGGAGAATGTCTGACAACAAACATCAAAATATTTAAAGTGTATTATTTAACAAGTCTTATGGTAATCAGAGTTCTGGGTTCAAATTGTTGGTCTACCACTTGGTTGCTATGTAATCTCAGTAATTTATTTTACTCCATGAGTTTTAGCTTAAATTCCTGCATAATAGGATCATAACAACCATCTTTCAAGGTGGCTGTAAGATAAACAGTATAATACACACATCTTAACACATTTTCTGACAATGATAACTGTTCTTCAGACAAAAACTTCTATCCTAATAGTTTCTCATCTTTCTCCCCTACCTCTTTCTTTTTTTTCTGGAAATAATTATAGATACAAAGAAAGCTCTGTATACAAAGATGTTAACCAAAGTATCATCTCTAACAGTAAAATATAGGGGCATTGGTTTAATACATTATGTCATATTAATATAGTAGAATAATATGTGACCATTTAAACCATGTTATAGAAAAATTAATGAGATTGTTTAGTAAAATGCTTAAGTGATATTGATATACCAGAAAATCAAGTTGTATAAGTAATAAGTGTTTTATTATCACAATTTTGTTTACTTGTGTGGTTATGCCCTTATAAAGGGCAGGTATTTCTGTGTATGGGTCATGCATGAGCATGATATGATGTATATGCATGTGTGATTGTGTATGTGTATGCATAGGCACAGAGAAAGACCAGAAGTCTATAAACATTCACCTATTCAGAAAAAATTTGCTGAATTGCTGCTATAAAGCAGATACCATACTAACTTCTGGTGATAAAAAGTAAGAGAAGACAAACACAAATTTGTACAGCAAACAATATATTGGGAAGCTAGATGTTGTTAGAATAATCTCTAAAATAGATTTCAAATTCTGATTGGGATAATGCTACAAAGGGACAATGTGATGTGGAAGAATGTAACAGGCACATTGACTTTTGAAAGCAGGTCAGAATTCCCTGCTCAAGACCCAGTTGAACTGAAATCTGCAAAAAGTGCAAGACATACATAGCAAAAAGGGGAGGAAAGAGAGCCCGGGGAAAGGAGCAAAGGAATTTGGTGTGGCTTTAATAGATGAGCCTGAGGCTCAGGGAGTCTGGAAAGGCAGGTGACAGATCAAACCAGGTTTAAAATACACTGTTAAGGAGAGTTGAGGAGGTGATCGTATAAGAAAAATGATCAGAGATCTGTTAGGAAAACATCACTTTAACTATAGACTGAGGGAGAGCAAAAGTCAGCGAGGAAGGCCAGGCACGGTGGCTCACGCCTGTAATCCCAGAACTTTGAGAAGCTGAGGGAAGTGGATCACCTGAGGTCAGGAGTTCGAGACCAGCCTGGCCAACACAGCAAAACCCCATCTCTACTAAAAGTACAAAAATTAGAAGGCGTGATGGTGCGTGCCTGTAATCCCAGCTACTCAGGAGGCTGAGACAGGAGAATCGCTTGAACCCAGGAGGCAGAGGTTGCAGTGAACTGAGATCATGCCATTGCACTGCAGCCCAGGTGACAGAGCAAGACTCCAGCTCAAAAAAAAAAAAAAGTCAGTGAGATGAGGAGTACCGTGAAGTCATTTGAGTAATTCAAGTGAGAGATGACAGCAGCCTGGACTAGGATGGAGTGAAATGGAATGAAGTGATGGATTTAGGAGCTACTTACAGGGCAAAACTAAAGTGATATAGCAATGGATTGGATATGGAGAGTGCAACATGGAGAAAATAATAATATCAACCACACAAGGACATGAGAATGAAAAAAACAATACGCCATTTCAGCATCCCAGATGGGGCCAGGCACAGAAACAGACTGATGTTGAGTGAGAAGCAGCTGATGAAGATGACATAGAACTTTTACTTGCATAACAAAATGGATAGCATTGCCATTCATGGAGATGGGAGATAGGGAACACTATTAATTTTGAGGGGGACAGTCATAAATTCAGTTTTACATGTAAAAATTTAAATTATTTTCAAAATATTCAAGAGGAGATGCCAATGTGGTAGTTGGGAAAATGAGCCTGGATCTCAGAGGAGAGGTCTGGGTTGTATATAAAAGTTACGAGGTTACATATGTGGTCAATAAAGCTAAAGGTGAAAGGGCCTAGTAACAAGTCTTGAGGTATTCCAGGTAAAGGAGAAGAAGCCTGAAGCGGGATAGAGTAGGAGATATAATGTCACAGAAACCAAGGGAAAAAGGGGGTTTCAGGTATCTAACTGTAATACATCTTGCTAAGAACTCATTTAAGATGCAGATAACAGAAATCTCCCTGAAGAAAGAGAGATGGAAGTCATTGGCACCCAGGGCAAGAGTGATGAATGTGTAGACAGTATTGGATCAGACTTGAGCTGTGAAAATAGAAAATATGAAAAACATCTTCAGTATTTTGGCTATAAAGAGGAGGAACAACAAAGGATATTCACCAGAAAGACATGTGCAAGGCAAATTAGTATAGAATTTGCTTCTTAATGGGAGAGATTTGAGCACATTAAGAGTAGAGATTTGCTCTTGGAAGTTAAAGGCTAAATCCACACTAAGTCCTTTTATTCAATATTTATGCGGTTTTAACAAATTGTTGTACATTTTTTAAGTTTACAAGTTGTGATATTATACAGATAATTCAAGAAAAGAAATATTAAATAGATTACAGCAAAAGATGTAAAGTTTCAAAATATATCAATAAAAATATAAAGTAGATGAATTAGAGGGATCTATATACCCTTTACAAATGTCTGGAGCTTAGAAGGTGAACAATCAGTGTGAGAGACTGGGATAGAACAAGTTCGAGATAAGTGAGTATAAAGAATCTAGAGGGGGTCAGGAAAATTTACCCTCCAAAAGTAAAACAGAGCAGGCTCTGGGAAGATTTTAAAACTTGCTCGAGCAACTAAAAATGAGAGTTGAAAAGACTCCTGTGATAGTAAGAAGGTTATTTCAATATTATATGACATACAAATTGTTTTGGAGATGGCATAGTGTGGTACAGCTGCAGAACAGCCCTTCCCTAGAAGCCAGGCACCGGGTTTGGTTTTGTCTGTGTCAATAATAAAAGGCAGTAGCTTGGAGAAGTCATTTAATTAATCAGAGCTTTAGTTTCTTAACCTGTGTATTTAAAGAGTTTCCCTACATTTTCTGTAAGTTTCTTACAACATTAAAATTCTTTGTCTCTGTAACTAACAGAATAGGTATGCTGTAAGAAAAAAATATATACATTGAGGTAAACTTAAGTGTCTCTAGAGCATAACATTATCAAACTTTTTTTGTAGGTCCTGTGTAAGTGAGAATAAAAGCTCCACACAGTCCTTGACTTCATTCTAAATAGGTTGACACGGGTGTGAAATGACATTCTCCAGTCTTAGGGATGTGTGAAGGGCACTTAACATTTCTGACAAGCTGAGTCATTTGACATTATTCCCTGTGTAACTTATCCATTAAAATTTTATCTGTTGTGAACATAATTTTTAACAACTACATAAAATTTAAATACTCTGAAGAAAGCACCTAGTCATTTCAAGACTTTCTGATGTGATCTATGTTGAAACAAACAAACAAAAAATAAAAAAAAACCCTCCTATAGAGTCTCACCAGAGTACAGGTTTAAAAGTTAAAATATGTATTTCTAAAAGTAAATACATTATATAAGCATATGAAATAATGAATATATAATACATATTATATAAAGTGATTACATATAAATATATTTCTATTCCTTTTTGGAATTTGACTATTTTCTGGTGAATATTAAGATTAGCTTAGTTTTATGTATCAAATTAATGATTAACATTGAGTCAAATGACATTCATATATATACATATTTTTAAATTTTAGTATTATTATACTTTAAAAGCTTTAGTGTACATGTGCACAACGTGCAGGTTTGTTACATATGTATACATGTGCCATGTTGGTGTGCTGCACCCATTAACTCGTCATTTAGCATTAGGTATATCTCCTAATGCTATCCCTCCCCACTCCCCCCACCCCACAACAGGCCCCAGTGTGTGATGTTCCCCTTCCTGTGTCCATGTGTTCTCATTGTTCAATTCCCACCTATGAGTGAGAACATGCGGTGTTTGGTTTTTTGTTCTTGCGATAGTTTGCTGAGAATGATGGTTTCCAGCTTCATCCATGTCCCTACAAAGGACATGAACTCATCCTTTTTTATGGCTGCATAGTATTCCATGGTGTATATGTGCCACATTTTCTTAATCCAGTCTATCATTATTGGACATTTGGGTTGGTTCCAAGTCTTTGCTATGGTGAATGGTGCTGCAATAAACCTACATGTGCATGTGTCTTTATAGCAGCATGATTTATAATCCTTTGGGTATATACCCAGTAATGGGATGGCTGGGTCAAATGATATTTCTAGTTCTAGATCCCTGAGGAATCGCCACACTGACTTCCACAATGGTTGAACTAGTTTACAGTCCCACCTACAGTGTAAAAGTGTTCCTATTTCTCCACATCCTCTCCAGCACCTGTTGTTTCCTGACTTTTTAATGATTGTCATTCTAACTGGTGTGAGATGGTATCTCATTGTGGTTTTGATTTGCATTTCTCTGATGGCCAGTGATGATGAGCATTTTTTCATGTGTTTTTTGGCTGCATAAATGTCTTCTTTTGAGAAGTGTCTGTTCATATACTTCGCCCACTTTTTGATGGGGTTGTTTGTTTTTTTCTTGTAAATTTGTTTGAGTTCATTGTAGATTCTGGATATTAGCCCTTTGTCAGATGAGTAGGTGGCAAACATTTTCTCCCATTCTGTAGGTTGCATATATTTTTATATAGGGTTTAGCTTTTGATGTCAATATATTTAAGAAAAATTTCTATGTTTTTTTCAGTTATGTTTCATAGAATCAGGATAACTTCTGAAATTTTGGAAGGTAAGAGGATGTCCCTCCCACTCTTACTCATTGCTAAGAACTTTGTAAAATGTATGCTGTTTAAAAACATATATACCCTTCAAATTGATTTATATTATGGGTTATGACCAAAATCTTACCTTTGGCCTCAAGTCCTGGTACGGTTTGGCTGCATCCCCACCCAAATCTCATCTTGAATTGTAGCTCCCATAATTCCCACGTGGTGTGGGAGGGACCCAGTGGGAGGTAATTGAATCATGGGGGTGGTTTCCCCCATACTGTTCTCATGGTAGTAAATAAGTCTCACGAGATCTGATTGTTTTTTAAGGGGAAACACCTTTCACTTGGCTCTCATTCTTTCTTGTGTGCTGCCACGTAAGGCCTTCCCAGCCCCGTGGAACTGTGAGTCCATTAAACCTCTTTTTCTTTATAAATTACCAAGTCTCGGGTATGTCTTTATCAGCAGTGTGAAAACGGACTAATACAAGTCCCTTTTTACTGGGTTTAAATTAGTTAGTTTCTACATGCACAGGTAATTTTACTCAACGCTCCCTTTGTCTGGCAATCCATTCGAAAACTTTTTCGAATTGTAACCATTGCCTTCAATGAACAAGATTGTCGTCTGCTCCCCAGGCATCACTGACCGGGCAATTTCTTCCTTAGTGTAAGCAATCCAACAATGAAATATTCTCACAGTTACTGTACATGTTCTTGATTATAAAGATACACATATTTAATGGAAAGAACTAGGACCATAGGAACAGATTTGGTATTTTATTGTTTCTAATAAATTAACTTGTGACCTTCAGAACGACACTTAAGTTCTCTGCACCCTGCTGGTTTCCATAATGATTAGGTGTTTTCCAAGATTACATTTCCTCTAAAGTTTTAGGCTTCTACATTTTTAAATATATTATAATTATGATTAATTTCACAATTTCAAAGATTTAGTGTAAACTTGTTCTGAGATTGTTATATGCAGATGCTGTATTAGAACAAAATAAAAACTGTGAAATAACTAGCAACTTTAATGTTCACATATAAGACTTCAAGAAATATAACAAAAAGTGGAGTTATCCTGGCTCAGTGAACTAAGCTATAAAATTTTTGAATGGTAAGAGCTGTTAGAATTATGAGGTATCCACTAATTCAGAATATTAAATTTGAGATATACTTTATGAATAATTTTCTTTTTTATCTCAACTGGGAAAAATTATTCTTGAACCTCAACAGAGAAGTTTGATAAATGACATTTAAAATGATTAAAAATCATTCACCCAATTTAAGAAACTCCCTAAATAATAATCTGCAGCTCAATTTTGGTTAAGTTTTTGCATGGACATGTGAAAATTGGAAAGTAAAATAAATTGCTTCTGGTGATTTTTTACTTTTTTTTTTAACTTGTACAGTATACATTTATTTAACTATGACTGCTAGTAAATAATTAAATATAAACCTCTGTAAAGCTTTCTGCTGTAATATTTTGGATGAGAAGGATAGTTTAAACAGCAAGGTCTTCAGGATATTTGAGGGTTTATACCTTGCAGTAAAAAAGGAGAGAAAATAAAACAAAAAACTTTTACCTAGTTTGGATGGAAACCTTCTAGAATTCATTATACACTAATTTGCTTCTTTCAAAAAATGTCAGAGTTATAAACATAAGTAAACTTGAGTTTGCTGATGCCTGGTCATCATTTGCTTATTAATAAATGCAGCTTTCTGTATCTCACTGGTGTTTGTAGGACTCTGTACATCTCTATATTGCTGCATTACACAGCCTCTGATTATAATGCTTCTAGAGTTAGAGTTTTTAAAAATATATATTTTATATATAAATTTATATTTTTATATTTTATATTTTATAAATATAAATATAAAAAATTTTATATTTATAAATGTATATATTATATATGTACATATATTTTATATATGTGTGTATATATTATATATGTATATATATTTTATATATGTGTGTATATATACATATATGTATGTATATATGTATGTATATATGTATATATATACACACACATATATTCACATATATATGTGTGTGTGTATATATATATATATATATATACACACACACATATATTCATGTGAGTATACATATTTCCTTTATGGCAGAGTGTAAAATAGCAATTCCTTCTAATTATAATAATACAGCATACAATACAAAGTGAACCATAGTGTCTCCTACAAAGTAACTATCCTACAAATGTTAGCTGTCATTAGTACTATTAAATAGCTATTGAAACCCTGATGGTTTGTATCAGTCCATTTATTTCTTTTTAACAGGCTATCATTCTGATGCAAACATAAATAACAAACAATCTTGGACTATGTTGAAAAATGGGTTAGGCTTGCAGTCAAAACATCTAGGTTTAATCCTGGATATGTTGCTTCATAGCTAGGTTAATTTCATTAGCATTGTTACCCTTAAGCTTGTTGTCTTAGATTTTAAAAGCAGGACAATAATGGTTATCTTGCAGATTCGTTATGAGTAGCAGTTTAAAAATAGATGTGACAAAAAGGTGAGAAATTCATTATCACAAAACTGTCACACAGAAGGCATTCAGTAAGGGTTAACTGAATCTGAAATCAGGAAATAAGGTTGCTTCTAAAATATAAACATTTATAAACATTCACAATATTCCAGGCCATAGGTTCTGCATAGCACATTAGGGAGACAAGACTCACTATTAAGAAACCTGTCATTGAATATGATTATTGTGATTGAGAGAGCAGAGAAAGGAGAATAATAGAATCCTTACTCTGGGACAGCGGAATGTTTGTCCTATTAAAAAAATTCTTTACACAATTATAATTTATTTTATTCAAAAAATAAATTCACTGTAATTACGTATGAAGAAAATAAACCTCTGCAAAATTATCTATACTATGGGAAAAAGAAAAGGAGTGAGAAAGTAATTGAGTGAATTCAACTGTTAATATGATATATAACACATTTTTAAATTTAGAGTAGAAACTATAAATAAAGCTATGCTGTAATCAAAATTGTACTAGGAAATACACATGTAAAGATACTTCTGAATATTTCTTTGTCCAATTCTCAGTCAACTGTAAAACTGCTGAGTTTTGGAGATATAAACTTTGCAAAACTCAGATCATTACTCCTTTTGGGCTTTTAGTTACAATTAAGGAAATTATGATTATCTATTTGTTTATATTTGCTGTGTGGCAAAAGACAATATGAAAAATGTTACTTAGTGAGGGTTTGGTGATCGTTACCAGCTTCCACATTATCCTTAAAGTTGTGTTGAAATGATTGAAGATAAATGCACTTAATTTGAAAAAAAAAAAAATGTTGGACTGGAACTGATAGTGTTCCAGGAAAGTTGAAAGAAATCATGAGCAGGAAACAGTGAACAATCTTACGAGACATAGAGACATACAGGCTCTCAGTTAGCTCTGAATGGCCTTTACAATCAAGATATAAACTATGTGACAAATGAGTGTAAAATACCAAAGCACTGGCTTGTTTCATGAAGATAAGAACAGTCTCAAAGTCCTTGTGTTCCATATGGTCCATGGATTTCCAAAGAGGAATATGCTTGAACAGATCAAAAAGCAAAATAGACATTGTGTCTGGCTGGTATTTGGGACATGGAAGAGCGACATCTAATTTCTTAAATAATGTCAACTTATACTGCTGTGCTTTTATTGGACAGATATGTGTGAGGCTTTGAATACATCCAAACTGAAACTTCAAGAACAAACATCAATATTATTGATTATTTTAACTTTTTTTAGAAGTTCTAACTAAAATGCAGCCCTGGGCATAGAAAACTGGTGTTTAAAAGAAATAGTCTTATTCTAAACAATATATATACATTGTTTATATTTTATATAAACAAAATTTTTTGTTTATATATGTATTCTGTTTATATTTTGTATTATAATACATTTACTCTGTATTAAAGATGAATTCAAGTGGTAATATTTTCATTGTGATATGGCTCAAAAATATGTTTACATTTTGTGAAGTTCTCTTGTCTCATTGATCCTTAGGCTCCTAAAGCTAATCTGCAAGAGGGTTTTCAGATTTCAATTTTAATTCATTTGCCAATATAACTGCTAGAAAATCACATTTAGAGTAAGTTTTGGTAAAATATCTACCTTATTACAAACTGAGCAGATTTGGGTGGGGAGCAGTATCTATCCTATTTATATTAATAAATATATTTCAGAATCTATTTTTTCTCTGTACTTCTGAAGTGAAAAATAAATCATCAGAGTAGACTTAAAAGTGAAAGTGGCTGCTATTGTCCTAAATCTATCCCATTTGTGATATGAACTCAGAAGCTTCAGTTTCTTTGGAAATTATTATAGACACGGACTACTGCATGAAGTTTCATTTACCTTAAACTTCTAATTGAAGTTTCACCTATATGTGGCTGAGATGCTGATTCAGTTCAATTCAAATATTAACTAACTAAATCCTTATCTGGCTGATGAGAAAGAAAGAGTAGCCCACATGAAGCAGGAGAATAGGGTCTGGAGGCAGGGAAGCTAAGGTCAATTCATGCTGACGTCCTAGAACTGGATCAAAAGGAAAACCCCACCTCTCCATGCCCAAGTGACAAAGGATCAAATGCTACTCCTTCCACAACCCCCACCCCCTTCCACTGCGTCACAGATGGAAAATGGAAAGTACCTCTGATTGGACGTGGGCCAAGCGTGGGCCAATCCTTCATTTGCATAAGGTGCCAATCCATTTCAGCCTCTGATTGGCCAGAGTCAAACCTCCACTTCCATCCTTTATTACATAGCGTATAAGCAATGGGAAATCTTTAAAGGGTACTTAAACCCCAGAATATTTTGTAACCAGGGCTCCTGAGCTGCTTGCTTGAGCCCGCTCCAATTCTGTAGAGGGTATTTTCACCTTAATAAATCTATGTTTCTGTTGCCTTTTGTGTCAATAAATCTATGCTTTTGTTGCTTGTTCATGCATGCTGTTCAAATCCTTGTTCAATACATCAAGAGCCTAGATGACTCACGATCAGAACCCTTTATCTAGTAACACTTTACAAACATATATGCTCATTTTAATTTTTAAAATAACTTTTTGAATAAAATAATGTATGTTTATAAAGTGCATAGTAAACTGTAAACTAATATGTAATAAATGAGTTATTGTTGTCATCCTTATCTTTTTCTAATCAAAGTAGATAATATCTATTCTAAAACAAGTTATTCAAATGTCTTTTGCCCTTTGTCTTATTCAAATGTCAATTGCCTCTAGAAGTTTTGATTTTAAGAAAAGGAAATGTTTTGCCTTTCAATCTTTATCAATGGAAAACATTTCACTCAGTCTCAAAATGCAATTTCCACAGATATTTTATTGGGTAGAGTACTTTTAAAAAGCTCTAAAATAAGAAAGTGATGATAATGGAAAGCAATATTTAGTATCAACTTTGAATAGGCACAAAGAGCACTGATGTAATTAGAGATACTTAGACATGTAGCTAAAGAAAATATACCTCTGGGAGAAAATGTAACTGCTGTTACTATTTTCAAACAAATATGGGGCTCAGAAGTATCTATTTAAGTGCCAATATTAAATATCTCACCATGTTTCCATTATAAACCCTTCTTTTAGGAGTTTATAACTGGGCCATAAAAATTCACTTCAGGCACTCCTTAGTATCCAAAAAAGCTATTACAGCCTTCTGGGAAAATAATAAGCATATTTATAGAAGGTATATATAAAAATATTGATATGTTTACCTATTTTTAAAAATGCACTTGTGACAACTAATCTCCTTTATCAATTTGCTGAATCATATTACCTTCTTCAGTTCCATTAACCTAAAAGGAAAAATACAATTAAATTTAGTCTCCTTTCAATTGTTTCTAAATATGATTAATCTGGTGTCAACAAAGTATCGCTGTACTTCAGAATTTGCCTGCTGGCCTCTAAAAAGCCAAGGAAGGGGTAATAACTTTTAATGGAGTAAATACTTGTTTATTTTTCTGAAGTTAACTTTTTTGTTGTTATTGTTGAGATTTTTCTGTTGCAAACATTGTGTACAGTCAAAAACTCTGCGAATAAAGAAACAGAGACACTTATAAATACATGTGTACTTTTTGATTATTTCTTTAGAATCAGAAAGACTTAAACCCATGTACATTTTATTTTGGCAGAAGATCATGTAATTTTTCCACAATTACTCACATACCGCAGCAGAGGACACAAAATCATTCCAGGCTTTATTAATTTCAAATACCCAAAACTGTCTTGAGAAGAAAATACCTTTATATTATTTTATTTGATAGTGAAGTCTTAAAGTTCTATTTCTCTCATAGGTTTTTTGTTTGTTTTAGCAGTTAGCTAAAAAGTTTCCCAATTAAAACATTTTAGTACTTAATCCTATGGTTGTCATGCATGAGACTGGTTCATTAACAAGGTGGAAGGTAGAATAGTGAATAGATTTTTCACAATATAATGAGCATGATAATAATAATAGTAGTAGTAATAAGAAATAACAACAATACAAAGAATACTAACAGCAAACATTCTTTTTGAGTACTTTCCACCTCACTGGTATGCGGTTAAGTTCTTTACATACATTATTCCCCAATTAAATCTACGAGATCAGCGCCTGTTTTGCTAGGGAAACTAGGCTGTAAGGAATGAAATCACTAACGCAATATTATATAGCTAACTATTGGCAGTGCTGGGACTCAAATTACATTCTGAAGATGAAGCCTGTGTTTAATAATCAAGTTCTACCACTCTTTCTACTTTAGAAGAAAATCAGTATGATTTGGTTAAATTAGATGCTCTAACAAGAAGGAAATAGCTGACCCAAATTATAGATGGAAAACTATACGGTAAGATAGCTGGATTGCTAGACAATAGTCAGCATAATATCACTATTATTAAAAATTCATAAATATTTTTGCCATCCTAGGAACTAGTCTTTAAACTTACTACATACCTTGCTATTCAATTGCAAAATGTAAGATTTAAAAAATGGCTCTTCTTTAAAATAAATGTCAAAAAGAATGGTGTTATTTATCTTTGAAGTTAGCAATATTAATTACTTGAAAATTAGTAAAATTGTCTGACGTTTAAGAGGTTTTAAACGGTCTCCTAACTATTATACTTTTAGATTTTACAAAATGAGTGTTCAAATATCATCTGGTTTATAATTAATACATAAAAGCCAGTGAATCTAAGTGCACGTACATTTTTATTTAACTGTGTAATTACTGATTAGTAGTTCATAAAATTGGTTTTGATATATTTTGAGAGCCTTTACAATAACTTTGCAACTTTTAACTCATGCAAAAGTGATTCAGTATAAAGTTGGACTAAAATTCAGAACAGAACTTCTTTTACGAAGTTAACAGAGATAATTGATATTTCACTCAATGATGACTGCATTAAAATCATTGACACACATTTAACATTCATAACTGCTCTAACCCTTGAATTTGGTATATGGCAATATATTGAATCTAAAACTCTTAATTGCTTTCTCATCAATCTATTTCTCCCCTGGTCTTTTCCTCTTTGTAAATGGTAACTCTATTCTTGTAGTTGCTCAGGCCCAAATCTTTATCATTTAGTTGTCTTCTACATGTCATTTAAATCAACCAGTAAAACTCATTAATGTCAACTTCAAAATATATCCAGAATGCAGCCATATTTCATCACTTTCAACACCATCACCTTAGTTCAACCAGTATTACTCCCTACCTGGTCTTGGGCAATAGGTTCCTAACTGGTTTCACCATTTAAATCCTTACTCTCTACGTCTTCCATGCAAAAACCAGGATTGGTCACTGTTCATCTAGCCAAATCCTACCATTCAGTAAAACCAAATCATCATCACTATCTCTGGGGTCATGTGTGGCCTGAACCTCTGCTCTTTTTCTGTCCTCATTCTCCCTGCCCAGTTTTGTTTGTTTATTTATTTGTTTCAATCACTCAGCTCTTGCTACATTGGTCTTTCCTTGAGTACACCTAATGTGGATCTGTCCTTGATGCTTCGTGACTATTTTCCTCCCTGTTCAAAATATTCTTCCTCCAGATTTCCACCTGTCCCATTTTCTTCATCTTTTTTTTTTAAGTCTGTGCTCAAATACCATTTAGCAAAAAGCCTTCTCTGACCACCCTATATAAAAGAGTTAGGTCTATCACTCTCTGGAAGCTTTTTTATATTAATAATAACCATCCCTTATATTCTAGGCATTCTGCTAAATGTATTATATCTGCTATTTCATAATCTTCAAGACACTACTGAGAGGTAGGTTTTATTATTTCTCTTAAATAACTGAATAAAATTTAAATAAAACACTAAAGGTATGGTTAAGCTTCAAACCGGGTCTCCGGATTCCTCAGTCCTTGTTCTCCATGAACTGCATAATCCCATTTATGCTTCAAAACTCTCCCAATTTAACAAATAGGGAATGTGAGGCTCAAGGGTTTGAAATAATTGCCCAGATCACACAGCAAGTAAGTAGTAGAACAGGAATTCAAATGTAGGTTGATCAAATCTGATGTTTACTCCCCTGCACCACACTGCCTTCCTGTGGACAAGGTCATATCCTTATTGCCAATTGCCAGCCAAAGATAGATAAGATGAGTTCACTCTCCATTCTTCTGGGCTTTATTTTTGCTTACTTACTCAAGTCTCACATAAATACATATTCATCTTAGATCTATAACTTGGTTGATGTAGAAATATAAGAAAAGTGCACATATGATATAGAACATTAACAATATTGACATTATCCCAGAAATTATATAATTAAGAATTGAAATTTATATGATTTTCATTGATTTTTTTCTTCTTTTATTTGCTAATATTCTATCCTCTCAACAACATACTGCTAAACTTTGCTTTGTTCAATGTCCATGCTTGATCATTGAATTAAAATCCCTCTAAAATAATAAGTAGGACATATCTCAAATATATGTATCCATAATATAAAACATATTCATTTAGAATCTTTGCAATGTACCATTATACTAAGGCCATAATAAAAATTCTCACTTGTCTGTATACTTGGTGAAAGAATAAGATCAACTGAACCATATAGTTGCTTTATATAGAAATCAGCCTGTACATATCTAATTGAATTTACTAATTGTCACAGGTGAAAAAAAATGCCATTTTCATACTGAAATCAAATATAATCCTGACATAAAGGTCATAAATTTAAAAATTTATGCAAAGATACCTCAAGCTACTACTGGAACACCTATATCCAACATACAGAAAGAATCAATACAAGCATTAATCTGATAGTCAGTATTAGACATAAAGTGACTGAAATAGAGCTTGATTACAAGAGCAATGTCTCCTGCTTTGAGAATAAACATTTCAGTTTTGTCTCAGCATTTATGTAACAGCAGGAGAGAGAAGACAAGTTATCTTGTGACAACATCCTGCAGTATGTCATTGACATTATCTTATAATTAGACTTGCATTAAAGATGATTAATAGTATCTTCTTTGGTGCCTAATCAGTGCAGTCTCATAGCATATACAAAAATGAGTATTTTAGATCACTTTAAGTCAGTATTACAGCAGTAAAATCGTTATGTTCCTTTTCCCTCAAAGCCATCTCAAACAAAATAACAATATTTTCATTCAATTTTTGTTGGTAACAGTTTGAAAGAAAATGCCACAAGTATTTAGAGTGTTGAAATTCAAATTTTATCTAATTAACCTGAAACTCCTGTATTTTTTGAATCCAGATTTAAACCACTATTGTGGCTACCGCTAATAGCTATATATGAATTAACAGAAAATGAAAGATTTACTTCTAAGAGAAACATAACACAAGCTAGTTTCATGTGTAGTCAATTCAAAGTTTTATGAATTATTGGACTCAGATTACCTACAGGCCTGGAAGACAGTGGCTCTGTCTACTATTGGAGATGCTGGCTCATTGCACTGAAAATTTGCTATTTATGTATAAAGGATAAGATTGGACTTAGAAATCTGTAAATTAAGCTAAGTGATTTAAAGCCATGCAGCGTACATGTGAGACACAAGAATCAAACCCTTAAGCTTTATTTGTGAGGAAGTAGCATTCATGTGTGCTTAGCCTACCAAGGGGGATCAGCAAATGTTTGCTGAATGGATGCATGAATGGATGGAGTGGCTTCATAGCACAATAAAGTCATGTACCACAATAGTTAGGGGGTACAGCTGGAAATAACAAGTCTTTATAAAGTGACCAGACTAAAACAGCTTTAATGCTGTCCCACTGCTACCTATTTGCCTACTGGGATCTGAGTGATTTGTTGAGAATGAAGTATCCTAGGCAACCATGCTAAAATTATGAGTTCAGAAAAGGCGAACTATTTAACAGGCTAGACATACTGATGGAAGCTATTGTGGGGCCTTCAATTTAAAATTTGTTGAATTTGTGTACTTAGTTCCACTGACTCTGTATTATTAAGAAATTCCACTATGGGCCAAGCGTGGCAGCTCATGCCTGTAATCCAAGCACTTTGGGAGGCCAAGGCAGGTGGATCACTTGAGGTCAGGGGTTTGAGACCAGCCTGGCCAACATGAGGAAACCCCATCTCTACTAAAAAAAAAATACAAACATTAGCCAGGCACGGTGGAGTGTGCCTGTAATCCCAGCTACTTAAGAGGCTGAGGCATGAAAATCACCTGAACCCAGGAGACGGAGGTTACAGTGAGCCAAGATAGTGTCACTGCACTCCAGCCTGGGTGACAGAGTGAAACACTCTCAAAAAATACAAGGGGGAACACACACTGGGGCCTGTCAGGGAGTGGGGGGTGGGAGAGCATCAGGATAAATAGCTAATGCATATGGGGCTTAATACCTAGGTAATAGGTTGATAGGAGCAGCAAACCACCATGGCACATGTTTACGTATGTAACAAACCTGTACGTCCTGAACAGGGGCAAAATGCCACCAGTCATTTTGCTAAAATGCAACAAGAGTCACCTATGCTTCACTTCCCAACAAGTTCTTCATCTCCATCAGCCTCAGCCTCAATTTCATTGCCCATATCACTATCAGCAGTTTGGTCAAAGCCATTCAACAAGTCTCTAGGGAGTTCCAAATTGTCTCACATTTTCCTGTCTTCTTCTGAGCCCTCCAAACCGTTCCAACCTCTGCCCAGTTACCCAGTTCCAAAGTTGCTTCCACATTTTTGGGTATCTTTTCAGCAGTGACCCACTCTACTGGTACTAATTTACTGTATTAGTCCATTTTCACGCTGCTGATAGAGACATATCTGAGACAGGGTGATTTACAAAAGAAAGAGTTTTCTTTACAGTTCCACATGGCTGGGGAGGACTCACAATCATGGCAGAAGGTGAAAGGCACATCTCACATGGTGGCAGACAAGAGAAGAGAGCTTGTGCGGGGAAATTCCCGTTTTTAAAACCATCAGATCTTGTGAGACTTATTCACTATCATGAGAACAGCACAGGAAAGAACTGCCCCCATGATTCAGTTACCTCCCACCAGGTCTCTCCCACAACATGTGGGAATTCAAGGTGAGATTTGGGTGGGGACACAACCATACCACAATGTTTTAGAATACATTTGGCCCTATAAAACTGTAGATTCAAGTCTACAATAATTTCTCAAAAGTTTTCTTAAATTATATCTTTCTCTATGTTTTAAATTTTCCTGTTTATACAGTTTGTTTCTACCAGCACATCAATTTTCTATTGATGGTTCATTTATTTTTCAATATTTTCAATATTGAAAATTTTATTGAATATTCAATAAAAAATATTCTGATTCTGGCAATCAGAAATAATAGGCAATTATTTAATGCCTATTGTATGCTAGACAGTGTTCTATACTTTGTTTCATAACTTTTTCTGTGATATATATATATAATTTTCTTTACAATCATCTTCCAATATTCTTTCATTTTGACTCATTTTGCTTACTTTATCAGTTCTGTTCTCTGAGCCCCTTATTACTCTCATCAGTGACTTTTTACTGCTTCTATTTTGACTTTCACTTCTGTAACTGCTTTATATTTACCTTTAACATCTTCCTTAGTCTCTCCTGGTTTGGGTTTTATCTTTGTGTCACTATACATTCTGAGGTATTGAAATACTGATTTGTTGTTTTGCATCGAGGTTGTTTGGGGGTATGAGGAAGTGAGAGGTTCATAAAATAAAACAGTGTGATTTCCTTCTGCTCATACCAATATTTTTCTTGTTGCTTTTCTCAGCCTGCTCCTTCCTCCCTTTCTTTTTCTCTTTTTGTTTTCCCACATTATTGTATAGAGCCTATACTTGTTCATTTTCTTCATTATTGCTCTTAAATGAAGTGAGTACAACAAAAATTGGGACTGTTAAGTGCAGAGTATCAGAGGTTTCCTCTAATTAATGGGAAGTTTCTTAGGATTAAAAATAGGTGCACATGTGATTGTGTAAGTGTGTATGTTTTTGCATTACATTGTATACCCCTCTCCCTTTAATTTTGCCACTCACTGATTCAGCTAATGGCAAGATCTGAGAACAAAAAAACCCATGCTCATTCAGATGCTAGGAAAACAGGCTGAAAAGAGCAGAGAACATTCCCCAAGCCCCTATTTTACTAAGGACTCTTTGTAATATAAAAAATATAAATTTTTTATCTGAACAAATGACCATTTTATATTTCTATATAAAAGTTGGTGGTTTAATAATACAGGACTAGAATAATGTAGATTTTTAATTTTCATAGAAATTAAACTCTGTAGCCAAAGGCCCTCAGAGATTACTAAACACAGAAGGCATATTGAAAACAGAAGATTCTATTTTGACAGAAGGATTAGACATATTTTTGTTACTGAGAAAATACTATTTATTTTCATAGACTGAATGTTTGAGTCCCCCCAAAATGTTAAAATCCTAATCTCCCGTGTGATGGTGTTAGGAAATGTGGCCTTTAGGAGATAATTAGGTCTTGAGGATGGAGCCCTCATGATGGGATTAGTGGTGCCATAAGAAGAGAGGAGATAACTTGCTCTCTCTTTCTCTTTTTTTCTACCTTGTGAGGATACAAGGAGAAGATGTACATCTGTGAATTAGAAAAAGGGTCCTCACCAGAACCAAATGTGCAGACATCATGATCTTGGACTTCCAAGCCTCCAGAACTGTGAGTAATAAATGTTTGTTGTTTAAGCCACTCAACCTATGGAAATTTAATACAGCACTCTGAGCTAAGACATTCATGATCACTTTTAGGTGCCTTTAGTTCTGGTAGTCACATGGAAGATATATCTGAAGAGTCTGATCTCCTCTTCACTCTGCGCCCTTTCCACTTTATAGTGGATGCACATGAAAATGTATTTTGGGGGCCAGGCACGGTGGTTCATGCCTGTAATCCCAGCACTTTGAGAGGCCAAGGTGGGCAGATCACGAGGTCAGGAGTTCAAGACCAGCCTGGCCAACATGGCAAAACCCTGTCTCTACTAAAAATACAAAAATTAGCTGGGCATGGTGGTGTGTGCCTGTAATCCCAGCTACTCGGAAGCCTGAGGCAGGAGAATTGCTTGAACCAGGACCCGGAAGGCGGAGGTTGTAGTGAGCTGAGATCAGGCCACTGGACTCCAGCCTGGGCTACAGAGTGAGACTCTGTCCCCCCCCCCAAAAAAAAGGCAAAATGTATTTCGGGGAAATTCCTGCAAGCATACTAGTCTTAGCAAGTATTGGTGTGGCTTCACTTGGGAAATGATTGCTTTTTACTGATTGTTTGCTCTTTCTAGACTTTTTAGTTACATTCTTTCACAGGAAATATGTTTGACTTGTTGTTATTAAAGTACATAGTGTTTCTCTGTGGCCCGTTTTGGGTCCTAGCAAGTGGCTGATGGCTTCCTTGCACTTTCACACACTCGTGGCAACATTCAAAAGAAAATGAAGTCAGACTTGGACCAAGATATACGCCTTTAGATGATGCTATGAGATGGTCTTTTAAAAATATTTCATCAAAGTTCTTTGTCTTGAAAGACTAACAATGCTTGTTAGATTGTTAATTTTTGAGATCCATGTGACTTATATCTATATTTTCATATCATTAAAATATTTCACTGGCTGTTGAGATATAAGTCACAATCTGCCAATTTGTCATTCTTTTCAATGACATCTGGATCCAAAATCATGATTGGTTAACATGTGAAGTTGGTCCATTAATTTTATCCAGGAAAAAGTTATTGGAAGCTACATACATAGTTTTAAGATTTAAAATTTCAAATTTCTATGACTAATAAACTACAGAATCCCTCATGCCACATCTCTAACACATTGATTCCGTAAATGTTTCTTAAATTATGTTCAGTGCTAAGATGCCAATAAAGTTTCATTTTAGATGAATACAATATAAATTGATTTATTAGTTGAATATTTGTTGTATATTTGGGCCAACTGTCCAAGTGAATTTATTCAGATATCCACATTTTATATATAACTACTTTCACATTTCTGAGTAATTTCATTGGCACATTTTTATGTGTTACAGAAGTACTTTATGATTTGGTGAAAATAATATTTACTTTGATTTTCATATCGTACCATAGCTATCTAAGAATCTACCTTTATTATCTAATTATAACCATCCTGCCAACAATTCTACCTCTAGATTTGTTCTATTCTGCATAGACATATCTACCTAGAAGAGCCTACCTCAGAGAGGAATTTCCCTCTGAAGTATCATTTTCCTGTGGCCTGTTTTCTTGCCTTCTTGTTTTGATCTTTCAGGCGATGTGACTTTCCTGGCTATAGTTGCTCTCCTGAGTCTCTGACCTCCCAACATAAAAAGGCCTCTTCTCCCTTGTGTTGCCTCCGGGTTTTCTCTTTCATTGTTATGTGTGTAAGCCTTCCTTCTGCATGACTGATTGACTTTCTTCCCTGATCTCCTGTTTTGGAAGCTGGATCATCATGACCACTTACCTGACCGCTGAACCATCAGCCATTCTGCAGTGTAACTTTTAACACCTTTTAGGGTTCCTTAAACCTCACATTTTTATCTACTGAGACTGTGATATAACTTTAAGCAGTAATATTAAAACTTGTAATATTCATTTACAACAGACATTTTTTCTGCTTTTTTAAGTGAAAAGTTGAATATTAGCAATTTAATTGGATCAACCTAATATTAAGTGTAAACATAAACTGTGCTGCTGAAAATGTTCAGAAATTCAAACTCCTCTACTTCAAAGCTCTGACACCATGTCACGAACCAAAGAAACAATTTAGTAGCTCTTACATAATAGACTAAGTATCATCAAACAACACTGTTTACTTTCTAAAGGCAATACTCTAGGTGCCTTAATGAATAAATTTTATCTATAAAAAGTACTTTTAAAATTATATTTTATTGTGGTAAGTCATTAAGGAGCAAATTTTCTGACAATATTTTAACTAGTTTTGCACTTAATCCAATAATCAAATTAAGTTTTATCTATGTTATTATAGAACTGATACATTCTTGAGAAAGATGTATATATTGATTCATATGAGATTTTTCATAAAAAATATATTAAAGAAAAATAGCCCCTCATATGCAATAATGGGAAAGCCACATGGATTTATATTGTAGCTATGGTATAAGAGATCATGTCCTTATTATAATCTTCACATCTATGTTTACATATGTTATTTATAAATGTACATTTTGCAATGTCTTGACATTTGTTAGCTGTGAAAGACTATGCCAGGTATGTTTCAGGGGAAAATGAAAGTGCTTGCCCAGAAATATAAAAACAATGTTGTCTCGTCTCCTAATATTTACATTTTTATTTCTGTTGATAAAATAGACTTCAGTGTAACAGCATCTATACAGAATAAATTCCTGATTTACAAAATCTTCTGCAAACAATTATTGGTTTCTCACTGCAAAGTATAGAAGTTGCTACTGTCAAATCAGAAATATTTCCCTTTGTAACTGTCTGTACTTGCTGTTGCCCTATCATCGCTATAAAGGGATTTTTTACCTTGAGTAAGAATTGAGCAATTTGCAAAACAGGCAAAAATGAGGAGTAGACATAACCCTTCTAAGAGCTATGTACTCAAGCCCCATCATCACTCCCTCCGTGCAAAACAATAGGCTGTAAACACCATCCATGTCTGTAGCACTTTTCCACATGTCTTTATTCTTTCAGGATATACTCCTAAATTAATTCCAGCTCAAACTACTTTTAGCTCTTCACTCTGTTTCTCATTTATTATCCTACTTCTACTTCCTCAGATTTAGTTCTCCCCTCTCTAAATAGTGACTGTCAGTTAGTCTTCATGGCCTCTGGCTTGAATTGTATCCACAAGGTTTTCTGGCTTGCAACTACTTTTTAAAATTTATAGACAGGAATTGATCTCTAAGAGTGGATCCATCAACCATAATCCCAAAAGGAGAACAATTTGAGATGTGGTTTCCATGTTGGCCTTCATCCTGTGCCTTAGTTTAGATTTCTTTAGCTTTATTTCAGTTTTTATTTTATCTCCTCTATTTCCCTCATTTCATGCTTCTCTCTCTTTCCCTTGTCTTTCTTTCCGCTATTTAAATGCTCCAGAACCTTTTTATTTTAATGTCAAGTAACACGCTCCAAAGGTATCACCTGGGAGGAATGAGGAAATATGAAGGCCTAGAAACCTAGGGAAGAAAATCAAATGCAATGAATGGAAGGAATTGTAATAAACACACATGGTAAGAGCATGGTGGAGTGGATGCTTTGGTGATATTCCCAGATCCCCTCCCTTAAAGACTAAAGTATTCATTCTTCCCAGCTGCTGTAAATGCTGACAACAGACAACAGCTGGGCAAGGGGAGCCTCCTTGTCTGAGGTCACACACTCTCCCTGGGAGCACGTCGTATCTATTGACTGGCTAGCAGGAAGATAAAAGACTTGGTTCCTTTGCTTCAGGGATTACTGTCAAGAGTCATTCCAATTCTAGAGCTCCCCATGAGATTAGCTGATGCCTTTTTTTGAGACTTCATTGCAGTTCAACTCTTCTCAATCCAATTTCCTCCACTGCTTTGCAGGTATTGATCTCAACAAAATTCTTGCATGCAAATTTCCATATCAGAATCTTTTATCTAATAAACTTGACCAGAAATAATAGGCTTTGGGGGTCAGAGAGATCTGGGTTTGAATTCAACTGCACTTTTACTTGCTAGCTGTGTTACTTTGGGGTTTATTTTCTCTATAGGCAAAAATGGGTAATAAGAAAGCGGAAGTATTCTACGGTGGTGACATCCTTGAAGTTGTACAACATAATTCCCTGAAAAAAACCACTACATAAGTGAAAGATTAAATCATATATTTAAAGCAGTTACTGTTTTGCAGAGTAGACACTTAATACATTTTTTGTTCCCCCCTTTTAACTTTGGACAGATTGAGGAAAACAAGAAGGAAACCAAGCAAAATAGTCAATTAAGGATCTAATTAAGGGTAGAGTATTCCTTATCTAAAACGTTTGGGACTGGAAGTGTTTTGGATTTCACATTTTTTTCTGCCTTTGTAATATTTGCATATATACAATGAGATATCTTGGGGATGGGACCCAAGTCTAAACATGAAATGAATTTATGTCTTATATACACCTTACACTCATAGCCCAAAGATAATTTTATAAAATATTTTAATGATTTTGTGCATGCAACAAAGTCTTGACTGTATTTTTACTATGACTTGTCACATGAGGTTAGGTGTGAAAATTTCCACTTGTGGAGTTACATCAGTGCTCAGAAAATTTTGGATTTTGGAACATTTAGCACTTCAGAGTTTAAGATTAGTGATGGTCAATCTCTTTCATTTTTGGAGTATAAGATAGTTATCTTAGAATCAAAGAGATTTTTCAGTTACTTTAATGGGATGAAGACAAATTAAGATGGACAAGCAAACTGTTTGCCACTGCTGAGTTATCTTTATTTTGACTTGAACCTATTAAACCCTTTGTGTTAGGCAGAAAGTCCTTCTCTGTCCCAACTATGTCCACGTCTCAATCTCTACAACCTATAAATATGTTTCCCTATATAGTAAAGTGGGCTTTGAAGATGCGATTAAATTTTAGGATTTGGGGAGGGATTATTCTGAATTTTCCAGGTGAGCCAAATGTAATCACAAGGGTCCTCAAAAATGAGAGGCAGAAGAGAATTAGAGAGAGAGATGACTACAAAAGAGGTTAGAGTTATGCAATGTGAGATGAGTTCAGCCTGGCGTTGCTGGCTTTGCAGATAGAAGAAAAGGAGCCATGCTGGAAAACATACAAAAGTAGCTCCTCCCATAGAGCCCCAGAAAGGAAAGCAGCTCATTGGACACTTTGATTCTTGTTCAGTGAGACCTGTGTTGAATATCTGACCTATAGAACCATAAGATAATACATTTAACAAATGTGTATGTTGTTTTAAGTTACTAAATTTTAATTGATTTATTACAGCAGAAATATAAAATGAGTACACTTTTCATAACTCATGGAAAAGTTATCAACCAGTAGGCCGTGTCTAGCGACCAAAGAGCCTCAACCACGTGGAAAGAAAGGGAACAAGATGGGAAACCAGTAAGAGTATGACGTTAATCATTGGAATAAAATATATTTGGCATATACCAATGGTTGATCGTATGTTTACAATATGTTTCTTTCACACTAAGCTTGTTTTGCCAGTACCATCTCTTGACCTTCTAAGATGCACCTTCTCTTCCCCATTTCCTTTCAATTGCATCCATAACCAGAAAAGTTATATTTCCCATCACATTGAGAAATAGCTGAAAACTTTCTTTCCTTATTTTTGCCTACTGCTCACCTTATTTTGCTTAATATTAACACTCTGTTAATTCAAACTAGCTCTTGATCTGGATTTTTATCTCTCAACCTCTACCTAAATTAACTTTTTTCCTACTATTTCTCCAGAAATAAGCATTGCTCTCACTTGTTTTGTTGTCATAGTTTATTTGTATCACAAGGAAAGACTATAATCACAACTAAACATCCATTGATTCATCAAAATAGAAGAAAGGGAATCCCTGAGTTTTTATGTGATTTGAACAAAATACAGAGTTCAGGAGAAGAACGCAGTATGTAGAGGACTAATTAAAATCACACAGGCTCCAGTTCAGTTCCTGCTCCTCCAATTGGTCAGTATCTCATGTCAAGGAAATTATTTAAATGTCTAAATCACACTTTATCCCCTATGAAAGATGGGCTATACTGACCCAACAGAGTTATGTGAGTATAGTAAATGATCATAAAGTACTCTAGCAAGATAACAGATAATAAACTTCAAATAAATGTTATTATTTTTACTACAAGAACCATTGACATTAATAAATATTGTCCTGAAAAAGCTCCCAACATTATATTCAATGCCATGTTATCTTTGATGGCTTTTGTGCCCATGTCCACATACTCTTCTAATTTATAGTCTGTTCTTCATGCAACAATAATCAAGAAAAAAGTGAAATTGAATAGTTGGTTTTATCAACTTGAAACTTTGTTTTTGAAAATTATATTTAAATTTCTATTATAAATTATGTTAGAAAGCAAGTTTATTATTTACAAAACTATTTTTGGAAATATGTTCTGAGCTTCCAACAACTGTCTATAACTTGAATTTTGGCACCTATTATTGTAATATTCTTTCCTGGATGTCTATGGCACGTAGATATTCTAATAGACTATGACTTAGAATAATATCAAAGGGAAATTCAATAGAAATTATCAGTCTTTTTGGCACAAAATATTTCAAATGGAATCTAATGCCTAATTTTTCCCATTGTATGTGTTGGCATATTAACTTAGATACTATAGACTTTTACAATTGGCATAAAGTCTTGATTATGCCAGATAAAAAAATTTGAGAGATCTGCTGCATAACATTGTCTCTGTAATTAAAAATACTGTAGTGTACATTTAAAATGTTGTTAATACACTGGATCTCATGTTAAGTGTTATACTACAGTAAAAGAAAATAAATCAGAGAACTTTAAAAATTAATTTCCCATACCAAAGATTATTGTCTATTTATTTTTAATAGTATTGAATGTTTAGCTCTTTGACCAAATAGCATTATTAAATAAATACAGGCAAATACTAACTTCATCAAAGTCATATTTAACAAGACTTTGATTGACTTGCCAACACTATGGGTGTTGTTTTTCCTCTGGGCCATGGCTGAGACTGAGAATTCCTGCCCTCTCTCTTCGTAAGCATTTCTGACCCCCTGGACATTTATTTTGGTATGCTGTCCACTTGGGGACAAGTTGCTATAGTTGTGACCACTCTCTGGCCTCTTTCCCTAGAAAAAGCAGATCAACACCCTTCTTTCCAAAATGCAGCATTTTGTTTTTAACCTAAATTCAGTAATTAGATATTTAAATGCTATTAGATGTAAGTAAATTGCTTTGATTTTTTATTTCACTCTTAGTGATTTTCCAGTGGTTCATTTGCAAGAGGTACACATGTTTCTACCACAAAACTCATTACAGATAGTCTAGCCTTAGCTCAAATTTTAAGAGTTTGACCTTTGTTTTAATTAATGAAGTGGCAATATTAAATTATTAAAAGTACTGGAACCAAAAAAAGTGAGAATCATCCTCAAAAATATTTTAATGAACCCCAGAGTAAAATTAGCTAGGTGAATTATTAAAAACTATATTATAGTTAAAATGCTTTCCTAGTATCCATTAATTAACACAATTAATTTCACCTTTCTTAATGAACATAACTCCATTGGCATTTGGCATTTTTTCCTCTTTCTTGGGTTTCTTTCTGCTTATTTATGTGTTTTAGCAGTAAAGAACTGCAACCTCAGCAAACTATAAATTTTATTTTTGGAACACAAAATATTTTCCTGGGAGCCACGACTTAACGATTTATGGAGAGGTATTTTATTTTTAAATATATAGAGGATCTGCAAGAACAACAACAATAAGAAAAAACTTTATATCAGTCCCAGAAAAAGTGGTTCTAATTAAAAATTAAGGTAGAGTTTATTAATTTAGTAACCAAGTCCATAAGAATAGAGAACAACTTTTTCTTTATTCAGTAATGCAGAATTAACATTAAATCTCTTTGATAATTCTAAAACTATCCGTGCTTTTGTATTTTAGTTTTCTACACACTTACCAGCTCATTGGTTTCTGGATTAGAAAAATAAAGTTAAACACAAATTGAGGAGCAGTACTGACTGTGCGGAAAATATGCTCCACTCTTAAAAGTATGCTAAATATATTTTTTAAAGTTTCTAATTAAAAATTATTTACTTACCAAATGTGATTGCACATGTCGGCTTTATTTAACTGATTTAATATTTTGATTGCATACCTCCTAAATATGTTTTCAACTAAGATAATTGTGTTAATTTGCATCTTGAAAGGGAATCTTTCAAGACAGAGAATTGTCTTCAAGGTAATCTCTGGTGAATTAAAAATATATTTTTTCAACAATTTATGATATAATTTTTAAACATTAATTCCCTACTTACTCTATAACCCCCGAAGTTCTCCCTAGGGTTATCTCGTAAGCCCTTCTTAGGAAATGACTATAAGATTGTGCCTTAGAGAATTCTAGAGAAAGCTTTTTAAAGACAGGACTTATTGGTCTTTACATAACTGAAAAACACGTCAAAGAAATAGAAGCTCAGAGTTCAATATTTTTTCTTTAGCATAGGATAGATAAAATTACAAAAATTCTTTCATTGCTGCGTTACAGAATGACAAGAATAATGTTATAGTACATAAATGACAAAGCCTTATTATCTACACTGCTATACTGAAGTTTGAGAAATTCTGAAGTTTCCAAGCAAGTCTCCCCACACCACAACCCCCAGAACAAGTATCTATCTAAATCAAATAAAAACTCAGGGATACTAGGAGAAATTAATTCAAACTTGACAGATTTCTGACCCCAGTTGTTAGTGTAACACTAGAATAGTTAGGATTAAGAAAATGGGGCTCAAGCTCTCTGCCTCGTTATCAGGTTCTATATTGTTACTGCTTCTTAGTGAGGCTGATGGAGTCGAATTAGTAGGTCAAGAGAGCAAAGCTAGTCAGTTTTTTAACAGTGCTACCAAGCACGTCACATTTGGAGGACTCAGCACAGAATCCACCGAAAACATTTTGTTAATTTTGTACTCATGTTCTAAACATTATTTAAAAAGGATCAAACACAGACTCTCTCATTAAAGAGATATTGTCAAGCCTGAGTTTGATTATGTGTTAACTGAGAACAATTTACTGCCCAAAGCCCCTATACAGTTAACACAATAATTTAGATACAAACAGAAAGAAAAGTGCTATGAATCTTGCTTCCTGGAGTGACAGAGGTTGGAGCGTGGGTGAGATTTCAATGAACTACATTTATGAGTGGCCAGGAACTATAGATAACAGCATAGTTAGATGCAATATTTTATCTCAAATTAGACCCAGACATTGTGAAGCAAGATGTCCTTCTAGCAATCTTAGTAAGTGTTGGCAGCAAGAATAGGTTTCAATCCAACAATACATTTCTAAAAGAAGCAGATAATTAAGTATCACCTAATTATCTTCCCTATATCTTTTGAAAGGTTAACACTTTCATGTTTTAAAATCAAAGTAATAAGGGGAAAAAATGTAGTGACCTGAATATACTCCCTAACCTTTAAATTTCTAAGACTTTTTTTTTTTAACATTTCAAATCCTATATGTGGGAAAATTATATTATAATGGGGGAAGCCTCCTTTTTTTTTTCTTTTAGTTCAAGTTTTTTCCAAGTTTCTTGTATTTCACTGGAAACAACATAGCCAGATGAAATATCTCCAACTAAAGTGTCTTTACAAAACAGACAAACAAAAGTACATTAAGGGGGTTTGGATTTTTAAAGGAGGAGTTACTTTCATTACACGTACTAATCCCCAAACTCTCCCCTTTACATTTGACAGTGGCCTCATTCCTGGTATTAGCTAATGTCATCAGTGTTAACTTCTATTTCAGTAGAGAAGAAAATGTATCTTCTCAAGATACTTTTAAATCTTTGTTTAGGCAAATTCTCAATATACAGTAAAGGAAATACAAATAGAAATATTTCTAAAGTATCTAAAGTCTTTGCTTGAATAACGATGAATAGAAATAATACACAAAAAGACCTGTGTTCTCTTCACCCCTTGATGAAATGAAATGCCACAAATAACAAGTGAAGCTCCCTGTATTGGCCTCCTTACTTCCTCTCCCATCCTCTCTCCTCATAGATAACCACTTTCTTCAGTCTGGCATTCATCATGTCCATGAATTTATGCTTTCTTTATGTATGTATAGGTCTCTAAAACATAAACATTAGAGGCACAGTGGCTCATGCCTGTAATTCCAGCACTTTGGGAGGCCGAAGTGGATGGATCATTTGAGGTCAGGAGTTTGAGACCAGCCTTGCCAACATGATGAAACCCCATCTCTACTAAAAGTGCAAAAAATAGCCAGGCATGGTGGCAGGTGCCTGTAATCCCAGCTACTTGGGAAGCTGAGGCAGGAGAATTGCTTGAGCCTGGGAGACAGAAGTTTCAGTGAGCCTGAGATCATGCCACTGCACTCCAGCCTGGACGACAGAGTGAGACTCTGTTTCCAAAAAAAAAAAAAAAAAAAGTAATGAATAAATGTGGCAGACTGCCACAGTTACTACTTGAGATTGTCACTACAACAGTTACTACTGTTACTACTTGAGACCATCATTACAAGACTGAATGAAGGAGGAGGAATGCAGAGATGCTAACAAAAAACAAAAGAAACTGTTTTCAAAAAAGGGTCCAGGGAAGAAGAAGATAGCTCCCTGCTTCTAGTGAGCAAAGGCAGCAGCCCTGAGCTTCTACAGCCCTTCATATTTGTTGGGTAGAAAGAGCAGGGAGGAGGAGGTAACGATTGGTCAGCTGCTTGATTGATCACAGGTTAACATTATCACTAACAGGCTTCAGATTTGCCTAATCACAAGAAACACTTGTGCCTGGGTTCTGACTGCCCTCAGCATTCCTTCTTGGCAGCAGATGCAGTTTGTCAATTTGCCAACATCCTGCTTTCATGAGAACAGTTTGCTGTTTACTAATGTAGCCTCCAGTGATTTACTGAGTTGATCAGGACCCTCACTCATGTAGCCTCCAGTGATATACTGAGTTGATCACGACTCACTCATGTAGCCTCCAGTGATATACTGAGTTGATCATGACCCTCATTCTTTCGGCCTTCAATAAATAAAGGTATGTATTTATTTTGTAGTCTGTTCTTTTAAAAGCCAAAATGTGGGTCTGTGAGATACATTCAGATTGATAAAGGTAACTCAAATTCCTTCATTGTCACTGCTGACTGATATTCTATTGCTTGAATTTGCTAACACAGTCTACTTACTCATCCACTGTTGATAGTACAGTAGGTGGCTCCAATAAATTTTATATAAGTAATGCAAATAATGTTTAACACTCTTAAACAAGTATCCTTATACATACCTACGAAGGAAATTGCTGAGTGTTGGCATGAGCATGTCTTTAAATTTATGTCTACTGACAAGTTGCTCTTCAAAGTGTTTACATCAATGTATATACAAATGGGCATTGTTTAACATTTGCTTTTGCTACCTGATTCATGCCAACACTTGGTATGGTAAGATACCATTTTTAGTATTCTGATAGCTGTGAAGTATCAGCTCTTATTTTTATATGATTTTTCCTAATTGAAACCAGTTGAATAGTTTTCCTTCTGTTTATTGAGCATTCATTTTTCTTCTTTTAGAATTCTTTTTTTTCTTTTGACAGAGTCTTGCTCTGTCGCCCAGGCTGGAGTACAGCGGCATGATCCTGCAACCTCCACCTCCAGAGTTCAAGTGATTCTCCTACCTCAGACTCTCTAGCGGCTGGGATTACAGGTGTGCACAAACACACCCAGCTAATTTTTTGTATTTTTAGTAGAGGCGGGGTTTCACCATGTTGGCTAGGCTGGTCTTGAACTGAACTCAACTGATCTGCCCATCTCAGCCTCCCGAAGTGCTGGGATTACAGGCATGAGCCACCACGCCCGACCCATATCTTTTGCCTATCAGACTGCAGATTGGCTTGTCTTCCTCTTCATATTCACAGAAGTTCTTTTCATATTCCAAATAATAATCATTTGTCAATTATAGACCTTGAACTTTCTCAATAAAGTTTATCTTTAGTCTTTCATTTTGTGTTTGTTTGATGCACAATTATCAATTTTGATAAAGTCAAAAAATTTTTTAACTATGAAAATATTTATGATTTTGTCTTGCTTAAGACATTATTTTTTACTCTGGACTCATAAATTGTTCTCCTATATATTTTTGTAAAAGTGTTAAAATTTTGTTTATTACATTTAGATCTTGAATGCAGTACAAATTATTTTGTGTAATTTACAGAAATAATAATTGTGAGCATTTTGGATCATTCCTGAATCAAAGGAATGGTTCTAATTTTCATCATTATGTGTCTGGTTTGCTAAAGTTTTTTTGTACTGTTATATGTTTTTTGCTCTCTTATCAACTGCCTTTATTTTTTGCTTTTAATGACACATTTAACAAATTATTTTTATATATGTTCTCCTTTGATAGATTTATTCTATTATAAATATCCTGATATTGAGTCATCCTTGTATATTTGAGATATCATACAACTTTGTCATAATGCAGTAGATATACATACATATCAGGATATGATTTCCTAGTATTTGCTTATAATTTTACATCTATGCTAGTACTTGATATTAGCTTTTAATTTCCTTCCTCATTCTGTCTTAGATTCAAATGTCATAAAATGAGTGGGAAACAGTTCCTTTCTTTGTAACTTCTTTACTTTGTAACAAATTTAAATTTGTAAGTATGCTTCAGAATATTTGCTAAAATTGCTTTTGAAAATATCAATGAATGAAGGGGTGAACTGATTCTTAATTACTGACTGAATTTCCTTCATGGGTTTTTTCTTTTAAGGTTTTCATTTCTTTTGTTATCAGTTTTGTAAATAGCATTTCTCTATTTGTTCTAGTTTTCAAGTACACTGAAATAAATTTCTTTATAATATTCTTTTTTTGTTACTTGGGTTTCTATATTTTAATTCTTGATATTCTTAATATTGATTCTTAAAATTCTTCATGATCACTTTTGTTGTTTCAACCTGTATTGGTAGAATATTTGTCTTTCAGTAAACAAATATCTAATTTTGTTTACTCTCTCTAGGTTTTTATTCTATAACTTTAATATCATCTCTTACAAATGTGTTTAACTCTCCTCAAATTTTTGGAGTTCATCCTGGCTTTAAAGTTGATAATTTGGTCATTAATTTTTTGGTCTTCCTCCCACAAAATAAATTGTTTGCAGATATAAATTTCCTGTAAATTTCTATAATAATTCTGTTGTAAGAGTTTTAATATGTAATATTTTACCACATATTATTTCTAACTTTTTTCTAATGTCCAATATGATTCTTTCTTTTTTGGGATAAGATCATGCTATGGTGCCCAGGCTGGACTCAAACTCCCTGGCTGAAGCCATCCTCCTGCCTCTGCCTCCCATGTGTCTGGGATTTCAGGTATGTGCCACTGTGCCCCACTCTATGCCATATGATTTTTTAAATCTATAATGTACATATGATTTTGAATGTCTAAGTAAACATCTTTTTACATATTTTCTTTCTGTAGTTGCTAAAAATTCACCTTAACATTACCTTTCATGCAAAAATGTGGTTTACCTGATAATTCTTGAAACATAGCATCACTTACATAAATTTTATAAATCCAAACTGCCAATCTTGTTTTATAATTGTTTTATAACTGTCTAGTTTACTGCATAATAATATGTTGGATGTGTACTTATTTTGTCTTCTCTATTTTTATTGCCTTTTCTAAGCATTTTTACAAATATTTTCTTATTTCTTTTGCATTACTTGAGATTTGCTTCCTCATGTTTTCCTTTTACCGGTTTGGAAGAATAGAGTAACCTTAGAACCATCAGATCCCATCACTTCTCTCCAAAGTTACACGTTCGAATTTTACTTTGTTGTTGACCTCTCAATCAGACACCATTAATTTATTCAGCCAATTTATTTTGATTTACCTACTTTTATACAAGCTGCTTTTCTTCTCGTAAGCAAAACCTTTTATTCTGGGCAAAAATAAATTTTAGCACTTCCTTAAGTGAAAATTAATTAGAAATAAGCTCTCTTGCTTTGTGTAGAAACATATTTTCATTTCCTATTTGGCCTCCAAATGATAGGTTAGCTTATTTTCAAATCATGGGTTGACAATTATTTGTTTCAGAACTTTAAAAATATTATTCTCCTGTACTCTGACTTCTATTGTCGATGTTGAATAATCAGTTGTCACTTTAGTTGTGTTCCTTGGAAGATAATTTGTCCTTTCCCTCTGGAACTTTAAAGGTTCTCTCATTCTCTCTTTTTCTCTCCACTTTGTAGCTTTACTAAGACAAATTTGAAAATTTTGTTGGCTTGTTTGAGTGTTTGTTGTTGTTGTAGTTTTTGAGGTGGTGTGATTCTGCATAGGATTTATTATGATCCCTGGATTCAAAATTTGTGTTCTTTGTAAATTCAGCAACATTTTTTATGCACTGTTACTTTAAATATTAGCTCTCTCACCTTCTATTTATCATTTACTTCTGGATTCTAATCGCATGCTTCTCTACTTAATATTTAATTTCTTTTCATTTTTTAAAGCTCTTTCCCTCATGTTTTACTCTATCTTCTGTTTCATTAATACTCCTTTTAGCTGTGTTTAATATTTATCAGTCCTCTATTGTGGATTTTTTCTAATTTAAATATTCATATTTTACATTTATATACATTGAATTTGGCTTGTTTTTCAAATAAATTGGTTTTGTAAACAATAGTGAGACCTTGTCAAAAATATTGGTATAATATCACCTGAGTTTTATAAATCCTCTTTATATCTACAACTGCAACATTTTTATTTTCCTTCCCTAAAAATTCTAACATTTTTGTGTACAATTTTGACATTGTATATGATAGTTATTATCTTAGTTTTATTCAGTTGGTACCTACATGCATTATTTTATCTTATTGATAATTGTATATATGAGTTTTTTTCTTAGTAAATTTTCACTTAATATTATAGCAATATCCTGTATGACAAAATGATAAACTATGTGTTCATTAGAAACATTATATAATAGTTGACAAGTGTACAGACTTTTCAGGTGGATGAATAAGAATTCATATGCGGTCTCCAACAGTTACAAGTTTTGTAACTTATTTGATTTCTCTAAACTTCAGTTTCCTAATCTAGAATATTTGGATAGTAAATTGGTAGCATTAAATGCTAAAATATAAAATAGTAACAATATAAATAACATCTGATGTTTATTGAAAATTACACTAAGCCTTTGATATCAGTCAGACATTTTTATCCTCAAAGGAGAATATGATGGTAGTCCTATTACTATCCCCACTTTACAAATATATGTAATGCATGTAAAGCTTTTAGCATATTGCCTATTACATTATAAATTCTCCGACAAATAATGGTTATTATTATGTTTACAACCCTTCAATTTCTGAACTCATGAATATTGTATTATTAAGAGTGGTATAAAAGAGCATAAAATATAAATAATATACTGTCAAAACCAAGATTCACTGGGCCACTAATAAGTATTTCTGTTAATTCCTTGCAGTAAGTATATTTGAGAAATATTATAACTATTTAGTTACTAGTTCAAAGTGCCATTTTTTCAGTTGCTAAGTAATAGAAATATGGCATTAATTCTTAAAGTATTTCAGATTCTCTACCTGTACCACTATTGTTCCCACCTCGGTCACTTATATATTCTCATTCTTTCTTTGAGAAAATAGTTGTAAAGACTTTCATCTTTTCTCTCTCTTGTTCCTTTATTCTTGCTCTTTCTTTTCTTTGTAGCTCCTCACCATAATGTATAGAGTAAAAACTTTCAAGTCTTCTAGGATGACAAACCCTGAAGGAAATGGAAGAGTGAAGTTTCTAATTTCTTGATTTCCCTTTTCCCACTATATATTTTAAATATATAATCCAAGAGCTGCTACATTGCTTTGATTTATTATGTGGAAGAGGAAACTTGTAATTATTACCAAGCAAAAGTCAATTGATATTGAGGAAAAAATCCAAATAGAACTATCCCCCAAACTTTGCAATAGCCCCTTTCTTTATTTGTCAGCCATGTTTCTTTTTATTTGCCTAAATTATTTCAAAATGTTTTACCAGGATATAAAATTCAGAAATGTATTTAAAGAAGAAGAAACAGCAGAAAGGAGATAATGAAGAGGTAATAACACGAAGGTAAAATGCATAATCTGAAGTTCTGTGTACATGGTCACAATTTGCATTTAATCAACAGTGATTATAAGATAAATTGAAGGAACTGCTCAATAATGATTACAGTTTCTGATCTTAACAGGTAGAAATTTTTCCCAAGGATCATAAAGTAAAATCTGTATATCAAAAAATAGTGTCCCTAATAACTTATATCCATTAAACACGGGTATAAGTTTCATGTTTTTTATAAGCCATCAGCATCTTATGAAAATGCTATATCCTTCTTTAATAATTTTGATATTCTGAAACATAGACGTAAAGTTGCCTTCCATGAAAGTCTACTTGTTTATGCTGTAGGAAATAACTAGAAGTTCTACCAAAAGTGAATATCTACACTGAAGGGCTCACAGATATTTTTTACTTTTAAATTAAATTTCACTAACTATAATTTATAACATAAGGAAAACCCGTGCTTTCTTGACTTAATTGAATATCTAGTTCCCCTTTCACACATATCCCAACTAAAACTTTCTCCAAATACTTCTTGCAATCTCTTGTTTAGTCAATGTATTAGGTACTTCATGAAGGCAATTCCCTTTGAAGTCAATTTGTCCTCTAAAAGACTTAAGAGAAAATCCGGGCGATAGTAGACCCAAGAGCCAGACAAACTTACTGTGTTTTAAAAAGCAGCTACTTAACCAATGTTTCATTCAATCGAAAGTGGTTCTTTTCTTGGATAGTTATGTGCACATCCTTAAAATCTCTTCTGAGATCCTCATCAAAGCTTCCTGAGAATTTAGGTAAATTGATTTACTTAGTCTTTCATCAATTGCTCTGTTTACTCTTTAGGAGTGATACAATAGGGCAAAGAGCAGTTAAACAGAAATTCACCTTGTTAATTTTTACCACCTTTCATATATTACTTAGGCACATGACATACAGACAGACACTCAGTGGGATCATTAATGGCAACTTAAAAAACAATTCAACTAAACCTTGACTTATGATCACATTTTTGAATGGTAATGTACTCAACAAAATACAATAAAACTCAACTTTATAAGCCATGTTTTCTGAGCTTTCTCTAAGTTTTCCTCTTACTTAGCTCAATATTTGCTCAATTTGTATGAAAAGAAGTGTTTAAAGTACCTGGTACAGGGTTCTGTCAAAAAGACTTTTGTCCAGGGACACATAGAGGCTCATATAAAAACAAATTCATAAACTTGGCCTCATTAATGCCATGCTCTAATCCAATAGTGAGAGAGGAGGCAGTTAGAGGCTGGCTAGGCAGATAGAGAGGGAGAGTTTCAAGAGAGAGACGGTGCCTATGGGAATGCACCTGTATCGCCCCTGTGGTGTAACTAGCAGGTGGAAATGTGGTTAAGAACTTCCTCTTATACCAGGATGTCTGCTCAGAAGGGACTGTCCCAACTTAGGCACAGGCACAATAAATTAACTATGTTTCCTTAACTTGACCCACTGCTAATTGTAATATCATTATCATTGTAGTTTTGGCAAACCCTGTGGGTTTCACTTAGGGTAGTAACCAAGGTGGAGTCACTATGGCCAACCCCAGGTATGCACGGATGCATCACCCCTAGGGGGAACTTTAGCTCCCCCATCAGGGTGGAACCCACAGAAGACTTCCTTGTTTTTGCCACATGAAAGAAATAGAACTCAGCCCCTTACTGGCAGCCCTCTTTTGGGGCCCCTCTACTGCTGAGAGCTTTTCTGTTGCTTAATAAATCCTACTCTGTCTTACTCATTTTCTGGTGTCTGTGTGCCTTATTCTTCTTGGTCATAGGACAATAACTTGGACCTCACTAAACTAAAGAATAAGGAGACAGCAACAATAGCTTCCACATGTGGATCAGGAATAGGGTACATTAATTTATTGATATGGGTCTGAAAATTCACATATGCAGAGTTACTTATGTATAGAAATAGCTTTGTGTTGATATACACTGATAATTTGTGAAGATATTTATTTTTAAGTTAGATTATAAGATAAATTTAATTTAAAGCATGGTATATTCATGTTTAGTTTGCATCGTTTTATCATTTTTTAAATTTTCTCCATCATTGCATCCTAAAAGTAGAGCTAGGAACATGTCCGGATCTCACAGATGAAAATGTTCAAAACACTTCTAGATACCAAAATACCTGTGATAATAATCATACAGTGTATCACAGCCAAGTTGTCACAGCACACTTACTGGTTATAACCACTGACTTTTTCTAAGCTCCTTTTGTGTATCAGAAGCTTTTTCTTGACTTTGACGGTGTCGGGAAATCCTAATTTCCGCAGTTCACTGGGAATTTTAGATGATTTAATCTGATTTTTAGACGGTGCTTGGTCAAAATAAAACTATCTAAAAACTCACAGAGTGACATTTAAATGCCAAGAAACTTAGACATTTCAATCTCTTTAAAACACAATAAATCTCTTTGTTGAATACTCCAGTTTATGCATGCATTCACTAATCTGCTCATTAGTTTTCTCATTCTCCATAAATTTATTGAGCAGTTTTGTGTGCAAGACAGTATGCTGAGTGCTGGTGTGATGTTTTCCAGGAATTTAACAATATAGTGGGAGAGAGATTATGAATTACAAAAATAATAGAAGAGCCACATAATGCTGTTACAGCCTCCTCTATGAGTACTGGGAACATTTGGAAGAGAAAGATACTTAGGAAAATGGGGTGGAGAAAGAAAGCATTATGCAGAAAGTGGAATTAAAGAAGGATGCTGAAAGTTGTGGTTGATCTCATGTGTAATTTGGGGGTAGAGATGGGTGTGGTGTTGGGAAGATAATCAGCATCCTAGTTTGAGGAAAACTACAGGTTAAAAGATACAAGCAAGAAAACACAACATGCACTGAACACTGATTAGAATGTCTGCCTGTAGTTTTGATAAGACTGGAAAGTGGAAGGCAGATGGTAGTAAAGACCTTGAATGTCTGGCTAAGAATTCTGAATGCTGTGTTATGCAACAGGGAATCCTAAATATTCCTGAGTATGACCATGACATTGTAAGTTAAACACTTACAAATGCACTTGTGATGTACACTGTTTAAAATACTTTTGCAAAAAACAAGTAATTTACTTTTCATAACAACTTTCTAAGATGCTTAGTTTTATTATCCAGGTATTTCATACTTGGAGAACTAAAAAACGGATACGTTAAGTAAGTTGCTTAAGGTCACAATTAGGAAGTGGTAGAGCTGGGATTCAAATCCAGACAAGTCTGTTTCAAATTCTGTGTTATTAACTATTACACTATCAAAGTGAGGGAACCGAGTCAGATTTTAAGATTAATTTGAGTGCAAATATGGGTGTGTTCAAAGAACTGGAAAGACTAAGAACAGAATTCAATAAGAAGAATTTTCAGCAGTATGAGCATGAGATAATGTTATTTAAACCAGAGTGGTGGCTGTAGGAAACGGATGGGTGCAATAGATACAAGTGTCCTTAGGAACTCACAACTACATATAAAAACTACAGAGTAAGTTAAACCATGTCATTTCTCAAAGAATCTATGTCTACCAAATATACATAGAAAATATTAGAACTTAATAATCACATATTTTAAATGCTTGATAAGATCTGTTCTTTTTACATACAAACTCAGCAAGTAATTTTAGTAAGTAATTTTTCCTAATTAGGGAATTATTATTTTTTGTTGATGAGCAATAGCCGAGTGTTAAATGTGGAAAACATTGACTATGGTTTGTCATGTTCTGTTTTACGTGGTGTTAACTTTCTGTTTGTGTACCTTTGCATTTTACTGATTCCCTACAGACGAAACTGTGTCTTTGAGAATTGTCTGTAAGCCTTCTGGGATATAAATTCCAGGTTATTTTGAAGTTATGCCTGTTTGTATCATTCGCCCACTCAAGACATCACACATTCTTCCAAACACCCCCTACACTTGGAACAGGCACCCAATTAATATACGCCATGCAGGCCACCTTGCTCTTCTCCTTCAAAAACTCCTAAAAAACCATCTGCTCTGGGAGGCATTCCAGCTACAATAACCACCTACTACTTTCAATTGCCTATAATATCTGCATTCACTTTCCTGAACACTGCTTACATCTTTTACCATTATAAAATCCATAAGACAAGATAATTTCTAAATATCTTGCAGAGATATGTAACCTCCTCTCCAACATCTACATTCCTTTAGAGTAGTAGTATATTCTTGCAAAGATTTCTGCCATGACAGATTAAAGAAATATCAGCTTTAAAAGAATAAGAGCATTAACATTGTCTCTTGTATCAAAATGTTCAGCCAACCCAGTTAGGTATTCTGATTAGGATTTAATGCCAAACTCTCACGGAGAATGTTGAGTGACACTATCTAATTAGTTCTTTATGAACATATGATAGTGTGGAAAGTAAACAAAGTAGTGAATTGTTTTTAAATTAGTGTACTTTGCTTCTCAAAGTTCATTATGTATTACTTGCTAGGCGACAGGAACTAATTTTGATTTTATGATATTTTGGATAAATTGTTCCCTGGGATTAAAAAAAAATAAGCTATGACAAGAACACAATTTATCAATATGCAAAATAGATGAAACCAAGACAATTTCTTTTTAATTTTTGAAATTGTAAGTCCATATATTGCCATGCTGGTTAACACCAAATTCCTGAATGCCTGTGAATCTCCTACCAATTATGTCAACAACATGAATATCTTCATAGGGATGCCACTGTCCAGGTAATAATCTAAAGACATGTATCTTTTACTCTTGCAAGTGTTAGGCCTTGCTAAATGATAAAGCGTTTTTCTTTGTATTTCCACAGCAGAGATTTCAGATCAACAGACAAGTCCCAGAGGACTGAGGACAAAATAATTAATATGCCAAAGTTATATAATAAGAAGGCACAGTGGGAGATTTCTGCCAAACTAAGAGGGCAAAGCCCTACAGTGGCTGAGTGGAGGAGGTGGGTGGCAAAGCCCAAATCATGGGATTAGAGAGACAAGAGATTGGATATCAGGATTGGTCCCCTTATTCTTCAGGTCAACACCTAAGAGTAGAAAAAAAATTCCTAAGTAAAATATGGCAATCAAAGAATCCTAGGGGTAATCTTGGGAGATCCTTCTGTGACTGAGAAGAATGATGCCCATTTTCATCATTCTGTGCCATGGACTGCATGGAAGTAGAAAGTAGCAAAGAGCAGAAGGAGGTGTCCTATCAAGTGGATCTGAGGAAAGTCCTCGCCAAGTCACATAGACCTTATTAGGTTGGAGGAAAAAAGCACCTTAGAATGACAAGACTCTTGAACAATGTGGACTCAAAAATGCTGAGAGAATGAACTAGGAGGAAACAGAGGTCAGGACAAGTAGTTGGTGGGATGTTGAGAATGAAGGTAATTACACAGTCTACAACCATCAGGAATAGCTATCAGTCAGATGCCCAAAATATCAGATGGGTCTCCACAGCGGATACCAGTGTAAGATGCCCAGAGACCAGGTGGCTTCTGCTACCTTTCAGCAGAAGTAGAGACCATCTGCCATCTGGGAGACAGAATCTTCCCCTATTGTGACTATTAATATTATATGTCAACTTGGCTGAGCCATGAGGTACCCAGATATTTGGTTAAACATTACTCTGTGTGTGCCTGTGAAGGTGTCTATGAATGAGATCACCATTTGAATTGGTAGACAGAGTAAAGCAGATTGCCCTTCACAATATGGGTAGGACTCATCTAATGTGTTGAATGTCTAAATAGAGCAAAAAGGCTGGGTAAAGGAGAATTTTTTCTCTCTGACTGATACATTTAAGCTGGGAGATTGGTTTTCTGCCTTCAGGTTTGGACTCCACTAAAACCGTTACCCTGTCCTACTTCTCAGGCTATTGGACTCAGACTGGAACTATAGCATCAGCTCTCCTTGATCTCCAGCTTACTGACTGTGGATCTTGCAGCTTCTTAGCCTCCACAATCATGTGAGCCAATTCCTTATAATAAATCTCTCTATCTGTCTCTCTCTCTCTCTCTCTCTCTCTCTCTCCATCTAATCTCCAATTAGTTCTGTTTCTCTGGAATACGCTAAAATACTCCTATGTTATAAGAAACTGTGCTATGCCCTTTGTACTTAAACATTGTTCTGAGAAAGAGGAAAGTAAAGTCAAAGCCAGTGAGTTGAGAAAGATACCCAGAACAACTGGGTAGTTACATCAATGAGAAAATGTGTTAAACCAGAGAAGACTGAACTGCTTTTAATGAACAAGATCAGCTATTTACTTAATCAGTGAGATGCCCCAAACTCTTACTTCACCAGTAAGAGTGGCCACTCAAAAACAAAATGGGATCAATTAAAGAAATTAATGAAACTCACTCTTTTGCACAGTCAGACTTATGATTGTTTAATATTTTACTGCTTGTATTAAAGTTGTTATTGCTAACATATTCCTAATCTGAAGCCCATCAAGAGAATTTTTGACTCTTTTCTGAAGTCATTCAACAAGTTTGTTTTGAATTTTATTTAGATTTATTTGGAAAGGTACACCTGTTTTTGACTGTTTAGAAAATATTAATTATCACCATCGATATGCTTGCAATATTTCCTGCCCAATAGAAAAGAACATGCATGACATACATATGTGGGCTTAAATATCTCAAGAGCAAATAAAATAATTTATACAAAAGCAATTATTTAAAACTATAAATCAGTAAGCATATGTTATTTTATTACTGAAGCAATAATAATACGGATCAATAGGTTTCTCAGAATGTAAAACAACCAGGGTAATTACCTAGAATCTATTAACAACCTTATTCTCATATAAATTCCAAATTATTTGAAAATATATTTTAAAATAATATTTACTTTGCAATTGAGAAAAATACCTGAGATCCTAGAATTGCAAATTGTATCATTTAGAATGAAATATTTATGCTTCATTTCATCTATTAAGTCTCTGAAAAAATATGTGGATAGCAGCTAACATTTGGATAACTACTCCTGGCAAATCATTTCATAGTGTAACTTGATAAGGGCATTTCTTACTGAAATTTTTAATAAGAGTCACCTGAATGTGAATTTAACTCAGAAGACTATAAAGACAAAAATGGGTCAAGTGAAACTGACTGAATTTATATTATATAATAAAAATCATAGGTAGAATGCAAAAAGGAAACAACTAATATAAGCTAATTTACAATCATGTGTCACTTTACAGAAATACCTTCTGAGAAATGCATTGTTTGGAAATTTTGTTATTGTGCAAATATCATAGAGTGTACTTACACAAACCTAGATATTTTTATTTATATATATTATATGGAAAACCAAGTGTCCCAGCACCATTACTGAATATCAATCATTTCCTCTACTTGATTTGCAAAACCAATATCACATGCCCTATATTAAGTTTCTATAAAGGCTCCATTAAATCTTACAGAACGTATGTGTTCCATCACTGGCTTAAACATTGTAACGTGGTCCATGACTGCATGCGTGTGCATGGAAATGGAAATAGCAATGGCTTACACATATAGTGATTACTACGCTCCAGGCACTGTTCTTAGTGCTTTAGATGCATTAACTCATTTACTCTTTTGTACTCTATGGAGTAAGAACCATTATTGGGTCATTTTACAGAGGAGGAAAGTGAGGCACAGAAAGGGTTAAGCTGCTTGTTCAGGGTCACCCAGTTACTAAGTGGAGGAGCCTGGATTTGGACATGGGTTGTCAGGTTCCAGAGCCACCACAGTCATTTCTTGTCACCACCACAGCCATTTCAAGCATCCGGTTACGTGGTTCTGGTAGATATTGCCTTTTCTAATAAAGAAATAAGCAAAATCGACACAGATAAGGGACTAGTTTGCTCCAGAGTCTCTATTCCATGCATTTTGTGTAGCACATATGGTTCTGGACTAGAAAGCATTACACTTTGCAGAGAATCTCAGTTTCTCCACCAAGGCTCAAAATTCCCATGCTACTTAAAATAAGTCTCCTTAAGTTCCCCATTCACTGCATTTCTAACCATCTCCATTGTATCGTTCTCTGTATGACAGAACATGAAGTTTTTACTCCTTTTATCTGTTCTGAAATTTATCTGTAATTTTTCGAACACTTTCTCTCAGAGCTACAGTTTTTCATCTATCACAGGAGTAGTAAACTTTCTTTGTAAAGGCCCAGATAGTAAATAATTTAGGCTATATGGATCATATGGTCTCTGTCACAACTCAGCTCTGCCCTTGTAGTTCAAATGCAGCCAAAGATAGCAGAAAAACAAGTGACCTTGGTTGTGTTCCACAAAACATTCCTTTTATAAAGTAAGCAGAGGGCCAGAACTGGCATATGGGCCATAGTTTGCTGACCCCTGATCTGTCTTATTACTTATCAGTGGGAAGTATGTATATCTTGCTTTGTCTTTTTTGAAGGGAGTACAATTAAGGGTTTTCTTGGAAGTGTTTCATTAATATTATTTTTGTATTATATCTTATTGATATATCATAGTTACACACATTGCAGATACATGTGCTATTTTGAGACATGTATATAATGTGTAATGATCAAGTCAGCCTAATTGGAATATCCATCACCTCAAACATTCAACTTTTCTAGTGTTAGAACATTACACTTCTTCTCTTCTACCTGTTTTGAAATATACCACACATTATTGTTAACTATACTTTTCCTACTGTAGTATTGAATACTACAACTTATTCCATCTATCTAAGTATATTTTTGTACCCATTGATCCACTTCTAATTTGAAAATACTTCCCTATTTTAAAAAATCACTTAATTCTATGGTATTTCCTGTATGTCTCTAGCAGACCTATGTTCTTTTATTGACTAGGATTTTGACTGCAAACACATTTTAAGGCAATTATTTAGTAGCCTATGTTTTTACAAACATTCATGTTCAATAGTTGCAGTAACTCTGTGAGATTGTCTTAAGAAAACCATTCCAATTTACAAAGGTAGCTTCCACGTTCAGGAATTATAATATGGCTTTTAAATCTAAATTTTGTGCTCTTGTGATTATGTGACACGATCTTTGCATTATATAGAAATCATATATGATTGCTATCAGATGCACGTTAACTTTTAAATAATAAAGCTTTCAATGAACTTTCAACTCCATTTTTCACTTTCTAAGAATCACCTAATATTTCTGACACATCTTTGTAAATCCCAGAGAGTTACTGGACCCCTGCATTATAGCATCAATATCCTGCATACACTTGAGTCACATGATAGTTTTGATAGTAAATTCTGATGGGAATAAAAACAAAAGAAATGGTATTACTCTAGCTAACATGACATGTATTATTCAATTTAATTTAATAGTATAACAATCCTGAGAACTAAGAATCACTATTCTACTCTCATAGGTGATGAAATGGATGCTACTAAATTCTAAATAATTTACCCTAGGCTTCAGAACTGGTAAGAGGCAGAAGTAGAATTCAGACACAGATAGAACCGAAGGTTTGTCTTTTTCATATGACATCAGAAGTGTCTCCTGGTTATCTATGGAACCCAATATCACGTTTGAACTTCCCAACCATCAATATACTTTTTAATTTTCTATAAACTCTGTTTAGAATTCTCTGTATTTCTTTATGACAACCAGGAAAACTTGCTTATACCATTTGAGCAGTGAAGTTAAAAATCACAGACATAACTTCAATATGAATTTTATTACTGGTTATCTGCTAGAGAGCTTGGAACATTCTGAATGGAATTAAAATGCATTTCATTGGTGTGGAATCATGAACATTTGTTAAAATTGTTTTGTAAAAAACTCCCTAGGTTTTCACAGCTGTAGAAATGCTCCCTCAAAGAAATAAGTGCAGAATGAATAAAAACAGATGTGGCATTTTTGCATATTATCAACAAAAATCTCTTTTTATTTTATCTTGTCAATGTCTTACCATAACATTATTTATGCCATTATTCTGTTCACAACAAGTGCAAAGAAATTACATGACATTTCCAGTACATATACTGGTCTTCAGTAGGGTTTTCTGGTTACTTATATTTCTCTAGAGAGTACCTTTGCACAGGAAGTAATTTTCTATGTTTTCTAACTAAAACCCAACCTTTCTGGCTGTGCACTCTGAGAAACAGCAAACATTCTCCACTCTATTAAAAGTAATTGAGTCGGAACATTTAAAGGTATTTTAAATGAATGTGCACTGAACATTCTTCAACTTGGTTCAGGAAATAGATATAAGAAAGTTTTTAATACCCTGAAATTTTTAAGAAGAGGAAATTACCTTTGGTTATTTAAAGCTAGAAAAGATTGGGTTTAAGAACTTTAAGACAACGGGCTAAAATCAACTCCAAGGCAATGAAAGCGTCTTCCTTTAAAAAGTCACTAGTGTTTTGTGTTTATAAATTTGTGCCTTCACTGTTGAATTTGTGCCTTCACTATTTAAAATGTATACACCGTATACAGGTTTAGCATTTCTAATCCAAAAATCCAAAATCCGAAATGTTACAAAATCTAAAATTTTTGAGGGCCAACGGGATGCCACATGTGGAAAATTCAACACGTAAGTACTTAACTCAAACTCTGTTCCATGCACAATATTATTAAGAATATTGCATGAAATTATTTTCAGGTTATGTGTATAAGGTATATATGAAACATAAGTGAGTTTTGTGTTTTGTGATAGACTTGGGTCATATCACCAAAATACCTCATTATGTATATGGAAATATCCCAAAATATAAAAAAGTCTGAAATCTGAAATAGTTAGGATCCCAAGCATTTCACATAAGAGCTGCTGAACCTGTAGTACTCTTTTAGGCACTCAGATGTAGAGTGAAGTTAATTCTGTATAATATAAGCTAAAAAACATAATCATTGGCAGTACCTAGTGGTAACTCAAGCTTTCAACATCATTAGAATTTGAGGATGTTAATATACCTGCACAAAACAATCCTATGTGACTTTTCAAAGATGAAATTGCACTCAGTGTGGTCAAATGAAGAAATTAAATCATGCTATGAATAAGTGATGTTTTATTAGGTAGATGTTCTAGCAAAACCTAATGCTTTACCTGAGAAGTTAATCACTTCTTACATTATTTTTCCAATTGTTTGTCTTCCCAAGAGTTGTGCTAACTTAATATTAATTTGATATATTAGCTGTATTCACTTAAAAGTTTACACAAAAATATTTTACCATTTGTAATTGTTTCAAGTTTATATAAAGAATTAAATATATTTTAACAAGCATCTACATAATTGACATGATTTTTTTCTAACCTGAAAACCTAATTATCACCTTCTTATAGAGGACAAGGAACAGCTTTGCAGGCAAATTAATGTATCCTATCAGTGGGACAGTTTGTCACTTGCTTAAATAATCATCATCTTTGTTATAAGCTTTACAGAATGAAGAAAAGAGATAGGACCCCTCTCATACTATTACACATTAAAATTAACTTCCCACAGGTTTTTCAACAGTTTCCTACACTTTCACTGTGCTGAATCATAAAGTAGAAATGACAGCATTAACTGCTTTTCAAGAGATAAGAAGCAAATATATTTCATATCAGCTTTGTCAAATAAAGTCTTCAGTCACCACACAGATACATCATATATTTAATTGTACACAAGTTAAAAAGTATGCCGCATGTTAAAATAATATGATATCATAGTGCACTAGTAAAGAGGGTATGTAAAAAGGACTGCGTTATTAACAATTAGTTGATATTATTAAGTAATTACCTAAAATGGACACCTGCCATTAATTTCTGTACAATAAAGAGCTGGCACATGCTAAAACTGGTTTCCTTATTTTCTTATCTAACTGGGTAAAGTTATTAAAATTACGGTAATAAAGGCACCTAAAATACACAAGATTTGTTAAAATGCTCTTAAAGTAAATATAGTATTGCTTGCATTTTGGAAACTTTAAAAAATAATATTCTTGCTATTAATTGCTATATTAAAGCTATTATTTCTAAACTGAATTACTTATAAATAAAAAAGATTTTTTTAAAGACTGATCTCAGTTCCAACTAGCAAATTATTTCAGACATTTTGCATTTATTTAATTTCCAATGCTGCAATTAAGAAAGAACATCAACACTTTGACTTTTAGTTGGTCTGAAGCAAAGTCCCTTCCACGTGAGATTAAAACTTGTCTTGTTCATCAAATGGGATCAAAAGCTCCTTAATTAGTAGGCTGGACTAAGGTACACAGATGCCCTTTGACCTCCTATGACAGATTGCTAACATTTTAGCATTTACAACAGACTCTCAAGTATGCCGGCTGACATTCAAATATAACTCAAATTACACTTGGTTAAAAGAATTGTATACATCTACATGAGAAGGACTACTGGTGTAAAAAATCTAAGTCCCGGCAACGCAACACAAATCAAAACAATGACTTTGCCAGTATGCTTAATAGGGAAGGACTCATCCAGTGTTCTCTGGATTGCGGGAAGTGCGGCAAGGCTGAGTGCATGTGGGCTAGCGCCCTCTGCTGGTTAGATTCTTCAACGTCTTTAAATCAAGAATCTTCAAGCCTTGATTAAAAAAAACGATGCTCTAAAGATTCTTTCTCTTTCTGGAATTAGGAATCTATGGGAAGCCTTCTAAAAATTTAAATTTTAATTCGATTTCAGGTATTCTAACCACCTGAATATTTATGTGAGGATCACAATAAAATTAGATCCCCAAATTTCTTTTAAAATTTAAATTAAAAATTTAATAAATTCTTATGACTACATAATAAGTGAACCATCTGATAAAATAGTGTAACAATAAATAAAATAAGTTAAATAATTTAAATTTAAATAAATTCTGAATAAATACCTCTGATAAAACTAATCGTTAATAATATAGTGTGCCCAGCGGTGGCTGGCAAGATGGCTGAGTAGGAACAGCTCCTGTCTGCAGCTCCCAGCGAAATCAATGCAGAAGGTGGGTGATTTCTGCATTTCCAACTGAGGCACCCAGCTCCTCTCATTTGGACTGGTTAGACAGTGGGTGCAGCCCACAGAGGGTGAGCCGAAGCAGGGTAGGGCGTTGCCTCACCCAGGAAGCACAAGGGGTCAGAGAACTCCCTCCCATAGCCAAGGGAAGCCCTGAGGGACTGTGCCATGAGGGATGGTGCATCCCGGCCCAGATACTAAGCTTTTCCCACAGTCTTTGCAACCTGCACACCAGGATATTCACTCCAGTGCCTACACCACCAGGGCCATGGGTTTCAAGTACAAAATTGGGCTGCCATTTGTTTGGGCAGACAACGAGCTAGCTGCAGGATTTGTTTTCATACCCTGGTGGCGCCTGGAATACCAGCAAGACAGAACCGTTCACTCTCCTGGAAAGGGAGCTGAAGCCAGGGAGCCAAGTGGTTTAGCTCAGGGGATCCCATCCCCACAGAGCCCAGCAAGCTAAGATCCACTGGCTTGAAATTCTCGCTGTCAGCACAGCAGTCTGAAGTCAACCTGGGATGCTCCAGCTTGGTGGGGGGAGGGGCGTCCGCCATTACTGAAGCTTGAGTAGGCGGTTTTACCCTCACAGTGTAAACAAAGCCACTGGGAAGTTCAAACTGGACAGAGCCCACCGCAGCTTGGCAAAGCCGCTGTAGCCAGACTGCCTCTCTCAATTCCTCCTCTCTGGGCAAGGCATCTCTGAAAGAAAGGCAGCAGCCCTAGTCAGAGGCTTGTAGATAAAACTCCAATCTCCCTGGAGCAGAGCACCCGGGGGAAGGGGTAGCTGTGGGTGCAGCTTCAGCAACTTAAACCTTCCTGCTTGCTGGCTCTGAAGAGCATGTTCTAACCCAATGCAAGGAAGCAAAGAACCTTGAAAAAAGGTTAGATGAATTGCTAACTAAAATAACCAGTTTAGAGAAGAACATAAATGACCTGATGGAGCTGAAAAACACAGCACAAGAACTTCGTGAAGCATACGCAAGTATCAGTAGTTGAACTGATCAAGTGGAAGAAAGGATATCAGAGACTGAAGATCAACTTAACAAAAGAAAGCATGAAGACAAGATTAGAGAAAAAAGAATGAAAAGGAATGAACAAAGCCTCCAAGAAATGCGGGACTATGTAAAAAGACCAAACCTACGTTTGAATGGTGTACATGAAAGTGACAGGGAGACCAAGTTGAAAAACACTCTTCAGGATATTATCCAGAAGAACTTCACCAACCTAGCAAGACAGGCCAACATTCAAATTCAGGAAATACGGAGAACACCACAAAGATACTCGTTGAGAAGAGCAACCCCAAGACACATAATCTTCAGATTCACCAAGGTTGAAATGAAGGAAAAAATGTTAAGGGCAGCCAGAGAGACAGGTGAGGTTACCCACAAAGGGAACCCTATCAGACTAACAGCAGATCTCTCTGCAGAAACCCTACAAGCCAGAAGAGAGAGGGGGGCCAATAATCAACATTCTTAAAGAAATGAATTTTCAACCCAGAATTCCATATCCAGGCAAACTAAGCTTCGTAAGGGAAGGAGAAATAAAATACTTTACAGGCAAGCAAATGCTGAGAGATTTTGTCACCACCAGGCCTGCCTTATAAGAGCTCCTGAAGAAAGCACTAAATATGGAAAGGAAAAACTGGTACCAGCCAATGCAAAAGCATACCAAATTGTAAAGACCATCAATGCTATGAAGAAACTGCATCAACTAACAGGCAAAATATCAAGCTAGCATTATCATGACAGGATCAAATTCACACATAACAATATTAACCTTAAATGTAAATGGGGGAAATGCCCTAATCAAAAGACACAGGCTGGCAAATTGGATAAAGAGTCAAGACCCATTGGTGTGCTGTATTCAGGAGACCCACCTCACATGCAAAGACACACATAGGCTCAAAATAAAGGGATGGAGGAAGATTTACCAAGCAAATGGAAAGCAAAGAAAAAAAAAACCAGGGATTGCAATCCTAGTCTCTGATAAAACAGACTTTAAATCAACAAAGATAAAAAAAGACAAAGAAGGGCATGACATAATGGTAAAGGAATCAATCCACCAAGAAGAGCTAACTCTCCTAAATATATATGCATCCAATACAGGGGGACGCAGATTCATAAAGCAAGCTCTTAGAGACCTACAAAGAGACTTAGACTCCCACACAATAATAATGGGAGACTTGAACACCCCACTGTCAATATCAGACAGATCAACAAGACAGGAAATTAACAAGAGTATTCAGGACTTGAACTCAGCTCCAGACCAAGTGGACCTAATAGACATCTACAGAATTCTCCACCCCAAATCAACAGAAATACATTCTTCTCAGCACCACATCACACTTATTCTAAAACTGACCACATAATTGGAAGTAAAACATTCCTCAGCACATGCAAAAGAACGGAAATCATAACAGTCTCTCAGACCACAGTGCAATCAAATTAAAACTCATGATTAAGAAACTCACCCAAAACTACACAACTACAGGGAAATTGAACAACCAGATCCTGAATGAGTACGGGGTAAAAAAGCAAATTAAGGCAGAAATAAATAATTTCTTTGAAATCAATTAGAACAAAGACACAATGTACCAGAATTTCTGGGACTCAGCTAAAGCATTGTTTACAGGGAAACTTATAGCACTGAATGCCCACAGGAAAGAGCAGGAAAGGTCTAAAATCAACACCCTAACATCACAATTAAAAGCACTGGAGCAGCAAGAGCAAACACATTCAAAAGCTAGCAGAAGACAAGAAATAGCTAAGATGAGAGCAGAACTGAAGGAGATAGAGACACACATACACAAAAACCCTTCAAAAAATCAATGAATCCAGGAGCTGTTTTTTTTTTTTAAAGATAAACAAAATAGACCACTAGCCAGATGAATAAAGAAAAGAGAGAAGAATCAAATAGACAGAGTAAAAAATGGTAAAGGGGATATCAGCACTGATCTCACAGAAATACAAACTACCATCAGAGAATACTATAAATACCACTATGTAAATAAACTAGAAAATCTAGAAGAAACGGATAAATTCCTGGACACATACACCCTCCCAAGACTAAACCAGGAAGAAGTCGAATCCCTGAATAGACCAATAACAAGTTCTGTAACTGAGGCTGTAATTAATAGCCTACAAACCAAAAAAAAGCCTAGGACCAGACAGATTCACAGCCGAATTCTACCAGAGGTATGAAGAGGAGTTGGTATCATGCCTTCTGAAACTATTCCAGGTGATAGAAAAAAAGGGACTCCTCCCTAACTCATTTTATGAGGCCAGCATCATCCTGATACCAAAACCTGGCAGAGACACAACAAAAAAAGAAAATTTCAGGCCAATATCCCTGATGAACACTGATGAAAAAATCCTCAGTAAAATACTGGCAAAGCAAATCCAGCAGGACGTCAAAAAGCTTATCTGCAACGATCACCTTGACCTCATCCCTGGGATGCAAGGCTGGTTCAACATATGCAAATCAGTAACTGTAATCCATCACATAAACAGAACCAAGGACAAAACCCACATGATTATCTCAATAGATGCAGAAAAGGCCTTTGATAAAATTCAACAGCCCTTCACGCTAAAAACTCTCAATAAACTGGGTATTGATGGAATGTATCTCAAAATAATAAGAGCTATTTATGACAAACCCACAGCCAATATCCTACTGAATGGGCAAAAGCTGGAACTATTCCCTTTGAAAACTGGCACAAGACAAGGATGCCCTCTCTCACCACTCCTATTCAATATAGTATTGGAAGTTCTGGCCAGGGCAATCAGGCAAGAGAAAGAAATAAAGGGTATTCAAATAGGAAGAGAGGAAGTCAAATTGTCTCTGTTTGCAGATGACATGACTGTATATTTAGAAAACCCCATCATCTCAGCCCCAAATCTCCTTAAGCTGATAAGCAACTTCAGCAGTCTCAGGAGAAAAAAATCAATGTGCAAAAATCACAAGCATTCCTATACACCAATAATAGACCAAGAGCCAAGTCATGAGTGAACTCCCATTCACAACTGCTACAAAAAGAATAAAATACCTAGGAATACAACTTACAAGGGATGTGAAGGACCTCTTCAAGGAGAACTGCTCAGGGAAATAGGAGAGGACACCAACAAATGGAAAAACATTCCATGCTCTTGGACAGGAAGAATCAATATCATGAAAATGGCCATACTGCCCAAAGTAATTTAGAGATTCAATGCTATCCCCATCAAGCAACCATTGACTTTTCTCACAGAATTAGAAAAAACTACTTTAAATTTCATATGGAGCCAAAAAGGAGGCTGTATAGCCAAGACAATCCTAAGCCAAAAGAACAAAGCTGGAGGCATCATGCTACCTGACTGCAAACTATATGACAAGGCTACAGTAACCAAAACAGCATGGTACTGGTACCAAAACAGATATATAAACCAATGGAACAGAACATAGGCCTCAGGAATAATGCCACACATTTACAACCATCTGATCTTTGACAAACTTGACAAAAACAAGCAATGGGGAAAGGATTCCCTATTTAAAAAAAGGTGTTGGGAAAACTGGCCAGCCATATGCAGGAAACTGAAACTGGACCCCTACCTTACACTTTATACAAAAATTAACTCAGGATGGATTAAAGCTGGAAACCATCATTCTCAGCAAACTAATACAAGAACAGAAAACCAAACACCGCATGTTCTCACTCATAAGTGGGAGTTGAACAATGAGAAGACATGGAAACAGGGAGGGGAACATCACATATTGGGGCCTGTCAGGGGGTGGGGGGCCTAGGGAAGGGATAGCACTGGGCATAATACCTAATGTAGGTGACGGATCGATGGGTGCAGCAAACTACCGTGGCACATGTATACCTATGTAACAAAACTACATGTTCTGCACATGTACCCCAGATTGGCTCCAAAGTCATTTGTAAAACTTCTCTTTATCTTTTAAAATAATGTATCAGGTTTTATGCAAAACCTTCCTAATCAGCACTATCCCATCACTGCATAAGAAGTATTTTCTCCTTTGCATCCTCTGTGTATGATACTCCAACCACTGCACTCATCTTACAGTATTATATATGTGTTTGCATGTATCTTTTCCCCACTAAGCTATAAACTCTAAGTGGTTGGAATGGTGTTAAACTCATCTTCTACCCTGAGCAAAAGAAGTCTTTTCTGGAACATATTAGCCTTGCATCAAATGAGTATTTATCTAGACAGAATGTTTAGTAAATTGCTACATATGTAAACTAGAGCAAGTTATACTTCTGAATTTGTTTTCTAATATGTGAAGTAAAAATAATAATTGTAACTATCTCCTAAGATTGTGTGTGGATTAAATAAAATAATCCAGAAAAATCATTTAGTAGAGTATCTGGAACATACCCCAGCCTTTAAGAAATATAAATGATGAGTTTTATTGTAGTCTATTGCCACAAGGACACACAACTTACACGTTAGGTTTACAACTGTTTATTAGGCTATAATAACTGAGAATAAAAATAAGATTGGGACTAACGATTAGTGATATTAGCTTAAGTTTTCATGGTAACCAAGCTTTTTTTTTTTTCCCCTAGTAAGATGTATAGATCTAGAAAAAGCAATAGAATTTTTTTGTAACTTTGTGTTCTTTTCTGTATGTCATATGATACTTTAAATTACTTTAGTTATATTTGAAAATAATTTTTATCATTAGGTGAGTAGAAAACAGGCTAAAGCATCCAGGTTGAAATGTAAAACAGCCAAAATAATTAAAGTAATTGAATTTGAACATAAATGAATTTTATATTCATAAATTTGCAAACTACATGAATCACAGTACATGAAACTTTCTGGTATTTTAGAAGTTATTGCCAAAATTCCAAATGACTTTTGTAATTTAAATATGCCTTAAAGATTAAAGCAAAATGAATTAAATAAGACAAAGTTAGTAAAAGTAAGATGAAAAGTAAGTAAACAAAATATTAAAAGAATATGTATAAAGAACAAACTGTGTCTACATATTAAAAACCAAACAAATTATGACATCACAGTGACTACTAAACATCAGTAAGTAAGAAGAGTGCATAGTGGCATGTGCTCTGCATAGACATAAATGTACATGTAAAGATTTATTCTTTAAAAGCATATAAATGTAGAGATGCTTGCTTGCACAGCAAATGGTTTTGTTACATCAGGATTTCTCCGTGTACTTGTTAGTATTTTTATCACATCATTAAAAAGTTTCAGTAGAAGATGAGGATCATAGAAATTCAGATTTAAGTGACCTCCTTAAAGCTGAGAAATGAACTGCCAAACCCAAAGTCTTTGCAAAGCCCAACTCATTTTTAAAATATATGAAGGTTTTGGCAGAGAATGCTTTTTGACCCGTTATTCATTTTTCTTTCTTCCTGTGTACACAAGAACCTCTCAGACTTTATGTGAGCACATGACACCACCATGCCCCTGCCAGAGATCACATTTTCCTGAGCTCTTGCCTTTAAGGGTGGCTAGGTCACTAAGTTGTGATATGAGTAGCAGCGACAGGGGCGACTCTCAGTGGAAAAACTTGGTGAAGATGCTGTGGGCATTGGACATGGGTATGAGAAGAATACTTTTTGGGGATGTCTTCTCCAGTCCTCAGACAGAAAGAGGCACCTCCTCCTGGTAGCATATCGTACTCCATTTTGCATTTACCTCACTGATAGTCTTTACCACATGTTACTGTGATTCCATGTTTGGCTTTTGTCTTCCCTGTAGGCCCAAAGGCTTTACAAGAGCAGAGAGGATATTTCATATTAACATTACTCATTCTCCAAGTACTTTCACATTATAGAACTATAATAAATATTTCTCAAGCTATACAAAATAACGAAAAGAAAACATAAGAGTCTGCAGGTATGATCCTGATGATGAATTCTGACTTTGAAAGAACAATCAAGGCAAAATGAGGAAAGCTTGGAAGAGAGTCAGAATGTCCTGGGAATAGGTATAGAATGAATCCAAGGAAATGCCAGATGGTGAGACTTGGAGGCAATAAGTGATAAGATGATCAATCATAATTGCTAGTATTTGGGGGAACACAATATTTGCTAGACACTGTTAAAATGTTCTTCATCCAGTGTTAATTTAGTTTTGCAACACAGCCCCCAGGTTGATGCCATTAGTATCAATCCTCATTACACTGATTAGAAAATTGGGGCATGGAGAGAGGAGAAATTTTCCTAAAGTCACACAGTTAGGAGGTGGAAGAGCCACTATTTGAAGCCAGGGAGCCCTAACTAGCACATTATAAATATCTGGGGGAAAGAAGAGGTAAATTGAGGAGACCCAAGCATGACTCCGCAATAACATCCCCTGCTTATTAGCGTTGTCTTAATTCTTCATAGTGAAGTATGGCCCATAGGTCACACTTGCTCACATGTGATATATGTAGTGTGAGCCTTACTCCTAGCTGCTGGTGTACACAATTATTGAGACTTTCTGTGATGCATTATCCATCGGATTTGCATGAGTTGGAAGTAGACGTTTGCATGTGCACACAAGCTGGCCTAAGAACAGAAATGAGCCATCAACAGGGAGGGGGAATTATCATATAAATCCTAAACATTTCAAGTGTACATCTACTTCCAGGGATCATAAACATAAAAAGGTTAAATAAGGCAGGAGTTGTCAGTGGTTTGGTGACTATGAAACAGGAATGAGGTAATCAAACTGGTCTTATCTTTCATTGAAAAATACGAACAAGCGCTCATTGAGTGCCTAGGAGCACTCAACAAGCTTTGATCAACAGAGCTTTGGACCATACTTAAAATAGCAACATTAAGGCCAGGTGTGGTGGCTCATGCCTGTAATCCCAGCACTTTGGGAGGCCAAGGCAGGTGGATCACGAGGTCAAGAGATCGAGACAATCCTGGCTAACATGGTGAAACCCTGTCCTGTTAAAAATGTACCAAAGAAAGTTAAAGTCGATTTTAGTACCAGCAAGACCAGTTAACACCTTAGAAATGTTTTTTAAACACAGTGACAGGCCTAAACAGTTGCAGCCAGTCAACACTGCAAAATAGGGGCAAGAACCTTGGACCAAGATTCACTAGAGTGTAATTTACTAATCACAAGGAGGGTTTCTTGTTTACTACTGTATCCTCAGTGTTCCATAAATACATTCAATAAATCTTTGTTGAATGAATAAACCAAAAAAAAAAAAAAACACAAAAATTAGCTGGGCATGGTGGTGCACATCTGTAGTCCCAGCTACTTAGGAGGCTGAGGCAATAGAATCGCTTGAACCTGGGAGGCGGAGGTTGCAGTGAGCTGAGATCGCGCCACTGCACTGCAGCCTGGCGACAGAGCAAGACTCGTCTCAAAATAAATAAATAGCAACATTAATAACGATGGCGTTTATATAGAGAGGCTAGATGGATTCAGCCTGATGACTTTGTCAGTCTCTTATTTTGACCAGTCAAGCTACTAAAGTTCCTATCTAGGGAGTGATGTGGAGCTGTGCTTGTCAAAGCACATTTCTTGGACTATGTCCATCAGAGTTTCTGGAGGACATGGTCAAAAATGAAAATTTCTGGACTATGCCTTGAACCAATTAAATCAAAGCATAAAAGGACAGAAAGTTGTATATACATGTACCATATTTATGCTTAATGAGTTTTTGTATGTTATGTATATAACTATTATATGTTTATATAAGCTAATTGTCATAAATATATTTATTTATATAATTATTTTATTACTTACTGTTTTTAAATATTTTATTACATACTTATTTATATAACTATTAACTATATTATTTATATAAAATTGCTAGAAATTTTCTAAAAGAAATTTTAAATGTTAATTCCACAAAAGTATATGAGTTAATGCATGTGTGAAATATCTTGATTTAGCCATTCCACAATGTATACAAACATCAAAGAATCCTATTGAACATCATAACTAAATACAACTTATGTTTTTAATAAAAATAAAATATAAAATATAAGTAACAGACAAATATATGTACGCATATTATATATATACTTATATAAAACATAACACACATTTTTAATTCTGTATGATGTAATTATTATGCTGACTGAAGTTTGGGAACCATGGCATTACATATCCCAATATGAAAACACTGTTAATGCAGAAAATACAAATTTCAAAATGCTGCATATGTGAGAATATTATTTTTCTCTTCAAAGAGCAATGTTTATGAGTGAACCATTTTTTAAAAAATAAATCATTCAAGGGTAATATTTTAGAATTAACTTTGTTCAGTCAGAAAATAATGTTGAACATTTTCACATAACTACATGTATTCCAAAAGAAATGCATGAGTAACTAATGCTTATGTGGAGGGAGAAGCAACGCAGAGGATATAATTAGTTCCAATTAGCCATGCCAGGGGATTACTTTCTAGGTAAGATTACCTATAATGAGGTGATTAACCTCTTTGGAAAAAGTTCAAGCCAGGCTTACCTTCTACTTAATATGTCCTGTAAAGAAGTGTTACAACGAGGGTCCTCACAATTGTTCCCTGGGATAATTGCCACCAAGAATCAATTGATTCTATTCCAGAAGAATCAAAAAGCATTCTTATTATATTATTGATAGAATGAATCCTAACACATCTATATATTAGAAATTAAGTATTTAAATTTCATATCAAATTAACTAAATTATATGGCACGGATTTTATTTATACTAACAAAACAGCAATTGAACTCTAGTCAATTCCAAATACAGATCTATCGGCTATCTATGAACATCAAAGGGGAAGAAAATTCTATCATTGATATTGGTTAACGTCACAGGCTTATTTCCAAAAGTAGACTGTCCATTGTCTAATTAGTTTAGAGGGTCTCTTCTGTCTCCAGCACACAATTGAATTTTGTTGCAGTTGGAGAGGCTGATGCTAACCTAGGTGGCAGGGCTGAACACAAGGGAACAGAAGCTTCAGTGTTTTCACCATAAAACACGAGATAAATTGAGGATAGGGATTTTGGAAATAATAGATTTAACTGTTGTCCAAGCTTATCTGCAGTTTCTTCCCTTTAAACTAAATTGATAGTTTACTTATTATGGACTAATTAAAATTATTATATATAATATTATCTATGTAATATATCTGTTACATATATATATTGTTGTCAGCTTATAAGGAACAATAAATAATTTTCTTTGTGTTTTAATTTAACAAATACTTCCTGAAAGTTTGCGTGTAGGCATACAAGCTACAACAATGAGTAGAAATTTTTTCTAAAAGTGGTTTTTTACTGTTTAATACTCTTCCCTATAAGAAAATACTTAAACTTGAATTATTCTTGTAATCTTGTGGACATCTCTGAATTAATTACTGTTACTTTACAAATCTTGTTTCTTTATTTGTTATCCTAGAAGTATTTGTATGTGTGTGTATATAAAATTTTTGCATAGACCACATGCAAATTCATGTAAAGTAATAATACAAACCCTAGGAATCGAAAGGCAAAATCAAGGGGAAAATATTTAAAATATTTGCATGGAAATGATAATAATAAAATGTAAGTGTCTTGCAAACAGAAACTAGAAATAAATATTTCTGTTTTATTTAAATTAGAGCATATACAATCAAGCCTTACTTCAGCATGTATCTGTTAGAGCTCAATGGTCACCTTAATTTGGGAGCCCCAGGAAATATCTTCCCTCTGTAAAGTTACAAAGTAGAATTTTTCTCTGGTTTATATTCTTCTGTGGAATTTACGATTATCTAAGCTCTCTCTGATCCCAAGTTCCATTTCTTCATTTATCTTAGATTCTAAAAATCTAGGCCTTAGCTGAATGCCCATCAAACAAACAGGGCTCCTTAGTAAATGTTTGCAGACAAAGGAAACAACCAAATCAATAGCAGATAAGCAGTATTTTATCCAAGCTTCAGAAACTTTATTAATATTTTTTGTTACTTCACTGCAGTGGCAAAAATAAAAAATGAACAGGAGAATAAAAAATGTGGTGTGAAAGAAGAAAGAGAGTGAGGGGCAAAAAAGGAAGGGAGAAAAGTTATTCCCTTCTTTATTCATCCTCCAGTCCTCACTCACTCTATTCCAAAGAGCCATCTTACAAACATGATTTTAAACAGCCTGGATACAGAAGTAAGTGTTCTGGTTTTATTAATGGTGCCAAGAAATGATGCAGGAAGCTTCAGGTGAATTGAAACCCCCTGCATGAGAACACACACAGTCCTGACTCATTTAACCATTCTCATTTCTACCTGCTCAGATCCAACAAAGTATTTAAGCAAGTCTCAACATACAAATAAAAATATATGAATCGAGGAGCATAGTAAATTATTTTAAAAGCTTTACATTAGGAATACACACATAGAAGAGCACATATAATTGTAAGAGATTTATATAAATATGATAAAATGAAAACTCTTAGCAAATATATATGTATACAAATATATAAATCGATGCATCACAAATACATATATGTATACACATATATACATCTATATATTTACCTATTTATCTGTACACTATATGGTTTATAGGCAAACCGTAATTTAGTCATATGGAAAAACTGGCCTCATGATAATGCTTACACACACAAATTTCAAAAATTTCATTTAAATGATATAGCAAAGTATTCTAAGTTAGAATGAAAAATGAGTATGTTTCTTCTTTAAAAACACATCAATTCATTCTAGTACACAGAAACTAAAGACATAAAAGTGCTTTAGGACATGAAACTCTCATGAAGATATGATTCTCTTCAAAAGGTCCCTGCACAACACCACTATTTCTAATAAAACTGATTTTATTCAAAACACTAAAAATGACAAACATTTAACTTTTAATTTCAGTAGTCCTGTTTACCTAGTTGGCTAATAAAAGATAGTGACATATACACAAGGTAGAAGTGTGCCTTAAAACATGATAATAATTTACATTTTTAAATGAAAAAAATTCAGTCTACAATAATGAACTTGTCTTGACTGAGGCAAAAGTGAGGTCAAATACCTGAATGATGACATTGTGATATACTTCATCCTTTCTTTACTTTCACTGTTTTTAATAGATTGTGAATGTCAGTAATTTAAAAATCAATTGTACTCCTGAAATAACAGTTTAATTCCTAAAAGTTTAAAGTGAAAGAAAACATGAATTCCTACAAATGTGATTCTACAAAGATACATGTTAAAAGCCTTCAGAGGAAAATAAATACAAATATCTCCTATATTCTATTTGCTATGTCATACCTGACTCAAAAATATATGTAAGATACACATTTAAGAGAATATCTCATGAAATTGATTGGATGCCAATTTTCAATTGGCTTTTTTCATTTGTACATTAAAGATTCTTACAGAAGATCAAGAAAATTATAAATATGAATACATCAACAGAATATATCATCATGATGTAAGACAATTTGAATTGCTCTGGAACTTCAAAAGCATTTTGTTGAATTCACAGAAATAATTTCTCAATGGTACTTTATATGGTAAGTAAAAATATTTGGCTTTGATATAGCATTTTTCTGTCACTACTGAAATATTATATTTTTAACTTCTCATTATATTCTAGAACTTTAATGGAATTTTTATCTCTAGATAACAAATGGCAATTTTGTGTTCTATTACTCTAGTCTGTGGGCTTTTCTTTGTCTCTATAGCAAAATAGAAAAAAAATACACAGGTTTGATTTTTCTATTCTTAGAAATGATAATTTTCCATATATATGGAATATATGTATATATACATATATGTATGGAATATATGTATATATACATATATATGTATGGAATATATGTATACATACATATATGTGTATGGAATATATGTGTATACATACATATATGTATGGAATATATGTGTATACATACATATATGTATGGAATATATGTGTATACATACATATATGTATGGAATATATGTGTATACATACATATATACACACACATATATGTATAAGCATACATATATGTATAAGGAGAGTGATATTTTATATTTAGTCTTCAGTTCAATACCATCAACACATAAAGAATAATAATTTGAAAATTGTATACTGCTGACATATAAATTGATAAGAAGAAGCACAAACTAATCTATAAGTAATCTCATATTATTTATTTGTAGGACACAGTGCTCAGGGATTTATGTTAAAGAATTTTTGTTTGTTTTGCATTGCTGGTTCTTGAAGGTTATGTACGTAAAGGCTGAGAAAACTAAAAGGTATTAATACCTCAAATAATAGTTATGTAGAATGAAGACTCACTCTACATATCACAGTTCAATCTTTATTGCATTTTTTGCACTATAAAAGCATAAACTATAAAGGTAGTAAGATATATAGAAAAATATAGAGAAGATAAATATACCATGAAATAGTAAATAACTTACAGAATAAATACCTATTGAGTACACAGTATGTTCCACAAACTGTGTAGTTACTAAAGCCCAAGAAAGAAAAAGCAGAAAGTAGTACAGAAATAAATCACATACTTCTGACCAGGGGGCTGAGAACCTATCTTTGTTTCATTCCAAAAATTAGAGACCAGATACTTTGAAATAAGCTGCGTGGATTTAAACAGTATTATTGTGATCGCTGGCCATAAGTGCTTACTAGCTAACTTCTTTTAGTTTATTCTAGTAAAATGGTTTTAGGTGTTACACATTAAGAATTTGAATTGAATCACTGAAATCATGCTATGACTAGATTTTTAAGAAATCTTTGTAAGACCACCTGATACGGTTTGGCTGTTTCCCCACCAAATCTCATCTTGAATTTCCACATGTTGTGTGAGGTACCCAGTGGGAAGTAACTGAATCATGGAGGCAGGTCTTTCCCATGCTGTTCTCATGATAATGAATAAGCCTCACAAGATCGGATAGTTCTGTAAGGAGGAGTTTCCCTGCACAAGCTAGCTCTCTCATTGCCTGCCACCATCCACGTACAATGTGACTTGTTCCTCCTTGCCTTCCACCATGATTGTGAGGCTTTCCCAGCCATGTGGAACTGTAAGTCCAATAAACCTTTCTTTTGTAAATTGTCCAATCTCTAATTAATGTCTATCAGCAGCATGAAAACGGACTAATGCAATAAATTGGTACCAGTAGAATGGGGCACTGCTGAAAAGATACCCAAAAATGTGAGAGCAACTTTGGAACTGGGTAACAGGCAGAGGTTGGAACACTTTGGAGGACTCAAAAGAAGGCAGGAAAATGAGGGAAAGTTTGGAGCTATCTAGAGACTTGTTGAATGGCTTTGACCAAAATGCTGATATTGATACGGACAATGATATCCAGGCTGAGGTGGTCTCAGGTGGAGATGAGGAACTGGTTGGGAACTGGAGCAAAGATGACTTGTTATGTTTTAGCAAAGAGACTGGTGGCACTTTGTCCCTGCCCTAGAGATTTGTGGAACTCAAGAGAGATGATTTAGGGTATCTGGAGGAAGAAATTTCTAAACAGCAAACCATTCAAGAGGTGACTTGGGTGCTGTTAAAGGCATTCAGTTTTATAAGGGAAGTAGAACATAAAAGTTCGGAAAATTTGCAGCCTGGCAATGCTATAGAAAAGAAAATCCCATTTTCTGAGGAGAAATTCAAGCAGGCTGCAGAAGTTTGCATAAGTAATGAGGAGTCAAACGTTAATCCCCAAGACAATGGGGGAAAATGTCTCCAGGGCATGTCAGAGACCTTTGCAGTAGGCCCTCCCATGATAGGCCCAGAGGCATAAGAGGAAAAAATGGTTTTGTGAGCCAAGCCCAGGGTGCCCATGCTGCGTGAAGCCAAGGGACTTGGTGTCCTGTGTCCCAGCTGCACCATCCATGGCTGAAAGGGGCCAACATAGAGCTCAAACCATAGCTTCAGAGGGTGCAAGGCTCAAGCCTCAGCAGCTCCCACATGGTGTTGAGCCTGAGAGTGCATAGCAGTAAAGAACTGGGGTTTGAGAACCTCTGCCTGGATTTCAAAGTATGTATGGAAACGCCTGGATGCCCAGGAAGCAGTTTGCTGCAGGGGCAGGACTCTCACAGAGAACCTCTGCTAGGGCAATGAGGAAGGGAAATGTGGGGTCAGAACCCCCACAATGCATCCCTACTGGGGCACCACCTAGTGGAGCTGTGAGAAGAGGGCCACCATCCTCCAGACCCCAGAATGATAGATCCACCGACAGCTTGCACCATGTACCTGGAGAAGCCCCAGACACTCAATGCCAGCCCGTGAAAGCAGCCAGGATGGGGGACTATACCCTGCAAAGCCACAGGGGCAGAGCTGCTCAAGGTCATGGAAGCCTACTTCTTGCATCAGCTTGACCTGGATGTGAGACATAGAGTCAAAAGGAGATCATTTTGGGGCTTTAAGATTTTACTGCCCCACTGGATTTTGCAGTTGTGTGGGGGCATGTAGCCCCTTTGTTTTGGCCAATGTCTCCCATTTGGAATGGCTGTATTTACTCAATGTCTGTACTCCCATTGTATCTAGGAAGTAACTAACTTGCTTTTGATTTTGTAGGCTCATAGGCAAAAGGGACTTGCCTTGTCTCAAATGAGACTTTGGACTGTGGACTTTTGAGTTAATGCTGAAATGAATTAAGACTTTGGGGGACTATTGGGAAGGCATGATTGGTTTTGAAATATGAGGACATGAGATTTGGGAGGGGCCATGGGCAGAATGATATGGTTTGGCCATATTCCCACTCAAATATCATCTTGAATTTCCATTTGTTGTGGGAAGGACCTGGTGGGTGGTAATTGGATCATGGGGGTAAGTTTTTCCCATGCTGTTCTTATGATAGTGAGTAAGTCTCATGAGATCTGATGGTTCTACACGGGGGAGTTTCCCTGCACAAGCTCTCTCTCTCTTTGCCTGCTGCCATCCACATAAGATGTGACTTGCTCCTCCTTGCCTTCTGCCATGATTGTGAGGCCTTCTCAGCCATGTGGAACTGTAAGTCCAATAAACCTTTCTTTTGTAAATTGTCCAGTCTCAGATATGTCTTTATCAGCAGCGTGAAAACAGAGTAATACACTGCCAATACTTTTCCTATAACTGGTTCCATTTTGCAAGTTACTTGGAAGTCCTTTTCAATGTTACATAGTTTTACACAAGGAATTCCACACTGCTTTGCATGTTTTTCTAAAATCATTATACGCCTTTATAATTGCCCTTTTTAATGTTGCTTATTTTAGTATGGTAATAAATAATTATTAATATCCTTTTTTTCAAAAAAGGAAGTATTTAAAGTCATCTCTCTAAATAGCACCATGAGAAGTATTATGTATGTGAATTATGAATGTAAATATGTTTATGAATACTAATTGACAATTTATATAAATATTTTAAATACCAATATTATGTAATAAATAGTTTAAAATTCTAGTAGCATAAATATTTAGTTTTTTTTTTTCTTGAGTCTAAAGGACTGGAAGTTTTTATTCAAATTCCGTTTGTTGGAAGAATATCTTAAAGTTTAGAAAGTTAAACAGCATGCTTTCTTTTAACAGTTAACTTAGATTTATATAGAAATTTGGAAAGAATATGATATAAACCTTTCAACTAGCACTCTCTTAAGCAACGGAAAAATCATTACCTTTCCCTGTTCTTTCAATTTCTGTCATAAGAAGCATAGAGAACAGAACTATATATTGTGGTAATTAATTTCCTTAAGATAATGTTAGAAACATCATGTTCTTTAAAATATAAATGAATTTCAAGGTGAGCATGCTAGAGGATAATATTAATGGCATGTGATTTATTGTGACAAGAGATCTGATCTGAAATACCATTATTAGGAGTACTTAAAAAAATCCATTTGCAAATTCCTGAAAATATGAAAGTGTGCTATGGCTGAGCCTGTCGCAATGTTGAAATCTGAACTATCTGCCATTGTAAGTATGAAATTGCTTGGGTACAATATGTCTTCCTCACAGAAATTCATCAGAAAATGTTCATATCCTGAATATATCACATTATGGTTTAGGGAATTGCCTAAATGCTTGAAATGATAACTGTAGACTTAATCTGCAAATGTATAGATTGAAACATACATGCCTAATTGACGTGGTAATATATGGAATTCTGTGGCTGATCATTATCTTAAAAAATATTTGGCCAATAATACATTGAACATCTACTCTATACCTGGTTCTTGAACTCGCAATAGAAACCTGTGACTTTGTGTCATTTTAGAGAGCATTTTCTATGTTATTATCTCTAGCAAAGACTCCCTATAAGCTATTTATAAGCGAGGTTCATTCATGACTCAAATTTGCAAAGAAGTTTTAATACAGTTAGTTTTACATCTTATAAAAAACATTGAAGTTTACAAACACATTGTTATAAATGGCATCTAATCACATACTGAGCAGTGAGGAATGTCACAAATTAGTAGAGCTATTAGTAATAAAAGATTAAATAGATATGTGAATAATAGGAGTCTTTATGAGTAAGAAGACTTAAAAATTATTCTGCAGAAAGAAATTCATTAGCCTCTGATGCTTGAGAGAGGGTAATAAATATTGGCATTCTTACACATAGGTTGTCAAATATGATTAGCACATAAATATATTGATATATCTCTCTATAAAGCCTTTAATGAACTTTTTTATGTTAAACTCTCTAAGAGGTACACTCCAAAAGGTATTATCCAAACACACTTTCGTTTTTTGCTTGAAACCTATTTTAATATATGAATATAAACTTCTTTATGAATATAACTTAAATAATATATATGAATATAAATATGAATGCTTCATAGAATGACATGTGGGAAAGCATAGACTACTCTATCTTATAATATGTTTTGTACACATTAATAGCTATATTCATTTCCAGGATATTTGAGGTGTATAATCAAGTGCTGAAATCTATACAGTACATATACTTTCACTGTTATGTCAATTTATTTTTACATGTGTTTCATGAACTGAAACTAAATCTTGTAAAATAAAAATGTCTATTCTAGGTACAAAGGCAACTTATAGTGCAAAATTTTAATTAGATTACTTTGATTTAATTTTGAAATGCACCTGGAGAAAAATTCAAACAGTACAATAAAGAAAAATACAGTTGTCACCACAACCACTTTGTTCCCATCTCCAGAAGCAACCAGAGTTATAAAATTTGTGTGAATTATTCTGAAAATATATGTACACATATATATCCATATATGCATTTATTTCATTTTCTTTACGATAAAAAGTATAGTTTTCTGAACTATAAGAAAAAAGCAAATCATAAGGTCATGATTTATTTGTAGGGTAAAAAACAAATCAAGGAAATACCCAACATAGGTATTAGATTATGTTTTTAGTTACTAAAAACATTTTTTTTTTTTTTTTTGAGACGGAATCTCACTCTGTTGCCCAGGCTGGAGTGCAATGGTGCAATCTCAGCTCACTGCAACCTCCGCCTCCAGGGTTCAAACGATTCTCCTGCCTCAGCCTCTTGAGTAGCTTGGGTTACAGGCACCCACCACCACGCCCTCATTTTTGTATTTTTAGTAGAGACATGGTTTCCTCATGTTGGTCAGGCTGGTCTCGAACTCCCGACCTCATGATCTGCCCGCCTTGGCCTCCCAAAGTGCTGGGATTACAGGCGTGAGCCACCGTGCCCGGCCTACTAAAAAGATCTCAATAGGTAAATTTAAGGAAAAATTAGATACAAACTCATGAAACATTTGCTGTGATGATTTATGCATAAAGTAGTGCAATTTTAATATTTAGAAAACTATAAAACAATTTTGAAATAGTTTTTAACAGCATTTTATTTATTGTGAACCTACATGGGAGAAGATTACATCAATGTACTCATGAGTGACAAAACTGAAATAAATTTAAGAATGTCCAGGTGCAGGTATCTAATAAATGGTCTATAACATTTATGGCAAGATGTCAGCCAAATGCAGCGACAATAAAGCCCTTGGCTTTGAATATTAATAGATAAAGTCACTTAAATATCTATACAGAAATGCTAGTTATGGTTTTGTAGCTTTGTGAGCTGAATAGAGTGGAAATGAGTATAATTGAAGCAAAAGATAATTCACTTCTTCTGCCCCACTTTTCTAGGGGAGTGAGGTGGAGAGAGCCATATTTCCTTCTAGAAATGGGGAAGATACGGAACCAAGGCTTTCCTGTTTCCCTGAGTAACTGTGAAGGTCAATGTCTACATTTTTGAAGAAAAAATGTTTGCCTATTGCTCTTATGAGGAAAGAAATTTTGTTCGTCAAGTCTTTTCTCCTTGAAGAAATGTCTCTAAAAATAATTTATATTGGTATTGATATTACTATAATTTCTTTTGATTTAGTTTAGGCCAATTTGAAGCTGATAGTCCAAAGATATATAATCCCTATGTAATATACACTTAGCATTATCAAATCAGAACCCTGTGTTTTTCCTTGGGATCAAGGTTGATTGCTGTTCATATACGTCATGAAAACTTCCAGTGTGTCTTAAAACTATTAATTTCATGTTTTACTTGAAATCTTTCTTTATAATACATGAGAATGAAATAGAGATGACCCATTGCATTCCTCATTATAGTTTCATCACAACCTAAGAAAAATTTAATTCATTTATCCTACCATCTTAATATTTACACACACACACACACACACGCACACAAAGCCTCATAAAGCCAGTAGATTATAAAATATTCTGTACCATCTAGTGATCTTTTTATGGCAAAATTCAGCAACTATATCTATAATTTCATCTCTTTTGTCACCTTACCTACTGTTGAATTTCTCTGGGTGTTTTTCTCTCATGATGTGGAATCTGTGTGCAATGGAGGCATCCTAAGGGGAGAAAATAGAAAACAAAAACAGGATGGTTTATGATCCTATTATTTTATGAAAATGTAGACTAAATAAAAAAATAACATTTCAAAATGAACTTTTATTTACAATATTATTGCCAAGAAGGTTATGTAAAATTAGGCAAAAATGTGTGATCCATATGCAGAAGTGATTTATGTAATTCTATGCAGAAGTGATTTACGTAATAATTTCACAATTGATTATTTGTTACATTTACATCTAAGACTTTATTGCTATTTAATTTCTATATCTCCTTTAATGACTGGCTTTGGCCTCATGTTCAACGTATGTTGAAGATAGCACATATGAGTGTAAATGTCAAATAGTAATGGAAAATACTGTTAAACAAGAGTTAGAAGGATGCCCTAAGTGGAGAAATGATCAGTACAGAGGCTCCTAATTATTTGAGATAATTATGAGTAAAAGGATGGTGTGAGTGTGCATGTCTAGTAAAGATAAGTGCAATACTTGACTTCAGAATTTGCTCAGGTTGTCTTGATGTGTAATTAATAACAGTTTGGACCACAAGCAACTTTCTGGCATAGCTCGTTGAATAGAAAAAAAAAACAACAACAAAGAGAAACATTTATTTTTGGGGAATTGGTGACAAATACAATTTGTTTCTGAGACCCCAAGTGCATCGGTTCTGACCCTAATGGATGTTTCTTACTTTTAGCAAATACAGAATTTTTCCATGAGATAGAAATCATACTCAATGTGTGAGACTGCTGAAATACTGCTATCCAAGCTTTTCAAGCACGGACTGCTCCAACTGACTCTAAACAATTATCTCTGTTATTCCAAGTGTGGAGATATTTTCCCATTCTTCAACCACACATGATTAATCACTCAAATGAGGAACTAATATATTTACCAGTCATCTCAACAGAAAAGGGCTATTGTTGACATTCACTGTTAATTTTGTTTCAAAGTGGAGATAAAAGAAAAAGAAAACCAAACTCAAGGAAATAAAGAAGTTGTGTATTTGAGAGAATCTTGAAAACACTAATCAAGGATTAAAAGTCTAATGAATGAAATGAAAGGCTAATGTGCTTACTCATGCATAACAAAGCATGAAGCACAAAAAGAGAGGGACCAATGCCCACTGCAGATGGCAGAGAGTTGCAGGATACAGCTAACTGTAATTTTTTTTCTGTATAAACATTTGATACCCTAAAATTTGTCAAGTAATTGAATGAATCCATGAATGAAAATCACCCAGACATATAGATAGAGGTGTATAGAAACAATGCTTATAATAAAGGTTACAAAAATCCCCCTCTACGGTTTAATATTTAAGACGTTATTTTGTTATATATACATGGCCAACTTCCTGGTTTGCTAGGAAGTACAAATATCAAGATGGTTCACTTTTATTCGTCCAACGATAACTCTCTAATCTAGTCACAGAGTTCCTTTTTATAAATTTAATTCTATTAAGTCATAAACATATTATACTTTATAATATGAAGTTGTCTTACTGTGGTATGAGATTACAGGAAAAACACCTGAACTGGGCTATTTATGGTATATGTAGCATGATCAATTAATTAATTTTGAAATGCACTTACTTTTACTTTATCCCTAATCTGGTACAAAATCAACTTGGAATACCTTCCAATTAAAGGCATACATTCAGCAGACTAGTTAAACAAAGCAAAGGAATATGAATCAAACACTAAGAATGAATAATCAATATTGCTTCCCATAGGGAGAGTATCATTGAATTTACTTCTGCTTGAATTGTTTCTGCTAAGTTGGGGAGACTGAGACTTTTAAAAATAGATTGTGTAGTACAATTTTTTTTACAGGTGTATATTTTTGTAATGACAAATTTCTTCCTTTACAAAGCAACATAAACAGAATAGAGAAAGGGAGAGAGGCAAGAAGACAGGAGGGAGAAGAGAGGGGAGAGACAGCAAAAGACCATTTAAGTAGACTAGACTATAATTGGGTAAACTCCTAGAAACACAGGACTACATAGCCAAAGATAGAACTAATATTAGCTTATTTATCTTCAAGATACTTGGGCAATGGATCATTTAGTTAAGAGGGGAAAAAATAAAACTTAGTGTCAAACACTAGCAGGTCTTTTCCTTGTGTTGAATAGGTTCCACCATAAAAAGAGAACTGGCATTGCCAACTACAGGATTGATAAGGAACAATGACAGCAGGTGTTCATTTGGATGAGAATTCAGATCCAATTCACATGGGACCCTGTCCCTTTGGCATAACCCCAAAGGGCTTGATAGAGTACTGCCAAAATCTGCAACACTATCCAGCAGCCATTTTTCAAGAGACACCAAAGGTTCTCTAAAGACAGCCAAATAAGAAAAAGCTAAAATGCCATTTTAAAATAAATTTTACCATTTCTGTCTGAATGCATTACAGTTTTTAGACAACAGAAATAAATCAGCATTACTTCCGCTTCCTAGAAGGCACAAACTCTGAATTCAGACTTTCTACTTCCAAGCCTTGTGACTTCAAACAAATTATTTATTCATTGAGAACCACAACTTCCTTATCTTTAAAAGAGGATACTGACATCCCTTCAAAGTACCTTGGTGGAGATTTAATATCATTCTCTATAGCAATTGGAACAGTATTCTATATAGCTCATATTTTCATACATCTTATATACAAACCAGTATTTTCTTAAAGTTAAATGAGAATGCTAAATATGGTTAAATGACATATTTTTGAAATATATTTTTAAAGACTTACATTGCTTTTTATTATTTCCTTAACCTATATAGCTTTATTTTTAATTAATTAAAAAAATCTAAGAAATGAAAATAAGTCAATCTTATTAAAGCAAAACAAATTTAAACCTCATTGTGTTATTCAAACAGTAAAAATGTAATTAGCAACTTTTCTTGCTACGTGTACATATATAAGTATATGCAAATATATGTATATAGAATAATCAGCTTATTAGCCATATGTGTCTCAAATACTTGATCACTAGTATTTTTCTGAAATGTATTTTTCCTTTTTCTGTATAGGCTTATTTATGTTTTAAGTAAAATTGCCCTAAATCTCCAAATTTGCATTTTATGATATTAATTTGAAAAGCTGAATATTTTCTATGGATCATAACATTTTCAATTGAGAGAATGTTCTATATGTATTGAGATCCCAGAGCCTATAGCAAATTCTGCTGAGGAGAATATTGTCTTTATAAAATGTAAAATAGAGGTACCCAAATATTGTCATCAATATTATCTTTTATTCTGTTTAAATAATCTTTCTCTCACAAATAGTTTCTAAAATTTGTCGAGTAAATTGTTCATTTTTGATGATTTGACCATTGCACCACATTAAATATCTTTTCAATTTTTTTCCATTTTAGAATAGAATATAAATTTAGCCAATTAGAAATGAGTGTCATCAAGAGTTATTCCAAAATCTAATTTTAGAATTAAAAGTAATCTTGCATACTATATGGGTTTTTATTGTTGAAATAATTTAGTTCTTCCTTGTTTTTGGAGGAATGAATTCCAATCTCTCCCTGTGTGCAAACTTTTCTTTTTCTCAAAAATTGTAATTTACTAAAAAGTTTCAAAAGCTGGTTTTCGGTGCTGTATTTGTTGAATATTTTGTTAAAGATTTCCAGTAATATTTTTGGAGTGTTACTGCAAACAAGAAAATTGCCAATTTTAAGTGTATACTTCAAAAAGTTTTGTCAAAGGTACACAATAACAACAATCTTTTCCTATGCTTTTGTTCATTCATATTTCTTCTTATGTGGACTACATATTGAAGTCTGTGTCCATTTATCTCTGTATATTAAATTGACTGGGTTCAAGACCCAGCTCTAAATTTTACTGAATATTTTACTTTGAAAAGTTTGCTTAGATTTTCATTATTGTCATTTTCCTATATTAAAATAAGAATAATTTTAATAATACCTGCCTTGCTTTGAAGATCTGGTGTTCTAATACCTGGAAGATAACTAGAATTGTGCCTGGTGTATAGAAAGCAAGAAAATAAATGTTAACTATTACTATTACTGAAAAATATTCATGATTTTGAGATTCATAATACCTTCTCCTTTGGTTTATTGAGATGGTTAATTAAATAAATTGCATAATCTTTAAGATGAAGTATATGAGGAAATTTTTGCTTTGGTATTCAGAATTTTTTGGGTTATGCATTCATATATGATAAATTATCTAACAAACTCAAAAGGGTGAGGAATATCACACTATACTTAAACTTCACATAAATATTTCTGCACTAGTACATATGAATATTAACTCAAGGAAAGATAAATTAACAATGTGAGATAGAGCTAACTGTAATTACAGTTATACTAGAAACACTACACTTTGTAATACCACAAAGAGCAGCTTAGTTCAGGTTATAGTTCTCACTAAGAAACTATAAAAATCTGGGTTTTCAAAGCTTTGTTAGATTGAGCTTTTAGGTAAGAGATTGTGGTTCTGTATTTCCCATCTGGAATAAAACAATGTTTGCTCTCCTGATAGTGTTTACCTGAATGTACTATGCTCTCCTGACAATCATTACCTGAATATACTATGTATATAAGGCACTATTTTCACCTGTTAATATTTTTAAAGAAAATTACAATAATAGCCACAAGTGGGATTATTTCCCAGGCAGACTGTATCAGATATTGATATCTGTAGTGCTGGGTTGATTAAATAGAGCCAGAAGGTTTTCTTCTTTATGCTGCAGAATAGTTAATAATGCATGGGAATTATTTGTTCTTTAATCATCTGTGAAATGTTGGCCTGGCATTTTTTTTTTTGGAGAAGTTAACGTTTTGGTTTTCTTAATTTCTCTGCTATATTAGTTTTTCTATCTCTTCATAAATTATGTTTTTTATTACATCATCTGTAGTGGGCTCAATGGTGCCCCCCAAAAAGATATCAGATCCTAATAACTGGAACCTGGTAACTTTTTTTACAGAAGTGACCAAGTTGATGATTGATATCGATTGGAACCAGTGACCCCTCTCTACATTGCACTTTCTTTTTGCGGGAATAGGAATGCGTACAACTGTGATACTATGCTTTTTTGCCACTGTATTTTGAAAGCACATAACTTGTTTTCTACTTTAACATGTCCACAAATGGAGAGATATTTTACCTGAAGATGGATGATACTAAGTGTCATCTGTATCTGATTTAGGTTATTTACATGATGAGCTTTGAGACTTGGAGCTGAAGATATTTAGATCAGATTTTCTACTTAAGTTGATGACGTAAAGGACTGAGCCATTTGGGGATATCAAGAAGAGGTAAATGTATTTTGCACACAGACATGAATCTTTGGGGGCCAGAGGACAGTTAGCAGTGGGATGACTGTGATCCCTAAACATATCAGGTCCTAATCTCTAGAACCTTGAAATGTTACCTTTGATGGTAAAGGTTTTTGAAAATATGATTAATAATTTGGTGATGAGAAGATTATCCAGGTGGGACGTAATTCCCTTCACAATTTCCTTATGAGAGAGAGACAGAGATTAGACAGGAGGAGACGATGCGACTACAAAGGCAGACATTGGAGTGGTGCAGCCACAACTTAAAGAATGCTGAAAGCCACCAGAAGCCAAGAGCCACAAGAAATGTTTTGTTCTCCATCACCTCTGGAGGGAGCATAAACCTAGGAGCACCTCGATTTTAGTCCAAGGATATTAAATTTGGATTTATCATCTCTTGAACTGTGAGACAATACATTTCTGTTGTTATAAGTCAACAGGTTTGTGGTAATTTGTTACAGCAGGCATGGGAAACTTATACTTCATCTGTTCATGTAGGGTTTTTTTTTTTTTGAGAAAAACATTATTCTATAATATTTTAATTCTTTCTTGAATCCATGGTTATTTTGATCCTCTTAATTTGAATTTGCATTATTTTTGTATTTAACACACAGTTTAGAATCTATAACTTAGCAAAAAGGCATAAGAGCACATTAGAATAGGCATAGCAAAGCCTATATATATGTCAACTCCACAAAGTTGACACACAACAACCAAACAGTAAAACTCTAGAGGTAAAAATTGTTGTTTTGAAAAGAAGGATTTATTTTAACGCGACAATATAGTGTAGATGTTTTCCCCTCTGAACATCATGTTGAATTGTGGTACCCAGTGTTGGAGGTGGGGCCTCGTGGGAGGAAATTAGATCATGGGGGCAGATTTCTTATGAGTGCTTCAGCACCGTCTCCTTGGTGTTGCCACAATGGGTGAGTTCTCATGAGATCTGGCTTCCTAAAGTGTGTGGCATCTCCCCCCACCTCTTGCTCCTGCTATTGCCATGTGAGGCACCTGTTGCCCCTTTGCTTTCCGCCATGATTGTAAGCTTCCTCAGGCTTCAACAGAAGCTTAAGCTGGTGCTATGCTTGCTGTACAGTCTGCAGAACCTTGAGCCAATTAAATCTCTTTTCTTAGAAATTACCCAGCCTCAGGTGTTTCTTTACAGCAAGCAAGAATGGCCTAACACACCCCAGATAGCACTGCTGAGTATCTATTTAAGATTGTATGTGCGATCTTTAGAAATATAACACATCAAGAATTAGACAATAAAAGTTACATGTATCATAAAGAAAAAGAAAGGCTATCATTATTTATACATGATATAATGTTATATACAGCAAATTCAAAGAAATAAACTGAAATCCACATAAATTGGGAGAAGAGTTTAAAGTTTCCCAGATATAGGAGTAGTATATAACAATTAGTGGAATTGACAACATTAAAACAAAGTAACAGAAAAATAATACCATTTACAATGGCAAAAGTAATTATAAATATATAGGTAAAAAGTCTGTTAATCTGAGTCCTATGGGGAAAAATGATAATTACTGAAAGACACACACACACCACACACACACACACACACACACACACACACACACACACAATCAGTGGAGATACACACTATCCTGAGTTACAAAGATTTAGGGAGTTGATGTTACAGTGTCTGAGGAATGATACAAGCTCTTCTAAATGCGAGCACAGGTAGCAGCACCTGGACTTTACTCTGCTAGATTGCATTTTTTGTCTTTTAGAACTAATGCTCATGAGGTGTGTGTGTGTGTGTGTGTGTGTGTGTGTGTGTGATTCGACAGGAACTCAGATGCATTATGATGCACATCTGCAATTTTGCCTGCTGTGAATACTTCAGATGGAACCCATTGTAGATTTCTGTTACTTAGTTTTGGATTACACTGCTGGAACAACCAGGGCATTTTTCTAGAATGAAATAACTTAGAGACTTGGAGAAATACATGATTGAGAGCAAGTTAATGGGATTTAGAATAAAGCAAATCCCTAGAGTAGGATATAGGATTTGCTGAATGGTACATGAAAATTCAAAAGCAGATTTTAAATAGGGACACCTGGCCGGGTGCGGTGGCTCACGCCTGTAATCCCAGCACTTTGGGAGACTGAGACAGGCAGATCACTTGAGACCAGCCTGGCCAACATGGTGAAACCCCATCTCTACTAAAAATACAGAAAAAAAAAAATACCCGGGCATGGTAGTGGGCACCTGTAATCCCAGCTACTGGGAGGCTGAGGCAGGAGAATCATTTGAACCCAGGAGGCGGAGGTTGCAGTGGGCTAAGACTGCGCCATTGCACTCTGGCCTGGGTAACAAGAATAAAACTCCATCTCAAAAAAAAAAAAAAAATAGGGACACCTTTGTATGAAGGTGGCTGCACCCGTGAGCAGGTTCCAAGTGAATTATTTAATTTCTTGGGTATTTGATATTAGGTGATGGCAAAATTTATAATTAGAATCCAGTTCAAGTTATTAATCTCAAACTTTACAATCCACTTCATTCTTTTTTTTAAAAAATAATTATTCCATAAAGTTGGACATGGTCATATCACTCTTGTGATTATGTTGCAGAGGGCAGTGATACCTGGGTTATCTGTGAGATAAGGCCTGCCTTACTTCAGCATTTTCCCATTGTCCCTCCCATTCAGGAAGGGCCCCTTGGGAAAGTAGTAGCTATACACTGGGAGAAGGGGCAGCATCATTGTTCCATCAAAAACAGATGGTGGCCTCTAATCTGAAGAAGTGCCCTATTGTAATTGGAGGAAAGTTTACTCTTTTTAAATGACTACCAAAAAGTCTGTGGGAAACCACATAGGATCATGCAGAATACTGGGGTAGGTAAAACACTCGTATGTCCAAAGGGACAATGTGAGGAGCTAGTTACCAGACCCAGAGGGAAAGAGTTATATAGAGAAAACGGCCTTGGGAGGAAAAGACATCCAGCCCCAGGTGACATTTTCACCGAGGTATCCAGGAACGTAAGAACCTGAACCCTGCTTTATATCCTCTCATCTACTGTGGGGATCTCAACTGGCCAACTCCACTAGAAGAAAGAGGGCAAGGGAACTTTGCTGTCTTCTATACAGGACATTTCTCAGGCAGACAGCAGAACGAACAAGGGCAGAGAGAATATCTAGAGAGGCAAACAGAAGCACCCAGAACACAGGGACCACAGTCCTTGAGATTCAATGCTTATGGTAGAATGGAGAGCTGTGTGTGCACAGAAGTCTAAAAAGCACCAGTACCAAATCTATGGTAAAGTATTGACAATTATTAATTAAGGTGACCACCGGAGTATCAGTATAAATTGTTTTATATTTTCCACTATACATTATGCATTAAACATTTACATTTAAACTTCAACAATTTAGATTAAAAATATTTCATTAAATCTATAGATTTAATTTAACTGAAGTAAAAGATTAATCTTTTGTCTTATTAAAATTGATACGTAGCATCACCTTTAACCTTTTCATAATGGCAAGAGTCATCTTGTTAAGTAACACATGCCACGTACCGTGGTGGGCAGAGTGTGTAGGGCTATTCACTTTCCATGAAATGACTCCAGACTGCCGAGTGGTAGTTGTGCCTTGTAATCGTTTCTGGATTTTTAACTTATTTCCTCTTCCACCACATTAGACTGTTAACATTCTAATATGTTAAATTCTAACATGCTGCAAACAACACGCCTGTCCCTAGCAGTTTCCTCCGGTTTGCTTGATTTTAATTTTCATGTGTTGAAAAGAAATGAAACCTTAGAATTTTAAATTTAGAATTGACCTTAAATAATGCTCATAGGTTAGACTAGTAAAGTGGTTTTAAAAAAGCCAAGATGAATCTAGAATAGGACCAATAAGCATAAAAGGAGCTGGATTAAATCTCTGTGGACTTCTACCATAAGTGAATGTTAGTAATTTTCTATGTGAACTTTAAGTTAATCATTGTAACTATTTCTAAATATTTAATTATGCCTACTGCCTAGATTTCCATTTTACTCCAAAAAGTCAAAGTTCTTAAGAAAATTCCTTTTTTTTTTTTTTTTTTGGAGACAGAATCTCTCCCTGTCACCAAGGCTGGAGTGCAGTGGTGACATTGGCTGCAGTGCAGTGCAATAGCTCACTGCAGCCTTGAACTCCTGGGCTCCAGTGATCCTCTTGCCTTGACCCCTCGAGTAAGCTGGGATTACAGGCATTAGCTATCATGCCTGACTAACTTTTTTTTTTTTTTCTTTAGAGATGAGAGATGAGGTCAAGCTATGTTGTCCAGGCTACTCTCCAACTCCTGGCCTCAAGTGATTCTCCTACTTCAGCCTCCAAAAGTGTTGGAATTAACAGGTGTGAGGCAATGTGCCTGGCAAAAATGACCTTTGACAAATCAATTATTATTGGAAATAAAATATATTTCTCATCTGCTGTAAATAAAAACTTATGAACATTGTAATGGAATATGACAGGATTGAAAGCAAATGTACAAATGATTACTATGAGTCTCAATTCCAAAACAGAAACCCATGACTACAGCTAGGGAACCAGATGAAGAGATTTTAATTAAGTTTTAATAATCTTACTGAGAATTTCTCTAGGTTACAAATATTTCATACAGAAGAGTTCATGAAATTGGGCAGACTAATTCAAAATATGAAAAAAATTGACCTCAGAGAATCTAGAGACAACTTCCAAGAAGAGAATATAAATTATAAATCCCACTCTTGCTCTTTCCTGCGTACAATATGTAGCATTAGCAATGCCAGAAAACGTCTGTAATGGTCTTTTCACATAATTAACTGTAAGCTTCAGAAACAAACTTGTAGAAAGAATAAACTTACTATACACTTACTATAACCACAGATATATCATTTCTGTGATTAAAATGCTCCCTTAAATACAAAGTTTCTTCTACCAAGCAAATTCCAGACTCATTTTTAATGGATTAAAGAGATGGAATTTCTCTCAAGGCGTTTATTTTAAATCTCTAGATTTAGGCCAGGTGCAGTGGCTCACGCCTGTTATCCCAGCACTTTGGGAGGCTGAGGTGGGCAGATCACCTGAGGTCAGGAGTTCGAGACCAACATGGTGAAGCCCCATTTCCACTAAAAAAAAAAAAAAAAGTATATATATAAAATTAGCTCGGTGTGGTGGCACGCACCTGTAGTCCCAGCTACTCGGGAGGCTGAGGCAGGAGAATCGCTTGAACTCAGGAGGAGGAGATTGCAGTGAGCCGAGACTGCGCCACTGCACTCCATCCAAACGGGGTGACAGAGCAAGACTCCGTCTCCAAAAAAAAACAAAAAAAAACAAAAAAAACCCAACAACAACAACAACAACAACAAAAATTATTTTCTAGAAATCTAAACAACAAAAATTAGGTCTAGAAATCTAAAATGAAGAAAATTGTAAAGAGCATACAATCAGCAACTGAATTAAAAGTGTAATCCAACATGTCACTGAAGAAACAAATCATCTGTGTCTTAACATAGAATTAATCTACTTCCCTAAGTGTCACCTGACAAGAAAATACTTAACAAAAATCTTTACTAAGATGATCATAGGCCTAGAATATTTCACAAACTCTGCCTGTATCTATTGAATAATGTAGGGTTCCAGTGTGTTTTGGTCTCCCTCTAATAGAATCCTTATTTCATAGTTTCCATTCCTCTTTCCCAATTAGAAAACAATGACAGGTATATAAACTTATATAGCTAAGATATTTACTATAATCATTTGATTGAGATTTTGAATTGAGAAATCAAGTCAATGTAATATATTTAAAACTGTTCATTTCACAGTAAATTAGATATTTAACTCTGTTTTAGTTTCTGGAAACCCTAAGTGTTTTTGCTGATATATATTATTTTCAATAATCAAGATATCTTTCTCAGTTAAGGCACAAAGGTTGTATCCATCAATTACATTTATATGTCTCAGGTTGATTGGTCATTACAGTATTCATTCAATCTGATAAAAGCTGCAAATGTGTTCAGTGATTTGATATAATTTCCGAAAATCTGCAAAGAAAGACTTATCATCTTTGAATACCCAAGGGTTTGAAATGTGACAGCATAATACTTAATTTTGCAAAATAAATCCAAGTCAAAACCTCATGTGCGTTTGCAATCATTAAACTGAAGTGGGGAATGACCAAAGCGGTATGAGTGGTCACCAGTAACTTGGGATGAGATGGGAGAGTAAGAGGTAGGGATACAGGCAGCAGTGGAGCCTGAAGTGGACACAAAGGAGGAGGGGAAATGAGATAGAAGAAAAATCATGTTTACTATCTACAAGTAGGAATGAGAATAGATCTCAAAGGCGCGGGAGGATATAAGCCTGCAATTGAGGCTAAGGGGTCCCTTGAGAATTATACTGGGACAGAGAGAAGGGAGCTGGATAGTGTGGTGGAACCAGAACTAGAAATAATATAACTTTCACGGCAAAAGTCTGAAAGTAAGGTTCTCTATAACATTCATTAACTCAAGAACGCCAACAGTATCGATGCTGCACCAAGAACAGAGTGCAAAGTACAATTATATAGTTTTTAATCCCATTTAATTTCCTTAGTGAGTCAATGAGGTAAATATTGTTCTAGAGAAAAAGCTGAAACTTAATTGGTTTACATAACTCAGCAAAAATCAAGTTAAGGTAGCCAAAACTTAAACCAGAATATATGTAACTATATGTAAATAGCACATAGTTACATAGTCTACTATCTCAAAAGGCTTTAGCTTATGAATTCCAAAGAGAATCAAGCTTTATTATAAGAATAATTTCCAAAATATAATTATTTTCTTTATACCTGAAAGACAATTATCTTAATAATTTGGTTAATTTCAATTAGATATCTCAAAGTGACAGCATAGTTTATTTATTTGCATCTCATTTCATCTAGGCAGCCACGTGCCCAGCTAATAAACAAATACATTCTGATTTTCCTGGGTACCTTTGTAACTAGAAATGGTTATCTAGACAGAGGTCCATTCCACCCTTCATTACCACCACCTTACTCACAGAAATGTGGATTTAATTCCTGAAAGTTGAAAAGGGGGACAAAAAGGAGTCCAGTCCTTTAAAACAACTTGAAGCTGTCCTACTGGCTTTGAACTAACTTCTTCCAGTTGTCCTGGGAAAAGAAGCCTATGACTTAGAACTTTGTTATTGTTCCATAAAGCCAATTACGATCCTAATTGAAACAAAGGTAATCATTTATTCAGCGCTTCATTCCTGTGAGAACATAAAATTAGGGAGTCAGTGAATTCTGTAATGGCGATTTCTACAAAATATTTCACTCAATTATTTTTCTTTAGAGACAAAATGACAAAACTTTGTATTTATATAGAGCTGTGTGATTTCCAAAGGATTTTCTGGTAAATTATTCATTTTGACCTGATTAATTGTGGTAATTTTTTTTTTTTAATGCAGAAACAGGAGAGATGCTAATGTTTGCCCTTTAGAAAGAATAGATCTGAGTTTAAGGGGCTTTCTAGAGATTATGCAGCTCCCTAGAAGTGAGAATGAGTTTAGTCTTTAAACTCTCAATCCATGACTCATGGTGCTACTTCCATATTGATATGGTTTGGCTGTGTCCCCACCCAAATCTCATCCTGAATTTTAGTTCCCATAATTCCCATGTGTTATGAGAGGGAGCAGATGGGAGATAATTTAATCATGGGGGCTTTTTCCCCTATATTGTCCTCATGTAGTGAATAAATCTCATGAGATCTGATGGTTTTTTAAGGGGAAACTCCTTTCACTTGGCTCTCATATTCTCTCTCTTGTCTGCTGCCATGTAAGATGTGCCTTTTACCTTCTGTCATGATTGTGAGATCTTCCCAGGCACGTGGAACTGTGAATCCATTAAATCTCTTTTTCTTTATAAATTACCCAGTCTCAGGTATGTCTTTATTTGCAGCATGGAAATGGACTAATACCCATCTTGTCAAGCAATATGGATTACTGGATAATTCACTTGATGTTAATTTTCATGAAGAACCACTTCTGCTTTTCTCTAAGGTATTTCATCATTTATTGTTGCTAATGCCATTAGCATCCAATATTTCCTAAAAGAACACATATTATTCAGAAATTTAGAGGCTGCTTGTGTCCATAATTCTATTCTTAACATAATGGTAGGTTTTATTTAATTAACGATTTAGTTCCTGGAGGATGTTAAAAAACAAAATATCGTTGATTGATTCTTTTTAAATGATAAATAACATTTGTCCTCATTCTTTGTTCTCAAGAATAATATTATTTTAACTGTCCTTTATTGTAATCATAGTAATTAAAGAGAATCAAATCAGTAAATTAATAGCTTAAAACCATGAGAGACTCATAATTTATCTAACTTGTTAGAAAAATTGAGTCCAACATCCCTCAGCAAAAATATCTCATACCTCAGTGCTACAAAGAACATTGTAAAAAGTGACTGCAGAACTCCCATAACACTAAACTAGTATTTGAAAGAGAATATAGGCCTATTACATTATCCTTATAAATGATTAATTTTTAATTCATAAAAGTTTACAGAGATAAAAGTGTTTTGTTTATAATGTAATATAAAAATTAAAATCTATTGTGTATCTAGAAAAAAATTCTAGACATAAAACCTATAAGGGGAAATTGCTCCTGTTAATCTTTGCTTTTATTACCCCAAAACAGGGCTATAACTAGTCTATTGAGGACTTTCCTATGGGCAGTAGAGAAAGGAACAATAATGTGAACAGGTTTTATGTACTGCAGAAGGATCAAATCTTGTTGAGGGAGTGAGGAGGTAGCTATTGTCTAGGGTGGGGGGTGATGGCTGGAGTTGAAAGCCCTGAGGGAAAATTTAAAAATACCAATAAAAGAACATATATAAGATATTGCATTGGTGGCACTTAAAATATTTGCTCATGTTTTTCCAACCTAAAAACAAAGGTCTAGTCTTCATGCAAGGAAAATTATCCATATTTTGGATTGTTTGAAGAAAAGAAAATACAATTGACACATTTGTTAGTGAGGTACAGCTTACAGGGATTCACAGAATTAATGGGTATTAGATGTAATACTTTAATCTCTGTTTTCTGCAAATCATGAACCCCCGCCATGATGGGTTTCTACAGTTCTAGACCTGATGTATTTCTAGGTCTGACCTTTATGCCACCATAAAGTAATTTAACAAACACCTCTAAAAATAAAAGACATGGTTCACCTCAAAAATAATAAGGGCCAAGAAATTTAAATCCTTTTGATAGCTTACATTCAATAGCAATAACAACTCAATACAATTACACATTTAAAGTACATGACAAAAAAGGGTTAAACTTTAATGGATTGAAAGAAATATTTTAATTATACTGTTTGTAGGCTGTCATAAATAGTAATAGCCATAGTCAAATTTTGCAAACATGGAACTATCCCTGTATGCTTACATAGACATAACCATTTTTCAATACATCTACTTTGAATGCTTAATCTATGCAAACTTTCAGAGGCATATTTGCCTAGTGTTAGTATTTCTGATAAAATAGTTTTATGTTAGTTTCCAGCAAAATGGTTCTCTAATTAGGCAAGTATATGTGGTCAATTATGTTTATTTGAATAAACTATGGATTGAAAATGGAGTTTTATGTTCTACTCTGCTATTTGAAGACTAAAAGGAAGAGATGGTGATGCTTGATGAAACAATGGATGCTAATACCATGTTTTCCCCTTATCTACAGGGTATACATTCTAAGACTCTCAGTAGATGCCTGAAACTGCAGATAGTACAGAACCGTGTATATAAGTATATATATGGTTTTCCCTTACATATGTACATACCTATGATAAAGTTTAAATTAGAAATTAGGTACAGTAAATAATAACAATAACTAATAATAAAATAGAACAATTATCACATATACTGTAATAAAAGTTACGTGAATGTGGTGTTTATCTCTCCCAAAATATTTTCTTGTACTGTAGTCACCCTACTTCTTGGGATGAAACAAGATGATATGAAGCTTACAGGATGAGACAAAGTGAAGTGAATAGGCACTGTGAATGTAGCATTAGGCTACGAGTGACCTAAGTGGCAGGTAGCATATTCAACGTGGATTCCCTGGACAAAGGGATGATTCAAGACCTGGGTGGGGAGGTCCAGGGACGGTCCAAGATTTCATCATGCTACTAGAACAGTGTGCAATTTAAAACATATAAATTGTTTATTTCTGGAATATTTGATTAATATTTCAGACTATGGTTGACTGCAGTAACTGAAACCGTGGAAAGCACAACCACAGATAAAGGGGACTACTGTAATATTAAGCATTCTACATTTCTGGACTTATCCAGCATGTAAACTTCTCACATATAAAAAAGTCATCATAAAATACCATGGCTATCATGGTATCATACACACACACACACACACACACACACACACACACACATCTATGTACACATCATAGCAATTAAACTGAAATGTGATGTTAATCATATGCCATATCCAATATAAAATCTATAATTACATGTATGGCCAAAATGCTCCACGTTATTTTGGCACCGATGTATTAGCTTCAATGTTTCAAGCTCTTTGAAGGTTTAAAATATATGAAAATGCTCTGCATATTAAATTCTTTTAAAGGCCCCCTTGTTCAGGAAAGTACATAATCAAAATATATTGTCTTATGGAAGTATTCCTTAAAAGAGTATATTTTCTATGATATTAACTTAGTAGTCAAGTATTAGTATTAGTTCATTTCTTATCTAGCATTTTATCTTTTATATTCATATAGTATTTTAATTTTAGAATTTTATAAAATGAGATTTTAGATGCCTAACAAAATGTATAAGCATCTTGAGACAATCTACACTTAGTGATTCAAACGGGACACTTTTTTCTGTATTGTGCTAATCTTAATTTGTGACCCTACCCACCAAAAGAAATAAAAAGCAGTCTTTGCAAATATAAGAATACAAATTTAGCCTACCATTTTTCATCTTTTCAAATAAGCAGTATTTATGGGTTAACCACACTTATGGCTTAATATGGCATTCACTTATTAAGAATGATAACCACCTTAAATTAGTCTCACAAACAAAATATTATGGGACACCTTGTATTGCAATGTTTTGCCAGGCAAAAACATCACTCATTCTCTGACATCAAATATGCAAAGTGAATAGAAGGTTGAAAGCGCCTATGACTTTTTAAAGGTATTCAAAATTACACATTTGTAAAACACTGCTTTGCTTCCATGATTTAGTTAAATCATTTTATGTATTTCAAATTGTATGTCTTTGTTTCACTCTAACGTGAAATTTAAAAAAATACATACACTTGACCAGTATCTAGTCCTACTAATATATACAATCCACGTGGATCTGCATGTTATATGGCTTCATGATAAAACAGTAAACTATCTTCACAAGATTAGTAATACTATTTTTTAAATGTCTTCAAGAAAGACAAAGGTTTAATAGGCTAAATTTGATAGTATTGTTGATATCCAGCAGAATCAAATTATTTATTTTCTGTTGCTTAAATGAAAAGTACAAATATATTCCTATTGTATTTCAAGTTGACCCATGATTCTCTAGATGTAGTCCCCACTAATCAGTGGCACCACTGAATTCAGAGACAAATCCTTCCTGATACACACAATGGAAAATACTTTAATAAGTGAACACATAAGAATCTATAATACTATTGCACAAAGAGAATAATGGTCAACAAATGGCTCTTTTAAAATGCATTATTTGTCACTAAATACACTGCCATTATAACAAGAAACCTTTTGTGCTTTAAAAGGGTATGTTTCTCAGTAAAATATTTATGCTTTTAGAAATTACCAGACTATATAGCCCCTGCACAACAATTTCACTGTTATTACACAAAATTGTAAATTATTTCTTTTTAAATTATTAATGCAATTGAAAAAAGAAGTTTTCAGGCTTATAGTCTTTTGAAAGGACAGCAAAATAGACGAAACAAAACCAAGATGACAATTTCAGCATTTAAAATCTACACATGATAATTCAAACAAATGTTATGACATTTAAGATAATGAAACCCTTCATTTATTCTACTATCTGGTATGAGTTTTATTTCACATATAAGGAGTCAGAACAGATGTCCAAATATTGTAATGCCAAAAGAAAGTTAGGGCATATCTTGATTAATACCCTCAGAGCTGCCTGTAGTGTCTCTTTAAAACTGGCATGGTTTACTTCAAAACAACTATTCAAAATCCATTCTAGGAAGCCTAGCTAGACAAAGATTCCCAAGACAAAACGAAAACAATAAAGCTTAGTATAACCCTTTTAGCAATGTGAGTTGCGTATTATTGACAGAACATTCATTGCAATCAGTAAATGATTAATTGCAAATTTGTTGCTAAATTGACCACACAAAAAAAAGAGACAAGCTTCAGGCTACTGTTAAAGAGGAAAAACTTATGTTAAAAATTATTGGAGGCTTCTTGTAGTGAATTAATTCTAATCAATATACTTTTTGACTACACAGTGGAATAATGACTTCCTTAAATATCAGAGGTACCCATTATTGTAGACATTCAAATTAATAATTAACATACTGACTTGCATTTTTAAAAAATTTACGGAAGTAGCTTTTTCTTTTGCCTTACCTTTAACAAATAAATAGTTCATGTTTCATCAAACATGTGCATAAGATTTGTTTTTGAATTTCAAATGTAGATTGTAGAAGTAATGCCCATATGGTCAAACTTATAATAATTGCCTGAAGCAATTTGTTCTTGGGTTTTTATGAAGATAAACCTCAGTGGCATATTAAAAATATAAAAGTTTAAAAGGTGGTAAGATAGATGGATGGGTATTTGTTTCTCAGTTACAAATGGCTATGCTTTACAAAAATGGTGCCTTTTGGGTTCTTTTATTCATATCAGAATGATCAAGCAAAAATGAGTGGTATAAGGGTACAATATAATATTTTGCACAAAAGCAACATTTTCATCAAAATAACCTGCAAAGTCATTTTCAGAATATTTATTGAGCACCTATTGTATGCCAAACACTGTGCTAGGTTCTGAAAAGACAAAAATTAAATAAAACATAGAACTTCTGTTAGGCAAATAATATTTGTAAATCTCTTCTTCCCTTAACTACTCATTTTTCTTTGAAACTTATTGGAAATGCATCAGTGACAAAGAGGCAGAAACATTATTCTAAAGTTTTTGAAAACAGAAGCAATAACTTTTGCTACAAAGATGAAAACAGAGGATAAATAAAGCTGCTTCAGATATTTATAATAATTTGATGACTAAAAAATTATGTCAGTGATTATGTAGTCCTATTTCTAGGTAAGGTATCCAAAGTCACTACAGCTAATAAGGATATATTTCTAAAAATTATGTGAGGGTGCTTCAAGGTCTATATTGAAGGAGGTGGGGAAGTGGTAAGAAAAGTGCACATCTTTAAAATGTGGTATAATATATACAATGGAATACTACTCAGCCATAAACAAATGAAATAATGTCTTTTGCAGCAACTTGGATGGAACTGCAGGCCACTATTCTAAGTGAAGTAACTCAGAAATCAAAAACCAAATACGCATGTTCTTATTTATAAGTGGGAGGTAAGCTATGGGTACACAAAGGCATACAGAGTAGTATATTGGACATTGGAGACTCAGAAGCGGGGAGAAAGAAAGGGGGAAAAGGAATGAAAAAATGCCTATTGCATATGATGTAAACTATTAGGGTGATGGGTGCACTAAAATCCTAGACTTCACCACTGTACAATTCACCCACATAACGAAAAACTACTTGTACTTCTAAAGAGATTAAAATAAAAATTTTAAAATAAAACATAAGAAATGTTTTAAAAAAAGAAAAGTGAACATCTTTGGTTTCTACAGTAGCCCTCTATATTGAGACTGTGTTATACTTTTGGGATGACTTTACAAAGAACTATGAAGTCCATCCCCCCATATCATAAGATGCCTTCCTTAGCTCTATGTTCCTAGGCTCTCCTAATGGTATTAAACAATCATGTCCCTATATTCCTCAGTGTGCTTTCAGCCAGGCATAAATGACCATAAATAGCCTCTGCTGCATAATCCAGAGCACCAAATGGCCTGGAGCTAGCAGACAAGAATTCGAACTTTGCTGCATCACCCCAAATAACAATAATTCACTAAGTTATTGAATGTTGTATGTTATTATGCAGAGAGTGAACAAACTGACATTCAGCAATGCTAGATAATTTGTGCAATACTGCAAAACCAATAGGTGGGTTCAGCTGGTATTTGAACACAGCTCAATTGCTTCCTTCTGTTCTAGGAGATGGCTTGTTATCTTATTTCCACAATACCCACTGAATATTGAAAAAAATTCCTTTATATAACCAAGTGACACTCATGGAAGGACAGCTCATTTTCTAGCACTCAAAGCATACGTTTTGTTGTACATTTAACTTTATTGACACAAAGATGCATTTAATATATTCTTATTTATGGATTATGTTCCATTTTTGAGTTAGATTCTTAACTGTTATAATACATGGGGAATATCCATGCTTTATTGTATCTGAGAGTTTTAAGTATAGAAATATTTTTCACTTAAAAAGGTATGTAATTTATATCTATTTCTGCTTAATTTGTGAAAACAATCTTTTAAAGCAAACAATAATTGTCCTAGTGAAGCAAATTTGCCACCTTACACATTCTCCTTAATAGCATTTGTTGATTTGTTGAAGATGCTTACCTTGCTCAAATCTGTTTAAATCTCATTAAAATATATTCACAAACAAGTGCTCCATTTTTAAAATTGCTCTGCTAAGGATACATTAATACAGTCAACTTAATTAACACAAAGTATTATACAATCATAATGATACAAATTTAAAAGGAAAATGGAATAGGTAAAAAGTCATCAAATTTTAAAAACTTGAGTGATCTGTAGAAAGTCAAGACCAGAGATTCAGAGAATAAAATAACCTGTCTAAATGTTAATGCTGAACAGGAGTAGAACTAAAGTGTTCTGAATTAAAATGCAGGCATCCTTTTCGATTTTATGATTAATCATCAGAATTAAAGTCAATTGAAGGTAATTTTGGGGAATTGCTAATTTAGTTGATTTTTTTGCCTTGAAGTTTACAGCATTCTGTCAAAGCATGCTATAATGTATCCAGTAGTAGTAGTACACTTTTTGTTAGGAAGGAAAAGAGAATCCAACTAATTTGTATTTTGCAATGAGTAAATATTAATTCCAACAGAATAACAATGTCAAAATTACCAATTACCTTATACAGCAATATAGTTTATTTACTTGCGGTAAGTTTACCAATTGCTCACATAAGGGAAATAGATTATATTTGGTAAGGAAGGTCAAGAGAGAGGAATCACTTGGAGATGGGCTGGAAACTGGGTTTTGAGGATGAAGAAAAGACATTGTGTGTAAACATGAAGGATTTTGAAAGTATGAAGGTAAAGAGTTTTAATTTCATTTCATTGGGAAGTTTAGTCCTCTGAATTAAAAATTCTTGAACAGAGGTAGAGAAAAGGTGTTTCTTAGAGATGGGCATCATTCTAAAAAGATAACTCTGTGGTTCGGTTTTTGAGTTATTATTATTATTTTATAAATGATAAATTTTGCACTGGTTGCTTGAGTAGTAAAATGTAGCAAATAGTCCCAAACTTCTATATGTTTAAAATTATTTTCTGCCCCTTTTACTGCTTTTTGCCCAGAAAGATAACTAAGTTTGTTCTGGGCTGGTATCTAGGAGTTAATATCATTTATTATTATTGCTTGAGGCTGAGACTTAACAACTTTGGCAGGAAGCAAGTCTTCATTTGATTTGAAAAATATGGTTAATTTTGCAGTATGTTTTGCTCATTCAGAATAATTCTTCAAAAGAAATATGGGTGAGTATTTGCTAGCATGATCCACAAAAACATTATTGGCTATCACCCCCGAAAGATTAGTTTTGGTTTGATTTCTCTCCCTTCTGGCTTAAGTCTTCTTGAATACCAAAAGTTAGAAGGAAGACATGGCAGATCAGTGATAGATTATCATAATCATAAAATCACAAAGGTGGAGCCTCACAGATCATCTTGTTTGAAAATTCTTTTTACAAGCAAGGAAACTGAGGCAACACCTTAAATGGAATGATTTACAAATAATGAGCTGGTGGCAGAGCTATGGCTCATGATTCCTAGTACATAACCTTTATACTACATAAACTAACGTTAATATCAAGTAGTGGAGAAATCAAATATTCTTCTGAAACGTAAATGACAGAAATTGCTCAAAGCATAGCCTAGTGTAGTAAGATAAAGGAAAGAATGATTAAATATTTTCCAAATGTGGAAACAAAAAACATAAGAACTGTCATAGTGAATCAGACCCGTGGCTCATCCCAGCGTTTTCTTTTAGGCATTGGCTTTGAGAAGAGAATACATTTCTTTTCCCACAGGTCAACTTCAAATGTTAGAAATTCAAATAAGTTGAACCAGGACTACTATAACCTAAACAGGTTATTTTCCCTTGTGGAGTTAATATTCACAAATTCGTTCTGGCCTTTTTCAATACTTTACATATTTTTATGTTCCCTAATTTTATATGCTCCATAACATTTTAAAACTTTTAAATATTTTATTTGCTGTAAATCCATGCTAACTTTTAAAAATAAAACAATATCCTCCTTTTCTCGTAGTCTAAATTTTATTAACATCTTTGCCCTTTAACTGTATTGATCCAGACTATAAGTTTTCTTAAACTTCACCTTTTTGATAAAAGAACAAAGTGTTTTCAAATTATTTTTATTGATCAGCCTTTTAAATAAAATTATTTTACCTTTATCAGCATTTAAAAATAGGTATTTTTTATTATGAATTTGTTTATTCATTGAACCCTTATTCTATGTTTAGTACTGGAGTAAGGGTTTAAGATAAGAAAATGAACCAAACTAAAAAGTTTCTTTATTTTTTTTTTTGCTATCATCTTTCCTAAAATAGTACAATCAAGAGTACAAGTTTATTTCAAGTAGCATTTCCATATATTTGGTAAAAATCTTTCTACCTCCATGTTTTTAATTTCACTATTATTATTAACCATAAAAAATAAAAAGTAAATAATACCTACAGGTATTACTCCTACAGGTAAGCAGTCTCGTGGTGTTTTAAGCATGGTGCCTGGTAGTTGGGTGTGAAATTGGATTCGGTACTAGGTGATTGATAGAAGCTCAAAGGACCTTATGGAGTCTACTGGTGAAGATTTGAAGGACAGTGAGAAAAGTGTTATCGAGGGCTAGAAGAAACAGGACAACTGTTGTATAGCGGTGAAATATTTAGCAACATTCTTGCTTCTTTTTACATGAAAAATATAAAAGATATCTATAAATATGACAACGGCTGTAAACATTTCTAGGCAAAATGTAGAAAAGTGTTCAGACATATTCTAGCTGCATATAATAATAAACGGGACAAGAATAAAGGAATTTAAAGTTTTAAGGCAAAATTTACAGAAAATATTAATAAGCTTGATGAGTTTGAGGATAAAACTATTTCTCATCCTGAGATACTCCCAGAAAAAATATTCTCAAGATAAGAATTGGCTTCAGGGAAAAAATCAAATCCAGTGTACTACCAATAACATGGTGGGATCTAGGGTTATAGGAATCACAAGGTTGTGACTGTATGATTTTTGTTAAAACCTTAAAAATATTTAAGGGCCTGCCCAGGAAGGCTTCTAGAACTCTTAAGAGAATGCTTTATAGACGGATTCAATTAATAGGGATCTTCTTAAGGACAGTGTCCCAAAGTAGCATCTCAAGTTAAAGAAATATCATCAGGAGGAGGTATATGGTTATGGCTTTTGTCTGATTGAGCAACTTATAATTTAATACATAAGAAACATACAAAGTTTTTAAAGGAATGCTTATAGTTTGGCTAAAAGTGATAGAAACAGTACAAAATGAAAAGAGGTTGTTGAACCTCCAACCTACTGTGAGAAGGCAGCAGGTGGAGAAACTTGCTTAATGAAAAACACAAATATGTGTCTCTGGAAAAGAGGTAATGACTCAAACAGAAGAATCAAGAGCTCAGAGAATCATCTCCAGGAAGCTGAACTGAGTTAAAAACAAGAAACTGGCAATACGTGTTCTGCTGGATTTCATAATTGCTATGAACAAATGACTGCTGTGTATTTTGTGTTTCCTTACTTTTCGAATGGGAGTGTCTATTGCCATTATCCTATGTCATTTTATGTTGGATGTATATATGGGGTGCAGATAATTTGTTTCTTTAGTTAATAGGTTTTTATTTCAAGATGAACTATATTCAAGGAGCTGTACCTGAGGAAGTACACTCAGGAACCCCATCTATATCCTGACCCGATTTAAATAATGGGGTCTGGACTTCGAACAAATACCATAATGGGATGAGGTTTTTGAGGGTCTTGGAAGATGGTGAGTATATTTTGCATGTGGGATTGCAATATATTTTTGGGTTAAGAGGGTGGACATTGTAGCTTGTCTCAATAGTAGCTGCCATTATTTTTTTCCCTACTTGTTCACACATGTCATACCCCAGTGAAAGAGGAAGTCTATTTATCTTAATGTCTTGGATGTGGGCTTGACTAACAGAATGTGATGAAAGTGACATTCTAGGCATTGAAGCTTTCACCTGTTTCTCTTGGAAAGCTTGTTTTGGAAAAAACCAGCTTTCACATAAGAAGTCCAACTAATCTGTTACCTTCATGTTTTGAGATGAGAAAGAAGCCTTCTCCTGGAGAGAGAGAAGTCAGGTAGAACCAAGGTACTAGGCATGTGAGTTAAGAAAATATTTTAGAATTTTATCCCCAACCCCAGCTGCCAGAGCTAATGCCCATGAATCAAAGAAAAAAACATCCAGCTATGCACTTTCCAAATTCTCCCCCTACAAAATTGTGAGTAAAATAAAATGGCTGTTTAAAGCCATTACACTTTGAAGTCACATGTTACACAATATACAACTCTTAAGTAAACCAAACACAACTATACTATCATTTCAGGATTCATTTATAATTCTGAAGTACTTTTGGCAATAATTAGTTTTCTGGTGGGAAAATATTATGTTTACAAGTTGGAGTCTTAAATGTAGTTGATAGAAATATAGAGATCGCAAATTTTGACATTAGATTGGAAACTTAAATTGAGGCCTGATTTAGATTATACATAAAGTATCTATATGCATAATCCTTAAAAATATGATGTAATCTATATAACACTATTCTCTTCACAGAGCACCCCAACTGCAAAAGCACTCTTGCTGTATGCACTGATCATTCAAATCCCATCACAATTTCTATCTCCTTTGAAATAAACATAGCTAGGATTCTGGCTTTCAACATTCCTTTCCCATTCACCTACTCCTCTCATCTTCAACACTTTCCAATCTTCCCCTAAAGGATCAGTTTACTTACAGAAAACTGGAATCAACAAAAGAACCACTAGACAGCTTAACATTTGAGAGGACTAGCTCTTTCTTTGACTTTCTGCCTTCACTCCAGTAACTGTTTTTCTCCCTTGTGATTTATGCCTCTCCAGAATCTAATTTCTGTAAAATATCTGCGTGCTTGTGCTTCTACCATTTTTTGTTGCTCAATTGCTCAAAAAATATGTTTCTTACCTATTTCAACATGTGTGTAAGATCTACTGCTGAATCTACCTGATATTAATTTTTCTTACAGAGACAATAAAGCTTTAAGTTTGTAAGTTTTTAGACAGTTTGGTAAGACGTTATTCTTAAAACTCTTTTGAAAAACTAACTCCACATTTGTGTGTCTGTCATCTCCAAGACTAGTCAATCCCTGCCTATCACATTTTCCCAAAGAGGAGATGGTCATTTGAACAGACTGCTTTCTCTCTTCTATAACACTGCATGAATTACTTCTATTACCTTATTTTTTACCTATTTTAAATTTATATCATGATCTATATTTTGACTCATCTTTACTTAATATAAAATGTTAATCATTTAATTATATTGGGAGTACCCTTGAGGCAATAATAGATTCTTATCTTTTTATGGAAGTGGTTTTAAAAAATTGTAGAAATAAAAAGGTGGTTTTCAACAAATAGTATAAATAAGATTAACTCCGAGATTTATTCTATGGGTCTGAGATGAGGCTAAGAATCTGCATTTCACTTACTTTAGGATTCCAATTGTTTCTGGTGCAGATGGCCAAAGACTATACAACAAAATGCTGCTTTAGACAATAGGGATGTGATTTAAGACAATTTCCTATAGTAATGTAAGGCAGCGAGTGACTAAAGGGCAGAGTCCAGTTAGAAAACCTTTGCAGAAGTCCAGAGAAGATATCAGGAGAGGGCTGATCTACACAGAAGCATTAGCAATAGAAAGGAGGGGACAGATGGAAGCTAAACTAGCTATTAACAAGTTCCTGAAACTGTTTTCTATTAAAGCTGCCTTAGAAAATGAAAATGTACTGTGTAAGCACTAAAACAAACACAACCAAAAAGATGTTTTCTTAACTGGGAAATTATGATGTGCAGTTATGTTTGGTATCTAAATGCAAATTTTGCATGTAGGCTGCATTTATGGAAGAACTGAAAACAACCACAATACACTATATCATAGTAGAAACAAAACAGACTAGCTGTACTTGGCATAGTAATGATAAGCCCTTTAAATTAAATCTTTATGCAGATTCTATTTTATACTCCAAACTTTTCATGGAGCCTTGTGTAATTCTGATGTGTAAACCAACAAACAGAGAGGCTCTGTGTATGGAGTAGCTGGTTTGGATACCAGCTGGCTTGGCTGTGCGCCTTTCTAATGGTAATGAAGTCACACAGCTGCTAGGACAATCAGCTGGAGTTCAGATTGTCACTAGCTAAATGGATATCCATTGACTAGCTTCTTATCCGGACTCATTAAAGTTTAGTATTGACAAATAGTGGCTGGAGGTTTACAACTAAGAGGCATGTAGAAATGAACTTGTTGACTATTTTTTCCCTATAGCTTTTGCTTTGTGATTCACAGAATGTCATTCATCTGCTTGAGATGCATGATTACTAATGCACTGTAAAATTTTAAGCACTCTTCTGCTTATAATTTTCAAAGTGAATGAATGTTCTGAAGCAAGTAGTCACAGGCATCAATAAGTTGTCAGTATATGAAAACACAAAGAACAATCAGAAAGTACTATTTTTCTTTAAAACAAATAAAAAGAAGGTATGATTTGCACAAAAAGTTTATAACTTGAGGTTGATTTTTATTTTAAATATTCTTATAGGTATTTTACTGGATAATTTCTAAGAGTTGACTGCATCTACACTAGTCAACATGCCACTAAATACTAGATGATTTCTTTTAACCAAGCAAATTGGATAGATAAGAATAGTCACTGGTAATTTTGTTAATTCGATAGTCATCTCTTGAACATGCTAACACTTTTCCAAATCCTCAAAGGAACAAGAGCCAGAAATCAACACCTGTTGGGTCAGAAGTGAAGAATAAGCCTTCATGTTGATAAAGCTCTACGGTGCTATCTCTTAACCCCTGGCCTCACTGAAGGCATAGAGCTTAGATATAATGTTCCATTCCTTGTCCTCATATCCTATGCAGTTTGTGTTCTTAAGAACATGTTTTGTCTTGTTTCAAGAATAGACTAAACTTGGCCAGCTGCAGTGGCTTACACCTGTAATCCTACCACTTTGGTAGGCCAAGGCTGGCAGATCAACTGAAATCAGGAGTTTGAGACTAGCCTGGCCAACACAGTGAAACCCCATCTCTACTAAAAATACAAAAATTAGCTGGGCGTGTTGGCACACATGCTAATCCCAGCTACTCAGGAGGCTGAGGCCAGAGAATTGGTTGAGCCCAGGAGGCAGAGGTTGCAGTGAGCAGAGATTGTGCCACTGCAGCCCAGTCTGGGAGACAGAGTGAGACTCCGTCTCGAAAAAAAAAAAAAGAAAAAGAAAAAATAAATTCAAACTTACTTCCCCACTCATTGTCATTACAGACTCACTTCTACCTTTCACAACTTTGCTGCCTTGTGAAGGTTTTGAAAACACTGGATCCATGCTACCCATGTTTTGCCTCCAAAGACCAATGTAAAATTGCCTCCTGACTGTGTGTGTGTATAATTATCTGCCTTAGACTATGATGACACCTTTAGGCTCTTTGTGAACTAGAAAAATAAAAAGTTAGCAGACCTTCCTCAAGAAGATATGGAAGTAGAAAATGCTAGAGCAATACAAAATGTGAATGACGCTCAAACGCCAGTAATTTGCTTCTTTACCATGTCCTCATGTGTAAATTCTCTTTCCCTTTCCTTGATCTACAGGACACTTGCTTACTTTCCAGGTCTCTTTCCTGTGGATTCCAAAGGCAGGGCAACATTCTTCCATTGTCAGTAGTGTAATAAAAAATGTTCTCATTTTTATTCATACCCAGATTTTTTTTTATAATTCTGCCTAATATCGTCAAGTGTAAGTAATACAAAGCAGGCCTATGGCATTCATTGTTAAATGTATACTCTCTAGCTCACAATGTGAACCACAAAAAATAATCCAGTTGTGGATTCCAGCTGTTTCTAGTGCAAATGGCCAAAGACTACAACAAAACACTTCACTAGACACGATGACTAACCACTCTTCCTGGTAACTCAGAATAAAGATTTTGGCAAAATTTTCTGATTAGAGTATAAAATTTCATGCCTCCCACAAATCAATAGATGTAAACTCACCCACATAAAGGATGTTGTCTTGACTCAACAGAGCAAGCTTAGTGCAAGTCCAGACCTTCATATGATGTAAAAGTTTTTGTAAGGCAAAATGGAAAATTCCTACAGTTAAAAACTTTTGCTTAATCATGTTTTAAACTTCTTAAAGAGAAAAAAATAGACTATGTAGCTATAAAACATTTATTAAAAAAAGGTAGACAATATGCAAATAAAGTTTCTGTACACTGGCAGAGAACTGTACCAGGATTTAGACGGCCTGGCTAACTCTGGGAACTCAAGCAAGTCATTTAATCTCTCTTGATTTGATAAGCAAAATAAGAGTTTTGATTTCATGAATTCATTCATTCATTCACAAAACAAAGATGTGCCATAGATTCAGCAAGGCACTGGAAAATTGGAGAGCCACGCACTAACCTCTGAGGGCAGCATACCTGGAATCCCTAGAGTCCCTGCCAGTCCAGGATACTATAAGTGGGTGAATAGAGATATCATTCCTTGGAATTTTCCACACAAAAAAGAACAATGACTGCTGATATTCTCTGCTATGGCTAAGGCTGCTGGTACTCCTTGATACCCTGTAATTTGCTGTCTTTTCCAGCAAGTTGACCATTGATTAGCTCTGGCCAGTGGATTGTAAGTAGAAGTCATATATATCAATTCTGGCCCACAGTAGTTATGTATCAAGAGTTCCATTTTTTGCCCTCTTTTCTATTCCATGTGCAGGCTGGATGATGCCAAGGTGACATACAAATTTGTATTCACATTGTGAGGACAAATATGGCAGAGGCACTAGCTGCAAGTGCCTGATGTCTGGGTTATTTAAAAGAGAGCAGCCTGACTGATAGACAAGATATAACACAATAACTTCTATTGTGTTAAGCCATAGAGATTTGAAGGCCTGCTTGTTGTTGCAGCATAACCTAGCCTAGTGTGCTTAACTCAAACAACTATATATTATTATAAACCTCACTCAATGACATCTAAAATTAAGAGCAATGTATTTTTTGATGCTTTTTATGGCAATTCAGAATCTAGTATCTTATTCACTGGGCATCATAAATTAAAATTAGTATTTAGATTCTGATATTTTCTATAGGGCATATTGCCAGTTTTAATGAAATACTTAACTCCCCTGAGCATACTGTCAGAAATGCTCCAAAAATTCTTTAATGTGCCGTGTGAAAGTCTCAATGGTCTCTTACTAATCAACATTATAATGGAAAATACACATACTAGTTAATAATTAAATATGTCAAACCATAAAGTATATGAAGATATTTTCATTTTGTATTACACTTTGCACAGAAAATTTCACAGTGTTCTCATTTTTTACTGCTGTTAGGAGGTATCTGTGATTTCCATTTCTTCTTTCACCCTTTCTTTTCAGGTATCCAGGGAGGGCCATATGTTGAACCAATGTGATACCCCCTGAAGCAGGCTTTCCTCATTAGTATGCTACGTCTTGCAGCATTCTATGTACTATCTATCGAAATTCCACTATGTTGGCACAGGTCTGACCAACTTGCAAGTAGGCACAATGCCAAACATGCAGATGGCAGGAGGGGAAAGAGCCAAAAAAACACGTGAGTCAACTGTGGGTACTGATGGCAAAATTCCCAGAAATGCAGGTCCAAACACTTGTCCATCCTAAGCTTATAGTACATACTTACAGAGACACAGATTTGTCAACAATAATCTAGCACTGAGTTAGATCAATTATTTAAAATATTTTAAATCTACTTTTGGCTACTGTGGGTAACAACAAGGCAATGATTCAACAAAGGTTGGTGTTTAGTCTTTCGTCTTTACCCAGATGACTTCTCAATAGACAATCAGGCGGCATATTTAAACAATTATTTCTACCTATATTAGTTATGAATAAAGGAGAAACGTGCATCTTGTCTTTATTTATATAAACTATATAATTAAAACACAAGAAAAATATTAAGACACTATACACTGAGACTAAATACTGTTAGCACAGTAGGGCTCAAATTGTGGCTCTATTAAATATTCTTCCTTGACCTCTTCTGCCTGCTTGATCAAAAAAATTTATTGTGTTTTATAAACTAGTAAACTTCATTATCAGGACTGGATCTGTGAACGCATAAAATGAATAGTACCTGATTTGAAGATCTTTAAAAGGCTCATTCATTTAAATAACCCATTTTCTGCTGTTTTGGCAGTTTGCCTGAAATGTCTCAAATTATTGCCACTTAGGTTAAGCTATTGTATCTCCTGAAGGTGTTGATTTTAGAAGGAAAACATTTTATTGAGAAAAGAATAAAATTAGGTTTTGAATATATAGGTAGGATGAAGTTTAATCATTGCAGTAAATGCTCCTTAGCAACTACTGTAAAAGGCTCCCAGAATCTCTACACCTTACTTTTGAGCTTTAATAAGGACAATTCCTATTAAATCAGTTTTAGGGAGAGCATCTGTTAGATAAGTTGATACTGAACTTCTAGAGGTAAGGTTGAAAATACTTTGAAAATTAATTTGTGGTATAGATGACCTATTTAATATGTTTCTCAATGAGTCATATAATTTAGTCATGTCTCTTGACCCCAGATCTAGTGTTTTTGTTACTATACTATCATTCTGACGTTTTACAGAATTGAATTGGTTCATTTATATAAGCATTTTCAGTTTAAGGTATATGTAGGAACATCACATTCATTCTTCAAGTGAGTATTTTATGAACAATGTCATATAAATTTAGAATTTTAATCTAGCATGAAGAAAACAATTTGCCCTTTCAAAAGTGAGTCTTTACATCCTGCCACATTTCCAGAAATTACTTAAATTCCAGCATTTAGTACACATGACATTTGGTCTCTCTTTTGATTGGACACCATACTGCCATTTATGTTTTGATTCCTGGTCAATTTATGTCTATTGCCTACAGGTATAGCTTGTATACCAAACACTGAAGGCATATAGGAATACCTCAGAGATATTGAGGGTTCAGTTCTAGAACACCACAATAAAGCTAATACTGTGGGAAAGAGAGTTTCTGGGGTGCCAGTTGAGTTGGTCTCCCCTGTGTGAGACACCCATGGGGAGCCATGGGTGGCCTCTGAAGAGAAAAGTCTCCCTATTGCCTTCATGTCTTTATGCCCGGAGAGAATAACCACTCAGCGGCATGCCACAGGTTGCTCAGGGAGATAACACTCCCTTGAAGCAGTGGAGTATAATCAAACATCTTGGCTCCTCCTGAAACCCACTCCCACCCATTTCAGTCCTGATAAGTTAAAGATCTTAAGTAGTTTAGACACATGCCTTTGCTCAAGGAAATTCACAGAAACCGCCACTGCTATACATCTTATTGAATGACTCACGAGTTCTCCTTCACATATTAATCCTTTTCCTCATCGGTTCCTCCCCCTCTCATCTGCCCTAAGAACAAAGGGCTTATAAACCAATAAATCGGGCAGAGCCCGAGAGCTCTGGGCCGTGAGCAAGCCTCCGACGCTCTGGTCCCCTGGACCCGCCTTTTAAAAGCTTATTCTGTCTCTTTCTAACTCCTTTGTCTCCGCCAGACTCGGGGTACCTGCTGGGTGGTGTGGGGCTGGTTTCCCCAACAAATCCAGTAGGAAAGTGAGTCACACAAAATTTTCTATTTCCCACTGCAAATAAAAGTTATAATCACTTGGCCAGGCATGGTGGCTCGCCTATAATCCCCGCACATTGGGAGGCCGAGGCGGGCTGGTCATGAGGTCAGGAGATGGAGACCATCCTGGCTGACACGGTGAAACCCCGTCTCTACTAAAAAATAGAAAAAATTAGCCCGGCGTGGCGGCGGGCGCCTGTAGTCCCAGCTACTCGGGAGGCTGAGGCGGGGATCTTGTCTCAATGCTGAGGCTGTTGACCAATCAGGGTGGTGGTTGCTGAAGGCTGGGGTGGCTGTGGCAATTTCTTAAAGTAAGACAACAATCAAGTTTGCCACATCCATTGCCACCTCCTTTCAAAAATGATTTCTCTGCAGCATTTGATGCTGTGTGATAGCATTTTATCCACAGGAGATCTTTCAAAACTGGGGTCAGTCTTCTTAAATCTTGCTGCTGCTTTACCAACTAAGTTTTCGTAATAGTCTACATCCTTTGTTGGCATTTCAACAATGTTCACAGTATCTTTACTAGGAGTGCATTCCATCCCAAGAAACCACTTTTTTTGGCTCATCCATAAGAACCAACTCCCCATTCATTCATTTTTTCATGACATTGCAGTTATTCAGTCACATCTTCAGGCTCCATTTCTTATTCTTGCTATTTCTACCACGTATGCAGTTACTTCCTCCACTGAAGTCTTGAGCCCCTCAGAGTCATACATGAGGGTTGGCATCAACTTCTTACAAACTCCTGTTACTGTCAGTATTTTGACCTCCTCCCAAGAATCATAAATGTCCTTAATAGCATCTAGAATGGCAAATCCTTTCCAGAAAGGTGTACTTTTCCCAGGTCCATTTGATGAATCACTATCTATGACAGCTATAGCCTTACAAAATGTATTTCTTAAATAATAAGATGTGAAAGTAAAATTACTCCTTGATCCATGGCTTGCAGAATGAATGTTGTGTTAGCAGGCATAAAAACATTAATCTCCTTGTATACCTCCATCAGAGCTCTTGGGTAACTAGGTACATTGCAAATGAATCATAATATTTTGAAAGGAATCTTATTTTCTGAGCAGTAGGTCTCAACAGTAGGATGAAAATATTCAGTAAACAATGCTGTAAACAAACGTGCTTCTATTCTGGCTTTGTTATTCCATTTATATTGCACAGTTAGAGTAGATTTTGAGATGATTATTAAGGGTCCTAGGATCTTCAGAATGGTCAATGAGCACTGGCTTCATCTTAAAGTCACCAACTGCATTAGCTCCTAACAAAAGTCAGCCAGTCCTTTGAAGCTTTGAAGCCATGTACTGGCCTCTTTTCTCTAGCCATGAAAGTCCTAGATAGCATCTTCTTCAGTAAAAGTCTGTTTTGTCTACATTGAAAATCTGTTGCTTAGTGTACACCTTCATCAATTTAGCTAAATCGCCAAATCTTCTGGATAACTTGCTGCAGCTTCTCTGTCAGCACTTGCTTGCTGTGTCACCTTGTACTTTAAAGCTCTGGAGATGGCTTCTTTCCTTAAAACTCAAGAACCAACCTATGCTAGCTTCCAACTTTTCTTCTGCAGCTTCCTCACCTCTCTTAGCCTTCATAGAACTGAAGAGAGTTAGGGTCTTGCTCTGAATTAGGATTTGACTTAAGGAAATGTAGCTAGTTTGATCTTCTGTCCAGACCACTAAAACTTGCTCCATATCAGTAATAAGGCTGTTTCACTTTCACTTCATAGTTCATGGGAGTAACCCTTTTAATTCCTTTCAAGAACATTTCCTTTTCATTCACAACTTGAATAACTGTTTGGCTCAAGCGGCTTAGCTTTCAGTATCTCTTGGCTTTCAAAATGCCTTCCTCACTCAGCTTAATCATTTTTAGCTTTTGATAGAAAGTGACAGATATGCAACTCTTCCTTTCACTTGAATACTTAGAGGCCACGGTAGGGTTATTAATAGCCTAATTTCAATATTGTGTCTCAGGGAACAGGGAGGCCCGAGAAGAAGGCGAAACAGAGGAATGGCTGCAGCTTCTCCATCAGCAGTCAGCGAAGAAGTCAGAATGCAGAATTGATGAGGTTCACTCTCTTTTATGGGTGCATTTGTGGTATTCCCAAACAATGACAACAGTAACATCAAAGATTACTTATCACAAATCACCAAAGCAGATATAATAATGAAAATATTTGAAATATTGCAAGAATTACCAAAAAGTGACAGAAACATAAAGTGATCACATGCATTTAAAAAAATGGTGCTGATAGATTTGCTCAAAATAGGGTTGCCATAGACCTTCAATTTATAAAAAGCACAGTGTCTGTAAAGTGCAATAAAGCAGAGCACAATAAAATGAGGTATGCTTGTACTTCAGAACAACACCAGCATACTTATGTTTGCAAAACATGAAACACAATCATAGAAGCTGATGTTTGAGAAATCCACGTTATTTTTACCTTCTTTACAAGATGGAATTATTGGGTTTCATTTGATTACCAAGAAGGATTTTAATAAGTTATACATAATCAATGACTATCCAAAGAGTAGAATTTTCTCTATCAGAACTATGTTTTTCTTGTAGTATATTAACATGTTAAGAGATAGCCTTACTCTTAAAGTTCAACTTGTACATCAGATAGATTAAAATGTCATTAGCTTGCTGGAATGCTCTTTCTATAATCTCTTCCTGACAACTCAGTCTTTTATTTTCTTTTTTAATTTTTCTTAAATCATTCCTATAGACGTCTCAGGTTTTAGAATCTGACTTCCAGCCATTGAGAAAACAAAGAAACTAGTATGGTAGTGTATGGTTTTCTCAAATTATAATTAAGGTGTACATATAAAAATTTTAACACCTTTTTTTCTCTACTAAATGTGATTAGAAGGCTCCCTGTCCCTTATATATTATAGAACTCAATTATAACACAGCTTATTATTATACAGGTTTTGAAACACCAGAAATTATAAAATCTCCCTCAGACAAAGTTTACACACCAAAACCTGAAAGAGCTTATTTGAACTAAACGAGGAGGTTTTGCTTTATGATCATTCATTTTACTCTCTTCTATATTCCTTCCTTCCTTCAATCATGTGGTCATTTATTCATTCACCAAGTAATTGTTGAAAATTTACTACATGTCAAGAACTGGGGCAGATACAAAGAAGATATGGCATGTAGCCAAAAGAAAATTCCTCCTTGGTACAAGGTTCAGAATTGAAAAGATTATATAATTTCTGTAATGAATACGTGAAAGGAGATGAGGTTTTCATTCAAGGTAGAAAATGACATCCATTATAAAAGTGCTATTAATAACAGCCTTTTAATATTTAAAAGAGAAGAGTGATTAAGACAGAACCCATACTTTATTATTCTATCTTCTACATGTATTAAGTAGGTTTGACCATATTCAGGTGTATTACATATAATTAAGAATAAAGCTAAAAGTTCTCTTTTTTTAATCCATATGGGACACAGTAGATGGCTGTGCCTATTTTAAGCTATCATATTTATGTAAACAGCTTAACTTGCCTTTTCTGAGTGTAAATTTGTTGTGTATTTTGCACTTTCTCATCAAATTAAAATGACTTAGTTATGTGAGCTCAATCACATAATACCTTTGAGAGTTTATTCATTCAACTTTAAGACAGTCAAACAGTCTCATTCTGGGAGCAATTAGCACTCAGATAATTATTACCTATATTTTCATACTATGTCAACAGAATGATTTTATTAAAACAAAATTTTTTAATACATCTATTGCATTTTGGGCACTATAGTTGAAGGTCATTTTTAAACAAGAGCAGTGTCAAATTTTACACTAAAATATAAATAAAACAATATTTTATTACTAGATTGTGAATGTCTTTATATGTAGGAACTATATGTTGTTCATCTTTGTATACTCCCTAGGATGTAGAATAATGTTTAGTTAAAGCAGAAAGTTAAAAAGTGTAGAATTAAATTAAAATAATGAGCATATGGATTGTTTTCTAAATATAAAAATGTTTTATCTAGTTGTAATGTTCTACTAGTTACTAACTAGTTAAAATGTTCTACCTTTTATTTTATACCAAAATTTGCTGGTATTGCTTTTGGTCTACTGACATTTCTAGCATTTAATTACCACAAAAGCAATCTGATTCTTTTTTAACATGTTACTTTTTTTATCAATGTAAATTAAAATCTTAAAATCCATAAGATAAATGATAAATGTTAAACATCTATAAAATGCCAATGGAAACCCTACTAATTAACTTGAGAACTGATTTGATTTTGGGTACCACTTAAATCACAAGGCTTTTATAGTTCTATCCAATGAAATTATTTTTATAATCTCTTTCTAAATTGTGATATACATTTTTAAAAATATTTGATTTTCTTGTTGAACCATGATGATACATTTCCCCCCAAAATACATAAAAAGTTGAATAGACTGCTGTCTTCAAAATTAAACATTTAGTTCAGAATTGACAATGAAAGCATATATATGAGGATCATTTTTCCACCTTGAAATAATCTTTTGAAAAATAGGATATTAACTTGACTTTCCTCAAAGCTACTTACAAGTAGAACTCTAGAATAATCAGTTGCATTATTTGGACAATATGTAGATATTTTCAGCTTTTACTTTTACTTGCACCCAATAGAATTTTATTGTAACTGCAAATAATTGTTTATTGACAGATTTGAATATATAATTTAATATGGATGGGTAACTTAATTATAAAACCAGCATGGAATTAAATATTTCTGTTATTAAGACAGATGCTCATCAGAATCACATATATTGAGATCTTATTTGTATCAAATACAGATATTTTTATTTTTATCTTGTATCAAATATAGTAATAAAATGAATGTTCTCAATTAATTGTTTCAACAACCTTATGAGAAAGATGCCATTAGTGTCCCATTTTAAAAAAAGGAGGCCAGGTACAGTGGCTCACACCTGTAATCTCAACACATTGGGAGGCTGAGACAGGAGGACTGCTTGAGCCCAGGAGTTTAAGATCAGCCTGAGCAACATAGGGAGACCACAACTCTAGGGAAAAAAAGAAATTGGCCAGTGGTAGTCCGCAGTCCTAGTTACTCAGGAGCCTGAGGTGGGAGGATCACTTGAACCCAGGAGGTCAAGGCTATAGTGAGCCTGCATGACAGAGTGAGAACCTGTCTCAAAACAAAAACAAAAACAAATAACAAATAAAAGAAAAGGAAACTAAGGGTTAGTGGCCTCAAGATCTCCAACTCAGAGCTGAGACGTTCTCTGAATAATGCATATTTCTTAACTAACAATTGTTAGGTTTAGAGGGTTAGAAAGAGTTGATTAACAAATATCAAAATCAAATAAAAATAAAAAGTAGAAACACATTATGACATCAATATATTATTTCATTATTTTTCCTAAATTAGCAATTGTAGAAAAATTACACAATATCTCTGAGGAAATGGATTATGGCAGATTCTGTGATTATTTGCCAGGAAAACATGAAATCAGTGATAACTGTATTTGAGATCTCATAATAAGGAAAAAAGTTGTTTGCATTGAGATGGATTGTATCTCTGATGTCCTTGACTGGCAGACCAAACACTTTTTCCCTGCTGTTACAAATAAGTCAGAAACTGAATCAAACAATCTAACATGTTTAATAATTAAAATATATTAAACTACGTTTTCATTTGCCTACTAAAGTTGGATATCAACAGATTTCAAAAAGAGATTTAGGCACCTCATCCAAAAATGTATAAATCAAGGAAAAGAAAAAATCAATAAATTTCACATTTTAAGTGTTCAATACCAAAGTATTTATTCAGCACTGTTGTAATCTGACAAACTCAACCTTCTGTCTTTGTCATCTAGAAATAGAACCTTCATCACTAAATTATTTGAATAATCACCTTGACTATTTTTCTTAAAACTACTTGGATTATACGTAAATAATGTAGTTATTACAGAACTATAAGAGGACTTCTCATTCCAAATTGCTACTTTAGAAGAGTTAGATTTTATTTATTTTTTGAGAGAAAGGTCTTGCTCTGTTGCCTAGGCTGGAGTGCAGTGGCAAGCTCATGACTCTCTGCAGCCTTGACCTCCTAAGCTCAAGCGATCCTCCTGCCTCAGCCTCTTCAGTAGCTGGAACTACAGGTATGTACCACCACCACCACCTGGCTAATTTGTTTATTTTTGGGGGGATGGGGTTTTGCCATGTTGCCCAGGCTGGTCTCATACTCCTGAGCTCAAGCAATCTGCCCACCTTGGCCTCCCAAAGTGCTAGGATTACAGGCATGAGCCACTGTGCTCAGCCATATTTTTAAAGAAAAACAATTTTTCATATCTCAAGTAAACTAAACAATGTATTACTCTAGTTATGAGTAATATGTTGTTGGAATTCTCAGCAAATGAAACAAAAAAGTAAACTTTAAAGAAGTACATATTTAAACAAAGTCATTGAACAAAGACAAAAAATATGTCTATAAAAATCAAATATCCACTCTCTCCCAGTGCCATTTGTAACAATACTGTTAATACTTTCTTGCCTAGTTGAAGGGTTCAATGTACTTTCCAAAATCTGTAATTTGCATTCATAATTTGGAATTAAGTTGAAGATCTGATCTGGAATAAGCCATTCACATAGTAAAGATGAGTGAAGAAAGCTGTGTGGTTCAGAGGCACACTGAAGAAGAGCCCATCCTCTCTCAAGGGAAATCTGGTGCCCTGCTTCAGTTCAACACTGCCATGCAAGAAAGATGTGAGGGAAGTTATATTTCTAGGCATTTTATTCTTTTTGTGGCCATTATGAATGGGATTGCATTCTTGATTTGGCTTCAGCTTGAACGTTGTTGGTGTATGGGAATGCTACTAATTTTTATACATTGATTTTGTATCCTGAAACTTAGCCGAAGTAGTATATCAGATCAAGGAGCTTTTAGGCAGAGACTATGCAATGGAAATCACACAATACTGCTCAAAGAAATCAGAGATAACACATCCATGCTCATGGACAGGAAGAGACAATATTGTTCAGATGGCCATACTGCCCAAAGCAACTTACAGATTCAATACTATTCCTATCAAACTAACTATGAATTCTTCATGGAATTAGAAAAAAAAAATTTTAAATTCATACAGAACCAAAAAAGAACCTTAATAGTCAAGTTGATCCTAAGCAAAAGGAACAAAGCTGGAGGTGTCACATTACCCAACTTTAAACTATTCTACAAAGCCACAGTAACCCAATCCGCATGGTACTGCTACAAAAACGAACACATATAGAAATGGAATGAAAATAGAGATCTCAGAAATAAGGCCATGCACCTACAACCGTCTGATCTTCAACAAAGCTGACAAAAACAAGCGATAGGGAAAGAATTCCCCATTCAATAAATGGTGCTGGAATAACTGACTAGCCATATGCAGAAGATCGAAACTGGACCCTTTCCTTATACCACATACAAAAATCAACTCAAGATAGATTAAAGACTTAAATGCAAAACCTAAAACTATAAAAACCATGGAAGACAGCCTAGGGAATACCATTCTGGACATAAGATTTGGCAAAGATTTCACAACGAAGACACCACAAGCAATTGCAAAAAGAAAAAAAAAACCCAAAAATTAACAAATGGGACCTAATCAAACTAAAGAGCTTCTGCACAGCAAAAGAAACTATCAATAGAGTAACAACCTACAGATTGGAAAAAGCTTTTGTAAACTATGCATCTGAAAAAAGTCTAATTTCCAGAATCTACCAGAAATTTAAACAAATTTACAAGGAAAAAACAAAACACCTCATTAAAAAGTGGGCAAAAAACATGAATGGACACTGCAAAAGAAGACATACACACAGCCAACAAGCATATAAAAAAGGCCCAAAATCAATAATCATTAAAGAAATGAAAATCAAAATCACAATGAGATACCATCCCATACCAGTCAGAATGGCTATCATTAAAAAGTAAAAAAAAGTAACAGATGCTGGCGAGGTTGTGGAGAAAAGGGAACACTTATACACTGCAGGTGGGAATGTAAATGAGTTCAGCCATTGTGGAAAGCAGTTTGGCAATTTCTAAAAGAACTTAAAGCAGAATTATCACTTGACCCAGCAATCCCATTCTGGGGTATACGCCCAAAGGGATATTAATAATTCTGCCATAAAGACACATGCACGCATATGTTCATTACAGCACTATTCACAATAGCAAAGACATGGAATCAACCTAAATGCCTATCAGTGGTAGTCTGGGTAAACAAAATGTGGTACATATACACTATGGAATACTATGCAGCCATAAAAAAGAATGGGATTATGTCCTTTGCAGCAGCATGGATGGAACTAGAGGCCATTATCCTCAGCAAACTAACACATGACCAGAAAACAAAATAATGCTTGTTTTCACTTATAAGTGGGACTAAACATCAAGTACGTATGAACACAGAGAAAAGAATAACAGACACTGGGAACTCTTTGAGGGTGAAGATTAAGAGGAGGGTAAGGATCGCAAAACTACCTATTGGGTACTGTGCTTATTACCTGGGTAGCAAAATAATCTGTATATCAAACCCCCATGACACACAACACATAATTTACCTATATAGCAAACCTGCCCATGTACCCCTGAACCTAAAAGTTAAAAAAAAAAGATGAGAGGAGTACTGCCACATCTTGTGATTCTTTAAGAGATACGTGAACTTTAAAACTTTGTGTGTAATATATAATACTTCTATTTAAAAATATTTGCCAATCTCACATTAAAAAATAAGTTTTTGGCTTCTGAGGACTCAGGAGATAAGAGTTGTTCCCCAGAAAAGAGAGAATTCTACTACTATAGGAATTTATAGGAATGTGGCTCTTAAATTTTAGCATATACCTCCATCACCCAGGGCATTTGGCTCCTGGGGACTCAGGAGATAAGAATTGTTCCCAAGAACAGAGAGAATTCTATTACTATAGGAATTTATAGGAATGTGGCTCTTCAATTTTAGCACATACCACAATCACCCAGAGCTTGTTAAAATACAGATTCTTTGGGTCCTTTCCTTGACATTTGGATTCAGTAGGTATGGGATAGGGTCAGAGAATTTGCATTTCCAAGTTCCCAGGTGATTGTGATGCTGCTGTTCCAGGGGCCATACTTTGAGAATCACTGACCCACTTTGGTCATAATTTGAAAAACCCTACACACGGAGTTTTTTCATTTAAATAAAAGGAATAAATTATGAGCCACTATTAACTTTTTAAACAATTTTATTGATGTTAATGTATGTATCATAAAATTCACTCATTGAAAATACACAATTCAATATTTTTTGGTAAATATTTTATAGAGTTGTGTAACTATACCAAAATTCCATTTTAGAGCTAAAATTCAGAGCTACAATTTTTTTTCCAAATCTGTTTGCAATCAATCTCTCCTCTGACCACCAGCCTCAGGCAACCTCTGATATAAATTTTTTTCTGTATAAATGGGTTTGTTCTGCTTTGTTTTACATAAATGGAACATACATGCAATCTTTCCATCCAGCTTCCTTCACTTACTATGATGCTTGTGAGGTTCTACCATGTTATAGCACATAGCAATATTTTGTTTCTTTTAACTGCAAACTAAATTTTACAGGTAAACTGCATTTTGTTTGTCCATTCACCAGTTTATGGGCTTATGAATTTTCCCAGTTTTTGGCTATAAAGAATAATGTCGATATGAATATTACATACAACTATTTCAATGAGCATAAATTTTCATTTTTGGGAGGTATATTTCTAGGTGTAGAATTAACTTCTTAAGAAACTTCCAAACTGCTAAAGTAGTTGTTTCATTTTATCTACTGGAAACTAGTGGAGGTTCCAGGTATTGGACATACTCACCAACACTGGGTACTGTATGGTTTTTTGATTACAGCCTTCTCAGTGGGCATGTAGTGATATATCTTTGTAATTTTAATTTGCATTTCTTTAATTATTAATAATGTTGATCACATCTTCATTTTCTTATTAGCATTTATAAAAAATCTTTTGTGAAATGTCTGTTTAAGTAATTAGTCTACTTTTTAAATTGGATTGTTTCTCATTATTATTATTGGAGAGAGATATTTATATAATCTGGGTTCAAGTCCTTTATCAGATATATGATTTACAAATACTTTTCCACTCTGGCTTATCTTTCCATTTTCTTAATGGTATCTTTTAAAGAACAAATAGTTTTAATTTTATCAGATTCCAATTTATCTTATTTTTTATTTATGGGTCTTTCAATATAATGTCTAAAGACACCCCGCCTAACCCAAAGACACAAAAGATTTCCTCATATTTTTTCCAGAAGTGTTATAGTTTTAGAACTTATTAGTATTATTGACTTTTATCTTTTTTCCTATTTTTTTTTTTTTTTTGCAGGAGGCAGCCTAACTGGATTTTGTCGGTTTTCTTATCTTATAAAAAAACTAGTCTTTGGTTTCATTCATTTTCTCTACTATTTTTCAACTTTATATTTCATTGATTTGTGTTCTAATGTTTATTATTTTCTTCCTTCTGCTTTAGATTTAGTTTGCTTTTCTTTTTATGATTTTTAAGGTATAAACTTAGGTTACTAAGGCCTTTTTTTCTCTTCTACTACAGGCATTTACATCTATAAATGTTCCTCTAAACCCTGCTTTAGCTACCTTGCATAAAGTTTTGTATGTTAGAGTTAAATTTTCATTCAGGTAAAAATATGTTTTATTCTTCTTTGTGGTTTTTTTTGATCCATGAGAGATTCAAAGTATATTTATTTAATTTTTACTCTTTGTTGTTTTCCCAGATTTTTTTCTGTTGTGAATTTTTAATAAAATTTTGTCATGGTCAGAGCAACACCTAGTATGATGTCAGTCTTTTTATATTCATTGAGACTTGTTTTGTGAAACAGTAAATGGTTTCTAATAGAAAATGTTCCACAAGTGCTTGAACAGAATGTGCGTTCTGCATTCATTTGGTAGGGTGTTTAATAGAAGTCGATAAATGCCAGCAATGGAATATTTGTCATTTTTTAATCTGGGAAGGTCTGTCCTCAGAGATCTTCATTATTAAATGATTCTATTGATGACCACACTATTATGTTCATCCAATTTCATCATCATTAGACCATAATATTGCTGAACATACTATTCCTATATGAGAGGGGTTTTTTCTTTCAGCCCTTTGAATATGTTATTCCACTATCTTTTGGCCTTTGTTGTTTCTGATTAGATGTCAGGAATTTTTTTGTATTGTCCTTTACCTGTATGTAAAGAGTTATTTTTATGTTGCTGCCTTCAAACTCTGTGTGTTGTATGTAATATTTTCGTTTAACAACATTTGCCAAATGCACATTAAAACAATGTACTGGTACAAAAATAGAAGCATAGACCAATGGAACAGAATAGAGAGCCCAGAAGTAAGGCTGCACACCTACAACCATTTGACCTTTACAAAAATTGACAAAAACAAGCAATAGAGAAACAACTCACTATTCAAAAAATGGTGCTGGAATAACTGGCTAGCCATTTTCACTTTCTCTTTGTCTTTCCACAGTTTGACTCAGCGTATCCTGGTGCAGATCACTTGATATTTATCTTATTTGTGGTTGGTTGATTTTAGAGTGCTGTAGATTAATGTATTACATCAAGTTTGAGAAACTTTCAAACATTATATTCTTTTTTTCTGACACCGCAGACCTGCTGTTGAGCCACTCTAGTGAATTTTTATATTTTTCCGTTATTGTACTTTTTCATTTCCATAATTCCCAGTTGTTTAATTTAAAGTAATTGTTATATCTTTTTTGAAATTATCTCTTCAGTGAGTTATTTTCATGGATCCCTTTAATTCTTTGAACAATTTTTATTTTTAAAACACATTTATAATGACTGTTTTGATAACAACATCTATGTTTTAACATCTGGGAAAATTCAGAAACTATTTATACTGACTGCTTTTGTTCCTCAGTATGAGTCACACGTTCTTATTTCTTTGCATATCTCATAATTTTCTGTTGAATATTGAACTTTTTATGCAACATAACAACTCTTGATTTTTACTTTCTCTTCTTAAGATGTATATTTTTTTTGGCTTGTTATTTATTTTGTAATTTTGCCTGGACTAAATCTGTGAAGTCTGCCTTTTCACTGTGTATGACCTGCAATGCAGACCTCTTCTACTTTTGCTTTTTCTTATTCTTTATTTTTAAGCTTTGCGTCCTAAGGGTGTGGTAGTGTGTTGCTGTTACACATAGCTTAGCGTTCACCCAAAGATTGGTCAGAGTTGTGCTTACCACCTTGGTTATTAAGTGTTTCATTTTTTGCTGATAGATATATATGTGGCCTAAACAGAACATTTACATTTTAGATTACATTTGAAGTTTTTCCAGGCTTTTACTTTACATAAGGCTTTCTGACATCTTTGTCGCACATGCATAGATAGGCTTTAAAGGCCCAGGAGGTGTGGGTAGCTTGGGCCTGTTGTGTTCTCTGTTGTTCATGCACATAAACTCCAGTCAACCTGAGATATATGCGGCGTTTATCAAGCCATCTTTGACTGTCCAACCTCCCAAAAATGTCTGTCAAATCCTTGGCTAGTCCACTGATGCACTGAATGCACCATATAAATGTGCACACTCATACTAACGAAATTGCCACCCTTCCTGTTCTCTTGCAACTGAGATGGCCACTTAAACTGGTGATACTCCAAATCAAACGAGCCCTTTCGGCAGTGGCAGCAAGCCCTGCCCTGTCCTGGTTGAACTACCATATTGACACAACTGGAAAGGGGGTGGATGGGAGCATGCCCAGGAAAAAATGCCATGGTCTTACAACTGAAGTTCATGCATTTTATTCATAAACACTTAGTTGGTTTTATGCCTTTGGTTGAATTCTGGAGCAAAGAATTACTTGTTTTTGACAAGTTTGTCCAGCTTTACAGTTTTTTGGGGAAAGAATTTGTCAGCTTCTCACTTTGTCATGCCTTCCATTGACTTTCGACTGCTTGATTTATACAAAATTATTTAAAAATAACAAAAGTTTAGATAGAGAAATATATGGTATTCTTATACAGATAAAAGAACTGAGACAAGAAAGCATACGGAATTGGCCTAGTTTTTCACTAAAAGTTAATGACCAAGTTGAATGTAAACCCAACTTTTTGATTAACAGTCCCATATTATCTATGGCCTGATATTTTCTGAGGCCAGAGGATTCAAAAGTATACTTCACAGTTCATAGCTGTTGGTTATAAAATAAAAGGTAAATATTAATAACAGGAAGCTGTGAACCAAGATTAAATGGATGTTAGATATATTTTTAAACTATGGTTTTAAGTAGATTTCCTTCCTAAATAATAACTTCTCTTTGAAAGCATATTTAAAAGTGAAAACTTTTCTCGGCAGTCATAATTTATCTAAAAACCACTTTATTTTGACACCATCTCCTTTGAAGAAGGCATCATGGAGACCACCTATGAAAAGAGACTACCTTTTCCTTGTTCATGAAAGCTGTTTCAAAATGAAATGACTACATTATTTCCAATAGCTGGTATGAGCCATAGCCATGCATGCTCCCTCAGGTGCAGCCTTCTTAACTGGCTGAAAAATAGGTCAGTGCTCTACATTGAAGAACTGTTTCCTTCTTATAGTTCAGTCAACAGCCTACAGTATAGTCTTCCATACAGTAAGCTCAGGATCTCAGGATATTTGTGCTAAAATTATACTCCAATCAAGGCCACACATAAAACATAAATGCTTTTATATTGTAACATAATCTGAATAATATCAATAAAATAGTCATATATTATCTTGTTTGGAAATTGTTATATAATACAAACGTATATAATACAATGTATTCTATTATAAATATAATATTATCTGTAAACAATAATGAGGTATATGGAATCAAATTGCTGCTGAATATGTTTCATGGGGAACATTGTGTGTTGTAGTAGAAAGAGCTTAAGTTTTAGAGTCAGACATATCAGTGTTTGAATCCTAACTCTATTACTTAATAGCTATGTGATTTAATGTTATTTACTCTCTCTTTGCTAAACCCTAGTCATCTTATTGAGGGGTTACAGTGTTATGTTTCTGCAATGACTAAATGGTTATACTATATAGAGAACACCAATCTGACCTATAGACCAGTGCTAATACTGCTCATTGCTGTGCATTTCCCAGCTCTGGATCGAGACACACGGGCATATCAAATCAGCTGATAATTTTGGATCTTCTCCAACTGATGTTTTAGAAATGTTTGTTTAACATATATTTAACGAATACTGAGAAACTCATTGTCTAATGTTTGTATTTTATATTTATTGTGTTATATTCAGAATATAAGACATATTTCATATTCTAAAAATTTCTTAGATGATACACCAAGAGTTTAAATTTGAAAAAAAAATCTACTGCTCCTGGAAAAGAGTATTCATAAGGAATTGGTTTCAGCTTCTTTCTCTCTCCGGGATTAGGTAACTGCTACCATTCCTTGCTTCAGATCAATAGAGTGGTAGAAGAATACCTTTTCCTAGATACTTGCCAGGCTACTGAACTATCCCCCGTCTCTTGGGCTATCTTCAAACCCTGCTTACACCTTGAGACATAGTCTGTTCATTAAACTATTCTTTAAATAATCCTAATTCAGGCCAGGCGCAGTGGCTCATGCCTGTAATCCCAGGACTTTGGGAGGCCAAGGCGGGTGGAGCACCTGAGGTCAGGAGTTTGAGACCAGCCTGAACAATATGACAAAACCCTGTCCCTACTAAAAATAGAAAAGTCAGCTGGGCATGGTGGTATGTGCCTGTAGTCCCAGCCATTCGGGAGGCTGAGGTGGTAGAATCTCTTGAGCCTGGGAGGCAGAAGTTGCAGTGAGTGGAGATCGCACCACTGCACTCCAGCATGGATGACAGAGTGAAGACTCTGTCTCAAAAAAAAAAAAAAAAAGATTCTAATTTAAATGTGCCATCTCTTTCCTGATAAGACCACGAAAATACTAAAAAATTACTGTTAATTTTGTGAGATATGATGAAAGATGGTCATATATCATGTATAATGAATAAAAAGCCCCATCACTGAAATACATACACACTAAAATATTTGTAGGAAAAATGGCCTAATTTCTGCAATATATATAAAAACTTGGGGTGGGAAGAATAAAATTGACACACTGTTGATCATGATTGAAGCTGTGTGATGAGTACATGTAGTCATCCTAGATTTCTCTCCATCTTGTGGCATCATTGAAGGCTTCCATAATAAAAAGTTTGGGATTTTTTTTTGAACTATTGGTACTTTGAACCCCTTTGATAAATTATTTTTAATTATGATCTCTGGTTTGGTAACCCTGTCATGAACCCAAATGGAACAACCATTTCTACGATAAGTAAGTCACTGTTTTCTCTTTTATCCATTCTGTAGCCCTGATCTGAACAATGCTCTCCCTATTCCAGTTGAAAACTTCTTTGTGCATGATCCCAAACTTCATCTTCATTTGTCCCAGGGAAGCTGAAAGATGCATATGTGACCTTAGTTGCAGATTAAAAATGAAATATTCTTAGTTTGAGTTAGACTTTTCTGGAAACAAGAATGACTGTTCTGGAAATTATACTCTTTTGTCATATTTATACCATCTTGAAAAGAGTGTTATCAAGTTGTCCCCACTAAGCAGCAAGGAAAGAATCATTCTGCCCAACAAGGGATTCTCTCTTGTTAGACTAATGATTGGGTACATGTCCTTAGCAGGTCACTTAAGTAACTTGCTCTAATGACCTTTAAATTAGAGACATAACACTGTTGACAGTAGTCAAGATATGATGATCCAGTTACTGACAATTAAATACTTGACAAGTAGTCAAGATATGATGCCAGTTACATTGACAATAAAAAAAAAGTAGAAAAAGTAAAAGTTTTATTTGTGTAATAGAAAAATTTTGTTTTGGTCTTTTTTATTATTTGTTCGGGTAACTAGAAATTCAAAATATTTTCCAGTACTTATTAATGCGTTGTCATCATTACATTGGACCCACAAAGTTAAATTGTGAAGTAAAGGAACAATATTTGAAGAAATATAGCATTGGAAATGGAAGGCTTAAAATTTTTAAGTCAGTAATGATTTAGTATGACATTTTACATATGCTGAAAAATATGTGCACATTCTCAAAAAGCTAAACAAACTAATTTCTATATTATATTTTATGTAACATTAGTTTTTCAAATTCAATCACATGTAAATATTTTCCCAAAAGAGTATTTTCTTCACTTGTCTGTGGTTTAAATAATTTCAAGGAAAAAAATGAACATTCTACTGGAATTCCATGTGATTAATTATATACTATCAAGGTCAATTCAGTGTGCACTCATTCATTTAAATCAGGTTTTTTAAAACCTCACTGCAATGGACAGTCTGAGCCGGATTCTTCGTTGTTGTGGGGGGCTATACAGTATTGCACATTACAAGATGTTTGGCAATATCCCTGGTCTGTACTCATAAGATACCAGTAGCACTCCCACCCTCAAGTTGTGACAATAAAAAATGTCTCTGAACATTGCCAGAGATCTCCCTGGGGGCGAAATCAACTCCACTGAGAACCTGTGTTTCAAAGCAATGAGTTCTGTATTACATCTGCCTAAATTTTAATTACTTTCCAAAAGATTACAGCTCAAACAATGGGAAGAGTCAACAAATAAAAAGAAATAAAAGATTTTGAGAAAGGCATTGTGATAAGAGATAGCTTTTCCAAATAAAAACACCTTTAAGAGTAAATATTTTAAAAAATAATATGTGGTTAATGTAAAGATATGTAAGAGAGTGCCATAGTGAACTGATATTTAAAAACTCAAGTTGCTTACAAAATCGTGGACATGATAGGATATCAAACAATGCATTTTCATCAGACTGATTTTGATCTGTGCATCTAATGCAGTTCGTAATAGAGAAAGAATGAATTCTAAACCTCCATACATACAAACCAAAATTACACACACGCCACACACAGACACACACACATTGATGTGAGTGTGTGAACTTAGCAGTTCACCTATTTCGGCCACCATTTTCCATCAAATCTTCATGTTAAATCTGGTTGTGTGAAGATCTAATTGGGTTTACACCTATATGCTTACAAATCCTACTAGTAATATGTTTAATTCATTTATTTAGCTTTCAGGAACCTCTATTTTATGCTAAATATCCTCAGCATTTATATTCAATGGTGGTGTAACACTACTTTGAATTTACTGTCATATTTCAGCATCGATTTCTGGTTGCTTTCTTTCATCTCTGCAACTGCATAGTTAGTCCAGTTGGGTCACCAGGTCTTGCCTACTATTAAGTGTTATGCCTATAATTGAAAAGTCATTAAAGCAAGTTACTTAAATGATTTGCCAAGGATATGTATCCAATCATTAGTCCAATGACAGATAATCTTTTATTGGAAACAGTTCATGGGTTGGCATTATCCACTGTATACAGAACAGAATTGGGAATTTATTTAGTAATTTGTTTAGTAAACCTAGATAAATATTTGAAAACTTATATTGAGCTTTCCTCTGTTTTGTGGTCATTTTGGTAGCTCTATCAAAAGCTGTGGGTATTATTTTTCTCATTCACTGGTGAAAAAAGGAGAAAAATAGAATAAACATCCAAATTTCTGGCATAATAGCAATTCTGCAATTATTATACTGAAGAACACACCAAGAACATTAGAGTTAGAATGGATTTCAACTGAAAATATTCTCCAGATCCTTATGCATACTTGACTCTATATAAATCATTTTTGGAAGGTTCAAAAGAAGTGTAGGATAAGATTATCCTGAAGAGCTATAATTTTTGTCGGGTTTAAGATCTATTTTTCCCTGTTAACATGAATACTTCCAATTTTTTAATGAAATAGAATTATAATGTTTATAAAATACAACATTGTAGAATGAAATTACATATTTTAGTAGGAAAATAGAATCACAGAAAAATGATTTCTAAAGCAGCAACTTTTATTTAACTCCCAGAGTAAAAAACTATCAATTCTTGCCATGCAACAACTCAATAAAAAGAAAACGCGCTAACTATGATCTTTTGTGGAGGTGCCGAGTACTGGCACTAAAAACTTCTGCTATATGGAAGTAAGATGGAAATTTTTAGTGTGTGAACCCTATACCATGTAATTTTAAATGGTTTGTTAGTACCCAAAAAAGCATCTTTGGGTAAAGTGAAATAAATACCTTAGAGAAAAATAACTTGCTGAAAAGTACAAGTTGATGAATTTCATAAAATTTCAACAGTCAATGTAAGCTCTGGATCTTCTGTTTTTATACATATTTTGTATTCATTTGCCAAGTCAAAAATCTTAAAAGCCAGTCACCACAACCTCCATCTAACAGGTCTTTCCACTGCACTGACAGCTGCTCTCACCTTTATAAAATAGCCCATTCTCTCATGGAGTTTTTGCCCTGATGCAGACTGCAGTGACCTTTCTATAACTGAGTCATGAATCCCTAAACACAGAGACGAAATCACCCACGATGCCTTACATATGGTGGTGTGAATGTCTACAATAATTGCTCTGTAATTACATGGTAATTATTGACCATTTAAGTACATTTAAGAACAGGGTGACTATGTAATCAAAGACTAATTATCTGATTATTTCTGTCTTTTAAACTGTGGGCTTATAAGATATAAAAATTGCAAGTAACATGGTGATTAGTCATTGAACTACATAGTAACTTGCAGCAGAATTATGAAGTAATCTGTAGAAAATGTATTTGTATTGTCGTACTCCTGGACAGTAATTGAAGAGTAGTTATATGGTAATACACATTCTATGGAGTGAAAACAGAAAAAAAACTATCAAGACATTATGCTAATAGAGCATAAATATGTTAACCAAAATATTACATGATTCATTAGAGCAATATATGAATGGGATATATCTTTCGCAAGACAGGTAATTGGTACCTTAAATTAGAATTTCTATGGTTTCTCTATAAAATACAGAAGTGCCACTGTGCCTTTTAATAGTTCTTATAAAATTCCGTTGCATATTTCTTTAAAAAATTGCTGTGATATGACAAATAACTTGGGCACGGACAGATAAAAGGAAGGTCAAAAAAGATGGAGTTCAGAATTTGGTCTACTGCACTGGGATTCAGTGGCTAAACCCAATCAAGGGGGTAGTTTAACTTCATTAGCAATTACTGGGACCCAAGTTGGAGTCGTTTACAAACCCTCAACATTTTCTTCCTAAAATAATGAAGTAACATGAGAAGTATATGGGTAAGTATTTACAATGATTCTGAAACACACTAAAAATATTTACCTAAAATATTTTAAAAGCTTCTACTTTAAATTAGAAAAGGAGATAATAAAGAAGTTTCCCCTAAGAATTCATTTGATGTAGGCTGAATGTAGAAATTTCCTGAAGAAATACAGAAATGGTGGAGTTTTGAAGATGGGCAAGAAGAGAAGGGTTTGGAGAAACTATGGCTTAACATGTGTTTGTTATAAAAGTTGAAAATCAACTATTTTGTTGAGCAGTGATGCTAAAAATGAGTAACCTTTAATCTTTAAAGTCTATTTAAATAAATAACTACTTTTTTCTTGGTAATATGATTAAAAACATTAATATGAGCCCTGAAATAAAGATCATGTTGATTCCATCATGAAGTAATTATAATAATATTTTGTACATAATAAAGGTATGGAACTCTAAAATGAAAAATGGATTCTACATGAAAAATATATCACTCTACATGAAAAATGTATTGGAGCAATAGTTATAAATCCCTTACCTAAGGAATATGAATAATTTGACCACATCTAAAGAAATGATAATGCTCTCAAAACTAAACTTGATTACTTTCAAATTCTGATTATTTGACATAGTGTTAATATCATAATTTTTTAGTGATTTTCTACTTTCTCCAACAGGTCCATGAAACAAAATACACTTTTGAGTATTGTTGCATGGCTTATTTTGGATTGTCAATTTACATTGTTTGCCTGGTATGTTCCTTCTCTTTGGAATTCTACACTATAATAAAGTATGAAATCTTCTCAAATATTCTCTTGTCCAATTAGTTAGATACAAATACTTAGTCAAGTGAAATGCTATAAGTAGTAACTTATAAAGTTGTTACTCTTTTGACCTGAGCAGCTACTCATAAAGTGAAATCAAAATGGACTGGAGTAGATTTATTTGATCAGGATCGATTAATTCATGTATCATTACTGAAGTATTTCCTTTGATTGAGAGCTCATTAAAGGTGTCTGCTTTACATCAAAATGTCAATAATGCTTCTAAAATGGAAATGCCATTTTATTAAGGCTGTGTTTTTTAAAGTAATAACTTAAAATTATTTACAATTGCTTTTCAAAAAATAAAATTTACAGTCCTAATTTTTTTAAAAAAATTATATACACTGTTTTACGAAGCATACAAAAAGAGAAAATAATGAAAAACTATCATGTTCTGAGTTATGCCTTTGGTCATCCTGAGAAAAGGAGTTAATAAGTAATTAACAAGGCTTGTCATTCTGTATATACAATAACTCATCTCAAATTGCCTTCTCCCTTGATCCCTTTTCAGAAAAAAACCCTGTATGGAAGTATGATTGACCTATAAATAGTTTTACATGCCTCCCTTGATTTCTTCTTAACTTATATAACCTTCAATTTAAAATTTATACCTCCTTTATAAAGAGGTGAGGCTTGAAAATTGGATCACATATATTAAACATGAAACAATGTTTTAATTGAGTTTACCATACGATATTGGGATTTCCATGAAAATACAGATGAGATAAAGCTACCCATTATATCGAATTCCTGAGGAGATATGTGCCATATACAAGATATAGCAAGGTAGTTCAAACTGACTTCTTGCCAATCTCACAAAGAATAATTCATGTAACTTACAATTAGACTAAATCTTTCCTTTGTCTCTCATTTCTCCCACTAATTCGTTGTTCTTGTATAGAATGTCATTTTCTATAAGACAAAGATGCTAGCAGAAAATGTCATGAATGAATACAAACTTTATTTCCCGGTTCATTTTATCTAGGCTATTTTCTTTACAAAATAACTTCAGAATATATACAATGTAATCAAATAACTTAAATTTAAACCAAAAAAATCTATAAAATATGAAATACCATGATAACTTTAGACCATTTAATATCATCTCCAAATATTGTCACAGACATGTTATAATTACTTCTACATTTCTATATTAGAAAATACACATAAAGTGCAGCTTGTTTCTCCAAATACACTTATCTATTCCTTAAAAATCTGGTACACCAAAGGGAATGCTGACTTTTACCACATATAATCAGTCTTTCAGTAGAGGCTATTTCATTGGACGCTATAACTAAAGCAATAAAGAAAAAGAGAAATAAACTGAAAGTATCTAAATTGAAAGAGAAGAAAAAAAACAATGTTTTCTTTGAAGACAAAAATGATCTTGTGTGTAGAATATTCCAATTTTAGAGCCCAACAAAAACATCACTGGAATTTATAAATAAGTTTGGCAAGGGCACAAGATTCAAAATCAATACAGAAAAATTAACTATTTCTATATACTAGCAAGTAATAATCATACAGTAAAGTCAAAAAATTATTCCACGTATGGTAGTTTCTAAGACTAAAATATTTAGAAATGCATTTAACCAAAGAATGGAAACTTGCATTATAAGAACTAAGAAACGTTGCTGCGAGTATTGAAGAAGGACTAAATGAAGTAAGAGACAGTTTATGTTCATAGATTGGAAAATAAAAATGCCAAGATAGTAATTGTGAAAAATAAATGTAATAAAATCCTTATCAAAATGACAGCAGATTTTTTTTTTGAGAAATCAACAAGATGATTCTATGTGGAGAGAAAGAACCCAGAAAAGCCAAAAGATTTTGAAAAGGAAGAAGAAAATTGGAAAAGTTACACTATCTGATTTAGAAACTTTCTACAGAAGCTATAGAAATCAGGATTGTGGTATTGGTATAAGAATAGGCATATAAATAAATGAAAAATTAAAGAAAAAATACTCAATATTTATGGTCAATAGATTTTTGAGAAGGGCATCAAACAATTCAATAGAGAAAATAATAGAACTTTTATCATGCTAGTGAGATAATTAGATACCAATATGCAAAAAAAAAATGAAGTTAGGCCTTCCCTTTAAACCATATACAAAAATTGCAATGAATCCTACATCCAAATAAATGGATCATGTTCTCAGAACTATATCCATATCGTTCTCATAACTCAGAACACTGTAGTACTTTTAGAATAAAATATAGGAGAAATTCTTCACGACCTTTGGGTTAGGGAAAATGTTCCCAGATATAACACCAAAAGAATAGCTCAGAAAAATAAATTAAACTTCACAAGGAACAACAAGAAACCTAAAATGTCATGAGACCTACAAAAAAAAAAAGACAAAATGGTAGATGGAAAACCAACCATATCAATAATTTCATAAATATGAATGGACTAACACATGAATCAAATGTCAGAGATTGTCAGCTAGGATACAAAACAAGATCTAACTATACATACTGTCTACAAGAATTATGCTTTAGAACCAAATATATATATGGATTAAGTGTGAAAGACTGGAAAACAGCTATTCCACATAAATAGTAAAACTAAGAGAGCTGGAGTGGATTTATTAATATATGAGAAAATAAACTTTAAGTAAAAATAGTGTTAGAGATGCACAGTTATGTTTCATATTGATAAAACAGTGAATATATAAGAAATACATAATAATAATAAATGTATATACATATAGCAATAAATCACCAAAATGCATGAAGTGAAAAGTGACAAAATTGAAATGAAAAATAGACAATTTAACACATATGCAGATGTATAAATGCCATTCTCTTAATATTTGATAAGACCGTTAGAAAATCGGTAAAGACATGGAGTCCTAAACATTATCAAGCATATACACTAGAACTGACATAGAACACCCCACCTACCAACAGGAGCTACATGCTGTTTTAGAGTGTCCATAGAATATTACCAAGGAAATAAAATATATTAGGCAATTAAAATTATAAGTGAAAGTCTTTCCTTGACAAAGTCAGTCTGTAAACTATTCTGCAAATGGGCAGACACCATTGCAAGAATAAAAGGATCACAAAGAATAAGGGTTACATGACACTACTAAAGGAAACTAATAAAATTCCCATAACCAACTCTAACGAAATGAAAGTCTACAAAGTACCTGTCAAAGAATTCAAACTAATTATCTTTAATAAACTCAGTGAACTAAAAGAGAACACAGATAGACAACTAAACAACTGACTATAAACAGAAAGTTCAGCAAATAAACATAAACCATAAAATATAGAAATCCTACAGCTGAAGAAGACAATAAGTCAACTAAAACTTTCAACAGACAGCCTCTATAGTAGACTCAGTCAATAGTAGATTCAATCAGAACAAAGAACAGTAGATTCAATTAATCAGGTGAATGAATGAACTTGAAAACAGGTCATTTGAAATTCTCCGATCATAAAAGCAAAAAGAACAAGAATAAATAGACTGAATAAAGCTTACAAGACTTTTGAGATACCACCGTGTGAAACAATATATGCATTATATAAGTTTCAAAATGAGAAGAGATAAGAAAAGGGAAGAAAACTTATTTAAAAGTTATTATTTTTAAAAGTTATTATTTAAAAAAATAATAGCTAAAAACTTTCTAATTCTGGGAATGGAAATGGACATCCAGATTCATGATCCACAAGTAACCGAAATAGTTTTAAACCTAAAGAAGTCTACAATGAGAAACATTATAATTAAATTGTGAAAAGGCAAAGACAAAGAGAGAATTTTGAAAGCAATAACTCATCACAGAAAAAAGGCAACACCTATAAACTATCAGCAGATTTCTCAGCAGAAATGTTTCAGTCCAGGAGCGGGTGGAGTGATACATTCAAAGTACTGAAAGCAAAAAATTGTCAACCAAAAGTACTCAGCAAAACTGTCCTTCAAAAATCAAAGATAGATAATTTCCCAGATAAACAATAACTAAGGGAAATCCTTATCACTAGATATATCCTGCAAGAAGTACTAAGGAAGTTCTTCAAGTTCAAATGAATACATGCTATTCAGCAACATGAAAGCCTATGATAGTACAAATCTCACTTGTAAAGGTAAATATGTAGGCAAATATACAATGTTCTAATACTGAAATGTTATATAAATCATTTTAAATACTAGTAAAAAATTAAGAGACAAAATTATTACTTATAACTATCACCACAAATTTTGTTTAATAAATAAACAATAGAAAAATAATAAGTAAACTCTGATAACAATAACAAACTACACGTGGAGGAGAATAAAAGTATAGAGGGCTCATATACAGTTAAAGAAAAGTTGTTATCAGCTAAAAGTAGACTGTTATAATTACAAGAGGTTAGTCCAGGCTTATGGTAACTATAAAATAAACAAAGGTAGTAGATATGCAAAAGACAAAGAGGAAAAAATCAAAGCATACCACTACAATAAAATTACCAAACCACAAAGAAAGCCAGGAGAAGAGGAGGGGAACAATATAACTACAAAACAGACAAAAAACAATGGACAAAGTGGGAACAGTAAAACCTTAGCCAACAATATTCACTTTAAATGTAAATGAATTAAACGGTTTAATCAAAAGACATAGAGTAGATGAATGGACAAAAACAAAGAACCAACTAGATGCTTTCTCCCAAAACAGGACCCAACTAGATTCTCTCTATAAGAGACTCACCTTAGATTTGAAGACACACATAGGCTGAAAGTGAATCAATAGAAGAAAGATAATCTTGGAAATGGAAACCAAAAGAGTTGGGATGACTATACTTAGACAAAAATAGACAAAGTAAAAAAAAGAAAAAATACAAGAGACAAAAAGTAGAATACATTTTCTTTTAAAGCACACACAGAATATTCTCTGGGATAAAGCACATATTAGTCACGAAACAAATCTGAAAATTTAAGAAGATTGATTATTTCAAGTATGTTTCCTGACCATAAAGGAACAAATATAGAAATCAATTGCAGAAAGAAAACTGAACAATCACAAATGCATGTGAATAAAATAAACTCTCGAAAAGTCACTGGGTGAGAAAAGAAATCAAAAAGGAAATTAGAGAATATCATGAGACAAAAATGAAAACAACATATCAAAGCTTATGGGATACAGCAAAAGCAGTATGAAGAGGGAAGTTTATGGCAATAAATATCTCTTTTAAAAAGAATAAATGGCAAGGCACAGTGGCTCACACTTGTAATCCCAAAATTTTGGAAGGCCAAAGTAGCAGGATTGTTAAGACAAGGAGTTCAAGATTAGCCTTGTCAACACAGTGAGAACTGTCTCAACAAAAAAACAAAATAATTAGCCAGGCATGATCGTGTGAGTCTGTAGTTCCAGCTACTCAGGAGGCTGAGGCAGCAGGATTGCTTGAGCCTAGGAGTTCAAGGCAGTAGCAAGCTATGAATGTGCCATAAAACTCTGGCCTGGGTGACAGAGTAAGGCCCTGTCTCTTAAAAAAAGAAAAAAAAAAAAAAAAGAAAGAAAGAAAGAAAAATTAAAAAGAAGAAGTATCTCAAATCAACAACCTAACTTTATACCTCAAGTAACTACAAAAAGAACACGCTAAAGCCATAGTTAGCAGAAGAAAGAAAATGCTGAAGATTAGAACAGAAAAAAATGAAATAAAGAATAGAAAATGATCAACAAAACTAAGAGTTGCTTTTTATTTATTTTTTAAAATTCATTTGGAGACGGAGTCTTGCTCTGTCACCCAGGCTGGCGTGCAATGGTGTGATCTCAGCTTACTGCAACCTCCGCCTCCCATGTTCAAGCAATTCTCCTGCCTCAGCCTCCTGAGTAACTGGGATTACAGGCACCCGCCACCACGCCCAGCTGATTTTAATATTTTTAGTAGAGACGGGGTTTCACCATGTTGGCAGGATGGTCTCGAACTCTTGCCCTCGTGATCCACCCCCCTCAGCCTCCCATCGTACTGGGATTATAGGCATGAGCCACTGCACCTGGCCTGTTTTTTTTAAGATAAACAAAATTGATGAATTCTTATCGATAGACGTACTAAGAAAAAAAGAGAGAAGACCCAAATAATGAAACAGGAGTGAATACAACCAACGCCACAGAAATAAAAATAACAAAAAGGACTGTTATGAACAATTATATGCTAACAAATTGGACAATCAAGAAATGAATAAATCCATAGGAATATACAAGCTACTAAGACAGAAAGAAGAAATAGAAACACTTTAAAGATCGGTAATGAATAAAGAGTTCCAATTAGCAATAAAAACCTATCAATAAAGAAAATCTCAGGACCAGATGGCTTCACAGGTGAATTTTACCAAACATTTAAAAAAGAATTAATACCAATCCTTTTAAAAGTCTTCCAAAAATATAGAAGGGATAAGGAATACTTCCAAACTCATATGAGGTCAGCATCACCTTGATAACAAAGTAATGACACTACAAGAAAAGAAAATCATATCCCTGATGAACATGAATGCAATATCCCTAATTAACCTGGATGCAAAAATCATCAATAAAATATTTAGCAAATCAAGTTCAACAGCATATTAAAACAATTTTGTACCATGACCAAGTGATATTTATCTCTGGGATGCAAGGACAATTTAACACATGCAAATCAATTAATGGGATACATGACCTTAGCAAACAAAAGAAGGAGAATAACCACAAAACAATCTCAAAAGATGTTGGAAAAGCATTTGATAAAATTCAACACTCTCTCATGCTAAACCACTCAACAAATTAGTTATATATTAGATATAGAAGGAAGCTGTCTCAACACAATAATGGTCACATATGAATATCCTACAACTAAAATCATACTCAACAGAGAAATGCTGAAAGCTTTTCCTCTAAGATGTGAAAGAAGGCAAGGATGCTCATTCTCACCACTTCTATTCAGCATAGTCCTGGAAGTGCCAGCAAGAGCAATTAAGAAAGGAAAAAAACAACAACAAGGCATCCAAATTAGATAAGAAGAAATAAAATAATATCTGTTTGCTGGTGGCATTATATAAGAAAACTGTAAAAACCTCAAAACTGAGGGAATTAAAAATCAAAATGAATCAAGTTACAAGATAGGTAGTAAACACAGAAAAAGCAGTTGCATTTCTATCCACAAACTATGAACTATCCCAAAATGAAATCAGAAATACCGTCCCATTTACAATATCACCAAAAAGAAAAATACACCCAAGAATAAATATAACCAAGAAGGTGAAAGACTAGTAAGTTGAAAAATTTAAAACCCTCATAAAAGAAATAAAACAAGACACAAACAAATGGATAGTGATCCTTGAGTATGGATTGGAAAATTTAATATTATTAAAATATTCATTCTAGCTAAAATTCATCTATATATTCAGTGCAATCCCTATCAAAATATCAAAGATATTTTTATACAGAAATAGAAAAATAATTCTAAAATTCATACAGAACCACAAAAGACCACAAATAGCCAGAGCAATTTTGAACAAAGCTGAAGGAATCACACTTCCTACAGTAATCACGATAGTCTAGTACTGACATAAAGACAGATCTATAGAGCAATGGAACACAATAGAGAGCCCAGAAGTGAAGCCACAAATATACAGTCAACTGATATTTGATGAAGATGCCAAGAATACACAACAGAGTAAAGAGAGTATCTTCAATACATGGTGTTTGTAAAATTAGATATCCCCCTCCAAAAGAATGAAATCAGACACTTATCCCATAGACAAAAATTAACTCAAAACGGATTAAAGACTTAAATGCACAATTTGAAACAACAACAACAAAACAAAACTTTCAGAAGAAAACATAGGTAAAAACCTTGTTAACATTGATCTTGACAATGATTACTTCGATGTGGCACCAAAAGCACAGGCAACAAAAACAAAAATAAATACGTGGGACTGGGCTGGGCGCGGTGGCTCACGCCTGTAATCCCAGCACTTTGGGAGGCCAAGGCGGGTGGATCACCTGAGGTTGGAAGTTTGAGACCAGGCTGACCAACATGGAGAAACCCCGTCTCTACTAATAATACAAAATTAGCCAGGCGTGGCGGCGCATGCCTGTAATACCAGCTACTCAGGAGGCTGAGGCAGGAGAATCCCTTGAACCTAGAAGGCGGAGTTTGTGGTGAGCTGAGATCATGCGTTTGCTGGAAGCTCCAGTCTGGGCAACAAGAGCAAATCTCTGTCTCAAAAAAAAAAAAAAAAAAAAAAAAAATGGGACTACATCAAACCAAAAAGCTTCTGCACAACAAAGAAACAAGCAACAAAATGAAATGGTACTCTATGCAGTGGGAGAAAACATTTGCAAACCATGTATTTGAAAAGTGGTTAATTTCCAAAATATATAAGGAACTCCTACACCTCAATAGCAAAACAAAACAAAATAAACAAAAAACAACAAAATAACCCAGTTACAAAATGGGGAAAGGACTTGAACAGACATTTTTCCAAAAAAGATACAATGATGCTCAACAGTTGTATAAAAAGATGCTCAATATTGCTAACCCTCAAGGAAATGCAAATCAAAGCCACAATGAGATATCGCCTTATTCCTGTCAGGATGGCTATCACCCAAAAACATAAGATAATAACTGTTGGTAAAGTTATGGAGAAATCGGAATGCTTGTATACTTTTGGTAAGAATGAAAATGTTGCAGCCACTATGATAAAATAGTATAGAGATTCCTCAAAAAAAAAATTGAACTACCATATGTTCTAGTGATCCCACTTTTGAATATGTATCTGAAATAATGGAAATCAGAATGTCAAAGACATATCTTAACACCATGTTTATTGCAGCATTATTCACAATAGCCAAGACATGAAAACAACCCAAATCTTCATCAGCAGATGAATGGATAAAGAAAATTTGGCATTTTATGCATTGGAAGGTTATTCACCCTTTAAAAAGATGGAAATCCTAGCATTTGTGACAACACGGATGGACCTGGACATTATACTAAGTGAAATAAGCCAGTCACAGAAGGACAAACACTGCATGATTCCTCTTACATGATGCATCTGAAACAGTCTCATGTATAGAAATAGATAGTAAAATGGTAGTTACCAAGCAACGGTGGAGGTGGGATATGGGGAGCTGTTGCTTAGTGAGTGTAAAGTTTGTTATACAAAATGAGTAAATCATTTTGTAATTGGACCAATTACAAAATTGAGCACTATGGTGCTCATAGTTAATAATAAATTACTCACACTTAAAAATTGATCAGAGTAGATATCCTGTTAATTGTTCTTACTCCAAAACAAAAACAAAACAAAGGGACACCAGGGAACTTTTGGATGTAATGTATATGTTTGTTACCTTGATTATGGTGATAGTAGTGAGAATGTATACATATGTCTAAACTCACCAAATTTCATTAATTATGTGTGGTTTCATATTTTTGTATACCAATTATTCCTCAAAGCTGGGGAAAAATAATGAACCAAATCCCACACTGTCATGTTTTCCTTGCACTAATACATGAAATAAGATACATGAAGTATTGTAAAGATGAATAAAGCTTAATCAATATGGCAAAAATAAAATAGCATTCATAAAAGTGATTGTATAACTTCATAAATTTACTAAAAACATCAATAAACTTCACCCCTAGAATGGGTTAATCATGTGGTATGCAAATTATATTTCCTAACCCTGTTTTAATGCTGAAACATGAAAGTTAAGCAAGGGTTTTTAAAAATCTCATTTGTAATTTCAAATCTTACATAACATACAGTCTTCTTGATAGCCATGTTAACTCAGTAATGAAAAGCACAGTCCTAGAATGGCTATTCAGTTCCTCAGACAGCACACTATAAAGGCTTACACTTAGTATATGACCTTTGCTCACCTTCACATTGTTGATTTGCTTTAATTCTTAATCAAAATCCAGAGGTGTGTATTTTATCACAAACTAAATATTCATAGTATGTGGACTGACTTCCAGGGGTAACCACTTCAGGGTATAATACTCAGGTTTTTATTACTGATCACAATATACCTTTTTTATTCTCTATAATAATTTGAAAAATAATTTTAATTAATCTCGTGTAGCATGAATTTTCATGTGATATGCAGAAAAACATCATTGAGCATGTTTTTCTCATTTATATACTACTCATTTGTGGACTTATCACATCATTTATTTAATATTTCACTTAAGTAAAATATTTATTAACATGCACAGACCCTGTACTTAGTCTTCCAAGGAAGAAGCTAATGATATTATGCCAGAATCAATAGTATCATTTAATAAAGGAACATTCCCATACATCATTTTGGGAGGTATAATATTTGTTATTAACTTTGCAATTGTTGCTATAATACTATCAGCAAACATGTGACATATTTACTATAAAGATGCAATTTTAATGATGCCTTGGAAGCGCTGGTCTTTTCCTTGCCTTTGGCAAAAATAATAATAATTTATATTGTAAACATTGTATTATGTATGTTCTGACATAACTCAATTGGTTTACCAGAGAGGTGATTGTGCTTTGTTTGAAAATTAAACAAAAGTTCATGGCCCAAATTGGCAGGGATGTCTAACCTAAAAAGCTCTGGGGTAAGTTAAAAAAATCATCAATCCAATTAAATCTCATTTTAAAAGACTTTTATCTTCATAATTCCTATCATACTTTTCTGTTTTGACTGCTTGTGCAAAGTCATCACAGTTGCTAATTCGTTTATCTGAGAATATACAGATTTACCTTCTACATTGGTAATATAGTTTAGTTTACTATTTGAGTTACAAATTTATGAGTGGTTTTATTTTTTCATTACTTTCCTATTGCAGTGATTTATTTCAAGTTTTGTTTCATTTTCTACAAATTGTGGAAAGAACTCAACGTAATAGTAACAATGCCAACTACATATTTAAAACACATAAGCAGTAACAGGCAAATGATATGAATATATTGGCTGAGGGGAAATGTAGCCTGTTAGCTGAACATGTTCTGAGACAAACTGATCAACACTGTCTTCTTTTTAGCCTTGATAGAACCTTTTGAATTCAATGATTTATAGTATGGTAGGATATCTATGAAAATGGTAATCTTCCTTTTCAAATGTATGCAATGTATATGAATGCAACTATTTCATTGTGGCTGCATCTGAAGCCACCAGACTCCTTCTTGATAGACCACAATGATCCACTAGTAGCAGGTAGTTGACACCTTGAGAAACACTGCATTAAGAATATTGTTGGTCTCCTTTTTTTTTTTTCTAGACACATTCATATGACAAGTGATGCCATGTCCAAAGATCTGTGGGATTCCTTCACTAGTGGGAGCAGAGAATAGCCCAAGCAAGTGGCAGCTGTAGTATTATGGTTATACAAATGATGCTACACTAATAAAAATGAAAATAAACATCATTTACAAACATTAGGTCAGCTATCAATATCACTTCATTTGTGAGCACACTGAAGTGCTTCTAAACTGCATGAAAATATTTGGCAATGCGAAAGAACCAAAAAGAAAAAGTGGTTTTGTAGTTGATACAGCCTGCTCTCACGTAGCACAGCAAATGGAACAGGAATGAACTGAGCCTATTGAGAATAAGCAAGTCATAAACAGATAAAATATCACTGAAATGCCACCACAAACACCTGTATAGAACAGCACATCTAAAAGTTAATTTCTCTGTTTATATTGGATCACATACATAGGTCATATTTAGAAACAATAGATTGATAGTTATTTTTAGAGAACCACATAGAAGCAACCTAATCCAAAACCTTCCCAAAGCATATTGTGACTAATTCACTATGTCCTAGGCTATGCCATTGTACCTTCTATAGGCTTTTCTGAGCAATCACATCCACATCAATCTACTCCTTAATTTTTACTGCTGAAACCCTTTCTTCCATGTTCCAGACCTGCATTCCCAATTTGACGTCAGTAAGTCAGACAATGTTGTAATGTAATAATATTTTAATAGAGATTTCAATTTCAATGCCAAATTCATTACCAGATGCTATCAATAGTCTCTTTTGTTCTCAGCACATTTAGATTTCTAGTATTTCCATCCCAGTTATCCTACCCAATTTCCTTACATATCATCTCATAGCATTGTGATTGTGCTAGACTCCATACTTGTTATTGGCCTCCCTGCCTTCATTTTTGTCAAATGTAAATAGATTTTTTGTCTGCAGTCAGAGTACTCTTCTTAAAACACCATTCCTTTTAAGTGATCAATTGCCTTTACAAAATTCTACAATGGTTCCTCATGGGCCATTCTTAACCTCCACACTCTTTTTAAATAAATTAATATATCTATTTATTATCATTATTATTATTATTTGTAGAAACACAGTCTTGCTAGTTGCCCAGGCTGGTCTCAAACTCTTGGCCTCAAGTGATCACATCATCCTGTCTCGTCTTTCCAAAGTGCTGGTGCAAGCCAGGTGCTCCCTGCTGCTTTTTCCTAACTTTTAGGATCATCTCCTTCTCCTCTGCATCTACTTATCTTCTGTTAAGCCACAACAGTCACCTTCCCTAAACATGACTTGTACTACCCGTATTCTCTACTTTAAAGCTTTACTCACAACATTCTTCTTGTCCAGAAAACTCTCACACATTAGATTTTCCTATTTAATCCCTACACTCCCTTACATGATCCTAGAGAAGAAGATTTTCTATATAATTTCACTAGTTTTGCATTTCACTGCTTTGCCTGGTCACCTGAACCATCCTGTAGCTGCCACTCCCCAGCAGAGGCAAAAGATTCAGACATTCAAACGTTAAGTATAATATTTCTGCTTTCCAGGGGTCCAAGCACAGAATTCAAGGGTCTCTGATGCTAAGGGTTTCAAGAAGGAATATCTGCCTGAGATTTTTAACCATGTGTCTCCTGTCCCGGCAGATTGCCACTCACTTAGCAATCGCATCCAGAGGACTTTTGGAGATTTTATCTGTTGTTACTCAAATAAAATGCCCTATCTCTATCTAAAGCCACACTGCTCTCAAATCTGTGTTTACGGAGATCCCAGGGAGTGTTGCTTCAGCTGACTTTGCTGTGATGATTTTGAAAAACGGAGATGGGTTCATTTAGGCCAATTAAGGATTTTGAGATAAAGGGAAAGATATGGATATGTCAGTGTGTGAGCTAGTGTTACACTCTGGGTTGTAACATATTACTTGTCCATGTCATTTTTCATTCTATCTGAAAACTGTTAGAAATTGAAATAATGTATACACAATGATAAGCAAGTGTCCATTTTATTAATACTACAGTATATGAAAAGGATATGTTTGTCAAGAAAGACCATGGCCAGGCATAGTGGCTCACACCTGTAATCCCCACACTTTCGGAGGTGGGAGGATCGCTTGAGGCCAGGAGTTGGAGACCAGCCTGGGCAACATGGCAAGACCCCATCTCTACAAAAAATAGAAAAATTAGCCAGGCATGGTGGCATGCGCCTATGGTCCCAGCTACTCAGGAGGCTAAGGTGGGAGGATCACCTGAACTTAGGGAGGTTGAGGCTGTGGTAAGCCATAATTGCACCACTGCACTCCAGCGTGGACGACAGAGTGACACCCCATCTCAAAAAAAACAAAAACAAAAAAAAAGAAAGAAAGACCTAAATACAATAGAGTTAGAAGTTCTATCTGAAAGAATGAAAATAAAACACTGTTTGCATTTTGATAGTGCCCTCTCAATACCAGCTGCACGAACTTGAGAAAATCTCCCTGAACTTCACTTCTCTTCAGTGGAATGAGACAATAATAGTAACTTGCTCACAGTAGTGTGCAGATAATTAAATTAAAAACTATTTGTAAAGAATTTAGCACAATGTTACTCTCACACATAGAAACTCAATAAATAATAGCCAGAAATTTTGTTATGGCCACAAATTTAAAAATCAAGACACTGCTAGCTCAGAAGGTACTGATTGGTTATAATTCTTACAGAGAAAGCTCCAAAAATCTTTTCCAGACACCTGCATACACCACAGGGATTTCAAAAGGAGCAGAATGATAATATAATATAACAAGGGACAGGTAGAGTATTTTTAAAATGAAGTATATAATGTGCATTTAAGAATAAATTTGTGATAACACATGAATAGGTGCACTAAAATTTCATTTTCATGTCTTATTAAATAAATTGTATTGCTATTAGTATATGATTTTTATTTCCGTAGAATTAAGGGATTATTTCTGAGAATCCAAATCAGGAGATAACTGAAAATATTCCTTGAGTTATAGATATAAGACAATCATTTGATATGCAAAAATTGCATATATTTAGAAAACCTCAGCAGAACATCACAATAAAGCTGTTGTCATTGTTCTGTTTATAAGATAAAGGAAGAAAAATGTTCTCGCTTTTGTAGGCCTTTAAAAATGAAGTAGATGCAGTTATTGGAAATATGAACTGACTAAGCCATCTAATAGGAATTACACAGTGTGAATTTCTCTGACATTTTGTTTGCAGATTCTTAGTAGAAAAGTAGTGGTTTGTATTAGCCTTGAAGATGTTTTAATCAAAGGACACACTGCTTGTAGAACAAAGTGAATAAATGTAAAATACAGTTTCATTCAAATAATGAAAAACCTGTGCTATAGAAATTTAAATCTCATTTAACTTAAATTACTTATTAAGTTACATATTTATAAATTCACTCATTTTTGTATATAAAAATGTCAATGACATCTCCTTTTATTCTCACAGGGTTTCTAACATTGCTGATACACAAGTCAAACTTCAGTGTCTAATGGAAAACAATTTAGGTTATTATTTTTCAAAGAAAAAATTCTCAATTATATTAGTCACATTTATAATTACATGGCTAGTCAAAAACATTGGAGTCTGGATAATAGTAATGATAATAAAAACTTGACATGTTGTTTTTTGACAGGAAAAGTCTTCTAGGACAGGGTGTTAAATTCCTTAGGAGTGTCTTTTTCTCTTTTATAGATCTCCATCTTTGCTTTCCAGGCCCATCACACTGTGTTTTTCCCCTGTAAGTCAGTTCTTCCTCTATCTCTGCTTTCTAGGCTTTCTCCCAAATGTCAATTTTCCCCTTTACTCACTCCCACTTGTATTTTTACTGTCAGATGCTTCTTCACGTTGATGCCAAAATGTTTTTTTTTTTAAAAAACAGATTTTAAACATTCCCATTTTCTTTATACTTGCTACCATATCCTCTTTTCTATCACTGTCTTCAGCCTCCCTTTTTATGTTTTATCTCTTTGTCAATTTTTTTCTAAAATTTTGTTTTCTTTTTCTACTCATTTCTATGCATCTATGCTGTGATAACGATTAAGGCACCCTAAAAAAATGTTAGGCTAATAACATGATACACAGTACATTTTTTCAGTTGCAAAAGACAACTCGGGGGAAAAATGATTAAGGGTGAGAGACTCCCACTGAAGTCTATATGATGAAAGTAACCTCAGATACAATTAACTATGAGTATGAGTGTTCGACCATGTTCCTGACTGAAATCAAACAGGTAAGAATCCAATGAAGTTTGTGAAATATATTGCCAAAAGCATGGACGCAAAGAGATTGGGACTCTTTCAGACTTGCAATAAGCCATGAAACCTCAACAGTCTGTGAGCAGAAAGCATACTGAGAAAACATCTCTCAAAAATGACATGTATTACGAGATGTCTACATCAGATGTGGCCAAAGAGGATAATAAAACAGACTAGAGCAAAGGAACTATGAAGAACAAGTGACCATGGAGCCCAGACTAAAGGCTTAATCAGCTTCCGCCACAAATCTCACACTTGGAATCCTCACAATAGCTGCTCAGCAGGATTTAAGAATTGCTACACTGGGATCTGCTGGGCAATGCCCACTCTTCCCTTTCTGGGAACGTTTATTTTTGTTAACTTGTTCCTGATCTGACATCGTATACTGGGTGAGAAAGAGGGCAGGAAACTTGTTATTTTTGATTCTAGGTCTCTACCTCTAGAAAGGCCATATGAAGAACTAAAGTAGACCACTTTTATCACCTCTTGAAGAAGAGACAATTATCATGAGGCCAGAGCATCTGGACTTTGACCAGTCTGCACAGAACTCACAGGGACTTTAAAGTTAACAATCTTGTTAAGGGAACGAGAGTATTGGCTGTCGTGTAGAGATTAAACTGAATGTTTTCTAAGCAAAGGAGCTGACTGATAATCATTAGACATGTTCTCCAATCTCCAATAATCTGGTTTTTCTTCTAATGATTTGTCAAATCTTTTCAGTTACATTGCAAACATCTTTGGAGGAAATATTATTTATTATGATACTTATGTGATTCACATCACCAAGGAAAATTCCTTGCATAAATATGGAACCCAACCAATCCCAATTTAATTTCATTTGAATTTCTTTTTTAATTTTTTTTTTCTCAAATGACTGCCCAAGTTTTTGAGTAAGTTCTAGTGAAGAACTTCTTGACTTTGCCTGTCAAGCAACACAGAACTCTCTTTACTATGCAGAACATATTCCCTGTGGCTCAAGTAGAAATATCCTCATCAACATTATCTCTCCTCTTCTTTCGCGTGACTGTAACTCAGGCCATTTCTGAAACAACTGAGACTTGAGTACATGCAGGGCTGGCTTCATGGGCATGGAACTGGTGCAGTGCAGGTCTTAGCCTTCAGCAGGGCCTCCTCACAATTTAATGCTCAACTACTGCATTTTAAACATCCCCCTAGGTTTTTCTGGTGGAACTGGAAGGTAAGATTGTGTCTTTCCACTACGGATCTGGAATTTCAGGCAGCAAATTTCCACTAGGTCGGGAGCATCTGAGGCAAGCAGATCCAAAAGTGGAAAGAGAAATTGAATCCAGACCATACTGTTGGGACCCAGCTAGAAAAGAATGGACTCAACTGACCTGAAAGATGCAACAAGTGATATGGCATTAATGATGTTGTTAAGTTTCTAAATCCAGCCTGATGCCAGAAACACTCCTGGACCAGTGAAATGAGTGAATATAGTCTCATTTCAGTTTAAAGTTACATAAGTGGGATTCTGGCCATTTGAATCCCAAGCAATCCTGATCAAAACACATTTTCTTTCTGTACTTAGTCTAATATTTTTCCCAACTTTCCAAAACTATTCTTGAATATGCCTAAAACCACCATACTTTGCACAAAATAGGCTCTTTCTTAGTTAACTCATATTAAAAGGAATCATTAAGCTTGCCATAAATTCACTGCTCAATACAGAATGAGCAATATGAAATTAAAATTGTTGATATGTGTTTTAAAGGTCAAAATCCTTTTCTCCTTTTCTTTTGAGTTTTTTTATACTTAATGTTACTCAGAGCTATGCCTCTGCTTTTGGCTCAATATTGATTACGTACACCTCCACATCCTCAAAGAAAACAAAATAAACCTGCTACATCCTGTGCCAGGGATAACTAATCTAATAATAAGAAATCAGCTTTATTTTCAAATTTTTAATTTCTGTACATACCACATAAAGGATATAGTTACTTCTGTCTTTCCAATAGTAAGTAAATGGAATAAAATGAAAATGTATGACAATTATATTATGATAATATGACTAAAGTATTAAGATGAATTGTTAATCATTACTTAGCAAATTACAACTTTCATATGGAGAAAATAATACCTTACATATATAATGAATAATATTACACTTGGGCTAATATGGTTTTGTAAGTTAATTATAGACTACACAGCTGATTTAGTTTCATTTACCTAAGGAGCTGTTCTGACCCTGTTGCAGATTAATTACATCTTCAGGAATACACTCTCATTTATCATTGTCACTTGGAGCATTATAGCTCTTAGCAAGAGTGTAGAACTTTTTTTTAATGTTAAAAAAATTCCTTAGCTGTGATACATTTTGCAAGTTTAGTCATTAAAAACACATGACAGCTAAAAGCAGGTAAGATTAAATTAGCTATGGAACATTGAGAAAGTTCATGTCCTAGAAATTAAATGACTGAAAGAAAATAAAAATTCTGTTAAAATCATTCATGTCAGACAGAGGCTTCATCTACATCCTGGAGCATTTTTTAGAAGATCCCTTGCTTTGAAATATGGGTATGAAAAATGTTTGCCACATTCTAAATTCTTCAGCACACATTACACAGCTTTTTACTATTCCCATTTTCTATAATTGTTAGAAGTATTTAAAAGAATAACATCGTTACCTTTATCTATACCTAGAAAGTATTATTTAAATTATGATGGGAAATTTATACCATTTGCTTTTACCTAATGATGGTCATGTCCTTAATTGTGAACATGAGAAAGAGCTAAAGAAGTCTGTCTAGCTTTGAATACTGTAGAATATTTATTTACATGTGAGTGATCATTTAACATCTGTTTGAGAACTACGTGTCAATGTATGTGCAGATTAGGCACACTTGAATAACTTACATTCCTTCACCTGGAGGAGCTCAGATTATAGGGGAAAATAGACCAACAGGTGCAACTGAGAAACAATGTGTAAAATGTGATTAAGATTACATAAAGATATGCAACAGTTAATACGGAGTGCCCCAAATGAGTGGCAAGCCCAGTTTGGTAGGTCAGAAAAGGCTTTTGGAGGGAAGAGAGGCTTCCACTAATTATTCAAAAATGGACAGGAGCTAGCCTTGTAACTCCTGAATGAGGAAAAGGTGGATGTAAAGAGGAAATTGGAGGAAGGAGATGGGAATGGTCAGTTTCATCCAAACAGAATTGATGATAGGAGCAAAGGAATAGAGTAAAGTAAAAGCATCTTAGAAACTACAGGCAGTTTCTGGAGATGAGATTGGAGATTGAGGCAGGCCCAGAACATGATAGGAAGCTTGGAATTCATCTGTATGCAACAGCAGGGCCACTGGAGCCATGACTAGCTATGGGGAGCATGGGTTTGAGAAATCAAGACTGGAAGCAGAGAGAGCAATTAGGAGGCACGGTGATTGCAACAGTAAGAGGTAATGAGAGTTCCAGATACCCAGGGGACTATATAAATAAAAACAGAAAAGATTTAGAGAAGATTGAATGATAAAATGACAGGATTTCTTGGTCAGTAGTGGGGATTTGTGAAATGCTAAGATCAGTTCTAGATGAGTGATCTAGGGCATGCTGTCTTCTGCACAGATGGTGGTTGAAATCAATGAGGAGGAGTGAAATAACCCAGGGCAATGCAGAGAGGAAAGAGTAGAACAGAAAAACAATCCTGGTGATCATCAGCAATTAAAGGAAAAGTAAAGTTAGAAAATCTCTTGAAAGTGACATAAAACCAGCAAGGTGGTCAGAGAATTATAAGACTTGAGAGAGTGTAAGGTCATGGATGCCCAAGGAAGTAAGAAAAACATTTCAAAAAACAGAAAGTGAGTCAAGTGCTGCAAAACACTCAGAAAGATGGTACTATTGAACTGGTTAATGTGACATCAAGGGTGACCATAGCCAAAGAAGTTTTAGGCATGTGATAGGGGTACAAGTAAGTCTGAGAAACCAGTTTGCACTGGTTCTGCAAATGGTGAAGTGGTAACATAAAAGAAGTTGTTTTACCCCCAGAAATTACCTAGGAATAAATATTTTTTTTTAAAAAATTGATATATATTTTCTGTTTTCTTCTTTCACCAAATAACCTATATAGTTATTTTAAAATATTCTATTTAATACTTTGTATTTTTTAGAATACTTTATATTAAATACAACATTTACTATTCTTCAGAAATCAGAAATTCTGGTTCAGTATTCAAAACCCATTTTAAACTTTGTTGAGCGATAAAGAGAATGCAGGGAACAATAACACTGAAAATTATATTTAAGTCTGAACATTTAAAAACACAGAAAAGTTATCTGGTGAAAGGAAAGACGATTAAAATCTCTAGCTGGCTGGACATGGTGGCTCACGCCTGTAATCCCAGCACTTTGGGAGGCCAAGGTGGGTGGATCACAAGGTCAAGAGATCGAGACCATCCTGGCCAACATAGTGAAACCCCGTCTCTACTAAAAAATATAAAAATTAGCTGGGCGTGGTGGCGTGTGCCTGTAGTCCCAGCTGGTTGAGAGGCTGAGGGAGGAGAATCACTTGAACCCTGGGAGGTGGAGGTTGCAGTGAGCCAAGATCACGCCACTGCACTCTAGCCTGCTGACAGAGCTAGACTGTCTAAAAAAAAAAAACAAAAAACTTTAGCCATTAGTTGCTTAATGAACAAGCAATTTTTGAAAATTTATTAATAAAACTAAAACAGTAATTTTGTTTTATTCTGTCATTTAAAATTCTAGTTTGGGGTTTTAAGTATTACAGATAAAAACAAATTATTCATTATTGGTTATTATATTATGGATCTGTTTTGAAAAAATCCTATTATATTCAATTTGCTGCTTAACATACAACTTATTTATCATTCATTAGAGATTAGGTTAATTTTTTTCTAAAATACTTATTTACTAAGGAGTTTAGTGTGACTTACTTAATAAAACAGAAACAAAATGTAATTGAAAGAAAATAGCTGAAATTACATTTGCAATGAAATTTTATGAGTAAAATAAATTGCTCTGAGGTAAAATTATCAAATATTTGAGATTAAGAATCTTTTTGTGATTGGTAATTTACTCAACTAATCTAAGTCATTCTGGAGATAAATAACCTGTTTCAGAAGCCAATGTCCTATTAGAAAGCATCTTCCAAAAGGATATGAAGTTGATTTTCCAAGAAAAACATTACAGCAGTATAGCATTAACATCATTAAAAATTTCTTTATGTCACAAAACAATAAAAAATACAACTGAGGACATTTTCTTTCTTTCATGTGCTTTATAGTCTTCATTTGGTTGCTATGATCATCCATAACTTGTCAATTTCTCAAATGTAAACTCCAATCTCACTTAAGAACCAAATAACAATGATTGTCATGAACATGATGACGGAATTATCTGCAGACCAACAGAATTTTATCAAACCAAATATAAATCAAACTAATAAAAAATGACAGCTTCTAAAATTATATCACAGTTTCACTAAAGAGGTAGATAATGTAGAAATAAAAGAAAATGAAATTTAAAAAAGACTTTGATCATTTTCAAAGCCCAATTATATTCATCTCACGACTAGACAAAAAATTCTTCCTTTTTAATCAGTCTGTGAGCATTGCTAAATTTCTTTGGTTAAAATATTTCCTTTGTGTTTTCAGTAAAGATATAGGAGAATGTGTTACAAAGGGCTGAAAACTGGAGAAATTCTGTTAACTATTTCCACTAACTTGAAATTTATGGTTATGAGAATTAAGTAGTCATATTTTTCCTACACTGGCAGAATAAGAGGCTCTTAGTGACTGACTAAGGCTGAAGGATATTAAATCACAACCATGCAAATATCTATTTGATAGGACATTTGGGTGGTAATATATATGTGTAGTAAAAGTCCACTTGTCTTTGTCAGATTTCTTCCAGACTTAGAAGATTTCTACAGTTAACATAGACCCAATTCTGATTTCAGAAGAACTAATGTGGATAAGGTTTTCATTTTCATGTTGGCTTTCACTTTTTACACAGCATGTGATACTAATTTGTTTCTGGATATGTTCTACAAAAACTGGAGGACCTTTCCAGAAGCCTTTACAATTCTTATTGCCTTGCTTGTTTCTTCTCGCAGTGCTGACTTCTGTGTTGAAGAGTGTCCAAATTGGAACTTACTGGGATGATTAACAGCTGCTACAAAATCAATACTCTATGTAGGGAAAACAGAATTGGGCTAAGATAGTCTTACATGAGCACTATTTTGTGGCTGAATATCTGTTGATGTCAGCAAGCCAAATACAATTTATCTTGGTGGAAGCATTTCCATGGATATAATACAAGAGCTTTTCAGACTTGGCCTCAGAGACATAAGAGGTGGGGAAGATAATTCATAGGTCTTAATTGTGCATAATTATGCATATTCTCAGTTGCAAAGATGATCACTGTTATACTCAGTAAGAAATGGGTTTGCTTAAATCTTTCATTATTTTAACATTTATTATGGTTGAAACACTAAGTCATATTACTATTGTTACTGCAATCTGTCTCACAGTGAGTCTTAAATTTTTTTTCTTCACAAATTAAATTGAAAGATAATACAGATGTTTGTGGATTTGGTTTATTAAGCCCTAATGTTCTAATTACAGAACCATAAGGTGGTCACTAACATATGACCTAAAAATCTTTTGTATCTCTTTTTGGAGGGCTAAATATGCTTTATAATATTATATTTAATATTAAACAACAGGATAAATATGCTAACAGTTTAAAAGGTAATAAACAATTCCCTGAGCCCTTACTTATTTGTATCACCTCTAGCCACATGCAAGGGAATATGCTTGTGTGTAATGTTTTACCTCCAATATACTAGAATTCACACTTCTTTCTGGCAACATGTTCATCTTTGTATCCACTATAATGTCTATGTCAGCAATTAGACAATACGCATTTGTGGAATAAACTAATAAATGAACTTCTCTGTGATTAAAATATCAAGGAGCTAAATGCTAAATGCCCATGATAACTCAATATTTTAGATTTTTATACTAATGTAAGTACACTGTCAGAAGTAGTTAAGAAATGTTTATTCAACAATGCCATTTGTAAAGCCCAGTAAGTGACCCATAAAGAGTATATTTTGCAAATCTGTTTAACTGGATTATCCACTGGGAATAATATTGTGTGCTAACCCTCCTCCCTCCCTGTCTCATGATACTCTCCCTATTTCATTGTTGCACATGTTGCTTGGATAAGGAATATGTCACCATGTTTTTTATGTTTTTAAACACGAAAAGCTATCAGGTTTAAAAAGACTTAAAATAATTGTTTTCCGGGGCAGCTACCATGAATTTGACTACACTTTTAGCACATTAAGTAAGGAATCTGTTTTCCTTTCTCTCCACTAGGAAAAATTAAATGTTTTCCAATAGGGAGCTATCACAAAATATGGATTCTATAGTTCTCAGATGTGTGGACTTTCTACCAACATGTTAACCAGAAATTGATCCTGTAGCTCAAAGCCACAAGGACAAGAACATGATAAGGCAGGGTCAGCGTTGTTATGGACCGGGAAAGCCACAGCTATCAATAAACCAGAAACCTAGAAAGTCAAATTAAAGAGCCAGTGGTCTTAAGGCTGATAGTGACGGCTTTGAGATCTTTGGGATGCTTAAGGCCTAATCCCCAAAGGGGAAATCAAAGATAAAGTCAAATGTTAAGAAGCAAATGGGAAGAACAATACATGAACCAGAAGAATTTGCCACGGTCAGCTCAAGCAGCTCAGCACAGATGAATTCATTCTACAAAATGAATCTAATAATGTATTGCAAGGCAAAAATTATTTTCCATCTAACAGTGAAATAAAGACCCCATAACATATGCACATGCTTTGTCACTTTCCTTTATAGTACCCTGTATCTTTTCCTTCAAAATACTGAGGGCTGTTTGAAATTCACTTGTTTATTGTGTCCCATTCCTAAGAAAATGTAGACTAAATGAGAACTGGTTTTCCCTCTTGTGTTCTCCAATACTAATTCCGTTTATCTTCTAGTGCTCTGAAGAGTATCCAGCACATAGTGATTAGTCACATAAATAAACAAAATTGCTATATAAGTAAGTGAAGGAAAGGAAAAGACACAAGAGTGTGTGAAATGAAAAAGAATCAGTAGAACAGCAGCTATAGTTATATCTATCCAGTTAAAATGTGATCTAAGCAAATAAAACCACATCCAATCGCAAATCATTATTAAAACAATTCAATAAAAGGCAGCACTGTAGAACAGGTTGAAAGTGAATATTTGAATGGGAATGTTAGCATCATGGTATGTATGGGTTTACAAACGTTTAAATACATTGAATAATGCTATGAAACTTTAAAGATTACCCACAGTCCCACCACATTTTAAATTTACATTAAGAAGTTTTATTTCTCTCTGTCTCCTCACATGCTGGAGGTATATATATTTGCAGATTAATTTATATGTTTTCATATACATATTTTGATATATATATTTGTGTGCTCCTTTACATGCTTTTTTTTTTTTTTTTTTTTTTTTTGAGACGGAGTCTCGCTCTGTCGCCCAGGCTGGAGTGCAGTGGCGGGATCTCGGCTCACTGCAAGCTCCGCCTCCCGGGTTCACGCCATTCTCCTGCCTCAGCCTCCCGAGTAGCTGGGACTACAGGCAACCGTCACCACGCCCGGCTAATTTTTGTATTTTTTAGTAGAGACGGGGTTTCACTGTGTTAGCCAGGATGATCTCGATCTCCTGACCTCGTGATCTGCCCACCTCGGCCTCCCAAAGTGCTGGGATTACAGGTGTGAGCCACCACACCCGGCCTTCCTTTACATGTTTTAGGAGACAGCTAGGTAAAGACATTTATGTTTGATCACCACTGTGTTCCCTAACATTTCTTGAGCACTACTGTTGAGTGTTGTAAGAGCTTTAAAAGTCCCGAACAACTCCTTAAGATAGTTTCTGTATTGTCTTCCTTCACAAAAGTAGGATATGAGAAATAATGTTATTTATGGACAATTTGTTTTTGTAATTTAATGTTAAATTTTGGGGACCTCTTTTCTAGTTGTACATTATTTTCAAATTGATAAATTTTTAGGTTTCCCAACTATTATGTCTTTAAATATGCTTTGTGCAGCTTACACTTTTGTACTCTTTTCCCTGTGGAATAGATTTTTAGAAATGAGATGGATGGATCAAAGGGTATGCACATTTTTAAATTTTAATAGATACTATCACATAATAAAATATTTTAATTTATAAGCCCATTACACAATATGGATGTGGTGATTTTTCTATTTACATCATCATGTCAATAAGTATGACAGCATCATACTTACTGATTTATTGACTGATAGAGATCATCAGTCTTTGTAATTTTGAACAATTTGAAAGGCAAAATATGGTAACCTATTGCATAATTTTATCGTTCATTGTTAACTAAAAATATTAGGGATTTTTTTCATCTGGCTATTCAGTATTTTTCTATTACATGCTTATTTTTTAAACTGGAATTCAATATTTAAGTTTATTCACCCTATCTTTATTATTTTTGTTGAAAACATTTTTTGAAATTTAAAAGTTAATGAGTTTTAATATATATTTTTAAAATGAAAGATCAAGAAAACACAACCATAATTACCTTTTAGATTCTAGATTTCTTGCTGGTCTCTGACAAGTTTTCCTGTTCCGGATGATAGCAATTTACTTCTATATTTTCTTCTAATATAAGTGTATTGCTTCCATTTGTATTTTTAATCTATTTGATGTATATTTCACATGGCTTTGAAGTAGAAATATGAATTTGTTTTTATTTAAATGAATAACCAATTCTGTCACTTCATTTATTATGTATTGTGCATTTTATCCCTCTCCAATGATTTGATACTTCAACATCTAACAAATATTAAATATTCTGTATCTCTGCACTTTGTTTTTGTCTAACTTTATATTCAATTCTATTAATCTATTTTTGTGCCACCGTATTTTAGTTGCAGAAATTTGGTAGCATTTAGTACACGGCAAGGAAATTGACCATTGTAGGACATTATTTCAGAATATTTTAATGGCATTTTTGTTCAACTGCAAATTACATTGAATCAAAAACAATCCCCAGTGACCCTATCAGAATTCTCAGAATCAAGGAATTAATATATAAATTAATTTGGGCAGACTTGATCTCTTAATAATACTGAATCTGTCCATGAAGGAATGTCAGAGGCATTTGAACCAGAGCAACTCCATCTAGAATAGGAGTAAGGTAAAATAAGGCTGAAACCTACTGGGCTGCATTCTCAGACAGTTAAGAAATTCTAAGTCACAGAATGAGATACAAGGTTGGTACAAGATACAGGTCATAAAGACCTTGCTGATAAACAGGTTGTAGTAAAGAAGCCGGCCAAAACCCACCAAAACCAAGATGGTCACAAGAGTGATCTCTGGTCGTCCTCACTGCTACACACCCGCCAGCACCATTACAGTTGACAAATGCCATGGCAACATCAGGAAGTTACTTTGAAGGGTCTAAAAAGGGGAGGCATGAATTATCCACCCCTAGTTTAGCATACAATAACAAATAACCATAAAAATGGGCAACCAGCAGCCCTTGGGGCTGCTCTGTCTATGGAGTAGCCATTCTTTCATTCCTTTGCTTTCTTAATAAACTTGCTTTCACTTTGTAGTGAAATTAGTAATTTTTCTAATTAATTATTTCTTGCAGGAGATTCAAGAATGATCTCTTGGGGTCTGGATTGGGACTCCTTTCCGGTAACAGGAATACAAGACAAATTCTTAATATTCAAGCCTTATTTTATAACTTTGCATAAAATTATTTAGATTTCCTCATATATGCTGAGTGGTTTTTTAACTAAATGTAAACCTTGGCATATTTTTAGTTTTGCTGGTATTGTTAACAAAATTTTATTCATATTAACATAATAACTGGTAATATTAAAAAGGAAAGTTAGAGGTTTAAAAAATATATATTTAGTATTTATTACATTGCTTTACTAGTTTCATTTCTAGTTGATGAATATTTATTACATATATAATCACCTTCAAATATTAATAGCTGATTTCTCTACATAAACATTTAATTTTTCATTATTAAATTAGTTCACTTTTAAAAATTTGTTGACTGACATAGTGAGAGAAGAATTATGGTCTTCCTCCTCATTTTATTTGGAATGCATCCCCTATGCCCCTATACGTGTATTTTGATTTATTAAAAAAGCTTAAATTTTTTTCAATTAGTTTTTAATCACAAAAAACAGCAACTCTTGTTTTTATTTAAAACAAATAATTGTAGTAATATTGACCCGTTTTGGCTTTCTTGAAATAAACCCTATTGGGTCAATAGATTTTTGTCCTTAGACATACTACTTGAATTTATTTCCTATTATTTTTGTCTGCTATTGTTGCATTTATATTCACATGTAAATTTTATTTTGGAAGCTATGGTTATGAGGTATTGATATTGAGGTTTTCAATCTATGTAAAATGAATTGGAGAAACTTTCCCTTTTAATCTGCATTCTGAAATTTTGTTAAAATATAAAAACTACTTGTGCTCTTAAGAGTAAATGGAATTGCCACCAAGTTTAGTAGTTCTCTTACTACCTTTCTACATTTTCCCCCTTTGGCTAACTGAAAGCAGTGGTTCTCAAAATAGGATACTGGACAAGCAACATTAGGATCACCTGGAAGCTTGTTGGAAATGCAAATTCTCAGCCCCCGTCCCCAATCTCAGACCTACCAAACAGAAAACCCAGGTGTAGAGACCAGTAATCTGCATTTTAACAAGCCCCTTAGGTGATTCGAATTCATGCTTAAATTTAAGAACCACTATCTTAGATGTGCTACCGCTTGCTCTTCAGCAAATTTTAGCTATTTATATTTGGATGCAAAATGTTCCATTTCTTCTATATAAAAAATTATTGCCATATAAACACAGATGATATACTTATTTAAATATTTTCCATAGCTGTGGCTATGTCTTTAAATTTATTATGCTGTGTATTTATTTCTTTCTGTTAAAAAAATATTTGTGCCGGTCTATGTGTATTCTATTTGTCATTTTTTTAGGGGAGAAAAAAGCTTTGGGCTTTGTCTGTCATTATACTTCCGCTCTTTTTTTCCAAGTTGTTTTCTTTTTGTCAATTGCATCTTAACTTTCTATTTGTCTTGTAGCTTTTTCCTAGTTCTTTCTTAATTTGACTATTGCTTATTTTTATCTTTTTAAAAAAATAACATCTTCATGGCTATAATTTTGTCCTCCATATACAGTTTTGCCCATATGCATATTGGCTTTTGATAGAAAATCTTCATATATTTGTTAACTTGTAAATAATACTTTTTCCATTTTTATTTCCATTTTACCTAAAAAAAAATTTAAATGATGCTTATGGAAATTCTTAAATTTCTTAATTTTTTGGTGTTACTTGGTTTATTTTTATTTCCAAATTTATTTCATTGTCATCAAGGAAATTATCATTTAGACTCCTTACATATTTATTATTTATTATGGTATACAAAAATTCTTAAAATTATTTTCCTGCAACATTGGTTGATTATTTTATCTCATTTATCATTCTTAATGTTTACTATTTTGTTCTTTTACTTGTTTGCTGTAATCAAATTTCTAAGATGTTCTTTTTCATAGCTCTTTTTCAAGAAATTCTTTCTAGATGCATCCATTATTGGTCTTATCGGGAAACACATCTCCACATTTTTATCTGTCTCTTTATATATATCTATATGGTTATTATATATAATTGCCATTTATATATTTATGATAAATATCTATATAATATGTAAATAATTTAGATATATATACATATGTATACCTTCTGTATAGAGGATGACTATATCATAATTACAGCATTGTTAGTAATGAATTTTCTCTTAGTTTATATTATCTTTGTATCTAAATTTCTGCTATAAATATTAAATTCTTTTTTTGTTCTAGAAATGAAAGTTTATAAATCTTCTTCTGAGGATGCCTTTCACAATTTTACATTAGAATTGTATATTTCCTGTATAGTTTGCCATTTTTCCTTTTTATTTCAACTTTGATCCAATAATTAACCAGAAATGTTTTACAATTTTCAAATGTTAAGATTTTTAGACCAACTTTTTGCGTACTTGTAATATGACTGAATTATATGAGATCAATTTGCCTTTAAGATTTCTGCTTTTTTAAAAAAAACTGATTTTCCTTGTGGCCACATGTGTAATTGATTTTAATAAATTGTTCATGGATATTCCAGAAAACACACATATTCCCTAAAGATGTAAATTTCTTGGTATCTTTTGAAAATCCACCAAGCCGCTAAGAAAAACCAAGAGGCTGTATCCAGATGTCTAAGTGAGAAACTCTACTCACCTGCTCAGCAATTTTATGGCTGTTGGAGACCAGAACACTCCTGTAGGTTCAGTATGTTTGGCTCTTGTGTGCCTCAGATCTGCTGCTTTCCAGTCCTTACACCTAGGACTCCATTTGCTTACTCAACCCACTTGGGGAGAAATCCCTGCCTGAAGTACCTCAGCTAAGGCTCTAACAAAGCCAAAACATACTAGCTCCCAGCTGCCCCTGGTCTCCAGCATCCATTTGAATCAGGAGAGTTGAAGCAATTGAACAAAGCAGATCACCTGCATGTCCCTATTTTCTTAGAAGCCTCCAAATATTCCCCTGGGAAAGCCCACAGGTGTGTGTGAAATGTGCTAGGATGTGTTCCCTGTGACCAACATGACCTAACACCATGTCCAACATAATGGTGACTTTTTTCAAAAATGTAGAAATACTCTGTAATTACATCAATTTTCTTAGCATATAGACTTTTTCTATCTCTAAATTTCTGTAGTACTTTAGGCTAGAATAACCTATAAAATCAATTATTTTTCCTTGCAGTTTTATCAATTACATATACCAAGTTTATTGAAGAATCTCTCCCTATGCACTATATCATGTTATGTCTCTAAAGTCCCAGTTACTTTTTGCTCTGCAGTCCTCCTACATCATTTTGGAGGAAGGGGGCACAGCGTAGAGGGTAATGGTCTGCTCATTCTGAACTGAAATCCCTCAAAAAACCCTCTGTAAAGGTAGCTGACCTAAAATACAGGCAGTCTCTTTAGTATGCATTCAGGTTGGGCCTTAGTTCTGGGGTAAAAGCAATAATCTTATGCAACCTTCTATTACCTACAGCATATGCCCCTTAGAGGTAATGGGGTTTATACTATACAATTTATTTTTAGAAAACTCAACTACTATTGTCAATTGAATTTTTTGTTACATCATGAATTTATTAAATTATTTCAAAAACTTGATGCATTGAAAATAAAATATTTAGCAGTTGCCTAATCACAATACTAAAGTCACTGAGATGTCAAAGCCTTGGATCTCAAACATTTGTGAACAGAGTTGTGATAGCAGCTATTTAGTGAAACTCCAGGATGTCACTTGGCCCCTCTGGGCACTGGGCTATTTCTAACTTAAGCATCTTCAAATTATTTCTTTTTTCTTTTCTTTTCTTTTTTTTACTTTTCTTTTCTCTTCTCTTTTCTTTTGTTTCTCCTTCCTTCCTTCCTCCCTTCCTCTCTTCCTCTCTTCTTCCCTCCCTTTCTCCCTCCCTTCCTTTTTGCCTTCCTCTCTTTTTCTTTCATTTAAGTGTGGAGAAACATTTATTCAATCTTCTGCCCATTTTGTAACTAGGTTATTAGATTTTTTTTTTACTGTTTAATTGTGCTAATTACATATTTTGGCGATTAACCCTTGTGATGTAGTGAAATATTTATATTTAGTCTTTCTCCTCTTTTTCTTTTTTACTTTCTCCTCTCTTTTTTTATTGTTGTAAGAACACAACATCAGAACTTAGGACTTAACATGAGATCTACCTTCTTAACAAAGTATAAAATACATTATTGTTGAGTATAGGTACAATGTTTTACAACATATCACTAGAGTTTATCCCTCTAGCTTTACTGAAACTTTATTTATGTCCGTTGATTAATAATTTTCCATTTCCCCCTCTTCCTAGCCCTGGTAGCCACAATTCCACTCTTCAGTTTTATGAATTTGACCATTTTATATACCTCATATAAATGCAATTATGAAGTAGTTGTCTTTCTGTGGTGGGTTTATTTCATCTAGGATAATGTCCTCAAGGTTCATCCTTTTAGTTGCATATTGCAAAACTTTCTTTTTTAAAAAACTGAATAACATTCAGTTGTATGTATAGACCACATCTTCTTTATCCATTCATCTGTGGTTGAGCAGTTATATTGCTTCTATATCTTGGCTATAGCAAAGTGTGCTGCAATATACATGACAGTGTGAACATCTCTCTTCAAGATCCTGATTTCAATCCTTTTAGATAGTCAGGAGTGGAATTGCTGAATTATACAACAGTTCTATTTTTCATTTTTTGAGAAACCTCCACATTGTATTGCATAGTGGCTATACCATTTTGCATCCCAACATTATGCAGGAGTCCCAATTTCTCCAAATCTTCACAATCACCTGTTGTTTCTGACAATAGCCATTCTAGCAGGTATGAGATGATATCTCGTTGTGCTTTTGATGTGAATTTCCCTGATGATTAATAATATTGAGCATTTAGAAATATATACTGGTTCATTATTTGAATGTCTTCTTTGGAGAAAAGTTTGTTCAATTTTCTACCCATTTTGTAGCTAGGTGATACGGTATGGCTGTGTCCCCATCCAAATCTCACCTTGAATTTTAATAATCCCCACATGTCATTGGAGGGACCCAGTGGAAGGTAACTGAATTATGGGAGCAGGTCTTTCCCGTCCTCTTCTCATGATAGTGAATAAGTCTCAGGAAAGCTGATGGTTGTATAATGGAGAGTTCCCCTGCACACACTCTCTTGCCTGACACCATGTAAGATGTGGCTTTGTTCCTCCTTTTCTTTCTGCCATGATAGTGAGGCCTCTCCAGCCATGTGAATCTGTGAGTTTATTAACCCTATTTTTCTTTATAAATTACACAGTCTCAGGTATGTCTTTATTAGCATCATGGAAACAGATGAATACAGTAAATTGGTACCAAGAGTGGCGTGCTGTTTTAAAGATACCCCAAAATGGAGACGTGACTTTGGAATAGAGTGACAGGCAGAAGATGGAACAGTTTGGAGGGCTCAGAAAAAGACAGAAAAATGTTGCAAAGTTTGGAACTTCCTAGAGACTTGGAGGGCTCAGAAGATAGTGATATGGACAATAAGATCCAGGCTGAGGTAGTCTCAGATGGAGATGAGAAACTTGGGAACTGGAGCAATGGTAACTCTTGCTATACAAAGAGATTGGTGGCATTTTGCCCCTGCCCTAGAGATCTGTGGGGCTTTGAACTTGAGAGAGATGATTTAGGATATCTGAGGAAAGAAATTTCTAAGTGGCAAAGCATTCAAGAGGAAGCAGAGCATAAAAGTTTGGAAAATTTGCAGCCTGACAATGCAATAGAAAATAAAAATCCATTTTCGGGGGAGAAATTCAAGCCTGCTGCAGAAATCTGCATAAGTAACAAGGAGCCCAATGTTATTCACCAAGAAATGGGGAAACTGTCTCCAGAGCATGCGAGAGACATTGTGGCAGCCCCCCTCATCACAGGCCTGGGGGCCTTGGAGGAAAAAATGGTTTTATGGGCTGGGCCCAGGGCCCCCCTCATGTGTGCAGCCTATAGACTTGGTACCCCATGTCTCAGCTACTCCAGCTGTGGTTAAAAGGGACCAAGGTACAGCTCAGAATGTGGTTCCAGAGGGTGCAAGCCCCAAGCCTTGGCAGCAAGCTCTAAGCCTTGGCAGCTTCCACATGGTGTTGAGCCTGCAGGTACATAGAAGTCAAGAATTGAGGTTTGGAAACCTCCACCTAGATTTCAGAGGATGTATGGAAACATCTGGATATCCAGGAAGAAGTTTGCTACAGGGGTGGGGACCTCATGTAGAACCTCTGCTAGCATGCAGAAGTGCATAAGGGAAATGTGGGGTTGGAGCCCCTACACAGAGTCCCCACTGGGACACTGCCTAGTGGAGCTGTGAGAAGAGGGCCACCATCCTCCACACCCCAGAATGGCAGATCCACTGGCAGCTTGCACCTTGCACTGGAAAAGTTGCAGACACTCAATGCCAGCCTGTGAAAGCAGCCAGGAGGGAAGATGTACCCTGCAAAGACACAGAGGTGGAGCTGTCCAAGGCCATGGAAGCCTATCTTTTGCATCAGTGTGACCTGGATGTGAGACATGGAGTAAAAGGAGATCATTTTGGAACTCGAAGGTTTAATGACTGCCCTATTTGATTTTGGACTTCCCTTTTGTTTTGGACGATTTCTCCCATTTGGAATGAGTGTATTTACCCAATGTCTGTACCCCCATTGTATCTAGGAAGCAATTAACTTGCCTTTGATTTTACAGGCTCATAGGCAGAAGGGACTTGCCTTGTTTTAGATTAGACTTTGGACTATGGACTTTTGAGTTAATGCTGAAATGGGTTAATACTTTGGGGGACTGTTGAAAAGGCATGATTGTGTTTTGAAATGTGAGGATAGGAGATTTGGGAGGGACCAATAGTGGGAAGATATGGTTTGGCTGTGTCCCCACCCAAATCTCACCTTAAATTGTAATAATGGCCATGTGTTGTGGGAGGGACCCAGTGAGAGGTAACTGAATCACAGGGGCAGGTCTTTCCCATGCTGTTCTTGTGATAGTGAATAAGTGTCAGGAGAGCTGATGGTTTTATGAAGGGGAATTCTGCTGTACACGCTCTCTTGCCTGCCACCATGTAAGGCACGCCTTTGTTCCTCTTCTGCCTTCTGCCATGATTGGGAGGCCTCCCCAGCCATGTGAAACTGTGAGTCCACTAAACCTATTTTTCTTTATAAATTACGTAGTCTTGGGTCTGTCTTTATTAGCGGCATGAGAACAGAGTAATTCACTAGGTTATTCATTTTTTTACTATTTACTTGTGGAAATTACTTATACTTTGGAGATTAACTCTTGTAATGAAATATATATTTGGTTTTCCCTGTTTCTTGACAAAAAACTTCTAAAATTCTTGAAATCTTCAAAGTGGTAAGTGCCATTTTGTCTGTTAATGAGTTGACAGAATTGAGTGAATTTTTTAGTTCAATTATTGTTTTCTTCCATTCCATGATTTCTATTTGGTACCTTTTAATATTTTCTATCTTTTTGTTGAAATTCTCACTTTGTTTATGCGTTATTTTCTTGACCTCAATGAGTATCTTTATAAGAGTTATTTTAAATTATCTGTCAGATAAATCATACAACTCTGTTTTTTTTTTTTTTTTAAGTTGGTTCTTGGTGGTTTAATTGGTCCACTGTTGGGAATATCCTTGTCTACTTTTTCATTTTTCTTGATTCTCTATGTTTATGTAATCTGCACATTAGACAAAACATTCACCTCTCCCTGTCTTCACAGACTAGCCTTGTATGGAAAAGACCCCCAACAACTAGCCAGGTGAAATATTCTGGGGTCTTCACCAAGTTTTCCTTCCTCAGAGAAAAGCAAGCTGCTGTAGTTTTCCTGCTCACTCTGTGCTCAGCCAGGGGAATGAAAAAGCTATGGTTTCTGCTAGCACAAGCCACCATTTCTGTTCTCCTAAAGGCAGCTCTGTGTTAGACCCATCAGAGTTTCAAGACTGGTAAGACAAATGCTAGCTCTTTGGGCAGCCCTGGAGAAATTTGTGTGATGAACTCATGGAGCTACTTTTTATTTAAGCAGGCAGAAGCTGAGAGCTGAAAATTTTTGTCTGCTTGCTCTGTGCTGAGCAAGGGGAAGGATCAATGGTATCCATTAGTTAAGCCACTGCCTGTATTCTCCCCTAGGTGGCTGGTTTTGCTGAAGCCATTAGTGTTCCACCTGGAAAGACAGAAACTAGTCTTCCAGGGAGATACCTTGGAAAAGTGGAAGTGCTGGACATTCAAACTAACCTCTTCCTTCCTCTAAGTAAAGCTGGGGGTTGAGGGTTTTCTTACTGATCATGTGATGCTGTGCCTGGGCCTGGTCTTCAGTGAGAGGGTAACCCAATTCTCCCTACCAACTTAAATGAGTCTGGTTTTGCATTATCCCAGGGTACAGTAGCATTTCAAAGATTTTCAGATTTCTCACAAAGGGAATTAGTCTGTAAAAGATTTCTGAAGCTATATGTTTGTCAGGGGAAGAAGATGTAGGTCTTCCTAGTCTGCCATGTTGCTGATATCACTCTGGTTATTTGTATTTTAATATTAAATGGAATTTAAAAATTCCTCTTGAAAATTTCTTATCTCTGTTACTATATAGTCTTTATAGATGCATCTTCACTGGCCCAATTTCTTCAGTTTTGTCCTGTTTTTACCAGACTTCTTAGCAGCTTTCTATTTAGTCGGCCATTCTTTTCTTAATCTTTTTTTTTCTTTTTTGCTTACCTGAACATTATATACTTTTTGTTTTCCTCCTGCTTCATTGGCCATTGTTTTCCAGGGCATTTCCCATGCCATCTTCTTCTAGTAGACTCTAGGTATTAGTAAACCTCAAGGCTTTATCCTAAAGTTCCATTTCTTCTCTTTTTGAGCTCTCCCTATTAATCTCGTCAGTCCACACTGATTTAAGTATATGTTTAGGTAGATGGAAAATAATGGATAAACTTTCTCCCATTCCTGAATGTCCCCTTGCAATGTAACTGTCTTCCGTCAAGAGGTAGATTCTATATCTTCTCTCCTTGAATATAAGCTTAGTTATGTGATATTCTTTGGCTAATGACACATTAGCAAGCTGGATGCAAACAGAGGTTTGCATCAAGAGGTTTGCATTGGGCTTTACCCTCTTTTTCTACTGAAAATTTTTCCACCATTATGTAACAAAGTCTGGCTTAACCTGTTGGATGCTGGGAGTCATATGGCCCATTATCATCATCAGCCTACTAACAGCTAGAACCAACTGCCAGATATATGAGGGAGACCAGCATAGAATAGCTCCAGGTAATCTTCCACTAAAGGCACAACCACCCAGTTGACACACAGACTTGTGAATAATAAAATGGTTAGCATATTAAGCCACTGAATTTTAGGAAGGTGATTCATAAAGCCATATAGAAATAAATATGTCAATGACTCCAAATTCTCCCTAAGTGAGATAGTCTTCTAAGCTTCCAACTTAAATATCCAACCATAGCCCTGAAATTTCCACTATGACATGCACCTCAAACTGAGCATGTCTTTATATCCTCCACTAAACCTGAATCATAAATAATTAAGCCCATCTCAGTAAATGAGACCACCTAGTTGTTAAACTTAAAACCTCAGGATATTTTATTTCCTTCCATCCCCTGGACACTGTCGATTTTATTTTCAAAATATTTCTTAAGTCTTTCCAGTTTTTTTCAGTATCCATGGCTCTTAGTGTACTCATCTGTCTCTTATTTTACTAGAAGATATTCTAGGATGGTCTCTTTGCTTCCATTCTTGAAAACTTCCATGTCATTCGCCATGTGACCACCAGAATGATTTTTAATATAGTAATTTTTTTAAAAACTGAGCTTCCTTTAAGTGAGCAGCCAGATTAATATTTTTTCTTCATAAATTATATTGAATCTGAATATTGTTAACAGACTATTGTCTAGCAAATCTGCACATTTTTCTTTTTAGTTTTTGAGGTTTATGATGACCAAGAGTCGCTTGTGTTGTTTCCAAACCTGTTTATGCCTGTTTTACTTTCCATTATACTTATATAATTTAATCACATATAATTGGAAAGTATAATTTTAAAAAGAATCATTTTATAGAAACTAAATCAAATGCTTTAGGAAGATGTAATATAAATGTAATGCTGAAACTTTGCTGTATAATTATATGTAAGGGTAATAATTATAAAAGATTTTTAAAAACAATTTTAAGTATCTAGAAGGATTTTACTCATATGGCTTCACAAGTGTCTTCTGAGTTTTTACTCTAAATAAACTGAAACTGAAAATAATAGATGGTTTATTATGGACTGTGGTTTACACAAGGCAGAGTTTATAGAATCTCAGTGACTGACATTCAAAAATAAGACATTGGCTGGGTTTATGAGGGAAGATGGCCAATTCAATTATATTTATAGATTTTAGGTAGAAAGAAAACATTTAAAGTTGTTTGTGTCATTTTTATGACAATTGTTTTATTTTTCAATTAATATCCAACTATCACCTTTAGTAGAAGAATTTCTGCTGCAAATGGATCGGGTTACCTCATTCCCTAATGATAATTATTTAATTATTCAGTGACCTACCACTTAAAAGGCAAATATCACACCATAGTCCTACAGGAGACTTCGAGACATGGTGGCAGCTGTGTTAACAGCAGCCTTTCATGTTACTCACTCCCCCTATCCCTCTCCATGCTCCAGGCACATTGACCTAGCAGAGCTTTGAAGGCACTAAGCTCTTTCTTACCTCAAGTCTTTCACATACAGTTATACTTGCCTGGTATGCTCATGACATCTCTTTGGTGTCCAGCTCACTTATGTATATTCTTCAGATCTCTTCTTAAATGCATCCTCTTTATATAAGCCTTTCCTGACTCTCAGATCTACGGTTGATGTCCTTCATGGTAGCTTTTGTTTTCTTTCACAGCATTTATCATAATTTTCAAAAATGTTGTATTTGTGCATTGGTTTTTTGCTTTTTAAAAATATCTCCTTGCATCATTAAACTCCAAGTTCTAATAATGAGATGACCTGTATATATATATATAAAAAATTATCCATTTATATATATGTTTATATATATTATATAAATATATAATTATATGTTTATATATATAATATACAATTATATTTATATATATTATATATAATTATATATTTATATATTATATATATTATATATTTATATATAATATATATAATTATATTATATATATTATATATTTATATATTATATATATAATTATATTATATATATAATATATTTATATATTATATATAATTATATTATATATATTATATATTTATATATTATATATATAATTATATTATATATATTATATATTTATATATTATATATATAATTATATTATATATATTATATATTTATATATTATATATATAATTATATTATATATTATATATAATTATATATTTATATATTATATATATTTATATATTATATATAATTATATAATTATATATTTATATATTATAATTATATATAATTATATATAATTATATATTGGATAATTATATATAATTATCCAATTATAAATAAAGATATATATATATATATATATCTTTTTTATTGAGATGGAGTCTCACTCCGTTGTGCAGGCTGCAGTGCAGTGGTGCGATCTCGGCTCACTGCAACCTCTGCCTCTCAGGTTCAAGCACTTGTCCTGCCTCAGCCTCCCAAGTAGCTGGGACTACAGGCATGTGCCTCCATGCCCAGCTAATTTTTGTATTTTTAGTAGAGGTGCGGTTTTACCATGTTGACCAGGCTGGCCTTGAACTCCTGACTTCAGGTGATCTGCCTTCCTTGGCCTCCCAAAGTGCTGGGATTAAAGGCGTGAGCCACAGCACCCAGCCAGATGACCTGTGTCTTTAATTTACTCCCATAACCCTAGAGCCTGAAAAAAATAAGTGCTTAGTTTTTTTGTTTAATTAAACAAGTGAATGAAGAAACAACTATGGAAATTAAACTAATGGGGTAGAAAGTTTTATTCCTGGGATATTTAAAGATATCTGTAGTTGGCTTTTGCTTCTAATGTCCATCTGTCTAGCATCTCATGACAATCTTCTTTCACCTCACTGCCATGTAAGCTTAGTGACTATACAGACTTCTATCATTTTCATTGCTAATCCTCAAACAGTACCTGGTACATAGAAGGTACTAAATAAATATGCTTTTATTGATGGACCATCACTGTGGAAGAATATCTATTTTTAGAGTTAATTATGATTTCAGGATCATTTCCGATAGTTCTGGCTAAATTGGAAAAGCATTAAAAAGAAGGAATTGCCATAGTGTCTAGTTATTGATCAATTTCCCTTTCTACCTAGGCAGACAAAATTTATTTCCTCAGCTTTCTTACAATTATGTGCAGGCAAGTGATTGAGATCTGGCCAGTGAGTTATGAGTGGAAATGATGCTACATCTTCCAGGTATGGGCCCACTAAAAAAAATCCACTTTCTTTAGCCATTCAGTTGTTGAATAGAGAAGGTTATCTGTCAAGATGGAAGGAGCCTGGGTCACCGATTGACAACATAGAGCAGAGCCTCTCCCCAATTTTTAACCTATCCTGACCTGTCACGTGAGGAAAAACTGATTTTTATTCATTGTCAGACCACGGATAATTTGTACCAGCAGTCAACCCATTCTGAATAATACAAAGGGTCTATAACAATGAATATGAAGGTGATATAGCTACATATTTCTGACCTCGGGCTTTCTAAAAATTGGAGGCAAGGTTCTTTGTATATTGTACAGCGCTAGCTGTCAGTAAATAAGGGACGATAGTTGAAATAATGAAAACAATACTGAGATTAGAATCAAACTTGGAAATCACTTTGTAACTAGACAGCAGAAGGGTTCCTAAAGACAATTTCAAGTACAAACTACGTGCTCATCTGAAGCTTTTTCATGCTGTTATAGCATAAAGTTGAGATGCATCCCATATGCTTTAAATCCTTCAACTCCACTATTTGTTATATATTCAGGAATGATTTGAGACAATTTATTTTATTTCATTATATTCTAGATTCATTGATTGAGGAAGAGGAATGTAAGCTGCTGAGTAGATGACTTTGTTGAATGACATTCAAGGTAGAAGATCTATTGCTCTGATTATGTCCCTGAGCATTGAGATTTTGTGTCCCTGGGGCAGGAATAAATCTTTCAGGGAGGAATGCCTCCTCTCTTTATCCCCCTAATCCCCATATTATGCTCAGGTAAAGGAGGCCCAAGTCAAAGGAAACAAGACCCTTTAAAAGAAAACTCAGTCAAAGCCACCTTATTTGTTTAATTAGTTCTGATCTGCCTTAAAATCATAAACATTCTATCACATAGTTTTTATTAGTTTCTAAATGTCATCTTTTAAATTTAGATCTTTAATAAGTCTGGCGTGTACTTATATAATATGAGGTAGAGTTCTAACAAAAGTTTTTTCTTTCTAGGAAGCTAGGTTTGAACATTATCAACTAAGTAATCTGCCATTTCCTCAGTGAATTTTTGTGCCATCCCTATACTAAGTTCCAATATGTGTCTCTGTACTTCCTCATTGGTTCATTCATCTATTATTTCATAGGACCATTCTGTTATAATTATCCAATTCAATTGTAGCATGTATAATTTAGTAAAACAAATTTATTTCTCTCCTTATTGTTAAAATTGACTTAGCTATTTTGTCATACATATTTTAAATAAGTTTGTTATAAAATCCAGCTCCAATCTTGCATAGTTATATATTAAATGTATAAATTAATTGAATATTATATCAAGAAATCTCATATAAGAATAGAAAATGTCTCCATTTATTCTGATCTTGTGTGTCTTTGCAGAGAGTTTTAACATTTTCTTTATATAGGTCATGTGTATTTTTTATTAATTCTTAGATACTTTCAATTTTTTTGTTATTGTTTCTGGAAAGTCATTGATTATTGCTAATATAAGCATATACTAGTGAATATTTAAGTTGATTTTATATTTGGCAAATTTGCTATAATCTCATACTAGTCATAATATATTTTCAATTAGGTATATATTTTTTCAATTGGAATATATATAAATATATATTTATCATTATTTTTATTACTTTTTTAAATTTTTTGTTTTTCACCATATGTTGTTTACTTATAATTCTCTATAGAGTATTTTTGCAAAGTCAATTTTTCAATAGGTCTGATTAACTTTTCTCAATAATGCAGCTTTCAGTTTTGCTAACATTACGAATTTTTGTTGTTGTTGTTACTCTCTGCCATTTTCTGTCTCATTTCTATTATAGCTTTCCTTTTCAAGTTTTTTGGTTTTGTATCATTTCTCTTTTTCAAACACCTTGACTTTTTGTATTTAAATACAATTGACCCCTGAACAACATGGGAGTTAGGGGTGCTGACCACTCTTGCAGACAAAAAAATTGGAGCATAACATTTGACTACCCAGAAACTTAACAACTAATACTCTACTGTTGACTGGAAGCCTTACCAATAACATAAAGCCAATTAATATATATTTTGTATGTTATGCATATTATATACTGTATTCTTACCAGAAAGTCAGCTAAAGAAAAGAAAATGTTAAGAAAATTATAAGAAAGAGAAAATATATATACTATTCATTAACTGGAAGTTGATCATCATAAAGGTCTTTATCTTCATCATCTTCAGATTGAGTAAGTTAAAGGGGAGGAAGAAGAGAAGGGGTTGATCTTGCTCTCCCAGAGGTGGCAGAGGCAAAATAGGTGGAGAAGGTAAAAGGGGAGGCAAATTACACTGGGTATAACTTTTATTGAAAAAAAAATCGATAAGTTGACCAGTGCCGTTCAAACCTGTGTTGTTCAAAGGTCAAGTGTATTTCTGTTTCCTAATATAAGGGTTTTACAACCTCGACACTATTGACATTTTGAGCTGTATAGCTGTATAATTCTTTACTTTGTATTTGAGGTGTTGTCCCATGCAGTAAGCGTATTTAGCAGCATTCCTAACTTTACCTACTAGTTAGCAAAAAAACCCTGCTTTAGTCATGACAATCAAGCAGACATTGCCAAATGTCTTCCAGGAAGAGGCAAAATTCTCCTCTGTTGAGAACCACTGGAAATTGACCAAAGCATATAAAAAAAATGAGAAATGTTTATTTAGGAAAAACTACTGAGCCTCAGATAAGAACTCTCTAATTAGTGATATTTCAGATTTGGGTTGCTTCATTAGCCTTCAGCTCCCTGGGTGCTGTAGTTCTATCAGAGTGGAATAAGCTAAGAAAACAAGTAGATTCATTGTCAGTGGAACTGACTTGATTTGAAATGGAAGCCAGAAAATCTCTATGGCCTAGAACATTGTTTTACAACTTACACTTACAGTAGTGATATCTGTGGCAAATGAACAGGGAGAGCCAGTGTCATAGCTAGCCTGAGTTTGTGAAACTGACTTTAGGGCCAGCAGCTAACCAGCAGATTGGCCAGAGATTTAACAAGAGATCTCGGAATCAAACTTTCATATGGGCTGTGATAAACTTCTATATATTCCTGGCTGTCTGAAAATCTGTATGGATTTGCAAGGCTACACAAATGCTCAGAAGAGACAAAAGAGGATCCTAGTTATCTACACATCCTTGGTTAAATGAGAGGTTTTGTACATGAGCGGAAGAGACGAAAGAAAGGCCAGATTATATTAAAAGCCGAAGTGATTTCTAATTGCCTGAACTTTGAATGTATTCTTCAGTGACCATATGGATGCGATGACAAAGAAAAGAAGACTTACTGGCTCAAAGTGTTTGAGCGCAATCTCTAGACAACCATTTTGACACAGGGGTGATCTCTAGGAAAGCAGTATACACCATAAGAAAGAAAGGCTCCACAGGTAAGTCACTAAATAGACAAACATAGGAACAATGATAACCACTGTGGGCAGATAAAAATCCAGAGAATTAAAGATATAAACAATTTTCAGTATTCAACAAAAAACGAGGAGATATGCAAAGGAATAGGAAAGTGTGTCACACATTTAGGGAAATAACAAGCAAACAAACAAGGTCTCTGATGGGGCACAGATATTTGACTTCACAGACAAATACTTCCAAACAGATATTATAAATATGTCAAAAGAATGAAAAGAAACACCATTTAAAGAATAAAGTATAGGCCGGGCGCGGTAGCTCATGCCTGTAATCCCAGCACTTTGGGAGGCCGAGGTGGGCGGATCATGAGGTCAGGAGATCCAGACCATCCTGGCTAACCCCGTATCTACTAAAAATACAAAAAAAAAAAAAAATTAGCCGGGCATGGTGGCGGGTGCCTGTAGTCCCAGCTACTCGGGAGGCTGAGGCAGGAGAATGTCGTGAACCCAGGAGGTGGAGTTTGCAGTGAGCCGAGATCGTGCCACTGCACTCCAGCCTGGGTGACAGAGCGAGACACCATCTCAAAAAAAAAGAAAAAAAAAAGAATAAAGTATAAAGTATAGTAACAATGACTCTCCAAATAGAAAACGTTAATTAAAGATACAAAATTATAAACAAAAGAACCAAGTAGAAATTCTGGAGTTAAAAAGTCTGGTAACCAAAACAAACAAAAAATCCTAAGAGACTTAAGAGACAGGCATCATTAATATCTAAAGATTGGAAACAATCAATATGTCCACCAATTGGTGAAGGGATAACCAATATTTGATACCTCCATGCCACAGAATCCTATTCAACAGCAAAAAGGGAAACAATATTTATACAGTTCATATGAGTGAACTCAAAAACTTCATGCTAGGTGAAGGACTCCAGATGCAAAACTCCTATATTGTGTGATTTTAAAAATTATTTTCCCATAAGTTTTTGGGGTACAGTGGTATTTGGTTACATGAGTAAGTCCTTTGTGAGATTTTAGATATTTTTAAATATAGAATGTCCATAAAAGACAAATCTTAGAGGCAGAAAGCCAATCAATTCCTTCCTGAAACTGGGAAAAAGAGCCAAGATTGAATAAAAATGGGCATGAGGGTTCTGATTTGCGTAATAAAAATGTTCTAAAATTGGATTAATTTACTAAAATCATTAAAAAGTACACTTACAATGAATGAATTAGGTTGTGTGTAAGTGATACACTAAGAAAGCTGTTAAAAATACTGTTTTTATACCAACGTGAATAGGAGGGCTTCTCTGGATCAAGACACATTGCATTTTTCTTTCAAATAATAATAGTCATTACAGTATTAGTAACCATTGTATATTTAGCCTTCATCATGTACCACTCTATGAGATTCTTTAAATGTACAATCATATTTGTAACTCTATGAGAGAGGAAATAATAACCAGCATGGCACAGATAAATAAATAGATACTGAGATTAAATAATTTGCTTAAAGACTTTTACCCAGGTAGCTTACCTCTTAAGTTCATGGACTCAACCAATGCTTTCTATATTCTACTAGCCTTTTTATAATCTATCTCTGTGTGTGTGTGTGTGTGTGTGTGTGTGTGTGTGTGTGTATGAGATGTGACATGACATAAAATTAGCATGGGATGACATACATTAAATTTAATGTAATGCTTTATTTTCTATATTTTTAGATTTCATAATCATTGGCTAAAAATATATATAAAATCACTATTAAAATTATTCCTTTAGGATTAAAATTTTAATAACTATTTCAACTGCCATATAATATTTTACTCTGTGTAAGATTCTAAAAGAAATGAAATGAAAAGCCAGCCTTCTGACTTATTAATCACTTGAGAATAGTAGCAGGATTTTTTGTAGACTTTTCATAGATTTTTAGTAAGTTATAATGATTTTATAAAATGCATCTCAAAGTAAGATAAAATTTAACGCAATATTTTCACATTTTCAATAATATGGAGTTTTAGCTTATACTCTAAAACTTGTAAGTATATTAAATCATTCTAAGCTTCATTTTAGTAACACAAATAAACCAATTACAAAGAATATAGTTTTTTTCCTTTGCTTAAGACATGAAAAATATGTCAATTGCTGATACTCTGACTTCAAATTGGTAAGCGATGATAATAATGATAGTCATTAGAGCAATAATAATTGCCTATTAGAAGAGATGTTTTGATGGCACAAAAGGTAAAATAAGTTATTTATAATCAGTAAATTTTCATAGTTTAAAAGTTTTCTCACTGTGATTATACAGTACAGGTACAAAGGTAAAATTTAGTGGAGAATCTTACCACGCCAATGGAAAAGTAATTATTGATGATACTGTAAGGCACTGGGTCTCCTTTCTCATCTTTGTCATTAGGTATGACTTCAAACTTCCACCTGTCCAACATGATTTCTGTGCTGTTTTCAATGTCTTTTAGAATTTTCATCAGATTCTCACCTTCGTAACCTAGTGGGAAAAAAAAATACCTTGAGAAAAGAACTCTAACCAAATAAAAAAGCTGTATTTTTATGTTTCAGTGTGCTTATGCATATGTAATATTCTAAAGGTAAATAATGATTTTGAAGCACATTCTGCCACCAAATGAAGAATTAATTATAAGATTATACTCATACCCACATTTAATTCTTAACTTTAATTGGTAACATGTACTGTATTTCTCTTTTTGTGGTGCAAATTCTCAGCATATACAACTGCCAAGTGAACATTTCTACTGTATTCCCCACAAAACTTTATACCAATAGATTCAAAACTGAATGAATTCTCTGCTTCCATATCTTCCTCCTGGGCAGCTGACTTCACAAAGACACCATCCTCTACCCAGCTGCTAAAGTCAGAAACGTGGATGACATTTTAGACTTTTCCCTTTCCATCACTCTCTTACCCTCACCTTTTCCCGTCTAGTGATATAAAACTTTCAATTTAAGTAAAAGGTCCTACTTTTTGTAAGCTTTAAAATTTCGTTTCTTATTCTGTCTACTCAGGGTGTCCCTTTTCTTTTTGGCTGGTTTGCATCTATTTCTTTGGCATTGTTTTATATTTGCTAATACTACTTCCCAGTGCTGCTGCTTATGCCTGTAGTCTCAGCTACTCAGGAGGCTGAGGCGGGAGGACTACTTGAGGCCAGGAGTTCCAGGCTGCAGTGAGCTATGATTGCACCACTGTATCCCAGCCTGGGTGACAGAGTAATATTCCCTGTTTAAAACAATAAAATTAAATAAAACTAATAAATTTGCTAACACTTCTTTCTGGAAAGCACCCTTTCAAAATAATGGCTCAGATGCCCCTCTCACAGTCCGCTATACGCAGTTCTCAAAACTAGCCCTATCTTAGAACTAGTACACCACATTGTCATTACTTGTGTTTTTCTCACTACAGGTCCCTCTTAACCCAGCCTGCAATAGAGTAAATGCTCAACAAATCAATTTTTTAATGAATATATGATAGACGGTCAACATGACCTGAAAATAAAAGTCTTGTCAATATTACATTCTCAATATTCAATTTATTTGTAGGTAGATAACATTATAGTTATCACTGCAGCCTAACCCTGACAGAGTTACTGTTTTTGTTTCTGAATCTTCCTCAACATTAGTTTCCTTCCCTGTAAAAACCTTAGGGTTCTTGTGAAGATTAAGCAAGATAATGCCTAAAAAGTTCTCAGTACATGAGTCCTAAAACAGAGAATAAAAAGTTCTCAGTAATATTTTACTACTGATGATGATACCATCAGAATTTGAAATATTGTACTAAGTTAAATCATCTCTCTTTTCACCCACACAAAAGCACACACATAGTCCTAAAATGATTATTTTGAGTCGGAACAACATTTTCAGTTTTTATTTTTTTCTGTTCATTATTTAATTGTTGAACAAGGAAATGCCAGAGGCTATGAGTCCTCATTAGAGCTATTAGCATACATATCATTGAATAAACTCATTGGGTTAAAAGAAAACAGGCACTCTCATATACCAAAATTCCCTAAAGAGGAATACGTTACACTTAAGGTGTATCTGTTCAATTAACTATTAGAAGGTGAAAGCCACCAGAAACTAGAAATACCTCTTCTGGAGCTCATCATCACTTCTTACCTTACACAGGTTTAAAAAGTAATTACTCGCTACTTAATACATACAGTAAAGGGTACAATAAGTAACGATTACATAAACATTGAAAATATTAAATATTATTTCAGAAGAGATTGGGTCTATTCAGGGTGGTATGGCCATAGACTAAATACTATTTAAAAAGCTATCATATATTTTACAGTATAATTTGAAGCTGTTAAGTATTAATAATATGCATATAACTGTACTCAGTGGCAAAACACTGAATGGCTTAAACTGCAAGATTACAATAATTATATTTACTAACATTTCATGTTTCTTAATAGTGCTACCTTATTTTAAATGTTTAATTAATTTCTAATTGTTAATTTCTTTTAAGAAGTATAAGTAATAGCTCCCCAAATAAATTATATACATATATATATTATTTTACCTACTGAATTAAGTAAAAAACACTTAAATATATTCATCTATTTTCCAAATTCTGCTTTCATGTCAGAATAAGCTTGATAGTCTCTAGGCATAAATTAATTTGCATATAATTATATATTATAATATAGGAGTATCGTGTGTGTGTATGTGTATACATATATACAATTAGCAGAAATACTAGTAAATAATAATGCTTTCAAAAAGGTTGAATTTTTTCTCAGTCATGTCTCAGGTTAATAGCAGCACCGTCCAACATAACACTGGAACAATGTAGGAACAGCAACCTAACCGGGAGAGAACATGATAGGAATGAATGTAGTGAAAATCAATTACCACATCTAGATTGTAGCAGGGTCACGCAGCTTAAAATCTTTACCACTGGATATGTGTGTAGGGATTTTTATGACTAAACATGAAAAAGGCTGGTTTAAATCTGTCTTCTAGCCAAGCAAAAGTAGAAAGAGGCAATAAATAAATCTTGAGAATTACAACATCTGCAATTCAGAAGTGATTCACATAGATAAACTCTGAACTGTAGTCCCCCATTTAACAAATATCTTTTCCCTACTTCTTGTATGTATCTATGCCCAAGATTGTTAAATAATGATAAGTAACTATTAATAGGGTTCCTGTACCCAAGAAGATCATGATTTTAAAAAAGACAAATCAAATCCACTAAATATGCCAGCAAAAGATTTTTACAGAAAAGAATAATGCTATTTTACTTTCATTATTTTGGTTTAAAGCCTGTAATCAATCCAGGCTAAGAAACAAAATGAAAACATGATTAATATTTATTTTATATTTAATGATATTATGTTATAATGACTGAATCTAAAAAGTCATAGAAATTTTTGCAAATGAAAATCACATAAAGAAATGCAACAACAAATCTGTATAAAAGTGTGTTCAGGCCAGGTGCGGTGGCTCATGTCTATAATCCCAGCACTTTGGGAGGTCAAGGCGGGTGGATCACGAGGTCAGGAGATCAAGACCATTCTGGCTAACACGGTGAAACCCTGTCTCTACTAAAAGTACAAAAAATTAGCCTGGCAAGGTGGCGGGCGCCCGTAGTACCAGCTACTCGGGAGGCTGAGGCAGGAGAATGGCGTGAACCCGGGGGGCGGAGCCTGCAGTGAGCTGAGATTGCGCCACTGCACTCCAGCCTGGGCCAAAGAGTGAGACTCCGTCTCAAAAAAAAAAAGTGTGTCCAATTTACAACTATTACTTGCCTCCTTATTCTACACAAACAAGATTTTCCTTGCAATTAAATTTTTGTTAAGAGAGACTAATGATTGCCAGAAATTTACAAAAAGAATGCTAATTAAGCTAGAATATCCTACATTCTTACAGTGTCAACTTTTCCAAAATATGAAAATATATTCCTATAAAAAAGAGGCTTCAAGTCAATAGATTCCCTGAATCTTAAGTGAACCAAATGATTATTGGTTGAATGAAGTACTTTCTTCTACAAATATTAAGCATAATAATAATTACTGCAACTGCATAAAGTACTTAACACAAACATTGATATGGTTTGGCTCTGTGTCCCCACTCAAATCTCATTTTTAGTTGTAATCCCCATAATCCCCACGTGTCAAGGGAGGGACCTGGTGGGAGGTGATTAGATCATGAGGGTTGTTTCCTCCATGCAGTTCTGGTGGTGGTGAGTGAGTTCTCATGAGATCTGATGGTTTTATCAGGGACTATTTCCCCTTTGCTCATTTGCTTCTCTCACCTGCTGCCATGTAAAAAATGCCTTTGCTTCTCCTTCACCTTCACGATTGTAAGTTTCCTGAGGCCTCCCCAGCCATTTGGAAGTGGGAGTCAATTAAACCTTTCTTTATAAATTACCGAGTCTTGGGTATGTCTTTATAGCAGTGTGAGAACAAACTAATACAAACACTGTGCAAACAAGTTATCGGTTTAGCACGAGAACCTACAAGGCACTGTTATTTTCTTCAAATTCTGATGAGGAATCTACAGCACACAATTGTTAAGTAACTTGCTCAAAGTTACACACCTGTCAAGAAATAATCCCACCGTAAAGCATATTTCTTTGTTAATAATCTCTAGCAAATGGCTTCTCCATTTCCCTAATTGCTCAACTTGGGCATCTTGATACCTTGCTTTCCCTAAAATTCCTAACCAATCCACTGGTAAGTACAATTAAGCTAAGCCTGAAAATGTACCTCCAGTTTGGCTACTTGCCTGATTTAAATCATGTAAGCTCTAGTCTGCTCACTTTATTATGCAATTGGGACAACTATAATAGAAGTTCTCATTTGGAGAACTATAGTTCTGCATGTTTTCACATTTTCTGACCAGTTTATTTTCTACCCCCAAATTAATCTGTTTTTGAAAATGTGTCAGTGTGTTACTCTGCTTCTGAGACTTTCGAAGCTTCACTTTGCATGACAAATTCAATCAAGTAAAACTCTCACAATGACAAATAGGTTCCTGCATTATCTGGCTCCCAATTGTCTTTCCAAAGTCATAGTACTCACTATCCCTAATTGCCCACCATGCACTGCTGCTTCAGCAACCCCACCTGCATTCCTTCCTTCAGTCCTTGAAACACAGGGAGCTATTTCTCCTCCTTCTTATATTTTAGGTCCAGTTTTAATGTTACCTCCTCAGAGAGACCTTCTTGGCCATCTAGCTAGATAGTTCATCTCTATTATTCATTCTTCTGATTCTTTGATATTTTATAATTATATATTTCATTATTGTTCAATTTATTTTCAATTATACTCAACGAAAATGTAATCTCCAGAAGGATAGAAGCCATTTGTTTATTTCCTCACTGTATATTTAGCACCTAGAACAGTGCCAACACATATCAGACACTCAAAGGGAATTCATCACTAATAGATTCTTTGACACATGCTACAGTCCTTGCCTTTGTCCATTGTTAGTGCTTTGTATGTGGTTTCACAAGAATTATTAGAGTATGCCAAATATGGACTTCTTTAACAAATTTGAGATTTAGGCCATTTGTTAATCTGGAAGCAAAAATAAAATTATTAATTTTCATATACATCAAATATATGTTCCAGGAGAACATGGCAAGAAGACTCACATATTTTCCTTCTTTTTAATCTATGCACTTGTATGAACACTGGCAAATACAAGTATCTTATCAGAAATGGTGATGTCTTTATTCATTTCTTTAGATTGCATGAACTCTAATGCAACTCATGAAAATACTCCTGAAGTATATTCTTACTGAACATCCCAAATAGACTACATACTAAGCTCTTGACTTAGTCAAGCACGTATACAGCTTAGAGCTAGTTGGTCAGATATTCATGGAATTATTCTCCAACTTTGCCGTAAATCAGAGTTACTTAGGGAGTTTGTTTAAAAAAAAAAATCATCTGCTCAGGTCCCAATTCCAGATATTTCCATTCAGCATGTCTGGGGTGGGGTCAGGCCACTGTATTTTTAACAAGTGCCCCAGGGACTCTGTTCACCTTGTCTTAGTAGACACTTTTCAAACTTCTCTAAGTGAGCTTTGATGCTAAAAATATTTAGCATTCAAGTCCTGCTTCTTTACCAAAGTCTGATGGTGTTTAGTGATCTTACCTAGTGGTGTTCAGTGATCTTCAGATAAATATAGCCTATTAGTGACTCTGCAAAATGTTTTAAGACCTCATCTCCAAATATTCTCTCTTTGCTTACCCTACTCCATCGACACTATTTCAGTTTCAGTTCCTTGAATATGTCAAGTGCCTTCCCACCTCTGGGCCTTTGAACTCAATGTTCCCTCCGCCTATGAAGTTCACACCCAGCTTTACATGGCTGTGTCATTATCTAGCTAGCAGTTTTTTCTTCTATGTCATATCCTCAGTGAGGTCTTTCCCTATAATGATCATCTGTTTACTTGTTAGTGTAAGGTCTCACATATGATTTTATGTGCCACTAGAAATCAAGGTACTTTTGTTTTTCTTTTGTCAACTCTGTATCCAAAGTGCAGAGCACAGCTGGCTAGCATAGAGTGAGTCTCAAAACTGAGTATTATTTAACGTATTCACTCCTGGGAAACTAATTCATTAGCCTTTCATCTTTCCTTTGTTTGTGATTTTACCTCCCAACTTATAAATGAAAAGTATAAAAATTACCTTGAAGTGCATCCATGTGTACCTTATTTTCTAAACAAAAAAATCAAAAACCAAAACCAGAGATGTTTGGAAACTTGACCTCCTTTAGTTTAAGTCTCTATTTAATATCACATTAAAACCCAATACCCATGGTCTCTTTTTTCCACTATTTGTTCTTCTATCCAAGACTATTGTTCAAAATCATATATTATATATACCACATCAGTTATCTTCACTGAAATCATATCGTTTTTGTTTCTTTTCTTTTCTTTTTGTTTTGCAAGGGAAAGGGGTGTTGTGTACTGTTTCTGCTTTTGTTGTTGCAGCTGCTTTACCTCCTCCCCATCGCAGGCATCTTGCTAGATCATTGCCAGTCCCAAGAGGCAGAATCGCAACTGGAGGATGCTTGCCTACATTGGCCTTTTCTGCAGAATAAAAAAAAATACAAATAAAGAAAATTTTAAGTTCAGATAAAACGACGGAAATAAAAAGATAGCCTGATGACATTAAATGAAGGAATTCCAATAGGTACTCATAAACAAAACATAATTGTAGTTTTAGATATACACAATAATGAATTATGGATAATTTGTATACATTTGTAGCAATTGATAAGACACAAATACTATTATTCACGGAATGATGGAATTTTCAAAACTCAGGCAAGAGGAAAGCTTTTTAAATATCTTAACTCAGCTAAAAATTGTGGTGTGTCTTATCTCCACTACAATCCTCAGGGATATTATTATATACAGCATAAGATTACAATACAGAGACACAACTAGGATGGATGGGTAGGTTCCTACATAAAGTCCTTTTGCAACATCAATTCTAGGTACATTTTACTTAAAGGAATAAAATATTTGAAAACTGTTGAATTATAAAAGTGAGTAAATTGCTAACAATGTCCTTGACTTTTTCCCACCCATGGTGCTGCTTTGTGTCAGAGCAAATGGAACACAACGTTAACAGCTGGAATACAACGAGATCAGCAGGTTTTCCATGAGATTAATCTTTACATCACATAATGCTTTGGGTTCAGAGCAGTAAAGATCTCTGCCGCTGACATCCCATATGCTTTGGTTTGAATCATTGCATGCCTTGAATTAATCTCACAAATGTATATCACTTTCTTTTATTTGTTTCTTCCTCCTTAGCCCCTCAAAATCAGTGTACATATGTGTGTAGGGATAGAGGGGATAGATAATGTAGGGAAATGTCACAATGAAATAGCCGACAATAAGATTTTTGAGGGCTAAAACAAGCTAAGAATTCCTGCTGTTTTTCCTCTAAAATCCTTACAAGTCCTCAGATACTTTTCCAGCTAACTCATTAACTTTTGTAATTCTTGAATTCTGGTTGTCTTCTCAGATAAAACATATAAATATGATTTACATTGTTTAATGGAAGGCCAGATCAGAATTTTCACTGTTTCTTTTTAAATCAAATATTAGTAGATTAAAGCTGTTAGATCCTTATCAAAAGTGTTGCCAACATGTATTTTTCTTATTTTGAATATTTTTAGTGTATGCATAGACAGAATGTTTTCTGCATTGACTAAATAGGTGTCTGTTTCAATTTATACAGAAGGTAAAACTTCTTTTGAATCAATTCGTTTTATGAAAGGGCCTGTTTTAAACAAAGAATTGATCAATGCGGTAACTGAAATGAGACCAAAAAGAGTCAATATTTGTTTTGGATTTATTTCCTCATAAAGGCCAATTCATGGTCTCTTTTTCTAACTAGTAACCAGTTCCAACAACTGACTAGATCTGAAAAAGCAAATAATTTTCCTGAATTTATACTTTTTCTTGTGCTGCATACTTACCTTATATCCTCAGTGATGTTCCTGTATTATTTGCTCATAAAAATCGAGCGTTTTCAGTTTAAATAGAGAGGCAATATAGAATAAGGCTTAACTGTGCATTCTAATCTCAGCTCTCTCAGTTCACAGCTATAAGACTTTGTTGTAGTTATTTACTTTTTTCCAAGTTTTAGGTTCCCTATCTCTACATGGGATTATTAATACTATCTGTATCATAGAGTTGTGAGGAATAAACAAGATAACATGATGAATAAAAATTAGCTATGATGATGATGATGATGATGGATGATAACGATACAAATGTATACAGAGGGTAAGGTTTTGAGGGTCCATGTTTTAAAAACGTAAGCACATCAATTTCGCACAGACTTTATCACAAATACTAAGACTGCTCCTTCAGTTCCTTGTCTGGGGCACACAAACAATCTGATTTCCTAGAGCCCCTGAAAACAACTCTGAAAATTTGGTAAACACTGTAAGAAGTGGATTAGAAAGGAAGGACTTCTATGTACTTCTAAACTATTTTGCCAGTTGAATTTTTGAACTACAGAATAATAAGTTAAACCAGTGTGCAACCTTCCAGATGTCCAATTATATCACTGCTTCCAAAGATAATGATACAAGCAATAGACACATAGATGAAACAGGATTTAAAGCTATTGCTCTCTCCCCAGCCATATTAAGTATGTGTCTGCATTACCTATGCAATCCAAAACCCAGCCCACGGTTCCATCTCCACCACAGGCTAACACTCTGAAGTCAGGAACATCACGGAAAAAGTTTAACCTGAAAAATAAGCATGTTATGGCACATGATTAATAGTTTAAAAATAAGATGTTTTCAGTTTTGTATCATTAACATTTTACCCGATGAAATACGTTTTTATTTTATAAAAACTGTAAAATATCTCAGTGATAACTTACATATCCTTTAATCCTATTTTATAATTATATATTCAAGATTCTATAATTTAAAAATATTTTGTAATTACATATTCTAGATTCCATAATGAATATACTCTTTTTCTTTAATAAACTCTAAAATTTTAAGGATAAAATTAGTAAATTATAATAATTTTCATTGATATTCTCCCAGATGTGATTTGCAGTTCGCATAACCCAGAATGACATATACTACATTATTTCATTTAATAAATTTCATCAATCCAAAATTATCTTTTGAGTGAATATATAAATGTGACAGTTATGTCAGTAAATATGTCTTTAACAATGTTCTACTTTCTCCATTACTGGGAGAAATTGATCAGACTGCAACTGGGGTTCTAGCCAACTTTCCTTTTGACTGAGAATCTGCAAATAGGAGGCAGGCTTCACCTTGTATTTTGACCTGGTTGACAGTGTTTTCCACCCAGGAACACTCTAGCCTAATTGCTGGGTCAGCTGCCATAAATACCCACTGCTTCTGCTGTTACTGCATGCAGGGTGCTTAATAATGCAACCTACCTTGGGAAAAGTCACAAAGGCAGGTAATGCAGCCAGCTATACAGTCATAGCCTATTTTATTGCAATAAAAAAATTGAAACAGGACAGAAATTTTGGTATGTTATGTGTCTCTTCACCTCCCTTGTCCCAAACATAACAACTGATAGTGATATAATATGCAACTATCCAAGGAATTTTTCTACGTACTTACGTATACAAATTTTCGTACATAAATCTTTATTACACACATATTTTCAACACGAATAAAACTGTGCTATACATACTGTTCATTAACTTGTGTGGTTTTATTTTAACTTCAAATATGTCTAAGAGAACTTTGTGTATCAGTATATAACATATGCATATGTCATGTGTTGCATTCTGTCAGATTATTATTTTTAAGCACTGCATCATGTTTTATAATAAGTTCATGTACTACAAGATAAAATGAATGATCTCTTTTTATGAATTTTTAAGCTATTTCCTGTGTCTCATTACTACAAAAAAGTATTGTATTTAACATTAGTTGAAGAACATTTGTGTAAATGTGCGCATGTGTTTTGAAGGCTACTCTAGAGAAAAATATTCCATTACATCATTATATCCCTCTGAATGGCTCCCACTGTCAAATATGCAAGGATTCATTTCCTTGCAACCACAAAACACTACATATGAACAACTTTATGATATGTCTTTAATAATAAGTGAAAGCCAATGTCTTTTTATTTGTTGTAAAATCACACTTCCCTGTTTACTAGTGAGTTCAGCATATTTTTATACATTTCCTGGAGATGCGTAACCTGTCCTATGAAAAGAACACTCAAAGATGTGCCTTTCTTTCTATTGAATTGCCTTTTTATTTTTTATTTTTATTTTTTTTTTGAGATGGAGTTTCACTTTTGTCGCCCAATATGGAGTGCAATGGTGCAATCTCGACTCACTGCAACCTCCTCCTCCTGGGTTCAAGGGATTCTCCTGCCTCAGCCTCCCAAGTAAGCTGGGATTACAGGTGCCTGCCACCACGCCTGGCTAATTTTTGTATTTTTAGTAGAGACAGGGTTTCACCATGTTGGCCAGGCTGGTCTCATACTGTTGACCTCAGGTGATCCATTCTCCTTGGCCTCCCAAAGTGCTGGGATTACAGGTGTGAGCCACCTTGCCGGGCGAGATGTCTTTTAATAATACTTTAAAACTCTTTGCATATTACAGCAATCTTCGCATTTAAATTTGCATCATTTAAAAAAATTTTGTCAAGGTAATACCAACACTGCATAAATATAATAAAATATGTATAAAAATTACTAAAACCCATCATCTGATTATAATATCCATGGATATTTAGAACAGGAAACTTTCATGCATTTTCTCATTTATTATATTGTGGATATTTAACCTTTGTGAGACATGTTGCAAATATTTTATTCGGTTCTAATACTCATTGTTTTGCTTATACTAATATATATACAATATAATAAACACATATGTACCAGTTGCCCATTCCAGGAAGTAGAACATTTCTAATAACTTACATATTTCTCTGTTTTCTTTCCCTATAGCACTGCCCTTTCTAATTTACAAAGGTGAGCACTACTCTGAATACTGAGTTACCACGTGTCTGACATAATCAACATGTGTCTTTCTACTTTTCCCACTTACATTGGTACTCAGATTCATTCATGTTGTAGCTGAAGCTTTTCCCACGTGTAGCTGAAGTTCTTTCTACTTCTACTGCTGTGTTAAATACCACTTACATGTCTTTTAAAATCCATGTCAATGGGCATTTCAACTGGTTTGCTTTACATTCTTGCAAAAAGTGCATTCTTGTACAGGCATACCTCATTGTATTACTCTTTATTGAGTTTAGCAGATACTGCATTTTTTACAACTTGAATGTCTGTGGCAACTCTGCTTCTAGCAAGTCTATCAGTGCCATGTTTTCCAACAGCACATGCTCACTTGGTGTCTGTGTCACATTTTTGTAATTATCGCAATATTTCAAGCTTTTTCATTATTATTATATCTGTTATGGTGATCTCTGATCAGTTATTATAGTAATTGCTTTGAGGTGCCATGAACCACGCCCATGTAAGACAGAGAACATAATTGTGAATGTTGTGTGTGTTCTGACTGCTCCACCCACCAGCGGTTCTCCTGTCTCTCTTTGTGTCCTCAGGCCTCTTAATTCCCTTAGACACAACAGTATTGAAATTAGGGAAATTAACAACCCTACAATGTCCTCTAAGTGTTCAAGTGAAAGGAAGAGTTGCATTTCTCTTTCAATCAAAAGCTAGAAATTATTAAGCTGAGTGAGTAAAGCATGTCAAAAGCACAGGCAGGCCAAAAGCTAGCCATTTTGTGCCAGTAAGCCAAGCTGTAAAAGCGAAGGCAAAGTTATTGAAGGAAATTAAAAGTGTTACTCCAGCGAACACACAAACAACAAGAAGGCGAAACAGCCTTATTGCTGATAGGGAGAATGTTTTAGTGGTCTAGACAGAAGATCAAAGGAGCCACAACATTCCCTTAAGCTAAAGCCAAGTCCAGAGCAAGCCCCTAACTCTATTCAATTGTATGAAGGCTGAGAGATGTGAGGAAGCTGAAAAATAGTTTGATGCAAGCAGATGTTGGTTCTTGAAGCTTAAGGAAAGAAGCTGTATAAACAGCAAGTGCTGAGGAAGAAGTGGCAGCAAATTATCCAGAAGATCTAGCTACAATTATTGATAAAGGTGGTACGCTAAACAACAATTTTTCAATGTAGACAACATAGCCTTCTAATGGAAGAAGATGCCATCTAGCACTTTGATAGCTACAAAGGAGAAGTCAATGCCTGGCCTCAAAGCTTCAAAGAACAGGCTGACTCTCCTGTTAGGGGCTAATGAGGCTGATGACTTTAAGTTGAAGCCAATGCTCATTTGCCATTATGAAAATCCTAGGGCCCCTAAGAATTATGCCAAACTTACTCTACCTGTGCACTATAAATGGTGGAACAAAGCGTGAGGGATATCGCATTTCTTTACAGCATGGTTTACTGAGTATTTTAAGTCCACGACTGAGACATATTTCTCAAAAAAAAAAAAAGATTCCTTTCAAAATATTATTTTCATTGACAATGTACCTGGTCACCCAATATTCTGATGGAGATGTGCAGAAAGATGAATGTTGTTTTCATGCCTGCAAACACAGCATACATTCTGCAGCTCGTCGATCAAGGAGTAATTCAACTTTCAAGTCTTATTTAAAAAATACATTTCATATGGCTATAGGTGCCACAGACAGTGATTCATTTTGGGGATCTGGGCAAAGTTAATTGACAACCTCTGTAAAGGATTTAATAATCTAGGTGTCATTAAGAACATTCATAATTCATGGACAGAGGTCAAAATATCAGCATTAACAAGAGTTTGGAAGAAGTTGATGCCAAGTCTCATGGATGACTTTAAAGGGTTCAAGACTTCAGTGGAGGAAGTCGCTGCAGATGTCATAAAAACAGCAAAAAGTAGAATTGTAAGTGGAGGCTGCATGTGACTGAATTGCCGCAATCTCATCATATTTGATGAGAATTGAATTTGAAAGGATGAGGAATTGACTTTTAGAGATAAGCAAAAAAAGAGGGTTTCTTGAAATGGAATCTACTCCTAGTAAAGATGCTGTGAACACTGTCGAAATGGTAACAAAGGATTTAGATTATTACATAAATTTAATTGACAAGGCAGCAGCAGGATTTGAGAAGACTGACTCAAATTCTGAGGGAAGTTCTACTGTGTATAAGATGCTAGCAAACAGCATCACATGCTAGAGAGAAATCTTTCATAAAAGTAAGTGTCCATCAATGGGTCAAACTTCATTGTTGTCTTATTTTAAGAAACTACTAGAGCCACCTCCACCTTCAGCAACCACCACTCTGATCATTTGGTTCCCATTAAAATCAAGGCTAAACTCTCTACCAGAAAAAACATTATGACTCCCTGGAGGCTCACATGATTGTTACTAATTTTTCGCAATGAATTATTTTTAAATTAAGGTATATACATTTTTTAAACCACAATGCTATTGCACATTTAATAGACAACAGTATAAACATAACTTTTATATGTACTGGGAAACGAAAAAATTTGTGTGATTCACTTTATTGTGATATTCACTTTATTGTGGTGGTGTGGAACCAAATCCACAATGTCTCCAAGGTATGCCTGTACGTACTTCCTAGTGCTTAAGGGTAGTGGCCACTTTAGAGTAATGCATATTAATATGCAACTTTACCAGATAACATCAATGTTTTTCGCAAAGAAGGTGCACCAATGTACAATGGATGTGCTCTATTGAATCCATTCTCTTTAACACTTGTCACGCTTTTTCATTTTATTTCTTATTTTTGTGAAATGCCTATTTATCCTTTTGGTTTCCATTATCTATTCCTTTTCACCTTGTTGGTTTGCAAAAAAATTTTACACGTCTTTGATTTTAGTCCTTTTTGAATAACTTTTTTTTCAAATATCTTCTACAAATTTAAAGTTTTTTCTTTTACTTTCATTAATGTGTATTTTAATGAATAAGAACCTAGTTTTAATATTCAATTTCATCATCCCTTTGATAAGTAGTCAGTACCTTAACTAGTCTTCTGTAAGACAAGCTTCCTTACTCAGAGCTCAGAATTCACATACACTCTCTTAAAATGTCAGTTTTACTTTTGACATAGAAATTCTTAGTTTGTTGTGGTGTGAAGTACTTTCTTTTCTTCTCTCCCCACTTTCTCCCATCTCCCCTTTATCCTGGCCTCCGGCCCTCCCTCTCTTCCTTTCTTACTCCCTTTCATCCTTCCTTTTGGCTGTAGTGGAGCACTTTTTTTCTATTTATTTTTTATCCATCTTTTCATTTATTGAATAATTCAACTTTCTACTATGCAAAGTCCATGATAAGTATTATTTCCACATATGGGTACATTTCTATTTCTATTCTCTATTGTGTTTTACTCACGACTTTGTCCATCTCTGCACTAGTACCATACTCTCGCAATTACTACAGCTTTCCAGTAAGTCCATATCTCAGGGCATGAAGAATCTTACCAATTATTTCTTCTTTTTTTCATGTACATTTAAACTCATCATATTTCACCAAAACTAAAATAATAGTAAGAAAAACCAATCATGATTTTGACTGAAGTTGCATTAAAACTATATATTAATTTTGGGAGAAATAACACACGTATAATATGAATTAAGTTTCCTTATTCATGAATGTAGTATTGCTCGATTTATTTACATATTCTTTAATATCCTTCAACAAAGATATAAATTTTCTACTAACAGGTCTTGCATATATTTTGTTAGATTTATTCTTCGTTGTTTTGTGGTTTTTGTTGGTATTTTAAACATTTAAAAATTATGTTTATTAATATTAATATTTTTGTTGCTGGCATATATAAACATATTTGAGTGTTATACATTGATTTTATAAATAATCATATTATCACTGTTTTTCTATTGCTTACATTTTGTTTGTGGATACATTTGGATTTCTATGTATGTAATTGTGGCATTTGCTACTAGCAATGGTATTATTAGTAATCTCTAGTCTTTATAATTGTTATTTCTTTCCCTGAGTCTTTTTCCTTGACAGAATTCCAACATATTGTTGAATAGGAGTATTCATAGTGAATATCCATATCTTGTTCCTGAAGATAAGAATTACTTTTGGAATCTGCCCATTTAGGATATCTGTTATTGAGATTTTATTTTTCTTTCTTTTTACTTTCCTTCTTTTTGATGGAGATTTTTTATGAGGTTAACAAGTTTCTCTTCTACTCCTATCATAAGAATTTTTACTATATAAAAATATTAAGTTTTTCTGCATTTTTGAGATTTGACAAGGTCTCTGTCCTTTAATCGGTTAGTGTGAGAATAAACATTTATATATTTCTGCATTATTAATCATTCTTGAAATCCTTTCAGGCACCCAAATTGATTCTTGTGTATTAATATTTTTAAGATAATTGAGTTTCTTTGCTAATATTTTGTTTAGAAATTTTGCATCAATCTTTATGAACAAATTGACCTATTTTTCTTCCTCATACCACTTTTGTCTACTTTTTAAAATTAAAATTATACCGCCTCATAAAATATGTTGCAGAGTATTCCCCATTTTACGATTTTTTGTGGAAGAATTTGTATAATTATTGAAGTTCTTTGAAAACTGGTAGCACTTGCATATAAAACCTAAATGTCGGGTCGGGGGAGGGGGGAGGGATAGCACTGGGAGATATACCTAATGCTAGATGACACGTTAGTGGGTGCAGCGCACCAGCATGGCACATGTATACATATGTAACTAACCTGCACAATGTGCACATGTACCCTAAAACTTAAAGTATAATAATAAAAAAAAAAACATTAAAGAGAAAAGTCTTACATCATTGTTTAAATTACTTTAGTAACTATTCTTAAAATTTATGATTTTAAATTCTCCTTAAGTCAGCTTTTTTCCAGCTATACTTCTGTAGCAATTTGATTCTCCCTCCTAGATTTTCAAACATTGGCACTGAAGCTTAAGAAAACTTTGTAAAACACGGCAGTAGCTGCAACATTTCCCACCGAGCTAACTGTTTCTGGTGAAAGCCTAACCATCCAGTTGACTCACCATTGTTCTTCTATTCCATGATGATGTTTCATCTGTTATTCATTCTTGTTTTCTTTAAAAATTGTCATCATTGGTTCTTCAGCAGCATCCTACCCCCAAACATAAACCCCATGTGACTGTCAGACCAGCTTACTCTCTGTAAATTGATTGCTAATCGGAAAATTTGACCTCTCTTTATCTCAATTTCTTGATCCATTCAATCCATGCAGTTTTCCCTAGAAACTCATTCATTCCTTACTACATTCATTCATTAATATCCTTGGGATTTATTTAGTGATTCTGACCCTCAGTTTCCATAACTTTAGAATAGAATTAACACCACGTGGTTTGTTGGGCTCTTTATATACACATAAAGAAAATGTGTATGTAAATACACCTTACTATTCACATGTTATTACTGATTTAATTATATTTTTTTCTTTATTAAAAGTAGTATAGGTATGTTTTAGGTCAGAGTGCCACTCCTCTATTTCCCCACCTCCTCCGCCTGCACTGTTCTGGCAGAATAGTCACAATTTTCTAACAAGCAGTAAGGAGAGTTTTTCTGCATGCAATCTGAAACTGTAGCTAGCGGACAATTGGGAGACCTGCCTACAGCACTGGAGACACAAGGTACAGAGGAAAACAGCTGTGATAGAAGACAAGTAAACTGAAGAGTCTCAGCAAGAGCCAAAATGCAGGGTCCTGCATGGCACTGACTTTTCACCCAGGAAGGCTGTGATGAGGAGCAGCTGTGAGGCTTCCACATTACAGGTCATCCTTCCAATGGGGAGAAGTGAGAAAATGGGGAGTGTCAGGAAGGATTTCACTCTGGGGAAACTTTTGTACTGCGTATTGTACTTTTTACCTATCAGTTCCACAGTGTTCCATGTGAAGAATGAATAAGCATGAACATTTTGCAATGAAATCATGCTTGGGTCCTGAATTTATTTGCACCATTTTATTAATTTTTTTGAAATTAAAAATTCAAATGATGTATGAAGAAAATGAATGATGATGAGTTTCCAATGTTGGCCTTTATAGCATTGATTCACCTAGAGAGTTTCCTATGTATCTCCAATAGCTATATTTGAAAGCAAGCCTATTATTTGGGTTTAGCAGCCCTCTGTCAGACACTTCTTTTTTTATCATATTTGCTCTATAATCACCACTATAACATTCCATAAAGTTTCAGTTATGCAAGATGAATAAATTCTAAGATCCACTGCACAACACTGTTCCTATAGTTAACGACACTTTTTTGTACATTTAAAAAGTTTTTAAGAATGTAGATCTAATGTTAATTGTTCTTACCACAACCACAACAAAAGAGCAGGTGGTGAAATTGTGATGCTTAATATTACTAAAAACAAATCCAGAAAATTTCATCTAAGATTCAGAGGCTTACTTTGTGTTAAGATAAAATTGATACAGAAAAGGCAGTAAATTTTCACTTGTACCTAATTGTTATTAGGTACAAAGCACACCAGGAAAACCTTTTTTAAAAGAAAAGAAAATTGTAGTACTGATTCCAGAATCTTGGAAAGTGTCATAAATCAGAATTCTTAACATCAATACGTAAATATTACTTTTTATTCCAATCTTATATTTTATTATTAAAAAATACTATCGCTTACATACAATGTGGCTGTATGGGTTAGAAATAGATTAAGTATATAAAATAAATAAATATATGGCTCTAAGTAGTATATATATTATAAATCATAAAATAATATTTTTGATACTTAGAGGAAATCAGTGTGAGAGTCATAAATATTTTCAGCATATCTATACATGGTGAATGCTCGCTTTAATTATACATATTTACATCTCTTTGTATTAAAGAAACACAAGGCTGAAGGATCCAAAATGACTTTACCATATGTCATCAATTCTCTTTTTCCTCGTTCTTGTTTAGAAAAAATAATTTCAAGAGCTTTCCTTACGAAAGGTCTGCATTTTGATTTAAGCATTTAGAGACAGAAAGAAGCATACTTATCTCTGATTATTCTATTCAATTCATATTTATACTTGCATGTACACAGTTACATACTATATTATTCTTAAAGTTACAAGATTAGATGGATTCAAAATTGCCTTAGTAAAATCTGGCTGAATTTTCTGATTTGTGATGTTACCGTTGTTTTTGAAACAATATTTATGGTCTAGAAAACCAATTTTTAATAACTTTCAGCTTATTTATTAATACCCAAACTGTATCTGTACATACCTTGGTATCATTGATATTATTATTATTGCTGGTGTAATATCTTTTAAAAATCCATGCATGAATTATTTATGCTCCCTAAAGTTTCACTCTATTATATATATTACAAAATGGGGGAAAGGTTATTTCATGTTTTTCTCTGTGGGTTTCGATGTTTTATCAATTTAATGTGACTCTCTCAACATTTTAATTTAAAGTAAAATTAATTATAATAATATCCTCCAATCTAATATCTTATGTACTTTAGTTCAACAATACATTATAAAATTTAGTTAAACTAGGAAATGCACCTGTTTCAACAAATTCGTTTAGAGTTTTGAGATATTGTGTGGAAGCTGAATTTACACTGTTTTGGGAAGACATTCCATGTGGCTAAGTGGGATAGTTATAAAAAATTAATTTGAATTAATCTTTATAAACCCAGTGTAAATAATTATGTTACCATAATAACCAGAAATAAGTTTTAGAGTATTTGAAAAATATACATATTCCAGTGGGCCATTAATAACTGAAACATTTATTTCATTATTTCTGGAAATCTCAAACAAATCTTTTATGCTTATGTGTGTTAAAAGTGAAGGAGAGAGGGACAGAGAAAGGGAAAAACACAGACTGAAATGACAAAAGAGAGCATGAGACACAGAAAATGAGAGAATATTTATTCCTGGGGAACCTATAATGTTATCTCATTAAATAACTTTAATATTCCTTCTAATATAAAGTGAGTTAGAAATGAAAGGTCAGTAAATGACAGGTTCTATGATGTAGCCTAAATATTTTTCCTTTCTTCACTAATGTACATGTTTCTTTAAAAATTAATATTGGCAGAAACATCAAATTTTTAATGTCATTTCTGAGTGAATAGAAACACTAATATTTAGTTGAAATATCCTTGCCATCATATAGAAAATATTTATAATTTTATTAGTATAAGTAAAACACTTTTGTAAATATATTTGTTAAAATATAAATTTTTTCTATTGCATGGAAAATTATAACCCTTGAAGGATATTTTTAAAGTACATAAATTAATATTCAAAAACCAAGTAACCGATGTTAAACAAAAATTATGAGTGGTCATTATTTTAGACTGAGCTTCTGCACTAGGCCCCAACAGACCAGAACAAACCAGAATGGAGTCACTTGTGCTAAGTGCCATGTAATCAAATTGAACTTTAAAATGGTCCAGTTAAAAAAAGAAAAAAACAACACAGGAGATTTGCAGCATCCAATCAGAAGGGGCCCAGTTCACCAGAGCTAGCATGATAAGGAAGTCCTTTCGGTTTTGACCCTGTAAGAAAAGTAACTTTGAAATGACCAATCTGCCTTTCATGCCTTATTTCTGCTTTCTTCAGCCCTCTTCTGCTTATAAAGCCAAACTCCTGTGCTCAGTTCATTGGAACACTCATACTATTCTATAGAATTAGGTGTTACCCAATTCTAGAATTGCAAATATAAGCCAATGAGATCTTTAAACTAACTTTGTTGTAATTTTGTTTTTTAACACTGAAGAACACAAAACACCTTTTAAAACGCCATTTTCTCTCATCTGTAAGTGTGTTTTTTACATTAGAAAGGGAGGGATTTAATTGAACTTAGTATTTTCATACTGTATTTACTGCTACAAATACGCAGTAAAATTTATGGTCATGCTACATGAAAGTCCATCTCTTAAGGTATTAATGAATATGCATAAGTTATGTGTGTACTGATATGCATATATATATGTTTGGAAATGCAGGTTAAAATATTTCTTGTAAGTTACATGACTAAACATAGAGAATTGACAGACAATTCTGATGTAGTAAGTTGAAAATGAAGGGAAAAATACGATAAAGAGTGTCAATTAAAACAGAAGTTACACAGTCTTCCTGATATTTGAAAGAAGTTAAAATGGAATAATTCATTCTTATTACTTCTAATTGGAAAGCACATATATTTTATGGTCCAAATTCATCATCTATAAAATTAACCCCTAAAATGTAGCAGCACAAGTGATTAGGTTGCTGAAGACTGTTTGACAAATTTACTGAAATCCATTCTGTCGTGTGAATGATTTTAATATTAATAATTAGAATGAGGTTTTATTCTGTACACATCAGATCATTCCATGGAGTTAGCTTAGAGTGTGAAGTAAGAATGTATTTTGAAAGGAAATAAATCTAGACTTCTATAGGGAAAAAAGACTTTGCTTAGGGTCAAATACAAAAGAATAGCTCTAAATACTTTATAAATGAAATGGCACCTGTATCTATCCACTTATTTAATTTAAATGTAGTAACTGCAACTATGTACTAGGAACTGAGATAGATTCCAGAGATTCAAAACAAGGTAGAATTCTTGCCTTTGAGTATCTCACTGGCTTAACTGAGAAGGCAGACAAGAAAACACACAGTTCAGGTCACTATAAGATGCTCTTTGAGGGCAGTTAATGTGGACTAGGTAGGGATGAGGGGTGGCTTAATAAACTTGGAGACATATGAGTTGAATCTCGAAGCTTAGGTAAAGTTAATTAGCTGATGAATTGGGGGACAGAAGTGAGGAGAAATTGAGTGAAGGGTTGTTATGTAAGAAGGAGGGTAAATATAGATCCTAGGAGAGTGGTTAGATGACAAATCTTGAAAGCCTGAAGTGACATACTGTCAGTGGGAATGAGAAAGCGGTTCTTTAGTGAATGGTCTTTTTATTCATCAAGTTAGAGAATAAAAACAGTGTGTAAATTCGGGAAAAAGGGAGAAAACTAGTTTAGTAATAGACATGTAGAATTTGAGATACTCATGGAACTTGTGTTCATGGACTATTGAACATAATAAGTTAATTTCCTCCTTATGATCTCTCTTTGATAAATAAGGAGCAGGAGAGTGAATCCTGATTATGTAGGGCCTGATGTTTATAAAAATTGAGGCCCCCCTTTAAGAAAAAATATGCAAAATAAATGTGTACAAACTTTTATAAAAGTGATGTATATATATAAATATGTATAAATAAATACTTATCTATAATAAAAAATCACATTAGATTGTAAATTTAAGATAGCTTACAAACATTACATCATAGGATTTCAAATAACATAGTTTTATAAATTAGTAAACTGCTTAATGCTTCGTTTTTACATTTTTATATGGTAATTTAAAATAATATTTGTACTGAGGTTAAAAGATAATTTTCTTTTCCTCTAGAATGATTTATTAAGATATGTTTAAATTGATGATTTATTAGGAATGTTCCACTTAGCTTCACAAGTCATCATTGATAAAGTAAATTTTTAGTATTATTGTTAAATACGTGAAAATCAATATTGGGTTTTTGGTCATAGCCAAGCTGTAAGACTTGCAGGCATTTCAATTTTTTGTTCAATGACTAACCTTAAGTACTGTTTGAATTCATGATATACATTAACCATTGTTACGTTAATAACATGACATATTGTGAGTTTTAGGTATCTTCATTGATGGCGATATTTCATAGAGATTTATAAAACATGTACTTTACACATAAACATGCCTGCTTGTTGTAGAGCTGATATAGGCTGTGCTCTACAAGCACAGGAATAATGATACATTTAATATCATGTAACTTTCATCAATAATAAAAATTTAAAATTGTTTATACTGCATTGTTAACTGTATTCCTGGAAGAATAACGCTTCTGTTTTGATGACACATTAAAGAGAACTGAATGGGATGATTAGAAGAATTTTCCAAGGATAAGCTTTGAACTTTGTACATTTCAAACCTCATTTCTCCCCTACTATACACATATTCTGTTACCAGGCAGGCTCTGGACCATTTTTATCAAGACATGTCTTCTGGCTCTTTAAATTTATGTCAGAAAACCAGTGTAAAGTCACACTGAGCAATGGGGATATGCCTGGAAGTCATTTTTACACCAGGAGAACTAGCAATAACAACCATACACAAAAATATCCATGAACCACATATTATAAGTCTCAGGGTTCAATCATGTAATTGGACCTCATCCTCTTTTAGTCAGATCCTAAAATGCTCATGCTCATTCCAATGCTACTAGTCACTAGGTAAAGTGTGATGAAAAAGGAGTTGGAATGGAGACAAAAGTCTTTTTTGTTTTTTACTGTTTTATTTTTCCATATAGATGCCCAATTTTTCTGGTTAATACCAATACATATACAGGGCATGGGGGAGGGCTCTTAATTATCTTCCATTGATATATTTGCCTCTCTATGCATTACTACTGAGCTGGCTTAACTAACATTGTTCATAAAAATTCTTGTAGTTAAAATACCCTCTTTTTAAAATATCAAAAACTCAAATGAGAAAGGCAATACAACCACATTGCTAAGATCCTTCCTATAGTCTTGAAAGGAGTCCTTGCAAGTGAGAGACACTGAAGTTGAAGATTCATTGCCTTCAAGAGCATCTGCTTCTGGGCACACATCTTACTATAGCATAATACTGGTCAGAGACCATAATTTAAAATATGACAGCTACTCGGGAGGCTGAGGCAGGAGAATGGCGTGAACCCAGGAGGCGGAGCTTGCAGTGAGCCGAGATCCTGCCACTGCATTCCAGCCTGGGCGACAGAGCAAGACTCCGTCTCAAAAAAAACCATGAATAATTTAATTACACAGAATTCTAACTATAGGCATAAAGGTAACTAAATGAAAAATACATGACTCATCAAGAAGAGATAAGTAAAAGTAAATAATGTAATTGGAGAATAAAACATTATGAATTCAACAAACATCTGCCATTTTCAGGAAATGATATGTACATAATTGAAGATTAGTATCTTAGACACCAAGATATTTATGATTTTAATAGTTGTAAATATAATTTGTATCAATTTTATCAAATGTATTATATTCCAAATCCAATTATCTGCTTTTCGGAGTGTGTTTATTAGGCTAAACTTGTCTTGATTACGAAGAACACTGTTACCCAATAATATAATTCAAGTTGTAGATTTCTATATGCTGATAACCTCTATATTAAATTACCTTAAATTTTCATGCTCCTTGAGTTGCAGATTTTAAATAGAAGAGGAGGGTATGTATAATCAGGAAAAGACTGGCTGAAGGACTGTTGTCCAGAGAGATTTTTACAGGGTTTTATTACTTGAGTCACCTAAGACTTGAGTCTTATTATTATTATTATTTTGGTCCAGAAGGTTCCTGGGTGACTACTGAATCAGTAGGAGAATAACTGAATAATTTACATGTGTGTGTGTGTGCATGCATGTGTACAAGCAATATAATTATGGCTTTTATTTTAATTATTAGAATATTAAAATTTCTTGGGATGTGATTATAATTTATGTGAGCAATCAATTTAAAGCACAATCTTTTTTATCAATCAATTCATTACTGTATTAGAAATCACGTTTTTGCCATGATGGCATGCTTCACCAGAATCTACATTCAAATTATTCCCACAGAAGGAAATTATTGTATCAGTAGTGCTAAACGTTTATACTGATTTTATGATAGCATTATCACTAATATCTAATGTCTCACCTTCATCCAAATGAACTTCCAAAAAACTTTATTTAGAGTGCATGAATTGAATGAATTCAAATCATCTTTGCAACAAACAGATGTTTCATTTAAAACATTCTGATCACTCTGATATAAAAATGGCATTACTTGATCTTTTGGAAAAGTTATTCTGCTAATGGAGTCAAGATATTAACAGCTATAACTTCATTAATAATACACATAAAGAAACTTGGAATTGAAAATTAACACTAATTTTGAAAAGTCATTTGATCTAAACGAAAAGTCATGCTTCAAAGAGTGATATGCAAAGGGACTTTCTGCATACTAAATGATTGCTTTGGGGCAGAGAATTAACTATTAATTTTAAAGCAGATGCTCATGTTTCTTCAGCATAGTTGTGTTTACTGATTTCTGCATAGTCAATGATATCACTGGAGCTCTCATTGCAGATGGTAAATGTTCATAAATATTTCACACAGATTATGTATTCATCAACTCTTTAAGAAACAGAAATTCAGAACTATTTTTTGTTTTGAAATTCAGATTATTTTTATTTAAAAGACATTTTATTTTTAAGCTATCTTTTGCTGAAAAGTGTTATTGCAAAATAAAAATCTATTATAAAGTAAATATTTATAAACTATATATTTAATGAAAAATAAAACATTGAGGAAGTATATTCAAGCCATTCACTATACATTCTTGGTAAAACTGCTCATGCTCTTTTTCTCACATACATTTCATGAACATCTAACCTATGATTTGTCAATATCTCCACAGGCATTTCTGATTGGTATATTTGTGACCCTTTGCAACTCTCAGGGAGCTGTGAGGTCCAGGCCACAGCATAATGGGCTGGCATAAAAGGGATACCAATTCTTCAAAAGTTGTCACTTGTTTTTGTGTTTAAAGAACATTGGAAAATAGTTTATTTTTGGTCACGTTTTAGGTATAATGATTACTATTAAAGTCAGATCTCTCTTCCTTGGACGTGTGTCTTACACATTACAAGAGGATAACACAGCAAAAGCTGGATTTAGAAATTGGAGGGCTGCCAAACACATCATCATCATTCTTCATTGCAATGCACTTATTAATAGCAATACTTAAAATACAATACAGTCCTGGGCAAATGCTAAATTGGGCCAGATGCTAGGACACCAGAAACAACCTGAAGAATCTTAGGTAAACCTAATTATTATGGTCACAATAATCCTAAAACCCTCTGTGAACTAGCCCTTAGTAGCTTTCTGACATCCGACTGCCCTTCACTCTGTTCTAGTCTCCCTGGGCTTCTTGCTAATGTTTCCCAAACTTACACAATATTTTCCAATCATTATGCTTTTATGCTTGCTGCTCTCTCTGCCTTAAAAGCTCTTGTACAAGATGACAATGAGCTACCTCCTCATCTTCACATCTATACTCAGCCAGTTCTTCTCCACCTCATTTAAAAGAACAACCACGAAACCCTCACCAACAATGCACACTCCTTGTTTACATTCCCTGCTAATATATGTATATTTCACCTGTTTATTAGTTTAATATATGTTTTCCATCACTAAAATATAAGGCTGTGAGGGCAAGAGTTATTATCCGTTTTGTTCAGAGTGGATTGGCAGTGATGAGATTGTTCCTGGCATCTGGTAGCCATTGAATAAATGTTTTGAACCAATTCATCTGCTATGGGTTTTCTTATTTTTACTTATTGGTAAGCTATCATCAGTTAACTGCCTGGGGCTGGAGGTGAATTTGAGCCAGTAATTTTACTATGTACACTTACATAACAGTAAATGGGAGGATATTTAAGTAAAATATGTTATTTATTAAAAACTTAACTCCTATAGAAAAAAAATCAGAAACAGATTACTTTAGTTCATTTGTGCTGCTATATGAAAATAACTGAAACTGGATAATTTATAAATGACAGGTATTTATTTCTCACATTTCTGGAGGCTGGGAAGTCCAAGGTCAAGACATCAACAGATTTGTTGTCTGGTAAGGCTTATTATCTGCTTCAAGGATGGCACGTTCTTGATGCATCCACTCATGGCAGAGGGATGAATGCTGTATCTTCACATGGCAGTAGAAGGGGAAAGGCGAGAGCTAGTTCCCTTGAGCCATTTTATAAGGGCATTGATCCAACTCATGAGGGTAGAGCCCTCATAACCTAATCATTTGCTCATTGCTCCACCTCTTAATATGATTGCATTGGTGATTAAGGTTCAATATAAATTTTGGAGAGACACAAGTATTCAAACCATAGCATTCTGCCTCTGCTCTCCCAAAATTTATGTTCTTCTGATAAGTAAAATACATCCATTCTATCCCAGGAGCCCCAAAAGTTTTAACAATTTCCAGCATCAACTAAAAAGTCTAAAGTCCAGAGTCTCCTCTAACCGTCATCTAAATAATACAGAGTTACCACTCCAGGTACAATTTATTTTGAGGAAAATTCCCCACCAGCTGTGGGCCTGTGAAATCAAGCAAGTTAGGTCCTTCCAAAGTACAATGGTGTACGATAGAATGGACAATACCATTGAAAAGGGATAAATAGGAAAGAAGAAAGGAGTAACAAGTCCCAAGTAAGTCCAACACCCAACAAGGCAAACAACATTAACTCTTGAAGCTGGGAATAACAAAAACCAAAAAACCCTCTTTGACGATGTGTCCTGCCTTCTGAACACACTGTGCAGAGTTTAAGCCCCTAAGGCTCCGAAACCCCCATTCCTTCCATGGCTGTGCTGTGTGCAGCCCACACTGCATTTCTCACTTGTTAGAGTTGAATGCCAACAGCTCTCTCAGGCTGGCTTTACTAGCCTGGAGTCTCAGAGGTGGCCCAGCCCCCATAGCTCCACTAGGCATTGTCCTAGTGGAGGCTCTCTGCAGGGGCCTGAACCATGTAGCAGTTCTCTGTCTGGGGTCTGGGGATCTCAAGGACCTCTCCATCCTTTGAAATCTAGGCAGAGGTAGGCATGCCTTCACAGCTTTTGCACTCTGTGCCTGCAGAGTTAGCACCAGCTGGATGCTGCAAACCTTTGCCACCTCTGTCTCCTGAAGGGTGGCTCTGGTTGCACTGAGGCTCACTGGAGCCACAGATGGAGTGGCCCAGGAGTGCTGCACTAGAATGCATTGAGCAGAAACTTGAGGCAGCTCTGGGAAGTGAGCCCTGAGATCCCACAGGTGCTCTGAATCCCTCTTTGAAGTCTTTCTGTCCTCAAGGCCCTGACACTGTGGGCCTGTGATGGGAGTGGCAGCCTTGAAGATCTCTGAAACGTTTTCAGGGCCACTCTTCCATTGTCTTGATGAATAGCATTCTAGATTCCTTCTAGACATACTAATCTACCCAAACTTTCATTGGTAACACCCTTGGTGTTTTATCATAAACACATTTCTCTTTCTTTACCAATTGGCCAGTCTGAGAATTTGTCAAATCCTTAATTTTTGCTTCCCTTTTGATGACAAATTCTGTCACTAATTCATTTCTCTCTTATTACATCTTACTATAAGCAGTCAAGGGAAGCCATGCCACACCCTCAACACTTTGCTTAGAGATTTCTTTTACCAAGTATCACTCCATGGTATTTCATCACTCTAAAATTCAACCTCCCACAAAATAGTAGGACATGGATACAATTCGACAAAGTTCTTTGCCACTTCATAACAAGGATTGCCTTTCCTCTGGTTGCAAATAACTTGTTCCCCATTTTCGTATGAAACCTCATTACAATGGCCTTTCTTATCCATATTTCTAGCAACATTTTGTTCGCAACCATGTAGATAATCTCTAAGACTGAACCTCTCTCTATGGTCTTCTTTCTTTCTTCTTCTATCCCCCACCTCTCCTCCTCCTCCTCTACCTCCTCTTCCTCCTCCTCTTTCTCCTCCTCCTCATCCTCCATATTGCAGCCTCTCCCCAGTCCACATAGCACCTTCTACGTTTTTAGGAATTTGTTACATTAGCACCTCACTCCTTAGTACCAATTCTGTCTTAGTCCATTCTAGCAGCTATAACAAACTACTTTAGTCTGTAAAGTCTAAAAGTCTATAAAGGGTAATTTATAAACAACAGAAATGTTTTGATATCACAGGGGTACAGCAGAAGAGCAATTTAGCCCAGGATGGATCATACCTTGAGTCTCATCCATATCTGATTTAGAAGATATTTAGATGAGACTCTGGGTTTTAGATTTTTGAGTTGGTATTAAAACAAATTAAGACTTTGAGACTATTGGGATGGAATGAATGTAATGTATCTGTATGTAAGAAGAACACGAATTTTGGGGGACCCAATCCAGAATGCTATGGTTTGAACTTTCATGTGTCTCCAAAATTAATGCTTAAAATTAGTGCCCAAAGCAATAGTATTGGGAGGTGGGGTACTGAGGATGTGATTAGGTCATGAGGACTCTACGCTTACGAATGGGATTAGTGAATTTGTAAAGGGGCTTGAGGAAACCAGCCAGCTGTTTTTCTGCTCTTCTGCCATGTGGAGACTCAGCATTCATTCTCTCCAGAGGATACAGCAAGAAGACACCACCTTGGAAACAAAAAGTGAGCCATCAGCAGATACCAAATCTCCTGGCCCCTGGACCTTGGACTTCTCAGCTTCTAGAACTGTGAGAAATAAATTTATGTTGTTTGTAATTAGCCAGTCTAAGGGATTTTGTTATAGCAGCCAGAACAGAATAAAACACAAGTTAAAGCACACACACAAATACGAAACGGTCATTTCAAATGGCCAATTCAGAACATGTTTGTTTCTTTAGAGTGTTTCAGCAATTTTGATAGGCAATAATCTTTAAACAGTGACACACAGATCTCTAGTCTAATTGCTATTTGGCCTTTGTTGGTGAGATAGATAATAAAAGCTAGACTTTTCAACATCTTTAAAATCATAGTGCATTTGTGGATGCATGTAAAAGGTGACTAAAGGCCTACAATGACTCAAAGGGGGAAATTTGTGTGAAAGGCAAGCAATTATGTGACCTTATTCATTGTGGTAACATATTTTTGTTACTTTTATTAATCCATAGATCTTTAATTTTAGAAGCATGAATCAATTTTCATACTCCATCACTCCAGTGACCAAGGCAGAATCAGAATTATGCTTACACATTTAATTGGGGGAGAGCTTGCCGAATCATCTGCATTTTATTTTATGATTAATCATGAGAAGGATAGAGTTGAGTGCTTCACTTTTATATTAGTAAAGAAAATTTTTTATTTTTGAAATTTGCAACAGAGCTCAATTAAATTTTGATGAACATTTCCTTAGCCTTTTGAGGATTCTGTTCATTTCTGTGTCATAATTTCATAACAAGAGGCATATGTAAAAGGTCATAAGCTCTGATTTTCCTTAAATAAAATATGGTAGAAATTTGGTTATATAAAATGATATTTTAAATTAAGAAGATAATGAAATCTGTGAAATCTGTTATGCATTTTCTAAATTATACATTTATTTTAATAGGAGAATATATTCCAAAGTTTCACTATGAAATATGCATATTTGAAATATGTAAATCTGTAGGTTGACTGTTGCATTATATTTTTAAAATTATGTGTCGTTTGCATTTAGTTCAGGTAGATGGAAGCAAAGATTTCTAAGAGCAGCTTTCTCACACACAATTAATTATTCTTAATTATCCTGATCAATCTGAAAAATAATTTACATATTTTAAAGTTATCTTGTATTTTATTTCAATTCATTAAGTGCTTCCTATTTCTCACTTAAAATTTTAGAAATAATGTGAGAATAAACCATCTGTATTTTCATGAAGATTAGATTCAGAAGGGGAAAAGTAATGTCACAAGTATACAAAAAACTTGATATGAACTTTTCATAAGTCACATTAACATGTGAAGTTGGTGTACAGCTAGAGCTATACATACTTATTTTAATGTAGTGAAGGAAAACATATTGTTATATAAAGCCCAAGAGTAATTTATATTTTATATTTCATCTCTTCTAACTAACCTATACCTCCAAATAATTTATTCAATTATATCACAACATGTTCCATTAGGAAAGAAACAACTTATTTGAAAGAGACTATTGTTTCAGACACCTTGAAACAGAATAATCAGGATCAGGGAGAGATGATTTATATAAAGAGATAGAATGGAAACACATAATACACACCCATTTCTGTTTTAAAAACAATTAAAGATAAAAAATGAAATGCCCAGTGAGTTTTAGTATTTGCCAGATAATTTAGATTAGGAATAGTTTTAGTTCAAGAAAGTTATTTCCTCTTATAAACATAGTTTTTGAAAAAAAATAAAGTTGGGATAAAAGAAGAGTTGTATACCAAAAGAATACATCAATCTGGTGTGGTAAAGAGGAAAATATTTTTAAAAAAGAATTTGGAAGAATGCATAACCACAGGTTTAAAGTAGCAGAAAAAATGCATACTATACTTTCAAGAGTATGCATTCAAAAACCTATTGTTAGCATTGGAAAAGTAATAAACTAGAAATGGTGATAAAACTAAAATGTATAAATCACCAAGGGTATCAGAGTAATAGGGAGACCTTATGAAACAGAGCAACTTCTAACGCCATACATTAAAAGGGAATCACTGCAATAGGACACTCTTAGCATGATCAGGGGCAATACAGCTAGAAAACAGGGCTGGGAGGATTCACAAGTGAGCAGATCAGTCATTGAGTTCAGAGAAAGGGCAACATCATAGCCTGGCCAGAGTCCCCGTTCTGAGCAACTACCTGTGGCATTTGCCTTTAGGATAAACAAAGACTAGCTCTCTAACAGAAGTCTGAGTCTGACACTAGGGATGCAGTGTGGGCATCAGTATCAGAGGCAAACAGGACATTCTCATGTTGATCAAGATGAAGCTAAAAGTTCAACACAATTATATTTAATCATTTTTTAAAACAAACTTTTGACATTGAATATTTTCAGCCAGGCAATTCTACTCATAGCCACTGATACCATAAAAATATTTGAACACACTTTCAAGAATATGCAGATAAATTGATAGATATTGACGTAGCATATTTGGTAATAATTGTAAAACACAGGCAATATAAATATTCATCAGTAATGGGATGGCTCACATGATTATGGAATATCATGCAGCAGTTAGAAAAATGAAACTGATCAATGTCTACTGAAACGGAACAATGTGTATCACCTGCTTTAGAGTGCAGAAAGCAAGTTGCAAGATAATATAAAATCTATATTCTGTTACGTAAAAAACTATCTACCTATATTTCATATATATATTTCATATATATATACTATATATATATACACCTATATATGTGTGTGTGTGTGTGTGTGTATGAATACGTTATAGATAGAGGGGAATATGCTCATTTATATGTGTGTATTAGATTGGGAAGCTACAGCAAACAACCACAATAATAATTTCTGAGGAGTAGTAGTGCTCAAAGTGGGACCTTTAAATTTTTTTCTAAATAATATTCATTGTAGTGTAGACTTTTTACAGTTACATACATTACTTTCATTTTTTAAACATGTTAAGATAGAGCAGAGGATAACAGGATGCCTAGAACTGAAAGAGTAGAAGGAAACATGTAGTACATATTTAAAGTGTAGTAGGAAAAAAGTGAGATGAGAGAACAGGGCTAAAATCAAATTTATTCCAATATATTTACATAGTGCTACAAAACAGTCATGTTTTTATTAATTATTAATTCATATTTGTACAAATAATACGGATAATAAACCACATTCACTGAGGACATGCTATGCAGTAAGTACATTGTTATTTGCTTCATAGGCATTATCCCATTTAACTTCACAACTATCCTATAAGGCAGGCAGAAATCCTCATTTTACAGATAAGATAATGAAGCCACACAGAGGTGAAACTGTAAGGCTTGTAATTAGCAGAGCCAATTGACCTCTTGTTTAACTATGAAATACAGGAAAATCCTGGATTAACTTGGTTTGATTCAACTTACAGGGGTCTTAGAATGGCAACAGTTTTGAATGCACAATATCCTAATTCAAAGAAGAGCTACTTTTTTGAAGTCCAGAGAATATTAAAGGACAAGAAAAAGAGCCATCCTGACTGAGCTTGAGTTTACAATACTTTACTTTTGCTTGGCTTTATCTACTTGGGGACTTCCTGCATGTAGCTAGCTCACTTAGCCAACAGTCTGATCATGATCCTCTAGATTCTGGATTGTGAAGCTTGACAAAGACATTGTTCTGAACTAAATTCCTGTGATGAGCCTGTCTTCCACAGGAAGGAGGTTCTGCAGATCACTGCTCAGCATTGGGAAACTGATCCCAGACAGCAGGCAGCAAGGCAGTAGAAGAAAGAGCTGAATATAATGCTGAAAGACTATGCTAATTAATTATACTTTATGAATGTATTTTTTGGGTAAGACACTATGGTACAAATTTTATTCTGAGTTTTTAAAAGAGTACTATTTAAATACTTGGTTTCTGGTTCCTGAGAATGAGAAGTAAGACTAATTTTAAATCAACTGCCTTTTTTTTAAAAAAAAAAAATGAAGCATGCATAAAGCTTATAGAGCTTCTGTCCACTTCATGTGGTCTAATGTTTACCCTCATGTTGACAGAAAGAAAAGAGGTCAATGAAATAAAATGACATTAATTATTTAACTAAGCCAAATTAATGGTGATTTGTTTAGGTGCATATCAGTAACTTCAAAAGTATACAGTTTATGTTAAAAATTTATTTTACTAGATCTTACCTGTTAACAATGAAGTATAAGAGAGTGATATTGATTAGATTTGGTAAGTAGTAAATGAAATCGTATGATTTTTTTCATTAACCCATTTATGCTGGAGGTTGCAATTTTTAAAATTTAACTTGAATTTAAAAATAAGACCTTGGCAATGACCTTAAGCTGTAGAATATAAATAACTCCTACATGCTTAGTGTTCCAATAATGGAACACTAGGCATAAATGGACTAACTAGCTTTCTCTTTACTTTTAGCAGATATTTTAAATATAAGAAGTACAATAAAAGAGAATCGTTCTTCAAATACATGGTTTGGCAGTGTTCAAACTGGCATTCAGCTAGTTTGTCGTGTGTGTGTGTGTGTGTGTGTGTGAGATTAATATCATCATTAGTACAATAAGGAGCATTACTTCACAATATTTAGAAAGAAGAAAAATCTGCTAGAAATGGACTATTTTGGAAAACCAGTATTTGCACTCATTTCTCTTACGTAGTTGATATTTCATTTTTATGTACTAATATGCTGCTGTGTTCAAATAACATTATTTCTACATATGTCAGGCAGCTTATTTAATTAATTAACATTAACTGAGTTAATGGTAATAATATTATCCTTGGACTTACCCTGGCATTGGTCCATTTCCAGAAAGACTGTAAACCTGACGAGGATTTAATAGATACTGGAATTTTCTGTAAATTCTATAAAGGTGAAAATGTGGGGAAAAAATTTAATAATATTCAATACTTTTAAAATAAGTAATGTCTCTCAGTGTTATAAAATATATATAGTTGCAATTAATTATATAATTTAATAAAAAATTTCTATCAATTTAATAAATTTTGAATCAATATCAGAAGTCCAACAGCTCAATAGGAATTAATGGTTTTTTAAAAGGCTTAGTAGCCACTATTAAGGCAATATAGTTCATAAGTTAGAAATATTGCTTGGATCCTTAATATGCACATACATTTAGGATATTCTCTAACCCGCTTTTGAACATTATTTAGCTAACTAGATTTCAAATAAATGTATTTTTTTAATATTTCAGTATAAAATTGCCTAAATATCTTCTCTCAGTAAATCCTTGTGAATAATTTGTCCTCTATAGATCTCTGATAGATCTGAAAATTATCTATCCCCTATATGAAACGGGACTGTACATTGTATATGTGTACATGTAAGCAAAGAATGTAGCCTCATCTGGCCTAATCATTTCACATAAACAAGATCTTGACCAGTCATCTCACAAAATTGCTAAACTGTCTTAGCAGCATATGACAAATAATTCTTTTTTTCTGAAAGAAAACAATCTTTATAAATAAATGCAATAGAAATGTTTCTATGCATGCACATATCTCACACTGTTTTAATTCTTAGACAAATACTAAAAGTAAAGAGATAAATAGTACATCAAAAAGTTAATTTACCACAATCAGTTAGGCATTATTCCTGGGATAAAAAGTTGGTTCAACATACACAAATCAATAAATGTGATTCACCACATAAATAGAATTAAAAGCCAAATCCATATAATTATCTCAATAGATGCAGAAAAAGCATTTAATAAAATACAAAATCCTGTCATGAAAAAAAATCTTCAACAGACTAGACATCAAAGGAACATAACTCAAAATAATAAAAGCCATCTATGACAAACCCACAGCCAACAGCACACTGAATGAGCAAAAGCTGGAAGAATTCCCCTTCAAAACTGGAACAAAACATGCCCACTCTCACCACTCCTATTCAACATAGTTCTGGAAGTTCTAATCAGAGCAATTAGACAAGAGAAAGAAATAAAAGGTATCCAAACAAGAAAATAAATCAAGCTCTCTCTCTTCATTGATAATGATTCTATACTCAGAAAACTGTCAAAATTCCACCAAAAGGCTGTTAGAACTGAAGAATTTTAGCAAGGTTTCAGGACACAAAATAAATGTATAAAAATCAATAGCAGTTCAATAACATCCAGCCAGAGTCAAGTCAAGAATACAATATCATTTACAAGAGTCACACACAAAAAATGAAATACCTCGGAATACAACTAAGGAAGGAGGTGAAAGTGCTCTACAAGGAGAACCACAAAGCACTGCTGAAAGAAATCAGAGGTGACACAAACAAATGAAAAAAAATCCATGCTCATGGAAGAATCACTATCGTTAAATGGCTATTCTGCCCAAAGCAATTTATAGATTTAACACTATTTCTATGAAACTACCAATGTCGTTCTTCAAAGACTTAGAAGAAAACTCTTCTAAAATTCATGTTTAACCAAAAAACAGCCTGGATAGCCAAAGCAAGCCTAAGCTAAAAAGAACAAAGATGGAAGAATCACACCATAAGGCTACAGTAACAAAAACTGCATGGTACTGGTATAAAACCAGACACTCAGGCCAATGGAACAGAGTAGAAAACTCAGAAATAAAGCTGCAAACCTTCATCTGATCTTCAACAAGGCCAACAAATACAAAACAATAGCGAAAGGACTTCCTATTCAATACATGTTACTGGAATAGCTGGCTAGCCATATGCAGAAAAATGAAACTGGACTCTTTTCTTTCACCACATACAAAAATTAACTCAACATGGATTAAAAATTTAAATGTAAGATCCCAAGCTATATTTCTAAAAGAAAACCTAGGAAATACCCCACGTGACAATGGCTTTGGCAACACATTTTTTATTAAGTCCTCAAATTGCAACAAAAACAGAAATTGACAATTAAGCTACAGAGCTTCTGCACAGCAAAAGAAACCATCAACAGAGTAAAGTGACAATCTGCAGAATGGGAGAAAATATTTGCAAACTATTCATCCAACAAAGGTGTAATATCCAGAATCTATAAGAACTTAAATCAATGGGAAAAAAACAACAACAAATAACCCCATTAAACATGAGCAAAATACATGAACAGACACTTCTTGAAAGTCATACAAGCAGGAAACAAACATATGAAAACATGCTTATCATCACTAATAATCATGGAAATGCAAATTAAAACCACAATAAAACACCATCTCACGCCAATCAGAATGGCTATTATTAAAAAGTCAAAAACCAGTGGATGCTGGCAAGGCTGCAAAGAAAAGGAAATGCCTCTATGCTGTTGTTGTGAATGTAAATTAGTTCAGCCATTGTAGAAAATGGCTTGAATATTTTTTTAAGAACTTCAAACAGATCTACCATTCAACCCAGCAATCCCATTAGTGGGTGTAAACTCGAAGGAAAACATACCATATACCAAAAAGATACATGCACTTTTATTTGCATCCCTGCTGTATTCACAAGAGCAAAGACATGGAATCAACCTAGGTATCCATCAATGCTGGGCTGGATAAAGAAAATGCGGTACATATATAGCATGGAATACTACACAGCCATTACAAAAGAATGAAATCATGTCCTTTGCAGCAATATGGATGGAGATGGAGGCCATTTCCCTAAGAGAATTAACACAGAAACAGAAAACCAAATACTGCATGTACTGCACGAAATGTTAAGCAGCAGCTAAACATTGAGAACACACACACTTAAACATGGGAACAGTAGACATGGGGGACTACCAGAGTGGGGAAGGAAGAAGTGGAGGAAGATATGAAAAAAACTACCTGTTGGGTACTACGCTTGCTACCTGAGCATAATATACTCATGTAACAAACCTGCACATGTACCTCCTGTATCTAAAGTAAAAGTTGAAATTAAAAAGATTTTTTTAAAGTTAAGGGATATATTTAAACCTAAATTGGTTTTATATACATGTGAAAATATGATTATTTTATAAACAAATTCTTATGATATTTACTGATAAAACTCTCCAAATTCAGTATGTAATATCTGCTCATATCACCTAGAGTTGTTCTCAATACCCTCTTTTCCCTGGCACCTGAACCTACTAGTGGACAACTCTGTGCCTTCCTAAAAGAAAACCTAGGAAATACCCTATCTGACGTTGTCCTTGGCAACAAACTTAAAAAAAATGCCTATCAAACCTGGCTATTCTATCCCACTGCCTTACTTAAGGTCTTCAAGTTCTTTCACCAGCTTTATAAATTTCTTGGCAATCCAGCCTTCCTCTATACTGTTGTCTAAGTACAGCCATGCCTTATCCATGATGCAAAGTTTATGCCAGTGTCCAGTTATTCACAATATAAAATTAAGACATCTTCACAATTCAGCCACAGTTTCTCTCTCATCTTTCCCCTCTTTTTCCTTACATTGTCATCCCGGTAAATTCCTCTTGGTTGACACCCTGCCATTTCACAAGTCTGCCTTTCTCCTTCTTTCATTGGGCAAACATCTACCATATAATAACCTATAAAGAAGCTCCTTCTTCTCTAAAGACTTCTTGGTCTTCAGAGATAGTTATCTCCTTCTCTGAACTTTGATAGCACTTTTATCTTAAACATTTCTACTTCAACCTGTAATATATGGTATTGCAACAGATCTATTTATGTCCCTGCCTCTCTGCACGACTGTGTATTATGCCTCTTATTCCCAGTCACTAGTAGAGTTTGGATTCAACTAGGCATTGCTGTCTGAACACATATGTGAACATTTTCAGACTTATTGATTGATATGGAAAAGTTTATGTGGATTTATGATTCTGTGACCTTTTGCAACTTATCTAACATATCAAAGTCAAAAAAGCCAAAAAATTTGGAAAGGAAAACACTGAACGGGATCACCTTGTGAAAGGTGCCTCTTATGCAGGCAGAAAAATTATGTTTGCATTGAAAACAGATCACCTTTAAAACATATTTACATTTCATTTGACTTCGCGTGGTCCCAGTCAATGAATAAAGAACAAAACACACGTGGATGTGTATATAGAAGAGCTCGAAGTTGAAGCCCCCAGTAAATTTAATTTACTTAACATTTTAGTGTAACTATATATATATATATGTATATTTTTAATTTAGGGAAAATTATTTATATGTACTGGTAGAAAGGGAAGGCAAATATTCAACTAAGGGTCATTCTACATGATTCATATTATCTTAATTGGAGAAAAATTATTTTCCTTTGAAAATACTATTTTTTTTCTCTTCAAACTTCAATATTCTGTAATTTCCAATGTGGATTTAAGTCTCATCTAATCCTTTGTGGAAAGTTTTCTTTTTTTGTTAAACTATCAATAACATATACAGCTAACTGACTGTAAATAGTAAAGAAGAAAGTAATTTCAGCATTATTATTTAATGATTATTTTATGAGTAAAACTATTCCCTTTAATAAAGCATTAGGAATATTTTTAATTATTAAAACATTATTTAAAATAATTTCTATCATGTTTAGAGGAGTAAAACATAACTATATACTGATGAAAAGAAAAAATCTTATACTCATTTTATTTTATTTTATTTTATTTTATTTTATTTATTTGAGACAGAGTCTCACACGGTCACCTGGGCTGGAGTGCAGTGGCACGATCTTGGCTTACTGCAACCTCCCAGGTTCAAGTGATTCTCCTTGCCTCAGCCTCCCAAGTAGCTGGGATTACAGGTGCCCACGACCATGCCTCGCTAATTTTTTCGTATTTTAGTAGAGACGGGGTTTCACTATGTTGGCCAGGCTGGTCTCAAATTCCTGACCTCATGGTCTGCCCACCTCAGCCTCCCAAAGTGCTAGGATAATAATCTTACACTCTTTAAAGCAAAAATGTTTTGTTGATTCAATAATGAAAAGCATTCTTCATTTCATGGAAAGAAAGCTGGAAAGTTAAATGGTAGAAAAAAATTACTTTATTCATGGAAACATTTCAACTTTGCTATTTGGTGAGCCACAAAGGAAATTTGTTATACTGTTATCATGTTTGTTATGAGTGCTTTCATCTGCTTGCTTATTTTTGGTTGAGATTAGGAGAGTTATCTAAAAAGCATTAAGGCAGGTATAAATGCATTTTTGTTTATGACTGTCATCTTTAGGAAGACATAAGATTTACTCTTCAATGTAGTGATTTTCATATTTGTATTAAATAATATGATTTAATCATTCATTCATTACAAAATAAAATGTTATCAGCCAGAATGCTGAAATACCTGATAATGCAGCTCATTATTATTCAGATTAAATATATTGTACTTCTCCAGGAAATATGGCATCATGTTCTCCAAAATGCACATGCAGAAAATCATTATAATATATTTTGCCTAGATGTTGGGTATAAATTCGGTTCCTCAGTACTGAATTATGATTTATGTGGATTCATCTTGTTAACCATTTAGAGAACCAATTTTCATTCAACAGTATTTATGAAGCCAGACTCTTTGTTAGGGGATAGGGGTGATAGGTGGGGTAGAGAGAATTCAAACACCTGAGCTATAATAGTAAAAATAGTTACAAAAGGCCATTGTATTAAAATTTCAATCCTAAAAACAAGATCATATAAACATATTAAATGCTAGCATCATTTATTTTGCATTAAAATTAGCAGAGAGGAATAATTGTTTTTAAGCATTTTTACATCATAGTTTTGTCTATTTTTTTACATATACATGACATAGACACTAAAATCAATCAAAAAACATACCGTTCTCCTTGTTTTCCACCACTTTTGGGGTTCACAAAAACTAAAAGTGGGTGAGTACCAGGCACAGGAGTGACCTATAAGAAAAGTTATATACATGGAAAAATTATTAGGCCCATTATATATGAAGAAGACTCCTTGTTATTTCTAAATTATAAAATACCAATACGCAATTTCAATAATATTACTTTCCACAATGTGTGTGTGTGCATGTGTGTGTGAGTGTGTGCGTGTGTGTGCGTGTGTATGTGTGTGTGGTGTGTTCAACAGGAAAACCTCCTCCACAAAGAAAGGCATGCCTATCTAGATAGAGGGCCGAGGGGAAGGCAGTCAGGAAGAGGGAATAACATTTGTAATTCCTGTAAGATAAAAAAAAAAATTACGATTTTCAGACAGTAAGTGAACAAGCCAGAATACAGCAGAATTTGAGGAAAAAGGGATGAGAAGCAAAGAAAGAGATCAACTTATAGAGAGGCCTCCTTTTACGCAGGAGTCCTAATTGAGAGTTTCGAGGCATGTGTGGAATCCATCTTCCCAACCACCTGTGAACTGGAAAGAAACTCAATAAGATCCTTTGAGGTCCCTTTTGGCCTAAGAGTCCTTATCTACACAATTTGTTCAGTGCTTTCTTTTCCTCCTTGCTGAATAGGTTGCTAGTTAATCAAGTATATTTGCTAAGTAGAGTCCATTAACTATTGATCTCTCTTTCAGGTAACACGAATTGACTCGACTATACGTCATGTGCTACTGCTTTCATCACAACTCAGCTCTCAGTTGAACAAGAAAGACAAAGTTTCTGTCCTAATGGAGCTTATATTATAGTGGAGAAATATACAATAAACAAATACATATTTAGCAATGAAACATGCCACGATGGGAAATAAAGCAGGTAAGGTGATAGCACGTATTTTTGTGGGTAGAGTTGTTTTACGTAGTGTGGGAAAGGACAAGTGTTGTCTCTTACCTGATTCCAATGTTAAATAACAGACTTTTTAAAATAAAAGTATTCCTATTCAATGTAACCCTATGTAACTCCCATCTAAATACAGTTTGATGAAAAAAATTTAATAACAAAAGTATTCAGCTAATTGTGTCCTCTAAATACTAAGTTGAACAGTTTTGGATCAATCTGCTTTTTTGAAAGTACATTCAAATTATCTTTACTGCAGTGTTATTTCTCCCCTAGAAAGTAGTCTTAAATGTTTAATGAGACAATTAAAAACACTCATTTTACCATATCATGCCCTTCCTTCCTGTTTAACAATATAAGTTAAAATATTCTACTAACATATTTTCCTCCACTTCTTTAGTAAAATGGCATTTTTCTAATGAGAATAGGCAATGGGGAAATGTTAAAATCTCCACATTACCGAAGTGGGAAGATTGACTGAGATACTCGTAATTTTTCTATTCATATCCAACTAGCTCTCATTATAATTTACTGTGTCTGTTTCTATTTTACTTTCCATTGCAAAGAGGACAAAGTTTCTTTCTTCCTAATTTGTCTCCAATTCAGCTGGGAGAAGGATGAGCAGGAAAAACTTATGCACTAACTTCCCAGGTCTCCCCTGAACCAAATGTGTGCAATCAATTAATGTACATAAAGTGTCTATTATCTTTAAGCCATGGTGGCTGCGGATTGCAATGGGTACCCCTTCCTCCCATTAAAAACTAAAATCAAACAAACAACTATATCTAAAAACCTGTGTTCGATTTTCTTTATTTCTCATCCTATTACAAATTGAAACTCCTAACGTTTTCATAAGCAAATAGCAATAATAAATAGATGTAGATTTTAGTTGACTTTTTAGTCAATTTGAACTGTTTCTACTGGTTTTTAAGTAGAAATGGGAATCTCAAAGTAAACAGATTTTTAAGCATGAGCAAAGTATTAACTCTGAACCCAAATACTCATTAGGATGAGTTTTCCTTTTCTCCCTAAAGTCAACATTCATTTTATAACTATATGAGATTATACAAAAATTCATGCTGAGTCCAATATATGGAATTATTTTCAAACTATGTTTTGAAATGTCTCTCAGAGATATTTAATTGTGAGAATATTTATAGACATCACTATAAATTGTCAAGTAAAGGGGAATTAAAATTGTATTTTAAGTTATATACTGTTATGAACAAATAAATATCCCACTGGAATAGATTATAGTCTGTAAGGAATTTCAAAATAAAATACAAAATCTTGATGTAATTTTTAGGGGTAGTTAAATGGAGAAACAGATTAAATGTATTAGAAAAATCAGAGAATTTAAAGAATTTAGAGCAATGATGATATTCCACAAGTGGCAAAAGTTGAATATCCAATATGGATATACAGGAATAATATCAATCAATTAGCAACCATTATTTTACATAATACTTCTCTCATTATTGAGTATGAGTTCATTTTCAGACAGTCCTAACATATAAAGTATGAGATAAGTAAAATTGTGGATATTATCACATGTAGTCTTTCAATTAGTTAATTTGATCTGTTTGATTCCAGATTCTGGTTTTCAGAGAGGTCCATCAAATAAGAACTATCTTTGCATTGTATTGCAATGCAAAACATGTCTACTGACAAAATGAATATAAATAGTTTTCTTAGTTTCTGAAACTCAGTATATCTGATTTTGGTGAATAAAGTTTTATGGAAATATCTTACATTAATATTTTTTAAATTTTACAGTAATATTTTTATTTTTTTGAAAAACTCTCAAATTTACAGAAAAGTTGCAATGACTCTCAATTAACTTTTTCCCTCAACCACTTGAGAGTAAGTTGCCAAAATTCTACTCCATCACTACCACTCCCATTTACATTAGTATTTCCTACATATAAAAACATTCTCTCGTATATACATATATATACATATATATAATATACATATATACATATATATATATACACACAATACAACCATCAATAACAGAAAACTAATATGATTTTGGACTAGTTTTGTGGAAAAAAACTATTATTGGGACAACTGATGAAACCTAAATGGGATATGAGGTACCAATGTAGTTAGGTACCAACGTTATATTCAAGCTTACTAATTCTCTTTTGGATTGTATCCAATCTGTCTATGAATTTAGAATTTTTACTTTCACAAAACAATTGTGAAATAATATGTAAAATTCAATTATTCTGAAAATACATTTGCTGCAATCCTAAAATATTGTGTCCTTTTTGTTATAGATTTTGGTGGAGTAGGAGGTGAAAGATAAAAACACAACTATGTCAAAAATTCTGTCAGCTGAAAACTATTCATTCTTTGAAGTACATATATTTATACAGCATTTGAGATCATCTGAAGTAGAACAGCATATAGAACAGATGACTTCCTAGTTGATTTGTTTAAAGGATGAAAGAACCCTCAACCTGCTCTCAATCTCCCATGACTCTTCCATTGTGCTTGAGGCTCTCTCTACAGAGCCCTGTGTCTTTTCAAAACAGTTAAACAATACTTGAGATACAGTAATACGGTTTCACACACACAAAAATACTGATGAAGAGAGAAAGTGTCTAGGAAAGATTTTATAGCATCTGTGGTAGTTGAAATCTTGAAGAATGGTTATAAATTTGATGTGCAGGGTATTCCAGGAGACTGTTCACACTGGATTCTCCACCATACTGAATAGAATTCATCATGTAAAATCTTACTTAATCACATAAAGGGGCAGTTAAAAACAGTACATTTAAAGAGCATGATTTTAGAGTTAGACTGGTTTTGGATCCCAGTTCAATCACTTCTCTCTATATACACACTCTGTCCTTTAATGATCTCATCTTATCTGATGGCTGCCATCAATGCCTTTCACTCCCAAATTCATGTCTGCCTTTTCTTCTAATTTCTAGGTTCACATATTGGTCTACCTACTTGATATTTTTATTTGGATATCTAACAGCAGCAGAAATTTCCCTCTAAACATTCATACAGATGCTCCCCTATCTCAGTCAATGGCAATTTCATCATTTCAGTTGCATGGTCCAAACTATTAATATCTTGGAGAAGTTCCTGATTCCTCACTTTTCTCATAAACCCTGTAGTCAATTCATCAGCATATCTTTTGCTCATTCCTCAAAATATATGTAGAATCCCATCACATCTCTCTACTTCCACTGCTCCATCCTAACAAGCCTACGTCTTATAACCCCTGAATAACTTCAACAGTAATCTACTGGACTCTTGGCTCCCCAACAATCTAATCTTTATAAGAGTAAGCCTTTTAAAATACCATTCAATCATGTCACTCCTCTGCTTATCTTTCCCACCAATATCTTCTCATCACACTCAGATCAAAAGTCAGTCTTTATTGAAGCCTTCAAGCCTTTAAAAATTCTAGCCCCTGTTACTTCTCTGAATTACTTGCTACCACTTTCCATCTTGCCCACCCTACTCCAACTACAGTTCTTACTGACCCTAGGCATATACTTACCTTAGGGTTGTCCATTCCCCATATATCCAAATGACCAACTGCTTCATCTCTTTTAAGTCTTTACCCAAATATCACTTTATTAATGGGGCCTAAACTAGCCATTGTTCTTAAAATTATAGACAATTCTGACTCTTAGCCCTGATCTTTCTTATCTTACTCAGCTCTATTTTTACATCATTTATTATCTACCATTTTATGTATATGGAGATACTCAGTTTAAAGGTTGCTATAATGCTCAAAACTATAGAGTAACAATTCTGGGTTTACATTGAGAGTTAGAATGTCAATGAAGTGCTAAGTATGAAACAGTCAACAGGGTTAAGAATTCTAAAATGAGCAAAGGACATACACACACACACACACACACGTACACACACATACATCAAAGAAAGTGAATTGATTATATAGAGATAATTAATTTAATATACATATATACTATACACTTACATTTAGTGCATGGGTGCATGGTTTACAGTCTTGGTGATTACAAGAATAAGATATTACAAATAAGGAAGATAAAATAAAGAGGCAGTTTTGTGAGGAAAGACACTGGTTCAGTTTTAGATATTTAATCATAAAGGTCCCCCTTTCTTTCTCGTGCTAAAAGTGTTACAAACTAGATTCGTTACTTCTTAAATGACCCTTTTATTTGGAAATGTTTCTCAAAGAATATTTAGGAACAAGGTAACTTCAACATAAACACAGTTTAAAACAATTGTTCTGTTTTTCTCCTTATTTCTTCACATGTGGGAGAGCCATCTGTAATTTTATATCTCTTGCATGGTAAGAAGTCGCAGTTTCAATTACATTTGATCATATGTATTAAGTGTAAACCTATGGTGTGAGCGATGACAAAGACAGAGTGCCTAACCACCTCTATTTGAAGTCCCCTAGGACTTGGGTTAATTAATGAGACTCATCCTAAGGTTATACATGATCTATTACTTCCTCTAATTAGAAATAATAATCCTGATCATTATGCTGGTTAGCTGGAAAGAAATAAGATGAATGTGCTTAACTATGATTAATAGTCTTCTTTAAGCAGTGTAGATCTCTTCTGTCACTGAAGTTATATGCAAACTGGGCTGCAACTCAATGCTTTTTAATGATACATACTTTTTAAAGCTCATGGAAAAAATTAACTTTATGGTAGATCTTTTTACCTTTCTTGATAATAAACAAACATTTTGGTATTTTAAAATTGATAAATACAACACAAAATTACTATTTTTTCATTTTGCATATAATAGCTATCCAGAACTTTATTCTTTTATTTTTTTTCTCCAAAACTATGTGGCTATATATGTGTATTCTATTTTGGTCCTTTCTGCTGAGGTACAACAGGCTTTTGCACATGATTATATACCAACTTTTTTTAATTCAAAAAATTATTACTACACATATGGTATTTTTTTAACTGGTGTTTTTTTAGGGCTGATTTCTATACTTGTCCCACTCACAATTTTAGCTGACACTTTTATATGTCAAAGAAAGTTATAAAAAGTTATTATCTGGTTAGAGAGATGAAACACTTCCACAAAGAATGTTAATCATCTAAGATTTTTAATGTGACTAATTTAGCTGTAATAAGGTCGAATATTTCAGATTATTTTAAAATAGAAAATAAAATCAAACATATTACTATGTAGGTTTAAAACCTTTAAAACACTGCATGTACTATTTAATTTTGGTTTTGATGTCCGGGCAAATTGAGGTATGATTATGAAAATCTTGGAAAACTGAGATTAGAGGAGTTAAAATTCTGTTGCATACATAAATTGTATCTCAAAGCCTGCAGCAATATAAAAGCACACAGAAGAACAAGATGTTCAGAAGTTTAGCAGTTACATACATGTTAAAAAATTTTAAGCAAAGAGACAGGGTGTCTTGGGAGTGAAACACATAAACTCTAGTCAGATGGTCTTCATTCAAACCTTGGTTTTACCACTGACTGTGCCCTTGGGGAAGTTATCTCACTTCTGAACATCAACATGATTTTGAAAATGATGATAATAATGGTATTGATCTCATATGTTTATTGAGAGAATTAAACAAGCTAATATGTATAAAATACCATCATAATGCTTAAGCTATCCTATTTAACAAATGATATATGCTTCCCATCTGTGATGAGAAGTATGTGCCTAGTCATGTGAAATACAATTAGATTTCAGAATTAGGCTTCCCTTTCATTAATTTCATTCCAGGAACCCAGAGTAGCTGAAGATTTAAACTTATCAATATTAGGCATCCACGTATTGAATTAAAATGTTGATTTTTTTCAATAAAAATTTTATAGGATAATTTAATTAATTTTTTTGCTAATAAAATTGTGGATAGATTTTATATTTGACAGCTCCTATGAAATTTCTAAACATATGGATATGAGTTCCAAAATGTACATCTTGATTTACTTTTTTAAAATTAAATTTTCTGTTCTCTAATATATAATAATTTTATTATTCAGAATTCCCTCCTTTTATATTTGAGTTTAATAATTTATGAAAAATTTTCTATTCACAATGGATTTTTAGATAAAAAACAAACAGTAACTTAGTTATCAATATTTAATAAATTATTATTAAATTTTAATGACATTCAAGATGATAAAGAAGCAAGCATTTAGGCATCTTCTCTGTGCCCTGAACTGTGCTCTCATATTGAAAAAATACAAAAGACATAATCTATAGTATCAGAAATAAAATAAGAAATAAAAAAAGATGATAGAAAATCAAATATAATGAATGCAAGTGTGTGACATACTGTTTGTATGTTAAATTGTTGGTAAATATTCCCAGAGAATGTGAAACTTGAAGTATAGGCAGTTGGAACACAAAAACATAAGTAGAAAAACATACTTAAATCCACAATTTCATAAATTAAGCCAACGTTATTGACCATTTTTCTGTTGAAGTAAGAAACACAGGTAAAAAATAGAGGTAAGTAAATGTTATACATTCACCCCATACAATGTCTTAAAATGCTATTCTTGATGCCACAGGCGGTAAAGATAACTTACACGTTTTTATATAATAGTATTAAAAAATGACTACCTGTGTTTATTTAACCTAGATATATATTTGAGGTTTAAATTTTGACTTAAAATTTTGACTTAAAAATTTGAAAGCTAGAAATATATTACAATACATTCTTTATTATTAAAAATATTTATTTAGAAAAAAATGCATTCAGAGTTCATTTTCTTCTTTCCTAAAGTCTTTTTTGCTATCAGAGTGACTCTTCATATCATACCCATACTAAATATAAATATATAGAGAGATATAAAGTATACCTGTAAATAAATAACACATATGTATTTAATAAGTGTGTATATTTAGCAATAATTTTCAAATCTTTCAAAAGATCTCTTGCCAATTTGAGTTTAAATGGAGATAAAATCATAAATGATTAATTTAACCAGAATGTTACTCTGTCAATCAACCGTAAGACTGACATCTTGATAAATTAATAAAGATCTTTCTGAAAGAGTCTACTAAGCTAATATGCAGATTAAACAAATGTGTTGATAGCTGAACATATGCCCCTTTAGAGCCTAGAAGTATCAAATATGAAACCTACTAAAATTTTGATTTAAAAAATCATACCTGCAGGCCTTGTCCATCTACAGTAACAGAGTTGGCTCTTTGCATTTTATTCTTGTCAATCACTTTGTTTGGCTGCTGGGAACCACTCTTTTCCTTTTTCACTGTTGATTGTCTTTCCTGTAAAAAAGAAAATTTTGATAAAAATAAAAATTAGGAAAATAACATAATAAAATGTTAAGTTGTTTTTACTAATAGAAGAGTTTCATGGTTACAAACACAGGCTCAACTTTCTAATTTGAAGTTCCTAGTGAATAATATGAAAGCTGTTGTTTTCAACTGGCTCAATATATATGATAGCTTCATGATCGAACCACCATTTAAAGAAATAATGAGAAAGAATACCAAATTGTATTATCCCTATGTGCCCAATTATGACTCTTTATCAAAAGTTACTAACGATTACTGAAGTTGATTATTTTCATATGTAATGATACAGATAAAGGGTACAGGATTATAATTTAAAGAATGTGGTATTGAGTACTAAGAAAAGCTTATAAATACATGCAATATTGAAAATTATTTTTAATTGCATGATGGACTTTTAAGCTACTATTTATATCAAAAATAGCATATATCTTAAAACTGACATTCCATCCCAGCTAATTACTTTGTTCCTCATAGTAAAAAAATTTCTTTTAGGAGTTGCCTGCTCCCTGTTTCTATTTCCTCTCTTTTCACTCTCTCTTAACACAACCCAATCAACTTGTATCACCATTACTCCACCAAACTATCTTTTACTAAAATCACCAATGACCGTCTCAGTTTCACATCTAATGATCAGTCTTCATCTTCTCAAATCTTTCAGCAGCATCTGACAGAATTGATCTCTTCTTACTCTTTGAAAACTTGCCTCACGTGGCTTCCAGGACACTTCTTTCTCTGAGCTCTCTTCTTCCTTCACAACTTCGCCCTCATAGTCTCTTTTGCCCATTGCTTCTCCAGCTTTGCCACCTGTAAGACTCAGCCTCTTCCTTGGACCTCTCATCATCTCTATCTACCCTCACTCCCTAGGTAACTTCATTCATTCCCACAACTTTCAATTTCATTTTTATGAAGATTTCTAAATGTATAATTCTTGTTCTGATTTCTACCTGAGCCTTAATTTCCACATGCAGATGCTGTTTCTGTATGTCCACATGAAGGCCTAAAGCACAACATTGTAAAATGTCCAAGATTAGTTTTAAAATTTCCTGCCTACTCTGTCCCTAGAAAATAAATCTCAAACTGGATGACAACTCACCACCTGCCTCATTACATGGCTTAAACATCCATTATCTTTTTGTGCTTGGATTATTGTAACTATCACCTAATGAATCATTCTACTTCCATTTTTGTCTCCCTACACTCAGTTCTCTACACAAAAGCCAAACTCATCCCTTTTTTTTACCCTACTCCAGCTGCACTGGCTTCCTCATTGTTCCTTGATCATAACAATCATGCTTTAAATTCAGAGCTCTTGCAATCATTCTGCAGTCTGCTGGAAAACTTGCCACTGCACATTTGTGGGCCTTGGTCCTGACTTCAGGATGTGGTCAAATGTCAGAGAAGTTTCTCTAGTCCCTTGAGCCTCCTTTTAAAACATCAATTATTACAACCTAAAGTATTATTTATCTGATTTGTTTAATTGTCTGCATTCTTTCATCTTAATCAAAGTTCCATAAGCAAAAGAACTTTCTTTGTGTCACTGGTCTATATCAGATCCTAAATCAGTGACTAACAAAAGTCAGGATAAATCAAGAAATAAATGAAAACTTTTTTGAAAAGTTTTCTAAGTTCTTGAAGCAACTGTTGAGAAGGATTCTTAGGGATTTTAGGCTTGATGTGAAAAATTGTCCTAATTGATTGGCAATGCATGCCATGGGTGCTTAAGTGCTTTAGTGCCACACATTTCCTATCACTTACTCAGCTATATATATTTCCTAGTTCCTATATTTGCTTGTTAGAGTACCATTTCAATTTCTATAATTTAGAAAGATCGGATTTTATTTGTGCAAATGTATGGGGTAACTGAGAAATGTTTTACATGTAAAGGGTATTTAGAGTGATCATTGCCCAAGTACAATACATTTATTAAGTATAATCACCCTTCTCTGCTATCAAGCATTGAATTTATTCCTAGAAAGACATTTTTAAATAGCTTTGAAAGTAAAGCTGTTTTTAAATATATTAGGGCTAGATGGATCAGAAATCGTCTCTGACTAAAATAATGCTAATCAATATAGTCCATTTACCTTGCAATTCCATGGTGCAAAAACACTGAATATATTTTGTGTGTGGCTGAAAATGGATGCCATAATAGGATTCCTGAAATTCAAGTCGTTTGGAAAGTGATGTGCTTTCATATAAGCATAATTTCTGGCAAAAATATTGATTTTTAAAAGAAAGTTCCTTCTTTTTAAGTTTGCAAATTATAATTTTATTCATAGATAGTTAAATGGCATAATGTATATAGGAGTGAATTATTAGATGAGGTCTCGAATCAGAATGCCTGAGTTGAATCTCATCTCTACTACCTAAGTATTATGTAACCTAGAGGGTTTATGCTTTGGCAAAATGGAGATAGTGATACCTATTTCTCAGAGTTGTGTAAGGTTTAATATAAAATGTATAGTCTGTAATATTGTCACTACATTAAAGTATGTATTCAATATAACAGTTACTATGAATGATGTAAAATAGTTGTGGTTGCCTTTTTGGGTACTCATCAACATTGTTTTTATATTTCCAAATGTGTGTGTGTATGAAAAAACATTCAGTGGTTACGTCAGGAACATATTTAAAATTTAAAAGTTCAACGCTTATATTTGAAAATGCATAGCTTGTGTTAGCTGTTCAAAAACTTAATGCTGTTGGTGAGTGTGGAAATAATTTACTCCAGCATTCTTGCATGCATATATATAAAACATGGCATCAATATTTTGTAAAAATCTGCAATGTGAAAGATATACCTTAATACAGTTATTCTTCCTAATTATCCAACAATTGTTGTTTGGCATTCAATTTATAAAATGCTTACACTTGAAGAATTAAATAAAATTCAATTTGATTAGTTACAATGGAACTGGGAATTTGCACCAGATTATATATTTATGTTTTAATGGAAATTTAAGACATGCAAGTATATGTTTTTAAAGAGCTATGAAACCATCTATTAATATGACTTTACTTTTGGCCACACGTATAGCTAGGGAAGTTCTTGTGTTCTAAGAACCTCCAAATGGCAGAGATAGCAGTTGATTAAATGGCATCATGTCCCTCCAAGTAGTCACCCCCCTAAGTAAGTTGGGCAGGAGACTAAACAATTGCTTTAGTGTAAACAATCAGAAATAATACAAACAGGCTGCATGTGGTGGCTCACACCTGTAATCCCAGCATTTTGGGAGGCTGAAGCAGGCAGATCGCTGGAGCCCAGGAGTTCAAGACCAGCTTGGGCAACATGGTGAGCCCCTGTCGCTACTAAAAACGCAAAAATATAGTCGGGCATGGTGGTGGACACCTGTGGTCCCAGTTACTCTGGAAGCTGAAGTGGGAGGATCACTGGAGTCTGGGGATGGAGGTTGCAGTGAGCCAAGATTGTACCACTGAACTCCATCCTGAGAGACAGAGTGAGACTCTGTCTCAATAAATAAATAAATATATAAATAAAAACAAATTTTAAAACCCTAAGTTGAGTTTTCAACTTATGAGATTTCATTTATGAAATCCAGAATTATGAGAAAGAGGTATATAACAAGTTAATTTTTAAATCCTCAGTGTATCCATCTGTCTGTGTATTTTATTATAGTATCTAATACTAAAATGGTAAGCATTCATTTAAACACAAACACACAGACACACGCATCAAGAAAACCAAGTGATTTCTTTGGGGAAAAATGCAAATGTGTGGAATTTGTGCAATTAATCCAGTCTAAAATCTTAAAAACAGGAGAGCCTCATCACTATTTAATTTTTCTTCTATTTCCATTGAGAAAATTGTCTCTCCTTTTTATATGAGGGACAGGAAGGGGGAGGCAACTGTATCCTCAAAAAATTTCCTGTCCACCAGGTTTCACTAGCTTTTTTGGGAAGGTAAATTGACCCTGACTGGCAGACCTCTATTATGATATTTATGAGAGTTAATTACCAATGTTGAAGTTATTGAAAGTTTCAGAAAGAGCTCACCAATCTTAGGTTGCACAATCATTCAGGATAAAATTGCTCTCTGATAATAGGGGACAAAGTTTGCCATTTAACCTTCAGTTTCTTTCTTTAAGTTTTGGGGCTCTAAACCACAAAATAAATTACATTGTTGTAATTAAGGCAAATTTCCTTCTGCCAGATAAATCATCCTAGATATACAAAGAGTTGGAAAATTGTTGCTTTAATCAATAGAAATTATTCAAACACTGAAAAGAGCTACTCTAACTAAAAAAAAGTCATGAAAGAAAATAGAACATATAACTACAAAATATAAAATACAGTTATTGATATTTGAGCATTTTCAAATATCAACCATTTGTGTTTGCTATGTAGACATTTTAAATATAGAATTCAGTGTTTTGTGATCCGTAGACTCCACAAGTAGCACAACAGATCTTAACTGGGGAATATATTGTATTAGAATTCCAAAAGAATAATCATCATCATAAACAGAGAAGAAAAGCCAAAAAGACCATTCACAGAAAATAGAAAGGTGAAATGAATAAAATAAAAAGACCTCACTTTAAATATGTGCTCTAAAAAAAAAATCTTTGTCTACATCATGCTGATTCTCAGAGGTAGAGTATTTGTACACTGGTGAAAACTGCTTTCACAAAAGGGTTGTTTACCACAATACTTAAGCCTGCTGTTATCGATCGCTGGCAAACTGCAAGCAGCAAGTGATGATTACCTCAAGAACAGGGTTTTCTTCTTTTTGTCCAATCTCAGCATGAGAAACTGGCAGCAGCAAAGCACCTCCACTGGTACAAAGCTACAAAGGCGAGTGCTTTCCTGCCAACAGCATCCATCACTTGTATCGTAGAACTTACTTTCCCTGCTACTACTGCACAACTTGCCTGAATGGAGATTTAGTCCTTTCTGCCACTGGAGCTAGGCCACATGAATTTTCCAGAAACCCTAGAGTTTTTAACCCAAGGTATCATATAGATTCACAGCAGTTAAGATCTCTCTGATGCAGAAATGTTACCACATTCAGCAGGGCTTACGAAGGTTCGGTCTGAGACACCAACTTACTAACAAACTGCAAAGCTGCACCTTTAATCAATATGGACTGAACGTGGGATTTGAACATTTTAATGGTTGAAGGAAACAAATTCATTTCAAAAATGATGAAGGCTCTAAATCTATTAGTAATCTTTGGAAATTGCAGCAAAACTATTTGCTGACTAGAAAAAACAGTTTTGATTGTTTTTAATTATAAAGTTTTAAAGATAAATATAATAAACGATATAAGGTCTAAAGATTTTTATTTCTTTTAAACTTAGTTAAGTAAGTACTTTTAAAAAAGGCAAAAACAACTTTTTGTAAAGGCAAAAGTATGAGTTTAGAAGCCAAATTGCAGCTTTGTCTTTTATTTCTGTGTAAGCTTGGGCAAGTTATTTACCATTGCTATGTTACCACTTATTTTAACTATAAATTGGAAAGCTTATGTTAGAAAAAAGTAAGAAAATTTAGACAAAAGTACTGACATAAAACAGGCACTCAGTAAATGGCAATGATTTTAAAGTATAGATAAAAAATTTTATTTATTTTATTATTAAGTTAATCACAGGTATACTGCTTGGTCATAGCAGTAAAAGGTAAGTGTTGTAAGAAGTATGATTTATTTAACATCCTGTACTTTATTTGCCCACTAAGTCACCATAGCTGAGAATAATTGCTGTGGTGATTTGGGTGGTGTCTTTTTGGGAGACGGGGGACAACAAAACAGACAAAATGACAACTGGTCTTAAAGTACCTGGGGGTGTTAGTCACTTCCTACACTTGAAGGTACACTTGGTGACTTGATCCATAAGTCCCGGTTTTCACACATTACACATGAAGTTCATATTTTCTCCTAGGATGATTTTATCCTGGGTATAAACCACTTACAAGATTTCTGTTAAGGAAATTCTTATTGGAGGGAATGAAATTTAGGAATAAGAGGGTCTATGCCAAAATAATTCAATTTTGGCTATGTGCTAGTACATGGCAGCACCATTATAAAATAATGTGTGTATGTCTGTGTCTGTGTGTGTGTGTGTGTGTGTAGTATACATACACATATATGTATGTGTATACTTTATATACAAAAGAAGACTTTGGGCTAGGCGCGGTGGCTCACACCTGTAATCTCAGCACTTTGGGAGGCTGAGGAGGGCAGATCACGAGGTCAGGAGTTCGAGACCAGCCTGGCCAACATGGTGAAACCTCATCTCTACTAAAAATACAAAAAATTAGCCGGGCGTGGTCACGTGCGCCTATGATCCCAGCTACTTTGGCGGCTGAAGCAGGAGAATCGCTTGAACCCGTGAGGCAGAGGCTGCAGTGAGCCGAGATCATGCCACTGTACTCCAGCCTGGGAGACAGAGTGAGACCTTGTCTCAAAAAAACAAAAAAAAAAAACAACAAAAAAAACCAGACTTTGTAACCAACCTCAACATTCCTCTTTCTCCAATCCCTTTGTAAACCATACTGACTGTCATCCACAGTAAACTGAAAGTAAGTACCAGGAGGCAGCTCTCTTATGCTCACACTCATTGTCTCTTTCTACCACCTAAGCTAAATGCTCAACACAGTGACTTATTAGCCCTCAATCTGTTTATGCCAGTTCTAAGTAAAACTTACCTTGTAATTGTAACTGTGTAATTTAATTATTACTCAAATCATTGAATTTTGAATACAAAATGAAAGAGTCATCTTTATAAAAAATAACCTGCAAGCTTTAGAAAGACAAAATAACACAAGTTATGTGTGTGTGTGTGTGTGGTGTGTATGAGGAGTGGTCAAGTTAAGTTTAGAGAGAACAACTGTGCAAGCTTTGGGTATTAATAATAAAAATAGTATTTTTACACTCAGATTTCTTCACAGATGTTCTTGAGTTTTTGCTATACTTTAAAAGAATTGAAACTATTATAAGTGATAAGATTGTGATATATACAAGAAAGGCAAGATACCATTTCCAATTAGAAGATCTGTCCTCATAGAAAAGCCCTTAATCTTCAAAAATATAGCCAATGAATATAAATGTACATATTTTAAGTTAAACATTTAATGTATGTATATATCTTTCTATATGTTCTCCCACATATACTTTAACCACATTTTCCGTTAACCAAGGAGCAACTGTTCCTGATGGCAGAACATAAGGTTTCTTGTCTTTCTGTGTGTATATATGTGTATTCACACACTCAGCCATGCATATATCCATGCATGGGCTTAAGGAAATTTTTGGAACAACAAAGTTGAAAAATCTTATATAATGACTTTGAGGGATACTGGAAAGTTTAAGTTAATGTAAACCAATATATAGTGCCAGAAAAAAATAACTATAGGAAGACTTTTAAAAACTTCATATCAAAATAAAGACTTTTTTCCTGAAAATTAAAAAAATATATAAAAACAAAAATTTGGATCTATTTACTCAATCTATATGACACAAATTATATAACTGAATGCATGGGGATGCTTTGGAGATTAACAGATCTAAAGAGAAAAGTTTAGATCTCAAATGCAATGCCTATATTTGCTTGATTGGGCTGGTAATCGGGGCAGAAACAAACTCAAGAACCTGAGGATGCAAAATTAATTCTCTCACACTTAAATAACCCAATGAAATAATAAACTGTCCTAATACTTTTGTCACTTGAGTGTGTAATTTAGCATCTCTATTTTATAATAATAATTGTGATAATAATGTCACCAACTCACTTAAAGAATATAAAATCAGTTTAACATTTTCTTAGATTAGAAACATTATATTTAAGTGTATGTCCAAGTATTTTTGAGTATGTCTCTGGTTAAAAATGAGAACTTTTTTTTTAATTTAACGAAGAGGTCTACACTGATTAAAAAGCCATTTTTGGTGGGGAGAAAAGAGCAGTTATGACACTTTTTTACAAACATGTTATCCTCTAAATAAATTCATAATCTTATGTAGCATTCATATAAGCAATACTTTCTAAAATAAGCAGATTTTAATTACAATTTTAGGGAAACAATACCATTTGGGCATTTCCTATAGAGATAATAACAATTGAATTGGATACTGTCACAGAACAATGTGGAGGCTTTGCATCATCAATGCAAAGGTAAAGCAAAAATGTTACTGAAAATAATGTTGTGGCAATGCTTACATTTGTTTTCAAAACAAAAGCCATTTATTCTGACTATATTTTATTCTGATGTTTCTCTATACAATGGCATGGGCTAGGTGATTAATGCTGCATTCATTTGAAAGTGATGGGCACTTCAAAGTAAGCAAGAGTCTCTCAACATACTGCCATTGAAACTTATATTTTGATGGCTCAAAGAATAAATTCTTTTGGATTTCCAGCAATGTATCTACATTTTAACGTGAAAAAATGGGAGTGGCACTATTTTTCTATGTAGTAAAAACTCTTTGTAAAGTAACCTTTATTTTTCTCTGTGAAGTCTAGGTCACATAACTTCTTGTTTTCTTAATGCTTATCACAAATATAGATGGAAAATTCTTCAAGTCTATCCCATCACTGAAAATATGAAAACCACCACTTCCAATTAGCAGAATATGAAAAAAATAAAATATAACATGCTGGTATTCGAATGTCACTGAGCCAGCACAAAATGTTCTTTACAGCAATACAAGATGTATAATGACCTATAATTTTAAGTGTGAAAACCTGTTTTTGCTTACGCACCTCAGGAACTGAAACTCCTGAAGTGGGCAGAGTCTGCTGAAAAAGAGAAGTTCATATGAAAGCTGAAAAAGAGTCAAACTCAAAACAAATCAGTGAAGTTTCTCATATCATTACATGCCTGTGAAATAAATGAGTAAATTAAAAATACATTTCCTTGGTATAATTTTACTGCTTCCTTGAATTAAATAATTAAATATCTTTTCATTGAATAAGAAATTATCTAACACAGAGTGGGTTAGGTTGTGAAATTATTTATCCAAAACACAACTTCATCTACCCAAAGCATGCTGATCAACATCTTTGGTCAGCTTTAGCTCCAAGTTCCATTCTCTTTAATAAATAATTTCCACTAAGTTTTTTTAATTTGCCCCTTTACCCATCCCAATTTTCATTTTGAAGTCCAACTCTCATTCTTTCCTAAAAATACTGTGTCTTTTGAACACAGACATAGCTTATGATGTTCATTTTGTTTTGTGATACTCTGGAAATAAGAAAACATATTCCATTAATACCAGTAAAAGAATAAAAACTATAATTAAATAAGTAGCAAGAATTTTACTTGAGAGTAATTTTTTTAAGATGGGGTTAAATACATTGACATTAGTCTTCACAACTGTGTTTTCCATTATCTACCACTACTACCCACTTTGTAGTTCATATTGGAAAGCCTTTTTTTTTTTGACAAGAAATGATAAAAGGTCACTGAATTCCAAAAGCCTGCATTCTATGGAAATGAGAACATAAAATACAAATTTGGATAATTAGTTGACAAATCACACACACAATACTAGATAAAGTTTCCCCATGCTGGAACGGGAGAAGAAAAGTTGGATGGGATGCCAGTTCTTAGATATTTGTGTCCCTGAAAAGAAGGAGGTAGTCAGAATTCCCTTTTCCTCCCTAGATACGAGCTATCTGAGGGAGGGTCTGGGCAGTGCTAGATCACCAAGATGGGTATGAAAAATCTGATAGTCCAGATATTATTATAGTCCCTTACCCAGGAGAACTTTAGAAAGGCAGCAAGAACCAAAAAAAAAAAAAAAAAAAGAAAAAAATAGCTGAATCTGAGATAGGTAAAACCTGACACCCTCACAGCTGTGCAGAATAGAGATGGACTAAAAGCATTCAGTGCACTCAAAAGTGACACAGAAGGAGAAGAAGAGGTCTAGCACAGCCCCACAGAAAATTAAGGTGTTCAGGAATACAGCTCTATTTGGAAGATATTTCCATAATATAAGTAGAAAGTACTGTAGCTGCAGATTTCTAGTCAAAAGAAGCCACGAAGTGGAAGAGTATGAGCTCTGGCCAACTATCCATTCCACAGGAGAATCTAATGGAAGTAATTATTGTTGTTTTGAAGATGAATTGACAGTAGGTTTGGTAGAGCCTTTACTGAAAACTTCCTGATTTCAGTAACATTCTTGACTTCTGAGTCCAAATCAGTCTACATAACACCAGGGACAACGAATATTTGTGCTAGTTTCTCTCTGGGTCAGTTCAAAGATATTTGCCAACCTTATTATCATTCTTTCTTAGCTTCGGGTTGAAGCTTAAGGTCTGAATAAAATTGCAAGACATGGATATAGTCCTTCCATCTTTATCATAATATATACAAGTTTGTTCTTCAAATTCAGGTCAGGAATGTAATCCTATGGATCCTTATCCCATTCTGTGCCATGGACCCAGGAAACTCTCAGAGACTCTCAAGCAACCAAAATAAGAGACTTCAATCAGCCTCCAGAGCCTGAGTCAGAGATGCCTTTTACCTTAGAAGAGTGTATGCTTACCATGCATACATTTGCAGAGAGCAGGCACTGGAAAGCCAAGTGAAAAGATTATGGCTGTCTAAATGGTTCAGAATAACAACCAAATGCAATTCAAGAGCTTCAGATAGATCCTGGTCCACTTTCACTTTTACCATGCCCAAAAAGTAAATAAATAAAAGCAACAGAAGGCATTTTGGGGATAACTGTAGACATTTGAATATGGACAAGATAATGACTGATATTATGGAATCATTGTTAATTTTCTTAGGTGAGAGTATAATAATGTCATTAGGTAGAAAATTGTCCTTAGTCTTAGAAGGTGCTTGCTGAAATATTTAGTGATGTGGTGTTAGGCTATGTGCAGCTTACTTTCAAAAGCTTCAGCTTTATATATATATATACACATACATATATATTTATATGTAAAGAAGTATATATAAAGAAATTATGGCAACACAATAGCAATTATTGAATATATGTGGAAAATATATTGGATTTTTTTATTGTTAGTGAATATTTTCTAATAAAATTTGAGAGAAGAAAGTTCTTTCTACCTCTTCATTATATCCTTTAACGCCTAAAAGTGTGTAAAAATGTTTCTACAATGAAATAAAAATATGTACATTATCTCAGTGAAAACTATGAAGTTGCTAGAAGGTTGGGAGAGAAGTCATAGGAGTGGGTGGGAGAGAAATAAGGAGCACTATTTTCATGGAAACAGAGTTCTCATTTAAGATGAGTAAATAGAGGTAAGTTTCTAGGCTGCTGGGAAAGAGGAACAGAGAAAGAGGGGGAACTGTTAAAGATAAATGAAAAACAAGGCTTTTTAGAAAAAAGCAATATTTCAATTAGAGCAGAAGCCCTTATTGACAGGCATCGCACTTTTCCAAATGTGTTCCTTTTGGGTCTCAAATGCAGAAACCCACAGCGGCCAAAAGATAATACAAATAGGTAAAACAGGTCCGATGTTGCAAAGGTAAAGACTGTGCCATGCTGGATAATAATCCTCCCATTTGAAGTTATCCAAAAAAGAAAAAGAAAAGACACTGTGGTATGAAATTGAAACCTAGCTACCACTTTGCAATTAATTGGCAATTCATGGATAACATACTTGAAGTCTTCCTCTTTCTCAGAGCAGCAGGGGTATGAGATATCTACTGATAGAGAGCAAGTGAGGTTGGCAGAGAGGTGGTACAATGAAAAAGGTAATGAAACAGAGGTTTGTCACTTCTTTTCTGAAAATAAAAAAGCAGTTTGCTAAGGATGAGTAGCAGGATCAACCAAAACTGATGACCCAGCTGGAGCTAGAAGTTTTAAATATGTAAGAGAGAAAGCCACCAGCCCTAAGAATTTTCTTATGCAACACTCAGCCTTCTGAGAGCAACACTAGAAATTTACTCCAAGAATAAGAGTGACAAAACCAACATATATCTAACCTCATTTACAATCAAAATGTGTAAAGAGTTATATATTAAATGTACATGCCCATCAGTAGTTTATTCCTGTTACAATGAGCAAACCATGGTACTTAGATCTAAAAGAAAAGTAGAAACTTATTAGAAAATAAATTTAGCTATCGTATCACTTCTTTTTTTACTCTCCTGTACTTAATTTTTAAATATCAAAGATGAGCAGAGTAAATGTTTTGGTTTTTTTGAAAATCATCATGAGTGCATGATTCTAAATGTAATATATTTTTAATCAGAATTAATACAGAAACTGTATATTTTTATTTAATCCAATGTGAGGTGTGACTACAGAGGAATGTGATTGATTTTATTTGATCAGTATCTTTTTAATATTAAATAGAATACACAGTACAGATAATTAGTTTAAAAGATGCATTTGCCTTCAGGGCACTCATTAAGTTCAATTTAATATCAAAGAATTTTTTAAAATTCTATTATTCTTAAGTATTAGGATATCTCTTGTCTTCATATTTTCTAATGTGTAATCATTTTAAATTGACAATTTAATCCAAATTGTCATAGGACAAAGAAAAATCTTTGGTGGAGATTATTGGAGGTTTGACTTAGTTAAGATATAATGAGAGCACAGTACTCACATTAAAAGGGTCATTAGTTATTTCAGGCTAAAGGAAAACTTTAAAAATGATACCTTATACCTACATAAGAACATTTATATTTTTATATATATATTTTACATTTATATATTTTTCATGTTTGCTATCTTGCCTCATTTAATACTCCCACTGAAACAAGATACTTTATCTTTCAGGTTAGGAAGCTGAAAATCAGAGAGCTTAGATGCCTAACCCAGGAAAACAAAGTTAGTGACAGAATATTGCTTCCCTAACCCAGGCTCTATTTATTCAAATAACAGTAGTTGCAAGAGGAGACTTTTTAAAATTACTATTTTTAGCCTTGCCTTCATTTTTTAAGTGGTTTGGAAATAAAATTATTTTAAAATATTGATGAAGAATGAAAAATATTTAGAAATCACTATATCTACAAAGTGATACACACACACACACACACACACACACACACACACACTTGTTTTGCCTGAAAAACTGGCTTGAATAATGTGAATTAATTTAACACAATAACTTCCAGTGTAGTAGTTAAAGTGTTCCAAATATACAATTGGATATCTCTGGCATCAAAAAAGTAGTAAGAGACAGAGAAAAAAAACTAGGGTAAGATAAAGAAAAATTGTCTTCATAAAATGACACTTTGTCTTAGCTGGACAGGTAAAGTTGTTCTCTCAAACAAGATAATAAAGTGTATTATCTCTAGGATATAAAAATTACATATATTTTTGGCTTCCATGTTTTTTTTATATTTCAGTTTCATATAATTTGTTTAAACTTTATAATTCTTGAGGTCCTTAATTGTGTACACTCACACATATGAATACAATGCAAGTTTTAAAAAGGACGTGAGATAAAAATGATTTTAATACTATTGTTGTCTTTATTAAAACCTTTAGTAAGAGATTATTTCAGTCATAATACAAGCAAGACACTGAAAAGAAACATAAATTATTTTTCTTTTCCACAAAAATTCTGATATGTCTAATTAAGATGTAACTATAAAAATAAAACATTTTAAAAGCTACACATATTGTAATCTTATCCAGGGTCCCTTGACTACTTCTCACCTGACTCAAATTTTAAAGTTTGCATTAACAGAAATTTAATGGTAAAATATATTTTTAACTGTGGTTACTTCACTACCCTTCAACTGTAATTGCTCACAAAATATTCCATTCTTACTTAGTAAATATGATTGTTTATGTCTATTTGTAGAGTTTTGTCTGGAGGCTATTGACAAGAAGGGAACCAACAGAATTTTAAAAAATAAAAACATGTATTTGGGGGCTATTAGAGACACAGAAGAAATTATGGAGGAGGGTAGAAAACATATCAAAGATAGAAAGCAATGGAGAAAAATGGAGACAGAGGAAGCTCTTAGAAGAAAGAAAGAACAAAATTCTCTCTCTGTTGTTTTCCTCAATTATAGAAACTGTTCTTTCCAAAGACTGAGCAAAGAAAACTATGAAATCGAGGAGGAGAAAGAGGGGAGCTGATATTTAGAGCACCCATCTTCAAAACACATTTCAAAATGAAACATGCACATCCTATTGACTATTTTTTCAGATTATTCTTCAGAACTCTTAATTTACATATAATTCATTAATAGATACCTATTTATGAATGTGTATATGTATATGTGATTATGTTTGTGTATGTTTGGGACAGGGATCTGAGGGAAGTTGGTAACTTGAAAAAATCACCCCCTTCAAAGAACTCAGTATAATAGACTGATACATACAAATTTTATGTTCATAAAATTAATCTATAATATTTCCTGTTATGCCTATTTTATCTCCCTATAAAAACGAGAGCCAGTTCTAGAAATATATCATTGTATAGTTAGCGTATTGCTGCTTTCCAGAATACAAATATAGCACTATAGGTAATGAAAGTATATTGATAATAATATTTAGAATTAAAGCCTAGGTCTCCTTTTCACCATCCTTGAAAAAGATCTTGAATTAAAAAACAAAGAGGTTATAATGGAATTTGTTCTTGTCTTTTGCTCCTTTAAATATCCATTGATCTCATGCCAAAGTATTTTCTAACCAGGTTAAAGTCCAATTCTGTACTCACGTTAGGCTAAGATTCAATTGAGTTAAAATTTTACACTGACTGCCAGTCAACCTTATCATGAACTTTCATTATGTGCATGTAATTAATTGGGTCCAACGAACAATATCAGTTCTGAGTTATAGACTCTTTTCCCCCGACCATATAATTAGAATATAATTACCCACAGGATATCAGAATGATGCAGAACCTTTCCTCTAAATGCGCCCTCATTAGGAAACAAGTCTCAATGTACACTTATTCAATCAGTGTGAATTAATTAAAATGTTACTGAAATAAAAGAGGGTAGCGATAAAGAGTATCTGACATCTATTAAGAGTCTATCACTAGAGATCTGCATGCACAGTTTATATTTAAATCCTTTTAGCCGAAATAGAAACTTTGCTATGTAATGTTATATACATCCAGTGTACTAGGAAATCTGAGTACATACATCGGTGTGTGTCATCATTTTTGAAAAGAGTACAAGATACGATAACTATAGAATCTTTAAGAATTGGGTAGGAATCTAAGAGCCCCATTATTCCATAAATATGTCATCATCAGATAGAATCTACCTGGCGGGCAAAAATCATTTTAACTCAAACTACCTAAGCAATTATTGGTTTAACCCACAACCTTATATTACAAATCTGAAAATATTTGTCCCAAAATTGCTTAGGAGACAACAATTCGAAAAGCCCAGATTTGTGAAAACACTAATTATTTTTGTCTTTATAAAATAACCTGAATTCCTTAAGCTAGCTCAAGTTATTACAGTAGCATATTTTCTTTAAGCAGCACATTCAAATACAGCTAAGAATAGCTTCTTTTTAAGAGAATAAATAATACATCATACCACACATTCTGATTATATAAAACACATTTAAAAATAGTAAATGCACAAAGAAGCTGAGGGACACATGATACATAGCGCACAAGAAGCTGCGGATTCAAACAGTAACATTCTACCTAAGAGCTATTCATCTTTATTTCTCCAGGTGTATAGTTATATTCAATAAAACTTTGCTAAATAAATAACCCGTGTACAAAGGAATACTCAGCATTAGTCAGAAACAATGCCATGAACTGTTAACATAAAAATTTCAGAGCTGCATGTAATAAACTAAGATATATACATATTTTCAAGCTTTCAGTGTTATTATATATTCCTCAGAAAATTTTAGATACAGAAAAAGGTTTTATAAAACATAGTTCTGGTAATAAAAATTTGGCATTCACTTTTATAAGTAGACATGCACCACTTTGTAATGGAAATTCTGCATGAGTATTAAGATAAACTAGGCTATCTACAAATGTATACTTTTTATATGCTCTTTAGGAGCAAACTTCAAGCAGTTTTAAATTATTAGTCTTTTTTACAAGAATGTTTAACTCTATAAGATTATATATATATGTGTGTATATATATATACATGTGTGTATACATGTATATACTTGTGATTACAACATTCAAAAATATGTTTTATATACCTATATATGTGTATATACACATATATACATATATATATATGCATGTTGTAATCACATTCTGGTATAATATTCTATTCAGACACTAAACTCATCTTGGTGGAGACCAAAAGTGAGAGAAATAATGGTTCCACTCTGCTAAGCAAATGAAGATTGTCTCACAAAGGTTTGCTTTATTCTTAACCTAAAATTTTTTTAGAATTTCAGTAATAAATACATGTAGCTACAGTTGCCTGCTGAAAATATTCTATTGGAGTAACATTCACTAAAATGCCACATTAACTAAGAGTAATTACTACCAAAAAGCCACAATTTCTAAACAAGAGAATGTGAATATTTTTGAAGTTCCATTCTATAATAAACATCAATTTTCATTTTCTGAACACAAAGAAGAATGATTATTTATTATATTTTACATGGAAAACTATATTGCTTAAATTATATTTAAAAATCAGATTTTTAAATACAATTTAATATCCAGAGAAAAACATCTCAATTCTCCTCAGAATTCTGAAAATGTTCCCTTTATATTCTCTACCTGCTGTAACTCCTCATTTTACATGTGAGGCATTTTACAGTACCATCTATTGGATATTTTATATAACTACAACACATAAAACTCACCAGCTTTTCGAAATTTAGTAGTAACTATAAGAAGCTGCAAGAGCCATTCCGGAAACTAAATACAATGCTACTTTGGTATCCACTAACATTTCCTCATCATCACACACTTTAAACTCAATTTTATTAGCTTCTAACAAAATGATTTAATTATGAGTTACCAATGATTTTTTAAAACCAAGCCTCCTTGTTATATATTTGTTTTAATTTTTACTTGATATATATGTTACTGTCTGATATATTTTTTCTTGACTCAGGGAAAAGAGTGATAAATGATGGGAATTTTCAAAAGCTGACTGAATGCTATTCATTCACTCAGCAAATATTTGTTAAGCATCTAGTCTATGACCAAATCAAATTAGGCACTAGACATAAAGAGATACACCCTTTTGCTGGGAGTGATAAGAATAATGGGGGTGCTAGTCAATGAGCATAAGGGACAGTTTCACAAGAAATGTTTCAAGTTCAATTCCTGCTATGTTGACTTTAAGCTTCTGTGGGATATATCTGAGAGGAAACTTAAAACATGAAGTGAGGGCCGGGTGCAGTGGCTCATGCCTGTAATCCTGGCACTTTGGGAGGCTGAGGCAAGTGGATCATCTGAGGAGTTTGAGACCAGCCTGGCCAATATGGTGAAACCCATCTCTACTAAAAAAATACAAAAATTATCCCGGCATGGTGGCTTGCTCTTGTAATCATGGCTACTCAGGAGGCTGACCCAGGAGAATCGCTTGAACCCGGGAGGTGGAGGTTGCAGTGAGCTGAGATCACGCCACTGCACTGCAGCCTGGGCAACAAGAGTGAAACTCCATCTCAAAAATAAATAAATAAGTTTATTTATTAAATTAAAAAAAACACGAAGTGAGCATTTCGATCTAGATGTATGTGGGGAGAATGGGCTCATACAGACACATGCAAACATGGTAGCTGTAGCTCTGGAACTGGATAACATAATTTATAAAGTGTGGGTGTAATAAGATGAGAATTGAAGAAAAAACTGAAGTTTTACACATATTAAAGAATGAAAGGAAGACTAGGGATTTAGTAATATTGACAAAGTGTGGCTTAAAAGGTAAAAGAAAACCTAGTGGAAATGCACTGGATGAGTGTTAGAGGCTATCAAAGGTAAGCATCTCAGTGTCAAACACTGTAGAGCATTCAAAACAGATTATACTTGGAAAGGGTTTCCAGTAGATGCTGTTGGTAGCTCAAAGCAGATCCTTTGCTACCTTGCCAGAGCAACTATCACCAGCTGCTATGAGTGTTAACTTCTGAAAGCTTGCAGCCGTCCCTAAGAATTAACCTTTATCCACAGAAATAGGCTGTGCCAGGAGGCCCTAGATAATGACTGACACATAGGTGAGGAAAGGCCAGCCTTCTTGCCTTAAGTTAGGAACAATCCTATGATTGGATTTTTGCTGCAAAGCCCTAAAGGTACGGGCCAAGGCTAAACTATCACTATGATCAACATTCTTGCTTAGAGCTTGCCTCTTCCTTTTTCTGCCTCCCTCCCTTCATTATAGGTTGTTTTGTTTTTGTTTTTGTTTTTTTCTAAAGAACTTTTTCTCCCTCCATAAATCACACAAAGCCAAATCTTGGCTTAATGCTCTACTCCTTAGGAACCCACCTAAAAGAGTGCAATTCGATTTAGTAAGGATAGCAAGAACAATTTCATATCCATGTTACAGTCAGAAGTTACACTAAAGTGGGTTGAGAAGGAAGAGAGGAATGTGACACAGTGGGTGTTATCTACACACCTGCACAAACATACTTATGGTTATGTGAAGAGCCAGACAAGAGTCAGCATGCAAATACAGGAAATAGAATTGCACAGGAGAAGGACAAACAGCCCTTTCACTGGAATGAGTTCTACAACACACTAATAGTAAAAACAATATTCACCTACTGGACTCAAATCATGATGCTGTTTAGTACTAAATTACATAAGTGTGCTGGATTATACCTTGTCTGGGTTTTTCCTATTGTAAATTAGGAAATTGATATTTTATTAAAGATCTGTGACAAATGCCATGAAAGGAGAAAAATGTGGAATTCCAGGAGAATTAAGGCAGAGAATACTAGAATGAAAGAAATCTGAAAGAATATACGCATTGGGTGGCTCAAGGATGTTGAAGAAATGATAATCAAAGGAAGTAATTTAAAAATATTTGTGGTCAAGATAAAATGAGAGTAATGTAATGAAGAATAGATCACTAGGTACAGAGCCGTAATCTTCCAGGGTTTGGGTTTCCTTGGGCAAATGAGGTTGAATAAGTCAAAGCTCTTTAGAGTATTAGCAACAGAATTTCAACTGATAGATTTTTATCAACTGGACTGGACAGCAAGGAGTGGTCATGGAAAGCTCGAGAACTATCCTTATTCCACATAAAGGGGAACATGGGTTGAACTAGGGAACAAAGACAGGCAATGAGACAGAGATCATGGTAGTATTTACAAAATTGATGTGTGGACCAAAAGTTATATGTGACTTAATTCTTCACCAGGTTTCAAGTAAAAGTTGAGAATAAACAAGCCATATTTAATAGTAAAACAGAGAAAGTCATGTACATAAATACTTTCTGATCACCACTGTTTCAGCAGGAATCATTAAAACTACAGATTACCTTTGCAAGGTGGAATTTATCCCTTAATGTCTAGTGGTGGTTAAGAATGTCTGGTTTTGACTGCATTCAAAATGTAAAAATTAAAAGATAAAAATGATATAAAGCATTTGTCTCTACTCTAATGCTATTAGCTCTAGATATATGCCTTGCCCCAACCCCAAATTTCTTTGAAAGGTGAAAGCAGAAATATCAACATAGAAGTTCACATATTTGGGAGCTTTTATGCCATAGTTTGTGGCAATTTAGTTTCACCAGTGTTTAATGAGAATAGCAAATTTTGCACATTCTTGCCAACACTGGGTATTATCATTTTAAAAATATTTTCCAAAATGGATAGAAAAATTAAATCTCATTGTTTTAATTTATATTTCTTCATTACTTTTTACAATATAGGGATTTGGTTTACAATATAGGGATTTGGTTTACAATATAGGGATTTGGTTTACAATATAGGGATTTGGTTTACAATATAGGGATTTGGTTTACAATATAGGGATTGCATTTTACAATACAAAGATTTGTTGTTGCTGTTGTTACTGTTATTATGATCCTTATCTTTAACTTGATTTGTAAGTTTTGGGATTTAGCATTTTCTTTAAAATAAATTTTCATTGCTCAAGGCAGTTAACATTTTATCTTTCTCATTTTGGAAAAAAAAAAAAGGCTGTGCCTAGGCAAAAATTAAACCCTGAATTCATGTTTGATTTTTTTGTAATAGATGTAATGTAGAATTTACCTTACTTTATTTTCACGTGGTTATACAATAATCCTGACGCCTTTGATGCTCCACCAGATTTCATTTGTGACTTTTATTATAGACTATATAATTACATATAGTTCAATATGTCTTTAGACTTTCTATCACATCTTTACAACTTTTAGAGCCATATTATTTTGATCACTGAAAATTTAACAAACATATTTTTAAGACTTTTTGTTAGAATAAGCATTTTTTTATTACTCTTCGTTTTTAAGATTTTATAATGTTTATGTACATTTATTCTTCCAGACAAAATTAGAAATCATTTTGTCCAGCCAAAAAATTGCATGCAAATTGCACCAAGTAGATAAATTAATTTGAAGTGACGTAGGTTCTTTTTCATTCAGTTTAATTTTCTTTACACTTAAGAGAACAATTTAGTTTTTTGTTTGTTTGTCTGTCTGTTTTGCTTAGGGATAGCATGATCTCTTTTCAATTTGTTGCCATTCTCTACAGTAGTAAAAGGAGATTTTCGTAATCCTCTTCTCCAGATTACTTATTTTGTTGTCCTCAGTGTTGATTTTTGCCTTATTCTAATACAGATATAGTTAGTTTCTGCTAAAACATTATTTTTTTCTATACTCTTTCTTAATTCTTTTGTTTCTTTCAAGTCAGTGCATTATAAAGTAAATGTTTTCTTTAGTATTCTTGACCATCTAAAACTATTGCTATTGATGTCTTCTTCTGTTTGATGCAATAAAACTTTATGTATGGCATTCATCTAACTTTTATCTGCCATCCTTTTTCTTTATTTTTGAGTTGCATAACTATTAGTATTTTATTTGGCAACAGGTAGACTCTTTAATACCAAAAGGCACTTGGGTCATAAACCATCAGTCTGCATTGGCAGTTGATAGAAAAGTCAAAGGAAACAAATACAACTACACCGATTATTGCAATATTGTTTAGGTACTGTCCAATACAGAAACAACTTCACACAGAAAAATTAATCTAAGGTCTCAGTAACCACAAAATAATAAAAAATATTTTCTCTAATTGAATACAATCAAGCCTATAATATTTATTTTTGCTAAGGCTACCAAGAAACTCAGGGAAATTCTGAAAAATTACCTCTGTTAACTTTGAATGGTATTGTGAAATAAATTTGAGTTTTAACTTAATTTTGGCACAAACTTACTACATTTTATTTTGCTGCATATGGTATATTACATAAGCTGTTTTGAATACTGTTAGCAATAACTTGTAGAATAATTTAAATCATTCATGAATACATAATTTCCCATCCTCACTTTAGAATCAGACATATATAATACTCTTTGTTTTAAGTCTATTTTTAAAATTTAGCTTTTAATACATTGTAATCTCTCTTTGGATAATGCTCATGTATGGCTATATGTTTAAGATTTCCCGACACCATCAAGATGGCTGACTAGAGGAACCTAGCACTCATCTCTTAAACAAAGAAGGGCCACAACAGCAAATAAATAACCACAAATCAAATGGAGCATCTAAGGGAGAACACAAATTCAGCAAGAAAATGATGAAGCCCTTCTAAGACATGGAAACTCCTGATGGCACAATAAAAATAAAAGCAAAGCAGCTAGCCAGGATCAGCATAGAGGCAGGAGAGACTCTCCATTGCAGGAAAAAGGTAGGTGGGAGATTCCCCAGCCATCTACATTCCCATCAGAGATGTCTGGAATCCTAGGGAGAGAAAAGCCCCTCTGCCCTCACAGACCCCGAGCCTAGTGCAGAGAGTTTCCTGGAGTTCACATGACTGTATTGTTCCAGAGAGGAAAATCAAACTGGGTGCCCTACACTCCTGGGACCAAAGCTGATGCATCATGGCATTATTTTGAGGGAAGAACCATCACCAGAATACATTCTGACTTGGGCCAAATAGCCCCTGTATCTCCACATCCATAGTATTCCACTGATATTCCCCTACATCCACTGAGAAGGCTACAGTCTCATGAAACCAACTGGAACTGGTGGTACAACTGTGTTCCCAGCATCTGAGCCCATGTAGCTCCCTGTACTCCAGAAAATAGGTGATCTAAACCCTTAGGAAGTCTGCCTCCAGGACACAGGTAGCTGAAGCATGTGCACACCAAAGCTTGAGAGCCACCTGTCTTATCTGCCGTCACCAACAGTGACCTCTCCCCCTCTAGCAGTGGGGCCACCACATGTCCATGTGCAATGTCAATAACCTGCAAACCAGTTTAACTGGGGTCCACTGCCAGTGCCCCAATGTGTGCCATCCAGGAGCCCGAGGCCATCCTCCTCAGGAATTGCTACCACTTCAAGCCCAAAAAACTGACCTCTCCAATAGTGGGGCTGCTGCGCACCTTTGCACACCATTTAGGAGCCAGAGGAGTGGACCAACCAGGGTCTACTGCCACCAACACCCATGCCTACAAATATCCCCCAGGATCCTGAAGACTGGCCTACCTGGGCTCTCCCAAAGAAAGTTATGACAGAGCCTCCACAAACAACTACAGCCTAAACTACTGAGAAAATCACATATGCTACTGATTTGATTACAGGCAAAAAAAAAAAAAATCATATGGAGAATACATTACTGTACCTACCTAGAACTAAAACCAAAGCACTCTACCTAACTGACTCTATAGATACATCTACAGGAAAAAAAGTGTTACCCTATGAAAGCTACTTCAGAAAATTCAAAGAAGTGACAGCTATATCAGAGATGTAGATATCAGTGTAGGGATGCAGGAAACATGACAAACCAATAAAACATAACACCTCTAAAGGAAAATAATTATTCTGCAGTAACAGACCACAAATAAAAGAAAATCTATAAACTACTTGAAAGGGAATTCAAAATAATTATCTTTCAAAAATTCAGTGAAATACAAGAGAACACAGATAGGCAATACCGTGATATCAAGAAAAGAATTCATGATCTGAATGAGAAATTCAACAAAGATGTCCAACAGAAATCATAGAACTGAAGAATTCAATGAAAATATAAAAAGTACAGTTGAGAGCTTCAACAATTACAGAAGAAATAATTTCCGAGCTTAAAGACAGATCTTTTGAAGTATCCTAGTCACACACAAAAAAAAGAGAAAAAGAATTTTTAAAAAGAGTGAAGAAACTCTATGTACATACAGGAGAACTTTAAGCAAACACATTTTTAAATTCTGGGAGTTCCAAAAAGAAAAGATGGGGAAAGACATGGAAACCTATTGAATAAAATAATACTTGAAAATATCCTATGTCTTGGGAGATAAATAGACATCCAGATACAGGACACTCAATAATCCTCAAATAGACTTAAATTAAAAAGGTCCTATCGATGGCGACAGGGGACAGACAAATTCCTAGGCAGACAGGGATGGGTCTCCAGTGAAACCCAACCTTCCAGCAAAGGACAGTTTAAAGCCTGAAAACCAAGCTGCCAGTTCCAGATAGACTCCACAACTGGCATGAGAACTTCTATCTCCATCTCACCCACTCAGTCTTGATTGGTTCCTTCTGAATGATGCCTTTTAACTAATCAAATGATATTTTTTTCAAGACCAACCATGGACCCATCAGCATGCATTCCCCGATTCTAAGCCCATAAAAACCCCAGACTCAGACTCACAAATGGCTACCTGTTTAGGGGTCCTCTCTCATTGCCGAGAGCTTTCCTTCAGTGACTCAATACAATTCTACTATATCTTACTCACTTTCTGGTGTGCACATACCTTGATCCTTTTGGTCACGGACAAGAAACTGGAAATCCTTGAACTGCAGGAGCAAAAGAGCTGTAATGTTCCTGCTTGCTGAGCTATAGGTGGTGAGAATAAAAGAGTGGTAATATTCTCTGCCGCTCGCCGAACAACAGGACAGAAAAACCCACTGGGTGCCACCTTCTCCTGCTTGCTGAACAATGGCAGCAAAGAGCCACTGGGTGCCCTTTCTCTCACTCACTGAACTGTGGAAGCGAAAAAGCCACAACACTATCTGAGGCACATTATAGTCAAACAGTCAACAGTCAATGATAACAAGAGAAAAGAATCAAGTCACATACAAGGGAGTCCCCATTAGACTAACAACACACTTCTCAGAAGAAACCATATGGTCAGAAGAGCATGAGATGATATATTCAAAATGCTAAAAGAAAAAAAAAAACCTGTCAGCCAAGAATACAATACCCAGCAAAGCTATCTTAAAGAAATAAAGAGTAAAGTTTTCTCAGACAAGCAAAAACTGAGGGAATTCATCATCACCAGACTGGATATACAAGAAATAAGGGAGTTCAACATCTGAAGGCAAAAGGATGATATCTGCCATTATGATAACAAATGAGAAAGACAAGGAATGAAATGTTATTTCTACAGAAAACAAGCAAACTGCAAAAAATAACTTAAGAGAGAAAGAGAGAAACAAAACAAATACAAAACAATCAGAAAACAAATACCAATGGGTAGTTAGTCTTCACCTATCAACAACTATGAAGAGGTTTAATTCACCAATTAAAAGATAGAGATTTGGCTGAATGGATTAAAAAACAACAAGATCCAACTATATGCTGCCTACAAAAATCTCACTTCACTTGCAAAGACACTCATAGACTGAAAGCAAAGGAATAGAAAAAGATATTCCAATGCAAACTGAAACGAAAAGTAGGCAGGATTATCTATATTTGTATCAGACAAAGTAGACTTTAAGTCAAAAAACATAAAAACAGACAAAGAAGGTCATTAGATAAAAATTAAGTGGTCAATTCAGTAAGAGGATATAACAATTATAGAAAAGTAAATAAACATATATATACACACTCAACATTGGAGACCATAATACAATAATAGCTAGGAACTTCAATGCCCCACATTGAGTATTAGACAGATAATCTAAAAGGATAATAAATTGTAAAATATTGGACTTACACTGCACTATAGACCAAATGAACCCAATAGATATTTACAGAGTATTTCATCCAATAGCTGCAGAACACACATTATTCTCCTCAGGACATGGGACATTTGCAAGGATAGACTGTATCTTAGGCCTCAATATAAATCTCAAACATTTTAAAACATCAAAATTCTCTCAAGCATCTTCTCAGAACACAATAAAATAAAATCAGAATCAATATTAAGAAGAACTTTGGAAATTGTACAAATACATGGAAATTAAACAACATGCTCCTGAATGACAAACAGGTCAATAAGGAAATTAAGAAGAAAGTAAAAAAAATTCTTGAAGACATGAAAATAGAAATACCTATGGGATAGAGCAAAAGAAGTGCTAAGAGGGAAGATTACACCAATGAACACCTATATAAAAAATTAAAATATTTAAAATAAACAACCTAACAATACACCTCAAGAAACTAGAAAAGCAAGAACAAACTAAATTCAAAATTTATGGAAGAAAAAAATAATAAAGATCAAAGCAGAACTAAACAAAATAGAGACTAAAAAATTACAAACAGTCAACAAAATGAAAAGTTAGTTTTCTGAAAAGATAAACTAAAACGACAATTAGACTAAGAAATAATAAAGAAAACCTCAATAAATAAAACCAGAAACAAAAAAGGAGACATTACAACTGATACCACATAAATACAAAGGATCATTAGAAACTGTTATGAACAACTATACACTACCACACTGGGTAATCTAGAGGAAACATATAAATTCCTGGAAAACTTACAACCTGCCAAAATTGAACCAAGAAGAAATAGAAAATCTGAACAGACCAATTACAAGTAACAAGACTGAATCAGAAATAAAAAGTCTCCCAAAAAGAAAACAACAACAACAACAACAACAACAAGGCCCAGGACAGAGAGTTTTACTGCTGAATTCAACCAAACTTTTAAAGACAAACGAAACCAATTATTTTTAAATTACTCCAAAAACAAAAAAATAGACCATACTTCTTAATTCACTTTATAAGTACAGCATCACCCTGATAACAAAACGAAACACAGACACAAAACAACAACAAACTACAGGCCAATATCCCTGATGAATATGGGTGTAAAAATCCTCTACCAAATAATAGCAAAGCAAATTCAACATCACATCAAAAAGATAATTCATGGGGGAGGAGCCAAGATGGCCGAATAGTAACAGCTCGGGTCTACAGCTCCCAGCATGAACGACGCAGAAGACGGGTGATTTCTGCATTTCCATCTGAGGTACCGGGTTCATCTCACTAGGGAGTGCCAGACAGTGGGCGCAGGTCAGTGGTCGCGCGCACCATGCGCGAGCCGAAGCAGGGCGAGGCATTGCCTCACTTGGGAAGCGCAAGGGGTCAGGGAGTTCCCTTTCTGAGTCAAAGAAAGGGGTGACGGACAGCACCTGGAAAATCGGGTCACTCCCACCAGAATACTGTGCTTTTCTGACGGGCTTAAAAAATGGCGCACCATGAGATTATATCCTGCACCTGGCTCAGAGGGTCCTACGCCCACGGAGTCTCGCTGATTGCTAGCACAGCAGTCTGAGATCAAACTGCAAGGCGGCAGCGAGGCTGGGGGAGGGGCGCCCACCATTGCCCAGGCTTGATTAGGTAAACAAAGCTGCCAGGAAGCTGGAACTGGGTGGAGCCCACCACAGCTCAAGGAGGCCTGCCTGCCTCTGTAGGCTCCACCTCTGGGGGCAAGGCACAGACAAACAAAAAGACAGCAGTAACCTCTGCAGACTTAAATGTCCCTGTCTGACAGCTTTGAAGAGAGCAGTAGTTCTCCCAGCATGCAGCTGGAGATCTGAGAACGGGCAGACTGCCTCCTCAAGTGGGTCCCTGACCCCTGACCCCCGAGCAGCCTAACTGGGAGGCACCCCCCAGCAGGGGCACACTCACACCTCACAGGGCAGGGTACTCCAACAGACCTGCAGCTGAGGGTCCTCTCTGTTAGACGGAAAACTAACAAACAGAAAGGACATCCACACCAAAAACCCATCTGTACATCACCATCATCAAACACCAAAAGTAGATAAAACCACAAAGATGGGGAAAAAACAGAACAGGAAAACTGGAAACTCTAAAAAGCAGAGCGCCTCTCCTCCTCCAAAGGAATGCAGTTCCTCACCAGCAACGGAACAAAGCTGGATGGAGAATGACTTTGACGAGCTGAGAGAAGAAGGCTTCAGTCGATCAAATTACTCTGAGCTACGGGAGGACATTCTAACCAAAGGCAAAGAAGTTGAAAACCTTGAAAAAAATTTAGAAGAATGTATAACTAGAATAACCAATACAGAGAAGTGCTTAAAGGAGCTGATGGAGCTGAAAACCAAGGCTCGAGAGCTACATGAAGAATGCAGAAGCCTCAGGAGCTGATGCGATCAACTGGAAGAAAGGGTATCAGCAATGGAAGATGAAATGAATGAAATGAAGCGAGAAGGGAAGTTTAGAGAAAAAAGAATAAAAAGAAATGAGCAAAGCCTCCAAGAAATATGGGACTATGTGAAAAGACCAAATCTACGTCTCATTGGTGTACCTGAAAGTGATGGGGAGAATGGAACCAAGTTGGAAAACATGCTGCAGGATATTATCCAGGAGAACTTCCCCAATCTAGCAAGGCAGGCCAACGTTCAGATTCAGGAAATACAGAGAACGCCACAAAGATACTCCTCGAGAAGGGCAACTGTAAGACACATAATTGTCAGATTCACCAAAGTTGAAATGAAGGAAAAAATGTTAAGGGCAGCCAGAGAGAAAGGTCGGGTTCCCCTCAAAGGGAAGCCCATCAGACTAACAGCGGATCTCTCGGCAGAAACCCCACAAGCCAGAAGACAGTGGGGACCAATATTCAACATTCTTAAAGAAAAGAATTTTCAACCCAGAATTTCATATCCAGCCAAACTAAGCTTCATAAGTGAAGGAGAAATAAAATACTTTACAGACAAGCAAATGCTGAGAGATTTTGTCACCACCAGGCCTGCCTTACAAGAGCTCCTGAAGGAAGCACTAAACATGGAAAGGAACAACCGGTACCAGTTGCTGCAAAATCATGACAAAATGTAAAGACCATCAACACTAGGAAGAAACTGCATCAACTAACGAGCAAAATCACCAGCTAACATCATAATGACAGGATCAAATTCACACATAACACTATTAACTTTAAATGTAAATGGACAAAATGCTCCAATTAAAAGACACAGACTGGCAAATTGGATAAAGAGTCAAGACCCATCAGTGTGCTGTATTCAGGAAACCCATCTCATGTGCAGAGACACACATAGGCTCAAAATAAAAGGATGGAGGAAGATCTACCAAGCAAATGGAAAACAAAAAAAGGCAGGGGTTGCAATCCTAGTCTCTGATAAAACAGACTTTAAACCAACAAAGATCAAAAGAGACAAAGAAGGCCATTACATAATGGTAAAGGGATCAATTCAACTAGAAGAGCTAACTATCCTAAATATATATGCACCCAATACAGGAGCACCCAGATTCATAAAGCAAGTCCTGAGTGACCTACAAAGAGACTTAGACTCCCACGCATTAATAAAGGGAGACTTTAACACCCCACTGTCAACATTGGACAGATCAACGAGACAGAAAGTCAACAAGGATACCCAGGAATTGAACTCAGCTCTGCACCAAGTGGACCTAATAGACATCTACAGAACTCTCCACCCCAAATCAACAGAATATACATTTTTTTCAGCACCACACCACACCTATTCCAAAATTGACCACATACTTGGAAGTAAAGCTCTCCTCAGCAAATGTAAAAGAACAGAAATTATAACAAACTATCTCTCAGACCACAGTGCAATCAAACTAGAACTCAGGATTAAGAATCTCACTCAAAGCCGCTCAACTACATGGAAACTGAACAACCTGCTCCTGAATGACTACTGGGTACATAACGAAATGAAGGCAGAAATAAAGATGTTCTTTGAAACCAACGAGAACAAAGACACAACATACCAGAATCTCTGGGATGCATTCAAAGCAGTGTGTAGAGGGAAATTTATAGCACTAAATGCCCACAAGAGAAAGCAGGAAAGATCCAAAATTGACAGCCTAACATCACAATTAAAAGAACTAGAAAAGCAAGAGCAAACACATTCAAAAGCTAGCAGAAGGCAAGAAATAACTAAAATCAGAGCAGAACTGAAGGAAATAGAGACACAAAAAACCCTTCAAAAAATTAATGAATCCAAGAGCTGGTTTTTTGAAAGGATCAACAAAATTGATAGACCGCTAGCAAGACTAATAAAGAAAAAAAGAGAGAAGGATCAAATAGACGCAATAAAAAATGATAAAGGGGATATCACCACAGATCCCACAGAAATACAAACTACCATCAGAGAATAATACAAACACCTCTACGCAAATAAACTAGAAAATCTAGAAGAAATGGATAAACTCCTCGACACATACACTCTCCCAAGACTAAACCAGGAAGAAGTTGAATCTCTTAATAGACCAATAACAGGAGCTGAAACTGTGGCAATAATCAATAGCTTACCAACCAAAAAGAGTCCAGCACCAGATGGATTCACAGCCGAATTCTACCAGAGGTACAAGGAGGAGCTGGTACCATTCCTTCTGAAACTATTCCAATCAATAGAAAAAGAGGGAATCCTCCCTAACTCATTTGATGAGGCCAGCATCATTCTGATACCAAAGCCAGGCAGAGACACAACAAAAAAAGAGAATTTTAGACCAATATCCTTGATGAACATTGATGCAAAAAATCCTCAATAAAATACTGGCAAACCGAATCCAGCAGCACATCAAAAAGCTTATCCACCATGATCAAGTGGGCTTCATCCCTGGGATGCAAGGCTGGTTCAATACACGCAAATCAATAAATGTAATCCAGCATATAAACAGAGCCAAAGACAAAAACCACATGAATATCTCAATAGATGCAGAAAAGGCCTTTGACAAAATTCAACAACCCTTCATGCTAAAAACTCTCAATAAATTAGGTATTGATGGGACGTATCTCAAAATAATAAGAGCTATCTATGACAAACCCACAGCCAATATCATACTGAATGGGCAAAAACTGGAAGCATTCCCTTTGAAAACTGGCACAAGACAGGGATGCGCTCTCTCACCACTCCTATTCAACATAGTGTTGGAAGTTCTGGCCAGGGCAATTAGGCAGGAGAAGGAAATAAAGGGTATTCAATTAGGAAAAGAGGAAGTCAAATTGTCCCTGTTTGCAGACGACATGATTGTATATCCAGAAAACCCCATTGTCTCAGCCCAAAATCTCCTTAAGCTGATAAGCAACTTCAGCAAAGTCTCAGGATACAAAATCAATGTACAAAAATCACAAGCATTCTTATACACCAATAACAGACAAACAGAGAGCCAAATCATGAGTGAACTCCCATTCACAATTGCTTCAAAGAGAATAAAATACCTAGGAATCCACCTTACAAGGGATGTGAAGGACCTCTTCAAGGAGAACTACAAACCACTGCTCAAGGAAATAAAAGAGGATACAAACAAATGGAAGAACATTCCATGCTCATGGGTAGGAAGAATCAATATCGTGAAAATGGCCATACTGCCCAAGGTAATTTACAGATTCAATGCCATCCCCATCAAGCTACCAATGACTTTCTTCACAGAATTGGAAAAAACTACTTTAAAGTTCATATGGAACCAAAAAAGAGCCCACATCACCAAGTCAATCCTAAGCCAAAAGAACAAAGCTGGAGGCATCACACTACCTGACTTCAAACTATACTACAAGTCTACAGTAACCCAAACAGCACGGTACTGGTACCAAAACAGAGATATAGATTAATGGAACAGAACAGAGCCCTCAGAAATAACGCCGCATATCTACAACTATCCGATCTTTGACAAACTTGAGAAAAACAAGCAATGGGGAAAGGATTCCCTGTTTAATAAATGGTGCTGGGAAAACTGGCAAGCCATATGTAGAAAGCTGAAACTGGATCCCTTCCTTACACCTTATTCAAAAATCAATTCAAGATGGATTAAAGACTTAAACGTTAGACCTAAAACCATAAAAACCCTAGAAGAAAACCTAGGCTTTACCATTCGGGACATAGGCATGGGCAAGGACTTCCTGTCTAAAACACCAAAAGCAATGGCAACAAAAGCCAAAATTGACAAATGGGATCTAATTAAAGTAAAGAGCTTCTGCACAGCAAAAGAAACTACCATCAGAGTGAACAGGCAACCTACAGAATGGGAGAAAATTTTCGCAATCTACTCATCTGACAAAGGGCTAATAATATCCAGAATCTACAATGAACTCAAACAAATTCACAAGAAAAAAACAAACAACCCCATCAAAAAGTGGGCAAAGTATATGAACAGACACTTCTCAAAAGAAGACATTTATGCAGCCAAAAAAACACATGAAAAAATGCTCATCATCACTGGCCATCAGAGAAATGCAAATCAAAACCATAATGAGATACCATCTCACACCAGTTAGAATGGCAATCATTAAAAAGTCAGGAAACAACAGGTGCTGGAGTGGATGTGGAGAAATAGGAACACTTTTACACTGTTGGTGGGACTGTAAACTAGTTCAACCATTGTGGAAGTCAGTGTGGCGATTCCTCAGGGATCTAGAACTGGAAATACCATTTGACCCAGCCATCCCATTACTGGGTATATACCCAAAGGACTATAAATCATGCTGCTATAAAGACACATGCACACGTATGTTTATTGCGGCATTATTCACAACAGCAAAGACTTGGAACCAACCCAAATGTCCCACAATGATAGACTGGATTAAGAAAATGTGGCGCATATACACCATGGAATACTATGCAGCCATAAAAAATGATGAGTTCACGTCCTTTGTAGGGACATGGATGAAATTGGAAATCATCATTCTCAGTAAACTACTGCAAGAACAAAAAACCAAACACCGCATATTCTCACTCATAGGTGGGAATTGAACAATGAGATCACATGGACACAGGAAGGAGAATATCACACTCTGGGGACTGTTGTGGGGTGGGGGTAGGGGGGAGGGATAGCATCGGGAGATATACCTAATGCTAGATGACGAGTTAGTGGGTTCAGCGCACCAGCATGGCACATGTATGCATATGTAACTAACCTGCACAATGTGCACATGTACTCTAAAACTTAAAGTATAATTTAAAAAAAAAAAGATAATTCACCATGATCAAGTAGGAGTTATCCCAGGGTTGCAAAGATGGTTCATATATGCAAATCAATAAATGTGATATAATACATCAATAGAATAAAGGAAAAAGTCTTACGATCATCATAATAGAAACCAAAACAAAGCAATTCATAAATCTTCATCCTAAAATTTCTTCATCATAAAGTCTCTCAAAAATTGGACATAGAATTAGATATACCCCTACACAATAAAGGCCATTTATGACAAACCCACAACTAACAGTACACTGAACAGAGAAAAGCTTAAAGCATTTTCTACAAGAACTGGAATAGGACAAGTATGCCTACTTTTACCACTCTTATTCAACATACTACTAGCAGACCTAGGCAGAGCAGTTTGGCAACAGGATGAAATAAAGGGCATCCAAATTGGAAAAGAGGATGTCAACTTATCCCTCCTTGTAAATGAGATAATCTTACATATAGAAAAACCTGAAGACTTCACAAAAAACTCTTATGACTAAGAAATGAGTTTAATAAAGTTGCAGGATATAAAAATTAACATACAAAAAAATCAGTAGCATTCCTATTTACCAAAAACAAGCTAGCTGAAAAGGAACTGGAGAAGGAAATCCCATTTATAATAGCTTAAATAAAATAATAAAATACTTAGGAATAAATTTAACCAAGGAGGTAAATAATCTCTACAATTAAAACTGCAAAACACTGATGAAAAAAATTGAAGAGGGCATAAAAATCAAAAGACATGCCATGCTCATGGATTAGAACAGTTAATATTGTCAAAATGACCATACAACCCAAAGCAATTTATAGATTCAATGTAATCCCTATTAAAAATTGCAATTACATTTTTCTTCAAATAAATAGGGAAAAATCCTAAAATTTGTATTGAACCCAAACAAATACAAGTAGTCAAAGTAATACTGAGCAAAGGGAGGAATAACACTATGTGACTTCCAAGTATATCACAAAGCAATAGTAACCAAAACAGCATAGCATTGCTATAAAAACTGACACACAGACAAATAGAACAGTATAGAGAACACTGAAACAAATCTATGTATTTTACAGTCAACTCACTTTTGACATAGGCTCTAAGAACATACACTGGGGAAAAGACACCCTCTATAATAAATGGTGTTGAGAAAACTGGATATTCATATGCAGAGGAATAAAACCAGATCCCCATCTTTCACCAGAACCAAAAATTGACACAAAATATATTAACAACTTAAATGTAAGACCCAAAACTATAAAACTACTAGAAAAAAACAGAGGGGGATTTCTTTGGGACTCTGGTCTGAGCAAAGATTTTTATGGATAAGGTTACAAAGGCACAGGTACCAAAAAGAAAAATGGACAAACAAGACTATATGAAACTTTTAAAGAGCTTTTGCTCAGCGAAGGAAACAATCACAGAGTGAACAGACAATCTGTATATTGGGAGAAAATATCTACAAACTATTTACCTGACAAGGGCCTTTTACCTAGAATATACAAGGAACTCAAACAACTTAACAGCAATAATAATAATGGTAATAATCCCATTAAGAGGTGGAAAAGAATCTGAAAGACATTTCTCAGAAGAAGAAATACAAATGGCCAAAAAGTATATAAAAAATGTTCAGCATCACTAATCATCAGGGAAATGCAAATCAAAACCACCATAAGATATCACCTCACCCCAGTTAGAATGGCTATTATCAAAAAGACAAAAAATAAGAAATACTGGCTAGGATGCAGAGAAAAGGGAATTCATACATTGTTGGAAGGAATTATAGTTAGTACAACTATTATGAAAAACAGTATGGAGGTTCCTTAAAAAACTAAAAATAGAAATATCATATAATCCAGCAATCCTGTTATTGGGTATTTAGCCAAAGGAAAGGAAACTTGTGTATCAAAGTGACATCTTCACCCCCATGTTTATAACAGCACTATTCACTATAGCCAAGATGTGATATCAACCTAAATGTCCATCAATAGATGAGTAGATAAAATAATTATGGTATATATGCACAATGGAATACTATTCAACCATAAAAAGAAATGGGACGTTGTCATTTTTTGCAACATGGATGAACCTGAAGGGCATTATGTTAAATTAGTCAAGCACAGAAAGATCAATACCACATTCTTACTTATATATGGGATCTAAAAAATTGAGCTCATGAAATAAAAGGGTAGAATTGTGGTTTTCAGAGGCTGAGAAGTTAGGGATGAGAAAGGCAAAGAGAGAAGTTGGTTAACTGATACAAAATTACAGCTAGACATAATAAATAAGTTATGTTCTATAGCACTATAATGTGAATAGAGCTAACAATAATTTATTGTGTATGTTCAAAAAGCTAGACTGGAGAATTATGAATATTTCCAATACGAAGAAATGATAAATGTTTTAGGTGATGGTTATACTAATTACTCTGATTTAATCACTGCATATTTCATACAGGCATCAAAATATCATTCTGCATCCTATAAATATGTAAAATTATTATGGTAACTATAGATAAAGTGAAGGAAACAAAAAATGCAAAAAACCAACCAAAATCATGTAAATACAATTTTTAAAGAATTTTTATGACTTCATTATTATTTTTGATTTGTGGGACTATATATTTCACAGCAATTTCAATGTACCTTCTAGATATTATATAGACACCTATGATCTGAACTTAAAGTTTTAGAAGATTTCTACCTATAATAGGTTTTTGGATATTTAAATTTTGGTTTTTTTTTCTAGGTTTGAGGTCAGCGAAGAAAATTGACATTTTAAATTAATATAGGAATGATGGCCTAATTAATCTTCTTGACAGTGAACTCCTGTGTGTCAAGAGTCAATCCATAGGACACTGCATCCTGAATATATTAACTTCCCAATTGTTCATATATTAAACTAAAAGATTTTCATCAGATTTCTTCTTAGCTGAACTTCCAATTCATGTCTTATGGGGCTTTTGTTTGGCTTTTCCATAAATCATGGCAAACCAAATGTGGCACAAGTTTGATTTTTGAAAAAAATTATTATTGCTTACCCTGGGTACAGTTATACATATAGGATATATATACAGTATATATATAGGATATATACACACACACACACACACATATCCTATATATATGGTATATATATACATATCCCTGTTTAAAAAATCCCTTTAAGTATACAACTCTACCTTATGCATTTAGGTAGAAACAAAAACAATTGTCTACAACACTTGAACTTTTTCTTTTAGACTAGACCCTGTTTATAATTATACACGTTCTACATAATATAAACTAGTTCAATGTAAAGACAGTTTGTCAGAAAGCAACAGCACACAGCCAATCTGAGACAATGTAACAGATAAATGGTTGGTTAACCTCCCAAGGGTAAGATTATGAAATCACTTAGTGAGGCTGGGTCCCTTCCAGTTTTCTTATGCTATGTCTCTTTAAAATATATGTACATGAAGAAATACACGGACATGCTATGACTCTTTAAAATACATGTACATGAAGAATATTTTAAACCAAAATGGATGTACACATGTTTTATAAATATTATAGCACCCTAGTTCTTAATGTGTTCCTCATCAGAATTTGAATAGTGAGAATGTAATCCTACACATTTAAAAAATTAAATAAATAAAAGGCAGCTATCCTTTATGAATAATACCATGAAATTGAGTCTGAGTTAGATTTCCAAAATATGGAAAAATGAGGTTTCTTTTTGCCTATCATTACTATGATGACAATTATGAATTGATCTATAATGAATATTAATTAAATGAATATTAAGTAATGACACTGATGAAACATTTATTGAGAGCTGACAATATGCTTTATCCCTGCTCTTTCAACAAAAAAGAACGTTGCATAGGCACAAACCTTTGGTAGATGACATAGGATTTCAAGGAAATAGATGACTTCAGTAACTTTGCTTAAAGGTTAAAGAGGTAAATTTAAAAGAAGGGTGAAACAGCCATAATGATGTGAAATAAAAGCTGAAGCTCAGTGCAGCAAGACACATCCTTAGTTAGTTATATGTTCACACCTCCCCACCAGACTCTGCATTTCTGGAAGTTTTATAACTAGCCTAGGAATAATATTACAGAGAATTCAAAATTCAAATTTCAGAATCACAGAAGATTTGAATATCTCCCACCCTCCTTGAATTAGCTGATGTGTAGCATTGGGATTGTCATTATTAACTCTTGCCGATAAAAGTCAGATGAAAAAATCTACAGAAAGTTTCCATACTACTGGAGCTGTGAGAAAGAGACACACACCATACTTCTACTTCCTAACAAACTTTCTGACATTGCTGAGAAATAATGACTTAGTTCAACACATGCTCTAAGGAAAGATTTAACATACTCTATGCTATTTAAGACTTAATCACCATATTTACAATGCATAATTTAGTAGAATTCTTAAAATTGTGGAAGAGCAAGCAAGATCGGAAGAAGAGGAGAAGTTAATATGACATATGGTTTTCTGAGGGTGTTATAGGTAGAGATACGTAGATTGCTGCTTCAGCAACATCACAACTTAGCCAAGTTTTCAGAGTTACAGTGAAGAAAAAAGAGATGCAGAACTGGGACCATTTTAAGTTTCAGCAACATAGATGGAACTGGAGGTCAATATGATAGGTGAAATAAGCCAAGCACAGAAAGATTAATATTACATGTTCTCATTCATATGTGGGAGTTAAAAAGTTAATTCCATGCGGGTAGAGAGTAGAATGATGGTTATCAGAGGATGGGAAGAGTTTGCATGTTTGTGGAGTAGGGGGATAAAGAGAGGTTGGTTAATGGATACAAACACGAGGTTAGATAGAAGAAATAAATTTTAATGTTCAATAGTAGAGTAGAATGACGATAGTTTCACACATTGTATGTTTCAAAATAGCTGGAAGAGAGGACTTCCCAACATAAAGAAATAATGAAATACTCAAGGTGATGTATACCCTAAATACCCTGACCTGATCATTACACATTTTATGCATGTAACAAAATATTACATGTACCCCATAAACATGTACAAATATTATATATCAATACAGAATAAAATTCATATTTTATATTTATAATTTTAATAAATATGATTTAAAAATTACGTTTATAAAACAGGATTAATTAATTTTAATACTAAAGAATATTTTTTAAATATACATTTTTCAAATAGTTTTGTTGTCCTTTCTGTGAACTAACAAGCTTCATAATTTATCTTGATGGTATTTTTATTAACTCTATTCTTCTTTTTTAAACTTTACTTTAAAGTTCTGGGATACATGCGCAGAATGTGCAGGTTTGTTCCACAGGTATACATGTGCCATGGTGGTTTGCTGCACCTATCAACCCATCATCTAGGTTTCAAGCCCCACATGCATTAGGTATTTGTCCTAATGTTCTCCCTCCCCTAACCCCCTACCACTCGACAGGCCCTGGTGTGTGATGTTCCCTTCCCTGTGCCCATGTGTTCTCATTGTATTAACTCTATTCTTAAAGGCTCATCAGATATTATAACAAGAGAGTGTATTCCAGGAAGAACACACCATAACTGGTCTAAAGGGCTATGGTGCTGAACATATTCATTGTTTCACATCCTATCATTTCCTGCTAATGGACAGTAATAATATGGTTAAGTTCAAAAGTGAGATAAATTACCCTGGGCAGTATGGCAATTTTCACGATATTGATTCTTCCTACCCATGAGCATGGAATGTTCTTCCATTTGTTTGTATCCTCTTTTATTTCCTTGAGCAGTAGTTTGTAGTTCTCCTTGAAGAGGTCCTTCACATCCCTTGTAAGGTGGATTCCTAGGTATTTTATTCTCCTTGAAGCAGTTGTGAATGGGAGTTCACTCATGATTTGGCTCTCTGTTTGTCTGTTATTGGTGTATAAGAATGCTTGTGATTTTTGTACATTGATTTTGTATCCTGAGACTTTGCTGAAGTTGCTTATCAGCTTAAGGAGATTTTGGGCTGAGACAATGGGGTTTTCTAGATATACAATCATGTCGTCTGCAAACAGGGACAATTTGACTTCCTCTTTTCCTAATTGAATACCCTTTATTTCCTTCTCCTGCCTAACTGCCCTGGCCAGAACTTCCAACACTATGTTGAGTAGGAGTGGTGAGAGAGGGCATCCCTGTCTTGTGCCAGTTTTCAAAGGGAATGCTTCCAGTTTTTGCCCATTCAGTATGATATTGGCTGTGGGTTTGTCATAGATAGCTCTAACTATTTTGAAATACGTCCCATCAATACCTAATTTATTGAGAGTTTTTAGCATGAAGGGTTGTTGAATTTTGTCAAAGGCCTTTTCTGCATCTATTGAGATAATCATGTGGTTTTTGTCTTTGGCTCTGTTTATATGCTGGATTACATTTATTGATTTGCGTGTATTGAACCAGCCTTGCATCCCAGGGATGAAGCCCACATGATCATGGTGGATAAGCTTTTTGATGTGCTGCTGGATTTGTTTTGCCAGTATTTTATTGAGGATATTTGCATCAATGTTCCTCAAGGATATTGGTCTAAAATTCTCTTTTTTGGTTGTGTCTCTGCCCGGCTTTGGTATCAGGATGATGCTGGCCTCATCAAATGAGTTAGGGAGGATTCCCTCTTTTTCTATTGATTGGAATAGTTTCAGAAGGAATGGTACCAGTTCCTCCTTGTACCTCTGGTAGAATTCGGCTGTGAATCCATCTGGTCCTGGACTCTTTTTGGTTGGTAAGCTATTGATTATTGCCACAATTTCAGATCCTGTTATTGGTCTATTCTTCCTGGTTTAGTCTTAGGAGACTGTATGTGTCGAGGAATTTATCCATTTCTTCTAGATTTTCTAGTTTATTTGCGTAGAGGTGTTTGCAGTATTCTCTGATGGTAGTTTGTATTTCTGTGGGATCGGTGGTGATATCCCCTTTATCATTTTTATTGCGTCTATTTGATTCTTCTCTCTTTTTTTCTTTATTAGTCTTGCTAGCGGTTTATCAATTTTGATGCCATCCCCATCAAGCTACCAACGACTTTCTTCACAGAATTGGAAAAAACTACTTTAAAGTTCATATGGAACCAAAAAAGAGCCCGCATCGCCAAGTCAATCCTGAGCCAAAAGAACAAAGCTGGAGGCATCACACTACCTGACTTCAAACTATACTACAAGGCTACAGTAACCCAAACAGCATGCTACTGGTACCAAAACAGAGATATAGATCAATGGAACAGAACAGAACCCTCAGAAATAATGCCACATATCTACAACTATCTGATCTTTGACAAACCTGAGAAAAACAAGCAATGGGGAAAGGATTCCCTATTTAATAAATGGTGCTGGGAAAACTGGCTAGCCATATTTAGAAAGCTGAAACTGGATCCCTTCCTTACACCTTATACAAAAATCAATTCAAGATGGATTAAAGACTTAAATGTTAGACCTAAAACCACAAAGACCCTAGAAGAAAACCTAGGCTTTACCATTCGGGACATAGGCATGGGCAAGGACTTCGTGTCTAAAACACCAAAAGCAATGGCAACAAAAGCCAAAATTGACAAATGGGATCTAATTAAACTAAAGAGCTTCTGCACAGCAAAAGAAGCTACCATCTGAGTGAACAGGCAACCTACAGAATGGGAGAAAATTTTCACAACCTACTCATCTGACAAAGGGCTAATATCCAGAATCTACAATGAACTCAAACAAATTTACAAGAAAAAAACAAACAACCCCATCAAAAAGTGGGCGAAGGACATGAACAGACACTTCTCAAAAGAAGACATTTATGCAGCCAAAAAACACATGAAAAAATGCTCACCGTCACTGGCCATCAGAGAAATGCTAATCAAAACCACAATGAGATACCATCTCACACCAGTTAGAATGGCAATCATTAAAAAGTCAGGAAACAACAGGTGCTGGAGAGGATGTGGAGAAATAGGAACACTTTTACACTGCTGGTAGGACTGTAAACTAGTTCAGCCATTGTGGAAGTCAGTGTGGCGATTCCTCAGGGATCTAGAACTAGAAATACCATTTGACCCAGCCATCCCATTACCGGGTATATACCCAAAGGACTATAAATCATGCTGCTATAAAGACACATGCACACGTATGTTTATTGCGGCATTATTCACAATAGCAAAGACTTGGAACCAACCCAAATGTCCCACAATGATAGACTGGATTAAGAAAATGTGGCGCATATACACCATGGAATACTATGCAGCCATAAAAAATGATGAGTTCACGTCCTTTGTAGGGACATGGATGAAATTGGAAAGCATCATTCTCAGTAAACTATCTCAAGAACAAAAAACCAAACACCGCATATTCTCACTCATAGGTGGGAAATGAACAATGAGAACACATGGACACAGGAAGGGGAACATCACACTCTGGGGCCCGTTGTGGGGTGGGGTTAGGGGAGAGGGATATCAATGGGAGATATACCTAATGCTAGATGACGAGTTAGTGGGTGCAGCGCACCAGCATGGCACATGTATACATATGTAACTAACCTGCATGTTGTGCACATGTACCCTAAAACTTAAAGTATAATAATTAAAAAAAATAAAAATAAAAATAAAAAAAGAGATATGAGAGTTGGCAGGGGCTAGAAATCCAGTTTAAAAAAAAAGTGAGATAAATAATCATCTAAAAATGATTTTAAAATTTTAAATAATTTTCTATTCTAAGACAAATGTTCTGTTTTAGGAAATATTTAATCATTATTTTCTTCATTAGGAATGGGTTTATAGTACAGAAAGAATTAAACAACCATAAAAGCGGACTCATTTGTAGGACAAAATAACACAGTATGGGGAAAATGATCCTTTGCACTTCTGAGTAGAGAACAGCCAGAAGAAACCATTCTTCATAAAGATGTTCACTATCATGTTACTTATAATAACAAAATGAGGAATTGAAAAGATGCTAGACAAAAACAGTTTCAACTAAAATATGACTTCTTTACTTAATGAGATTACACAGGCATTAACAGTGATGTCCCATAGTATATGGAAATACATAAAAATTTAAGGATATCAAGTTAAGTGTTAAAATATAATGCCACATGGTATATTCAGGTTAACTTTAAAAAGGTGAAAAAAAAACCTAAAAATCAGGAAGGTAATTTTAATAGTGTTTCTATTTATATATTAATTGTAATTCTTCTTATATAACTGTATCACAGGTTTTTAAATGTTTAAATTCTTTTTCTTTATTATTTTAAAATTTTGTATGATTACATAGTTATGGTATGATAAAATGTTAAAATTCACTTTTCAAATTACAGCATAACACTTATAATAGTAATATTAGATGATATCATCTTAGCACTCACCATCAGCTATGCATAGTTATAAGCAATTTTCATGAATTAACTCATTTGATTTTATTTACAAATGGAATACAGAGGGACAAAATGTTAATAGCTCGCTTCATATCACAAAACTAGTGAAAAACCCAGGATTAAAATACAAATGGTATACTGCCAGAGTTCTAAGGTAACTGAACCAATTTACTCTCTCACCTGCAATGGATGAACAATTTGGCTGAATCTTAACAAAGCTTAGGCTTTTTAACGTGCTTGTATCATTCTCTTCAGTGTCTGGTGTTATCTCCTGATACTTAACATCAATTTTCTTGATAAGTAATGATGGTGAGTGCATATTCATATGTTTATAGGTGGTTTATCAATAGACTTAGTTCAAATGCCTGTTTAGGTCTCTTGCCCTTTTCAACTGAATTGTTTGTTTATTATTGATCTATATCAATTCTTTTTATATTTCACATACAAGTCATTTGCCACCATTTTGAAACTACTGGATGGAAACGACTTGCCCACAGATCAGGAGTTCATGTAAGAACTCTGGACTCTAGTCTTCCACACTTTCTGGCTATCATTATTCTCTCTTCCTTCTTTCTCTTCTTCCTTTTCTTTCCTTCTCTTCTTTCTTTTCTTTTCCCTTCCTCCCTTCCTCCCTTCCTCCCTTCCTTCCTTCCCTCCTTCCCTCCTTCCCGCTCCCCTCCCCTCCACTCCCCTCCCTTCCCTCACTTCCTTCCTTCCTTCCTTCTTTCCTCCCTTCCTTTCTCTCTCTGTCTCATAAATCTTCCACACTTCTCCTCTTTTCTAAAACTTTTAACTGGGCTCCCTGGAACCAGTGTGCAAAAAAAAACAAATTATCCTTTTCCTTTCTAAATGATTGCCACTTTTGCTAATAACACTTCTGAAAAGAGGCAGCTCACTCTCTCAATCCTTACAACTGCTATAGTTTTAAGGGCAATCTCTTGGCCTTCCATCAAAATTACCATTTGTCCAGCTACAAAGCTGGACTTGAGGTTCATGAAATCTTTACACTTGAGGTTCATGAAATCTAATAGTTCTCCTCTACCCTTATTCATTACTGTCAAGTAATAACTATTTTTAAAACTCTGCAACTATCCTGGATGGTTTTAAGGATAATATCCAATAAGTCATTCTCAGAGTTCCCTTACTTTCTAACATCTAATGAACTTCCCCTGCACATCAGTTGAGCCACCCAGATTCATGGCTGCATATTGGATCTTACCATCATCTGAAAATAATCTATTTTGAAATCACATCAAATCCTAATGTTCTACTCTCTGCTACAGTTTTCTCTCCTGGTTGCCTAATTTTCTTTCTCTGTTGGTGTCTCTTGACTATTCACATTGCAGTCTCCTAGTGATACTCTCATATCTCTTCTGCTCCCTGCTTTACATTTCTTTTACACCACACTGCTAGCAAAGCTGTCTTTCTACAACACAAAGTTAATCATTTAAGCTCATATTTATATTGGATAAAGCCGATCTCCTTGACAAGACAGGCCAGGAAGCCATTATCTTGGACCTTGTATTTTCTCCCTCTCCAGCCTCACCCTTACACATGCCCTTTAAAAAATATTTTGGAGTTTCATGATCACACTATGTACTCTCTTGTCACTGAGACTATTTATATAAACATCACTTTACATTTTCCTTCAAAATACCTATTTATGCTCAGACATCATTTCTTTAAGAAAAAGTTTAATTTACTGTTTTCCCTTGGGATGGATTAAGATTCCCACCTCTAGAGCCCCTGTAAGTGAGTATGTATCACACCCTAATATTTAACCTCTTTGGATGCTTCATCTAATTTACTCTGAATTGCAGGAAAGAAGACAACTGCTCTTATCTGGATTTTTAGCTCCATTGTCTTTAGTAAAAATTAAGGGGAAGAAAAAGGAAGAAAAGAAAGAAGGAAGGAAAGAAGGCAGGAAGAAAAGAGGAAAGAGAGGAAAAATAAACAGTAGAAAGCGAGCACTGCAGATATTGTGTATAAAAATAATGCAATGATCTTAAAGGTACCTTTAAGAAATAAAAATAACAATTCATATAAAACAATGGTTACTTATGTATCATACAACTTCAACTTTAAATAATCAGCATATTAACACTATGTCATTCATAATTCCAATTTATCAATATAAAATATTGATATTGATATGAAAAAAAGGCTAGGTAATTAACCCCTTTGTTAGAGAATTAAGAACCTTGCTCTTCAAGATCGATCGTGTTCTTGGCAAGAGCATGGATGGAGCTAAAGGCCATTTTCCTTAGGAAACTAATGTAGGAACAGAAAACCAAATACCACATGTTCTCACTTATAAATGAGAGCTCGATGATGAGAACACATGGACAGATAGAGGGCAACAACGACAGAGGGTGGAGGGTGGGAGGAGGAAGAGGATGAGGAAAAATAAGTAATGCATAGTAGGCTTAGTACCTGGGTGATGAAATAATCTGTACAACAAGCCCCCGTGACACAAGCTTACCTATATAATAAACCTGTACATGGACCCTTGAACCTAAAAGTTAAATTAAAATAAGGAATATTGTTTCTAAATTATAACACAAAATGTGTACATACAGAAAACAAAACTAAATCATGGAGGTGAATACAACAGAAATGATTTTTGTGATAATCTGCTTGATTTTACTCTTCAAAGTTTAAAATGTGATTTTCTCATGAGATATCTCAAGTCTTCTTTTGTTGATGGTGGCAGAATTAATTGAATAAAAGCCCCTCCAAAACTGAAAAATAATTACATAAATATGTGCACTCTTAAAGAGCCACTTTACCTCATCATAAAAATTATATAAAACTTAGAATGAATGTAAAACTAAAATATAATTCTAGAGAAATTGATCAGATTTGTAGCCTCCTATATGAGATTACTCTAAAATCAAAGGGATTCTATAGGCCTATTTTATCGATTTCTGTGACCTCACAAATTTATGTACTACCCAAAATAATTTCAAAAGTATGGACTTAAGCCATTGCAGAGAAACAGAAGAGAAATTTATGAATAGAATAGTGATAAAGGTATATATAAACACATAAAAATAAACAACTTATATTCCAACATCATAGTTCAATGTTAGTATAAATTTAATTATAAGCTTCTTAAGTACCAAAAATAAAAGCATGATGGCAACGACACATGAAGTCTAAGAGATAACATCATGATAAACAGAACTGAGAAGAACTTTTGTCAGGTAATGAAGGACATTTCCAACATATCTTTTTTTGTTAAAATAGGGAGTTTTATATGATTAATTTTTAAAACTCCCTTTCAATGCAGGCTGATGACATAATTGCTGAAGCCCAATTTAATTTAAGAGAAACTGAGAAGGGCTAAAACAACATAGACTACATCTGTCTTGAGTTAGGGGTAAATTAGAACATAGAAGAGTGAGTGGCTTGCATATGGCCTCATTAGGCCATATTCCATATGAGATTATTAAAATTTATTTGCAATGTCACTTTGTTTTGGATTGGCCAGCTGAGATTTCAGTGTGTTATCTGCAGCAAGAACCAAGAATGCATTTTTTAATAGATTCTATTAAAGGCAGAACATCTGTTTTGACAATCAGTTGGGAAGGGTTAATGGCCTTTTATAAATTAAGCAGCTTATCATGAGTCTCGATGAGTTGGGATTCATCCTACATTTTTTTGGAAGTAAAATAAGGGGAGGATTTAAGGAAATCTACCTTTGTAAACAGTTTCTGACCTCTCTTCAATATGGCAGTAAATGAACTATAGCTATAATTGTTACCAGAACATTTTTTTTCTTAAAAAAAAGCATTCTAAGTACCTAAACACAGTCATGGGAAAATCTTGACTAAATCACACATTAAATAAATTTTAAGTAATATAGATTTTTGATAGTACTTTCAAAAGATACTGGATGCCAATTGCAACCTCAGAAAACTAATTATATCTGATGTAGGGAATCATTGTTTAATTTTTATTTGAATGAAAACACCATATGATAATAATTTTAATTTCAGAGTAGTTGATTTTAACCCATTTTTATGGCAACAGCCATTATCAAGGCCAATTATCTGTGAAAGCCGTTTGTAATGCATGCTTATAAAAAGCATTTCATCAGTGCAGAGGAGATGCTTACCTTGCTAATCTCTGGAAATGGTGAGCATATATCTACTGAATCATTAACCTACAGCTTATAACAACGATTGGGGAGGAATGGGAAGGCTGAGAAGGGTGGTACAAATTTTTTTTAATGACCCTGGAGAAGGTGTTCTAAAATATGAGAAGACAATGGCTATGGATCTTGACCTTGTGGTATGTCATTAAGATACAAGGCTATGTGAGCTTCAACCAGAAATTAAGGATCCACGCTGTATTTATAGAGGTCATTCAATAACCAATTCCTAACTACAGAGTCAACGACTAAGGAAAAAATAAAACTAGACATCTTAAGTTCTCTAATATTTTTTATAATGTGATAGAGATAATATCAATATCCACTTTGTATTAACTGAGTCTGAACCTCATCTGCTCCTCTTAGAGAAGATTAGCCAAAGAAACTGGGGCATACAATTTCTTAAAGAGGAAACTGGTACTAAATAATAAAAACCAAAACAACATGATATATGTGAGGACTAACGATTTGCTTTAAATGAAGGGCTACAGGTCATGCAGTGTGAAATTATTCCTGGAAAGTTACTGAAAGTTCGCAGACTGAAAAGGCTCAGAGCCTATCAGCTGGAGCTGATTAAGCAATTTTGTGGGCAGAACAGTTTCATTAATTTGTTTGAAGTATGATCACTTAAATAGTTAATGTGTACAACAGTCAATATTTTTATTCCGTGACAAGAAAGTAACCTTTTAATTCGGACTTAGCTAGGTGGGCAAAATTTTAAAGCAAAGTGATTTAAATTGATTTATTAACACATACGAGACCCGAAGGGCTTGACACAACAAGTGCACTTAAAGAATTACAAGCAGTTCAATTATCCTTGATTTCTAGTGGATAAGGTACTATATGAGAGAATGAGTAGGTTGATCCAGTTAAAGACCCTTGTTTACTGTAATAGAGTGTTTGGGATTCAAATAGGGAATCACCAAAAATATTTTAAGAGTGAGAGGGACTTATAATATTTGCATTTTTTGAAAGTTGACCCAGGAAGCAGGTTGGGGTGTACAGAAAGGAGGTAGTTCACAAGGATGCTACTGGGACAATCCTAGAATAAAATTTGTGAGGCTGGTATACAAGACAGTCACAGTTGGGCTGAAGTAAAGAGACAGGATTAAGAACATTAGAATAGAATTGAGTAATATTATATTCCAGATGAGAAATAAAAAATGCTACTTAGGTTTCTAGTTTGGGAAAGTTGGGGTGTGAAGGTTTCAGTAGCTGAGATACAACAGATAAAATCTCTCTATTGGGATTTGGAGAAAATCTCAGAGCACAGCTCTGGAGTGATAACCACTCGGGCTCCACTTCTAAATTGCCATGTACTATTCATGGGACACTGGGAAATTTACTTAACCTCTTTGTTTCTCAGTTTCCTCATATGTAAAATGGGAACAATTATAATATTTATCTTATGTTGTCACTTTGAAAACAAAATGAATTTATATATTGTGTTACTTATAACCATACCCCTTCATAATCTCAATTCCTACCTCACTCACTCTCAACCTGACACCATTTACCTTGATTCCAACAACCTTTGACTTCACTGTAATTTACAATGTACTATTTCTAAAATCTATTACTGTACCTCATATTTAATGTTCTTACTTCCCTCACTTCCAGCTCAAATTCCACGATTAAGCCTTACAATTACTCCTTTGCATATATTCTCAACTCTCTGGCTGCCCTCTCTGTACATCACATTTGCCAAAAGACACGGTCACATGAAGACTGGGCTGTGCCTATTCCATTCATAAAGCTGGAATGTAACTAGATAAATATGACTGAATGTGAGTAAAGAAATATATTCATCCAAGCCGACTGGAATTATATACTAAATGGATGATTATTAACTAGAGGTAGCTGCTCTTTTCTCCTTGAAAATCACAGTTTCTTTGAACAATTTTGTTCCCACTTTCCTAGGTGACACAGGCTTCTTACACATCTTGCACCATCCTCACTCTAGCTAATGACCCAGGTTTCTATTTCTTTGAGAAAACAGAAGTATTATATCTTTTTGCCATTGTTGCCCCTCAACACTACACAGATTGTTCCTTTTAAAATATAAGTCAGATAATTTCTGGTTCTGGTCGGAATCCTCTAATGGCTTCCTATTTTATTCAGAGTAAAGGCCAAAGATTTTACAACGACCTAAATTGTCCCACCCAATATAAAAATCGTATGATATCTTTGAACTTCTATTTTTCCTCCTATACACTCAGGGCTAGCCACTAATCCCCCCAGTGCCTTTGAGATCTGTCAAGTGTCTACTGCCTCAGAATCTGTTGGTGAAGTTCTGTCCCCAGATAGCCACAGAGGTGACTCCCTCAAATCACTCAACTCTACTCAACTGTCTCTTCAGTGAACATCTTGACAGCCTCTTTTATCACTGCAGCCCCAACATTTCTTCTTTCTCTGCTTTAATTTTTCCCTTGACATTGAAAACAAAACCAGTACTTATTTATTGTGTATATTTAAGGCATATGATTACTGTACAATTAATGTTTTGATATTGTTAAACAAAAATTATCAAAGTCCATTGTTTTGGACTGAGCTCCTACAGGAGGCCCCAACAGACCAGACCAGACCAAACCAAAATGGAAACCAAACTTTAGTACAAACAACTTGTACTAAAGTGTCACATAATCAAGCTGAAATTTTAAGGAAGCAAACTGAATCCCAGAACACATCAGTTGTTTCTAAAAATGTGAAATTCAAGTCTACCTGACTTGGGATAATAAGGATGTAACCTCTCCTTTAACTCTTTACCCAAAGAGTAACCTGAAGTAACATGATGTTAAACAATCAGCTTTTGTTTTGTATTATTGTGTTTTCTTGTTCCCACCTTACAAAATCCACTGTTCTATGTCTAGTGGGAGCTCTCATTCTACTCTGTAGAATAGATGCTGTCCTAATTCATGAATAAAGGCCTATTTGATCTATAAATAAATGTGTTGTTATTTTGTTTTCAATAGTGTAAATATTCATAGTGAAATAATTATTATAGTTAAGCAAATTAACATAACCATCTCCTCACATCTCCTCATATAGTTACCCTTGTGTGTGTGCATGTGTGTGTGTGTATGTGTGTTAAGAGCACCTAGTCTCTTGGCAGATTTTCAGTATGTTATACTATATATATATATATATACACACACACATTTTTTTTTGAGACAGAGTCTCACTCTGTCACTCAGTCTGGAGTGCAGTGATGCAATCTTGGCTCACTGCAACCTCCGCCTCCAGGGTTCAAGCGATTCCCCTGCCTCAGCCTCCTCAGTAGCTGGGATTACAGGTGCCTGCCACCACGTACAGCTAAATTTTTGTATGTTTAGTTGAGATGGGGTTTCACCATGTTGGCCAGGGGGGGTCTTGAACTCCTGACCTCAAGTGATCCACCCACCTCGACCCCCCAAAATGCAGGGATTACAGGCGTGAGCCACCATGCCCAGCCATGTTGTACAATATTAGCTATAGTCATCATACTGTACATTGGATTTCTACAATTATTCATCTTATGTAACTGCAACTTTGTACTCTTTGACCAACATCTCCCCACTCCTCCCCTCTTCATATCTTCAGGGATCAACATTCTACTCTGTTTATGTATTTTAGTACAACCAGGTACTAAATAATTTATTTAGTTTTATTGTTTATTGTCTACATTACCCCTGCTGGAATGTAAACTCCATAAAAGCAAAGATTTGTCTTTGTTTTAATGTTTTCTTTCCTACCTATAATACTGTTTGGCACATACTAGGCATGCAATGAATATTTACTGAATAAATTAAATAATATTTTAGCATAGTCTCTGGGATAGCATATATGCTCAATCAAAAGAGCTATAATTATTGCAGTAGTAAATAATAATATATCGGGTATATGCACTTAAAATAATATGGGTCCTGCAGGTGGCAGTTCTAGGTTTGGAATTTAGGATAATGAGCTGAACATAAATTAACATGGTAATGCAATCAACTGAATAAACAAGATCTCATTGAGAAGAATACTAAGAGAGGAATGCCATGACATAGGAGGGTAGAATCCAGGGATGCACCGACATGGGCATGTCGACATTGTGAACCCAGGAAAGATACTGAAAGCAAGTATCCAGAGAAACAGAGAAAGGACCAGGAGTGAGGTATAATGGAAGTCAATGAAAGGTAGACATTTTGGAAGGACGAAATGCTCAATAGTCATCACACGCTTCAGAGTAGATAGTACCACAAAAATGGTAAACAACAAATGCTGAGATATAAATTATTAAAACTGTGGGGATATTTAATGATTAGAGATGAATCTTCAGAATAAAAACTGTCTAAAAACAGCAATGAAAGATTTTTCAAGATTGTTCAAAGACAAGAAAATTCACGTAACACACGCTCTTTACATTTGATTCTCTCAAAAAAAGAAGTGATAGCATAATAAAAAGAATACACCTTATGTTTGAATTTATATAACTAGAGGTTGACATAAGTGGGCCAAGGAGGCAGACCCCAGGCTCACTGAATTGAGTGGGGTCTTGCACAGACAGATGGGTAGTAGGAAGAAATCATAGATCTCATCTTAGAGTTAAAATCTGAGATCAAAAATGCATCTAAACCAGTAAAATTGCCATATTTCAAAATAAGAATATAAATAATACAAAAATTCTAGAAGTCTTCAAGACAACACTTAAATGAATAAAAACAACATTTAAATTAACCTAAAATGTAAAGTATTTTTATATGGCTCTCATTTTATTTAATTAATCTTATTTACCATAGGATGTCTAATAAACCTTACATGAAGAAAGGAAATTTAGAATTAGTTATTGCTATACTCAGCAATATGGAGGTATTTTCTTTTCCTCTATTTTTGTAGTTTGAGAAAATGAAGCATTTTTAATAATTTTGTGAAATAAAGGCATTTAAAATACAACCAGTATTTTACAGATAATTAGAATCATAAGTGGTACAAAATGAGTAATATGATTAATTTCTAGGTTGACCTTTAGAAAAGTATTTTTCTATCATTTCTTAGTTGTTATAATTTTATTATATCAAATGGAAGTTCCAGCCATTTAATTTCCATGTTGTTTTTCAAAATGAGAAGTGCATCATGGATATAAAATAGTTTGTTTTTTAAAATAACTTTAATTTTCAAAGTAATTTGGGTTTTGAATATGAATATTGTTTGAATATCTGCTTCTCTTCCTACCAAGGTTCGTTCTTTTCATAGTTACTTTACTCATGCATTTTCATTTCTATACTTATTGAATTAAGTAATTATTTTGCAGGTAGTTAAATTTATTGTTCAATAAAATTTTTTTTTTAAAAAACAGCTAATAGCAGTGCATAACTTTCTTCATGGATGTGTCATCATTTTAGGTAGCCTCTAACCTAGATGAGAGCCCTCAACATTGCAGATATATAATGTGCATCTCCAGCAAAATTGCCCATAAGAATAACTTCATTATTCTGGGAAGCTAGATCTATAAAATATATAAAATGTTGAAGTCTTCTGCCTTTACAATTCCTGGTAAGTAGCAGCACGACTAAGTGATAAAACCTGAGTCAGCGTCATTTCAAGCATATCGTTCTAGAAAGCGTATTTTGACAGAAGGAAAAAGGAAATATAGTGGACAAAGGTGTTCTGTTTCAGAGTAACGACGTATTTTAGATCTATATACTTCTACCTTGATTGATGAAAAATTATCTCTAGAAGCTTTTAATGGTATACGATACTGATAAGTCACAGCAATCCTAAGTTATAGTAGAATGATAAGGAAAAACTCACCAGTACCACTGGACAGATTGTTGTGGGTGGTAAAATATGGTCCTTCAAAGGTCCACAGTCACATTCAGGTTTTAGATGAGAAGCACATTTATTATGCAGCTAGAAAAACAGAAAGGGGGATAGTATCAAATTCTACATGACAACGCCTAACATGGGGGAGATTATATTTCAATCGAGATACAGCAAACACATTAAAAGTACAATAAAGAAATTATAAGAACAAATAAACAGAGTCATAAAGGAATTCATAATACATTTGTCCTTATATATGAACCCTAAATAAACCATCTAGCAGCTTCTGTGACCCATTCTATACATTTTATAATTCTCAGAAATGTTTATATTAAAAATGTACTTTAGGTTTTACACCAAAGAACCCTGATTTCTTTGACAAACACAAATTATTGTCCATTACAGTTCTTCCTTTGCTTATCTGTTAGCATAATCTTGAAACCACTGTGCCTGTGTATGCTTTTTTTTTTTTTTTTTGACCCTCCTGTTTTCTCAAAGTCATTCCAAAGTGCACAGCTCAGTATGGGGCATAATTGATCCCATCATTAGTTTTAACTTTGTAATTCAATATGTAAATGTAACCAGAGATTCATCTCAGTAGGAGCAGGATATAAATAAAAGAAGATGATTATGATTATAAAAATTTATCTGTATATTGTATTTATCAGCTCAACGTTAAGTTAGTATATAATCATACAATGTCCTATTTATTTTTTAATATGTATGAGCCCAAACTAATATTTTTATTAACCTGGTCATAAGTTTACATTAAGGTGTTACAACGTGGTGTTTTAAATAGTGATGTTTTAAAACTGAGATGGTAGTTTTTTAAAGAATTACACAGATTTGGTAAAATAATACTTGCTTGAGGGCATCTAGAGATTTCTCCCTCCTGCACTATGCATTAATTTGATATGAACTCTTCATACTTTAGAAAAAAATATACATTTCAATAAGATAACATGTTATGTTCAAAACAAAAAAGAGCCACATTATTTTTCCATTTTGAATCAAAAGCTACCTCATTTAAGCCTTGGCTGCATTAATTTCCACAACATACATACCTTTGTGAGCAGTTAATTATCAACTAAGCATAGGAGTCTAATGAGAGTTGATTTATTTTTAGTAATAGAACAGTATCAAAGAGGTATTTCTGCGGTCCTAGAATCTAACACTGCTGTCATGCTAACTCCCTGCATTGGAGTTAAGATGACTTGTACTGTAATTAATGCCCATTAGGTTACATTACATGAAATAAACGTATCTTTCCATGTTCATCCATAATTAGCAGCTCTGCTTCTCAGGGGCATATAAACTTCTCTATAAAAAAGTGATTTAATTGTATTAGGCACTACTGGTCTTTGTCAAGAGGCAAGAAGTGTTGAAGATAGAGAAGCAGCTGAATGCACAATAGAACTAAATAAACTGATACTCAGAGCAAATTAAAAGGTATAGTTTCCTCAAAATAAAATTAGTGACTTGTTTAAAATGTATTATTAATTTATTGGACCTAGTAATTAACTTTCTTAGAATCTGCCATGGCCATGGATGTTTGGATTTAGAGTTAACAGATTAGCAAGTGTTGGGATGGATCAATTTCTCCCAAAAGATATGCTGAAGTCCTAACTTCTGGGACCTTTGAATGTGAACTTAATTGGAAATACGGTCTTTCTAGATGTATTTAAGCTAAGATGTTGGTTTAGCTGGACCCTAATCCAATGACTGGTGTCCTTATAAGAAGAGGGGAATCTGGACAGAGAGACAACGGCACAGAGAGGAGAAGTCCCTCTGATAACATAGGTCGATATCTGAGTGATGCACTACAAGACAAAGAATTCCAGGGATTGCTGGCAACCACCAGAAGCTAGGAAGAAGCAGAAAAGGATTCTTCCAGAAAGCCTTCAGAGGGAGGATGACCTGCTGACATTTGGAATTCTAGCCTCCAGAGCTATGAGTGAATACATTCTTGTTGTTTTAGGCACCTATTATATGACATTTTGTTACAGCAGCCCTAGGAAACTAATAAACCCAGTACTATGAAAACGGCACTAAAACCAAAGAGAGATTATGGGTCTTAAGACTCTGCTGCACTATGGATGTCACAGAGAAAGAGCTTTGGCTCTTTAATCTTGGGCAACTTCCTTAAAACTGAGAAAACAGACGCTAAGAACCCTCTACAAAAAACAGATCTGAGATAAAAACCTATTTGTGTTTACAGCAAGAAAGTGTTGAAATATTATTCTTGATTACAGTGTAAAGCTAAACACGTGACTCTGAAGGCCACAGGGGCAGGACATACTGAGTCTTATGCCAACGCTGACTACAGATGCAGTCAGAGGCCTCAGCCTCCTCCACACCTCCATCCATGTGTTTCCAACAATTTGCAACTGACATGGTAAAGGACGACTAAGCTCTCTGTATAGTTATTTGAGGGTTACTGATGTAAGAAAGGATGACAAAAATAAAATTAATTTGATGATAGTTTGGGGGCATTTAGGCTAGTTTCCCAGAAGGAAGGAAAGAATCGAAGACTCAGATAGAATCATGCAATAGATGAGCTTACCAGAGTGTGTGTGAAGGGGCAACTCTGTATATTGGGATTTGGGAGTTTCAGAGCATAGGTACTGACAGTTGATTCCATGAAATTCTGGTCTTTGCAGAGCCAAATAAATCTAGTATGGGATTTCCCAGTTTGATTGCCGCTGTGGTCCTGAGTTTTGTCTAGGCGGTCGTAAGGCACTCCCCAAGACATAGGAGGATCTATAAGTTTAGTAACCATACTATCATCTGTTAAACAGAGTCACACAATGCAAGAAAATTCTCCTAACCAAGAAGTCTATATTTGATAATATGCAGGAATACCTTATGCTTGTATTAAGACTAGAATCTGGCAGCTAATAAATACATTTTCTTAACCATCAACATTATGACGTTGTTTGTAGCCAAGAGTGTTAAAACTGAGGGCATCATGTTAGGAGTACGGATCATTTTACAAGTCGTGAATCAAATTTGTATGACAGGTTTAGTTTATGCATCATATTTCTTGGAGATATACTTGAGGAAAAAATATACAATGTGAAAGCCAATGTGAAAAATGTGTATCATTTTCAGGACCACCTATAAAGTGTAAAAGTGAATATCATCTTTGCTGTGAACTTAAAATTGCTCTAAATCATAAAGTCTATTTTAAAAAGCAAAAATCAACAAAATTATACAATAGAATTCAAAAGCTACAAATTTTTTTTCTTTAAGATACTGGTAATATTTTGTTTCCTGATCAGGTACTGCTTACAGAACATTCATGTGGGGAAAATTCATTGGGCTCTGCCCTTTGGATATAAATGCCTTTCTGTATGTACACTTTCCTTCAATGAAAAGCTTTTTATAGTTTGAAAGAATGAATAAGACCTACTATGTGATAGCACAACAGGGTGACTACAGTCAGTAATAATTTAATTGTACATTTTAAAACAACTAAAAGAAGGTAATTGGATTGTTTGCAACTCAAAGGATAAATGCTTGAAAGGATGGATACCCCATTCTCCATGATGTGCTTATTTCACATTGCATGCCTGTATCAAAACATCTCATGTGCCTCATAAATGTATATACCTACTAAGTACCCACAAAATTAAAAATAAAAAAATTAAATAAGTGAATATCATCAACAATAGAAAGTTGCTTAAACTTATCATCATATTTCGTGGACAAGAATATAAGAAAAAGACACAGCTGGGTCCTTCTCAGTGTAAATAAGATGCTGAAGGCTGACTATTGTTTTAAAGATAACCTATATCCCAAATCAGCAAAATCCTAAACACCAGGGTCCTCATCAAGAATAGAAATGAACTACAGCATTGAAGATGCTGCCTCTTTAGTAAAATAACCAATAGCGCACCAGAGAAAATCAAATGTTTACTATTTAAAATTTAAAAAAACATTTTTGTTCAGTTATCTTTGTATTTTTTTCAAGCCAAGGCATAGAAATCCTTAGCTCATTTTTAAATATACATCCAGAAATTCCCATTCATGTTAAGGGATTCAGTGCCATATGTAGGAAAATCATATAATAGAAACCAGCTTTTCCTGGAAGTGAATTAAACACTTGGAAATAATTTCAGAGTTTATGACAACTTCCAGTAGCACCTAATTTAGAGCCAGATCTATGTTTATTAGAAAAAGCTGTCTCAAGATAGAAAGAAAAAGAAAGTGTGTGGATGTCTGTGTGCATGTGTGCCAGCATATAGTTCTATGGATGGAGTTAGGAAGAGTGGCTGCGCTGGTCAGAGAAGAAAATGGGATCTGAGAAGTCAAAAGGAGGAAAAATGGAAAATAAGTGTTCATAGGAATTTAGAGGAAAATAAGAAGAGAAATAAGCTACTTTTCTAAAGAAAAATTTGAAGACCTGATTTGGAGGCACATATTTACTGGTTCACCTGTTACACTGGCCCCTAATATTTTGCAGTTTGGGGTACTTCCTAAGACTGGCATTTACTGAAGCAGAAATGTTTCCATGGCATTGGAAACCTTTAAACATTACTGTTAGGAATTTAGTATCTTAATAAACAATATTATCTCTATATCATAGCAAAAGTTAGTAATTCATTTTTATGAAATAGGTGTTATTTTTTCAAGCCTAAATAAAATCCCTCAACTTCCCATCCTGGTGAGTCCTGCCTGACCAGTGAGAGCTTACCTTGACAAGCAATGATTCACAACATGTTATACAACGAAGGTCAAGAAAACACAGTTTCAGAAGAAATGAACAGGTATAAGCAGTGGGATATTAAGGATGTTAGTAATCAAGACAGAAAAGAGAACTGAGGTGAATATTTTGCCTGTCACAGAGGATTGAAATATAAAACACAGAGACTGGTTGCCTAATTATCAGAAGGCAGTTTTCCACTGATCTTTCCTAAGCTTTTCGTATTTTTAATTTTGAAGTGGCTAGATTTACAAATGAACAGAAAATTTCATTCTAAGAGCCTAACTTTATATCTACAAGATAGCCAACTAGTAAATCAAGAAACTGCAAGTATGAACTGAAAAATGGGTGTGAAAATTGATTCTTAAGTATTTGTTTAAGTTTACTTGCATATCTGATGGAGATTTGAGTATTACAGGATGATATTATAAAACAAAACTTAAATAGTACATATGTTTGAAATTTAATATTCTACTGTAAGAATAGCATATCAGAGATTAAAGTGATCTTACTGAAGACTTTTCTACACTCAGTACTTTGTCAAGAACTTCAGGTGATTAGGAAAAAATGTGTGACATGGACAAGCAACAGGAGCGGGCCACAGTTAACAGTGCAAACGATGTTAGACTATGGTGTGAAACCAATGGAGAGCATTTGAGTTTTTCCTTTGGATGTGGAATGTAAGTACAGAAACTATTCAGAATCAAGATATATTAGCGTCAAGAAAAATTTCAAGGAAGACAGGTAACCTAACTTGTTTCCTAAGGTATGATTAGAATTTAAGACAGGTGCATTCAAGGGACCGGGATGAACAAAATAGTAGGCATGAGGGAAACATGGCCTCCCCAAGGGACTGCCAACAGAAATACACAGCTATGGCAGAGGGTGTGTGTAGAAGAGGAATATTATATACAGTTATGTTTAGGTTTGATTCTGATTTCTAAAGAACTAAAAACCAACTTGATGCAAGGGGTGTTGAGGGCTGCATTTATTATCACAGAACTATTATAGATTGCTAAAGAAGGCATATAACAAACTAGTATTTTCAGAAGATCTTTCTGGAGGTGGTATGCAGCCTGCATTATAGGAAAAGTACCTTCTGTTAGGGAGATGAGCCAAGAGATTTTGACTCTAATCTAGTCAAGAGGTGCTAAGAGCTTGCACTAGGGCTGCGAATGTGGAGACAAAACCTCAAATCTGAGAGAGATATTTTAAGTAGGAAATGACAAGACTCAGTGACAGGTTGTGTACAAGAGATAAAGGTAAAAGACAAGAGTAAAAAAAATTGACTTCAAACTTTTTTTCCAGTGACTGGAAGCATGACAATACCAGGTCTGATAGAATGAGAGAGTTGTAGTAACAGTCTTTGGGAATAAAAATCAGTCAGTTGGGCTTAGGATTTAGTGAGATTCAGGACCACAGGATTCTGGATGTTTTTTTGAGTGCATGCAGGTGCTGTTCTGACTCAGACTGGACAACTATCCATCCTTCTACAGGAGAGAGAGAAATGACGTAAGTGTTCTTCATGGAGTGCCCTCTGGAAAACCAGGGATTGGTTTATGTGCACCCAAATGTATTTATGTATTTCATAATACCCACAAATATAATTGTTACTTACTAAGCACTTAATATGTATGAGGTCTTGTCCTAAACATATCTACAGAGAATTTTTTGCCCCTTTAATCCTCATAATAATCTAATAACTTAGGTATCATTAACTCCATTTGACACATTAGGAAATTTGTCTAAACTGGTTACATAAATGGCCCAAGATGGCACAACTAGTAAGTGAGGAGACGATCTTAAGAATCTGGTTGGTCTGAGTTGCAACAGTCAAATCATTTCCAAAAGTCATATATAAAAGGAAGTAATGGCTTTTGGACAAACCCTGAAAGAAAGCCAAGCATCATTCTTTCTGTTTCTCTCTACAATATATTCTTCACGGAACCCGAATTTCAGATAGGCCTTTCTGAAGCCAGCACTGGCAGTGCCATATCCCATTACTCCCATAACTTCTGCTAGCTCTTTGTTATGTCCATAGTACTTTCTGGAAAGTGTAAGAGCAAAAGAAAGTACATTCAGTTGTTTAAAGGCAAGCAGTAGTAGTAGATACTCATCAGTCAAGAGCAGATCAATTTTATGCTGAAATTTTCATGCAATGGTTCAATAGAAAACTATAAATACTACTAAATACATAAATGTTCTGAGGTAAATATATCCTGTTTAACCAAGGCACAAAATCAATAATTAAGTAAATGTGTCCCTAAAATTGCTTAAAATTAAAAATCCGGAACTGGATGGAGGCTGAAGTGACTTTTGAGAAACTGATAGAGTCTCCTGGATATATGATAACTTTTTAAAAATTTGCACAAGTTGTGTTTTATGAACTTAATACCCATAAGACCCCTAAAGCTCATTGTTTATAGAAAATAAGGCTGAGGATGGATAAAAGTCTCAGGACTTTAGAGAGTTTAGTAAGAGGGCAGCCTTTTTTTTTCTTTCTGACTCTGCCTTAACTCCACCAGAGATCCCTGGTTAGCCTTGTTTCCTAAATAGAGCTTTGAGATTGATTAATTGACTTATTTATTAATAATTTTGAACTTGGGGATTTAAGACATTTGCTGTTTATGTTGTGCTTTGCCATAATGACAAACAAAATCACATTCAGCTATTCAATGGTATTTAGTGTAAGAATAAAATGTTAAGGGTATATTGTCTTATCTGATTTGAGACATATGATATTTAGATTTTTAAAAGTACAGTCTATTGAAAAGTGATATCCTTTTTCCTGTAAAAGAAACTGCCTCTTTTCCTGTAAGGCTAGGGTCAGGATCAAGACCAAAGAAAAATGAATAACTTGTGAATGGTAGGGCTAGGTGTGGATTCTGAAGTACCAGATAAGAAGAACCATTAAAACAAAAAGGAAAACAATGAGAAAAACAAAAAGCAAAACCATGAGGAAAACAAAATGGAATATAATACAAGGAAAGGAAGAATTTTAAGATGCTTTGTGTACCAGTAAGAGACCACTAGCAATGGTAACTTTGAGGACAGTGGTTCTCATGACTGGAAAGGGTAGAAGACAGACTTCATGGAGATTAAATAGAGAAAGAATGAGAGGATTCAAATACAGAAAATTCTAACAGCTTTGAAAGCTTTTCCATTAGAAAAGGCAGCAATGCATGTTTTTAGAGGGTTCAAACTGAGTACACACTTAAAAACATTGATTTTTTAAGAACTAAAAAAGAAAATATGAATAATAAACCTAAGACAATAAGTTTGTAATTTATGAAGAATAGGTAAACAATTGGAGATACAAAGAAGAAATTATTTCTAATATTATCTAATCTCAGCTTATGTTAAAGTTAAGATATAACCAGTGAAATATTCACTATATGAAAAAAATAAGAGGAAGCTCCCTGCAAGGTCTGAAACAAAAATGACATATGTTTGTAAATGCTTAGCAAAAAAAAAAACTGGTTTTTAAAAATCTACATGAATGTTTTTAAAAATGAAGTAGTTATGATCTTCTTAAAACTGGGAATTCAATGTTTGAGTAATTCATGTGTAAAATTTGAATCATCGTTAGACATTTTATTATACTAACCAAACACTTTTAAAAAACTATCTTTCATAATGAGAAAATTTCAAATGTAAACATAATTTAACTAATAGCTGAAAATGATTGCAGAAAATGTATTCATTTAAAGGAAAGTACTTAATTGTATTTTTGAAAAGTAAGTCAGTTGTTTTTCTCATCATTCTGTATGAGTGTGCATGTGTGTGTGAGTGTGTGTGTATGTGTGTGTGTGAGAGAGAGAGAAAAAGAGAGCATTTAAGAGAATTGTTTAAGCCCTGGGTTGAGGGTGGGGCACTTGGGGACACAGTGGAGACAGTTATTTACTTAACTGATTCAGTGCCTCCTACTGTTTTATTTTGACAAAAGTAAAAACTTTAGTCCTGTAACACGAATACTCACTCTAAGCTGGGAAACAAAACCTCAGCCCCATAAATATTTTGTACTACATTATCAAAAATAGCTATTATTGAAAATGTGTGATTCTAATTAACTTACAGAAATTACACATATAACTGTAGAAGTACCATCTAACAACTGCATTCATTCCAAAAATTTTTTCAAGCTAGATTTGACAGTCATTCAAACCAGGTGAAATTCCCAAGTGTCCCAGAAAAGACCAATTTATCTCTTCTTACTTAATTGTGAACACCATCAAGACAAGCATTTACATCAGTCTCTCTTATACCCCAATGCATGATTTAACTGAAAGAGGAAGGCAACAATATGTTGGAAGAAGCGTAAGATGAATTTTTAGATGCATCAAGACCTGAATAAAACACGGTCTACTTGCCCTTCTATCTAGTCACGTGGTCAAGGACAATCTGCTTAACTTTTTTGGTCTTAGTCTTCACTATGTACTTAAATCATTGAAGCTCATTGTTCATTTTTCTAACCCTTTTAAGCCCATAGATTTTATGACTAAAATAAGTTTACAATAAGCAAACCAGAAAACCCTTATTAAACAGGGTTGTGGAGTAAAGGGAGAGCTGAGTTCTACCCAAACAGTATCCTATTCTTATTGCTTACTCCTAGCCATGGCCTCTGATTACCTTCCTGGGAACCTCTAACACTCCATGGAACACAGTTTAAAAACCATACCATGGTATCATCTCTTAGATTGTCACCAGCTCTAAAATTCAGGACTCTATGGGGACAAATCTGACCCTGAGCCTATCTCTTTGCAAACAAGCTGAAATGAGAAGTTTCCATGGTTTTATGCTTACACTCAGTTTCAGGAAGCCCTTCTAGGGTAGGACTTTCAGAGAGTATGATATACACGTCTTCAGTGTGGGTGAATGCTGGGATTTGTTTTCCAATTTTTACTCACTGTGATCTGACACCAAACACAATGCAGTCCTGTCAGGCCCTGGTAACATTTAACAGTTTTGTGGCACTTATCACACTTGGTTGGGCAGTTACCTTCAACCCAGTAATGGTGCATGACCTAGAACAGAATGACAACATTGTGATAAGAGGACACACTACATAATGGCCACCTTCAGAAAGCAAGCATGCACACAAACTTACATCAGTGTTCCTTTTGGACTTCACATAGGTCTTGATGCAAGAGGGAGGTGCTCGAGCCACACAGCGCTCATGGACTGTGTACTTGCAGACTGAAAGGAAACAGGTACACAAATTCAGAGCTAATCCTGGTCCTGGTTGTAATTTTATAGAGAAAGAATGACATTAACAGAACCTCATTTCATATCCACTGCTCCCTAATCAATCCAATCAGCCACATCAAGGAGAAGTCCAAGTCGACTGTTTTTACCATGGAATATAAAAGGCCAATTAGTACAGGAAATATTATGCATGTGAAAAACCAAGGCTCCTCTATCATGGCATAGCAGGAAATGCTTAATTAAATCAGTCCTCACTCAAATTTTTCACAATAATTCCCAGATGACAAAAATATTAAAGACAAATTGATGACTGCCAAATGGCTTGGTGTCATTTGCTAGAAGGAAGAGATCTATATTTTACAAAGTATAGGCATGAGAGCAGCTGGCGGGTATGGGAATAAAAGCCCATGAGTTTATGTTATTTTGTCTCTTATCTAAATCTTAAATGGCTGATTAGTCTATTTCCAGAGAAGAGATTTCATCATACATGCCAGGCCTTTGGTGAAAATTCATCCTTCACTTGCCATCATGGCATCGTTTGTCCAAAAGCAACAGCCTTTGCTGGGCGGCATATTGTATACATATGGAAAAATTTATGTCACTATGCAAATGTATACCTACACATAAGCAAATATATGTATCTATGTATATATATAATACGTGTCAGAAAACCAAGACATACATTTTTGGCATCTTCAAATTCTTTATGGTTTGAGTCTGAATATGATTTAGGGTCAACTACATGTGTTCTTTTAATAAAATGTTGGTTCCAGATTAAGGGTTCTAAATGCATAAATATATAAAACAGTACTTAAAAATAAACATATAGCCTCCTCAATAAAAACAAAAGCAAAAAACTAACCACTGCCTCAAATTAAAATGAAAAACACTAAATCTAAATAATATTTATATAGTAAAACTCTCCCAAAATATTCATATCTGTGATTTTCTTTGGCAACATTGAGGGAGAAAACATGTTTTCTCTTCTCCTCCGTATTAAAAATAATATTGAATATTGCATTCACCACACTAATCAGTAAAAACTTATGAGCAAAATTCTCATTCCTCATATAATATCACTCATCTTATTTGAGACTTATCATTTTGTTTTATGTGTTCTTGTTAACAGACTGTACCATAAAAATTCCTTTTCTTAAATATAATAGAACTTTAAAAACAAAGTACTTCCTTTGTATAGGGAGAATGTTCTAGTGTAACTAACATGTAACTAAACTTTCAAACGTAGCTGTCAGAGACTATGTTACACATGGCAAATTTCAGGTAACTTTATTAAAATTCGTAAATAGTTCAGAAATCATATGCATATGTGGCATTAAAACATGGTATTAAATTTCAAGTAACACAGCTGAGAGAAAGGAAATTCTCAAACATATTACCAAAGAAGCTGCTAGCTAACGACAAACAAACAAACAAACAAAAAACCTATAAACCATGGATGGTATTGGAAGCCAGTAAGAAATTAGATTTAATGAAATGCACAACAATGGAATGTATCTAATGAACTTGACAGTTTCAGTAATTCTGTACAAGCTGAAAAGGTTGGGGAGAGATAAATTGATGGATTAATGGAGAACTTAAATGAAGGGGTTATAATATCTACCCTTTTTTATCAGGACTATCATGGATTGTAAAATTTTCTCAGGTAGATATGCTGTAGATTTAAAATTACTTAGGTGATTTTATAAACTAACTGTTATATACACTATAAGAACATTCTAATTGGCAGACCTGAGTTAACAGAATAAAATGAAAATTGCAAAGATGGGTGAACTGAAATTTTTAAAATGGCCACGACTCATTAATCATCAATGCTCTGCATTCCAATGTCTATTAACCATATATGAAGATTTTCTTTCTGTTAGCATTGAAAATAATAGGCTTGAGGTGTAAAATTAGTTCGTATATCTTGCGATTTCCTAATTTTAATGCAAATCTATTTTTAATCAATTAATGTAACTTAAACAAAATACCCAAAGGAATCAACTCATTATAAGATGTTCATGTGAATAAAGTCACTAACATGTGGGGAGGGGGGGATGAATATGAATAAGATGTAAGTATGAAAAACTAGTGGAAATATTCAAAATAATCCCTGAAGAAATGGGAAACATGAATAAATTAAACTACAGTGGAAAGAAAATTGCTGAAGACTTGGAAAATGTCCTTCATTTTTTTCCAACGGTAGGTTTTTCCAAAACTGAAGAAATTAGAGTAACCTAAATATTCAAAAACACACTACAGGAAAATATAAATCACATGTACAGAGACAGTCCAGATCAGATCTTAGGTCTCCATTTACAAATAAGACTATTCCATGAAATCAACCTTTCCTCACTTGAGGAGATGATGTCCAGGCAGAGCAAATGTACTCACAGGAACAGCAGAGGCCCTGCTTCCCCACGCCAATCAGCATGTTCAGGCAAAGGTTGCAATAGGCAGGTTTGTTAAAGTGCTTCAGTCGCCACACGTGCTGTCCATCATCCTTCACGTTCTGCATGGGACGTAAGAGAAACAGATTTCACTTAATGAAATAAACAGTGAAAGATGTAAGTGCCAATGAAATTCAGAGCTGGACTGAAGCATGTGAAGACAATCTGTTATTTCATCCCTGACTTTCTCCAAGATCACCGCAGAGCCTTTAGAAAAACACATGTGCTCCAGTGAAATGAGATAGTGCTAACAAATCACCGATGCTATAGCAACCCACAAATCCTTGTCTAATATTAACAGCTCAACAGCGTACCCCAAGCCATCGTCATGACCTGCCAAATGGATCAGGGACGTGATTGCCTCTTCTTTAAATACTTTATCCTTAGCACAATTCCATAAACAAATAAATAAATAAAGAGAAAGAGAAAATACCCTTCAGTGGAACAGCCTGACAAAGAAAAACCTGCAAAGACGTCATTAACCCTTGCTTACTAGTAGTAATATACAAAATTCATGATGGTGATCAGGTCATGTAAGGTGGCAGAGGAATGGGATGGGATGGAAAACTAATACTAAAAGGTAAGTTATTGGTGACATACTAGGGCTTCATTCGAGGAGTCCTTATACTATATTCCAATTTATATTAATACATTGAGTATGCCACAAATAGTATATTTTAAAAGGCAAACTTTTTAAAGGATTTCATTATGTTACCATTTTGTTTACCCCCTTATAAAATATAAGTAGTTTTAATCTCACAGAAAGATGGTAAAAATATTAAAACTGTATTAATATTTTTATTTATAACAATCACTATGGTTATTTGCCACAATACAACCTTGGGTTTAAATTAATTCCCACTTTAGCAAAACACTTTATTTTTTTCTCTTCTCAGTAAAACTCTCTATATCATAATAGCTACTCCTGTAGGTATTTAATCACAGCTGCATTGTTCAAGATTAAAATAAAATGAAATAATATGATGCTTAGGAATTTCTTGAACTCCTTACAAGAAGGTCAAGATATTAAATGAAATTATTATATATTATTACTTTTGCTACCATCATTTTCTCCATTAACATGTACTGTTTGTAGTCTAATCATCAAATTATATCAAACAGATTAACATTTATTGGTATTCTATTGAAAACATTATTTGCCATAACTTTCCAGGTTGTCCAAGTTGTCATATTTCTTGGAACACATTCACCTAATAATTTCTGAGCATGTTTTAAGTGCTTGGGCATTAACGTTACTCCTGTGGTAGTGAGGCAATATAAATATATTCAGATCATCTTGTTTCTCTTGATAATAAAATATTAATAATAATGCTCCTAACTACCTTTCCTATTCCCAGTCAAGGGATAAACCACCAGATTTGTAATACTAGAGAAAATCTACAGTAACTAATTCTTACATTAGAACCAGAAATGTCAAATTTGCCTCACAACATGAAACATTAATGAAATGCTTCCTGGGCGATAATTCTTGGTGGGTCTCTTGAATTTCTTCATGTTTTGCAAACAGAAGCACTGTCCTTTCTTTTTCTTTCTTTCTTTTTTTTCTTCTTAAGACTATCTTTTCAAAGATGTTTGAGTAACAAACAGCCTAGCCTTGGACAATAGAGACATGTCTCCCTCCAGAGGAGAGGGCCAGTTTGCTTACTATACTTACAGTATAATAAAAATAATCACTCCCTTGTAGGCAAAGGTGAAATGGGCTTGTTTCCTACACATTATAATTCATTTAGTTTTCTTAAGTCAGGGTTTCCAAAACGTGATGCTGTGCACAATCATCAATTGGGTCCCACTCTGTCGTTCCCATGAGATTTTGGAGGCAAGGTGAACTCAAACGTGAAGCTCCTGTTGCTCTCTTTGTTGTGAATAACAAAGTCTATTGTCTCTGACTCAGGAGTCTCATGTCCTCTGGCAGCATCCATAAAACTGTGGCAAGCTAATACATTAACTTCCAATAGGGTAAATTTTGGACCCTTTACAATTCTTGACATTGCTCAGATTTACCTTTCTGACAAGGGGCTAACAAAGTCTCAACAAATACAGCTACGCAGGTGTCATACAGAAAACTTCAGAAAACACAGGTGTTTTAATTTTCTTTCAAAACCTAAGAAATAGGCTTTGTATTAATTTCTGAATTTCCTATTTTGGTTTCGGTGAGTCATAGATTTCTAGTAGCTTTATCACGTGAATAGAATACTTTATATATTTAACTTTGCTATATTTTCAAAACTGCCTACATTTTAAAATTTATATCCCCTCAAATAATATTTAAACATCCTTATGTGGAAAGGTTAAATATGGGGTTGTTAATTTTTAAAAAACTAAATTAATATTTAAAAAATTAAAAGTAGTAGCTAAGTGCTTAAAAACATTTTTAAATAAAAAGGACAAAAAGCTAATTTTCGTATATATTACTGTTCTTGTAATTCTTGTCGTTTTATTTTTAAATGATTGTCCATTACATGTGAATAAGCTTCATCCTTTGAAGAGCACATATGGAGTAAGTTAGCTGGCATTTTCCTTATCAAAAAATAAACAAGTCTGAACGTGGGTGTTCTGTCAATCAGAACACTTAGCCGTGTTACAGGCTGCAACTGATGTACAAATCCATTACCCAGGCATAAAATGCTTTACCAAAAAACAAATTAAATGGCTTTATAGCTCTTAGCTGGATACATTGCCAAAATATGCAAGGGATGAAATATGTATGTGACTTCTTTAAGAGAAGAAATTGAAACCAGGAGCCAATTACTTCTCAGCAGTGCAAATTATACTCCAACTCTCTATTTTCATGTCTTGTCTTGTTTATCTTACTTAGATCGTAAACTTAATGGGGGAGGGAAAGAATCTGTCCCTTCTTTCTATCAGCCAGTAGAGCACATTCCTATTAGTCCTTCCACTGCAAATATATATTTATTGTCAAAAAAGGGAATTTATTTTTTATAAAACAAAAATAAGCAGGGCATCCAGAAAGGCTTGATTCCTAGCCTACTATGAAAATGTGAATAAGCCATTTCACCTTTCTTCCTATTTCTTCCTATTTTCCTCTCGAATGAAAGGAAAATACCCACTTCCCTTTTCCAGGCCGTGGTGTGAGGTTTCATTATACAACACCTGTGAAGTTAATTTGGTTTCTCAGAAGACGGGTGTTATATAAACAGCAAATATTATCACCCTCATTGGGTTGTGTTGTGTAACATCCCAATTTTTCAGTCAAAATAATTGAGAAAGATACCTAAAATTTCACTTTATTTCATTAAAATGTGCTCTTTTTTCATCACCAGACATAACACTGTGTATTGTAATGAAGCTGTTCAGGTCCGTGTTTATGACAGATAAATGCTTAATGAATCCTAGGCTACTCCATGCTGAGAAGGAACTTTACATTTTCCCCAACTCTTAGTTGCCTACAAGGCAAAGGGATGTTTCAAAGGAAATAATGCTCTTCAGAACTTTTAAAACCTATTATCCTAGTGATTCTAAAGTTTTAGTTTTTCCATAAATAAAAATCATTATCCTAGTGATTCTAAAGTTTTAGTTTTTCCATAAATAAAAATCTTTATCCTAGTGATTCTAAAGTTTTAGTTTTTCCATAAATACTTCCAAGATCACATAAAATGTTCAAGTGAACTAGGGCTACTATAAATAATTTTTTTTCAGAAGACCTCAAGGAGAAATTTCATTGATGTCCTAACCCACATGCTTCTCTCCCCACACCTAGTTATGTTTCAACTGACTTAACTTATATAGAGAGAGAGAGGAGCTAATGTTACAAATAATTACTTCCAACTCATTAAATAACAAAGAACATTAAATTACCTTACTTTTTGTCCAAGGTCTCCAAAAAAAAAATTATGACAATGTGACAGAAACTCCTCTTATTTTTTTTTTTTTTTTTTTTTTTTTGAGAGGAGTCTCGCTCTGTCGCCCAGGCTGGAGGGCAGTGGCGCGATCTCGGCTCACTGCAAGCTCCGCCTCCCGGGTTCGTGCCATTCTCCTGCCTTCACCCACTGCGCCCGGCTAATTTTTTGTATTTTTAGTAGAGACGGGGTTTCACCGTGTTAGCCAGGATGGTATCACCTGACCTCGTGATCCGCCCGCCTCGGCCTCCCAAAGTGCTGGGATTACAGGCGTGAGCCACCGCGCCCGGCCGAAACTTCTCTTTTAGACAAAAAGATGAGCTCTATTAGGCCTGGGCAAAGAGAATGCAGAGAAAAGTTTTAAAATTCTGAGTGGAGCTGTCATCAACTGTTCATCTCCAGACCACACATTGTAAGGTCACCTGTCATTCCTGAGGCTCAAATGCAAAATCAACAGCAGGTTACACCACGTAGTCATTTTTCTTAAATGACACAATCTGGAATCTCAAGAATTTTTGCATTCATCTAGTTTTGTAACTGCTTTCTACATTGAGCAAAGTATAGACAGCAGAACAAAAACTCTTAACCAAATTAAAAACTTTTAAAAATCGATGTGCTGAACATCAGCTCCCAAAATATAATACATAGTCTTCTATTCTCCATCACTCAGGAATTTCATCAGAGAACACACTGCATATTACTTTACTGAGAGTCAAGAAAAAAATGTGTCTTAAACAATCTCAGTCAAAGGCAAAGTTTAAATGACCTATAAGAATTGAAGACCAGGATTTTTGGCACACATATAGTGAGACCAAAGTATAAACCATCCAGAAACCATGCAGGCTAGATGTGGGTACAACAATCCACAATAACAAGTTAAGGTATCGCTATTTCAAGCTAGTCTACTGCTTAAATGTACATTTCTCTTTTCCCTATAATATAAATTCAGGAATTTTCCTTGAAAAAATTAAATGACGATCCAAAGTTAGAGATTTCAGAAATTGAAGCCTTATTAATTATCTTGTTCATGCAGGAAAAGGAAATGTTCAAACTGAAAGAGTATTAGGAAACACTAACTTCTCTTCTTGGCTAACTTCTCGTTTTTCCGGAGACAGCAACTGCCTGGTATAAAAATGACCTAGTTAGTTAATAACAGAGCTAAGGTCTGTTATCTGATCAATTTGATGACGTTCACTGCTCCTATGCTTTCTGTCTATTAGTCCTCATGTCTTGCTGTGGTTGTCCGATTGTGCCAAGTAAAAGGTATTAGATTCCTTTCTTCCAAATGAATTAAAATAAATTAAAACTTTTTCTGTTTTTTAATCTGAGAAATGAGTGATAGAACAGATCAGCGGTTGGCAAACTATGGCACTGAGTCAAACCTGGCCAGCAACCTGTTTTTGCACATGCAGTTTTATTAAAACATAGCTTTTGTGGTTCATTTACATAATTTCTGCGATTGCATTTGTGCTGGAACAGCAGAGTTTAGCAGTTAAGGCGGAGACCTTATGGCCCCATAGCCAAAATTACTTAATATCTCTCCCTCTGCAGACAGTTTCCAATCACTGGAACAGAGTTTACCTCTATATAAAGTTATTCAACAAAAAAAGTGTTTTAATTACATTGGATTTTTTTAAAAAACAATTCTCCAATGAGATGAATTCTGAAGGAAGAATGAATAAGTCTCAGGTATAAATTTTCATTGTGGTAATCAGAATCACAAAGCCATCCAAATTCTCAATTTTCCTTCAAATCTAAGAGACACTAACACTCTATACCATTTCTGACCCATTCATCTTGTATTTTGTAAAGTTTGTAGAGCCTCTTGTAAGAGAAAAGATATGGCTCTTGCTCTCTGCTATTTGGTATAGAATCTGGTCCCCATCAACTCCATTTCTGATTTTGGTACCAAAATAGATATTCTTTAAAATAGACTAGTTTTTAAACTGCTGTTGCTGGAGAAAAATAAATTGCATTGAAATCGTAAATGTTGTGCCTTACATTAGAAGTGAAGATTACTCTCCCAGGACTACTTCCTTTTCTGTGTAATTTGACTAGGACACCACAGTCACTTTCAAATACACTGTGGTATTTTACATGCACCATCAATTAGAACCTACTCCCCGAGCTCATAATTGACAATAGACAATAACATATAGGACAACCTAACAAGACAAGCTTCACAACAAATGGCCAACTTCAAACTGCAGTATCTAGATTTTCAATTAAATAAGCAAAGGTGAGGGGATAGATTCATGGATCAAATTCTCTACAGGTAATAATGTAACACATTAACTGCCTACAGAAAGGAAATAAATCTCAATTGCTAAAAAAGGTTCTCATCACTCAGTTGTCTTGGTGTCATTCTTGCTTTTTAAAACAATTACCATGCCTTAGAATTCAACAGCTCTTTCTAACAAATAGATGCTGTATTTTGTGATCATTACACATGATTATATGGCTTATACATTTTATTAAAAGACAGCTTAAAATGTAGGTGGCTTACTTTTTTCACAAAAATGAAAGAAAAGGGAAATTTCTTCTTTTAAAGTTGTTCTTTACAGAGATGGGGTGGGGGGCGGAATTTAGTCTCAGATTTAAGGTGGTCTCTTGAGATTAAATAAGGTGCCTCTGCCATCTAGCGGCCGTCACTGGTAACACAACTCTGGAACACAGCTCTGATAGCTATAATAAAACCTTAGATTTCTCCTATTTAGCTCCAGACACTCCCTTTTACTAAAAACATAAAAAATAAGTTTACAAATACTATTAAAAAGTAAATTATGTACAGTTAATAGAGTGCACATTAAATGCATAGAATTGCCTTACAATTGAAATAATACTACACTAGAAACTAATGAGGTATTATATTGGTTTAAAATACTTTGAGTTAAATCATATAGATTTGTGGACTCTATTACCTGTGATAATTTTTATAACTTCACAAATATCTATATTTATAAATTAAATAATAAATAATATATCAGCAGTAGTTTCCAAAAAAAATCATCATTTCAAAAAATCTCTTGTGACATTTAAAATACGGGCAACTGACTGTCCCTTTCTGCACTTTTCTATCTCACCCTCGACTACCAGATGATTTACTTGCTCATTCCTGCATCTTCCCTCCTTCTCTCATCCTAGAATTTACATAGATGCTTAGAATATACAAAGTTTAGCTTTACAAACATAAAATGTCCTTCTCGGGAATCATTATTATTGGAATTTCCTGACTAAAGTTATCTGACAATTTTTCAGGATAAAGTATACATTAAACCTTAAAATGTCAACATTTTGTCAATTTTTCTTTTGTTTTCTCCCAGTAGTCTGATTTACATAATGGTTTTTGTCATAAGGTACATGAACAATTAAATAAATATTGATAATATAGAGCTAAATATGGTATTATAAAAAAATACTCAGTTATGTGTAGTATAAGAAATTCAGGTACAAGAAAATACTATTTCACAAAATTTTTAAGTGTAGAACTACATACTTATTAACAATAATATATATATTATATTTTGTTTAAATAAATTAGTTTAAGGGTAACTTTCCATATATCACTTATTAGTATTTTATTGTTTTCCATCCTCTGACCATGTCTTGGATCCCATGGGCCTCATGAAAGGTAAGCTTCAACTGAGTTTAGAAGAAATTTGAAGACCCAGGTAAAAAAGAAAACAAATAGTAATCTCTTGAAACCTATTATTTTTTCCTAAACTTATACATATTCCTTAACCCTCAGCTCATTTGTATATTCCTAAAGCCCATTTATATATTCCTAAACCCATATGTGCCAACATATTTTTATATATACTCATATGTTTCACAAACACAGACAGTAAGTTATCTTGAGAAATGACTTTTAAAAATTTGGTGTCTTGAATAACTATGATATAGTCTTGAATCTGTAAAAATATTTCAGCTGGTAATAAGAAGTATGAAGAGTTTTGGGTTTGGCAGCAAAGTGGTGAATACTATGGTCTTACACCTTAAAACTCTAAATATTACAATTTCATTGTTCTTTCCACCCCTAATGTTCTTTGAAATTAAGTAGACATGTTATTCTATACATAGTATATCTAATTATTGCATAACTATTAATGCTGAATTTAAAAATCTGGCATACACTATAGATTTCATCAGATTTTTAGAATAAAAATAACTGAAATCTGCTTCAAGTCTGGGTCAGCAAGATTTGCTTTCAAAGTCATTATTATATTACATTCTCATCTTAGGTTGATTTATTTTATTCCTTCACAATGGTATTTAATTGCAACTAGAGGAACTACTCCAAGAAAACTTTTGACAGGCGATAGAATAAGAACCTGGCTCCTGCTGATACAGGAAAAACTTACGTTTATTTAAGTTGGTGCAAAAGTCATTGCGTTTTCTGCCATTAAAGGTAATGGCAGAAAACGCAATGACTTTTGGCACCACTAATCTTTAAACCACTGGAGATATTTAACTGCCTCCTCCAAGTATCAGTTTTCAATAAAATAGATTACCTTTATAGGTAGGAGGAACATTGAAATAATGAAGCACCAAAAGAACTGCAAAATACAATAATACTGGAGAGCCTCTTGCTTTAGATAATATGAGGAGGTCAGTAACTTAAAAACACTAGATTGCACCTTCAACAGAGGAAAACAAAAGAGAGAGAATATATTTTTAATCCTGAAGTAATACCTGGAGTGAATCAATATGTGTGTGGCAAGTATTACTACACAAGGAGTTACTGTCAAATTGCACCGTGGCATACTTATTAAAAGTTCCAGGCACTCACTGCATGCTTAATGGTAGAAAATGGTCACATCAATCTGTAATCAAAATGTGTAATAGAGAGCCCCACTGACTCACCACCAGGCCACCCTCCTCTGTGGAAATGCTTACATTTTCTAAGCCCAGGAGCACAAGAAGTGGAATCGTTGTCATTCCTCCTTGAATCCATTCCTCCAGAGACACGGTTCCATCATGATCATAGTCAATTTCTTCCATCATTTCATGGAGGATCTGGAGTAGAGGAGATAAGGGAAAATTGGTGGTCAACCAATAAAATAAATTTCATAGGCTACAACATATGAAATTGTGACTAACAGCTAAGTGGAGAGTTGGGATAACTGTCTTGCTAACTCAGTACAACATTAATTCTATTACTGATGAAGAGCGACTTTGTTAGCATTTCTAAACCTGGCCACTTAACACTGATCACTTTTTAGAAATAAGTGCTTAACTTTTCAATATTTTTCCCATGAACAGCACAGCTAAAACAAGAAGAATCTTTAATAAGTGTGAAAGTGGTCTTTAATTACTTTCTTCATATTATTTTTTAGATTCATATATATGCCAGAAAATGTCTGAACAAATTAACTTCATGGCAAAGAGCTCATATAATTCTTTGCTAAGTAGTAAGGGGCGAAGGAATTTAGTTGCTTTTAATTGCCTATCAGAATTTAATAGAGTCGAGAAGTTAAAGGATCAAATCAAGTTTAATTAAACTTCGTTTCTAAAGATGACTTGCACGTAATGTCTTAAAATGTTCTCTGCAGTGTTTGTTTGCAATACATTTACCTCTCTGTGGTATGGTGGCAATATCAGTACTTACCTAGAAGGGCTGTTGTGAGGATTAAATAAGCTAACGTATTATAAGCAGACGAGCCCCTGGCATACAGAGTCAGAGTCATATAGTGTTGTTTGTGCTATTATTAATGGAAATTATATATAAGTTCCAAACATATTACCCTTGGTTGCTGGGAAAGCAAAGTACTTCCCATCTAATGGCGTCAAGATGGCAAACATGGTAAGAATTCTAATGAAGAAAGGAACTCACGTCTTTATATAATACAAAAATGTTAATCAATTTGGAAAAAAGAGAAATGCAGAGAGCATTGGAACAGAGATTGGAAAAGATGCAATGCATGAAATATTTGATTTGTTGGTAGAAGTATTGTCTGCCTAGACACTCTTGTGCTTGGTGTCTTCACTCAGGAAGTATTGTATTTGAAAATTAGATTATTTTTCTCCTCTTGCCTCTCAAGAGCTTGCTGATGAATTAGTAGAAATGTATCAATCATAAGAGAAATAAAACAATGACATTTGTTTCAGATGGGTGATGCTTTCCTTTTTGTACCTAATAAATCTCATGTTAAAGCCATCCTCTGACCGTGTCTCAAATCCCATGGGCCTCATAAAAAAATAAGATTGAACTGAGTGTAGAGCCTGAGTTAATTTGATAAAAACTTCTAGGGACGCTCCAGTCTTCCCTACTACTATTGTAATCAACCTCAAATGTTCATTTCTCTCTCTCTCTCTCTTTTTTTTTTTTTTTTTTTTTTTGAGATGGAGTCTCACTCTGTCGCCCAGGCTGGAGTGCTGTGGCGCAATCTGGGCTCATAGCAAGCTCCGCCTCCTGGGTTCACGCCATTCTCCTGCCTCAGCCTCCCGAGTAGCTGGGACTACAGGCGTCCGCCACTACGCCCGGCTGATTTTTTTTGTGTGTGTATTTTTAGTAGACACAGGGTTTCACCATGTTAGCCAGGTTGGCCTCAATCTCCTGACCTCATGATCCACCTGCCTCGGCCTCCCAAAGTGCTCGGATTACAGGCTTGAGCCACCGAGCCCGGCCCATTTCTCTTTATTTATATATGCAAACCTATGAGAAGCCTGCTGATGTGTACATTTGTTTACAATGAGAACTACTGAAGCCTTAGGCAAGATGACAAGGCAGTTCCCATGACAGCAGACATAATGTACAACTTTGTACCATTTCAGCTCCCTGGAATAGTAGCAGACTTATCAGTAACACACATGTCAAATAATGCTATAGTTTATTACTTGTATTCTCCATTCAATAATCTGACAAATACACTAGGTATTTGTTGTAGAAAGACTACTCAGCCACCAGCTTTCCCCTTCCTCCTAGCATCCTGATGTCCTTTTTCTCAAATCTACAAACACACCCCCCAACACACACACCAAAAATGCTTTTGTTGAGAAGTGTTAGTGCCCGCTGTTTAGAAACCTGAATGGAGGCCGGGCGCGGTGGCTCACGCCTGTAATCCCAGCACTTTGGGAGGCCGAGGCGGGTGGATCAGGAGGTCAGGAGATCGAGACCATCCTGGCTAACACGGTGAAACCCCGTCTCTACTAAAAATACAAAAAAAATTAGCCGGGCGCGGTGGCGGGCGCCTGTAGTCCCAGCTACTCGGGAGGCTGAGGCAGGAGAATGGAGTGAACCCGGGAGGCGGAGCTTGCAGTGAGCCGAGATTGCGCCACTGCAGTCCGCAGTCCGGCCTGGGCGACAGAGCGAGACTCCGTCTCAAAAAAAAAAAAAAAAAAAAAAAAAAAAAAAAGAAACCTGAATGGAAAAACAAATCCCCCTCCCACTCTCCATCTAATAACAAGCTGGCTTGATTGACAGATGACTAATCTGCACAGGTAGAAAGGTGAGTAGGAGAGGAGAAAGCTGTTGTCGATTACAAGGGCAACAGAAATAATCAGAAATTCCTGGCTTTCAGTGAAAATATTAAGGTGAGTCAAACAATAAATTAAATACATGTTACCATCTACTTTATTATTCCACATACAAATGACAACCTGTTAATGACATCTGCCACTCACTAGAAGCACAGCATATGCATTTCCCAATAGCTGCTTTAAAACTGGAAAAATCCTAATCCCAGTAAGACAGGAAAATGCTATCAGAGTTCTTGCAGCATATACTCATGCCATTATCCTGTTGTTTACCGCATAGATGTGAACAGAGGTTAAATATACACTTCTTGAATTTGCATAAAATGTAAAATCATTTAAATAAAATTTATTTGCATTGCTTTATTCATATACACTTTGCTAAAGGTTTTAAAAATAATATAAACTCAATATCTCTTATCAACTTTCCCCAAAATATTTTTTGTGGCCAAAGTTATGGTTTCAAGTCAAGTATATTTTAATATGTATTTTAATAATGTTGAAATTTTGATGTTTATTCAAAATAAGAATTCTATATTCTTAAAAGCATTTTTAGATACTCTTTCTCTAAACAATTTAATTAAAAATTCCTGACTAGCTGAAGAGCTTTGGGCAAGTAATTTTAACATATTTGGGTCTCAATTTACTTCTCTGCAAAAGGGAAAAAAAATAGTGTATCTACCTCAGAGAGTTGAAAGCAATATATAACATATACACAAGGTAACATGATGCACTGTGCATGGAAAACTACCATCTTCTTTTATGGCATGGCATGGCCTTGGCAGTGTCTATCAGGACCTTCTGCTTATCCACATGTATGTAAGACCACCATTCAAAATAACTTCCACGAGGAAGAAAGCAAAAGTTACTGTTAACAGCTTCAGAACCCCACATATACCTTGTTATCTTATTCAGAATCCACTTTGACTTCTGATTAGAAATAGTAACTTAGTTATCAAAAGATAAAATGAAATGACAGGAATATATCAGGGTCCCAGACAAGAGAAAAAAAAAGAAAAAGAAAGAAAAGAAAAGGAAGGAAGGAAGGAAGGAAGGAAAGAAAGAAAAGGAAGGAAGGAAAGAAAGAAGGAGGAAAGAAAGAAAGAAAGAAAGAAAGAAACAAAGAGAAAGAAAGAAAGGAAGGAAGGAAGAAAGAGAAAGAAAGGAAAGGAGAGAGAGAGAAGGAAGGAAGGGAGAGAGAGAAGGAAGGAAGGAAGGTAGGAGGGAGGGAGGGGAGAAAGAAAGAGAAAGAGAGAAGGAAGGAAGAGAGAGAAAGAAAGAGGGAGAGAAACAGAAAGGGAGATAGAAGGAAGGAAAGAAAGAAAGAAAGAGAGAGAGAAAGAAAAAAAGAAAGAAAGAAAGAAAGAGAAAGAAAGAAAGAAAGAAAAGAAAGAAAGAGGCCTTCCAGAATTTAGCCAATAGTGAAATCATTCATATACCTACTGGATTAAGTTCAGTGACATCCCACTCAAGGTATTCTGCAACATGCATCATCTGACTGATGATATTTTCTAGCTCCTGGAAGAGAAAGAGAGATAAAAAATATGAATACAAGATCTTAGTGAGTTTTAAATCTTTCACTTGCAGAAATTGTTTTGTTCAATGTGTAGCTAAAAAAGTTAAATGAGTTCTATGGGAATATATATATGTACATAATCCTTTTTAAAGGTCTAATTAACTATATAAAGAAAAAAGAATCCTGAATATAAATTTATCTTGTACATTGTCTAGAAATTTTCACCAGGAGAGGGCACAACTTTACAAAAAATACATTTTCTTCTACTAAAAGAGAGTGTCTGAAGAAAGCAGGACCAAATACATACTGTCACATGTGATTTTTAAGACACTGAATTCCCTGAACCTTTGGCTTGAAAATAGATGTGAAAGGGTGGACAAATCATTTGAGGACAACTGAGAAGTCTATTTTTATCTTGATACACTGAGAATATACATTGACTGTTTTAGTCATGTATTGAATAATTTGCTCTTGAAAGAAGAGTGTTCAGGGCCAAGGTTTGCAGGACAAGTATATGCAGCATTTATTTTGTGAGAGGATGAAATTTTAGTTTGAATTTCCATATTATTCTGCTCAATTATCAACTCTTTGAAGAATTGCAAGTTAATACAGATGACCTGGCTAAATTAATTAAAACATTTTCCTGCCTATTTATCTAATGTTTTAATTTTTCTCTACCTACAGAAAAGATTAAACATGGCTTTGTGAAATGCTTGTAATTTCACATGAAAACATTACATAATTTGAAAAGTGGTGTTTTACCGTATGATTTAAAATGTAAGAAGTATAAAAGAATAAAGCTTGAAAGTGCAATAGTCAAAGAGTATTCTACTCAAATCTCTAATCTAATATATGTAGTCGATGTTCATGGAATAGAGAAGAAATACGATAAAACAGATTCTCTTTTGGGAAGCCGTGTTTCCCTCCGAGGAACTAATGAAAGCTATACTCCCTCTCTCCAGAAAAAAAAAATATAATTATGAATATGTTACTTAAGTAAGACAGGCTGCCCCAGAAGTAATACAAAGATAAATGTATTTATTACAGATTAACAAATTTTAAAACATAAATCCCTTTGAATTATAGGTTAAAAGTGTGCATGTGTATGCACACATGCATTACTAATCTCTCACCTACTCCATCTTTGCTTACATATGCCTTAATGGTTTGGAAGTGTTAAAGTTCCCGGATATCTTTTAAGAACAGAAACTATTTTTGGTGGACTGTTACGTAGGCATGTGATATTAGGTAAGCCACCCCACCTAAGACTCAGTTTTCTCGTTGGTAAAATAGCTACTCTAACTTTACCTCCTTCATAGAATTGCTTCAAAGGTTAAACATGTTATTATACAAAAGGCATTTATTTTGTTGTTTGCCGTATTGCAAATGATCAACAAATCTTAACTATTATTATTAGAAATAGTGGACAATTTTCAAATTATCATTTTCTTTCTGTTTTGCCTCCAGTAGGTGAACTGCTACACCTTAAAGGTACCAAGACACATGATGTCAGAAGGTACAATTTAAACCTGACAGCGAAGGAAAAATATTGGAGTAGTAGCTATTGTGGAGAAAACCCTAGAAATGAAATCCAGGCCTTTAATTACAAAAAAATAGAGACTAGTTTAATCAAAACTAAATATATTTATCCCCAACTCATTGTTTAATATTGGGACTATAGTTCTAAATATTGCTAGTAGTCTACTGTATATGCTAACAAAAAATGGGCAGAGACAAAAAAAAAAAGGACTATTTGACTGAATTTTCAAATCAACTGCCAACCCATGGCTAAAGCCTAGTAAAGAATCATCATTTTAATTTAATTAAAAAAGAAACATTAAATAAAACAACTCTCCTTGAAAATAGAATTTGCATTAGTGTAGTCACAAGTGCTATACTAAGCATATTAAAGTATCTAGAAGAAATTAAAATTTCTAGTCGTGAAATGGCACCATAAAATGAGCAAATTTATTATGTAGCTTGGTATTTCTAATGGGAAACTGAAGACCACTAGGCACTTAAAAATAATAGCATTTGAAAAAAAATTTTTTTTTTTTTTTTTTTGAGATGGAGTCTTGCTCTCTCGCCCAGGCTGGAGTGCAGTGGCACGATCTCGGCTCACTGCAACCTCCGCCTCCCGGGTTCAAGCGGTTCTCCTGCCTCAGCCTCCCAAGTAGCTGGGATTACAGGTGCCCACTACCACGCCTCGATAATTTTTGTATTTTTAGTAGAGACGGGGTTTCACCATGTTGGCCAGCTGGTCTCAAACTCCTGACTTCAGGTGATCGCCTGCCCGTCTTGGCATCCCAAAATGCTGGGATTACAGGCATAAGCCACCACACCCAGCCAGCATTTGAAAAATTACTGAGACTTACAGATAATAAATCCCACAATCACAGCATCAATTCAGAGTGATGGTCATTTCCTAGAGTAGGAGTTATATATTTTAATCTCTCTCTGGAGAAGCTAATGTACCATTATCCTACTCAAAGTTACATAAATAGGCTTCCAACCTCATTGCTTTGCTTTTAAAAGTCTATTTTAGCTGCCATAGGGTGGTCTATCAGATGACGAGAAAAACTCACTCATTTTCAGAGATCATGTCTATTTCAGTCATTATTAAATATATCAAAACATTTGTTTTTAATAATATTAAATACATTAAAAATGGTACACTTCAAAATTTCCAAATGACACTTATTCTATTAATATTCTTATATTTCCTTGATAGAACAAGAAATAATATAATATGCAAAATATGTTACCAAACATAAGGTAGATTATTGGATAGAACCTGAGATGGAATTTCATGCATGGTACTGATCTGTGCACTAAGACTAAGAACTACTTTCTATTTCTCTGAAAGCTAGCAATGATTTCCATATATTACAAATAAACGTTTAATTATTCCCTTCAGTTAATCATATAAAGATGGTATTTTCTTATTTTTTATGACTATAACTATACAATGTAAAATGAATATTAAACTGGATGAGATATTTTAAAAGCAAAGTTTGTGAAAGCAATCTGTAAATACATTTACCTATTTCAGCCGCATATAGGACAAAAGATACCATGTAAAACTGGGAAAATAATGAGATAATTAAACTGACTTTATACATCCTTAAAATTCTACTTATAGTCTCAAGTTTCCTTAATGCCAAATGTTACAGATAGTTTTTCCCTCATTCTAAATCAATGGTTTCAACTTAATCTTATGTTTTATTCAGACAAGGCTGGTGCCTTTCTTTTTTTTACCTAACTTCAGTGCAGGAAAAATAAAATTAAAAAAGTCATGCTGTGGTATGCAAAACTATTCAGTAGAACAATTGTAATCCCAACAGTTTCCTCAGATCACTCTCTCGCAAAAAGTCAAAAAGATAAAAATGCCATATGAGTGGATGTAAATTACATTAAGTGTGCCTTCTGTGGTAATAACTACAAATTTATTCATTGCATTCTTCAGAAGAAAATCTTTGAAGTTTTCACAGAAACTTTGAAGAAAAAAATTACCGAGCTGTCCAGGAAGCCATTCCCATCCGTGTCATAAAGGCGAAACATAACTAGAATGAAAGAGGTGTTGAAAACAAGATTATAGGCAAATAAGATCAATGTTAGTTTAAAGTATATTCATTAAAATTTAGTTTGTGTTGAAAACAAATACTAAATTCCTCTCCTGCTCCAAACAATTAATTTGTGGGATTATTTCTCAAACTAAATTGAAAATGAATTAATTAGTTAATAGAAATACTGGATAGCATAAAGTCTATCAAATTTTGTTTGTTTCTAGAAGACACTAAAAAGTACTATTATTTGTTTAAACTCTTTATTACAAGATCATTAAATGTCAACTCAAAACTAAAAGAGAAGAAGTTGAAATATTCAAAGCCTGGGTATTAAAGAGCAGAGTGCATAAGGAAAAACAACAAATGTGAAATTTAGAAATCAACTATAATTTGAAATCCACTATTCACAATTATAAGAGCTTGGTCAAAAACTTTTCTTTATCTGTAAAGTGAGAATAATCATTCTACCATAACACATATTAACTGTGAAAGTTAAGGGAGGTGATAGACACAAAAGTGAATGTAAGCCATAGATCATGATACAAATAGATGCCATTGTTAGGATTGATCCCCAAGCAGTATGGGCGAGGAAGGCGGAGTGCAAAATAACAGGTTCTTTCTGATGGAGGAAGCCAGCACAGAAAAACTGCATTATGATCATGGCTCTCATGGTTTATTTGTTTAAATCTGAGGTGGAGCTTCAGAGGGTAACTGATGTTTGAACTAATCAAGTAAGGGAAAGGAGAACATTGGGTCTCTGTTAGGGGGTTCAGGAAAGCAGATGACAGAGGTCCCTGATGGGCCTGAGGATTCCCTTGTATAATTCACACATCCCCAGGAGGCTGTGGAGGAGGCCACAGGTGCCATTTTGAGATAAATAGAGAAGACAGACACAGCTGTAAAAATAGAAGAATGGAAGTACGGGTTTGTCTTGGGTTTGTATAATTTCCTGAATGATCTTGATGTCTGAAGTCTATAATATTAATAAAGATGTTGATTACTAAGCAGCATAATTATATAATGACCCTGATGGTCTATTTGTAGGTGATTATTTTTGTATTTAATGGTTACTGCATTTCACCAATTCTAACATATTATTATTAATAAGATGCATAATTAGTCTATATATTGCTAAAAAGAAAAAAAGTTAGCCATGTCACTATAATATTATATTTATTGTAAGAGGCAAACAAATGTTAAAGATGTTAAAGTGTAAGAAAACAAATGTCTGTCTATTGACTTAAGGGCAATAATACTAAACTGGCTAAAAGACTTAAATATCTGTATTGTAAATCATGGTAATGATTCCTTCTCATACAGTCAATAAATAAAATGCAGAAGGAAACAGCAACTTACAACATTGTGGATACTAGGCATTTCAAGAGATTGTAGTGCAGCAGCAAATAGTGAAAAATATCTTTGTAAGTGGCAAGAATTGACGGACTACTCAGAGAAATGATTAACTACCAGGAATAAGGCAAATATCTAGAAAAGCCTAAATATATTTCAGATTGAGGGACATTTATAACTCTGTTAACCCTTACTGGAGTAAATGACTGCAAAATGACCATTTCACGTCGCTCAAATTTGTGGAAACCCTGTTCTGATTTGTTGACCTTAATGGGAACATGAACTCAAAGAAACACACATGGGTAGGATATATATAGATAATGGGCATTCATTACTGACAGTGTCTGAAACTTCTTCCTATTTTCTGAAAATCACACTTTATGAAGAGCATTAGAAAATGAAAACTCTAGATACCTTTTCTTTACTAGCCTGACTTGAAGCTAGACTGTGTGCATGGCCCAGGCTCCACCACACAGAAGCACAGTCCCAGGTTATCAATCAGATGCTAGTGACCTAAGCAAAAGAAGCTTGCACAGAATCCCTTCTGGTGATGGGAGGCGGCAGTGATTTCAGAGAGAATATCCAGGGTTCTGGATGAGTCAGGGGTGTTTCGAGGCAACCATCCCAGCCCAATTTAATACTTCATTTGGTCATCGTTCCTGAAAAGGCAGCCTCTAGAATTTGTTCTCTACCTCTCCCAGTGATTCTGCATGCTCCTAAATATCGCTTAAAAATAATAACATGCTTTATTAAAAACAACCAGTTGAAATAAACCCGTTTCTATGTCTTTCCCAAGGATAGTGTGTACTTAACGTTGGTTTTAAAAATGAACTTACTATTGTAATATTACACTTACAGATAAACGTATTATTTAACACCTTATTAAAGTGTACACACCAATGTAACTATTACCTCTAAATCGAAAAATAGAATTCTTACTAACAAATCAGAACCCCTTTCATCCTCCCCCATCATTATTTTTTCTTCTCTCTCCAAAGACACCCATTATCTTGACTTCTACATCTTTTCTTTTGAATTGAATTGAATATAACATTTAGAAAATGTTTGCCGGCCGGGCGCGGTGGCTTATGCCTGTAATCCCACCACTTTGGGAAGCCGAGGCAGGTGGATCACGAGGTCAGGAGATCGAGACCATCCTGTCTAACACGGTGAAACCCCGTCTCTACTAAAAATACAAAAAAAAAAAAAAAAAAATTAGCCGGGTGTGGTGGCAGGTGCCTGTAGTCCCAGCTACGCGGGAGGCTGAGGCAGGAGAATGGCGCGAACCAGGGAGGCGGAGCTTGCAGTGAGCCGAGATCACGCCACTGCACTCCAGCCTGGGCGACAGAGCGAGACTCCATCTCAAAAAAAAAAAAAAAAAGAAAAAAGAAAAAAAGGGGGAGGAGCCAAGATGGCCGAATAGGAACAGCTCCGGTCTACAGCTCCCAGCGAGACCGACGCAGAAGACGGGTGATTTCTGCATTTCCATCTGAGCTTTGAAGGGAGCAGTGGTTCTCCCAGCACGCAGCTGAAGATCTGAGAACCGGCAGACTGCCTCTTCAAGTGGGTCCCTAACCCCTGACCCCTGAGCAGCCTAACTGGGAGGCACCCTCCAGCAGGGGCACACTGACACCTCACACGGCAGGGTATTCCAATAGACCTGCAGCTGAGGGTCCTGTCTGTTAGAAGGAAAACTAACAAACAGAAAGGACATCCACACCAAAAACCCATCTGTACATCACCATCATCAAACACCAAAAGTAGATAAAACCACAAAGATGGGGAAAAAACAGAACAGAAAAACTGGAAGCTCTAAAAATCAGAGCGCCTCTCCTCCTCCAAAGGAACGCAGCTCCTCACCAGCAACGGAACAAAGCTGGATGGAGAATGACTTTGACGAGCTGAGAGAAGAAGGCTTCAGACGATCAAATTACTCTGAGCTACGGGAGGACATTCAAACCAAAGGCAAAGAAGTTGAAAACTTTGAAAAAAATTTAGAAGAATGTATAACTAGAATAACCAATACAGAGAAGTGCTTAAAGGAGCTGATGGAGCTGAAAACCAAGGCTCGAGAGCTACGTGAAGAATGCAGAAGCCTCAGGAGCCGATGCGATCAACTGGAAAAAGGGTGTCAGCAATGGAAGATGAAATGAATGAAATGAAGCGAGAAGGGAAGTTTAGAGAAAAAAGAATAAAAAGAAATGAGCAAAGCCTCCAAGAAATATGGGACTATGTGAAAAGACCAAATCTACGTCTGATTGGTGTACCTGAAAGTGATGGGGAGAATGGAACCAAGTTGGAAAACACTCTGCAGGATATTATCCAGGAGAACTTCCCCAATCTAGCAAGGCAGGCCAACGTTCAGATTCAGGAAATACAGAGAACGCCACAAAGATACTCGAGAAGAGCAACTCCAAGACACATAATTGTCAGATTCACCAAAGTTGAAATGAAGGAAAAAATGTTAAGGGCAGCCAGAGAGAAAGGTCGGGTTCCCCTCAAAGGGAAGCCCATCAGACTAACAGCGGATCTCTCGGCAGAAACCCCACAAGCCAGAAGAGAGTGGGGGCCAATATTCAACATTCTTAAAGAAAAGAATTTTCAACCCAGAATTTCATATCCAGCCAAACTAAGCTTCATAAGTGAAGGAGAAATAAAATACTTTACAGACAAGCAAATGCTAAGAGATTTTGTCACCACCAGACCTGCCCTAAAAGAGCTCCTGAAGGAAGCGCTAAATATGGAAAGGAACAACCAGTACCAGCCACTGCAAAATCATGCCAAAATGTAAAGACCATCGAGACTAGGAAGAAACTGCATCAAATAACGAGCAAAATCACCAGCTAACATCATGATGACAGGATCAAATTCACACATAACAATATTAACTTTAAATGTAAACGGACTAAATGCTCCAATTAAAAGACACAGACTGGCAAATTGGATAAAGAGTCAAGACCCATCAGTGTGCTGTATTCAGGAAACCCATCTCACGTGCAGAGACACACATAGGCTCAAAATAAAAGGATGGAGGAAGATCTACCAAGCAAATGGAAAACAAAAAAAGGCAGGGGTTGCAATCCTAGTCTCTGATAAAACAGACTTTAAACCAACAAAGATCAAAAGAGACAAAGAAGGCCATTACATAATGGTAAAGGGATCAATTCAACAAGAAGAGCTAACTATCCTAAATATACATGCACCCAATACAGGAGCACCCAGATTCATAAAGCAAGTCCTGAGTGACCTACAAAGAGACTTAGACTCCCACACAATAATAATGGGAGACTTTAACACCCCACTGTCAACATTAGACAGATCAACGAGACAGAAAGTCAACAAGGATACCCAGGAATTGAACTCAGCTCTGCACCAAGAGGACCTAATACACATCTACAGAACTCTCCACCCCAAATCAACAGAATATACATTTTTTTCAGCACCACACCACACCTATTCCAAAATTGACCACATACTTGGAAGTAAAGCTCTCCTCAGCAAATGTAAAAGAACAGAAATTATAACAAACTATCTCTCAGACCACAGTGCAATCAAACTAGAACTCAGGATTAAGAATCTCACTCAAAGCCGCTCAACTACATGGAAACTGAACAACCTGCTCCTGAATGACTACTGGGTACATAACGAAATGAAGGCAGAAATAAAGATGTTCTTTGAAACCAACGAGAACAAAGACACAACATACCAGAATCTCTGGGACGCATTCAAAGCAGTGTGTAGAGGGAAATTTATAGCACTAAATGCCCACAAGAGAAAGCAGGAAAGATCCAAAATTGACAGCCTAACATCACAATTAAAAGAACTAGAAAAGCAAGAGCAAACACATTCAAAAGCTAGCAGAAGGCAAGAAATAACTAAAATCAGAGCAGAACTGAAGGAAATAGAGACACAAAAAACCCTTCAAAAAGTCAATGAATCCAGGAGCTGGTTTTTTGAAAGGATCAACAAAATTGACAGACCGCTAGCAAGACTAATAAAGAAAAAAAGAGAGAAGAATCAAATAGACGCAATAAAAAATGATAAAGGGGATATCACCACCGATTCCACAGAAATACAAACTACCATCAGAGAATACTACAAACACCTCTATGCAAATAAACTAGAAAATCTAGAAGAAATGGATAAATTCCTCGACACATACACTCTCCCAAGACTAAACCAGGAAGAAGTTGAATCTCTTAATAGACCAATAACAGGAGCTGAAATTGTGGCAATAATCAATAGTTTACCAACCAAAAAGAGTCCAGGGCCAGATGGATTCACAGCCGAATTCTACCAGAGGTACAAGGAGGAACTGGTACCATTCCTTCTGAAACTATTCCAATCAATAGAAAAAGAGGGAATCCTCCCTAACTCATTTGATGAGGCCAGCATCATTCTGATACCAAAGCCGGGCAGAGACACAACCAAACAAGAGAATTTTAGACCAATATCCTTGATGAACATTGATGCAAAAATCCTCAATAAAATACTGGCAAACCGAATCCAGCAGCACATCAAAAAGCTTATCCACCATGATCAAGTGGGCTTCATCCCTGGGATGCAAGGCTGGTTCAATATACGCAAATCAATAAATGTAATCCAGCATATAAACAGAGCCAAAGACAAAAACCACATGATTATCTCAATAGATGCAGAAAAAGCCTTTGACAAAATTCAACAACCCTTCATGCTAAAAACTCTCAATAAATTAGGTATCGATGGGACGTATTTCAAAATAATAAGAGCTATCTATGACAAACCCACAGCCAATATCATACTGAATGGGCAAAAACTGGAAGCATTCCCTTTGAAAACTGGCACAAGACAGGGATGCCCTCTCTCACCACTCCTATTCAACATAGTGTTGGAAGTTCTGGCCAGGGCAATTAGGCAGGAGAAGGAAATAAAGGGTATTCAATTAGGAAAAGAGGAAGTCAAATTGTCCCTGTTTGCAGACGACATGATTGTATATCTAGAAAACCCCATTGTCTCAGCCCAAAATCTCCTTAAGCTGATAAGCAACTTCAGCAAAGTCTCAGGATACAAAATCAATGTACAAAAATCACAAGCATTCTTATACACCAACAACAGACAGAGAGCCAAATCATGAGTGAACTCCCATTCACAACTGCTTCAAAGAGAATAAAATACCTAGGAATCCACCTTACAAGGGATGTGAAGGACCTCTTCAAGGAGAACTACAAACCACTGCTCAAGGAAATAAAAGAGGATACAAACAAATGGAAGAACATTCCATGCTCATGGGTAGGAAGAATCAATATCGTGAAAATGGCCATACTGCCCAAGGTAATTTACAGATTCAATGCCATCCCCATCAAGCTACCAATGACTTTCTTCACAGAATTGGAAAAAACTACTTTAAAGTTCATATGGAACCAAAAGAGAGACGGCATCGCCAAGTGAATCCTAAGCCAAAAGAACAAAGCTGGAGGCATCACACTACCTGACTTCAAACTATACTACAAGGCTACAGTAACCAAAACAGCATGGTACTGGTACCAAAACAGAGATATAAATCAATGGAACAGAACAGAGCCCTCAGAAATAACGCCGCATACCTACAACTGTCTGATCTTTGACAAACCTGAGAAAAACAAGAAATGGGGAAAGGATTCCCTATTTAATAAATGGTGCTGGGAAAACTGGCTAGCCATACGTAGAAAGCTGAAACTGGATCCCTTCCTTACACCTTATACAAAAATCAATTCAAGATGGATTAAAGATTTAAACGTTAGACCTAAAACCATAAAAACCCTAAAAGAAAACCTAGGCTTTACCATTCGGGACATAGGCATGGGCAAGGACTTCATGTCCAAAACACCAAAAGCAATGGCAACAAAAGCCAAAATTGACAAATCGGATCTAATTAAACTAAAGAGCTTCTGCACAGCAAAAGAAACTACCATCAGAGTGAACAGGCAACCTACAAAATGGGAGAAGATTTTCGCAACCTACTCATCTGACAAAGGGCTAATATCCAGAATCTACAATGAACTCAAACAAATTTACAAGAAAAAATCAAACAACCCCATCAAAAAGTGGGCGAAGGACATGAACAGACACTTCTCAAAAGAAGACATTTATGCAGCCAACAGGCACATGAAAAAATGCTCATCATCACTGGCCATCAGAGAAATGCAAATCAAAACCACTATGAGATACCATCTCACACCAGTTAGAATGGCAGTCATTAAAAAGTCAGGAAACAACAGGTGCTGGAGAGGATGTGGAGAAATAGGAACACTTTTACACTGTTGGTGGGACTGTGAACTAGTTCAACCATTGTGGAAGTCAGTGTGGCGATTCCTCAGGGATCTAGAACTGGAAATACCATTTGACCCAGCCATCCCATTACTGGGTATATACCCAAATGACTATAAATCATGCTGCTATAAAGACACATGCACACGTATGTTTATTGCGGCATTATTCACAATAGCAAAGACTTGGAACCAACCCAAATGTCCAACAATGATAGACTGGATTAAGAAAATGTGGCACATATACACCATGGAACACTATGCAGCCATAAAAAATGATGAGTTCATGTCCTTTGTAGGGACATGGATGAAATTGGAAATCATCATTCTCAGTAAACTATCGCAAGAACAAAAAACCAAACACCGCATATTCTCACTCAGAGGTGGGAATTGAACAATGAGATCACATGGACACAGGAAGGGGAATATCACACTCTGGGGACTGTGGTGGGGTGGGGGGAGGGGAGAGGGATAGCATTGGGAGATATACCTAATGCTAGATGAGGAGTTAGTGGGTGCAGCGCACCAGCATGGCACATGTATACATATGTAACTAACCTGCACAATGTGCACATGTACCCTAAAACTTAAAGTATAATTAAAAAAAAAAAAGAAAAGAAAAGAAAAAAAAAAGAAAATGTTTGCCAATCTTTTCTTCTCCTATTACAAAACAAAATGAAAAACAAACCAAAATAACACTGCTGGATTTCTAATGAGATTGTACTGAACCTATAGATCTGTTTGGGGGAGAATCTTTAAAATGCTGAGTCTTGAAATCTACAACCATATTATATTCTTCTTTATTTAGAGCTTTAATTTCTCTCAATAATATTTCATATTGTTCTGTATAGAGACCTTTCAAATAGTTTTTAAAGATTTATTTCCAGGTATTTAAAAATTTTGATTTGATAAATGGTAAAATTTCTTAAATTTTATTTACCTATTATTAGTTGATGTCATACAGAAATACAAGTGATTTTTATTTCTACCTTGTAGGCATAGATCTTGCTAAACACACTTATTAATTCAAGTACTTGATCTATCTATAGATTACTGGGTAGTCTATAATAAACAATGAATTTCAATTTCTTCTTTCCCATTCTCATAAACTTCATGGATTTTTCTTGCCTTATTGCCATGAGCAATGATCTCCAACAGAAAGTTGAACTATACTTAGAGTAGTGGCCATTCTTGTCTTGTTCCCAATATCAATGAGAGAAACTTCAATATTTCACTCTTAAATATAAAGTTTGATGGGTGTTTCTTATATATACACATTATTAGATTAATGGAGTTCTATACTACTTTTATTTCGCTAAGAATTTTTGCTATTACAGTTGTTTTGTTTTTAATCATGAATAGAATGCATATGGAATGTGATAAAATACTTTTATGATTTTCTTCTTTATTCTCTTAATGTGGCATAATACATTGTTTCATTTTCTAAAGTTAAGTCAAATTTAAATGCCTGTAATAATCCCAAATTGAACCTGGACATGTTATTTTAGCTACTTTACATATATAACTGTACTTGATTGCTAATATCTTGTTTCCTTTCTGCTTGTTATCTGGAAAAATATATGAATGGCTTGTACTTTAATTTCTTTAATTAAATGGAAAAAGCCATGCTTCCTTCTCCCAAATATTTGCCCTAAAAATCCAAGTTGCTTTGATACTTCCCTGAAAATTTTGAACAGGTTTTTAAAATACACATTCGTTCCAAATTTTCCAGTTGATTCCAGTAGGAAGGTTGGTCTGAAAATCCCTACTTCACTAGTGACTGAAGAAACTAATATTTTAAATAATTTATTCCTAAACACATTAACAAGAGTTAATGCTCTATAAATCCTGTCTAATTCATCAAGGAAGAAAGTTTGGAGAGTTTTAAGCTCTAGTTAATATAATAACAATAATAAAAATATCATACATATATTGAGTACCAAGTACCATATACTCTAAATATTACCAAGTCAAGGTCAAGGATAGAACTTTTCTTTCATCCAGAAGAAGAAAGAGAAATTCAAGGACTTTAATTTTCAGTGATAAGTCTACTTTTCTAATTTAAAATTGTAGCTAGGTAATGCAAAACATGAAGTATTGAACACACATATTTACCTTGGTTTTCTATTGAAGTACCACTATAGTAACAGTAAGAGATGAAATAGGTATAAATCTATAAGCAGAAATAAAATATGAGAGGAGAAAACACTAACACAATTTTCAGGAGCTGGAGAAAATATGTACACATGTATATTGACTTAGAGGTCTTAGAAATATAAATGTAAGCTGGCAGAGGAGAAGAAGCATAGATTTGCTTAGAAAGGGTGGTGAGTTGGAAAATTAACAGATTATCTTCACAGGATGATCTCTGGGGAGTATGTAAGCTCTCTTCCCCAACAGAAGACTAGATCTTTGAGTTCTGCAAAAGTGAAATGAAAGGAATTCTGGGCTAAAGGTACTCAGGAATTCTGAGTATAAGGATACAATACCAAAACAAGGTAATTATGTGAAAGCGAATATACCGAATATTGAGAGAATAAGTCCTTTTCCTTATCCCCAGTAAGTCAATACCATCCGTATGGATACTCACCTATACAACTACTACCATCAGAAAAGTTCTTTCAACACAAGTAGTTTGGAAGAAAACAACAAAGCAGGGAGGAGGGGAAACCTTATAACTAAAAGGAAAGTTTCAATCCATGAAATACAAATAGGAACACATAAGGATCAAGCTGAGAATAAAATGGATTCTCTGTGAAGTTAAATGTAAGGAAAAAGTGGGAAAAATCTCATCACCAGGTATAAAAGATGTCCCAGATATGGAGTGAAAAACATAAGAAGAAAGAAAAGAAGATGGAAAATAGAAAAAGCAAGAAAAAATAGTAATTCAGAGTTCTGTCTTGGATGTTCAGCATCCAAATAATATTGGTTCTAGAAAGAGAACAACTAAAATAAAGGGTGAAAGTGATTATCAATGAAAATATTCAAGAACAAATGAAGAACGCAAGTTTATGAACATAAATTTATGGTGGAGAATTTGGGAATTGATTAGTTATAGAAATAGAGAAAATGAGGCGGGCGGATATTTGAGGTCAGGAGTTCAAGAGCAGCCTGACCAACATGGTGAAACCCCATCTCTACTAAAATACAAAAATTAGCCAGGCATAGTGACACATGCCTGTAATCCCAGCTACTAGGGAGGCTGAGGCAGGAGAATCACTTGAACCCAGGAGGCAGAGGTTGCAGGGAGCCAAGACTGTGCCACTGCACTCCAGCCTGGGAAACAGAGTGAGACTGTGTCTCAAAATAAATAAATAAATAAATAGAAAGAAAAATAATTAAGTAAGAAAAAAGGCAATTATTAACTCCATGGAAAATAAAAGTTGTTTGGCCTGGTGAGCCTATAAAACCTTTCTCTTTTAAAACTATATTTAAAAATAATATAGACATTATTAATATTGAATTTTCAAATTATATAGTAAGACTATTTCTTAGTATTCAAAAGTAAAGTCAGGCCCAAAGGTCAAGGGAATCACTGAACAAAAGGATCATATTTTTAAAAACAAAATAAATATATAGCTGTTTGGCTGCAAAAATTTAAAAAGCCCAATGTTAAAATTATTCTGACAACACGACAGCTTCCAAATATGGGTATACCTGCTTCAATGTTATAAACTAGTTTAACCCACATTTTTTCCTATTTTTATGCTCATGTCATTTCACTTTATATAGAAACAATTATGCCCACACACGTATTTAGTTAAAAGATCAGAGCAAAGGCATATTATGCAAGATAATTTTTTATATCCAAATTTTTTTTCCTTCCAAAAGATTTGCAAGTTTCTATCTGTTTTCATAATGAATATATCCTACTATACACACTCTGGTGTTTTGCACTTGCCATTATGTGTTGTTGATATGAGCATTATATGATATATGTTATTAATATAAACAATGTAAAATATATTTAGAAAAGGCACTTAAGCTGGAATTTCTTTAATTCACTTTTTTCCACTCTTGTATATTTTGATACTGATTTAATAAACTTTAAAAGCAGAGGTGAAAAAAATCAGCTGCTTAGGTGTGTTTGACATCCAGTTTAATGGAGAGAGATTTTCGCCTTTTATTCATAAGAGAAACAACAATAAGAACAACAAAAGACAGCTTTTCAAAATAAAAAGAGCCCTATAAAGTAGCTCAGAAATTATGGATTTTAGTAATAGCTAGATAAACTGGTGGTGTAATTAATAACCACCCTCTCTTGGTCTTTTTTTTTTTTTCATTGTCAAACTATAGGAAAGTTGACTAGATGGTCTTTAAGGTCTCTTCATTATTAAATCTCATAGTTTCTAAGGTTAATACTGCACAGGGAAGTAACTTTTAACATGTAGCTTACTATTCAGTCTCCATATGTCAGTTATCTACTTTCTGAATATTGATTCCCTATTGATTTTCTCTTTAGTGATACATTTTAAGGAAATGTAAGATAATATAAAAAATTCTTGTTAAATAATTGATAACTTGATAAGCACAAATTCAAAAGTGAATATCATGTATTTTAAAGTCAAAAATATAAAGTTAGTATTATTCAATATCTTAAATAGTTGATGTTATTTTTATATTTTCAAGCACTCATTGACTTTATTTTTACCCATTGACTTTAATACACTTCCATTTAACTATCATTTATTGAGCATATACCTGTTGAAACACACACACACACACACACACACACACACACACTGATGTAGGTGCAAGGGTACAAAAGAGAGCAAAATAAATCCAATTAGGAGATGGCAAGAAGATTCATGATGCAGGGTAAGCCTCAAATGTGGACTAGACTCAATCAAATATACACTGTGGGGAGGCAGGGGGTTGAAACCCAGCAATTGCACATTGTAATCAAAGGGATCAAAGTGGAAAAGTTCAGGGTTTGTCTGATGATAGAAAAGTTAACCCTTGTGACTAGGACATGGTTTGTGCATATGTGTGCAGGTCACAGCCAAAGCAAGCCTGGCAGAGTAGGTTGGGGTCAAACTGTGGAGTCAGATCGGTGTATGCACGCCAAGTTAAGGGTTTCAATTTTACGCATTATGAAATCAGGAACTATCAAAGGGGATTTTTCACTCTGAATCAGAAGAGAAACAGAAAAAAAATAAGTATGTTAGTTGATAAGGTTTTAAGTAAGATGAAAGGAAGTTGCAAGAACATACACTTAATGAGTAAGATGATGATTAAATAGGTAGGTGTTTGGAAAAAAAAACATTATCTGGATTAATTTTTAACTAGAAAACTAGACAAGAGAAACACTGAGCACTGAAGGCCAGCTGAGGTTTTGAGTAGAGCTATAACCCAAAGAATTATATTTTTATTTCACTAAGTCTCTGCCACTCAGTATAGTATAGGAGCAAATAAGTTGAATGTCTGAAATTAAGTGTGAAAAACTAATTGACATCATGGATTATGAGATCAGTTTAAATTTGAAAGGATGGGCAACCAAAAGTCAGCAAGCAAATTCAAGAGGGAGTAAAGTGGGCAAGAGTAAAACAGTTTTAATTTACTTTTATTTCACCTAACATGCATTTATGGGAAGTAATAAGTGTGAAGGAATGTATGTGAACAAATACTAGTTTAATCTAATCCTCATAGTTATCCCATGGGACAGAGACTATTTAATGATCTCAATTTTACAGTTGAGAAAACTGAGTCCTGAGGAAGTTTTAAAAATGAACTCAGATCACTGAGACAGTGAATTCTCAACCTAGGGTTTGCATTCAATCATTATAAATCAAGAGTCAAGGTTTTTAATTATTGTACTATGCAATAATTAAATTAAAAGTAGGAAAGTGAGAAGTTAAGTGAACATAGGCTGGGATCAAAGTAAAATTGACAGTTTAGTTTTGGAATAATAGCAGTTCTCGACAGTTACAAGGCTTGGAGTATTGTAACAGAAGTGAATGGCTGAAAGAAAATGGAGGCAAAGCCACAGGATTTGAGGGTAAAAGAGAGGTTGTTGACTTTCCCTAAAGTACTATGGAGCACTTGAAGTTAGAAGGGCAAATCAGCCCTGAGACCATGTCCTTGTTCATTCACAGAGGCTGTTGGTAATTGGTACCAACAAGGAGAGATAAAAATGGAATTCCCCACAACCCCAACACACACAGGCACACATGCACGTATGCATGCATGCAAAAGCACACATCCAAGGGTAACAAACACCTTCTACCTGATAGAGCCTTGGGACGGGAAGGTCCTCAGAGAGAAGAATTAGGATTGCATAAAGGAAATAAAGCTGAAGACATGGCTTATATGGTAAGTCCTCAATATGATTGCTAGATACTGGGAAACTGTGACTTCAAGCAAAACAATGTACAGAGGGTTCTCGAATAACACCCTTTCCTTCTATGACATTTTGTTATAACATTGATAAGCAAAAAGTGGTTTTGTTATATACATTTCTCAACTTCAAGTCACAGCTTCCAAAACCCTATTGAGGATGTTAAGTGAGGACTTCCTGTAATCAGTAAAACATTTGGGAACTTTTGTTTGTTATTCTTTAACGGAATAAGCTTTATAATAAACATGGTGTAAATACCTGGCAGAAAAGACAGGCAATGGAAAGTGGCGGGAGGCACTGAATAGATTTTAAAAATATTTGGGGAAACAAAGTATTACTTATATAAACATTGACAACAGTGTAATTCGTTTATCTAATAACCCAGGTAAAATACCTAACAAATACTGCCACTATTCATCAACTCCAGGAAAAACAACTGTTGTGTCAGGTGAATTCCTTGTGTATATGTGTTTTCACTGGACAGAAGGAATTGCATAAGCCAGTGCTTCTCAAAATGTGATCCCTAGAACAATAGCATCCGCATCACCTGGAAACTTGTTAGAAATGCACATTTTCAGATCCCACCCCAGGCCAGCTGAATCAGATATACCAGTCCTGCAGGTGACTCTGATGTGTGATAAAGTTTGAGAACCTCTAACCTAAATCAAATTTCTTTCTGCTTAGCTACCCTGGAAGTATGAGCCAAATTCAACATTGACCTGCAAAAGTTAATTTTAGGTACTTGTTCACATCTGTTTCTGTGTTAATTATAATTGCTTTTTCTTATTTTCATTCTTCTGGTCTATATTGTATTTAGTAAATTGTAATCCTTTTGGAGTATTTATTAAACTAACAATCAACACAAATTTTTGAAGTCTTACTGACAATTTGTTTTTAAAAATCTGTAACTGTAAAATAATACATGTTAGTAACTTTTACATATGCAATTTTAGAAGGGTAAACATATGTGGTAAATTGTTAAGAAAGTGGATGAGGAAGATTGATTGTTATTTAATTGACACAGGAAAGAGCCAGGCATTGGCATTAAAAAAGAAAAAGAAAGAAAACCAAACTTCGGATGATTCTGATGTATAGCCAGGGTAAGAATCACCAGATTAGAAGATAGGAGAAAAGAGACCTACGGCATCATGTATTTTGAAGAGTTTGGTGAAAATGATAGTGATAATTCTGGGCCATAACAAGACTGCCTATAAGAAGAGTCTGAAGAAATGGTTTAAAACAAAAGGAAAAGGCAATGCATCTAGTGTAAGCTTGAAAAAAAGCTGGGAAACTCAAAGAAAAAAACAGAGAGAAGGGGGTTGAGAACACTAAAGAAAAGTAAATGGCAGGTCAGTGGATGAGATTCATCATGTCTTTTTGAATAGTGTGGTGAGTCAACATTCTATCTGCAACTGTAGACAAAATCTATGTGGGTTCAAGGATGCACATGGAAAACTCAAAAGCATTCTTCTTAGGAATTCCACCTAAAAAGCAATATACATCCAGCTGACCTAGAAATAGTTAAACAGCAAGACTAAATACCATCTTGGGGAGGATGGATGGGGCCTTTATTCATTTTCAGATGTGGAAAAAATGTTTGTCTTTATATGTTTATAATCATCCCAAATGTGCTCCTGATAACACCTGAGCAAACTTTCTCTCTGGCTGTCACTTCAATAGAAATTCACTGAACATTAATATTTACTTTGGAATGAGACAGATTTCTGTAAGTTCTTAGGAATACAAAATAAATCTTGAAATGCAAATATTGAACATTTATGAATAATAAATATATATTTAAAGATGATATTCATATGGTTTATTCATAACCTAAGCATGTGTGACTCTTAAATAATCACATTACAGTAAATCCTTTATGGGAAGAAGAAATATTATCAAAAAGTTACTACTAAATTTAACTAAAAATGCCCCCCAATAATAATTCTGAGACGTCATGATTATTTACATTTGCTTCAGAAGTGTTAAAGTTTAGATTTGTTATCTTCACTATCATTCTAGTAGCAAGCATTTTTCATTAAATTTACCATATCTTATATAATCAAATTTATCAGGTTATTGAGTAAGCTGCCAGGACTATATTTAGAAAGAACCTCAGAGATAGAATAGATGATCAAATGATCAGGTTTAGAGTAAATGCTTGAAAAATATTTTCTTATATTGCAATGAGTATAGTTAGCCACCAGAGAGAGCTCAGTCACTATGTTTTATTAAAGACAGTAATTATTTACTTTCAACTGAATAGAAATTCTCTATCCGCCATGTCCTAAATTTAAGAAACAAAGCTATTGTTTAATGATTTATAATATCCAGAATCAAATACTATAAATGACACTTTCAGGTTTAGCATTTGAGGAATAATGTGTCTCTGCCAACAAGAGTGTTAGTGCTGAAGATTGCAAGGGAGATTTCCACTGGGGAAAAGGTGCAGGTTGCATATTTACAGGCAATTTTCTTACTCACTAATGGGAAGGTTTCTTCACACACTAGAAATACATGCTTTATGAAAACAACACAAAGGCTATTTTCTAATAGCATCTTGTTAACTCCAGAGAACTGAGGAACAGCTTTTTAAAGTCATATGACAAACATAGGAAATAATCAGTAGTAAATGGAACTTGATAAATAAGAACCTGAAATTAATAGATCTTAATATCTTTTGTCTGATCCTCAGCAGGAGGAAATTTTTACTATTAAGCAGGATCACTTTATTCAACAAAAATTATACAACTATACTAATGCAATTTTAAGTTAATCAATATCCAGTCCTTTCTCCTGCCCCCAATCACGATAAGTAAACAAAATGAAGAAACACATACACTCAAGCTTATCCTCAGGTCTTCCTCTTTCAAGCAGAGACAGGTAACAGACAATGTCCTTCAGATGGATTACTTCTGGGGAACACGTATTTGCAGGAGAAGTAGTCCGGGGAGGGGTGATGGCACCTTTATTCATTCTCAGACCTGGAAAAAAAATTGTCTTTATATTTTGTTAATTATTTACAGTGATCTCAAACAGAAAACAAATTAAGAAAATAGAGAACACACAGGCTACATAGAAATTTATATTTTTTAGGCATAGAATAACCAAATTCTCTGTAAGATCGGTACAGCAGCTAGACATAGCCTACGACTGTTGTAGATGAAGGAGAGTTCTTTGGGATCCACAGACATGGCACTGCCCTATCAGCCACGGATGGTATTTGGGTCAGAATAATATTACCCTAGGTGAGTTGGTACACATTTGAATGCTTGAAGACCCACTTCCCTATTCCACTTTTCTGTGCTTTAGGTAGTGACAGCTATAAATCATTTGGGAAGATATTTAAAATGGACTTTTTCACAAAATACTAAAGAAAAAAATGTCAGTCTTTCACAATATAATTTCTCTATTCATAATAAGTAATCATCCATTCATAAAGTCATATATTTGTTTCAAATATTTGCCAATACCATGAAGAAGACATCCTTTTTTACCATCAAGGGACTTGCCCAGGAGTAAGAATAAAGAGAACATAAGCAAAACTCTGGATAAACATGATGGATATTAGAGAGGTAAAAACATATGAGTGGTTTGGTTTTTAAATGGTTCTGACTTTATTTCTGAAACCCATTATCTGTGTCTGTTCTATCACAAGGATATAGGTTGCTTATTACCTGTCTGGTGATAATCTAACCGAAATATGTTCACAGTAACTTGTTAGTTCTGTCTTACCCAGAAGCCACTGAAGTCAGATTGTGTGTATCTGACAAGGCCTGAAGATAAACCGCAATTATCCCTTGAGGGATATATGGCATTTTTAGAGGTATTTGGGAGAAATAACTAATGGGTTGAGTGGCTACTAGATTCCTAATCAACCAGGAGCTACTGTAAGGAATAATTTGAACCAAACACAGTTCTAGAACCCTGTTCTTAGCACAGATCTACCTGACTGCGTATGTCTCACTCTACTTTAGTTTTTCAATTTGTAACTTTCCATGAATACCTATCACCTCGTCAAGCCATCTCAAGATTCCCAGGCATATAATTCAATGTGTTGTGATATGTCCCAAGTTAGTTTTATCATTGGTGATGTTGTCACTAATAAAGGGAACTATTTACTGAGTGCCTAATATGTGGCTGAAATCATGGTAGTAGCTTTAACACATATTATCTCACATTATTCTTACGTGAACGCTGTGAGGTAGAGTGCATTTTCCCCACTTTACAGATTAGGGACCGTCTTACAGATTTTAACTTCCCAGAGTTTCATAACCAGCAAGACAAATCCATCTTCCTGTTTCTACAGTGGTAGCTTACAAACTATTTTTGTTCAAGGCCAATCATAAAAGTGTAAGAAAAATAATTTACATCTTAACACAGCACACACACACGCACGCACGCACACACACGCACACACACATTAGTGGGATTCATAATTGCCCAAATATTTTCTTTTCTATATTAACCTACTCATATTCTATCCTATTCTGAAAATTTTTCTCAAACACCATCTAAATTGAGTTTACTAGCCACCAATGGATCAAAAATCACAGTCTGAAAAAACACGGCTTTGGGTCTTTCCATCCTTTTTTATTTTTAATTTTTTTTATTTTTTTGAGATGGAGTCTCGCTCTGTAACCCAGGGGCTGGAGTGCAATGGTGCGATCTTGGCTCACTGCAACCTCTGCCTCCTGGGTTCAAGTGATTCTCCTGCCTCAGCCTCCTGAGTAGCTGGGATTACTGGTGCGGGACACCACGCCCGGCTGATTTGTGTGTGTGTGTGTGTGTGTGTGTGTGTGTGTGTGTGTGTGTGTATGTTTAGTAGAGATGGTGTTTCACCATGTTGGTCAGGCTGGTCTCGAATTCCTGACCTCATGATCCATCCACGTCGGCCTCCCAAAGTGCTGGGATTACAGGCGTGAGCCACCATGCCCGGCCCCTTTCTTTTTAAAATGAAGTCTTATTTATTTCAAATGTGGCTTTATGTTTTACATTAATTCTACTTCTGTTTATAAAGTTATCAACAGAGACATATATTGTAAACGGAATTTCCTTTTTAATAGAAGTATCAGTGTATGTCTAATACAAACTAATAGTTATTTATGAACCAAAGAAGGCAGGGAATTGAAGACAATCCTGAGCTTTAAAAAAAAAAAAAAAAAGACCGGAATAATTGAAACTAGCCAACTAAAGCTTAGCCAGCTGCAGGAATAAGCAGTTCCAACTTATGATAAAAAACATTTTGGCGCTGACCCTTGACATGACCATAACTTTCAGACTTGGAGAACACAGCACTTGAATTATGGTCGGATAAGCTATGACCTAACTCATCCTGCTGATGAGCTAATCCTCTTTTCCAATGTTTCCCCCTGTGGTACTGAAATGATTTAATCAGCTTGATTTAACTCCTTTATAGAAAAATTCAGAACAAAACAAAAAAGAAAGAAAAGAATATGCTCTGACATTTATTTGAAAGAAAGCCAAATATATTATAGATCTTCACTTATTTAGAACATGGCATGACCATTTGTACTTATACAACTAAGGTAGATGGTGTTTAATTATCAGCTTTCACCATACTGAACACAAACAATTGAGAACGTAAGGATCACATAATTTTGTCTTTTCTGTATGTAATGTATAAATCGAGTATGAATGTACACATATAATTTGTATTTAGCATCACGTTTTTGAAGGAATATGCTACTGTACTAAAATTATTTTTGTTTGGAAAAATGAGTAATATTTTCCATTTTCTTTTCATGAAATATTGTTAACTGAACACTTAAAGCTGTATCATGTATTTATCACATGGAATACGGTTAAATGAATATTTAAAGCTGTATCATGTATTTATTTCCATGAAATATTATTAACTGAATATTAAAGCTGTATCACATATTTAATTGTGTCACAGTTTTACATTTAAATAGCTTAAAGCTTATATAAAAGAAATATGGGCATATATTCAATCTATACATTGAAGAACTAATCAACTCTTCCTTAAGTCCAATAGCAGCCAAATTTGAGAGGTAAAATATATATTTTTGGAATGATTTATAGAGTGCACTGAAGAAGAAGATAAAATGTCAAAGACCTTTTATTATTATTACTTGATAAAAAGAAAATTGTAGAACAGGACTTAATTCTTTAAAACTATTCTTTTTTAAAAAGTTTGAGGCTCACAACAAAATTGAGACTGTACAGAGATTGAACACTGCTTTATATCTTTCCTTCATTTTCTTCACTCAAGTCTTGCTTACTTCAAATATCTCTCTGTGTTTCACATTAATTCTACTTCTGTTTATAAAGTTATTACCCACTACACATGCATATTCCTCCCCACTACCAACATTCTCCACCAAAGTAGTACGTTAGTTACAACTGGTTAAACTACATTGACACCTCATTACTATCCAATCTCTATAATATACATTAGGGTTCTCTTTTTGTTGTATATTCTATGAGTTTGGACAGGTGTATAATGAAGTGTCTACCATTATAGTGTCTTTCAGAGAAGTTTCACTGCCCTAAAATATTTCTACTCTGTTTATTTATCTCTGCCCTCCCAACAATCTCTGAACCTTTCATTTTCTCCCGGATTTTGCCTTTCCCATAGTGTCATAGAGCTGAAATCATACAGACTGGCTATTTAGACTGGCTTTTTTCTGTTATTAATATGCATTTACATTTCCTCCATGTCTTCTTATGGCCTGATAGCTCATTTCTTTTTATCACTGAATAACATTGCATTGTCTGGATGTACTACAGTTTATGCATTCATCAACTTGATTAAATTTTGAGGTGTTTAATTAATAAAAAAGCTTGGCCAGGCACCGGAACTCATGCCTGCAATCCCAGCACTTTGGGAAGCCGAGGTGGGAGGATCACAAGGTGAAGAGATCGAGAACATCCTGGCCAACATGGTGAAACCTCGTCTCTACTAAAAATACAAAAATTAGCTGGGCGCGGTGGTACATGCTTGTAGTCCCAGATACTTGGGAGGTTGAGGCAGGAGAATCGCTGGAACCCAGGAGGTGGAGGTTGCAGTGAGCCAAGATCATGCCACTGCACTCCAGCCTGGGCGGCAGAGTGAAACTGTCTCAAAAATAAATAAATAAATAAATAAAAATAAAAAAACTCACAGATTTATTCCTGCTCCTACCACCTCCCCAAGATCAGCCCACTTTTTTTAAATGTTTCTTTATATTATATTTTCATTTAGTTTTCTGAAAGCAGACCCTGGTCCTCAATCTATCTCCACAGGAGTTATTTTTACACCCTACTCTACCCTTTATTTATTTATTTATTTATTTATTCATTTTTTTTTCTTTTGCCCTTTCCCTAAATCTGGCTGAAGCTCACTACTTATCTTCCTCGATTGCAGTTCACTACCCTGAAAAAAGTCCTTTTTCCTTTTAAGAAGTTTGCACTAATCTAATGGTTATTCAGAAGCTTAGGAGACAACATGTACGGCAACCAAAAAGTTGCAAGCCTGACTTCTTGACTACAGCTGAGATGGTAAAATGATAACATGAAATAGTAAGTGAGATCCTTTCTAGCAGCAATAGCCTCTGGTGAGGAAGCTCAAAATTCTATTTTTAATTAACAAAGGCCAATTTTACACACCCAGTCATCAGTGAAATTCTCTCTTTACAACTAAAATGAAACATAAAGCTGGGCAAAACAAAAGGGTTTGTTTGTTTTTTGGCCTCAAGTGATCAGAGCTAAATATTGCTTCAGAGTAAATATTGCAATTGACACTTAAAGTAGTATAATCTGCAGATTCTTCTACTTGCCCTAGGCTATACTACTTTAAATATTTCATCACAAAAGTGAAGCAAATGTGTGTGTGTGTATATATATGTGTGTGTGTGTGTATATACACATACACACACATATATATGTGTATGTATATACTACAATAGTACAAAATAAAGTGAAAAGTAAGCATTGTAATTAGAGCGTATTAGTCTTTTAGGAATAATTATCTTGTACTTAGCATTTATTTCTGTTAAAATAAGTTCATTATATATACACATACATACATACACACATACACATTCTTTTCTTCAAAGCTTTAGTTATAAAAAGTAGTTAGCATTAGTCATATCGAATGTTGCCTATGATTATCACATTTCTAAGCACATGATTTTCATTATACTCCAATCTAGACACTTCATTTCTTGAAACAATAACCTCAAAAGTTGTATTTAATAGATAATTTTAATTCCAGCTTCAGGTTCAATTATTAGCAGATAAGTTTTGGGTAGCTGTTAAATTAGTGCCTCTGGTCCAGTTTGTTTCATTTTCAAACACTTGCATTTCATATAATGTAAACAGTGACATTTTCTCTATTTCTTAATGAAATAGTCAAAAACAATAACATGGATCACATTTCTAAATTTATAAGGCAATACAACACTGGCAATTTAGCTTTTTCTTTTAAAATATTGGTTCAATTTACAGAAACGTATCAGATTTATTTATCACATAGTATAATTATATTTCCAACATCCATACTATTGGTCATAATGAGTAGCATAGATAATCAGAATAAAAATAGTTGATATTAGTATTGTCATATATTTCATGATTTTTACACTTAATCTTTCAACTATGCTTGTTGTAGTATATTATAATTATCTTTCATTCTTTATGTTTACCCAAACCGGCAGCAAAATTAGGTAGATGGCATTTTCAGTGAATAAGAAATGTAATAGAGATGGTGATTCCTTATAAAGAGAAGACAGACTGTGAGATACAGTCCCTGATATGAAACTGGGATCAGACAAACCTCTCTGAGAACATACTCTGGTTTTCATCTGTTTGGACATTGGCAAAAACCCCAAACAAGCAATTACAGGGAGAAGGACTTAAAGTATAGGTCTTTGGGGATAACGTTTTAAGAGCAGAGTAACCTCTGTGAAGGAACAACATTAATAACAGCTCTGGTTGTGTGCAAACAATACTTTTGTACAGTGGTCTTATTTGACCCTACAATTCTGTTTTAAAGATGAGAAAGTGGAAAGTCAGTAAGTAAACTGTTCGTGATCATATACCAGTCAGTCAACGGAGCAAAAAGGTGAAGACAAATCATCTCATTCCAAACTTTGGACTCTTTTTAAAAGCAGTAAAAATGAGATCTGTCTACACCAGTGTTATCCAATAAAATTTTCTGAAGGCTGAGTTCAGTGGTTCACACCTGTAATCCTAGTGTTTTGGGAGGCCAAGGCAAAAAGATCATTTGAGTCCAGGAGTTTGAGCCCAACCTGGGCAAAATAGGGAAACTTCATCTCTATAAAAAAAAATTTTTAATTACCCATTTGGGGTGGCATGCATTTGTAGTCCCAGCTACCTAGGGGGCTGAGCAAGAGGATCACTTGAGCCCAGCAATTCAAAGTTACAGTAAGCTATGATCACACCACTGCAGTCTGGGCAACAAACAGAGCAAGATTCTGTCTCTTGAAAACAAAAAACAGAAAACAAAAAACAAAAAAACTTTCTGCACTCTTCAATACAATAAAATTAACTACCTATGTCTATTTGACCAAAATTATTAATGAATTTAAATTTAAATAGCAGTGGATAGCTAGTGGCTACCATATCAGGTTGTGCAGGCTCTATACTGTATGCAGATGGATAATTGAAAGTTATTTAAATTATTCTCAGTAATTTGAATATATATAAGTATGGGACAAAAATAATTAAACCACCACATATTAAAAGAGCCCATGATGCCAAATTTTCTGTATTTATCACATGAAAAGAAATTCCAATAATCTCCTTAAATTTCACTGTACAGATATTGTTCAGAATGTATAATATCTTTAAAACAAAAAGGATATGTTGATTTTTTTTTTTTTGAGATAGGGTCTCACTCTCTGATGCCCAGGCTGGAGTGCAGTGGCATGTTCACTACAACCTCCACCTCCAGGGTTCAAGAGATTCTCCCACCTCAGCCTCCAAGAAGCTGGAATTACAGGTGTCAGCCACCACATCCAGCTAATTTTTGTATTTTTTGGTAGAGACGGAGTTTCACCATGTTGGCCAGGCTGGTCTCAAACTCCCGACCTCAAGTGATCTCTGTACCTCAGCCTCCCAAAGTGCTGGGATTACAGGGGTGAGCAACCACGCGCAACCAATATGTTGAAATTGAACTTTATGCTATGTATGCACACCAAAACATTGAAACATAATTTATTTAATGAATAATGGTAATGACTGGCATTTATTAAGCATTTATAATGTACACAATACTATTTCAAATGAAGTACATGTATCCTGTTTTTCTTCAGTCTCACAATAGTTAATAAAATACATACACATATTATCCCCATTTTACATCTAAGAAAACAGAGGAGAGAACAAGTTGCACAGGTACGACTCAAAATGCAGTCTGAATTGGAGTTTTATTATTTATTTATTTTTATTTATTTATTTATTTATTTTTGAGATGGAGTCTCACTCTGTCGCCCAGACTGGAGTGCAGTGGCGCAATCTGGGCTCATGGCAACCTCTGCCTCCCAGGTTCAAGCGATTCTCCTGCCTCAGCCTCCCAGGTAGCTGGGATTATAGGCACCTGCCACCACACCCAGCTAATTTTTGTATTTTTAGTAGAGACGGGGTTTTTTTATGTTGGCCAGGCTGGTTTCTAACTCCTGACCTCAGGTGATCCATGGCCTCCCAAAGTGCTGGGATTACAGACGTGAGCCACCGTGCCCGGCCAGAATCGGAGTTTTATACTCTAAGCATGATTCTGTGAGGCTGGACAGAGAAAAATAAATCAGAGGAAACTGTCTTCTGCCTCTCAATAAAAGACCTTTGTTTTAAGAGTCTGGTTTTCAAGACTCTTAAGGGTGGATACATTGATTAAATCATAAACATTTGAAAGAAAATTAGAAACCATAGCCAGAGCTAAGAACTCTAAATTTTCATCTTCCATTTGGCCCATGTCTTGGGCCATCCATCATAATATGTTTGTGAACATGTATTTATATGTGTGCTTGCATGTGTAAACATGCACATATATTTGCCAAATCTTTACGTATGATTTTTCTTATTGCTCATCTGTGTTTTTGATAGATATACAACTAGCCCTTTATAATCATAAACACAATAAATATTCAGGACCCTTAAGATTAGTCATGTAAAACCAGACCCCAGGTACTGAGGATAAAGCATGGAACAAAGCAGGAAAATCCCATTTCCACAGAGCTTTCATTCCAGGGGATCAAAGCAAGTGTCCAACACCATTGCATATTTTCTAGCTATGACTAGGTGTTTTTATGAGTGAAATAATGTTATGATGGATTTGGGCCTCTGCAGGGTATTAAATCTCTTATTTCCTTTTGCTAGAATATTACAAACTGTAAATAAATATTTTTGAACATGAAAGTACAAAAATGTTAAGACAACACTATTATTTAGTATGCAACCATTAAGATGAAAATGAAAATACAGAAACTCCTGTGTGTTGGGTGAATAAATCTAATAATAAAGTAAAGGTGGAAAATTTGAGGACCAAATTTTACTTGGAATATTCAGATGGAAGAAAAAAGAAACCTGATTATTCAAGTCTAACATATTAAAAACCATTTAATGATTAAAGGAGAGACTTGAAGAGAAATCATCCCTTACTGGCAGTAATTATGTTAAAAACAGGACCACAAAATTATTGCAAGGAAGAGGTTGGCAGGATAAAATATTTTTTGAAGTAAAATAATCTGTGGATCATTACTTCTAATGACAATAATTAGAAGTATGAATTCAATACTACAGAGGTACATCAAATGTAAAGGTTGATATAAATAAATATGAATTGGCCAGTAGACAGAATTTATTTCATCTGTATTCCTGGAGCATTTCTGTGTCAGTAAGTTTATTACCTCAACAGTAATAAGTATATCGACATTAAGAAATACACCAATATATTTTAAATATCTACTATGTGTCAGGAATTCCCCTATCTCATAGTCACACAAGCTATGTAGTCTGTTCAGTTTGTGTTTTGGGGACCCTGACTTTCCTTGTTTGCATTGTGGAAACTGAAATAACTGATCAGTTATAAAAGACCTGTTAAGGTACAGCACAGTAATAAAAAATACACATACACACATATATATTTAATATCCTCAAGACAGTCCTAATAAGAGAAATATCTTCTCAGCACAATTAATGAAGTATACCTTTCAGCAAGAACATTCAGTAAGTCTATTTGGTGAAAGAACATTTCTCCCAAGGTTCAAGTATCTCATTCTCATTGTACAATTTTCTGTTCTTAATTGATTAACTTCCTGACAGACATTTTCCTTTTCTATCTAAAATAAGTACTTGGGGCGTGACTCAAATGCACAGAAAACATAAAATGACATAATCCTCCTATTGATATTATAGCTTATTGATATGTGTAGCATCACAGTGCAAATTAACCATTGCCTCATCAAACAAGCAATGGGAGAGTTGGGGACCAATGATAAGGCATCTAATTTTTTTCAGAGATAGCTGTTACTACTCTCAATCTGAAATATCTTCTGGACCCTTTTATACCGTCAGCCTCATTCTCCTTCATGATAGCTGCCACCTCACTAGCAGTGTAATTATTTTCTGGCTTAAAATCTCATAATGGCTTTCCGATTTCTTCTGGATAAAATTCACAACTTAGCATGACAGGCAAAACTCTTCCCCACCTGGCCTTGGCTACCTCTCTCGCCTCTTCTGCAGAAGCACAACTGGAGTCCAGGCCAGATCCAGACCTCTCAGTGCTCCTAACAAGTCTATCTTCCTCCAGTCTCCTAAGGTCCTTGGGGCTTTGACCTTGCCAGGCCCTCTTTCCTCATTCCACTCCAGGCCATGCCCGATACTTACAAGGTCATGAGCATCATCTGCTCTGGGATGAACAGAAATGACCTTTTTGAACTCCTATCTTAGTTTAAGTGAATCATGAGGATCCCACATTCCCAGTCATCTTCAGCCTCAAGCTGCACTTTCCAGCCTCCTTTTTTTTTTTTTTTCTCTGAGATGGAGTCTCGCTCTGTCGTGCAGGCTGGAGTGCAGTGGCGCCATCTCAGCTCACTGCAACTCTGCCTCCCAGGCTCAAGCAATTCTCCTGCCTCAGCCTCCCGAGTAACTAGGATTACAGGTGTGCACCACCACGCCCAGCTGATTTTTGTATTTTTAGTAAAGACGGGTTTCACTATGTTGGCCAGGCTGGTCTCAAACTCCTGACCTTGTGATCCCCCCACCTCAGCCTCCCAAAGTGCTAGGATTACAAGCATGAACCACTGTGCCAAGGCTCCAGCCTCTTTTTGTATACATTTTTGCCAATACTACTTACTACCATCTGATATGGTACACGTATTTACTTTTCTGTATGTCTGCCTCTCCCCACTAGAATGGAAACGGGTTTCATTTTCTTTCTTTTTTTTTTTTTTTTTTTGATGGAGTCTCACTCTGTTGCCCAGGCTGGAGTGCAGTGGCGCCATCTCGGCTCACTGCAAGCTCCGCCTCCTGGGTTCACGCCATTCTCCCGCCTCAGCCTCCCGAGTAGCTGGGACTACAGGCGCCTGCCACCACATCCGGCTAATTTTTTGTATTTTTAGTAGAGACCAGGTTTCACCGTGTTAGCCAGGATGGTCTCGATCTCCTGACCTTGTGATTCGCCCACCTTGGCCTCCCAAAGTGCTGGGATTACAGGCACGAGCCATCATTTTGCTCACTGATGTATCCCTAACAACTTGAACAGTAAATATCAATTTATAAGTGATGAATTTTGAATCTATGAATACTGAATGTCTTACAGTTCATACATTGCCCTTTGATGGGACATTAAAAAATTTTTGAATAGAAATGTGTATGTTGATTTCTCTCCTTGGAACTCCTTTCACATCCTTTCCCACCCTTACTTACTCCCCTCTCCAACTTTACCTGGATAACTCCAATTTACACTGGATGACTCCTGCAACGGTTCACCTCCTCTTTTCCTCTAGTTTTATTTGGGCTCCTGTAGGCACCTCACTCTTTTCTCCACATAGTCAGTTCAAAAGTGGTTTACAATATTTATTTTATTATAATATAACTGAACACATAATTGTTCATCTTTTTGCTTGACTTTAAAGGATCCTCAGCTTTCCTGTGGAAGTTCTAGCATATAATGAGTTTAAATAAATAGATAGGATGCATGAATTAATGAATGAATAAAATAAATTACTAAATGGCACACCTATCAATTGAGTGCCTATTATTATTTAAAGGGGGCTAGGAAAATCTTCTCTTTCTTTCTTATAAAACAATTAGGAAGAAACAACAACAAAAACTGTTACGCTGACCTGCAACAAGTACCAGACATTTTCTATTACAGATGCAACATTTTGGACATTGTGTAGTCCAACAGAAACAAACAGTATGAGTGTTTAAATGAGTTAATATACTATATTACGTCCTATTTTAATTACTATATTATTAAAGAAACTAACAGTTACTAATAATTGCTGTTGATTGCTATCTTATATGTAAAGAAAGGTAATTTCTCTGAAGGCAGTTAATTCAGTTAATGAATACTAAATGGTTGGAGTTGGCATGGGTGGCGATGGAGAAGGGACAGGGATGCTACAAGGGACAAATGGTGTCTTGTAAAAGTACCAGAGTGCCAGGGTTTCTTCCCAGTTGCACACTCCAGGTGTGCCATCTTATTAATCATTGAATTCCTAGTATGGAACACACCGCGTGCTATTTAATTAAGACTGACACTTTAGCTGAGGCTTTAAGGAAGCATTGGGTTTTCATGCGATAAGGGCAAAGAAACATTATGTAAGAAAACTCAGTCCTGAGTGAGAAAAGCAGGTTTAAGTCACAGCAAATAGTTGGATATGGGGTGCATAGGGCAGGGAGATGGAGCGAATAGGGCTGTAGGCAGATGCTATAGCCTACGTGACATGGTGCTTCATGGCCATGGAACTCTGATTTTATCACCTTCTTCACTGTGACTCTGGATCCTGGAGTCTCATAAAGGTTACTTCAGGTGGGAATGAATGTCTCAAAAGGTGGGGATGACTGCAACTCCATGTACTCATGTATCTCCAGCACCCATGCCCTTCACTAAAGCAACTCTGCTTTAGCTAGCTTTACATATTGAGGATTTAAGTTTGCTTGAAAAATAAGTTTAATTAAAAAATGCTCTGACAGTTGACAGTGAAGGCCTGAAATTTAGAAACCCAGGAGTAATATAATCAGGCTTCTGTTTGAAAGAACGTTTTGGAGATGGGAAGTCAGGGCCTGCTCTGAGAGCCTGCTAATTGATAGTTTATGATGAATTAAACTATGACACTGGCAGAACGTTTGGGAAGAAGCAGTTACAATGAGTACTAGAGAGTATTTTGTGATTAACTAAATATGGGAAGTGACGCAGCGGAAGGTGGGAGGATTCCAGTATTTTAGGACTGGGAAGTGGATAGATTCTTGGATGCTATTCACCAAAATAGAAGGTAGGAATAGTAGCAGGTTTGTGCAGAATCTAATTAATGAACTTTCAAACACAGTTAGTTTGGTATCTAACTGTTTGAAAGATTTGGACATCCAGACAAAGTGTTCCATCTAAAATACAGTACGTAAATATTATTTGTGAGCTGTGTAGGTTGTGTGGGGAGTAATTGAGGTACGTTATGTCTGACAGTGCCAATTTGTTATATGATGCAAAAAAAGTCATGTGTTGAAATGAGAAGACATTTAGATAAACTTTAAAAAGTTTAAAAAATCAACATAATTGATCTCGGATACAGTGCCAATAATAAATAATTTTTACATTGTTTTAAAAAAACTGAAGAAGTGTTAAGGTCATATAAACATCGGGTAGTAGGAATTTATAGTGACAGATATCTGCATATTTATTAAATTTCTCTTAGGTTATGTTGAGTGTTCAAGTTGTAGGGACTGATATGGGAGATGACAATTTTGATTGACGGTTGAGGTTGTGAGCCTCAACCATCTTTCTGCAACCATGTTGTAGAAAAAGAAAGATTCCAACTGATTTTAAAAGTGTATAAAGAAGGAAATTAACAAATGGTGGGCCCCAAGGATGGAAGCAATATCAGAAATTGGTCATTGAACTGGCAGAGACGAGAGATTAGAGACCTGACATTTGCAATGACACAGAAGTGGTATGAAAAAGCTGGAGAGATAATGCATTAGCGATATCTTCAAAAATCAAAAGTCAAATATGGAAACAGTAGTAGTGACATCATTTTTAAATAGGTGATAAGAGGCACTTATATTACAACAAATTATATTACAAAAATAAGTCATCTTCTTCATGAAATGCCAAATGGATCATTACATATTACAGTCAAACAAAACCCAGCTATACATATGCATATGTATAAATACATACAACCTTTATGCCTATTTATAATTATTTTTAAATTTTTATTCTATAAAAACTAAATGTTTTGCTTTTACTATGTATCCTGTAATTGATTATCATTCAGTAGTGAGCATAATTTTTTTTCCTTTTCAGTTTTGTTTTTTCTTGAGAAGCCCTTATTTTTTAGTTGCTGTATAGAGTAAAAGACTACCTACTCTATTCCTGCTGGAACTGTGGTAATGAAATATGGTGAACTATAACAGCATAAACCAAACCAGATTGTAGCCCCTCTCTGTTCAAAAGTCTGTTATTTTTCAGCCACAAAAACACCTCGTTATACATTAGATAACAGATTATTGCAAAGCAAGATTCTATGAATGGAAAGGCATTTCTTTTGTCAGTTTCTGAGTCAAGGCTACTTCAGCCTTGAAAATTTTATTGTTGTCTATTGTTCCTTCTTCCTCAGGAAAAAAAAAAATAACTATCAAAGGTGGGTCTGAAAAAAAAATAGGGTTAGATATAGTCCTGGACAAGACACTATGTACTTAGTTGTAAAATGTGGAGGCCAAGCTTTGAAAAGGAATCAGAGTTTAATTAATCATTGCTGCATGAGGACTACATAGCCCATATTCCTTTCATGTAGTCTGTGTAGAATGCGTAATTTTCCCAAATTCAAGTACAATCTGTTTTTCCTTTTTTTTTCCATTTTGAAACCTGATTTGATTTTTACCCCTAATAAATCTGGCATCTTCTATTCAGTAGATAATATAGGCTATTAGAAGAAAAGGAAGTTTTAGGTTTGAATTTCTTACAAAATCACCTAATTTATCAGAATTGTTCTCTTTCTTCCATATGTGATACAGTTATTTAGACAGACAACATTATCCAGAAATATTTTCTCTTCTTTCTCAAAACTCAAGGACAATATTGTATCTTATAGAATTAAATACAGGACAACTTTCTTATTTAATTCAATTTAAGGTATGTGTGTGATACATTTATAGCATGCAGCAGAGAACAAGGAAGTTTTAATTTCTAGAATCATTTTAAAATGTCCAACCCAAAACACTATTAAACTGTAATACTACACATTAAGAATAGATCCACTGAAACTCATTCCGAGAAAAACAGCAAGTGCGGTGAGGCCTCTCAATTCATGATTGAAAGAGAATTATTTAAGAATCTAAAAATATTTTCTAAGAAGAGAAAAATGATGATAAACATATTAGTCACCATACATCTTAAAGGGCTATCATGTGGAATATGTACACTTGCTTTAAAAAAGCTTCTATCAACATGTGATTACTTTATGAAAAATAAGTTACATCATTAATAGATGGGAAGGCCAGACGCCATGGCTCATGCCTGTAATCTCAGCACTTCGGGAGGCTGAGGCGGGCAGATTGCTTGAGGCCAGGCATTCGAGACCAGCCTGGTCAACATGGTAAAACCCTATCTCTACTAAAAATACAAAAATTGGCTGGGCATTTTGGCATGCTCCTGTAGTTCCCAACTACTTGGGAGGTTGGGGCAGGAGGATCTCTTGAATCCAGAAGGCAGAGGTTGCAGTGAGCCAAGATCATGCCACTGCACTCAAGCCTGAGACCCTGTGTCAGAAAGAAAGAAAGAACAAAAGAACGAAAGAATGAAAGAGAGAAAGAGAAAGAAATAAAGAAGAAAGAAATAAAGAAGAAAGAAAGAAAGAAAGAAAGAAAGGAAGAAAGAAAGAAGGGAGAGAGGGAGGGAAGGAGGGAAGGAAGGAAGGAGGGAAGGAAGAAAGGAAGGAAAGAAGGAAGGAAGAAAGGAAGGGAAGCAGTACAACATAAGGCTTAATATTATGGACTCTTCATCATATTGTCTAAGTTTCATTTATGGCTCAACCATCTATTTCTTAATTACATGTTCTTGCATTTTTATTTATCAGAATGTCCATTATTGAACTTATCTCTATACCAACACGTGTGTGTGTGTGTGTGTGTGTGTGTGGTGTGTGAAATGGAGTCTCGCTCTGTTGCCAGCCTGGAGTGCAGTGATGCGATCTCGGCTTACTGCAACCTCTGCTTCCTGGGTTCAAGTGATTCTCCTGTTTCAGCCTCCCAAGTAGCTGGGATTACAGGCGCCTGCCACCATGCCCGGCTAATTTTTTTTTTTGTATTTTTAGTAGAGACGGGGTTTCACCATGTTGGCCAGGCTGGTCTCAAACTCCTGACCTTGTGATCTGTCCACCTCAGCCTCCGAAAGTGCTGGGATTACAGGCATGATCCACCGTGTCCGGCCTCTATACCAACAATTCTATATTCTACTTTGTGATACTAGAGCTGGGACTCGCTAGACTTGTGGCTCTCCTGGGATCCCTGAGCTCCTTGCAGGAGATTTTTAAGGTCAAAATAATTTTCATAACGGTATTAAGATATTATTTGCTTTTCTTACTCTTATTCTCTTTTGAATGTACAGTGAAGTTTTCAAGAGGCTATATGACATATGATCCAGTAACAGAAACATAGCACCAGATGTAATTTACCCAGCTGTCTTCCATGAAGCCAGGCATTAAAGAGATTTGCAATTATGCAAAACAATGCTACCCTTCTTACTATTTTTTGTTTGTTTTTGAAAATAGTTATTTTTCATAATAATGGGTTATTTTTTGTTAACAGGTAGTGGTTTGATTCTTGTTATTTTTGGAATGTCCCATCTTTAATATGGCAAATATCAATAGATATCATCCACATAAACATAAGTTCCTTCAGGTCTTCAATTTTTAAGAGTTCACAGAGTCCTGTGATCAAAGAGTGAGAAACACTGCTGAAGACATTTCTTCATTGCCAGTGGATTCCTGTTCTATCCATAGAGGGCGCTAGAGAGAGACGAGAAGGCACAGGGGTTGGGGCGGTGGGGTGGGGAGTCGCGGGAGAAGGGGCTGGACCCAGCAAGAGAACCTGCTGCTCCTGTTGAATCTCTGCAGCGTTTCAGCCCGGTGGCGGTAGCATGTTGTCTCTACCTGCAGACTCTAAAGCAGTGTAGGCTCTAGTCTCTAGCTCATGTCCACACCAACAAAAGCACAATGAGCTCCCTGCTAAGCAATCTGGGACAGGCCACGGTGATGCACCCTCCTCAGAGGTCTGAGTTCCTGGGCTATAGACTAGTCTTGAATTCCCCAGTTACCAGAGGCAGCCAGGAAGTATCACTTCCACAAAAGTCCAAGGGCTAGGTTTGCTAGGCAACCCCTCACCTCAGAATTTCATCCTAGCTCCAAGGAATCCTTTCCTCAGGGCTTCTAGGTGGTGATTACTGCCATCTAAGGGCAGCACATGTTTCCTTGAGTCTATCTACATCACCTGTCTTCTCTTTTTGCTTTTTCAATCCTTTGAAACAGCTTAACCAATTACACTGTTTTACATTGGGTAATACAGTGAAATCTCTGTTTTCTTGACTGGAGGGAGATTGATACAACAGGTATTAATGTAAGTATGCATCTCTAAAAAGCTACCCATAATGAGAGAATCACCATCTCTACGGTGACACAAATTTACAGTATCTAAAAGAAAAATCAAATCTCTGTTCTGAGCTTACAAATCTAAACATGTGAAAGTATATTGGCAATTAGCAAAATAGATATTAAATATTATACCTTTTTAGATATAGTTGCTTTGTGACCACATTTTCAAATACTCAGCAATCTATACGTATCTAGTTATTTAACAAGAGCAGTTTTCCAAATTTGATGGAAATATGTCTTCAAATTATTACCTATACATAGAATTCTAAAGCAAGTGATAGATAAGGATAAATTATATTTTCTCTAATTAGCTATAATTTTACTGGAAACATTTTAAATGAGTCACACAATCTTATTGTAAAAGTCTAAACCCTGTAACAAAACAATTTTTATGCAAATCATCATTCATCTTTTATGATAACTAGATATTTATTTAGCCTTTGAAATTTGTACTATATAAATGTTTAAAGTAAGTAAACTTACCGCCTGATAGGAGAGCAGGCTTACTTTTTACCATTGGACTAGAATGAGGAAACTTGTTGCTAAATGACATGAAAAGGTGTGCAGTGAAATCATCAGGAAGCTCGGCTTCCAGGAATGTCTTCATGAATAGTTTGAAACCTTCAAAATCTATTGTCTGGAAAAAAAAAATGTAAACATGTATTTTAAGATCCAACCAAATGTTAAAATTCTGTGCTGTGTTCAAAATCATTAGAAGTAGAAATGACCTCAAACCATTTTTATATCCAAGTTTAACAAATGGAAAGTGCCTATTTGAGAAATAGGGTGGGCCGTCCTGGGCTAACACTGGCAATGGGATATGTTTGTCTTACCTGTGATGGCATAGCAGGAAGAGGAAGAAGTTTCTAGTTAGATATTTCTATTTCCACAGTATCTGTAATGCCTTGAAAAATGTACTGTTTGAAACTTAGTTTGCTCCTCTCTAAACTGGGAATAATAATCCCACCCCACATAGTTGTTGCAGTGATTAAATCAGGCGATCACTGTGAACAAGCCAATACAGAGTCATATAAACACAGCAGGCACTCAGAGAGAAAGGAATTTTCCATATTTTTTGCTTGTCACTAATGGTGATTATCGCTTTTGACAATGTAAAAAGAGGTTAACCTTAATGTTTCAACTAAATGCCAAGCTCTATTGATAAACCTAAAACTTCATACGCAGACTTTCCAAAGAAACATATTTTAAGATCTTACTCTCTGATACTCATTGCAGAACTATATAAATGATTAGACATTTATTTGGAGAGAATTGTGGTGGTGTTAAGGTTCTCCATGCCCATTAGCGGAAATGGTGATGGAAGACAACTTCCAACCTCAAGCTTAATGAGAGCGTTTCACAGGAGCCATAGTGAAGAGCTTGGTTTCTCCTTGCAGATGAAGGCAGTGCACCAGGATTTGACTCTGCCTAGGAAATTGAGGACAAGCACATGGGTGCTTTGGGGACAAAGGCAAGAAAATGGTACTATTTTAAGTTGGCCAAAACTCCTCGTTTTGGACTGCAGGAACAATGGTGCATGAGTATTTTCTGGGAAACAGATGTAGACCACATGGAGGAGAAGGCCAGTGGAGTGGTCTTGGGTTCTATCCAGTAGGGCATTTGAAAGGACTAGAAGACCTACAGAGAAGAGGCTGGAATAAAGCCACATATGTCCAGATCAAGAGAGTGCAAGGGATGGGCTTTATAGGTAGCCCTTGAAGGCCAATTTTTTTTTTTTTTTTTTTTTTTTTTTTTACCCAGTTTAATGTGCTGAGATGCAAGAGGAAATTTGGCTGGCTGATGCTCTTAGTTTTGTTCACATTGCTGGCAGGTAAGAATAAAATTAACTTTGGAATAGAAAGTTTGTTTTTCCTATGTAATAATACTGGGGGAAAGACATGGAGATTGACCGAATTTATTATTGTATTATTTGGGACAAACCTAATATTAAATGTGACATTCAGGAATATCATTAGACATAGTAAATTTTTATAGATTTGATCATGTGCCAATTAAGTTTACATACGATGTTTGCTTTTTACCTAATAGAATCTCAGGCAATAAAACCAAACACTTTATTTATCAATAGTCCCAAGATTCTGCCTATACCTTAATCTAACTTTTTTATTTAGTTTCACTTTGCTTATTGATTCTCACAAGGACACTTCAGATATTTATTTTGCTGGCAGTAAAAAGACTTCATTTTCTTCTATATTTCATAAATTACTACCACCACCATAGAATATTGTCAATTCTAGCCCGGGAGGTGGAGGTTGCAGTCAGCTGAGATTGTGCCACTACACTCCGGCCTGGCGATAGAGTGAGACTCCGTCTCAAAAAAAAAAAAAAAAAGAATATTGTCAATTCTAGTAGTAGAGTGAACTATATAACTAAAAACTCTGAGTAATATAAAAAATGTGAAGAATAGCCTCAGGTAGGAGAAGTACTTCCAAAAAAGCAATTTGCTACAATGAATTCAGCCAACACTTAAAAACATGGCGATTAGGCCAACAGTCAGACATGGGATCCAAATAGTTTCCTTGAAAAGGAACACCTACTCTTACTAAGAGAGCTCCTTAGAGATGACCTATTAAAGAGAAGTATTCCACATTCATTTGGGTGAGTGACCAAAATTGATAGCTAATCTTCAACATGTATGAAGGCCCATGAGGAACCAGGAGTTGATTTTATTGCAAAGTTGCAGGAAGTCTGTGGGATGAAAATATTCACAAGCATTGTGGTTAGAAGCAAAGTTACTTATGGTAGCGCTTCCTTCTGTTCCTAGGTCTTCCATAATCAGTATTTTGTTTAGCAACATAACAGATGATAAGGGGCATGGTCTTTGAAGTCAGACTACCTGGATCAACTCTTGAATCCAACACAAGCTGTGTCACTGTGGACAATTTAAGCTCTCTGTGCCTCAATTTCTTCATCTATAAAATTAGAATAATAGCACCTACTTCTTGATTTGTTAGGAGGAACATATTATTTACTATTTTTAAAGCATCTGAATGACATCTGGCACATAGTAAACATTGTATGTAATTAAATAAATTTTTGTGTAAAGAATATCCATTTTAAAAATTCATAATTTGAAACAATATTTGAAGAAGAAGCCTCAAAGCCACATTACTTCACATGTTTTCATATGCATTTAACAAACCATGCATGGTTCATTGTTGTCCTTGTTGCTGCTTTAAAAGCTGGTAATAAAATGTGAACTTCCAGAAGTAGTAAAGGACTAGAAATTGGTGAAAGTTTTTCTCTGGATCTGCTTTTGGACCATAATTATACCTTAAAACAGCTCTTTCAAGCCAAGACTTTAACTTGGTAACATAACAAACAAACAAAACAAACAAAAACAAAGAGTTCAGAATAAAGCAATTGTGTTTCAAATTCTAATACTTCCACTCACCACCTAACTGATAAGGGGCAAAGAATTTATCTGCTCTTTTGAAGGAAAAATATGCCAAGTCCCAAGTGTATGCTCTTTACAGAGCCTTTCAGAACCCATGTCGATGCTCATTAAAATCGCTGCCTGTAATTTAACGATGAAAGCCAGAAAAATAACCAACCAAAAGGAAAAATGAACTTTAATATCTAACGATAGAGGCAGGACACAGACAAATGTCTAGGCAGGTAAGGGAAGGTCCCCGGAGAACCTCCAACCTGCCCAGGTCACTGTGCACAGGAGGCCTGTCTAAACACGCCCATGGTGAAAAATTCTGTCCCATAACACATGCTCAGTAAGGGAAATAAATCAGTGTGGGGTGGCTCAGACTAAGGGCTCACATGTGCACTGGAAAAATGGGGTGGAGCTACCAGAAATTCATGCTCTATGCAGGGGAGAATCTTGGCCTCTTCAGCTCATGTGTGGTGGCCTGGTATTCAATTTGTGAGGTGGAAACCCGAATGCAGGACCCTCTCTTTGTTGAGAGCTTTCCTTTCTCTTAATAACTTCCACCCTCTTTACCCTTCAATGTGTCCGCATGTTTAATTTTTCCTGATCATGAGACAAGCACCCAGATTTAGCTGAATTAAGAAGCAAAAATTCCTGCATCATTTGATGGCCTATATGGGGATATGAGGAAGAGCGAGTAAAATGCGAACCCAAGAATCTCTTTCACTTTCGTTTCTGGGCCTTCCAGTCCTCAGACTTTTTCTGAAGGCAGAGGAAACTGCACCCCTTGCGTCACTCTTGGGTTTGGGAATGTCGGCCTCAGTCCAACCCAGTCTTTGCTATGGCATTTTTCTTCTTTTTTTTCCCAGGACTGTAATGGCACCTATCTTTTCTTTTACAATATCAGGAGTGTTCCACCCCAACCCCAACTGCTGCCACATAGGATAGATGCGGAAGTGGTGGCTCCCTGCCCTCCCCCACGTTCCCGCCGTGCTGGGGCACATGGCCGTGTGTCTGCGTGTCTGCTGTATGTACTTTCGGCATCCAACAGCCATGCAGGGCGGGACTGAGCCGCAGCTGCTGCCCAGGCCCCAGGGCAATCTTGGGGGCTAGAGGCCCCGTGCAGACAGCTGGCCAGCGTTCCCCGCCATGCATCCATACAGTCTTCCCCTCCCTTGGCCAAGGAGTCCAGCTCAGTGGGACAACAATTAAGTTTCTCTCTGTTTGCATAAGAACAAGAGGTTTCTTCCCCAGGCATTTCCCTGCCCTACGCTTAAGCCTTTTTTTTTTTTTTTTCTCCACAAGGTCAGGAGTTGATGGATTGGTGTGAAGGTAGTTACAGTTTTTGCTATTACCTAGATTGGCAGGGACCACAGTTGATTTTGCACCAACCTAGTAACACAGCCCTGTGAGTACAGGGGGCTTCTCAATGCCAGAGGATTTTTCTTGAAAAGTGTTTTATTAGGCCAGGACTCCAATTCACAGGACACCCTTTTCTCTCCCTTGTTTGAGAGGACCCAATTTTAGAGCTTCACCTTAGCATTTGGCTTATGACAAGGAGGCAATTCTTTTGTCCCAAACTCAATTCCAAGCTTTGGGTTGAAGCCCTAGGAAAGAAAACTGGATCTTAGGGATCCAGAGGCAGACAACAATGGAAGTTAAAAGGCAAACACCACAGATGAGCATGACTAATTCCTGCTGATTAAGCCAAGCCTCCCATATCATGGATAGAGGTCATACTAGTATCCATGGCATAAATTAGGTGTAGGGAACTCAAAGGCTACTTATAGCAGGGGGAAAGGCAGTGAGTGCACGGGGAAGTGCGGATAATCCCACCCCCTAGGCCCAACTGTTAACATGAGTGAAAGCTGCATTGACACCCATGGGTGGCACCCTGTTGTGGTCACCAGGCCTCAGGGATATAAGGATAAAAGAAGGAAAGAGGAAGCTTTTTCCTTCTCTCTCTCATGTACCCTGGGCATTCGATAGGAAGAGAAAGGAACCAGGGATGCCTTGCTCCTCTTTCTAGATGAGTAGCCATTCGTCTTCAGTCTGTGCACCTTACAGATGCATTCTGAGCTGGGGGGCTCCTTTGAAAAAAATGCCTTCTTTGTCCCCCTTGGTCCTCTCTTCACAGATGGTTAATCCTGTCTCCATACTACAGGACACTCCTCTCGGATGCATCCTTCAAACTGTGAAAAGTTTATTTCTCAACCCTTAAACTGGTTGGCTTAGAATTGAGCTCAGGGGAGGGGAACCCAGAAGGCTGACATGCTGGCAAAGAGATAAAATATTTTTTAACAGTCAGACTTTTGGCCTCCCTCTCCCTGTGCAAACCAGTAAAAGGAATGGTAGGGATATATTCTCCGTAAAGTTTTGATTAATCAAAAAGTATTTATGAGGTTGGTCTCAAGCTGTAGCCAATCTGTTGTGCTCTGCATGTCTTTCTATATGGTTCTGTCAGAAAGAGGAGTACCTTAGGATGGGATAAGGACCTAGGACCCCATAGCCCACTATTCAAGTCAGCCTGGCAAACTGCCTAGTATGTTGTTTTTGTCTCCGCTATTTTACGGTGGCAGCCTGGGATCAATCCTGGCTTAGGGAATGAGTAGTTTCTGGCAAATACCTGTGTGACTTCTACCATTTGCTGATTCTCTCCTGCTCCATGAACAGCTTCTAGCTTTCTTTTGTGAATCTTCCTTTCTCTGAGCTACACTTAGACGTTCTAGTTTTTGTAAAAACTGCTTACCACCCCTTTGAAAATACCTTGTATACTCGCAGTTAAATCATAACTTTTTGGGGCTTGTTGGTTTCACCTGTAAGGTTACTGTTGGTAAAGTTCAAAAGCCAGAAATATGAGTCATCTGGCATGGCTAAAGTTGGGTAGCTAGGGATTTAAAAGGATTTTCTTAAAGAACGCTCAAGTTAATTAAAAGTGGATATCCAAGCTATAGGTATATTTAAAAGACCTTTATGTTTTTTTCTTCATGGATCTTGTTTTTCTGAGAAAGGTTTTTTCCCCAGTCAACTGAATTGTCTTCCTCCATTTTATCTTGCCACTCTTAATGAACTCATGAGAGACCCTAAGATAATTTCTGATGAACAGAGACTACTTGGGAAAAATGGAAAAGATATAATGTATTCCATTTTTGGAGAAACCTCTGTTTTCCTCATGGAACCCCAGTAATTAGAGGCAGATAGATCCCTTTCAAAATCTGTTTTTGTCTTCCACCTGTATCTGCTTATTAGGTACTGTTACCTCTGTTTCTTGAAGGGCTCCACCCTCAGGCCAATTATCCAATTAGGAGATTGGCAAATGAAAAATCTTACAACTACTGGATCTTCTTCTGTCTGTCTATGTAGTTATATATGTGATTTTTATATAAAAGCACTCTAATTAATTGGCCTAAAGAAAAATAAGCATTAGATCAAATATTTTTTCAAGGAAAATACAAGCTGTAGTAACTTTTAGTTCATGTAGCTTTAATCTTTGAGAAATAAAAAGTCTTAAAGATTATTGGTAAAATTCAAATGTCATTAAAATTTAAATAGGTGGTCTACATTATGGAAGTCAGATACTAGGTTCGCTAAATGTTTTAAGGTTGTAAACTGCTTCTTTGGCCTTAGAGAACTGTTCAACTTGCCTGCTTTACAACTTGGTAAGGCCTGAGGACATACTGAATTAACCAAGCCCTTGAACAGGCTAGAAGGAATCAAACTTTATTGGTGCCTAGTACATAATTAAAACAACTTATCAGATTTTACATTAAAGTTTAAAATTGCTAAGAGTTACCATTATAACATGTAATTGAGACCACCACTGAAAATAGATTGACATGCAAGGTGTGTAAGAAGAGTAAAATGTGTTTTCAGGAAAAGATTGTAAGAAGGCATGGAAATCCAAGTAACTTTTTGCCTAGGGTTAAAGGATTGTTTTAAATTAGATAAGGTCAAGCTAAAGGTTTAAATAGTTGTGGAAGGTTTCTAAATTTAATATTGCAAAAGAAATCCTGTGTATGAACATTGACTAAACTCAAAGGATATTATATGTTTTTTTCTGTAAACTGAGCAATGAAATAAAAGCACAACAAGGTTTTCTTAAGGTACTAATCTGTTCTTTAGCAAAATGTGTAAAGGGTTATAAAAGGTTTTTAAGAATCTTACCTCATGGTCCAACTGGCTTAGATTGGATAGAATTGTCTATAAGGTTTCATTAGAAAATTGGGATTAATAGTAAACTAATGTAAGGGTAAAATTTGGCTCTCTCTCTCCCTTGTTGAAGATTTCTATGTAATATTAATGAATAATGAAAGATTTTCATGTGCCTTGTAAATAGACTGCCAAGGAAAAGAAAGAGAAGACAGGAGACAAACTGTTTGGAAAGCTAAGTCCTTCCTCTTGATGAGTAAAGGTTTTCCCTATTTTAAAATTTTTGAGTCATCATTTTAACAAAATAACCAACTGGGATTGTATTTCAAATTATCAAGTGTTTTAAACCTCTAACATTTAACAGGCTTCCCCAAATCAAATTTCAGCTTCAAGGTTGTCTTTCCTGACCCCTAGCTTTTGGATGCTACAGAGGGTCCCTAGAGCATCTAGAAGAAGAGAGGTAAACAGAATAATTTAACATGGTTAGGTACATGGGATCTCCAAAATGATGTTTAATTTTCTTCAGGTTATATTTTAGTGAATAATGCTAACATATGTTCCAGAATTTTATGGGATTTCTAAAATTCTAATGTTTGAGTGTATGCTATCAATCACAATTAAGGTTGTTATATTAAGTTATTGTAAGCCACAGAGATAACCACATTTTGTCAATCACATTTCTGACTGTAACTACCCTGGTCATTTTGTTATTCATAAACAATTGTCTTCTTTTGATCCCCTTCAAAAGATGGTTAATAATCAGCTATAAAAGTTTGATGGGTGTTCTCCAATACAAGTTTCTGATAACTTTGGAGACTCTAACACTGGACTAAAGGGAAAACGTACAGGACTCATGAAAGAGCTGAAACATTCACGAATATCAAGCAGAGCATGAGTTAACTGAATGGACTGAACTAATAGAAAACTGAAGTAATCTTTTTTTAAAACCTTTTGCTTGAAACATTGCTGGTCCTTGTTTTGTTATTCAGAGTCAAGAAAACTTTTATTTTGAGCTATTTACAGTCTTTAATAATTGAGTAAGCTATACTCATGTGAACAAAATTTGGAGCATACTTCTTTCTCTTTGCCTGGTTCTTCTAGAATTTGGAAACTATCTGTGAGTATTCTTAACTTATGGCAATATGGTTATTTGCATCAGTGCAATAGGAATTCATTTTCTCTGGCAACAGTACACAGTTGGAGAGATGGGTTGTTTTACCAAGGCTTTGACTGGAGAGGTGTACTTCCTTTTAAGGAATCAAGCTTGAGTTGCAGAGTCAATAAAAGCCCCTTGGGAAAACTGGCCTCATACCTTGTCTACACAGTCCTCATACAGGGTTCCTAATCTGTAATGAGTAAAGAATGTCACTTTCTAATGGGCCCAGGAACTCTATATTCTAGGAACCTCAAGAAGAGAGGAATTCACCCAATTCATAGGTATTTGAGGGTGCTAACCCATGGCTGGGCTGGGCTTTCCAAAGTCCTATCTGAGATTCCTTATGGAACAGAATTCCATCAAAAGCAATTTTAAAAGTGTATGTAAGAATAATTATTCTTGCTGCACTTTATGCAAACTGTCAGGCCAAGTATAAGACTGAAGTCTATTTTGCAAACAACTCAGTCCTATCATGAATTGTTTTTAACAAAAATGAGGACTGGGGAGATAAAAATTATGTTTCAAAACTTACCACACATTTGTCATTAAATTCTAGTCTCATTAGTTGTTTTGAATTTTTTTTTGCCTACATTTTACATTAACCCTCTTATTCCTGTGAACCAACCAGCAATTTCTGGCTACAACTCAGAAGAAACAAAAGGCATGGGTAATGTAATAATCTGGATCAATATTTTAATTCTGAGCAGTTATCCTGCTAATCCTGACATCTGATAGGAGTAAATAGGGTGCCCATAACCCAGAGGTTCCTCTGGGAAAATAAGACCAAAGGAGCAAACCAAAGCCAAGCCCCATGCAACCAATCTTAGCAGGCATAATTATAGCCACCAGTTATCTGGGCATGCTGACAGCCTTGGGATTTTTCAGCTGCCCTTACCCATCCCTCTTTGTTTGGTTTTAATATATGTCTTCTAATAACTCCGTTTGTCTCTTCTCACCTTCAGGCCATCAAACTCCAAGCGATCATGCAACCAGAGTCTCAAACAATGGCCCCTTTTAACAGAGACCCTTAAATAGGCTTTCGAGAGAGTTATGACTGCCATATTTCCAAAACAGTGCCCCCTAAGAGCAGGAAGCAGTTAAGATCAGTCTTCGTCCCTATTCTAACTGCAGTACCTCTTGTGTACCACTTTAGAGGGAAGAATAATAGAAGTAGGAGGCAAATGCCTAGGCAGATAAAGGAGGGTCCACAGAGAACCTCTGACCCACTCAGGTTATTGAGCACAGGGGGGCTTGCCTAAGCATGGTCACAGAGAAAAATTCTGTCCCTTAACACATGCTCAGTAGGGAAATAAATCAATGTGTAGTGGCTCAGACTAAGGGCCCACATGTGCACTGGAATGATTGGGCAGAGCCACCAAAAATTTGTGCTTTATGCAGGGGAGGAGCCTGACCTCTTCAGCTCATGTGTGGTGGCCTGGTATTCAATTTGTGAGGTGAAAACCTGTGTGCAGGACCCCTCTCTTTTCTGAGCACTTTCCTTTCACTTAATAAATTCTGCCCTCCTCAGCCTTCAATGTGTCGCATGCTTAATTTTTCCTGGTCATGAGACAAGAACCTGGATTTAGCTGAACTAAGGAGCAAAAATTCCTGCATCACTGGCATTTCTCCTAATAAGCAACACATTTCTTCTTGACTCTTCTTTTTTCAGCATGCAGGAAAACTTTCTGAAATTTCTAAAGTATAGTTCTCTCTGGCTCAGCAAGCAAAATACTGTTTTATTTTCTGACAGCTCTAAGCCTTAATTCCCTCTATATAAAGTGGTATATGAAATCATTCATTCAGGCTGGGCATGCTAGCTCATGCCTGGCACTTTGGGAGGCTGAGGCAGGCAGATCACCTGAGGTCAGGAGTTCAAGACCAGCCTGGCCAATGTGGCAAAACCCCGTCTCTACTAAAAATAAAAAAATTAGCATGGTGGCATGTGCCTATTGTCACAGCTACTTGGGTGGTTGAGACAGGAGAATCACTTGAACCTTGGAGGCAGAGGTTGCAGTGAGCTGAGATCACACCACTGCACTCTAGCCTGGGTGTCAGAGTGAGACTCCATATACAAAAAAAAGGAATCAATCATTCAGAGTTGTCCCAATATGATAAAAATTGATGTAAAGCACTTAGCATACACTTGGGCACATAATATATAAAATAAATAAAAGGATTAGGTTAAAGGAAGAACTGTCCTCAGCTTAGATACATTTTTAAGTTACTTTAATTTTCCTTTTTTTATTTTTTTGAGACAAAGTCTTGCTCTTCCCCACCCCATGCTGGAGTGCAATGGCGTGATCTTGGCTCACTGCAACTTCCGCCTCCTGGGTTCAAGCAATTCTACTGCCTCAGCCTCCCGAATAGTTGGGATCATAGGTGCTCACAACCACGCCCAGCTAATTTTTGTATTTTTAGTAGAGACAGGGTTTCACCATGTGGGCCAGGCTGGTCATGAACTCCTAACCTCAGGTGATCCATCTGCCTCGGCCTCCCAAAATACTGGGATTACAGGTGTGAGCCACCATGCCCAGCCAATTTGCCTTTTTATTGGTACAGAAAACTGTAAAATTCATTGCATCTTTCTGAATAAAAACTTCAGGTTTTGTGTGTCTCAAATACTTTGCTATAACATTTCTGTGTCAGATAACAGAGACAAATAACAACTTTTATAAGGCAATAATTCTAAAAAAAAAATCTTCCTTTGAAAAATAAAAGCCTATTACAGATATAAGAATGGAGTAAAAATTTCCTCAATTCTTAAATTATTTCTACAAGATGACATCACATTATTTATTGCTGAAGTGTTACTGACAATGTAAGCTTGTTTCTCAAACTTCTTCACTGTGTTCTTTGGAGCAAAATTAATTTATCTCACATTTTCTGGCATTAGATAGGGCTTGCAATGTGGGAAAACACAAACCTCTTTTTTTTTTTTTTTTTTTCCTAAGAGAAGGTCTCTCTCTGTTGCTCAGATTGGAGTACTGTGGCCCAATCATAGCTCACTGCAGCCTCAATCTCCCAGACTCAAGCAATCCTTCCACCTCATCCTCCCCAGTATCTGGGACCACAGGATTGTGCCACCATGCCTGGCTAATAGTTTTTTTTTTTAATTTTCTAACTCAGAGTTTTCAATTCATTGAGAAATGTTTCTTCAATGTGTTTCCTGGTTAACCCGTCCCTTTTCTTCTCTTGTTAGTAAAATCTTTTCAAATATCTCCTAAAATTCTATGTTGTCCACATTATTAGACATTTCTGATAAATGGATGATATCTTCATCTGTACATTTTCCTTAGATCATGACTTACAAGAAAATTTCCAAATTTAGGCATCAGAGTTTCTATTGCTGTCATGTAACAGCATTAGAATTGCTTTTTGAAGACTGTGACCTTTAAATAGAATGAGATCATTTATATGCATATCAATGAAGCCATTAATGATACAAATTGGGTCAGACTTAACTGAATGACTATTCAAAAATTGAATTGCTGTGGGCTCAAACACATCCACGCGCACGCACACACACACACACACACACAAATGTTCAAAATTTTAAAAACTGCTTTCTCATTTTTTTCCTTAAGGAACAGCCACAGACTATTTAGGGAGATAACAGAGAATTTGTAAAGAAGACTGACTGAGGGAGCTGCTCAGATGTCGCTGCCAAATTGGCACAGATTCAAGGCACATTTCTATATGCCTTTCATTATTATTTCTGACCATCTGGATCCTTTGTTTTTAAATCCCTGTTAATACTAAAGAGAAGACACTAGTATTCATCCATGCAGATTCAAAGTGAATGAAAATAAATGTCATCACTCTATCCTTAATTTCTTTTGGTAGTTTTGGGTTGTAGATTTTCTCATATTCAGAAAGTGTTCTTTGAGCACCCACTCTGCACCAGGCTCTGTTCTAGGTGTTTGGGTAAAGATGTTACTAGAACACACAAAATTCCTTCCATGAGGGAGCTTATCTTCTAATGAAAGGAATAAGAACAACATTAATGTGCTCAATCTACAATGTCTAATGGTATTAAATGCTATAGAAAAAAAATAAAGAAGAAAAAGATTTCTTGGGGGAATGTGCTTGCAGTTTTTTAAATCCAATTATCAGGAAATGAGAAGCTATTCTTTGAGTAAAGATTTAAAGGTGATGAGGCACATATTTGCACATATTTGGAGAAAGCACATTTCAGGCAGAGAAGACAGCTAGTACAATGGCCCTGAGGTATAATGATGCCCCTGTGCTAGAGAAATTTCCACTGGAGCCAGTGAGGAGGAGCAGGAAATTGGAGCAGGAGTGAGGGAGGACCAGAGTAGTAGAATACAAGGTCAAAGACTCAAGCTGTGGCAATGTGTGGACTGGGCAGAGCATACAGGATATTAGATCATCAAAAGAGAGTTATAGCTTTAATGTGGAGTGAGTTTTTAGTAGGAAATTCCATGATCTGACTCATATTTTAACAGAACCATGTGACCATTATAACACTTATTTGTATCAGACAAAAGATAGCCTATCATCAGTTTTTATGTTTTTCTAACTAGCTCACCACTAATTAATAAGTGACTCCTAAAACACAAAAATGAATCATTCAACTATTATAGATAAAGCAACTGTTTGAAACCACAAAGAAATCACTTTATCTATCAACCAATGTTGACTGAGTACCTATATGTGTAAAATACTATGCGCTTACTGGGCAAAGAACTCTGATGAAATTAACTAGATAATAATTTAAATTAATCAGAGTTTTTTTTACAGTTCCATTTCTATTTCGCATTCTAATTTATATCATTAACTAATTATATCAAACTCAAAAATTGATATGAAGGTCACTGAGCAAAAGTATATTGATTAAATATGCAGCATGGCTATCTTACTGAGATTTCAAAATACAATTTTTTATGTTAAAATTCACTTAGAAAAATTTATATTTTAAATATTGCATTTCTTATGCTTATCTTGCACTGCAATTGACTATTCATTATTTCAAATTTCAGAGAGTTCCTTGATAGTCCCCTAAAGCTGTCATATAGATAGTTCCTTTGAAGAGAAAGAGTACAAAGTGTGAAAACCTTGAATTTTAATTTTTAAATTAGTTTTGGCAAATGAAAACTATTTTAGCACTTCAGAGTCACATACTCCATTAACTCTACCTTTACCTAAGACTAGAATTATGAAGACTCAGTAGAAAGACAATTAGAAATATATTATTTTAGTAAAAAATAGGAAATGGCCGAAAGATAATGCTACTACATTCTACTAATTACAAAAAGCAAATAATGGATTCGAAAAAGTTTAAGCAGAATATTTTTACTATGATTTCAGTATGTCTTTTAATCAAGGATCTATAGCTAACTGTTTTATTCTTCAGCTGAAATCTATTTTAATCTGGTGTGACACTGTCTTGTCACACCAAACATTTTTTGGTGTTGTCACTAGGACAGGAGTGAGTGTTACTGAAACACACACATAAATCCTCTAACATTTTCTCCTTGAAAAATAAAACCCAATAAAAATGTCTTGGAAACCTTTGTATATATAATTTCAATTAATAAGATCAGTTTTTAATTATTCCTTACTTGTATGTTCACTTTTAAAGAAAATCTCCACAGGGGGTTTTTATAATGCACATATGAGCAGACAGATTCCATGCAAAACTTCTCTTTCCTGAAGGGCTATATGATCCAACACGACTTTGCATCACTAAGTGTATGACACAGTCTTTTACCTTACAGGTCCTCATTATGTAACACTATCCAAATGTTACTATGTTTTAGGAACTGCACTAAATATGTTATATGTGTGCTATCATTTAGTCATCACAAAACCTATGGACAAAGAAACTAAGGCTCAGAAAAGTTCCTTAAATTGCCCAACACCACAAGCTTCTAATTGACACTGAAGACATAAATATTTCTAGCTTCAATGCACATTATGTTATAGTTAAAGCATAATTTTCTAAACAGATTTTGCAATATTAACACATGGTATAAGGTAATTTCCCACTGGTTTATCAGTATTAGATGCATTTGCTGCTGTGTCAAATTGGTCTGCCGTTTGAGAAAAAAAAGATATACACAAATAAGGTATAACAATTAAAAGTAATGGTACGATTATTCAGTTTCCCACTCTTGAAAACGTTGTGTTGACTGTAACTGTTTTTGTAACCTTCGATGTTCAAAGTACAACCTATTACTTTGGGTCGTATACCTGAAATGTGTTCAAATCTGCCCGCCTCCATCTCCATTCTGATGCCCATTGTCATCTAGTGTTCTTACTTGATTGGACTGCTTCCATAACTCATATCTAGTCTTCTCTTCTACCCAAGTCCATGCCCCACATTGCTACTGGAGGTATTTTTCTAAATAGAGAATTTAACTTGTTCACCTAAAAATATGATTTATAATTTCTTTCACCTATAAAACTTAAAATTCGTAGACATTCTAAGCCTTTTTACCAAAATGTCTAGATTTATATTCCTTTAGTACCCTGCAGTGTTCTTTCCCTTGAAAAAGCTATTTCTATTTCTTTTTTTTTTTTTTTTTTTTTTTCTGAGACAGAGTCTCACTCTGTTGTTGCCCAGGCTGGAGTGCAATGGCGCGATCTCGGTTCACTGCAACCTCCACCTCCTGGGTTCAAGTGATTCTCCTGCCTCAGCCTCCCAAGTATCTGAGACTACAGGCGCTCACTCCCTCACCCAGCTAATTTTTGTATTTTTAGTGGAGTCAGTATTTTACCATGTTGGCCAGGCTGGCAGGCTGGTTTCAAACTCCTGACCCCCAAATGACTGGCCCACGTTGGCCTCCCAAAGTGCTGGGATTACAGGTGTGAGCCACCATACCTGGCCAAAAAAGCCATTTCTAATGATGAAAAAGCACAAGTAAAAACAACAGATAAACCCTAAAAATAAAACTTAGATGTGACAGAGTAATGTTGGTTTTAACTTATACTTGGAAAAGTACAAAAAGATCACCTAAAAACCCCAGCATTAGTTTTTAACTTCTATATCAATTGTTTAATAAATGTTATTAAAGAAATGAAAGAACAAACATTCTACAGTGTGAATTTAAATACCACTTTTCAAAGTTGGAATTTATCATTAAACTAAGGAGAGTTACTTGTTTATTTATTTCCCAAATGTATTTATGCTTGATTTCAAAACTTGTTTGTAAAGAAAGCAATTGATCACAATTGGTATAATTGTATTTTATAATTGTAGGTAGATTTGATAAGAAGAGGAACATCACTGAAACTATATTGATGGTAATAGTGAAGAGAAGCAGAAATACTGGTTAACATACTATTTCTGTTCCTTGCTAACTAACTGTGCTAGCACCATGCAGTTGTAGGAAGTGAAGCAATACAACAGACAATAGCTCTGCTATCAGAACAGCACTCAGGATTGTGGCCAGGTTTGGGAGGGGAAGCAAATTACACGTCATGTTCCCCACTCCTACCACATGGTGGAAGGAAATTACTTTTGAATGCAGAAGACATCAGAGTTATAGTTCCTCAATTTAAAATGAGAAAATGAGGTCCTGAGAAAATAAAGGAAATAGAATTTGTTGGTGGTATATCTCCAATATTCTCACTTTCATCTTTGGCATGTTCTCTAGAACTTTTCTATGAAATCACATTGGTCATTAAAGTATGACCACAGCCACTGTCTCTAAACATTAGTGGAACACCTTTTATGTGCAAGACACAGAGCTATTTATTATACATACATTTTAGAACCTAACCCTTTTAACAGTCCAATAAGGCTGATGCTCTCTTCCTTTTATAAGTGAACAAACTAAAGATAGAAAACTTGTCCAAGATCCGTTAAGATGAATTCGGTTCAGTCAGACTCCTCAGACCATATTTTCTCTGTTATACTTTCCTTATCCTTTCCATAATGGAAAGGGTTGAATTTGGTTCTAGAAGGATAATTATAGATTACAGTAAAAAGGTTTTTATATCATTGTTAATAATTATATCAGTGTCATTATCCTTGTTAAAGACATTTAAAATATTACTTTAGGCAGCAGCACTACAAAAGGTAGGTTTTGAATCCCCAGGTTCCTTATTAAGGGTAAAAGCATATTGTCTGAATGCAAAGGGTATACACATTAAAAGAAACTACAATACAGAGTACAAAGTGCGAAAATAAAGCAAGCCCCTGTGGAGTTATGAAAGCGTAACTCAGCCTCAGGCCAAGGAACATCTACTGACAGGAAACATGTACGGAGGAAATCCTACACTCAGAGAACACTGATAGACAAAGAGCACACATAGAGCAGTAATATGTGCAGGCTGTCATTCTTCTCCCCTTGAACACCCTCAGTTTTGTCAATTCTTTCTATTCTGTAACTGCAATTGCTTGCCTACTAAGCCACTGCACATGAAACAAAGACTGGGCAAGGAAAAGGAAGGAAGAAACTCACTCTGCTGACTCTCCAAAAAGCTAGAGCTTATTTTGACATGAATTTTCAGACAGCCTCTAGTAAGGATGTAGGTTGTGGAGAAAGGTGTGTTTGTTGGGTGCTCAACAAAAGTCATTTAATAGCCGAGTCCTGAAAATGTAGACATTCTTGAATGACTACATTAGAGTAAATGAAAACAAATCATTTACTCCAAGGGATTGCCTCTTAAGTGTCATAAAGCCTATTTAGTCCATATTTGGGGAAACAAGTTTCCAGAAAAGTCAGAGATGAAATCAGGAAAAGGCCATGCTCTGAAATGGAGGCTAGTAAATCTCGCCACAGTCAATGAGTTGCCATGTTACCAATGTCTCTTTATAGAATATTGTAAGATGTAGGATCTGTATCTAAGTCCACCAGTATCATTCTGATGTTATAATTGTACTTTACGTGTTGGACATGAAATTACAGTGGCTGTTGTCATTAAAAGCATCAAACAATTTAAGAATAAGAAGAAGCTAGTACATATCCAAGATTGCCCAAAGGAGACAATATTACGGTTTTAGATAACTCATACATTTTAGCAAGAAATATTTCTACAGTGGCGAAGACAATTGATATAGCTACTCTAGTGTGATTAAAAATGTCCATTTAGAGCACCTGAAAATGTGTTGTAATTCTGTGCACCCAACTGAACTACTGTTCTAAAACTTAATTTACAAAACAGATTTTCAGGGAGAGTGGTTGAAGCAACAGATTGAATAATCTTCCCAGGAGGGCAAAATCAACAACTCTTTGCTTATGTTTCCCCCACATATTCTATCACAGCACTGTAGACAAAACAAAACAAAACAAAACAAAACAAAGCCTTATCATTGCATTTTAAATGCAATTTTAAAATTTCCCATGGTAAATTAATAAATTAAGACTTTTACTAAATAAAATATAATAGCACAGCCTTATATATCTTCATGAAATTAGAAAAATAAATTCCAGAGTCTACAAAACTGAAGGCCACACTTGAGACCCTTTTTGTCTATTAAGGTACCAGCTCCTATTAAGGCACGAAATCCTTTGATGGATTAAAAATTTTGTCACATCCAGCTTAGTTATAACCTATGAGTATTATAGGCAACCTTGTATACTATAGAAATCATATTGGTACAGAAGTATAGTTCAGTGATATGGATGAGAAATTCATAGATCATATCAGAATAAAGAAAGAAAAGACAGACTTTAATAGAAAAGAAAATGTCTTACTTGGTTAAGAATGTCTTGTTTCTGTGCATGCAAGGAAAGAAAGAATACATGTGTTAATGTAAGATACTTTATACTCATTATCTCATATCTCTGATTATTTAGCTAAAAGTTCAAGTTTACAGGTTGATTTTAAAACACACCCTAGATCCATAGGCCTCAAAAGGTGGTTCCGAAACAGTGGCATCAGCATAAGTTAGAAAACTGATAGAAATGCAAATTCTTGACCCCCACCTCAGAAACACTGAATCTAAAACTGCGTGGGGTCGGGGGGAGGCAGGCAGCAATCCATGTTTTGACAAGCCCCCCGGTTGATTCTGAGGTACACTAAAATTTCAGAATCAATGACTAGATCAATCTTTGTATATAATAAGCAAACTGTTCTGACATTAGATAAATATAATATGTAACACATACAGTGTGATTAAAATATTTTAGAGGATTAACAGAAATATAACCATCTATATAAAGGTATATTAGATTTTGAATATGTATTTCCCATTCCTAAGATATCCTTCTATTAGCGTCACGCCTAGCATCTCTCCATACTCTTAAAGATTAAAATATATTTCTATACACATCTGCCACTTTCTTCCCATATCTCAGCTGTGAGTGGAACAATTTGGAATTGAACTTGAAGTCCAAGATCAAAAGAAAAAAAAAATGTGTGGAATGCTAAACTGGTTTCCCCTCATACTACCAAATTCTACTGCTCTCAGGAGACTATTTACATGGCCTGACTATGTTTTACTGAGAATAACCTCACTGAAACTGGATCTCTGCTACAAACTAGCTGTAATAACGTTCTTAACATTATATTATTTACACAAGAGTAGGTGGAGGCTAATAAGACTCTCTCCCCTTGTCAGGCATGAGTCATTAATATGTATGTGTACTGGGAAGTGCCACACTCACTACAAAAGCAATGTCTTCCCATGCCTTCCCCTAACCTTTCTCCTTCCTATCTAAGAGGATGTTCCTCTCCCCTATGGCTTGGTCAATGAAGTGAAGAGCACAGGGCATTAGCCTTAAACTGGGATTCTAGTCAATTAGGTTTTTGTTGTGGTTACTGTCACAAGCTAGCTGGTGAATCTTGGACAAATCATTTCACTTTTCTTAAAATAGTTTCTTTATTTAAAAACTTTGTAATTTTATTAATTTGGGAATCTCAAGACCTTTGAATGGTTTTTATTCCTACAGAATCTTTAAGGCTATTGTTTAGATTTCTCTTATTCATTTCTTCAAGGAATGATTATCAAATGATCTTTAAAAGATGGGAATTAAAAGTAAATGATTCATTCACATATTATACTTAATATTTTTTCTCTATTAAAATAGACTTCAACAGGTCATATCTTTTTGGGTTAAATTTTTATCCCCAGCACTTTAAAACTTCAGTAATTCAAGTGAATTATAAGCAAAATAGTACATCTACGATTTAAACAGCTTTATGTTGTAGGAGGATAAGCAATTTAATTTTTGCAAATACATTTTATGTAAATGATACAAGCTATGTTCCTTTTAGAAAACGATGAATTAATTATTCATTCCAAATTCAGGTTGCATTACTCAATTGTCCATTTTTTCTTGTATAATTCAGCATCATTAACTAGTCATCAGTGCAAACAACTTTGGGGTCAACTTGACCAGCCAATGCAGAGTGATAACTTCACATGTGAATTGACATTAGGAATTCTGCCATATTGTAAGAGTAATTTTTTATAAATTGGATGAGGTCATGTATTGAAGAGAACTTTAAGGGCATAAAGATTTATTTCTCATCATTAGATATTCTTAATTATTTTCAATTGGCTTTTAGAAGATACATACTAGTTTTTTAAATGGTTATATAAGCCTTAAAATTTTCTTCCGAAGGAAAAATTTTATGAAAATTAACTAAGATCAGAGAGTGGTTTTGCTCTTAATTTAGAATTGTTCTTGGGTTGTAATGAGATCTAACTTTTTGTTTTTCAACTGTTCGTTATTTTAATAACATGTTTCAACAATAGATCTGTACATTTATGAAATGTATTACATTGTTGAAAAGGGTGATATGTGTGTCTAATAATGATCTAATAACTACCTCAAAAAATGCAGCATATGGTGACTGATAATTCTCATGAAATATATAATTACAGTAAGACTAAGTCTTGAGAGTCCTATAAATAAAAAATAATTGAAGCAAAAAGGCTGCTTTGCAAACAAGATCACTTAACTGAGTTTGTAGCCAGCAGCTATCATTATGGAGAAAAACAGGTTTTATCTCTGTATATAGATTAGATAAGCATGTAAGTTTTCAAATATTGTTGTGAATATAAATATTAATGACAATTTTTGTGTCTTATAGCAATTCAGTGCTATAATTCATCTTTACGTTTCCCACCCTGCTTTCTTAGGCTTTGAGATTCTCAGTTTTGTAAGTTTAGCTGCTAATTTTTTTTTCCTCCTCCTCTATGGCATCTAGAAAAATACAAGGGAAATGTAGGTCAAACATCTATTTTTTTTCTAATACAGAAAAAGGGAACGGCTTTAAATAGCCTTTATTTTCTCCATCATTTATAGGCACCAAATATTAATTTTATTTTTTAAGAAGAAAATAAATTCCAGGCTAAAGAGTTTTAAAAGTTACAGTAATGTACCAGAATGTAGAGAGAATAAGAAAATATGACATGAAAAATAGCTAACTACGAGAAATACTGATAGGAAATTTCAAAACAATTTGAATATCTTGAGGGTTATGATAACTAAAATTAAGTTCTAGAAATCCCAGGGAAGTACAATATTGAAAGATAACTAAGAAGTGTGCTCTTGCAAACATACAAAAAAAAAACAATAATAGCAAAAAATAAGTCACATTTTAGTCAGCAAACAAATCTATCTAGTTAATACATCCTGACAAAAGGGTCTTTTGCAAAGAGAAGTATGAAGCAACGTAAATGTTGCCTTCTGAAGCTGCAAATGAACTAACAGTAATGATGATCGAACATTTAAAATGTAACATCTCTCAACTAATATTAAATAGGTTATTTAACAAGCAATTAGGAAGGAAAAGGCATTCATTCCAGCATGGTATTCAAAAGCAATTGACAAGACATGCAAAGTTTTCATAAGAAAATCTTAAAGAAATCTTAAGCTTACTGGTAAAAGGTAAAATAGAAGATTAAAAAAATTCCTCCCTTTTTGTACAAGTTGGTTCCTTAAGGTGACGGACCAGGTATAAGCAACACAAAATCCTTCTTTGGTCAAGGAAATAATTGCCTGAAAGGGGTAACTCCCTACCCCTACACCAATATCCATTTTGGATTGAAATTCGTGGGTCATAGACTGAGAGCCAAGCATACTCCTTCTCTATTTTATCCAATGCTGTTTCCTGACTTCTAGGAAAAGAACCAACGCTACACTTAAATGATTCATATTCTTTCAAGCATACAATATAGAAGAGTTATTTGAACGAAAAATGTACAACATTTAATATATCTTCTAGAATAGCACTGCATTATGAACTTCATTTTGTTTATGTTATGATACATGGTAAATGGTTTATGGTGTGCATATATATATATATACACACACATACACATATACATACATCTGTATCATACATATATAATGTATATGTGTACATATACATACACACACACACACATACATTTTTCCAAGAATTGTTTATTAAGAAATACCCTCTTCCAAGCATATATACGAAACTGATATAAAGAAAAAGAAGTTTTACCCCTTCAGGATTATACTTTGCAAGCACACCATTACCATGGAATTCTTCAAGAACATCCTTTAATTTCTTTGTAGAATCTATAAAAAACAGAAAACACAAAAATTGTTTATATGCACATACTGTGGTTGTGTAGCCCAGTCCAGAAACAGAGACCACTTAAAATGTAAATAAGCATCAGCAGAAACTAAATTTAAAAACCAACACATAAAATATCTCTTGCCATTTTTGAAAGGCTATTTAATTGGAAAAGAAATTGCAAAGGAGCAAAAAGATCACTGCATTAAATAAAAACAATACAGCTGGATAAGAAAAATATGGGTAGCTAAGCCTCAATGGTGAATCCATTTAGAGGGACGCTATAGATTTTAGTATCTGTAGATATTTTTAAGGAGAATTTTCTCTGTATACATAACACAACTAAACTAAAGCCTACTTTAGTAATTAAAGTTTTAGTAAGTAAGCTTTAATTTAGTTGTGTCACATATTTTACCCTATATATGCATTACGAATAACATTTTAGTTTTGTTATGTATAAATTAAAGCTTACCCTATTCAATGAAGAAACAAAGCTTAGACATATTACCAAAAGAATTATAAATTATTTTCTTCAAAAGTACTATTATTTTTAAACCTTTCATCTTATTAGTTGGTGACAAGAAATTTTAAGTTAATAAAATAATGTCATAAAAGAATTATCAGTATTACAATTAAAGTTAAATACATTAATATGATATAGATATATACATTCAGTCTACTAAAATATGCTCATTATACTTATTGAAATATAATTTTTGATTTAGAAATCTCAGAATTACAACGCATTTTTAAGTTAGAAGGAAATAATAGCTAACAAATATGGGTAAGTCATCTAAATATTTAATCAAGTTTGAATAATAATGAAAAAACCTCAAAATTAAAATGTAGGAAATACATGGATTTCCCAGTTTTCTTTTATGGAACAGAGCATGGAAAATTATTGGCTACCAATTGAATATAATTCTTGTTGACCTTCCCTAAGAGTCAGTGATACTTGGACTACCACAAAATATTTCCCAGTTCCAGAAAACTAATTCACAAATTAGCTTTTGAAACATCCTGCTAGAAAACTCTCTCATAGATGCCCATTGAATATATAATGCCTATATTTTGTGAATTGTACTTTTACTTGGAATGTACCATTTCCTTTCTTTATATTGTAAATTCTGTGGGTTTGTGTATGTGTGTGAAACAATAGATAGATAGATAGATAGATAGATAGATAGATAGATAGATAGATAGATACATAGATAGATAGAGTTTCGCTCTTGTTACCCAGGCTGGAGTGCAATGGCACAGTCTTGGCTCACTGCAACCTCCATCTCCTGGGTTCAACCGGTTCTCCTGCCTCAGCCTCCCAAGTAGCTGGGATTACAGGGGCTTACCACCATGCCTGGCTAATTTTTATAATTTTAGTAGAGACAGGGTTTCACCACGTTGGCCAGGCTGGTGTCGAACCCCTGACCTCAGGTGATCCACTCACCTTAGCCACCCAAAGAACTGGGATTACAGGCATGAGCCACCGTGCTCAGCCTGTGAAACAGTACTTTTAAGTGAGATAAAATTCGTGTCACATAAAATTGACATTAACAATTTCAAAGTGTACAATTCAGTAATTTTTAGCATATTCATGATGTTGTGCAATCATTACCTCTGATTAATCCCATAACATTTTCATCACCCTGTAAAGAAACCTTATGCCCATTAAACAGTCACTCCCTGTATTTTCTCCCCTCTAACCTCTGGCTATCATTAGCCTATTTTCTGTGTCTATGGATTTGCCTATTCTGGATATTTCATGTAAATTGAATCATATAATATGTTTCCTTTGTGTCTGGCTTCTTTCACTTAGCTTAGTGTTTTCAAGGTTTTTCCATGTTATAACATGTATCAGTACTTCACTCCTTTTTATAGCTGAATAATATTCCATTATAATGAATATACTCCATTTAATAAATCTATTTATCAGCTGATGTACATTCAACTTGTTTCCAGGTTTTGGCTGTTAGGAATTCTGCTATGAACATTCAAGTGTACACGTTTTTGTATAAACATATAATTCAATTCTCTTGGCTATATACCTGATAGTAAAATTGCCAGATCATACAGTAACTCTATGTTTAGTGTTTTGAGGAACTGCCAAATTGATTTTCACAACAGCTACACCATTTTACACTCCCACCAGTAAGGTGTAAGGATTCCAGTCTCTCTATATCCTTGCCAAAACTTGTTATTTTCTAACCCTTTTTTTGTTACAGCCATCCTAGTGGATGTGAAATGATTCGACTCACATCTGATTAGTCATTCGCTAATGACTAATAATGCTGAGCATCTTTTTATATGCCTATTGGTCGTTTGTATATTCTTTGGCAAAATGTCTATTCAAGTTCTTTGACCATTTTTTAATTGGACGGTTTGTCTTTTTGTTGTGGACATCCTCTGGGGGGTGTGTGTGTACGCACATTTGCTTGATGCCTATACAGCTTCCTATGTATTTCCTTTTTGGTGTATAATTTGCTGGCATTTTCCATATTGTGATCAGAGTTAATTTTTTATGTCATGTCCCTTGCTAGATTGGAGGTTGTTCTCGGGCAGAAAATGTGTGTTTTCATTTTAGCACAACTTTCAACTTCATCACAAAGTTGAAACAATAGCATTGCAATAAATATTGAGATTAAATTAATCAGAGCTATTCCTAAATGGCAAAAAATTACAATAATTGCTTCTATATGTACTTTGTTAGACACTTACACTGCAGAGAGAGACCAAACTGCATATCAAAAAGAGACATGAAGCTGACCCCTTATTCTCAAATTCTTCTTTGTGGGTAATAAGGCACTATTCTAAGTTAGCAGAACTGCTTTTACTTCTTTTTATCCATAATCGTAGATGCAACCCATACTGTGCAGACCCACAGAGACACACACATACACAGATGCATACATTCTGGAATATCATATCTCGAGAGACTATGTTTATTTTAACCATATCTTAGGCCAATGATAAAATGGAAGGCGGAGAAAACAATTTTGGTTTCTCCCACATAGGCCTGCCCCACAACTTTAGAGACACTGCTTAGATGGCCTTTTCGTTTCAGGTTTCTATGAGAGTAAAAAACATATTCAGTAATTATTTATAAATGACTCAGAGAAGGGGAAAGCTCATAAAATTATTCCTACAATATTTTATTAGTGTACTGGTCATAGTTTATACTGAATATTCTTAGTAGAGAAATCATGAGCTAAATTAACAGCCAAAAACCTCTAGATATATGACTGCCCTTTCCATGAACTAGGGCTCAACAATGACTTGGTCTGAGACAATTTAAAGTGCTCTAGTTGATATTCAGATGAATCACTATCAATTCAACTCACTGCCTCTCCAATTCTCAAGTTCCAGTTCTAATATCTTAATATTTGAAGTTTAACTATGACCTGATCTCCACTTTACAATCTAGTTTGGAAACTGGAGCATTATCTTGTTTTTGTATTCCTGTCTCAATAACATTTCTTGGGCCCAGTTTCTCTAAGGCTGAGGCCCTGATTTGACCGGTCAATCTTCTAAAGATAAGGATTTGCGCATGGAACACCAGAGAGTTCAGGATATCCATAACCTTTCAACAGCATTGTTTTTACATGAATTATCTACATGTCTTCTTGGACACCCAAATTGCACTAGGTTGTGAAAATCCTACTGCTATGTTTTACCTTCTTTTGGGGGGAACACACATTTATCTTATTTGTAAGTTAACTGCTTGTCCAAATTTCTTCCTATGGCCTATCACCATAAACATTCCTATCTTTTTTATTGTGCCAACTCTGAGTTACATTCTGTCCAAAACTACACTGGGGCAGTGGAGAGGGGAAAGGATCTATAACTAGGCCTGACCTGCCTTCTAGGACAAAATAAACAGAGGAAGTTATACCTGGATGAACAGATAGTAAGACGTGGCCTCAGTCATAATTCAGCTAATAATAGAGCTTCGGGAAAGAGCACAGTGACAGATACTAGGCTGAGCAATGCTGAGAAATCCAGGCAAGCAGCCAGCCAGGCAGGCAGCTGTGAGCTTGGAGATCAGTTTAGTAAATACATGTCTGTAATGGGAGAAAGAACCTGGAAGATTGGCCAGTGAAGTGCTAGGCAGCCCAGTGCTGAGCAGCCAGGTTGAAAACAGCAGGTTTAGTTCTTGGGATAAGGGAGCTGGACAGATGCGCAGCACAAAAGATTGGGTCTCCTGGAAAGCAAAGGAGGGGTATGACTTGGGGAAATTCTGAAACATGGGGCTAATTTCAGAGGTTCCTATGCTTGGCTTGACTGGCAGGGCAGGATACTTGGAAAACAACAGTGAATACAAATTACTGCCCTTTGACTAACATATCCATTTTCCCAGCAAGTAATTTAATACTATACCAATAACTACAGCTGAGACAATGGGCTGTCTTTTTCATCACTGTCAGAATCAACTTAGAGCTGAAAATGGTACTGAGCATGAAAGCGGGAGGTGTTTTATTAAGCAAACATTCTTGGAATGAGCTGGGAAAGAACAAAGAAAATGTTTATGGGGAGATGAGTTGACTTTCTCCTATACTTTACCTTTCTATCACCTGCTCTGGTACTTGAGTAATTCCAGGGGCCCCCCAAAATGCACACACCCTGTCAATCTTCTCATTTCGGCTGAGTCATGTAATAAACAATGCCATGAGAGTTAAATGAACTACATTTTAGGGATCAACGTTAAATTTTTATTTACTTTTAAAATGTTCAGAATTTTTAACGATTTTCAAGAAAAATTAAAGACCCTTTACATTAGTCTGAATTGAAAATAAATAAATGACTAATAGCATTTGGTAACGTTTAGAAAATGCAAATAGATCATAAAAAGTACTACATGAAAAATGAAACACTTAGTTCCTCTCACATCTCTTTAGGCATCTGTTACATCTTGAGTGAGTCTCCTTTGTGATTTTCCTGCCTCTTTGTCTCTTTATTCCAAAAAACTCAACACATACTTGTCAGATTAATCTCAAAGGCCCCATGAAGTAACGGAGAGATTTAAAGCCAGCTAGATTTAGATTTGAATCTTGGCTCCAGAATGCTTGGCTGAATGTCCCTGGGCATATTTTTAACCTCTCTATGGTTCAGTTTTCTAATATTTAAAATTAGAATAATGATAGGGATCTGGCAATACTGTGTCTAGCAAAGTGTCTGGTGCCCAATAAATCCTTGTTCCTTTATTTCATCCTAAATGTGACTTTAAACAAATCATCACCCTTCAACTGTTTCCTGTTGCTTTTGGATTGAAGCACAAACTCCTCCTCTTGGCACCATAGGTGTGTCAAAATATGATCCAAATCTATCTTCCAACAGTTATTTTCTGTATCTTCCATATTTACTATTCAATATCCATTCATCCAATTGTGAAGGCATCCCATCATCCCATGATTTTAGAGCTCTTCTTTTGCTGATGATTTTTTTTTCCTCAGGAATCCCGCCAATGTTGAGTGAAGTTCAACATAATGTATGGCATGGTTTATCTGTCAACTTATCCACAAAATCTCTCAGGACCTCCTCAAACACAGTAGGTTGTAACTCATCCTCCATGGGACACCCCATAATAACTCTCTCAGAATCTACATCTCATTTGTGCATTGGGCACTAGTAACACTATTAATTATAGCTTGAATGCATGAGCATTTTAGAGTTTGCAAAGTGTTCTATTATCTCATTTAAAATTCACAATAATGTTAACAAATATTCACTCCACTTAACACATGAAGAAATCAAAGTTAAGGAAATTATTACCTACTTAGGATCACACAGCTAAAAAGTTTCACATAATGATTCAAGCTATTGTATATGACCCAAACCCATTCTCGTCACTTTGGAAAAAGAACAAATACAAGTTTATAATTTGGCTTAGGAACCTCATTATTACAACAGCTAAAATCACACAGCCAAAAGAATGTACAGTAGTGATTCAAACTCCTATACAGTAAATATATTTTAAAGATCAAGGCCAATAATTTTGCCACCTAAATAGTAGTCATAGCTGCTGTGAGAAGACTATCATATATTCTACTGTTAAAGCTAAGACCCAACTTACAAAATGCATTTGTCATTTTTGTAAATAATGTGTTTTTAGTGGACTGACTGTAAGTTCATTATCTGGTGTTTTTGTTTTTAACCAAAATAGTGCCATGTTTCCCACGTTCAGTAGAGATATTGGTTTTCCAGGCTAATATGATAGTTTTTACAAAGTGAGAGAGGCTCAATGGGACCATGGAAAAGTCATCTTTCGGGTCTCTCAATTCAGTGCTTTCAAAAGTTTCCTTTAAAATCTAAGCCTCCCCACATAGCTTTTTCCTCTTATCACAAAAGATATTCGTGGTATAGAAGACTTTTCCTGTGCTCAGCAAAAAAGCATTTTTTCAGGAACTATATTAACCCTGTAGTAGAGAGGGCTCTGCAACTTCAACTGTTTAAAGAGAAGATTTTTCTAATTTAAATACTTAGCTAGCATTAATGTGCAGACGCATTAATGCTAAGTATTTAAATTAGAAAAATCTTTATCAATTATGTCAATGTTAAAGTTATAATTAATTTATATAATTTAATTGTATAATTGTATAGTTAAATTGTATTAATTGTTGTGCAGACAACATAGTAGCATTCAGTCCAATGTTACATTTCATAAAGTTTCCCTTAGCTACATAGTACTTAAAAGTAGTGAAATAGTGCTTTATCTTCATTTAACCCAGTAATACTCAAACCTGGATCCATATCAGGATCATCCGGGGATCTTTTAATATACACTGATGTTTGCACTCAAAACACAGTGAGGCAGATTTAATTAGCCTACATCTCCATGACTGGCTAGTCATGAGGACCTTTAAAAAAGGCTCTCAGTTGAGTCTTATATGCAGCTGAGATGGAATTAATCACTGCTCTGATCCTTAAATACATGCATAAAGAAAGTGAGAGTTAATCAGCAATTTTTATCCTGCTAAATTTTCCTATGTATGAATATATATTTTGTCTGATTGCTACACGGGGAACTTCTTTTAGGGAAGAAAAAAAAAACCTCATGAGAACATTTTATTTAAAGATTTATTTACTCTCACCTTAGGTCACAATAGCAAAAATAGCATTTTGGAATCCAGCAGAGAGATCCAGAAAATAATATTGTCATTAAATGAAATTCCCCAGATGATATAAAAGAAGTTCTACTTAGAGCCAGCAGCAGAAAATAAATACCTACAGGACTATAGAATAAGAGATTTAGAGAACTAGTCAATAAGAAACAGAAGTTTTTATCTACTTGTGTGAGAATTTTCATAAAAGTACAAAGAGATTGAAAAAGAAATATGGAACTATTGTTAAAAATAATAACAGCCATATTGTAGCAGTTTATATGCTATTTGAAATCTATACACTTGGATTTTTTAAAATCCTAAAAATAATATTCTAATGATACTGCTACAGTGGGAAAAGCTGTACAAAAACCAAACCCTCTATTCAGGTCTTTGCTCCAGGCTCACCACAGGATTCTGGGAAAATCCTTTAAGCTGCTCTGAGTGCAAGTCACTCTCTACTTGTTCCTGCTAAGCATTTGGGATCATCGTTAGCTTAAAAAGATAATGGGCATAATATCTTTGAGCAACCTGTTACACATATAGCAATAAGTATTTCTACTTAGCAAAAATAAAAACTAGTTAATTCCAAAATGACTACAGATTTGAGAACATGAAGAAAATTTCCTTTCTCCTTTTCATATTTATTATCGTTGTTAATCCTCTTAAACATCAGTTTTTATTAACTCTTTCTTGTATTTGCTGGTAATTTTTACTCCTTCATCTATCTACATCTAATGTTTTGATGTATGAATCTAATCCAATGCCTTGCACAAAATATTTGTAAGAGTCATTTGTTTTGATAGACAAATATCTGCTAATTTAGCCAGCAACCCTATCCAGACACTAGGAACCTATGAAATAATTTCCACCTTTATACGTATTTTATTGTGTAGAAAATACATTAAGAAAAAGAGTATACTTGCCTTCGAGCCACTCATCTATACTATAACTAAAAACTTCTATTGAAAACATAATTGCTAATTAAGAGATACTATTAGGGACAGAATTGACTGGTGTGGACCAATAGTGTGCTGGTAAATGTTTAACAACTCTTTGGGATGTGAAGGGTGCCTACTGTAGTGTTTGCCAATTGCTGTCTTGTAAATATTTCCACCATGACAATTTCAAGCCTCCCACATGACATCATTAATGTGGAGTTGGGAAAGAATGCTAACATTCAGCTCTGATAAGCAATAATTAATGAATCAATCTATATGTGATTATTTGTACTTTAGAAACAATAAATAGGTCTTTAAAGACAAATCTGGAGATAAAGAACGGAAATAAAAAGCCTGCAGCTATGACTTCTTAATCATTCTTTCAAATATTCTCAAGCCACCTATTGAGTTTAGAACAAGTACTGTTCCAACTATTGGAATATATCATTGAACAAAACAGAAAATATGCCTAATCCTATAGTTTGTATTCTAGTGCAAGAAGATAGATTACAAACATAATACATTATTAAGACAATCTTATATCAATGCAGTATAGAGATGTGATGGCATGGAGGTGTTAGTGGTGGAGTAGGAAAGATGAATTATTTTGAAAGTAGAGCCAAAAGAATTTCCTTATTGATTGGATATGGGTTGTGACAGTAATGTGTCAAGAGTCCCAGAGTTGTAGATTTGAGCAATTGGAGGGATAAACTTGCCAATAAGTAAAATGAGGAACACTGCAGATGAAGCATGTTTGGAATGAGGAGTCTTCAATTTTAGTTTTAGGCATTTTATATTTCATAAATATATTAGATATCCAAGTGTAGCCATTAGGAAAGCAATTATTTATGAGTGTGGAACCCAATAGAGAAGCCTGGGCTGAAGAACGAAATTTGAGTATAATTTCTATATAAACAGTATTTAACTGGATGACATCACATGTATAGTGATTGTAGATAGATAAGATAGCAAGGACTGAGTTTTGAGTCTCAGTTCACTCTGCAGTTCAAGTACCAGGAAAAGAGATGCAATCTGCTAGGAAACTAAGAATGAATGCCTAGTGAAATAGCAAGAATACCAGGAAAAATAATGTATCCCAAAAGCAAAGTGTCATGTAATATCAAGTTAAATGAGGAGCAGATTTAGCAAGACTTTTAAGTTTAGCCAGAAGGAAATCATTTGTGTCCCTTTCAAGGGCTGTTTCAATTCAGTAGCTGGGAAAAAAAAAATAAACCCAGAGTGAGTTTAAGAGAAAATATGATGAGAGGAATGGGAGGCAGCAAATATAGGCAACTCATTCAAAAACAATTTTTTGCCATAGAAGGAAAGAATTTGGGCAGTAGCTGGACTGCAAGAAGTGAAGGCAAGATAAATTTTTTTAAAAAAAGAGAAAAAAAACAGCATTCTAATAGAAATTATTCAGTCGAGAGAGAAAAAAATAAAAAATTAAAAAAAAAATTTTTAAACACCCACTAGAATGTTGTCCTTTAGTGGGTAAGAGAGAATGCAATCTTCTTCATAGCAGAAGGTCTGGCTTAGAGTGGAGGCATGGACAGTTTACCTAAGTAGGAAGGCAGATTGACAAGTGCTGCTTAATTACCATTCACTATTTGTCATGACATCATTACTATTGGTAAGTGGATATAATAATAATGTTTTCTTTGTCCTTAGGCTGGGATTAGTAGCTGGTGCATAGTATATATTCATTGACAGTGAGCCCTTATCATCATCATCTGTGCCATCAGGCTTAAGCTAAGCTCCGGGGATTTCATTTTTCTATAACCTTAATTTCAGATTATTCACAATTTTCTTAATTTTCTTTTACATTTTCACTAGATGCTTTTAACTTCCTCTCTTTAACCAACAACTTGAATACAATATAAGATGTCTTAAAGTTATATGTAAAATAGAAATTGTATATTTTTTTGTGTTGTAAAATTCACTTTTGTGGGCAATAGAATTAAATGCAGACATTTTATGTGTGTAAATCAAAATGTTTAAGGAAATGCAAGTATGAGTTACATTTTTGAATGTGTACATTAAAAATATTTAAACCCACGCTAGTTCAGAAGATGACAACTTCATTTTATTTTTTTTAAGTTCTTATGTGGGTTGCAAAACACTTACTGGCAAACCAAACATTCTGGCAACAATTCTGTATTCTCTAGTCACAACACTAATAACATCCTGTTTTAAGACAATACAAAATCATTAAAGTTGACAATTAGTTTCTGAACATAAAAAGATTCAGCTCTCTGTACACTTACCAACAAACACAATATTAGGCAATGTGGAGAAACCAAAGTCTATTTATCCTGTGAGCATATACATTTTAAGGAATATTATTTGCTCACATACATATTTTAAAGAACATAAAACTCCAAAATATTGTTCCCAAATCTTACATTGAGAACAAAACTCAGGAATGTGTCATATTTACCTTGTGACTTTATGCATCCACTCATCTTTATGGTATGTCCGGAGGCATGAAGCTTTAATGTGAGAAGGAGGCTATAACTAACTGGACACATAATTAAATGTAGTTGAAGAATTTGCTTCCAGATCTTGGCTCTTAGATGATCTATAGGATATTCTTCTCACAAAGTAGACCTTCATTTTCTCTTTCTAATACTTCAAAGAAACAATACTTAAGGACTCTTCCAGGTACAGCATTCTCTGATTCTATGATAGTGCATATCTCCACATACTTACTAGAACTTGCAGCCCCACATCTCCTAAACATTCCCTTCCCAATTCAGAAAGAGATAATTTTCTAGCACATCAAATTCCCCAATGGTATCAGTACCTCCAGTGATATTTGCACTGGTGTTATAATTCAGGAATATCTTCAGAATTACAGTTATTACTCTAAAAATAATCATTTGATCAAGCTCTCTAAAAGTTTATGTTGACTGTATTAAGCTGTGAACATTGCCTACAATGTGACAATCAATCTTTACATTTTTTAAAAAATTTAGGGGAGGAGAACTGACTGGAATCAAAACACTGCAAGTATGCATATTGTTTCTTAGTTCTGAAAATCCCTGTGAAATAGTATTTAGAAGGGAAATCTATAATCTTGATTTGTACAAAATGGCACCTTTCACAATCTATGTTCTTACATTGGAACATTTGTTATAACAAACTTTGTCATAATTTGCTATCAAATTAAAAAATACCTGTTCAAATACTAGCTAAATGTGTAGGGTATTTTAAACGAGATGATTTATGATGTATCTTAGCCGTATTTCAGACATTCATCTGGTAAAAACAAAGCTACCCCTACACTGTGTAAACATTTTTAAAGATAAGAAAGAAAGAAAGAAAGAAAGAAAGAAAGAAAGAAAGAAAGAAAGAAAGAAAGAGAGAGAGAGAAAGAAAGAAAGAAAGAGGGAGGGAGGGAAGGGAAGGAAAGAGAAAGGAAAGAAAGAAAGAAAGGAAGAAAGGAAAGAAAGAGAAAGAGAGAGAGAAAGAAAGAAAGAAAGAAAGAAAGAAAGAAAGAAAGAAAGAAAGAAAGAAAGATTTTGTAAAGGAGTTTAGTTACAAAGCCAGTTTGATATGGTTTTAGAGATTTATAGTCCATGCAACATTGCACTATCTGAAAATCAAAGAAGAGCAGTTGCAATGTGTAAGGCTAAAGCAGTCTTCAAAGTGAATTGTAGAATTCCTTTGACCGATGTGCTTATATTACAAAGAACATTCTCAGTCATGTTGATATTGGGATTTTTTTTTAACAAGCACCATCTCATAAATTTATTTAGTAATGAAAAAAAAAACTGCCAAGAACATCAAACATAAAATCTGCCAAAGGAAAGCGAACACTATTTATTTGTTTCCTAGGGCTGCTATAAAAAGTTACCACAAACCTGGTGATTTAAAACTGCAGAAATTTACTTTTTCATAATTCTGGAGGCCAGAGGTCTGAAATCAAGGTGTCAGCAGGGTTGTTTTTTTCTGAAGGCTCTCATAGGAATTAGTTTCACACCTCTCCTCTAGTTTCTGGTGGCTGCTGGAAATCCCTGGCAACCTTTGGCTTGCAAACTCATCCCTCCAATCTCTGCCCTGTCGTCACATGATCTTCTCCCTTTCTGTCTTTCACATTAGGCTTAGAGCCTATCAGAAATCCAGGATAATCTCATCGTGATATATTTAATTTGATTATACTTACAAATCACATCAAATGTAATTACAAAATAATTTACATTACTTTTCCCAAATATAAAGCCACCTTAACAGTATCCAGGGCTTAGGATTTGGACATATCTATTTTAAAGTGGAAACTAATTGAACTCAGTAGGCAAAACTTTAAAGGTGATGTTCAAACAAACCTTCTCTGATGCATAGCCCTAAAATCCTAATGGAATTTTGTAAAATTGTTATGTGGTATGTTCATTTAGGGCCTCTGAGAAGCCTTAAGTTGCAAGAAGCTGGTAGGAACACCTGTGAAGGATAAAGAGGAGCAGGAGTAGGCAAGGAGCGCCTTCAGACTATGACACTGGTCTAACAGCAGCGAGAGGGGACAAGAAGGTCAAGAATCGGGTTGCAAGGCTTCATACTGTGGTATAGCTCTGAGAATGTCTCCACTAGGCCAGGAAGGAGTTCTCCAGCAACATCATCCATTGTTGGGATTCTCTGTTATAAAGAAATGTCCTGGATTCACCATCACAACTGCATTTGGTCATTGCCTGGGAGCAGTCCAGGGAGAGCATGCCTCCATGTCAGAACTGTAGCAAATCTAAAGTGTCATGCCTAAATGAAGAATAGATAGTCAAAGCTCATGAGAGAAGTTTTCTGTAACCATTCATCAAAATTCCAAGAAAAATTGAAGAAGGAAAATTTTGCAAATATAGTTCCTTTGATATCTCTAGGGAATTCTAGAACATCCCAGGACATCATTCTAGGATTGGTGATTGTGAGACAATATCCAAGAGATCTTTATGCCTCCTAGCACCACTGTTATGATTAGAGCCAAGAGGTATTGGCAACCTTGAAGGCATATTGTGGCAGGCCAGTTTTCACTAACAGCTGAACAGACAGGCCTCCATGACAACTGTTTTAGCACTGACTGAGTTGTTAATTTAAATATTAAAAGCGGATAGAGCCAGTGCTCTTATACAAAGGGTGGAATGTAACAAAAGCCCACCAAGAGTTTTGCCTAGACCATTCCTGGGCCTTGAAGCGTAAGAAGATAATGAAGGAATTCTTCACAGGATATGTTTAGAATTAAATAAGTTTTATTGGGGGTATCTGAAGGAACTCCTCACACCTCCACTAACAAGTTTTATTGGGGTCTAAATGAACTCCCCAAATCTCTTTGATTTAGCATGAGCAAAATAAGGGTAGCCACCCCTGGCACCTGGACCCATCTGGTTAAAGTAAATTTACTGAGGCTCCAGAGGAAGGTCTTCAGGACTCTCAGACCTTAGTTATAGATTAGAGGTTAATCACATATGTCTTTAGGTAAATACAAACTTACATGTAGACATATAGCTAAGAAGGTATACAAGCTCTGGGAAACTGTAATTTTCAGTTGGTCTGGTGATATTTTCCCAGCATTCTCCCTGTACCCGGTAACAGAAATAAACTCTCTTCTTTCCCAGTTTGTCTGCATCTCGTTATTGGGCGGCAAGAATAAGCAGCCTGACCCTCACTTTAGTCTGGGAACAATATTACCCAATGCTGGTGATGTAGTATCTAAAGGGGGTGCTTATATAGATGACTTTGCTTTGATGAAGGATTAATTAAATGGTCTTGATAGCAATGAGGACAAAGCTCTGATTTTTTTTCTTGCCCAAATTCTTTTCTATGGGGTCTAGGGAATTGGGCCTTACAAATCATAAATTCTCATCATCAGATGGGTTTTATTTAACCCTGTATATTGTGACTTACTTTCCAGTCTGATTCTGGCATAACTAGGGAAAAAATCAAAATATATTTTCCCCAAAATATATTTCCCTGCCATACCTTGAAAATGCCCTGCAAAGTCTCTTTTGGGAAAAATCCACATTCAATAGAGAATCCCCTTCCCCCTTTGTTTTCCTTCCTTTCTTTCCAGATCCAGGAGATAATCAACTAAGCGCCAGGCACCCTTTTAGGTCTGATAAGAAACATTTTACAACCTGCTGTCTCCCTGAAGTCTGATATCTGAGAGATTTCTCTGCACAGTAATACTTGATCTCCACAATTCTTTATCTTAACCTGAACACTCCTTTCCATTGATCCCAGGTCTCCAGATAAACTCAACCAATTGTCAACCAGAAAATGTTTAAATTTACCTAGAGCCTAGAAGCCCCCGGCTTTGAGCTGTCCCGCCTTTCTGAACCAAACCAATGTATTTCTTAAATGTATTTGATTGATGTCTCATGCCTCCCTAAAAATATATAAAACCAAGCTGTACCCCAACCACCTTAGGCATATGTTCTCAGAACCTCCTGAGGGCTGTGTCAAGGGCCATGGTCATTCATATTTAGCTTAGAATAAATCTCTTAAAACATTTTACAGAGTTTGACTCTTTTCATTGACAGCAAGTAGGTACTCAAATTGGTCAACTGGGCTATGAAAAGAATCTCATGCCTAACAATAAATAAAGTATGAAAAAAGAACTGGTTCTACAGTTTGTCGCTAAACTTCCAAAATTTTTTTGAAGAGAACTACACAAAACAGATATGTTAATCTGGTGTGGAGGACTGTCTTACCACATTGGATAGTAAAAATGTTGAAGAATTTTTATGAAATACACTTACAGAAAAGAATTACTAAACTTAATTCTTATGAATTAGAAGAGAAAGCATGCATATTTGATGAAAATCTTTAAAGTTTAGATCACATAGATAAAATAATGTAGCTATTGGATATGATTATGACATGAATGCATCACACACTCTTCCTATCATCTGTTACACTGACACCAAGAAAGTGAATGGAAAGAGATATCCAATGTGAATTTTAATCCTCCCATTGTTGCTGTCTATGGCATCAGCTGATAGTTGAGGATGGACAGCCATCCATTTCCAGAGTCAAAACCACCAGGAGGAAATCATCCATTGTTTTCTTGTACTTGGACATAGCCAGACCTCAGGCATTTACTTTCTGCCTTTCTCACCCCTCACCAGTTCCCTCCTGCTCATCCTTCCCCTTCAGCAAGCAGCAGCACTGACTACATCTTCCAGCTTTCTCTTTTCACCGCTGTACCTCAATTGGGTTATCTTCAATGCTTTAATCTTCAAAAGAAACAAAACATGCCTTGTCTCCTATGTTGCTTTGTTAAGAGTTAATTCTATTCCTTGTGTTTTTAACATATTATTTATTCTTCAAGCTTCTGCTTAGAAGAAAAATGTAATTTGTATCTAATACTTTACAAGACAGCATCATTGTATATAGAATGGATATGTACTAATAAGCACATAAAGTGCTAAATAATTAGGTGTTAAATGATTAAATAATTGATACTTTAGTGCTTTATATTACGAAAAAGTCTTTGTTGAGTTTTATATACATGTTTCAGTATTTATTATTACTTGGGAAAATTTGGTTGGGTGTTTTCATAGGTTGAGAATGCATTCTTATTTTCCCTACTAAAAATAACAGCATACAGGCCCCTACTATTAAAAAAATCAATGTTTAACATGTTTACAATAATGTGTTCGATTCAGATAATGAAGGATATATGCATTACACTTATTATGTAGAACTAAAAGGTACAGAGTCAGTGAATTTAAAGTAAATGAAGAATGACAGAGAAGGTAATGAAGAGACCACAAGAGTGAGAAAAGCAAAAAATAGCATTGTAAGTTAACCAAGCAGATGGGACAGTCCAACTAAACTGGAACAGTGTAGTCCCCTTTGTTAGCTGCTCTAAATAAGGGGTTCTATCTTCACATATATAGTAATATAATCAACAATGAGGGGCACAAAAACACATGATCAAAACCCTCTACCTTAGAAAAAGTTCCAGAAAGAAGAATGGGATGGCTTTTGCTGTGGGCAAAAGCTGAGATCACCAGGACATGTAGATGGGTCATAAATAAATATATATATATACTTGGCCTACATTTTGTGGGAAATTCTTTTACATTACATCCTGTGTTGTTAGTGCTAAACAGTTACATTTCCATGAACCCACATTGCCTTTTAAGTGTTTTGTAGTCTCTCGGCAAAGGGGGAAAAAGGCTCCTACACAATAAGCTCATTTTCCTGAGGGTGTGGCTTTTGCAAATGGACTTAAATTACTAGAATTTGTGACAGCCAGCTGCCTTGGTTTTTGTTTGATTGTTTGTTTGTTTTTGCCCTGACACTCCATTAGTGTTATTTATTCTCACTCATAGGCTTGGGAGGAGTGCAAGGACAAGTTAAAAATCTGTCTGAATGACTGGGCAGAAAAGATTTTCAAGCCATAGAGAAATGTCTTAGGCATTGTTGTTTCTCTAATGGGAAGAGCCTGAGAAAACACTTGGAAAGTATCTCCTCCAAAGTTACAGTCGATTTGGAGAAAAGCTATCTAAATAAAGAATATTTCAAGAAATTACATAAACTTTGATTGTTACCTTGCAAGAACTTTGCCTAAGGCACATTGTCCAAGCACTACAGAAGTATAAAGAAGATTCTAACTTGATTGGATATTTGTTCCACTTGAAATCTGAAGTTACGGAAAAGCCAAATAGAGGCTGTATGAAATGGAAAATGTCAAAAATCTTAGGTCTCCTCTTATTCACATATTATTATCACTATTACTTTGCTATAGCATACTGATGATTTTACTTGAATGTTGCTATGAATGAGGGTATCTCATTGATGACTTAAACCACTGGTGCTTTGAAAATGTTATTTAAAACTTGGATCATAATTGAATATCAATTATTCTTTTCTCAACCTTAGAATATATATAGTCATATGCAACAGTCTTCTCCAAATTATTCGATTTTCTCAGGAAATCCAAGTTAATAAAGACAGATGGTGAATTAAGTGAAATTGGCAGCAAATTTATCTCAATTTTTGAGATTTTTAAAAAACAATGTGTTATTGTTTTAGAATTCTCTAATTTCTTTCCTCCCTGTCTTAAATCTTCTTTCCATCACAGATTTCTTTGCATGCCTTGGCTGTATTGTCCAGATTGACATCATATTAAGTGGCATGTGTTTCTTTGCTATTAAGCTGAAGTGGCTTTTATGTTTACAGGCAAGATCATTGCATTTTTTATGATTGTGTAATTAAAAATGCCCATTTCATAAAAACTAAAAGCACTTAAATATAAGAATATATAACCTTCCATGATTTTTCTACCTGGAAATGACTACTATTATCACTGCAGTGATATCCTTCTAGAATATTTTGAATTCGTGAGCATAAATACATATTTAGAAAATTGGGATCCAAAATTACGAAAATGGAATTAGGGATTACATGGCATTTTGAAGCTACTTTTTAATTTAATATATTTAAATTTATTTTCATGTTAATATATATATATTCATACTATCAACAGTATTGCTTGAATGGTAATTCTTTTATAGCTGTACCACAATTTCATTTTTCAAGCAGCCTCTTATTTTGAGCATTTAAATAACTGTTAAATTTGTATTCATGTTAACAGTAAAATAAATGTGATATACATACGTTGATATGGTTTGGCTGTGTCCCCACCGAAATCTCATCTTGAATTATATTAGGTTGGTGCAAAAGTAATTGCGGTTTTTGCCATTGAAAGTGAAGGCCAAAACTGCAATTACTTTTGCACCAACCTAATAATTCCCATAATCTCCACATGTTGTGGGAGCGACCTAGTGGGAGATAATTGAATCATCGAGATGGTTACTTCCATGCTGTTTTTGTGATAGTGGGTGAGTTCTCATGAGACCTGGTGGTTTTATAAGGAGCTTCTTCCCAATTTCGTTCTGCATTTCTTGCTGCCACCATGTGAAGAAGGATGTGTTTGATTCTTTTTCTGCCATGATTGTAAGTTTCCTGAGGCCTCCCCAGCCCTGCTGAATTTTGAGTCAGTTAAACCTCTTTCCTTTATAATTTGCCCATTTTCAGGTATGTTTCTATTAGTAGTGTGAGAATGGACTAAAACAGTAAATTGGTCATGGGAGGAGTGGGGTGCTGCTGTAAAGATATCCGAAAATGTGGAAGTGACTTTGGAACTGGGTAACAGGAAGAGGCTGGAAGAATTTGGAGGGCTCAGAGAAGTCAGAAGAATGTGAGAAAGTTTGGAACTTTCCAGAGACTTGTGGAATGGCTTTGACCAAATTGCTAATAGTGATATGGACAATGAAGTCCAAGCTGAGGTGGTCTCAGACGGAGATGAGGAACTGTTGGGAACTGGAGCAAAGATTACTCTTGCTAGCCAAAGAGACTGGCAGCATTTTGCCCCTGCTGTAGATACCTGTGGAAATTTGAACTTGAGAGAAATGATTTAATGTATCTGATGGAAAAAATTTCTAAGCAGCAAAACATTCAAGAGGAAGCAGAGAATGAAAGTTTGAAAAATTTGCAGCCTGATGATGCGATAAAAAAATAAAAATCCATTTTTTGGGGAGAAATACAAGCCAGCAGCAGAAATTTGTATAAGTAACAAGGAGCTGAATGTTAATCACCAAGACAATGGGGAAAATGACTCCAGGGTATGTCACAGACCTTCACAGCAGGCCCTACCATCACAGGCCAGGAGGCCTTGGAGGAAAAAATGGTTTCCTGGACTGGGCCCAGGGCCCACCTGCTGTGTGCAGCCTAGGGACTTGGGGCCTTGCATTCCAGCTGCTCCAGCTATGGCTAAAAGGGGCCAAGGTATGACTCGGGCCTTGGCTTCAGAGGGTGCAAGCCCGAAGCCTTGTTAGCTTCCATGTGGTGTTGGTCCTGTGGGTACACAGAAGTCAAGAATTGAGATTTGGAAACCTCTGCCTGAATTTCAGAGAATGTATGGAAATGCCTGGATGTCCAGGCAGAAGTCTGCTGCAGAGCCAGAGCCCTCATGGAGAACCTCTGCTAGGGCAGTGGAGAAGGGAAAAGTGGGGTTAGAGCCCTTATACAGCACAGAGTCCCTACTGTGGCACAACCTAGTGGAGCTGCGAGAAGTGTGCCACCATCCTCCAGACCCCAGAATGGTAGGTCCATCAACAGCTTGCATCATGTGCCTGGAAAAGCCACAGACACTCAATGCTAGCTATGAAATCAGCCAGGAGGGAAGCTGTATTCTGCAAGCTACAGGGGTGGAGATTCCCAAGGCTCTGTGAGTCCACCTCTTGCATCAGTATGACCTGGATGTGAGACATGGAGTCAAAGGAGATCATTTTTGAATTTTGAGGTTTAATGACTGCCCTATTGGATACAAACTTGCACGGGCCCTGTAGCTCCTTTGTTTTGGCCAATTTCTTCTATTTGGAAGACGTGTTTTTACCCAATGCCTGTACCCCCGTTGTATCTAGGAAGTGACTCAGTTGCTTTTGATTTTATAGGCTCATAAGCAAAAGGGACTTGCCTTGTCTCAGATGAGACTTTGGACTTGGACTTTTGAGTTAATGCTGGAATGAGTTAAGACTTTGGGGGACTGTTGGGAAGGCATGGTTGTGTTTTGAAATGTGAGGATATGAGATTTGGGAGAGCTGGGGGCAGAATGACATGGTTTGGCTATGTCACCACCCAAATCTCATCTTGAATTGTAGTTTCCATAATCCCCACATGTCATGGGAGGGACCTGGTGGGAGGTAACTGAATCATGGTGGCAGGTACCTCCATGCTGTTCTCATGATAGTGAGTTCTCAAAAGATCTGATGGTTTAATAAGGGGCTTTTCTTCCTCTTTGCTCTGCACTTCTCCTTACTGCTGCCATGTGAAGAAGGGCATGTTTGCTTCTCCTTCTGCCATGATTGTAAGTTTCCTGAGGGTTCCCTAGCCAGGCTGAACTGTGAGTCCATTAAATCTCTTTCCTTTATAAATTACACAGTCTCAGGTATGTCTTTATTAGTAGTGTGACAATGGACTAATACATACACATTTAGAACATATTTCATCTGAACCTTACCATAAATTCCTAAAGGTAGTGTGAACGGGTCAACGGGCTCACAGAATTTAAGGTGTTTTTTTTCTTTTTTAATATCCTGCTTAATTTGCCCTTGAGCAAGTTTGAACTAATTTAATTTGTCATAGCAGTGTATTAGAGGGAAGTGTTGGCTCTTGTGTATAGAATCTGGAAATAATTCTAATGTGAAGCAGATCTATTTAAATCTAGCTACAATAATCACATGCTTCAGTAAAAATGTCACATTAATTCAGATTTCATATCACCGTGAATTAATTAAAGAGACATCAGTATTAGTAAATTTTCTGACTTACTTGCATTGTAGTAGAGTGATTACTGAACACCCTGTTCTTAAAGATAAAAGACTGACGAAGAAAATTGCTTTGAAGCAGAAAGAGAACAGGATTCAGAGTTAAAAGACCTGTGCAAGTGGGGCAAATACATTCCTTGGAACTTATTGTTATTTTATCTGTAAATAAAGATGACAGATTGAGCAATCTCAAGGCTTTTCCAGTTCTAAAACATTCCCTGTATGCTATATTGCAGTCTCCATTAAGCTAATACCCACGACCTGTTTTCTTGTTTTTTTTTCATAGAACCTAGTGCATAAACTAACTTGCAAAACAGTCATTTTTATGTGCTACACGCTCCACATTACAATATATTTTTAAATGAGCATGCTAGGCTGCTTATTAATCAGATTTCATTTCATAGGATTGTACAAATAAAATGATAATTGATTTTCCAGTATTAATTACTCTGTAGCCCTTGGCAGATGGAATCATTCTTCCAGTTGCTTGATTTTTTAGAAGGTAAAGAGAAACTAGAAGGTAAAGGTAAACTAGTTAATTGAGGTCTCATGCAAAGTTTACTAACAGAAAAACATACCTAAACTAAGAAACGATTGGTTTTATTCAGTTAGAAGGGAGAGGTGAAGAGGGAGTTGACTTGTAACCTTGACCCTTATAGATAACCAAGCATTTTAAATGTAGCTTTTAGCACATTTTTGTGACTTTTAAGTATAAGTTACATAGTAGAAAGAGAAAATATTTCTTTTTATTTTTATGCCAATTGCTTAAATTAATCAAAATAAATTATGTGCCAGGCACAGTGGCTCACACCTGTAATCCCAGCATTTTGGGAGGCTGAGGTGGGCAGAAAGCCTGAGGTCAGGAGTTCGAGATCAACCTGGCCAACATGGTGAAACCCCACCTCTACTAAAACTACACAAATTAGCTAGGCGTGGTGGCACATGCCTGTAGTCCAAGCTACTCAGGAGGTTGAGTCAGGAGAATTGCTTGAACATGGGAGGGAGAGGTTGCAGTGAGCCAAGATCGTGCCACTGCTCTCCAGCCTGGGAGACAGAGTGAGACTCCATCTCAAAAATAAATAAATAAAATATGAAAAGTTTGTCATCTTTATTTAAGACACATAGTTGCCCTGTTTTAACATTATTCTATTTTTAATTGTAAAAGCAGGTGGAGAGGGGTGGGGTTCATGCCTGTAATCCCAGAACTTTGGGAGGCCAAGGCTGGCAAATTGCTTGAGCCGAGGAGTTCAAGACCAGTCTGGGAAACATGGTGAAACCTGGTCTCTATAAAAAAATACAAAAATTAGCTGGGTCTGGTGGCACATGCCTATAGTCCCAACTACGCAGGAGGTTGAGGCTGAGGATGGCTTGAGCCCAGGAGTTTGAGGCTGCAGTGAGGCAAGATCATGCTACTGTATTCTAGCCTGGGCAACAGAAAAAAAAGAATATGATTATAACCATCAATTAAGATTCAGCTAGTTTAAGCAAAATAATCAAAATATTAAAAAATAACAAAAGGTATAAAATAAAAAGTAAAGGCTCCCACAAATTCCAGAACTGAATATTTTATCCACTTCTGTTTTGTTTAACCATCTGTTTCTTGTCACAATATCTATTTATTTCCTGCTATAAAAGGTGAGAAATATACATCCAACATACACAGAGAGATTCAAAATTTTACTGGTTATATTTCTGGTTTTAGTCTTCTGATTGGCACTTTATAACTGTAAATATTTTACTAAGAACTTTATTTGTTAATTCTTCAACTCCAGAGTATCTATTGTCTGTTCTCTACCAACTCTGCAAAAAATGGTTTGACCTAGCTTTTTCTTTCTCTCACCACTCTTTTTCCACCTTTTCTTAACTATACCTTTATTTTTACATTTGTATTCCTCCATGGAGATTCCTCTTCTTCTATATTTAATTTTGTTGCTGGGTGCATGGCCAGTTAAGATGTAGAAATGGGGCATGGAAAGTATGGAAGTGATCTATGCTGATTCTATGTTGGGACACTTAAACAGTGATGTGCCTTCTGCATGCTTTCTCTGCCCTGCTTTTGCCAGCTGGGAAATGAGCGGGACCTAGACCCAGCCTAAAGCACATGATGAAAGTAACATGAGTCTATAAATGACCCTGTGATGGAGAGCCACCCACAGATCTGGAAAATTCTCCAGCTGACTCTTTTGTGCAGGAAGGATATAAATGTCTTTGTTCTTTAAATCTAGGAATTTTTGGTCTCTGTGCTTTAGCATCTTCGCCCACCCTAAAAAACACATTTCCGTATTTTGCCTACTTTTTTATTCTACAGTTTCAAAACCACTTAGCACCATTTACAACAATAGGCATATAATAGTGTTATTTATTTCTTAACCAAATAGTGTGGCTGGCCCCTGAGAGAGCAGTTGTGATGCTAGGTTAATTCTATGCCACTTGGAGAATGTTCCAAGCATCAGGTAAATTCCATTTTCTTATTCTTATATTCAATCAGTAGCTCAACCCATGCTGTATTTTAGTTTGCATAGCATTTTGAGCATGATGTTCCACAGATTTTTTTTTCACACTGCTTATGTGCCTTTCTTTATTCTTACTGAGGTGCTTACTATATGAACACTAGACCTTCCATACTTCTCATATTCTGCTCTATGTGCAAAATAGATCCAGGGTTTTATATTTAGATAATTAAGATCTTATTCACCCATATAAGTTGCCTTTTTAACATTCTTTATGCTGGCATCATAACGTAGTTTCTGAGAAGGCTTGCTATTCTTTGTTCCCACCTCAGCATACACTTACTTGCCTTTTTTTATGATGTAGCTCTAACAATAATACATAGAAATGCATTCTGCTTCCCAATGGTTTCTTTTCCTTGTTGTCATGTGTTTGTTCAGATTCATTTGTGTCACTTCTTATTTTGATGTTTCTCTTCCTGGCTGTTCATTTTCTTCAAATATCTTGTGATTCTTGATTAAACATTCCAACTTGATGGCAATAAGTACCTATGGTTGATTTCTTTCACAGTTTTGTAAGTCTATTTAACCATAAAAGCCTGGTTCTATCAAAAGGTAACGTTTCCCTTAAGATGTGTGGTTGAGCAAGGGGCCGACTAACTCACAGCCTTCAAAAATAACAAGGGTGGAGGGCAATATACTGGTATAAAGTGCTTTTGTGTATTTCACTCCTACATGGGATTTGCTTTATTCTGCTTATCTTTCAATTCAGTATTCACATTCTGGGTCCTCCATAAGTACACTTTGATTTTCAATTAGAAATTAGTATTCTTTACACCAGCTGAATGCAAATACTACACATCCAACATCTTTGAGTATATTAGAAGAGAAGAAACTGCTGCAACTCACTCACCATTATCTCTTCTACTAACTATTCTGGTTGCCTCCCCACAGCTCTCCTCACCTGCTAATATTCTGTCTCAAGCCAGTGGTTTCTATATTCATTTTCTCTTAATCACAATTTTTCCTTGGTTTTCCTTTCTTTGCTCTGGGCTGTCAATTAAGTCACATTTACTTTGCAGTTGTAATAGAAATTACTCAGAGACTTGTTCTTAATCAGGAAATTTGAGCTTGTCTGTCTTTATTCAAACAAACTATTCTACTTGAAAACTATGTAGTTATTTTTACGCACCATTCTTATATGTAATATTTGTATTATAACATATAACTCTGGGCTTATCCTCATTACTGTACCCTAAGATAATATATTTCACAAGTTTATATCCTTACAATCCTTTTGAATAATGCAGTTTTTGTGTAAGGCCATAACCAGCTAAATCAGAAAATGGTATTTTCTTTCCTCTCTCCATCCTTCTTTTTCTTCTTTCCTTCCTTCCAGGAAGACACAGAGTTTTGCCATCTTTAATCCCTAGTATTTAGCACAATATCTGGCCAAAAGTAGAAAGCATTTTTTTAAAAAAAATAATTGATGGAATTATTTTATTTCATTTGAGACAGAATCTTGTTGTCTCTCCCAGGCTGAAGTGCAGTGGTGAGATCTCGGCTCACTGCAACCTCTCCCTCTCAGGCTCAAGCAATTCTCATGCCTCAGTCTCCTGACTAACTGGGACTATAGGCCTGTGCCACCAAACTCAGGCAATTTTTTGTATTTTCAGTACAGAATGGGTTTTGCCTTGTTGTCCAGGCTGGTCTTGAACTCCTGGCCTCAAGTGATCTGCTCTCCTCAGCCTCTCAAAGTGCTGGGATTACAGGTGTGAGCCACTGTGCCCCCGGCCTGAATTTTTAAATGAATGAGTTAAGTAATGAATACTATGATTGCACTATACTTAGACTTTAATATTTTGTTTCTTCAACCTTGGAAAAAAAACTTTCACCCTCTAACTGGGTATATCTCATTTGTGATAATTTTATTTTTTTCAAGAATATTTATTCAGTGCCTACTCTGTCCTTTGCTCTAGGCATGTGGAATAAAAGCATAAGAAACCAAAAGAAATATTAACTTCTTGGAAAAATTCATGGCGAAGGGATCAGAGGAAAAAGAAGACAAATATTACACCAATAATGATAAAATTGTAATAGAGAATTACAGGTGATGAAGGAGAGAGTGAATTAAACAGGAGGGTTGGAGAATGTCCTTCTGAAGAAGTGACAATTCAGCAAAGATCTAGATGAGAAAGCCCCATAGAAGATGGGAAAGTCTATTCGAGGTTAGTGTAAAGGCAAAGTGGAAGAGTAAGGAGGCTAGTGTGATTGTACCTCAGTTTGCTCACATGATTATATATATATATATATTTTTAAGACAGATGCGGTCTTGTTCTGTGGCCCAGGCTGGAGTGCAGTGATGATCATAGCTCCCTTCTGCCTCGAAATTCTGGGCTCAAGAAATCCCCCAGCCTCAGCCTCCCAAGTCACTGGGATTACAGATGTGAGCCTGTCTGGCTCACATATCTGGCTATGTGAACATATTATTTTATACTATTCTCTGTAAGAGTTTATGAACTTTGCCTTTCTTAACTTTCCATTTGGCTATTATCTAAGTCTTCCATAAGTTTTTTGAAGGCTCGATCATTTCAATCCTTTTCACCATCCCTGGTAAGTAATAAACATATAGTAACAAGATTAAATATTACTTGAAATAATGAATAAAAGAGCTGATTGTCAACCTGATCAAATTACGTGAATTTTAGGCACATCTACAGGATATGGTTATTCAAAATATGGCTCATTCTTATACCAAAGAGAATACATTAAGCAAGAATTTCAAAACTCGGATTCACTTGTCACACCGCATAAATGAAAGAGGAAGAAATATGTACTCCTGAATTACTGATCACAAGATATTTCAAAGATTTTTGAAGGTTTTGAAACACTTGCAAGTATGAATGTGGAATAAAGTTAATTTGCCTTCCCACTGCAACTTGCCCTTATACCTGAATTTCCTCTCACTTATTGAAGCCATTTCATCCTGCTTTCGCTGCCTGATTTTGCTGTTTGACATTAGGCAATTAATGGAGTGGTTATGTATGGTCATTTCTATCTCAATAAATTCTGCTCATTATAAAACTCCAATACAAGAATTATTATTGACATTGACAAGTGCAAATATTTTGGCCTTCCTTTTGTCATCATTAAATTTGGCAATTACCTTTCTCCACAGACTGTACATTTATAAAGAAAGGGAAAAAGTAAATACCAAGGATGTTTAGTGCAATTTATTTTCAGATGAGAGAACAGGCCTTGATAGATTCAATGCTTTCCTGATGGCTTCTAAAGTAGAGAATGAAAGAGATGGGATCTTTTTCATAGTAAGTAATTACTTTTATTATAGAGTATTTCACACACATAAAAGAATAAGCACAAAAATGATCCCTTGTTAAATTTCTGTTAAATACTTAAAATTGATTTGAGGAAATTTTCTTGTTTTCCTGGTTTACAAAGAATTACAAGAATCATAAATATTCAATATTGAATTTTGAATCATAAATATAATGTTGAGTTTTACTGAATGCTTTTAATTTTTTAAACATGAATCTTTTAATGTAAATTGTGATTCTTGCATTCTTGAAGTAAATATAATTAGATTATGATATATATTGCCTTTTTTTTTACTACAATCTACTGATGTATCCTTTTCAGCTGAAGCTCTTTTTTGTTCTTTTACTTTACTGCTCTGTGTGTTCTATCGTCTAAGCTTTTCTTTGGTTATACTAGAGAGAACAACATACATTCTTATGTTATTAAAGTCTAGTTTTAATCATATCAGAACAATATAAACACCTTTTTGACCATGTTCACCATCCGTCCAAATTATATGCTTTTTTTTTTTTTTTTTTGAGCTGGAGTCTCACTCTGTAGCCCAGGCTGGAAGGCAGTGGTTCGATCTTGGCTCAATGCAGCCTCTGCCTCCCAGTTTCCCAGGTTCAAGCGATTCTCCCACCTCAGCCTCCCCAGTAGCTGGGTATAGGTGCACACCACCATGCCCAGTTAATTCTATATTTTTAGTAGAGATGTGGTTTTGTTTGTTATGTTGGCCAGATTAGTCTCGACCTCCTGGCCTCAAGCAATCTGCCCACCTCAGCCTCCCAAAGTGCTGAGATTACAGGTGTGAGCTGCCGCACCCAGTTTATATGCTATTTTTGATTAGGATTTTTGTTATCTATTTTTTAGTCATTGTTAGAAATTATTACAATTACTTATGCACCTAAGATCTGTTTAATTTTGTTTGCCCCAGGGCAACCTGGCTTCATTATTTTACCTCCTGTGTCAACTGCTGTTTTTTTTTTTAATGTTTTTTTGGCCTTTGGGAATTTTTTATACTTCTTGTGATCCCTACAATATATTCTATGTGTATTTGTTGCTGAAATACTTTTCAATATGTCTAGTCTGCCACACTACTGGTCTCTCATTCTTTTATGATAGCACAGCTATTATAAACTAAGGTTATGTATGTATCACAGTAACTTGTCCATTATCTCTGTCAACTGTGAGATGGAGGTCACAACGTGCTTTCTATAAAGAAAGGGCAATAAAGAGTCAACTAAATATCATGAACAATTTTATCTGTATTTTTCATTTCCCCTTGACATTTTACACTTATTTTATCACATGACTTTCAAAGTCTCGGAAAAAATATAAAGAAAAAGTAATGTTATATAAAATATGGCACTTTAAAGGTTTATAAATAACAAATAGGCATTTTAAAATTCTTTTCAAGTATCTTATTATAAGTATTTTGTAAAAAGTATAGAAAACGGCAGGCAAACTCACTAGCTCATTAAAATAGCTTCAGTGTCATTTTCTAATCTTCTTGCCTTGTCATTTGATTTACTTTGGCTCTTAATATCTATTCACTTATAGATTAGTTCATCAAAATCATATGTATACATGTATGTATATACATGTATATGTATATAATTTTGTGCACACATGGCATAAACCTCAAACGTCATGACTAAATTAAATTAAATTAAATTATATCCATTCACTGCTGTACTTTTGTCTGCAGAACTGAAAGAGACAGAGGATTCCTTAGAACCGAATTAAAAATTCAAGACCACCTGCATCAAAAACATGTGGGAGAAAGCACATAACTGGAAAAGCATGTCACAGAGAACTGTAAGCCTGCTCTGCCAAGCTGAAATTCTAAAATAGAAAATTAAATATTGAAACATAACCTTGAAATACACAGCCATTGTACATTCAAAAGCCATGAGAGCCATTATTTCTGAAACACCACGTGAAATTAACCATTTATTTTACACTCCACAATATAGACTACATCAAATTTATCTGAATACTATTAGAAAGTACAATTTTCAGACATTAAAGGAAGAAGTTTTTCTTTTTTTTTTTTTGCAAGAGCTGTAAGATCTACGGATAAAGAAAGTCATCTTTCAAGTTTTTATTCCATAAGCTTAAAGAATTATTTACAAAATAGTTTTTATATTCCTTGGCAGAAAATCCTTTTTGAAAGTCATCCATCTTTCCTTTTTTTCGTCTTCATGACATTTGCAAGCAATTGTACAGAGATTTCCTGTGTCACAAACTTCATAGGAATCAAAGATTAGAAAAATTTCCAGGAACATGTACACACACACACACACACACACACGCACACAGCCTTAAGATATTATATTCTAGTATGTAGTGGCTAGTTTCCTACGAACTTGGATATCTACAAATAACTAATTTCTAACTAATCCTAACTGGTTATAATCGGTTGAATGTGTGCATGTTTGTGTGTGTGTTTATATTTTACCAATCAGGTTGTAATGTCTTTGGAACATTTTTGCCATTCCTCCATATTTAAACTGAAAATACCTAAAGACCATGTCAATTACTTCCCAAAACAGACTGATCAACTCCTGTAAAATTGATGGCAGCTGTGGCCCATCTGGAGTGGCTGCTGCAAAAGAGCTGGCTGCAGTGGGGAGGCATGGCCAGGGCTGTGTATTCCCTGGAGCCGGGGGGAACCAGGAACAGGCGGAAGGCCTGTCCCCTTAAGAGTTGGTGGGCCAGGAGCCCTGCACTCCCAGGCACAGCTGCGGACACTGTGCTCAGAAGTACCTGCTCTCACTGCCTGGCTTCTCCTCGCTCCTGGCACCCACTGTGATTTCCGAGCAAAGTTGTGGCTGAGCCTGTGTCACAACCTGGCCAGATGTGCATGCACTTGGGGTGACACTGACACATCAGCCCCCTGTCACCTCAGCCCCCTCCAGATTTTGGGTGCCAATGAGCACGGCAGGGAAGCCAAGGGGCCACTGAGGATGGCTCGGCATAGGCCCGCAGGTGCCCCTTTGCATGAACAGCTAAAAACCCGAGACTCAGTCAGACTCAGGCAGATGACGGGGTGACTGCCTGTGGAGAAGAACTACCCACTGTGGATCTCCTCTCCACTGAGAGCTGCAAATATCAGGATGATCTGACTGTGGAGAGGAGCTATCCACTGTAAGTCTCTTCTTAGCTGAGAGTTGAGCAGATTTTGGGACAACCTGCCAGTAGATAGGAGCTACCCCGTTTGGGTGTCCTGAGAGCTGTACTGTCACTCAATAGAGCACCTCTTCACCTTACTCACCCTCCAGTTATCTGCACACCTCATTCTTCCCAGATACGGGCCAAGAACTCAGGACCAGCTTAAGCAACAACAGTAGGACACAATTTTATAGCGGAGTGTGGGGGCAGAAGATGTACCATTTTAATTTTTTATATATTAGCAATTTATTAAAAATTAATTAGCATTTCACAAGCAATGCAATTATTTAGAAATAAAGCTAAGTTCAGAGTCCTACTTATTACACAGAAATCTGCAAGAGAATGTCACCCCTATCAAACAGAATAAAAAGCCTTTTAATCTAAAACACTATGTATCTTTTATGTTAATTCCATAAGTTAGCTGAGACTTCAAAGCAATATGGTGAAATTAATTCCAGAGAGTGACAAGATCCTTGAAGGACACATGCATTGTTTCACCACTGACAGAGGCCAAGAAGAAAGGGTGATAGACGTAGAGATGCATAAAAAGAAAACAACAGATACATTTTTAAAATTCTTAAAGGTGAAGTGTGGTCGGGGTAACAGTTTAGTCTGGAGAACTAAGAGTCACCAGCTCTTCTCCACCCCTCTCTGAAGGTGCTGACAAGAAATAATGTGGGCAGGCAAGTGATTGAGAGGCCTCCCTCCTCCAGGTGACGTGAGCATACCCCCAGTGATTGGCTTTTGCTGGGAATCAAATACAAATTTTGCATAGATTCTTCACACAGAGCAAAGCTGTCTGTTGCTGGAGAAGGGACAGGAAAACCTCTCCTGCCTGCATCCTGCAATGAAACAAAGCAGTTTTCTGCTGCTAGCAAAGAGGAGGAAACTCCCTCTCACCCAAGATCCACCACCATTACAGGTCAGCATTTGACTGCCTTTGAGGCAGAGGCACATAGGGCCTGGCCAAGGGCCTGGCTAAGACTGAGGTTATGACAGGAGAGTAAAGACAAGGCCCGGGCCCCTTGCAGCATCCCATTGAGTAACAAGCCACAGCAAGGTGGCTGTTGGGAAAGGGTATCCTCTGGTACCTTTATCCCAGACAAAACCTTCTTGCTATTGAAGGATGGGCACAAATAGCTCTAATGCCCATGGCATTGCCCTGATACAAAACAGATCTGTTTGCGTCTGGAGAAGGATCAGGAACACAGAAAGAGCCCCATCCCTGAAGCTCAGGTGTACAGAATCTTTCTAAGCCTGAGGATGCAGCAGAAGATCTGAAAGCTTCCACCACCACCTCAAAATCCACCAAAGCCTTGTCTATTAACTATGCCTTTTATTTTCTGTGTTTTCATGCTTTGACATCTTGGGGTCTTGCTAATGCTGGAGGAAGTATTCCTCTCAGGTTAGCTAATTCCTAGGGACAGCAAAATAGTTGTCTGTGAGCATTCCTATCAAACACAAACCAATGAATCCAGTCTACACTCCAACACCTTTTTTAACTGAGCTTTCATACTCTGTGCCACTATCCACTTACCCTAATCACCTCAGGGCCAGGTAACAGACAACTATGGGTAGCCCATATCACTCAGAACCTGCAGAAATTATTTAAACTAGCCCATCCCAAGCCTGATGAGCCTCTTACTTCCCCTGGAAAACACAATCAAGTTTCTTGCCCACCTTTTCTTCTCACCCTCTCTCCTCCTGGTCTCCCCTAATGCTTCCCTGTGTACTGCCTGTCCCATGGTACAGTGGGTTCCTTTCTCTCGGGATTCGTGAGTGCAACAAACTACCTTCCCAATGGCAGTCAGTTCCTAATCTGTTGGCCTTGTGATGCCTAAATAATAAAACCTGCTTTTAAAAAAACCGTATGCCCAGGAAAATACAATAGCAGTCTTCTCCCCAAAGGTGGGAGGCAGCACAGATAAAGCCCCCTCTGTGTCACAGGCACTCCAGGCGTGCCGAAGGAAAACAGTGGAGCAGAAACACAGAAAAATTCAGTACTCCAGACCCAACCTTAAGCACAAAAAAGCTGCAGCTTACCACTGGAGGAATTTTTTTTTTAATTAAATGTTGAAATTTGAGATAACTGCAGATTCACTTGTAGATATAAGGCATAGAGATCTCGTGTGTCCTTTCCTCATTTTCTCTAAATGGTAATGTCTTGCAAAATTACAGTACAATATTACAAGCAGAATATTGACATTGATATGATCAATAAACAGACCAACACTGTCACCACAAAGGTCCTTCATGCTGCCCTTTAGTAATCATACACAATTCCCTCTGTCTCTCACTTCCTCCTCAACCTCTGGCAAACATTCATCTGTTCTTCATTTCTATAATTGTGTCTTTTCAAAAATGCTATGTGCATCCATGTTGTTGCATTTATTATTGATCCATCCATTTTTTATCACTGAATACTATTCTGTGGTATAGGGCTACCACAGTGTCCTTAAGCATTCACCAGTTGAAGACTATCTGGGTTGTTTTCAGTTTTGGGCTATTATGAATGAAGTGCTTTTAAAGATTTGTGTATAGGCCTTTTTCTCTTTTTATGAGACAGTCTCATCCTGTCTCATTAAAAAAGACACAATCTTCGCTCACTGAAGCCTTGACCTCCTGGCTCAAGTGATGCTCCTACCTCAGCCTTCCCAGTAGCTGGGACTTACAGGTGCATGTTACCACATCTGGCTAATTTAAAAAAAAATTTTGCAGAGTTATGGTCTCATACAGGCTTTTATATGAACATATTTTCATTCCTCCCAGAGTGCATTTGCCTAGGAATGCATTTGCTGAGTTATATAGTAGTGCCATGTTTAGTTTTTTAAGAAATGGCCAAAATGTTTTCCAGAGTGCTGAAAAACCATTTTGAATTCCCACCAGCAGAGGATGACTGATACAGTGTCTCCACACCCTTTCCAGTAGTTGATGTCGTTACCAATTTTTGTTTAGCTATTCTAATAGCTGAATAATGATATCTCTTTTTGGTTTTGATTGCATTTCCCTAATGGGTAATGATGTTTAATAGCTTTCCATGTGCTTATTTACCATCTGAATATTCTCTTCAGGACAATATCTGTTCATGCCTTTGGCTCATTTTCTAATTAGATTGTTTGTTTTGTTTTTACTTCGAATTTTGCGAGTTCATTATATATTTTACATGCTAGTCCTGTGATTTATATGTGTTTTCCAAGTATGTTCTCCCACTGTCTACCTTTTTCTTCATTTCTCTTAACAGAATCTATAGAAGACCACGAGTTTTTTATTTTGATGAAGTCCAATTTATTTTTCCTTTTATGGATTGCACTTTCAATATCAAGTCTAAGAAATGTTTGCCTAGCGTTAGTTCCCAAAGATTTTCTTTTATGTTACATTTTTTTCACCCAAAAACTGTTCAGTTTTATGTTTTAAATATAAGACCACATCCATTTTGTTTAATTTTTCTGAGGTGCACAATTTAGGCTCATTTTTTTTGTTGTTGTTGGCTGGTTTATTTATTTAATGGATGTTCAATTACTCAAGCACATTTGTTTAAAAGGGCATCTTTCTAATATTGAGCTCTTGTCCTTTTGTCAGAAATTATTTAGGCATATTTTTATGGGTTTATTTTAGGGTTCTCTCTGTCATTGTTGATCTATGCTTTAATCCTGCAAATATCACAGGCTTCATTAATGTAGCTTGTATATAGTAAGGTCTTAAAATTGGGTAGACAAATTCCTCCCACTTTATTCTTATTTTTCTAAATAATTTTGGCCATTCTAGTTCTTTTGCCTTTTTAGCATACGCTTTAAATAAACTTGTCTATATCTGCCAAAAAAAATTCCTGGCATTTTGATTACAGTTACATTAAAATCTTTATATTATTTTAGGGAGAACTGCCATCTTTGCTATGTTTAGACTCCCAACCATGAATTGTATATTGATCAATTTATTTAGATTTTATTATATTTCCTTCATCAGATTTTTAAAAATTTTTTTCTTTTTGTAAAGAACGGGGTCTCACTATGTTGCCCAAGCTGGTCTTGAACTCCTATGCTAAAGCGATCCTCCTACCTCTGCCGCCTTAAATGTTGGGATTACAGGCGTGAGTCACTGTGCCTGGCAGAATTTTTTAGTTTTCACCACACAAGTCTTGTACATATTTTGTTAGACTTACATCTAAGTATTTTGGGGAGTTGTAAATGATATTGTATTTTGAATTTCATTGTCAATATATAGAAATACAATTGGCTTTGGGATGTTTATCTTCTATCCTGCAAACTTTCTAAACTCAGTAATTCTAAGAAGCTGTTTTTGGAGATTGCTGGAGGTTTTCAAAATAATCATGTCATCTGTAAACAGTGGTAGTTTTATTTCTTTATTTCTGATATAATTTTTTTATTTTCTTTACTTGTCTTATTGCACTGGCTAGAAATTCAAGCACTATGTTGAATTGAAAAAGGGATAATGGACATCTTTCTCTTCTTCCCAATGTTTGCAGAAAAGCCTTCTTTTACCATTATGTAGATGTTAAGCTGTGGGTATTGTATAGATGCTCTTTGTCAAGTTGAGGAAATTCCCTTCTTTTTCTGTTTTATCAGAGAAGTTTTGTTTCTTGTTATTTTACAAATGGGTGTTGGATTTTGTCAGATACATTTTCTGTACTTGTTAATATAATTATGAAATTTTTATTTTCATCCCATTAATATGAAAGATCACACTGATTGATTTTCTAATATTGAACTAACCTCATATCCCTGCACTAAACCATAATTGGACATGACGTATCATTTTATGTATTCCTGAATTCTACACTAGGGATTTTATTACATCTTTCAAAATCCTTTTGAAAGTCATCCATCTTTCCTTTTTTTGGTCTTCATTTTTTCATTGTGTTCATGAGGGATGCTGGTCTGTGGTTTTCCATATTTTTACTCTTTGGTTCTGGTATCAGGGTAATACAAGCTTTATAATATGAATTGCTGAGTATTCCCTTCCCTTCTATTAATTGGTAGAGACTGTGTAGAATTGGTATTAATTCTTCTGTAAATTTTTGATAAAATTCCTCAGTGAAACCATGTGTGCCTAGGGATTTCTTTTTTGGAAGATATTAAATTATCAATTTAGTTTGCTTAATTCAAAATCTACCTTTTGTGTTTTCTAGCTACATGACATCTACAGGTTACTCAGCATCTCTGTGAGCTTCAGCTGTATTATTTGCAGTAATTATGCTATTGAATTCAAAAGAATGTAATGAAAGTTAAATATAATAATGAATGTAAGGTATTTGGTATATATTAAGTGCTTTATTCGTGTTTTAAAATAGCCTTTATTATCACCAGCACTCTTATCCTTTATTCATAAATTCAGGTAATAGAAGTAGAAAGGGAATAGATAATATCTCTTGGAAGCCACTCAGGGAAGGCCTGGGACTAGGCAAGTCTCAACTCAAGTAGGTGGACAGTGATAGGCAGAAGTAAGAAAAGGTACTCATCTGCTTTGGGCAAAATGAATCTTTTTTTTCTAATCTTTCTGTAAATGACAACCCTGGTTCCCTGAAATATCTTCATACCTACAGTAAAAATAAGCTGGCAGAGAATCAAGTGAAAAGAGGAACACTAAACCAAACAAAAAAATATCTGTTGAGCAAAGTTTGAAGATTATTTTGCAAACGTAAGTTAAAATATGTTTTGCTTGCTTAATATAGTTACACTTCATCTTTTTGCATAATCTTTTAGGAAAAGACACCATATCTACAGTATGATTATTATCCCCTGACATTTTTTCTATTCAAATACTTCCATTTCAATCCACTTGAAGAAATGTATCTCATAATACTAGTCCCATAAAAGGAAATTCTATAGGAAATTACTGCTACTTTTAATTCATTGAATTCGTCAATTAATGAACATACAGATTAACTCTATAAAAATGCTCTTTTGGCAGAAAGACTAATATTTGAGTTAAATAGAGAAGAAAAACACAGGTATGTGAAGATATACACAGACAAAAAAAGTCGTCTGAGGCAAAATCACCAAATGAGATTTTTGCAAAAAGACTGCCCCTACCAAACATATGCGTATGTAATACACATTTTAGAGGAAAGAAGGTAAACACAGGAGCCACAGACTTCTTAGAATGCTTAATGGGTTTAATAACAATTCTACATAAATATTATAATGACACTTAAGAAAAATACTGACATTATTCTCATAGAAGACTATTAGAAATGCATTCTGTAAGATAGAAATGTCATGTAAAATTGTTTAGATTCAGAAAAGACAATGGTTGAATTGCTCCCCCGCCAATCCTGCCTGATTGGGTCATGCATTCCTACCACAGCTACCCCAAGAAAACATTCCTGTCTTTTCCCCTACGCATCTCAGTTAGGACACTCTAAATGCCATATTGCTCCTTTCTATTTCCTGAAAGGATTGAAGATGCTTTGCCTTCTGTCTGCTTTGTATTCTATGCCTAGGCTCCTGAGCCTCAGGATCTTCAGCTGTTAGAAATCAGGGATGACTACATACTTTTTAAAGTATCACTCAAATATTTTCTGTAATTAATACTCAACAGTTTTTATGATGATAATCAATAATGCTTGCCAGGAGGAGAAGGATGTACATAAACCTCTCTGTGTTTATGAAGAGTATATGCATAAGCTGACAGAAAAATTGTGATGAAATTAACTATCTCTATGAGAAATTATCCTATTACATCTGTGATGGTTGGTTTTGTATGTCAACTTGGCTGGCCATGGAATACCCAGATTAAGCGTTATTTTTGGGTGTCTCTGTGGGGGAGTTTTGGTATGAGATTAGCATCTAAATCTGTGGACTCAATAAAGTAGATTGCCACCCCACTGTAAGTGAGCATTACCCAATCCACTGAGGGCCTGAGTAAGACAGAAGGTACAGGAAGAAAGAACTTGCTTCTTTTTGCTTCCTGCCTGCCTGACTGAGCTCATCTTATTTTCTCCAGCCCTCAGATAGGAATTCACCAACTACTCCACTAGTTCTTAGACATTCAGACTTGGACTGAATTACTCCATCAGCTTTCCTGGGTCAACAGCTTGCAGAAAGCACATTGTGAGACTTCTCAGCCTCTACAATCTTGTAAATCATTCTTCACAATAAATCTGTTCTGTTTCTCTGAAGAACCCTCACTAACACAGATTTTGGAACCAAGAGTGGTTCTAGAGGAACGTAATTTTAAAGATAAGTTTTCAAAATTGGTTCTGGAGTTTCTAGAATTGATTCTGTATTTGATAATATTTCAAGACACTAATAACTCTATTCTCAGGAGTAAAGGGAGCACTGATAGACTAGGGCCTAAAATTTTTATGGAGATATAGAAAATATCTGCATTGGATACTCCTAATCAACTACTTACAAGAAGTAAAGAGCTAGATACCTCTGTATAAAATACTTTTGAAGATTTTCAGAAAACTAACTAATAAAATGACACTGGTTGGTTGTTCCTGATGTTGCTGATCAAGTGGTAAAAGAAAAACATAAGCTAAGGATTTGAATTCCCAGCTCAAGTGCTGCATAAATGACTTAGGAGCTTCCATGTATGCCCTGAAGTATAGCCTTATCTCCTAGAGCTGCAGGACTGAAATTGTCAAAAATCCAAAGCAGAGCATTATCTTGCAACTGGCTGAATTACAAAGCAAGTTGAGCTTTCGGTCTGGCAGGAGGTCTACAGTTAAAATGAAGGCATTTAATTGAAAAAGAATGGGATCCTCTAAGTTGGAAAGGGAACACGTGGGATAGATCCTGATGAAGCTGTGGACATTGAGCCTCTAAGTTCTGATGAGTCTTCATTACCAGTAAAAGAGATCTCCCCAACCTCCAGCAGAATTGGCCTCCTCTACCCACAGTGACAGCAGTATTCCCACCCATAGTGGTACTGGCATCTCTGCCTCTATAGTTATAAAAGATTGGCCTTACATTGCCTAAGGAAACTGTAATGACCTCCCCCAAGGCAGATGCCATACAAGACAATGCTGATTCTCTGCAGAACCGACTCTTTGCTTCTAGACCTATAATTAGACTCAAGTCTCATCAGTCTCCTAAAGGTGAGGTACAATGTGTGACCCATGAGGAGGTATGTTAAACTCAAACAAACTACTTGAGTTTTTAATTTATACAGACAGAAATCTGGAGAACATGTACGAAATTGATAACTAAGGATGTGGGATAATGGTGGAAGGAACTTAATGTTGGATCAGGCTGAATTTGGCATGGACTCATTAAGCAAAGGTTCTGCATTAAATGTTGCAGCTTGTGGAGTTTGATTCTAACAGGTTGGTTGGTTAACTGCTGAGATATGGACCAAAAGGTAGTCCGGCATGAGAAAGTTGAAAATACTTGGCATGCCTTATTGCAATGTAGAAGAAATACAAAGGCTTAGGGATATATTGTAATGTTAGGGTAGATTTGTCATTTAAGGCCTACTTACCCATAGTGGGAGAGTCCAGAAGGCATACCTTTCACCAATACTGTGAATAATAAATTTGTCAGTGGAGCCCTGTCATCCTTAAAGATCTCTGTGATCACTGTCTGTAGGCCAGACCTCAGAGTGGGAACTGTAGTCACTGCATTGAGAAGCCTAAAGGCAATTGGAGTAATTGGATCCTGGAGTGGGAGGGGCCACTCAGTCACCACATACAAGGTAGAGCTGGTTACCTGGCTACTGTAATGGACAGTAGAGTTAAAGCAGCAATCAGAAGAGTCTGATATGTTGACCTATGGACCTATGGACTAGGCTTACTGATTATGGCATTTCTAGACGTGAAATAGAAAATCTGTCAAATTGTTACTTAATCTGTACAAGGGGTCTTTTAAAAGTTTATTTAAAAGCATATTATGAAAAACTATGCATGAATTTCAAAAATGTTTGCACCAAAATAAACTTGTACTAATGTTATGACATGTCTTAACAGGATCTAATTTGAGGCACTAAGGAGGATAAGACATCAGTTTGAAAATAACCCTTATCTCTAATAGGAATTAATTTTGCTCTCAAAATTAATTCTGCTAAAATGGAAGTAAGAACAAACTCCAAATTTATGGTAAAGCTTGGGTGGAAGAATGGTGAAATCACTGATGCTTTACAAAAAGTTGATGGGTGCAATTCCCAGAATAAAACAGCAGTTTACAAACAGATAACTTGCTTTAAGAAGGAGCAAGACAATTTTGACAACAAGGCCCACAGTAGAGGACCATACACATCAATTTTTGATGGAAAAATTTATCTTTTGCATTCTCTACTTGAAGAAGATCAATAATTAACAGCAAAGACAGTAGCCAACACCATAGACACCTCAATTGTTTCAGCTTACACAATTCTGCCTAAAAAATTAAAGTTGAACACACTTTCCACTTGATTGGTGCCAAAACTGTTGTGCCCAGATCAGCTGCAGACCAGACCAAAGCTTTCAATGGAAATTTTAAACAAGTGGGATAGAGATACTAAAGCATCTCTTTGAAAAATTGTAATCAGAGATGAAACATGGCTTTACCCGCACAATTCTGAAGACAAAAGCATAATCAAAGCAATGAATACCAAGAGGTGGAAGTGGTCCAGTCAAAGCAAAAGTGAACTGCTCAAAAGCAAAGATCATTGTAACAGTCTTTGGAATGCTGAAGATATTTTACTTGTAAACTTTCTAGAAAGTAAAAAAAAAAAAAAAGTATTTGCTTATTATGAGAAATTTTTGAGAAAGTTAGCCAAAGCTTTTGCAAAAAATCTCCCAGAAAAGCTTAACCAGAGAGTCCTTCTCCACCATGACAATGTTCCTGGTCATTCCTCTTATTAAATAAAGGCAATTTTGCAAGAATTTTGATAGGAAATCATTAATCATCCACCTTATAGTCTTGATTTGGCTCCTTTGACATCTTTTTGTTTCCAAACCTTAAAAAAATCTTTAAAGGCAAAATTACTCACTTTTCTTTAATTAATAATGCAAAGAGACTATACTGACATGGCTAAATTCTGAAAACCCTCAGTCTTTTAAGGATGGACTAAATGGTTGGTATCATTGCTTACAAGTGCAACTTGACTGGTGGAGTTTATGTTGAAAAATAAAGTCAATGTTTTTACTTTTTACTTTTTACTTTCATGTTTTTCATGATCTTTTTGAAGTCTTCTTGTGCAAGCAGCAAAGTTCTAGGTCAAGTGAACAAAAGTCTCACCTGAGTCATGGCCCCTCAATCATTTCCCATATTTGAGCCAGTTTACAAACCTAGAACTCCTTGAATGAAAGGTAGTCCAGGTCCTCTTGAGGAAGGACCCCAATGCACTTCCAAAATATTATAATGTTAATATTTCTTCTAGCCTTTTCCCAAAGGACCTATGGCATTTTATCAGGATAATTATACTCAAGGAAACCAAAATAATTCACTCACAAATATACTTCTTTGACATATTTCAAGATGCTTATCCAGAAGGGCTACAAATATAAGGATAACTGAAAAGCTGTCTTTCGTGGAATATATTTCCACGAAATATATATCCAAATCTGCATGGATAAAATCAGGCTTTTTCAGAGGCTCTCCTTGTCTGGATCTCAGAAAGTTATAACTTAGAGTCTGAAACCTTTAAAATTCTGAAAGGAATATTTACCATCTATTTATTTTTTTTTTTTCCTGAGGGCTGCCATCTGTGAGGTTTCATCTACATAATAATGTTGGAGCTTGTTCTATCCTGTAGTTCAGTGAGAGGAAGGGAGTAGCATCCAGTGGCTTTCCTTCTTCTCTCCCATTGTTTGGTGAGTGGGAGGGAGTGGTGCTCAGTGGCTCCTTCTCCTGTTTTTCACAGAGCAGGAAGGAGGGTTACAGCTATTTTACTCCCACTGCCCGCAGCTTGGCAAGTTCTGGGTTCTTGTCCCATGACCAAGTGGAATAAGGTACATGGACACCGGAGAGTGAATAAGGCAGAGTGGAATTTTATTGAGCAGCAGAAAGAAAGCTCTCAGCAGGGAGAGGGGACCCGAAATCAGGTTGCTGTCTGTGAGGCCGAGTCCACAGTTAAATGGGCTTAGAATGGGGGAATGTGTGCTGATTGGTCCATGGGTGGTCTTGGAAAGAGCATCATTCGATTAGTTAAAAGCCATAATTCAGAAGGGAGCAATCAAGAGAGAGTGGGTACGATGGGGATGGAAGTTCTCACTCTGGTCTTGGACTCTATCCGGAACTGTCAGTTGTGTTTTCAGGATTTAAACTGTCCTTGGCTTGAAGACTGGGTTTTTACCAGGGACCTGTCCCTGTCTGCCTAGGAATTTGTCTGTTTCCTATCGCTATCAATAAGACTACCTTTGTTAGTCAGGCATCTTCTCCCTCTCCCATAAGCTATTTTGCCCGTATAACCTGTGTTGCCATGCTTCAAGCTCCACATTATTGCTGTAACCACAAGATGAGTATAAAAGTGTCCACCACCTGGCCTTTTGAGTTCTTATATTTTGTAAACCTCCTTTACATGTTGATAAATTTGTATACTTTCCATCCTGTTAAGCTGACTTTTTTCAGTTGATTTTTCAGTGAATCATTAGAGAGCAAAGGGGGAGTTTTCCCTTGGTCCCTACAGTACACTGGGGAAAAGAAAATAATCAGACTTTTGGGGACTGCTGGACACTGACTCTAAATTGACACTAATCCCAGGACACCCAAAACATCACTTTGGCCCACCAGTTATAACAGGACTTATGGTTCTCAGTGGAATTTTAGCTCAGGTTCATCTCACAGCAGGTCCAGTGGGTCCCCACACCCATCCTGTGGTTATTTCCCCAGTTCCAGAATGCCTAATTGTAACAGATATAGTCAGCAGCTCCCCACATTTATTCCCTGACCTATGGAATGAGGGCTACTATTGTGGCAAAGGCCAAGTGGAAGACAATACTACCGTCAATATCTAGGAAAATAGTAAATCAAAAGCAATACTGCGTCCCTGAGGGATTACAGAAATTAGTGCCATCATCAAGAACTTGCAAGGTATAAGGGTGGCAATTCCCACCATATCCTCATTCAATTTGTGTATCTGGCTCATGCAGAAGACAGATGAACTTTGGAGAATGATAGTGCATTATTATAAACTTAATCAGGTGGTTACTCCAATTGAAACATCGGTACCAGATGTGGTTTTAATGCTTGAGCAAATTAAAACATCTCCTGGTACCTGGTATAGAGCTGTTAATCTGACAAAGGCCTTTTTCTCCATCCCTGTCCATAAAGCCCACCAGAAGCTGTTTGCATTTAGCTGGCTAGGCCAGAAATACATTCTCACTGTCCTACCTCAGGGATAGATAAATTCCCCACTCTGCCTCATAATTTAGTTAACAGGGATCTTGATCACCTTTCCCTTCTAGAAGATACCACAGCATTCCATTACATTGATGACATCATGCTAACTGGATGTAGGAGGCAAGAATTAGCAGCTACTCTAGATTTATTAGTAAAACACTTGTATTTCAGAGGGTAAAAAGTAAATCTGACTAAAATTCAAGATCATTCTGTCTCAATGGGATTTTTAGAGCTCCAGTGGTGTGGGGAAGTTCAAGATATCCCTTCTAAGGTGAAGAAAAAGTTGTTGCATTTGGCTCTCCCTACAACTAAGAAAGCGGTACCTCTAACGGGCCTATTTGGATTTTAGAAGGAACATAGTCTTCATTTGGATGTGTTACCTCAGCTCATTTAATGAATGACCTGAAAAGCTGCTAGTTTTAAATGGGGCCCAGAATAACAGAAGGCTTTGCAGCAAGTACAGGCTGCTGTGTGAGCTGCCATGACAATTGGGCCATATGAACCAGCAGATTGGGATGGTGTGAGGAGCCTTTGGTAGAATTCTATTGGTGAAGCACAGTGTGGACTTTTAGTATTTTGATGCAAGGGCCTGCATATAATTATTCTCCTTTTCTTTTCTTTTTTTTTTTGACAGAGTCTCACTCTGTTGCCCAGGCCAGAGTGCAGTGGCGCCATCTTGGCTTACTATGACCTACGCCTCCTGGGTTCAAGTGATTCTCCTGCCTCAGCCTTCTGAGTAGCTGGGACTACAGGTGTACACCACCGCGCCTGGCTAACTTTTTGTGTTTTTAGTAGAGATGGGGTTTCACCATTTTAGCCAGGATGGTCTCAATCTCTTGACCTCATGATCCGCCCACCTCGGCCTCCCGAAGTGCTGGAATTACAGGCGTGAGCCACCGCGCTCGGTCTAGTCTCCTTTTCAAAAACAGCTATGGTCCTGCTACTAGGCCCCAGTGTGATGGTTACTACCGAGTGTCAACTTGATTGGATTGAAGGGTACAAAGTATTAATCCTGGGTGTGTCTGTGAGGGTGTTGACAAAAGAAATTAACATTTGAGTCAGTGTGCTGGGGAAGGTGGATCCACCCTTAATCTGGTGGGTAAAATCTAATCAGCTGTCAGCAAATATAAAGCAGGCAGAAAAGGAGAGACTGGCCTAGCTTCCCAGACTTGATCTTTCTCCCGTGCTGGATGCTTTCTGCCCTCAGACATCAGGCTCCAAGTTCTTCAGATTTGGCACTCAGGCTGGCTGTCCTTGCTCCTCAGCTTGCAGACAGCCTATTGTGGGACCCTGTGATTGTATAAGTTAATACTTAGTAAACTCACCTTTTTATATATGCTATGCTTGTCTAGAGGTTTGGTTCTAGAGGGAGAAATGCTTCTATCAGGAGACCCAATGTTTCTACTGAACTGGAAGTTAAGACTGCCAGGCCACTTGGACTTTTCATGCCTTTGAATCAACAGGCAAAGAATTGAGTTACAATGTTGGCTTAGTATTACCATGGCCCGTCAATGGAAAACTACAACAATCCCAACCAGGCAGAAATAGTAATGGCCCCAATCCTTCAGGAATGGAGGTGTGAGTCACCCCGCCAGGAAAAGAGCCATGACCAGTTGAGGTACATGTTGAAAGCAAGAGAATACAGCATGAGTAGCAGAAGAAGGTAGCTATAAACACCACCTAAAACCATGTGATCAGCTATAGAAACAAGGAAAAAAGGACTGTAATGGTCATAAGTGTTTCCTCCTTACTTTGTTATGAATAAGTGTATGTGCATGTGCATATATATATTTGATTCCTTCCCTTTTTTATTCCCTTATCATGTGGCATAAGACGTATTAATTCTACATCATAGGACTTAAGTTGCAGGATACCAAGGAGAAGAGTAGACATCACTCCACGAACTTTACTTCCTTTTCTGGGAAAAGACCAGCGCATTTTCAGTTGTATGCAGGATAGTTGCATCATGTTAGGCAGAATTATGATCTTGTTACTGTCTTTGTTTGGAGATTAAGAATGGTTTAAGGGGTGTGCATGGGTGCTCAGCTGACAAGGAGTGGACATCTGATGGTTAGCTTTGTGTGTCAATTTGACTGGGCATGGGGTTCCCAAATTAAACATGGTTTCTGAGTGTGTCTGTGAAGATGTTTCCATATGAGACTAGCATTTGAATTGGTGAACTTAGTAAAATAGATTGCCCTCCCCAATGTGAGTGGGCATCATCCAGTCTACTCAGAGCTTTAATAGAACAAAAGGTGTAGGATGGAAGAATTTGTCCCTTTTTTTTCTGCCTGCCTGATTGAGCTGGGACATCTTCTCTCATTTTCTCTAGTCCTGGGACTAACAGTTACACTATCAGTTCCCCCCGTCTCAGGATTTTGAACTGGATCTGAATTAATTACACCACCATCTTTCCTGGATCGCCAGCTTGTAGAAGGCACATTGAGGGACTTTACAACCTCCATAATCTTATTAGCCTATTGCTCATAATAAATTAGTTTCTCTCTCTCCCCCCGATATATGTATATGTGCATGTGTGTATCTATATATACATGTATATATATACATATGTGTGTGTGTATATATATATACACACATATACACACATATATACATATACACACACACACACACACACACGCACACACATATACCCCACACATACACACACATACGTATATATGTTTCTGGTTTTGTTTTCCTGGAGAGAAACACACAAATATATGCTACTGGCTCAGTTTTTCCAGAAGTCCCTGACTAATATGTAATATTACGATTGCTGTCCAAGTCTGGGAATTGTCCCACTTATTTATAGTCCTTTTAAATTAAGAGTGGGCTTACTTTAACTTTTATTACAAACTATAAAGATAATTTTAATCATTGCTAATCTTGATTTAATTTCCAATGATTCCAATTATTGCCACCACTAATACTGATATCAAATTTTTTAAGTAGTAGTTATGTCTATAATTCACTTTTGGCTTTCTCATGTTTTCTTTTCTTATTAATTTTACAAAAGCAATCATTTTTCTGGAAATGTCCACTGCAAACAGTAGGCAACAGTGAGTGTTATAGCATTTAAATTAGTAGGCCCACTAAAAGCTACTCAGCTTAATAAGGTCAGTAGTATGTTTTCTGGCTTCTCTCAGACTATTTTTTGAAGATTTTGCAAGTATTATTTTTAATTTCTGCAATGTCTCTGAAGATTTTAAAAATTTTGTTAACATTCTTGATATAATTCAATTTATAAACCAATGCTGAATTGAAGTCTTACCAAATTATGGTAGATGAAATTATCATCCTATTAGAAATATTTCAAATATACAGAAAAGTTTAGAGAATAAAACCATGAATAGTTGTGAACCTACCACAAAGATTTAACAAATGTTAAATGTTTCATTTTCTTCAGTTCATTTATAAAAATCAACATAAAAATCACAGATTTACTAAAATCTGCACCTACATTCCTCTTACCTTCCCTGAAAATAGCTACATTCCTGAAAGTAAAGTGTCTCTTCGCCTTGCTAATTTTTTATACGTTTACTGCATATTTATATGTTCACATAGAGAATGCTTATTTTTCTAATATTTACATAAATGGTTATAAAAGTTTTCAAAAACTTATCTCACTCATACAATTAAAAATAATTAAAAAATATTAGAAAACGATAGTGCTGTAATAAACAAAGCACGTAAGGAAAATTTGGAGTAGGTGAACTGGGAGTAGGTTGCAGTTTAAATAGAGATGTCAATGTAGGCCTTTTGGTGTCATTTGCACAAACTTTTTTTTTTTTCCATTTACTCATTTACTTATTTTAGAGACAGGATCTTATTATGTTGTCTAGGCTGGTCTTGAACTCCTGGCCTCAAGCGATCCTCCTGCCTCATCCTCTGGAGCAGTTGAGCTTATAAGTGTGAGTCACAGCACCAGTCTTGAGCAAACAATTAAAGGAGAAGAGAGAAAGTGATTTATTTTCCTCATCTATTATTACATTGGTCTGGGTCTCCAGATACAAGGATAAAACCCTCTTTTTCCTTAGTGATGCTTTTATGTTTTAATCCTTGCATCTAATACTAATATTATTATACCAGTTAATTCTATGTGAGTGTGTTTGTGTGTAAGATGTAAGAAGTGTAAAAAGTGATTACAATGTAACTAAACATCTCTCACCATTATTTTACTTTTACCTGTTTATTTTTAATTGTATGTTTCTCATTTGTAAATTTTTGGTCGATTTTAAAGAATCAAATGGCTTTCTGTTTCTTCAACACTGTTAGACACTGTCCCTTTCGGGCTGAGTTAGGTATGTTTGAATTTATTATGATTGCTTTTTAATGTAATTTATTTCTGCCACCTGTTGTGTATGCGTTTTGGTCTACTAAGATCTTTCCTCGTTCATTTGATTTTCCTCTCTGGCTTCTGAGGATAGATAAAGCTTTCTGTATTTTCTTAGTATTTACTATGGGCTTTGAAAACTGTGTATACCATTTTTCAAGTTACTTACCCTTATATGCTTAATACAAATAATCAATATAATTTTCAACGAAGTCTAACGTAGCTCAATATCTTTATTACTGTTCTAAAAGATACTTAGCATGCTTTATTCAAAAATGAACATCTCCCTTAGTTTCTGTGGAATCATTATCCAGAATTTTAGTACTTTCTTTTGAAACATAAAGAAATTACTTATTATTATTATTTATACCACTCAATAACTCATTTCATTTGTGAGTTATTTCTTCACATTGACTTCACTTTTTGGGTGTGTGTGTGTGTGTGTGTGTGTGTGTTTAGTAATTTTTTTCATTGAGAGCCTATTTGTACTGAACTTTGTGACTGCATGCTTTATTTCCCTCTATTCCTGGACTGGTTATTATCAATTTATAGAATTCTATTTTACAGTTAATTTGCTTGACAATTTTGGATTATTTTTCCATTGTCTTCTGATGTCTCTTATTGCATGGGATATCTTCTATCTTTAAAAAACATAGGTAACATGTTTTTTTTCTCTAGTCGGTTTTAAGATTTTTCTCCTTATCCTATATATTTTGCAGTTTCAGCATGATAGTCTAAGTATTTATTTTCTATGCTTATATTTTTATCTATTTCTCCACAAACATAAATACCTATGTACGTATGTATTATTATTTCGACCTATTTCTGTTAATTCATCCATCCATCATTTGTCCATGCATGTCTGTCTTTCCAGGTCAGCACTAGGTGTTCAGTTTTAGGTAGAAAATGTGTGTCCTCTTTCAATTCTAGACAATTCATGGAAATAATCTTTCAAATATCAACTCTCAACCTCCATTCTCTTTACTTGGCACTCCTAACAGTCTTATTTTGCCTATTTTCAAACTATTGTTGGTATCTGTTAACTGTTCCTTTGTTACTTTAACTTCATCTATGCTACTTTTGGGGAATAATCCTCTACTCTCTTTCAATCCACTAATCTCTTTGATTGTTTCCAATATAGGCATTTTTCCCATCTAATGAGGTTACAGCACCTCAATGACTATATTTTCTTAGATTTGTCTCTTTTCAAGTACACCTGTTATTTTTTTCATTTCTGTTTAATTCATTATTTCTTATTGCTGTTATCTATTTATATGTTTTCTTTCCTACCTCTCATAATGTTTAGTCATTATATAATTATTAATTCTGGTCTTAGAGCTGATTTTTATTGTCTGATTTTCATTCAATTGGTTTTATTAGTTATTGTGCTTTGATGTTTTAGGCACATTTTGAGTAGAAGATGTTCTTCTCCTTGTATTATTCTCACTTCTTCCTTTATAGAAATTTTTTAGTTGTCTCCATTCAATCCTAAATCCAACTGCCAAAAAACAAAATTTATGTTAGTGAATTGCTATTTCCAGGAGTGCAGCATAGCGCTATCACTACACAACTCCAATGGACCCATTTCATTGGACTCCAAAGTGAGTGATAGCCCAGAGAATTGTGCAATATGCCATCTACACATTGCAGGCTGCTGCCTTAGGGGACACCATTCAATAGTGAAAGTGGGAATAAACCTGTGAGTGGATTAGTGTAAGATTCTAGCTGCTTCTTTCTTTTTCTCTGTATATACTGTCCCAAGCAGCAGGCACTTCATTTTTAAAGTTCTTTTCATTAACTGGTTAAATTCATCATAGTACCTGGATCTGACCTTTGAACCTGCTTCTGGTGTCTCACTTTTCATGGTTTTTTTCAGTTGCCATGGATTTAAAGCAACTGAAGCTTCAGCCTCTTTTATTTGAACAAAAAGCAAAGTCCAACATGTGTGCGTATTTGGCTACATATATTACTTTTTATTCCTCCCAATTTTTAGTCCATGGAGAAGTCTATCTTAATCTTTAGAGAATTTTTTTTCCTTTTTAAAATATCTAGTTTATCAACATAGTAAATGTTTATAATAAAATGATATGAACTTGCAATTCTATCTTGGCAAGAATCCCAAGGAAATTATGCTTATGCTTCTTTCTGGTTCTCAAATTTTCCAAGCCAAAACTTCCATATAGAGTAATTTTACCAAAAATTTAGAGAATTTGAGTCTAAAGTATATTTCCTTTAATTAAAATATATTTTATATTTATAATAATATTTTAGAAAATATCCTAGACCAGTTCAAATGGTTTCAGATTATTCTAACTTTGATTCTTTTTCTAAAAATTTTCAAGTAATAATTTCACGAATATTTATATATATTCTAGGATATTAAGATTACAGTTCCTCATATTTTACTCAGAAAGTAGTTGAGATCTTTTCTTTTATAAATTTACATTACAAAATGGCATAAAATTCTTTGCTTCCCGCGTCGTAGGTTTGCAGAGAAGCTTAGTTTCTATTCTTGTTATGACTCTAGCTTAATTTGCAGTCTTCATGAAGACCTAACTTTCACTCAAAGTGCTATGTTGTGATGTTTATAAAGATCAAAATATATTCTTCATCCAATTGATATTTGAATGGTTTCAATTAATACTTTCATATATTTGTTAGGATTATTACCTCACATTGTACTATATATACATTATATGGCTATAGAGTCTACAATAAAATTGGTAAAAATAATCTGGGTCTTGTATACGTATAAATTAAAATTTAGTTAAGCTCATAACATTTAATACCTAGCTCTTTACTGCTAGTGATGTAAATATGTAATTTCAAATTGAGAAAATAGTAAACATAAATGGGCAATTAATAATTATTCTCTATTTTGTAAAAATGTGAATAGCATCGATATTGTTTTAGATTTTAACGTGAAAATATTTAAAATAAGGCATTGTACTCATGTTCTTAACTCATGTGGCACCTCCTTTATGGATATATAGTGTGTCTTTTATATTTTTCTGTAGTACCTTGTAACAGTCACATCTTCTTTTTCTAGACAATGAATATCTGTTATATTTGCCTATTTGGTATTCATAAGCTGCCCTCCTTTTCCTGATAACATATAAATTTCCTTTAAGAATCCCTGATGCTGCTATTCTCAGATCATTTTGCTCCAGAAGTCTCCTTTATTACAGGGCAACAGGGATAAATATAACCTAGGCCCAGAAAATTAGAGCCAGGGCATTTGTTGTAGGGATAAGCAAGTGTGCTGAGATGCCAATTTCAGGACTTTCCCTGAAAAATTAAAAACATGATAGCCTATTCTGCCAAGTTTGCAAACTAGTTGGGTATTCATCTATCACTGCTGGAGTAATCCTGTTGTCAGAAGGAGAGACAAGGAAGTTCTTGGAGAAAAAAAAAATAAAAAGCTGAGAGATGAAGACAAATTCCTGAGGGCATGAAACTATGCCTGAAGCTGTAACAGTTCTGGTATTTTTCAGTTAAGTCTATAAATTCCCTCCGTGTCTCTTTCTATAGTAGTCAATTAGAGTTTTGTTTCTCTCTAACTGCAGGAGTTCTACCTCACACATATAATTGTCTGGTCTTTCCTCTGTTTCACCTACTATATTTTAGGTTTCTTGAGAACTGAGATGATTTCTTATTATCTGTTTTATGCACAGTTCTTATCCTAATGACCAACTTAAATTTTTAATAAATAAAGAATGAATAAATACACAAATTTCCATAGATATATTACTGTAGTTATTAAGTAAAATTATCATTAGATAATTTTTTGTATAATTCTCAGCTCAATATATTAAGTTGGCAGAAAATAAACATGGTTTTTCTCCTACTCTGTCCCATGGGAAATCATTATGAAGAATTAGAATTCAAATTAGAAAAATAGTTATTAACTATGGTGTCAAATCATATTGATTAAATAAGATCAGTATTGTTGTGTTTCACAAGTGATATAAAACGACGTAGAAAGAGATAGATTTGAACATATAGTCCTGGAAATAGCTCAACATGCATCCTCTCTTCTCTGCCACAGAAGCTCTTGCTTTCGATGATGATGTCATCAACCAGACATTTTATGGTAGAATAATTTTGAGTATTATTGCTCTTTAAAGCATCTCCTTTTGGGGCTTTTTAAATTTGTTTTTGTTCTAAAAAATTGTGTATTATGAAAAGCATGTCCTCAAAATAGCTTTAACAATTTTAATATTTTGTCATATTTGTTTATATTTCATTTGTGGTCATTTATATTTTGGTGTTATTTTAAAGCCAGGAATAGATATCATGATGTCTCATCATAAATTCTTTAATACATAACTCCTAGGAATAGAGATGTTCTCTTACAAAGCTAAGATGTCATTATAATGACTAAAATAATTGTCAACCATTTACAATGTAATATCCAACCCATATTCTAATATCTTCAATTGTCATAAGAATGCTCTTTAGAGGTTCCTCTTTTAGATAGACAGAAGTACTGCAAATTGTTGTTTTATTATAGACTAACAAGTCTTTTGTAAGTGATGTTTATATGAACAAATAGATTAGATGATCATTTCCTGAATGTTCCCCAAAATACTAATCCCAAAGGTGACAATATTTGCTCTACAGAAAATAGCATTATGAAGCAAATAAGTTTTTACAGTAGAAAATCCTATACAAAACTAATAAATACTTAGAAATATGAAAAGGGTAAACAAACTTGCACATTGAGGTAGTTGTAGAAAATATCCCAAACTATTCAAAAATCACACATTAATGCTTCCTAAATGTTCATCATCCTTCACTATAACTACGAAGAGTCCAAATGAAATGTAATAAGATAAGATTAACTAGAAAAAAAGAGAGATTTCACTGTAAAGAGTTTCAAGGATAGAATAAGGACACTGAACTTGAATCTGTCTTTAGTGAAGAAGTTTTGCACAAGATAAAGACTTGATGGAAATAATAATTGGGTAAAAAATGAATGCAGCAGAAGAGATTGCAAAAAAAGAATTAAAACACAGGCTGTTACAGTAACCCAGGTGGAAACTGATGAGAATAGAATGTTTGCTTTTAATTCATAGGTGTCATTTGGCCAGCAGACGCCAAGAGGCTCTTGATGAAACAGTGGAATGAACACACTAGGGTATAGGTACTCCAAGTCCTTATCTTAGATCTGTAATCAGCTGTGTGACCTTGTGTAACTCAAGAAGTAGGTCTATTCCTCAACTGAAAATAGAGGAATGAAATAGATGACAACTAAGGTACAGCTCTAAATTCCTACTAATTCCAGAATAACCTTGCCACATCAGCCATCCTCCATTATACTTGGAGCTGCTTGAATTTTGCAAATATTGTAGAAATAAAAGCATTTATTTTTAACAGAGGTTAAAGAGAACTCTAGAAACAAATCATGAGAAAGTGATAACTTTAATGTAGGTTGAGTTTTCTCTTAGTATTATCTTTACAGCTACTGCATTATAAAACAAGTTTAAAAAAGCAACATGTGATCAGAATATCTCAAAAGAAATTCTATCCCGAAATTTAAGAATTCTAACTATATTATTTATATCAGGCACTTAATAGTATTTTATATGTACAGACTGTGATTTAATTTACGATAGTTTTAACTACTCACCTGGTAGCACTTGGACTCCTGCTATAGTCCTAGTGCTCCTCAATCTCTAGCATTTCAGGTCAAATATGAATAGAGGCCATGTTTTCAAGGTTATGAAACATGGGAGTGAAACATGAAGGAGGGAGGAAGTCATGAAGTTAAAGACTTCAAGTTCAAGTGAAGCTAGGACCAAGGAGTGTACAGATTATGTAGGAGATGTCACCATCCCCAAGAACATGGAGGTCATATTTTAATAGCATCCATGTAAGAAATGCAGGGCTTTTCCAAGAGACATGTAAGAAATTTGGAGTCCCCTACTAAGTTTTTATGAGTAAAGAACGCATAACACTGGGACAATATTTTTTTTTTGCCAAAGTATTTTTCTTAAGTTTTAATATCTTTGGCATAATTAACTTGAATCTCTGCCTGACAAACATCTCAATCAAATGTGTATAATAATTCAGTGCCAATGGTGTAGCAGTGGCTTAGACCATAAAAGTGCAAGGAATGGGGAACATTAAAAATGGTGAATGTAGTTGTTACCTCAAGAAAATTGTAGTCTTGTTGCTCTAAACTACATGTATAAAAGTGAGCAATAGGTCCTTTATTCAGCATCCCCTAGCAATTTTTAGGAATATCAGGGTGTTTGCACAAACAAGAAAAATATATTTCTGTTGATTTTCAATCTGAAACTTTCAGGATTGCATTTACTTCCCTGTTTTCCACTAAATCTGATGCACAAGCAAATCACTGTTAAACATGTTCGGATTCTGCATTAACTCCTTCAAATCAGATTCTTCATTTAGTCCTTTAATTTATCTAAGTTTTTCCTGGAGACTTGAAAGAATTCGTGCACGTTGCAAACACGAATTACTTTTTATATTTGGGAATTGGCCTGAAACTAGGAAATATGATCCTTAAAGACTAGGCTCAGAGGTCAATGACACAAGCACCCATGGTGCCATTCTCAAGATGCTACAATGATTTGGAAACAAGTGACCTATTGTCTAGTTTCTACCAATCTAGTGAAACCTAGTCACTCATGGCAATTAATCTATACCCAGACTGATTGGATCTTGGTTTAAACTTGACTCTCATTGTTATTCTCAGCCATGTTTAGACTACAACATTATGGGATAGCTCTCTGACATTTAAATATAATGCAAGCCACAAATGTGTTCTGCAAATGTCAAGTTAAAGCTTTGTAGTAGCCATATCAGAAACATAAAAACATAATATTAATTTTAATAATTTATTTTATTCAATATACCCCATATATTAACAGTTCAAAATGTCATTTATATTTTTAAAACACTAAGGAATAAATTTTTCTTACTAAGCCTTTCTTTTTTTTTCTTGAGACAGAGTCTCACACTGTCATGCAGCCTGCTGAAGTGCAGTGGCACAATCTTGGCACGATCTTGGCTCACTACAGCCTCCATTTCCCAGGCTCAAGCGATTCGTGTGTCCCAGCCTCTCAAGTAGCTGGGACTACAGGCATGCGCCACCATGCCAGGCTACCATTTGTATTTTTGGTAGAGATGCTGTTTCGCCATGTTGGCCAGGCTGATTTCGAACTCCTGGACTCAAGTGATCTGCCTGCCTTGGCCTCCCAAAGTGGTGGGATTACAAGTGTGAGTCACGGCGCCCGGCCTACTTACAAAGTCTTTGACATGTGATGTTCATTTTATATTTATGGGACATTTCAATTTGGAGTAGCCACCTTTCACCTCTATAGCCATGTGTGGCTAGTGGCTACCATTTGAGACAATGAAGTTACAGTTTCAGATGTTTTAAACAGTCCAAGCAGAGCACCATGAGCTTGAAGATTATTAAAATGCTCTTTGATTTTGATGGTATAACTAAAAAGTGGCATTCTGGAAGCTCAGAATAGATCTCGCTGAAATACGCCAGATTTCTCAATATTTATGAGCATAATCCCTGTAAAAAATTATCTGTTTATTTATTTTAGAGATGTAGTCTTGCTACGTCACCTAGGCTGGAGTGCAGTGGTGTGATTATAGCTCACTGCAGCTTCAAACTTCCAGGATCAAGTGATCCTCCCACTTCAGTTTCCTGAGTAGCCGGGACTACAGGAGAACTCCACCACACCTGGCCTAGTAACAGGAAGTTTTAATAATACTGAAGTTGCTCTCAGTTTTAAATTATTTACTCAGAATTACAAAATAAGAAAGATTACATGCTTTTAAACATTGGCTTTTCTAGATGAAAACCCATGCTTCTCATGAAATTCTTATTATTCAAACGTGAAATTATTCAAGTTATTCAACGTGAAATTCTTTTCATATGATTTGTAATTATTCCAAATACATAATCATGGAAATGGAAAAATGAGTATATCATATCAACTTCAGGTGAAGGTGATAATTCAAATTACTTATGTAATTAATTAAAACAATATTCTAATGTCAGAATTCCCTGAGCTGATCATATTTATCCTGTCACTAGAGTTTTAAAAATTGGGCTATCCCTTATTTTGAGGTAAGTAAATATATATATGTAACATAAATATATATATGTATATATACACACACACACAACCATTTTTAAGGGTACAGTTATGTGATATTAAGTATATTCACATTATTGTCTAACCATCAGCACTATGTATCTTTAGAACTTTTTTATTTTCCCCAACTGAAACCTCTTTACTCATCAAACTAACTCCCTCTCTTCCACTCCTTCTCAGCCCTAGCAACCACCATTCTACCTGTGTTTCTGCGAATTTGACGACTCTAGGTATCTCGTGTATGTGGAATCATACATTTGTATTTTCGAGAACTGGCTTGTTTCACTTAGCATAAGGTCATCAAGCTTCATTCATGTTGTAGTATGTGTCAAAATTTCCTTCTTTTTTAAGGCTAATATTTCTTTACATGTATAAGCTACATTTTGTTTATCAAATCATGCTTCTATGGACACGTGGGTTGCTTTTGGAGCTTTTAGTTATTATGAATAATGCTGCTTTGAACATAATTTCCAAATATCTGTTTGAGTCATGGGCTTTCACTTTTATTACCTGTCTTTAGTTTGGGGCCCAGTTATTTTTCATGCTTTTGTCTCATTAAAATGGTATTGAAGTTTTCTTTCACTTTAGAATGAAATAAAATAAAGCCATTTTGTGTGTGTGTGTGTGTCTTGATAGTATTTATAGTCCTTCTTCCTAATAGAACAGATACATTCACTCACGTGGACATTTAAATTTTTTCTGCCCCTTATTTTCTAGTTCTGATTCCACCATATTTTCTAAAGTCATTCTTCTTTAATATTAAACCACTTCACCTGTAGAAATATCAGCATACTGAATTCCAAAAATTAAAAATGTCTCTAGAATATTCTAAGCTACAGCTCCCAGGGTCCCAGATAAATTATCCCAGTGTCACATTTTCTGTCAGAATTTATCTTGTCAAATATCCCAGGCTTCAATCTTTCAACCCTCTTCACTCTATTAATTCTTCTCTTAGCTCCCACACGTGAACTATTCTTGGTATTAAAAACTCATTTTTAAAGCAATACAATTTCAACAACTAAAATACCATGTGTGCTTGATTAGGGTAAATTTAGCCCTATGAAACTGCACCTTAGCAATTTTGCAGCATCAGTTAAGTGCTTCCTCTATCTCCAATTCCCTTTTATTCCCAATCCACAACTCACTTTCCATTGTGATTCCTTCCCCTCTAGTAAATATGACTTTGAGAACACATGATCCAAACCAAGGAAAAACAAATAAAAACAGTGAAGCAACAAATACGATCTAAAAATAGGAGAGCAAAGCTCTTAAAATCCTGAGAAAAAGTAGACTTTTCTCTAACTTTTTCAATGCCATATTTGGAATGTTCAAAGATGTGTGAGAGGAATTCAGTAATTTTATTAATAACCAGAACTATTCAAAGGACCTTCACCACCTGAATTTCTAACACTCGGCGTTCCTTGCTTTAAGCTATTTTTATTTGCAAGTCTTAGAAAAAAAGGAAGAGATATATAGATAAGCAGTAGTAAATAATGCAACATTTAATTTTTACTTCAACTTCAATAAATAAACTACTCTCCTATTTAGTATACCTATGAGGATTGCTCTTGGGAATGTCAAGCAACCACATAAATGAGTACCAATGAGAGAGATAACATGGAAACAAAGTAATCTGCAGCACAACCTCAGGCTAGCGGAGTGTGCCTGAGAGCCACCAGAATTGATGGCTGTGGAGCCCTTTAGCAGCCACCAGATATTTTCTCCCCAGAGAACATTTCTCTCCTCTTTCTTATCTAACCTTTTTGCTTCACCTTGTATTACCTTTGTCTCTTGTAGACTGTATATAGCTGTATGTTATTTTTAACTCAAAATTAAACTGTATGCCATTTAATAGAAAAATTACATATATTTATATTTATTGTAATAACTTACTCCTGTCATCTTGCTTTATGCTTTTAAGCTGTTTTGTTTTATATGTTTTGTGATATATAATGTTTTCTTTCATTGAATCTTTTACTCTAGTGATTTTTTAAAATCCTTCATTAACTTCAGTAGTTATGATCCATTTGTTATATTATTTACACATTTTCATTGGTGTTATCTGAAAACTAAGAAATGAAATTATTTGCTTGTGTTTTTATATTATGTGTTTGCTTTTGATGAACAATTTTGAAAATTTCTATTCTATCGCCATATTTTAAACAAATATTTACAATGCATTCTATTTATATTCAATTTTAGTAATTGCTATTAATCTTATATTCCATACGTTTTCTCAATTCTGTATTTTAGTTTATTTTCTAGTTGTTGGAAGACCATAGTGAACATTACAATTGATTCCTCAATATTTATTCCACCCAAGATGGGTAATCCAAGCCAACTAGAGACTGGTTCAGGCATGGTGAGTGACCCAATTCTATTTAATGGGATATAAAAGGATATCCTTCAGAGAGCTTCCAGAAAAAGTGTCTTCTCTCTTAAGATATAACCACAAGAAAAGTTGGCTCTTTTCTTTCTCTGGACATTGGCTACGACCATTACAACCACTTTATTACCAGAGTGAGGTCAAACCAGTACCAAGAACAGCAAAATAAAGTGATGGAAAAAAATGGGATTTTTAAAATGATAACACTGAGCTGTTTTTATCAAGCCTGAAGCCTACATTACCTCTCCCTTCTTGCTGTATGAAAAAACACAGAGATATGTATTGTAGTCACTTTGAGTCAGGAATTCTGTTATTGTGGCTGAAAACATTCTCTACAATAAGAATTTTTTAAATTAATTTTTTATTAAAAATGAGTAATCTTCAAGATCGAAAGACTTATATAAATGTTTGGGTATTGGTATCTGTTACATTCATTTATGAATGGAAATGTGATTGAGCTAAGAATTCTGGACTCATTTCCCACTCAACATTCAACTGACAAACGTTATTTTTCTCTGAAAATTGGTTCTGAAGAGGTAAATTATGAAATCTGACCAAATATTCCTCCTTTAGATTACTTGCTTAAGGTGCTTGTAAATGTTTTCTTTATCCTTCAAATTCTAAAATGTTATGAACATACTCTAGGTAACTTTATTCATTTAACCCTTTTGATCAACAGAATTATGCTCTTCTTCAGCTCAGAAAAGTTTTATTCTAATACATAACTAATTAATATTTGTGATCTATTCCTTTTGCTCTTTTATTCTGGCATTTTAATTACAGCATTTTATAGTTTCTCTAACCTCCATATTTCTTCTTTTTTCTAATAGTTAATCCTTTTCCTGTCATTCTACATTATTACACATGAAATATTACGAATTGTGAATGAATACAGAGGGGTATAAACAGGAAATGGATTGATATAGAAAGTAAGAAAACATGTTCCACTTTGTTTTTATGTTTATTGAAGTCTCCTTGTTTCCATCTTTATAGTGGCTGCTTATCTAACTGTGAGTGATGGCTGTCACTATTCACTGTGGGACAGGTATCAAATGTCAGCAATCTCTTCTGTAAGTAAAGTCTGCATCCAGCGCATCCCATTCACAGACCCTGATACGGAAAATGTGTCTCCAGCTCATCCTCTCTTGCTCATCCTAAATTAGTAGAGTCCTTGCTCCCAGGTCCCCTTACAGCAGGTCTCCCTGTTGATTATGGCACACACAAAATATCTCAAGTCTGGATATCTTTTGGCAAATCCATTTAACCTATGGGGAACTCACACATCCTTGCCATGCCAAAAGATGAGATACAGGTTGCCCCATTTCTGCCCTCTCTTTTTGCAGCTATTCATTCCACATGATTATTTTTTTCTCTTGCTTACATAGGTGCTATGGCACATTACCTAAGTCTAACCAGAGATCTGACAAAGAGTTATGTGCCTTGTTCTCTTCTAGCCATCCTGATCTCTAGGAGTGGCTCTCTTGGTGACCCCATCCCCTGGGTTTAGTGTTGGGGATAGAGAACTTCAAACCACAGAACCACCCACCAAGCGGGTTCAGAACTCCCTCTTCCTCCCTTTGATTATTTCCTTATTCAACAGCAGCACAAAAAGAGGTCATGAGGAGGTCACAGACTGTGTACAATCGTGATAAGAACACATTGCTGGGAACACACTGGGGGAAAGCATTCCCTGGACCAGATCTGTTGGGTACCAGGGGATGGATAAAATATAACTGCTCAGGTGAAACTGAAGGAAGAATATGCAGCTTTTAAATGTAAATGGCTCACGCTGCAAGCTGTTATAATACTAGGCATTGCTATATTTTATCTCTGTAGAGAGTAACCACAAAGTCCTATTCTTTCATTAAAAATTATCTCAGGTGGGCACAGTGGCTCACGTCTGTAATCCCAGCACTTTGGGAGGACGAGGCGGGCAGATCACTTGAGGTCAGGAGGGCGAGACCAGCCTGGCTAACATGGTGAAATCCCGTCTCTACTAATAAAAATACAAAAATTAGCTGGACATAGTGGCATGGTCCTGTAGTCCCAGCTACTCTGGAGGCCGAGACAGGAGAATCGCTTGAATCTTTGAACCTGGGAGGCAGAGGTTGCAGTGAGCAGAGATCATGCCACTGCACTCCAGCCTGGGTGACAAGAGTGAAACTCAGTCTAAAAAGAAAATAAAAAAGAAATAAACCTCATGTTCCTTTTCATTCTCCACCCAGACTGCCAATTTGCTGTTTGTTTTTCTCAACTCTTCTCCATGTTGAATCCTGGAAGTTATTGAAACAATCCTTGATCATTGCTTTTAGTCTCTAGTTGTTGTTAGGCAAAAGGATTTGCGGCTCCTCATCAGAATAGCAAGTGAATAAAGAGCATGGATTATGGAATCAGACCAGATTTACACTTCTGACTGCATGTTATAACTGTGCCACCTCTCTAAATCTTAATTTTCTTGGTTGAAAAAAATAGCAAAAACAATACTATCTCGTACATTTGATGTAACGATTAAATGAGATGACGAGAGCAAAGGATTTAACATGATTTTTTACATATGCACGAATTTAATTATTCCAATAGGATGATATCTACATTCTGTCAACACTTTGTAATAGCAAAAATAAAACCACCTGTGAACCAACATATGCTGAAAATAACATTGACTTTCTCCAGGTACCCAACATATTTATGTAATGTTATTCAGGGATAAGCTGGTGAGTTTGTGTTCTCTGCTGCTAGTTGGACACACTAATATAAAAACTTGCAGATTATTAACACAGTTTTCTGTATGTAAGATGTTTCTTTTCATAATATGCATTAATATTTTATCTTTTTATTTTCCTACTTTCTAATCCCTTCTAAAGCTCAGATCCAGTTCCAGTTTTTGAGATTTCAGGAAATAGTCTACACTATATTATATAAGGGCTAATAGTTTCCTGAAGTCCATCTCCAGGTTATTTTGATTAGAAGATCATCTTCCTCGGGGATCTTGACTTTCACTTCTGATAATATTGCGTTATGGTTGCCCCTAACACATGCATATATCTGACTAGATGTTATTGAGATATTTTAGTTACTTCTTCCACTGAGAGTGCATCCCATTGTCTGAGGAATGTTGTAAAGTTTTAATTTGTCAATCATAATACATGTATAGTTACACCAGAATAAGAATTGATTGGCAAGTGTCTAGGCTCAAAATTTGGTTTTAGTTTGAAAACAACAAACAAAAAAGATGAAATCTAGCCAGATGCTATGATATTTTTTAAAAAATCAAACAAAACCAAATAGAAATAAAAACATAAAAGCTTCTAAGGTATTGATGACGATAAAAACAATCAGAATGGTAACAAAGTAATTTAAAAATGAAGTAAACATTGGGTTTTGATTTGTAAGGTTGTAAAAATTTTTCTCTTTATTGAGGCATTTCATATATATGCTTCTACAGTAATTTACTCATTTTTAGAATTTGAATAAGAGTTAGGTCTTTTAATTAACATACATTTTTCCTTCTTGCCAGGGAAATGCATGTTTTCATCTAAAATAAGCACAAATGACACAATGTTTAGATTATATTGTCAAAACCAATTGTCTACTTAGTGTCTATTTCCATATCCCTGCCACAGATATTGACAATAATGATATAGCGCAAAGTGAAGTCTATTTTTAAATGCTTCCTATTGAAACATATTAAAGCAAATGTACATGTGCATATAGAAGCACACAAATTATGGCATGATGCTGACAGCAAGAATCAATTCTGGTGACAAAAAAAAAAATCAGTAGGCGTTTCATGTATCTGCCAAGCCTAATTCTGACTTTCTCTACTAGGTGCTAATATAAGAGAAAGCAACCCAGATACCAACTGGGAAAAACTCCAGATTTTCTCTTGGGTACACAAATTATGACTTTTGCTAGGAAACCATGATAATAACAAAATCCCAGAAGATTATAATGTGAATTCTTAAGAGCCTTATACCTGTATATGCTCACTGAAGGGGTCCCCTTAACAACTAAGATACATTTATTTCAAAAACATCAAGGGCCATTGAATAATCCTCCTACAAGTGACCATTGAAAGTAGTTTAAAGGTATTTTCCAGAAATATAAATAAAATGGCTAAGTCAAGGGAGGTCGAATTTCTATTCTTTATTAATTCAGATACTTAACTCTGCCTCCTCTAATGCACACAGTTCTAGAATCTTGAACCAGCAGGCTCTGATGGGAATGGCAGCCTGCAAACATAAAGGGTGAGTGATAAATAGCCAGGCTGTGTGGCCCACTGTGTTCCCCAGCGGAAAGGAGAAACAGCCCACTATACTTCTGCAGGTACCCTTTCCCTTCTGCTTCCTGCCCTATTGCCACAGTATCCAAAAATTGGGTAAAACTCTGAGTAGAGGACATGAAGAAAGGAACTATAGAACAGCTACGACATAATGGAAACAGAAATGAAGCAATGGCTGTTTGGAAAAGAAAAAGAACTGAAGAATACAATCACCTCCAGTCAGATTAGTTTATCAGTCAGGATTCTAAATTCAACTTTTAGTTGTGAAATGCAAGTTTTCTAGTGAGGAGAAGGGAATGAGGATAAAGGCAATAATATGTTAATTGTAGCTGAATCTATATTTGGACTGCTGTATGCTCAAAATTCTACATATTAGGGGTGGTAGGATTTGAGGAGGAGAGAAAAAACGATAGAGAGGATGGTGTTATGTGGAAGCACCGAGGTTTGAAGTCTGATTTAAGTGTCTACTACACAAATAGGCATAGCTCTGCAATCTAAGAATGAATATGATAGCAAATATTTAGTTATTGATTATGGAACTGAGCGTATCAAATCTTTAGGCTATTTGCTCTCTCCTCTACACAACTCCTGTGTCCACCTTCCACTTCCTGCTGGTTTTCTCTTAGTCTACGCCCTGTCCTTTCCAGATGCCAATGATTCATTCTCTTTTCATATTCTATTTATTTTTTCCACTCTCTTCCATTCATCTAATACATACAGAGTACCTAGTGTGTATAACCCTGCTGGATAATTGGGACATAGGGTCCCTGCATTTAAGATATATGTGTTCTTTCTGGATAAATAAATAACTTTCCAAGTATATAACAATAGTGAGTAATGATAATAATTGCTGGCTGGGTGTGGTGGCTCACGACTGTAATCCCAGCACTTTGGGAGGCAGAGGCGGGTGAACGCTTGAGCCCAGAAGTTCAAGACCAGCCTGGGCAACAAAGGGAAACCCCGTCTTTACAAAAAATACAAAAAAACATTGGCCAGTCATGGTGGCCTATGCCTGTGGTCCCAGCTATTCGGGAGGCTGAGGTGGAAGGATTACTTGAGCCTGGGAGGCGGAGGTTGCAGTGAGCTGAGATCACACCACTGCACTCCAGCATGGGTTACAGAGTGAGACACAGTCTAAAAAATGTAAAAATAAAATAATAATAATAATTGCTAGTACTACATCCCTATGACACACATATGGTACTATAATTACCCACATTTTACGAATGAAAAATCTGAGACACAGAGATGAAGAAACTTGAACAAAGTTGTATGGTTTGTAGAGTTAAAATTTAAATCTAGGCAGTTAAATTCCAAGCCCATGTTCTTAATATCTATACCATATATCTTTAAGAGTCAAAAAAAAGTATATGAAGTAAACACACTAGGTAAAATATTAAAACTAATAGAAGGGTCAAATAAATGGCATAGCCAAGAAATGCAATGAATTCCAGAGACCAAGATTGGAATAGGTATAAATATTCAGAGAGGTTTTTTAACAGCCACCCTCCGCCCCAGCAAACACACAATCCATATTGTGTTTTGGGTTCTTTTAGGGAGAGAGATTTTTGAATAAAAGAGAAGGTAAAGAAAAGAGAGGTAGAAATTACAATTTTTTTATCTCTCTTTTTTAGTACTGGCATGAGACTAGCTCATTGTAGTAGGAATTACCTAGTAACATTCAATCATCTAATGATGCTTTATGGCTTTAAGCCATACTTGGTCACCTTTTATATAAATAATATAGATCCTAGATCAATAAAAAAACCCTCTAAACCAAATTTAAATTCATGTTTTTTAAAAACACCTTTTAGAAAATACTACTCCTTTATTATTATAATAATATCTAGGCAATCTCGTGTTAAATAAACTTGGAATTTAGTAATGTTTTTTCATTATTTTCCAAATTGCTTGTGCCATAGTGTATTGTTTAAACGCTATAGTATGGTGTGCCAAATGCTAAAATCCTATGCAACCCCTGGCAATGGTATTCTGCAGTGCCTCTTATTACAGTGCATGCAACAATTTTCTTGGGTTGGGCATTTCAAATCATTTTAAACTGCAAATATAATCAGGAAATTGTGTTTTACCATTTATAGTTTCCAAATAATTAAAGTTTTACATTAGCTAGGCTTATTGCAAACTTCAAACTATTTCAAATTAAATCAAGAAAAGTACAAGAAAACAGCAAATGCTCTAAATGTCATTGGATGGATAGTTGGGGAATGTTTCATGTAAGCGTGTTATATATGAAATGCTATGGAGGATAATGCTCCTTCCTTGACATGTCCATTCTGTTGGGTTTAAGGCAAGAAACTCTGACTATGTTAACCCAAAATTAACATAGTGTGTTTTCTCAGAGACAGAACTTTGAAAAATTCTGCAGCACAATGTGGCTCGGTAATTAAATCAAGCTGGACCCAGAGAACTGCATTGGGTCCACAGAAGACTTTTTGGGCCAAATTTCATAGTTATTATCTTAGACCAGGCTTTTTAGAAACAACTTAGGTATATACAGTAAATATACTGAATTGTCTGTCCTCTCTAGGAACATGTTTCACCAGATTCCAGAAAGGTCTATGCTCCTACCCCATAATCACTTAATCACTTAGAGATAAAAAAAGGTCTATTCACATTTAAGTCAATAACATACCTTTGACTAAAAAGGGTAAAATCTTAAAGTTAGAAGAGTTTATTTTTGTATCGAAGCATCTTTTATCCCCTAACAAGTTTCTTTCTATATATGAAGACTATAGCTATTTTTTCTATTTACCCTAGGTGACATTGATTCATTTGACCCATACTTATTGAGTGCCTATTATATATTAAATGCCATGTTTATACATTGGATACATATTTGTGAATAAGTAAACTATCTTCAGAAACTAAAGATGATGAACACAAATAATTTAAATAGGAAATACACAAATCCAATCACATTAACTGTGTTGAAGAAAATGAACAGGGTATTGATGTAGATAATATCAGAGAGGAGGAACTTCAAGTGGCCAAGAGAGGTCTCATAGAGGGGCTGGCATTTCAGCCGAAAACTGAAAGGTGAAAAGGAAGCTTGGGAAAAATAAAAATAAAAATATATTCAGAAAAAGGGAGCAGAATACGACAAGACTAGTGTGGCTGATCGTAGAAGGCAAAAGAAAGTGGTTTTCAGATGGGTTTGAAAGGTGGGCCAGAGAACATCCACATACGTCTTACAGGACATGATAGGGATTCTGAATAGTGCTTTATGTACATCAGGACATCAAGATTTTAGGCAGGGGAATGACATAGTTGGATTTATATTTTTCAAGGAATTTATTGGCCTCTCTGTGTGGAGGACATGTTGGAGAGAGACATGGAGAAGAGGCAAGAAGACCAAGAAGGAGGATCCTGTGGTAGTTCAGGAAAGACTGGTGACTGAGCTTACAGTGGGAACAGCATAAATTAAGAGAAATGGTGAAATTATTTTAGATAGTTGACCTGCTGGTAGTTGGTATGTTGAGAGTGAGGACAAGTCATCTTGGATGCATTAAGGTTGAGTCATAACTTTATTTTCCCCCAAAGTTATGGAATGATGGTAGCACAAATTAAAAATGCAATAGCCTAAGGGAGAGACAGAGATGTATTTAATTTTCAGTTTACTTTAATCGGGCAGAAAGGGATTAAATAATGCATTTTTTAACTGTTAAATGTGTAATTCCAGTGAGCCATCCAATTGAAGATGTCAATTAGACAGCTGCTTATTCAAACCTGAAATTGAGAGGAGAGGTTTGGGTTAGAAATATACATTTGGAAGTCATTGTCACACATGTGATATTTAAAGCTTTGGAACAGATGATCACAGAGGAAATGAAAGTTAAGTTTTAAAAGGGAACATAATCCAGGAACCAGCCAAGATTTAGAGGTCAGGTTTAGAAGGAAGACTTTAAAAAGGAGAATGAAAAGGATAATCAGATATAGGGTAGGAAAGAAGAAATTATGGATCTAGAAGCGAGACAGTTGAGGATTTGGGGGAGAAATGATTGGTTACTAAGTCAAATAATTTGAAGAGCTCAGGTAATGAAGTTAAAACTATTGACCATTAGAACCTTAGCCTTAATAGTTTTAGAGATTGTTAAGAGCAGAAGCCAGACAGCTAAGTAGAACAGGGAGTAGATATGTTTGGTCAAGCTGTTGTTATATGACAGGCTATTCTACAGTGTATTTAGAGGTTGATAGAATCATAGAGAAAATAAGAATTGTAGGTGTGGGTCTACAGAATAGAGGAAATCCTTGAAATCAATCAACTTTAGAGCTAGTGAGTTGATAGAAGGTTAAATATTAACTACGAAATAACAGATCAAAGTGTTAGTTTCTTCCACAATTGTTCTAACAAACACAAAATTGCAAATTAAAGACTTGAACTTCTGATTATGACAATCTATTTCTACTTACCTTGTTCTTTCATCTCAGAAATCAGAGATGTCTTCAAATATATTTTTCTACATAATATCTTAATTATAATTGGATAATTCAATCCATTTTCAGCTGAATTTACCAAGCATTTAACCCAATTTACCTATTCTATTGTAAATAGTACTTTTAAAAAAAATTTAAGAATTACATATATGTCTAATTATCTCATCTCATACAATTACAAAGAGTCTCAGATATCTTTGTATGTTAAAAGAAAATTAAGTTAAAAAAACTATTCAAAATTTGTAAAGAAACAGTGAGATTTCTATATAAAATAAATTAGGTAGGGTATACAATTAGGCAAATTAATGGATACAGTATTGAAATATGTAGATAAGCTACAATATATAATTATTAATTGATTTTTAAGACCTATTTCTGCTTAATTACTACTTTTTATTTCTAAAACCAGCAGATTAAAAATATTTTCTCAATTTAAAAATTTGATCTCTGTGGTAAAACTAAACATAGAATGTTTTTGCTCTGTTAGAAATTAGCCTTTGGAGAGAAAACACAGTTATTGTAACATATTATTCAAGGTAAAAATCACTAAGACATAGAGAATTTCAGATTTTTTTTGCTAATTTCTACTGAGAGAACTGTTTGGGAAAACTGAGAGAACTAATTGAAAGAGTTGACTATCCATGCTTTAAAATGTCAGATTTTAAAATCTATCTCTGCACTAAAGACATCATTATTTTTGACACTGGGAAAAAGAAAAAAACAATGTTTAGAATTTGTTACCCCAAACAAAATAACAGCAATTAAAAAACACAGCAATGAAACTGTGATTGAAAACATCTTAGAAGAAAGTGAGGCTAAAGGTATTACATTTTTCCCTGCTTCTCCATATACTGCAGGTTACCTAAAAGGAATTCATATAGCTTTTAAAAATAAAATGTAATTTCATCAGTTGCCCTTGCCTACTAATCTATATTAACATGACCTGTATCACCATTGACTTTTCTTTTAGCTCTATGTATTCATCTGTTCTCACGGTGCTAATAAAAACATACCTGAGACTGGATCATTTATAAAAGAAAGAGGTTTAATTGACTCATAGTTCCACATGGCTGGGGAAGCCTCACAATCATGGCAGAAGGTGAATGAGGGTCAAAGTCAAGTCTTACATGGCAGCAGGCAAGCGAGCTTGTGTAGGGGAACTCCCCTTTATAAAACCATCAGATCTCATGAGACTTATTCACTATTATGGGAAAGAGCACAGGAAAGACCCACCCCCCATGATTCAATTACCTCACACCAGGTCCCTCCCAGGACACATGGTAACTACGGCAGCTACAATTCAAGATGAGATTTGGGTGGAGACACAGACAAACCATATCGCTGCATAACCTTGTTCTCCTCATTTTTTTTCTCTCTAAACAGTAATTGATAAATTACGTTTTCACGTTAAAAATATAATAATTTTGTTTTTGCCTTTTAGAATACTTGTTTTGTTCTGTCTGGCTTTAGAATTGGGTAAGGACCTAGAACGTGTAAGGGAGAAAAAGTAGGAGAGAAATAGAAATAAGTGAGAAGACAGACTAAGCAAAAGAGAGAGTGGGAGATAGATCAAATTTAGATATTTTGTGAAATGAAATTACCAAGTTATTTTTATTCCTAATCAGCATTCAGAAAGCTACATTATATAATATAGTTGAAAAAATAATCAAGATCCTGAAAAATGTTTTCATTAGCCTAGACTTAAAGAAATATTGGTAAAGATTTGCTTTGTCACAGCACGTCACAACATATTTTCTGAGCTGTGATCCAAGGTGAGTTACATGAGAAATTAGAAAATGTGTTGTTTATGTACATTTACCCTTTTAAAAATTATTAAGTTGATCTAGTCTTTGTCTTTCAAGATCATAGTATATGAAGTTGTATAAAATGTCATTTAGAGGTCTATTTTTATTGATTACAATGTTACATAATTTTAGATTTTTTTGATTATTGTAATAATATAATCCATCCCATATTGACCAGTACCAAGAAAAATAGCTGATTTGCTGGACACATAAACTGAAGCCAAACTAACAAACTAATATGTACCTAAATCCATATATACATATTTATCTCATATATGTGTGTATATATATATGTATGTGTATGTATATATATATATATATATATATATATATATATATATATATCACATGTACTAGGTAAGCAGAGATATATAGAGCATTAATTTATCAATACTGTTGTTCTATATGTGTTCCTGAGTGGTGTGAAATGTCTGGCATGCAATTGGCTTGAATTGAGGAGCTGCCCTTCAGAGCAGGGCTGTCTTCTAGATCACTGGTCCCCAGACTTTTTGGCACCAGGGACCAGTGTCATGGAAGATAATTTTTCCATGGACCAGGGAGTGGGGAAATGGTTTCGGAATAATTCAAGTGCATTACGTTTATTGTGCACTTTATTCTATTATTATTTCATTGTAATATGTAATGAAATAACTATACAACTCACCATAATATAGAATCAGTGGGAGCCCTACGCTTGTTTTCCTGCAACTGGATGGTCCCATTGGGGATGATGGGAGACAGTGACAGATATCGGATATTATATTTTCATAAGGAGCACACAACCTAGTCCCTTGCATGTGCAGTTTACAATAGGGTTTGTGCTCCCGTGACATCTAATACCACCCTACTCTGACAGGAGGCGAGGCTCAGGTGGTAATGCAAGCGATGGCGAGTGGCTGTAAATACAGAGGAAATTTCACTGGCTCACCTGCCTCTCAGCTTTTGCTGTGCAGCCTGGTTCCTAACAGGCCATGGTACCAGTACAGGTCAGTGGCAGGGGTATTGAGGACCCCTGTTTTAGATCAACTAAGCTCTCCATAAATACGTTAGAAAAAGTTCACAATTTAAGCAAATGATCCAGGCAATTTTTCCCTTCCTTAAAATTAACTCTCTATGCAAAACAAAACTACAAGTGAGCTCTTACCTCTGTATTATATCAACAAATGATAAACTATTAGGAGGAGGATTGAAGGAACACAAACACGGAGGTCCCTTGGGCTTTCTGACTAATTCTTGTCATTTTTGTCAATTGCATTAACTCTCCAAAGTTCCCTTTGACCACTTATGGGATTATAACTTCAGCATTTCTCCTTACTGCTGCTGCCTGAGGCAGCCTATTTGATTTTGCCTACATCGCTCTGGGGCTTGCACGAAGTAGCAGTGTTAAACTTGCAGTGAAAGTGAGCCAAGCCTTTAAGTGCCTACTCAAACAACTTGGCTGACCTCATCATCCTTCTTCTTACTAACACCTGGAAATGGATTCGGCCTGGGAGAAATAGATCCTTTTCTTCGTGGAAGCTTCTGCCTATAACTTCTAATTATTCCGTGGGACTCTCGATGCTTTCAAAATGAGTCCATATTCCCCGTCAATCAGAACTATCTTAAACCTCTCTTAAAGGAAACACTTTCAAAATTATCCTTTCTTGGACCAGTTGATTCCAGGAATTACCATACTTTATATTTTGTCTTAGTCATATCAAACATTTTCACCTTTCATGAATAATTTGAACTTAAAGCAGAATGGGGCTTCCTGGTCCCTATATTCATTTTCTTTCTTTCTATTTGCATTCCTGTTGGAAAGCAGTTTTGCTAGTTTGTAGTTTGTTTTTATTATAATGATCACCTAAAAGATAATATATCAAGAGCCAGTATAGCAGAGTGACTAAGAGCATGGATTCTGGAAACAGTCCATCTGATTTGAACCATGACCCTGTAGTTTAAGATCCCTTTGACCTTAGGCAAATAAATTATTGAACTTCTCTGGGCTTTAATTTCCTCATCGGAAAAATGGCAATAATAATAATAAGTACTGGCTTGGTAGAGTTGCTATGGAGACTAAATGTGTTAACATAGTTAAAATTTAGGCATAATGTGACCTATAATAATAAGCTCTTTATAAGTGTTAGATATTATATTTGCCATCTAAGATATGCTCTGAGTGATGATAAATATCAGCATGTAAACACTGTTTGTCTTAAAAATGCACTACTGTGAATACTCTAAAATAGCCTAGTGAGCCATCTTTTGCTCTTAGGGGTACATCCATGAATAATGGCTAGCCCTGAAGGTACGTGATGCTAAAACAATGGCATTGCCAGTTTTAACATTGTGGGACTCAGGCAGAATGGAGTCAAAAGACTAAGAATGGTCTACAAGAAGAAAGAAGGAAGGGAAACAGAAGAAAGACCACCCAACCAATAAACAAGTGTTTTCACCCATCCTGTGTATTCTAGGTGTATTTTTGATTACCTTCTCATATTATCATATTATTTGTGGAATGTGGACTGTACAGGGACTACCTTTAAAACATTGTGTGAACTAATAAATAGCATGAGAACAACTAGATAAGGCATTACCCAGAATTTTTGACCTGTGGAATGGTCACACCTGAATCCAAGTATGCCACTGAAAGTTTCAGAAGCCTCTTCTGTGGCATTTAAACTGAATAATAGAGAGGCCTAGAGCATTTGCGGGGCAGAAAGACAGGGAGAGAGAGAGAGAGAGACAGACACAGACAGACAGACAGACAGACTAACTACACGGAGAAATCTCAACCTCTAGCAGTGGACTTGATGGAAGAAACTACTCTTTGAAAATGCTGTTTCTACTCCAAAGTCATAACTAACCCATATTATGTATGTTTATCAGATTTATCCCTCAAAGAAATTTCTTCCAGGAAATATTGGGTCAAGGAGACTGTTACAGAATAACTTATCCCTTATTTATTGTGCATTGTTTATTTTTGAAATGTGGAGACGCCTTATGGAGAAGAAAGACTTATGGGGGGTATGGTTTAGTTTGGTGGTCTACATAATATCTGGGTAATCTCCACACAGATCCTGTGTTGTAGACAATGATGCATAAGTAGCATAGCTTCTGCTACATGTCACTAGGCACTGAAAACTCAAAATATTTGTCAGGCTATTGAGAAAGTTATAGGGAAAGAAAATTTGAACAAGCAGTAGATAGACAACAGAAATATGAACTCCGAAATGAATGTGAAATGTGGGAGGCTGGAATGTCAGCTTCAAGGTGGCTTATGGAGGAAAATCTGGAGAAACTTGGGGAAGGTGGCAGCACCAATGTTTTGCTGAGGTCTGTGTGATCAGTAGTTTATAAAGTAAATCTTCAGTAGTTTAGAAAATGCCAAGATACATATGCAAGTTCTTAACAACCTAGACAAGAGCAGATAAAATAAATGCAATTTTGTGATATACTAGAAAGTTTTTTAAAAGGACATTAGAGAGGAAGGCTTAGGAAAATGGAACCAATTGAGACTCAGTTAAGAGCTGGTGGGAGTAATATATAGCCTAGTGCCAAGCTCTGCCCGACAACATAAATCTCTCCAAGATGTCTGAGCATCCCTGTGATTTCCATTAATTCAAAGAGAAGCAAGATGGGAAGTCAGAGGTTACTGACAACCAAGAAAAAAAATGAAATAGTTGAAGAGGCAAAGATCATAAATCAACTCATACGATGTGTCTTATTGAAAGCTGACATATTGGTAGATGCCTTAGACAGTTGGAATAAGAATTTCCAATCCTCACCTTCACGGGAAGGGGCGTAACAACATGGGCAAGCTCATGAATTCCCCTCAAAACGACACCCCACCTCCTGCTACCAGTACTATCTGAGAGAGTATTTAGTACATACTAGTAAATTATACTTCTAAGGAATTACTTCCTAGAGTTGGACAAAATGTCATGGTATTGGATTTGCTTGGGTTCTGGCAGTAACATACTACTAGAGCTCCTATCTTGCAATACTCTGAGAAAAGTGTAAGCAGTCTAAAGTTTCTGCATTAACAGATGAAGACAAATTCTGGACAAAGACTCTCAAGTCACCATTATTATTTAGTCCATTTCTGGGCATCAGCGTCCACATTTTCCCACAGTGATTATTGACATAACACTCAGTAGTCTGAATGTAGGACATTATCTGCATCTGGGCAAACTGTGCTGAAGAGCCCCTGAAGTTGCCAGAGGAGATCAGAGAAGTGACACATGTGGAGCCAGAACTTGCAACCAGACTAATGTTGCTAAGCAAGAATGTAAGTCAGAAGTTTATCAACAACCTAGAAAAAAAATAGAAATGGTTCACGAGGCAAAGATCATAAATCAACTCAGATGATGTGTCTTATTGAAAGCTGACAGGTGGGTGGAAGTGTTAGATGGTTGGAATGAGAATTTCCAATCTTTACCTTCATGGGTAGGGGTGCATCATGGGCAAGCTCATGCCATTCTCCTCAAAAAGGCGCCCCACCTTCTGCTACCAGTGCTGTCTGCAAATTCTAACTACTTTTTGGTATTGACCCATTATTCATTACCACTTATGGAAGAAAGTGTCTGACATCTTATCATGCTCCCCTTAAATGCCTTTGTGCCTACTTGTATAATCAGATAAAAGTCAGAAAGTACCATGAGAAAATTTTCAGATATCTCAGCCTACAGGCTGTCGGGAAAAGAAGTCACACACAAAGTATAAGCTTCTTTGACACTGGAAGGTTTTAGATACCCAAGCACTTGAAAGAATCTGTGACAGGGAAACTAGAAGGGAGGAGGAAAAGCTCTCTCATGTTTTGCGAAATGTAGACTCAGGAACAGTGGAGCAATATGCAATTCTAGGACACCTGGAGTTTTATCAGTGAACACTTTAGGAATGTCTGTTTCTCCAAGATGGATTCTTTGAGGGATTGCGTGAAGCAATCCTTATGTTAATGGTGTTATTTTTAAATTCTGAACTCCATGCTTGTTTGATCATACTGTAGATAAGGTAACAAGAGGAAAATTAACACAGAACTCTATGATTATGGCAGCCAATAGGAGAAGAAAAAATCCTTCAAGATGCCTTCACTAGAAAGCAGCTTTGGAAAAGACAAAACATATTATTAATTGAGGGGTATCACAGAGTAGTGCCTCATAAGTGGCTTGTGGCTACAGTTATTGCTACTTCGGAAATACTTCCCAGAAATGCTGAGAGCAATGCCTCATGTCTTTGAAACCAAGGGAGGGAGAAGGCACTGGATATCATCTGATACCTAGGAAGAGAGAAGGCTCTAGAGATCACTGGGCAGTATTTCTGGCCCCAGAAATAAAAAATGTTTAAGGACCATTATCTTTAATTCTGGCACCTGCAAAGATGAGTATGGGGAGGAGAGTGGAAAGTAAAATGTGCCCTCCAGGAAGGTTTATGTAAAATGCATCTGACCAGTACTTTTTAAAAAAAATTGTATGTGTTGATTTTTTTCCCATTAGAAACAGCTAATCTGATATTAGTAAGAGAGTTTTACAGCAGTCATACCAAATCATATCCTATGAATAATCAGAATCTATTCTCTCTGTTCCATGGATGCTGTGGGAGTTTGTTCATTACAGACTTCCTCTTTGAATTCCTTCTAACCAAGGCAGAGCTTTTAAGAGCCCATTTCTAGAGAAATAATTTAATAGGCAGAAATTTCAAAAAAAATACCATGACTATTCTCTAATATCCATAGTGAGGCTGTAAACCAGAAATATTTAGCAGAACTTTGTAAATATCTGGGGAACTCTCCTTTCAAAGTCAAAGCTGTAGTTACTAGCATTTTATTCCTTTCCTGATATCCTACCCCAAAGCTTTCATTTTCCACTGACCTCAGTTTTGGGGTATGTTTCAAGAGACAATGGATTGCCTTGATTCAGTAAGAAACTAACCTGAAAAATATTCTAGAAGTTTTTCATCATTTGGCAGCTGCAGTCACTCAAAAAGCAACACAGCCTGCTCTAAAGACACTATGACACCATGTGGGATATCAATGGCATGCTGGAGTTTCATTCACTTGCAAGAGTTTTCAAGGCATTTTACAAAAGAAGTTACTGCAGCTAGATTAGGGCCATTTGACCTCTTGCCCCAAATTATTTATTTTTCTATGTTCATTTTATAATAAAGTACTGAAAATAACTTAATGATAACTAATATTTGTAAGAAAAACTGTGTGCACACACATGCACATGTGTGTGCATGTGTGCATGTATGTGTGTGAATATCTGTGTGTTAAGAGACTTAGTTTTTTAAAATGAAATGGAAGAATTAAGACTATTTTTCATGGCTAGGTTCTATTAAACACAGCAATTACGTGAATTCCCCTTCATTCTTCCTGGATAAATATAGAAAAGTGAGTAAATCTCCTACTTTGAAAAAGTAGGGCACAAATAAGATGTATCTGAGAACCTAGTCATAGGGCAAAGGGAGAAAAATAAACGGTGAGAGACCAAGACAAGGAGACTTCTGTGCACAAATCTGAGGATATATTTACATGGACCAAAAGGCAACCTGATGGGGAAATATGTATTTTGATTACCTTCTGGACACTGATAATGATGCTAATGGCTACTATATGCTAATATTTATTGAAAGATAATTCTCAATGTTTCCTTCATGTTTCTGTACATTTCACAAGCAGAAGCATCTACAGCCTATGTTCCAGACTGTCATTCCAAGGATGTTTTTGTAGTGGACAACCTTGGGAGACAGAGATTATAACTCTCCTTTGAGCAAAAAGAAGATGTGTTTGTTGTGCTTTATAAAAGACTCAGATTCCCTAAATTTGGGGATTTCCTCCTGACACAACTCTCTGCTTGTGCAGATGTGACCTGGCCCTTTTCATGTTTCCCAATAAAACTAAAGTAGGGGGACAGAAAAAAAACATGAGGTACATGCTGTTTGCTATGACATAATTAATACAGTTCTTTGTCTCAGAGCCAGGAGTCTCATGTCTTCTCCTAGCATCCGAGGATCTGCAGCAGGCTATCTTATTACACAGTTATTACAGAAATATTTCAGACCTTCCACAGTCTGGGCAATGGTCTTTGTTGTAAAATGCCTTTTTGAGTATCAGAAAATAATCATTGCTCCTAACGGATTTGAAGATAAACTACGCTTATTTACGTTCCAAGAGGTAAAAGAAGAAAATCAGACCACTATAAGCAGAAGGACATTTCTCACATAGTCTCACCAAAGCAAATTGCAAAATTCAATAAAGAATATATCTCGGAGAAGCCAAGATATAGAACTATAGAAAAAGAAAAGATAGTAGAACAATAACTCAGTACATCCTAATAATAACAACGAAAGCAATAATTAACTTACATATGGTGGTTTGCAGTTTACAATGCATTTCCACACATTATTTTATTTGGGTCTTATAACGACCTTTGAAATAGTCTTTTTTATTTTCTTAATTACACCGTTGAGAAAATTAAAGTTTAGAAAAGGTTACATAAGTTGCTGACGGCCAAAACTAACAAGTTAAGGAAATAAACAATTGATATAGACTCAAGCAAACTGAATAAAACCAAAAACAAAAATCAAGATTTGGCCTTAGGATCACAATCTTTTGTCACAAATTATTTCCTTTCTGTTTTAAATCTTCCACTTGTCCCCTGTGAACATGTCTTTCTCTCCTATGCAGAAGAACAAAATCCCTCTATTTACACTGTTTACTTTAGTTATAATCCTTCCACTTTGTTTTCATGGTGAAATTATATAAAGAGTAGCTTACATGTGTTCTCTCTGTCTTTCCTGTTTTCCATCCATTTCATCTATTATTGTTTTTTAAAAAAATCCATATTAAAATCACCAGTGGCATTCTAAATGATAAAGACTCGGGATGCGTTTTGGTTATTATCTCAAGTTCAATCTCATTTTTTGAAAACATGTTTCTTCTTTGGATTGTGGAATACTTTCAATCACTTATTCTCTTCTTTCTTTCTGGTTACAATTTCTCAGTTGTTTTCATGGAGATCTCATCTTCCAACTGTCTTATAAATAAATCTTTCTAGAGTTTCATCTCCATCCTTCTCTCCTTGCTCAATCTGCTTCCACTAAAACATCTCATCTATGCCCATGATTTGATAACTACTCACAATGCAAAGGCACACCCATTCTATATGTCTGGCTCTGATTTCTTTCTTGAGCTCCAGATATGTATTTCCAAGTATCGAATTTATATCTCAATCTGATAACCTGTGAACTTAAGGTTCAATATGTCCAAAATCAAACCACTCTACTTTCCCTCTAAATTATTTCTTTTTGTTTTCCTTTCCTGGATTGGGTGAGCCACACTGACTTACTTCTAAAAGCTGAAATGCCCCATCCTTCTTCCTTAGTCTCCATATTCAGTTGGTGATTGAATTCGGTTCATTCTGCCTCTAGATACTCCCTGTAACATGTGCTTATCTCTCTGTTAACAATGCCTTAACCTTCATGGAACCCCACATATTCAATAGGCTGCCCTAGTAAAATAATCTCCTAATAGGTTTTTAGTCTCCTTTTCATCAAAGATACAATTTATTTACTTCTTTCTGAAATTTAAATCTTACAATTTTGCTATCTCCAGAATTAAAATCTTCAATATCTTCAGATATTTTACTACCTCCAAAATTAATATTGAAGATATTGATTTATGTTTATGTCTTTATGAAGATTTATGTTTGTTTTTATGTTTATGTTTGTGTTTTTATGAAGATTGATTTGTTAATAAATAGGTTCTTAATCATGTTTCAGGAATAGGAAAAGCTAGACTCCAGGATTTGGATTTTAACATCTCCACAAGGAAAGGGGAGAGGGGCTTGACTTCTTCTCAGGAGTGTATTCATTTCATTGTTAGGCAATGTTGATGGATAATATTTTATCAATGGCATCTAAAGACCCACTTTTTGTGACTATTGCTAAATTCTTCAGCCTTACCTTCAGTGCTTAGACTCATGCCCATGTACACACATGCATGACATGCATGCTCATACACAAATATGTCTATACACCAACACACACATCAAGTTCTTCCCTGATATGTAACAGTCATTCCTGCTTCTCCACATGCTCTGATAACTGCTTGGAGTTTCTTTTCTTCCCCCACCTCTACTCAATACTTTCTATTCAAATTAAAACCCCATTCCACTCTCAACTTCTATCCATATGCGCAGAGTTAAAATCTCTCCAAGAATCTTGCATACGTAACATTCAGAGAATGCATTTCATTGCTTTGTCATCATTTGCCACTGGATCTGTCTCTCCGAACAGGCTGCTGAATAATGAATACAGTTAAGTTCCTCTAGCTTGTGTACTCTATTTATTATTTACTGTGGCACTTCCTATAATAATGTGGAAAGTGGTAACTAAGGAAACTTGGAAAATTCTAGTGAATCACAACCTGTAAACCATCACTGAGTTAAGGATAAAGTATCAACTTAAGATACATAAGCCTTAGTGATAATTTTTGTTATAAATTGTTATAATAATATTACTAACAAAAATAAGAGCTATCATTTTATAGGTAGGGATTATTATCTTCAGTATAAACTGAGGGGATGAAATGAAAGTATAAAGAAATTGTGATGACTTGGCTAATGTCCCAAGGTAAATGGTAGGTTCTATTTTACTCCTGTGATAATGGCCAAATTAGTAGTTTTCACCAAATAGCTCAGTTCTCCCCTGGCACTGGGCAGATGGAAGAAATGCTACTCCCTTGAAGTTAAATATGGTCATGTGAATTGCTTAGGCCAAAGAAATATTAGCGTATCACTTGCAGGGAGAAGGTATCAGAGCCAGCACACAGTCACGAGTGCTCTCTCTCTCTCTCTTTCTCTCTCTGTCACAGCAACTGCCAATTTTTAAAGCTCATGGCTGCTCCATCTGACTGGGACTTCACTGTAGACAATGTGAGATGAAACCACTTGCTGACTCAGATTGGAAATGTAATATGAGCAAAAAATGAACTTCTGTTGTGTTAGCCCACTAAGACTTCGTACATTTTTCAGACATGGCATGATTTGGCTCACTTTGACCAACATTCCACAGATGCCATTACTTCAGTATCAATGTTTGCTTGACCATAAATTGGACTCAAATGGATTTTTTGGGGGGAGGTCAAGTCTGAAAAGAGCTTACCCAAAGTTTTGCATCTTTAGGGTACGAAAATTATGGGAGTTTAGACGTTCATAGTTACTTTTTTCTTTTACTATTGCAAAACTTAGGTATTGAAAGATTTAAGACATATGGACACAGAGAAGCCACCAACAGGAAATTGTGTCTGAAGCAGTACAACAAATAGGAACCAGAGCCAGAGATGAGGCAAAAGAATATATGAAGCCAACATATATTCTAGAAATATAATCTGGGTCAGAGCCAGGAACTGCTGAGTTAATCAGTGTGAATCAGAAGAAAGAGTCAGAAATGAGAGACATGCACTACCTAAAACAGTTGCAGATTCAAGTTTCAGACCAAGTGTCAGGGTAAAGTCAAGACATTTCTGGTAAGTCAAAACATTTCAGATAAGTGTTTTAACTGAAAAGGCTTAAATATTTTAAAAGTCCACATTTCATATTCAACTGCCTCAGCCACCACTATCACAATCCTAATTATAACAGTAATATATTAAATTCCAAGCACTTCACATACATTTCCATATTTAATCAGCAAGGCAACTCCATGAGGAAACTGAAGTATACATCACAGCACTAGCCTTCAAACCCAGTTTTGTCTGACATCAAATTATGTGTTCTCAGACACTGCGAAATGGCCCTGTGCCATTTATCCTTCTGTCTCATACAAAGAGGGTAATTATCAATAAGTGGCTGGGCTTCCCAAAATAGAGCCAATCTAACACAGGGCTCAGGACAGAAGTAAAAGCTAATCTCAGCATGACAAACGGGCAAGAGGGCTAGCGTGTGATCTAAATTTGCCTAAAAATAAATTGACTACACACCTGTGAGGAGGTCAAGTCTCTCTCTCTCTCCCCTTTCAGGACCGAGATATCGTATTATCTGAATCCTGGATTCTAGCTTTTCCTATTTTGGAAACATGACTAAGAACCTGTTTATTAACATATCAATCTTCATGAAAAACATAAACAAATTATTCCTGTTTTGACCTTTGTTATCACTTATTGTGCCACAGTTCTGGTCCAGCTACTCTGCCATAAACAGCAATAATTTGTCTCCCTCTGAGGCTTACTGCGAGGATTAAATGAGTTAACACTTGTATACTATTTACAGTAAGGCACTGAAAATCCATTATTTAGTATGACGCTGATTATAGTCTCATTAAATCCTACAACAAGATTTTGAGGTGGGATTCTACTTTTTCAAGTGAGAAAGCTGAGGCTCAGGTAGTTTATGTTACATTACGAAGGCCATACCACTAATAAGTAGAAAACAGGGCTGGGATTCCACACCGTCAAATATTTGCCTGCAAAACCAAAGCTCTTTCCACTAAGTCACACCACATGCCTCACTGCAATGGAAGAAACTGCACACCAGGTCCAAACATTATGCACATTCGTCCTTATTGAAAAGAACAAATTCACTGTAATTTTGCAACTCCTCACAATGCCAGCTGCTATAAACTGTATGAAATTTATGAAAGTTTGGAAAGGTTCCCACCATAATAACATAGTATTTTTCGAAAATAATTTGCATGCTATATAACACACATTATATATAGCAAATAAAAAGCTAACCCTAAGTGACAATACGTGGGCAGATAATGAATCATTTGGAAATATCACGTAGATTTCACATAGAAAATATTGTTATCCATGAAAAGCCCAGGAGTTTCTTAACCCTTTGCTGTGACGTGGAACCACAGCAGAAAGCACCGACAGACCAATAATGTGATAAGCTTAATTCTCTAAAGGGCAGGAGTGAGAGCTTTCTATCCTATAACAACAGTTTGGATGACTTTATATCAAGAGTGAGGAAGAAAATTATACTCCTCTCCCACATATCAAGGGAAATGCTTCCCATGGAGTGACTCAGCCTGAAACCCTAAACCGGAGCACGGTCACAGCATGCTGTAGGCAGTCACAGCAGGCTCCGTATCAGCTGCCTTCGGCATTTGTAGGGACAACACAGAGCGGAGGCTGCCAATTACACCAGAAGCTTCTACCTTGTGAGAAGAGTCTAATCTAGTGGAAGAAAAACAGACACTGACTCTTCATGCTCCAAACTGTGGCTCTTTTCTACTTGATCATCAACAATATGTTCAAACAGCCAGAAGAACACACTCCCTCTCTAGTAAGATAATAATTGTAAACAGTCATATCACTAGCAATTTGCCAGGCACGGCTCTCATTACTTCATATATACTAATTCATACTTCATATATACTGATTCATTCAACTTAATACTTATAGCACTGGACATATTTTTTTCCATATAAAACACAGATATATTAAGTTACCCAAAGTCAGATATCTGAAGTATGGTAGGATCAGTATTTAAACACAAGCTGTCTGGTATGCTAGATACCTATCCAAGAATACTGTGCCAGTATCACCCTACTTATCCTTAATTATTTTTAAGAAAAGCCTAGCATTTAGGAGAACAATCATAGTTACAGGGTGCATTCTGGCAATTGTGGAGGAAATGTAAAATCAGATAACTTGAGACAATTATCTTTATGGTATTCTCTAGGTCCAACATTGAATGATTTGGTTTTGCTGGAATTGGTGTCCCATGAGCTCACTCATCTTGCCCAATAGTTCCACAGCCCCACCTTATTCCAAGAAAGCAAATAAAATACTTATTTGATATATACCAAATATAATCTTAGCATGTTGCAAATTTAACTTTAAATCAATAACTTGATTTTTTATACTTCTTTAATGTACATAAAGAAATTCTTATTAAAAGATACAAATCAAACTCAAGAAAGTGAATGCATTGTATCATTTTTCTAATAGAGTATGGAGGAATGTCACTTACCAATACTGCATTGCAACATGAAAAATCTAATCTTTAAAGCCCCCGATAAACTGATCATGCATATTGAACAGCATGAAAAATGAATGACTTCTATAATCTTCAGGATGATGTTTGTTTCCTGTTATATTTTGGCACTGGCAATTTATTACACAAGAATAGGTTCTAATCATGATATTCTTTGCTTCCTAATTATTCAGGAAAGTCCTTGGAGCAGGAAATCTAGCACTTTTCATGTTGTCTTTGTTATTTAAAAATAGCGTAATAATCATGGAATTGGCACTATTTCTTTAAAAGTCACAGCTAATCTGTTAATTTGTCTTCTCATAGAATCCATTTTAATAATGCTCTTACACTCAGTGTGACATTTCATACTACCAATTTACTGAACAACCATTGATCTTTGTCTCAGTATATTATGGATTTTATATTTATGATAATTTTTATTACCACTTGTTTTAGGAATTTTCACAAATTTATTACTGATTTGTGTATTCTTATGATATAATTAAATGTACCTCCATATTCATTAGCCAATGAAATACAAGTAGCAGCCTATAATACACTGAAGAATTTAGTAGAAATGTCTTTCTTCTAATCAATTCAAATGGAATTTCTATATCTGAGCAATAGCAATTATGAATAAAACATTAGCTATCATAGCAATAATTTATATATTTTATAGTAATGTTTCATATAATACAGGAACTTTTCTTATAAGTACTTAAACACTGGAAAATATATTTTAATAAACAAGCCAAATTCAACATAACCTAAGCCAAACTCAATGCTTTCTTTACTTGACAGATATCACCATAATCCCTTCTTTTAAAACTGGAGGAAAATTTCAGATCACTCTCTCTCTTCCCCTCTCTCTCTCTCTCTGTCAGTTGTTGTATTTTATTATTTTCCAAGATATCCTCTGTTAATTTCAATATTATAAAATCTGAATCCCCACTTTTCCAGTCGTCTTTCATGATCTACGTTATGCAGTCTACACCAATACCCTACTAACTAGTCTCTAGTCTCTAGCATCTTTCCATCACCATATACCATCTTCTCAGTCGTCAAAGTAAACTTCTCGAAGCATAACATTGCTTCTGTCACTCTACCACTTATAACTGTACAATGACTTCATTGTTTGACTCAAGTACGGCATATTTTGATATGCTTGCATTCTTACAGACTTCACTCACTCCCTTCAATTGTGATGGGCTAAATGTGCCTCACCTCCCTTCCTCAAATTTATGCCAAATTTTCCTTTTTATCCATATCATTTCCTTTGTCATTTACCTTAAACCTAATTTTTAAATATTTGTTTCAAATCCTCCCTCTTGTACGAAGACTTCCCTTTCCGTTCCTATCTCCAATGGAATTGTAAAACCCCATATAACCTTAAAGTCTGCTTGTATCACATACAATATTCTGGCTAGACATAGAATTATTTATCTATTAGTTTCTAGCCTTCTTTAAACTATAAATTCCTTGAATGGAGGACACATATCTCTTCATATTTGCATCTCCTGCAGCACCAAGCAGAAAACTCACTCTGAAGAAGATGCTCAGAAATATTTACTTAATGATTGGATTACCACAGCAGCAAAGAGCAGAGCATATGGAAATTTGAAATCATAGGCAAATCAATTTTTAACCAATTTAGAAAGTATTGAGTATAAGACTGCAAGTGATAAAGAAGAAGTAGGCCATTCTGAACTAAATTTTCTTTACTCTTCTTCTTCTTTTTTTTTTTTTTTTTTTGACAGGGTCTGGCTGTCAGCCATGGTAGAGTGCAGTGGCACAATGGCTCACTGCAGCCTCAGCCTCCTGGGCTCCAGCAATCCTCTCACCTCAGCCTGCCAAGTAGCTGGGACTACATGTGCATGCCAGCCTGCTGGGCTAATTTTTTTTTTTTCCATAGAGACAGGGTCTCACTGTTTTGCCCAGTCTAGTCATGAACTGCTGGGCTCAAGCAATCCTTCTGCCTACACCTCCAAAACCTAAATGTAAATATTCGTAATATGATAAATGCATATATTGTACATTCAGAGGCTCTACACAGTTTTGAGTGTGAGAACCATAAGTTATGTCAAAATTTCCAAATATCATATATTTTGTAATCATATTTTTATTATTATTGACTCAGTCAATAGTCATAGACTTTTTTTAGTTTTTTAAAATGCCTATGAAATTATAGATTTGGAACTTCCTTACAAATACCCAGCAGCATTCTCATACCCTCATTCAATCCACAGACTAGGAAGCTTCTAGAATACCTTTGAAACTGGTCTTTTCAGATAATATACATGAAGCATTTATTAGTGTTCCTGGCTCATAATATGTACTCTATAATTAATGTGAGTGATAGTATTCGCTATTACCATCACATCTATCTTCATGTTCTAAGTCCCTATATGTGTTTAACCCTTTTCTCTGCTTCTACTTTATAATATCATCCAACTAATTCCTGATACACATCTCTTATATCCCACAACATCTTTCTGCATAAGTTGACCAGATGCCTTAATTTTTACCTCGTTCACTATCACGTGCTGTTTGGTTCTTTTTCTCCTTTCCACTTCTTGCATTTTATTCTCCCTGTCACCATGTTATTCTTTCCATTCTTATCATTCTTATTGCATTCTCTATATATTGCTTTTTCTGTACTCATCATTTTCCAAGTCTTTTGGTGCCTGCTATTAATTAGTTGTTTCTTTTTCTCTCTTCAACACCTGACCCAACTGCTGTTCATATTTATAGTTGAAAGTCACTTTATGAAATAGACATATTCCTGAAAATCTAGAATAAAAACAAATTTCTTATAAATAAAATCTTACTCTACATATGCAAAGAAACAATATTTTCTTTTTAAAACTTACAGTGAAGTGAATGATCATAGCCTATCACTTGTATCAATGCACACACTAAAAGAGTTGTGCGGTCCTAACTTGAGGTCCTGACACCTCTTTCTTTTACAACCTCTGATTCTAATTCCATAATGTATCTATGACTCCCTGCTTCCTACTCTCTTTTAACACACACACACACACACACACACACACACACACACACACACACACCTCTCCCTTTTCCCTCCCTCTTGATATCTATGAGTCAGACCATACTGTCTCAAGCACAGCATTGCTTTTTTCTCCTCTTTTTCCTTCCTTCTCACTCTCTGCGCCCGTTTGTCCTTCTCCCTGTCTGTTACAGTATTACCACTCTCCATTTTGCCAGGCTGTCTCATCCTCTGCTTTATTTCTATTACAGCTAGAGTGTTTTCCAAGCCTAATTGTGCACCTAACATTTTAGTTCCTTTCCTTCAAGATGTAATACTTGATTTAATTTACCTTTTCCTTTCTCTTGTGTCAAAAAGGTAGTCTCAAGTCAACCTGACTTGTAAACACAAAAGGCAGAGCTGGATCTATCCCCATGAAGAACAGGATCTATGATCCATTCTTATAAATAAATGATACTTTGTCTAGCACAAATGTCAAATAATCTCATAATATCAATATGAATACTTACACTCAGCATATTTCTGAAGTTGGGAAAATTCCGAAGGGCTGAGGTGGGCCCATTTTTCCTGGTTTGTCATGGTGGTGGTGAGAAGCTCTGTCACATACCAGGTAAAAGATTCTTTATTCAGGTGTTGCGCAGAGGTCTATGCTTCAAAGATTCCACATGGCATGTTTCATGATAAAATACCTCAGGCTTTCAAAATATGCAATCTGTCCACATGAAACTGCTTTGGATGCTTGTAATTTCAATAATGTGTTAAAGAACTGCAAAAAAAAAAAACAGATCAAGATCAAAAGATTAACATGATTGCACAAAGGAAAAAAATGTCAAGGTGTTGAATGTTAAATACTTTTTAAATCATATAAATTAAGAGTACAAATTGTGAGAAGAATCTTATAAAGCACATTTTCATAAATGTACATTTTTATGTCTAGTTTTACAAACTCCACATTCCACGAGTAGACAGTGGTATCATTTTTATCAGTCTGTACCAATTTTTTAATATGTAAACATTACATATAAAATCTAGACCTAAATTATCCAAGGAGGCTAAAATAAGCTCTCTAGCTCCCTATACATATGATTTGCTAGTTTACAGTATAGACTGCCAATAATTGCTTGGAATGTTCATCAGCACTAGCATATATATTTCCAATCATATGAATTAATTTTGGAGAAGTCATATAATTTGTTCTAGCAATCAAATAAAGATTAAGTTTTAGTTTTATGATTTAAAAAAATTCAAAAGATTGGCCAAATTAAAGCAATTCCAAATGTCTGAAAGACTTGTGTAATGACAGTAGATGATTCTATTGTGAATCACGCTTTAAAATAAATCTCTAGGTTGTCATGGACCTACATTCACTGGCTATATCTGTAAAGGCAAACAAAATGAAAAACCATCTGGTTTCAACATTTTTATCAGAGACTATAATCAATTGCTCAATAATCAGCCAGATTGGCACTGTATTCTTTACAGAAAATGAAGTATTTAGTAAGAGTTACTTTTTTGTAAAATTGTAATCATTGCAAGGTTTATTTATACAGATGTCATTACTTAAAGTCACCTTACTTCTACAGACAAGACTCATTTGGTCTTAGTGCCTTGCCTTTCTTCAACATCTCTTTACTGTCTTCCAATATCAACCCCAGGACCTCACTGTCAAATCCTGTCATCCTTGTCTTTAAAAACTGTTCTTTTTGGTCTCGTGGGGTCACGTCCCTGTACTCTGTTTTACAATATGGTAGTTTAATATACAATGGGGAAATGATGATATTGATGTGCTCACAGAGACCAAACTGCTGGATATCTTTTCTCTTTTCTCTCCCAAGGGCAACCATGGGTTTGGGGAAGCAACACAAGTGAAAGAGAATGGGAATATGCAATGACAATTGTGGACATCTTCCACCCAGTTTCCTTCTGCTGATTTCATCTTTCACACTAATTTCATCCTAACTGTCTGTCTCTCTCTGGTTACAGGCAGTTTTGGTGGGACTGTGAAATGATGTGTTCTGTCCTCCTCTAACCAAAGGGAGACAGATGATTCTGTCACATTGGCACATTACACACCTGTCTCCCAGGGCTTTAAATGTTGAGTGGAGTGATTCAATGACAGGGTGAAAACAGCTGTACCTAAATCATAACAGAAATAATTGGATACTCATTCCTGTCTAAACCTGACTCTCCAGCTATCTTGTCACTTCCAGAAGCTTGTGATATTCTTTTAATAAAGGATTAAGGCCAGGCAGGTGGCTAATGCCTATAATCCCAGCACACTGGGAGGCTGAGGCAGGAGGATGGAATGAGCCCAGGTGTTTGAGACCAGCCTGGACAACATAACGAGACCCCATCTCTACAAAAAAAACATTAGTTGGATGTAGTGGTGCACATCTGTGGTCTCAGCTACTCAGGGGGAATAGTGGGGGAGCTGAGGTGGGAGAATCACTGGAGCCCAGGAGGCTGAGGCTGCAGTGAGCTGTGATTATGCTGCTGTACTCCAGCCTGGGCAACAGAGCAAGATTCTGTCTTAAAAAAAAAAAAAAGGATTAAATGTATACATATACCAAGACATCACACTGCACCCTATAAATACATACAATTATTATTTGTTAATTAAATTTTAATAACTTTTTTTTTTTTTTTTTTTTTTTTTTTTTTGAGACGGAGTCTCGCTCTGTCGCCCAGGCCGGACTGCGGACTGCAGTGGCGCAATCTCGGCTCACTGCAAGCTCCGCTTCCCGGGTTCACGCCATTCTCCTGCCTCAGCCTCCCGAGTAGCTGGGACTACAGGCGCCCGCCACCGCGCCCGGCTAATTTTTTGTATTTTTAGTAGAGACGGGGTTTCACCTTGTTAGCCAGGATGGTCTCGATCTCCTGACCTCATGATCCACCCGCCTCGGCCTCCCAAAGTGCTGGGATTACAGGCGTGAGCCACCGCGCCCAGCCAATAACTTTTTTTAAAGTCAAGGATTAAGTGAGCCAGAATAAGTTTTTAATTGCCAACAAGGCAAAAATCTTAACTGGTAATAACAACGGTTTATTTGTTTATTCAAATATTTGTTGAGCCTTGCTGTCTGCCAGAAAGCTTTCTAGGCAATGAAGCTAGAGCAAAGATCAAAACATAAAAAGATGAAAATAATGCTATTCCAACAATGTGTCAGCTTTATTGAGAGCTTACAGTTACACGAAAGGCAGTCTCCTAATCACATGACTGTATTAGGTCATTCAATCTTCAGAAAGCAACTCTGTGAGGTAGGTGCTAATAGTCTCCCCTTTTGACAAATAGAGAAAGTGACACTGGTGACTGAATCTGGTAGGTGTAGCACAGACTGCTCCAAGCCCACCCAGTATCCATTCTCTTTTGCTTACTTGGTAACAAGAAAGATAGTGAAAATAAATCTGTTTAAATGACTGCATTCCCTAGATTTCTTACATGAAGAAGTGGCCAATGAGATGTAAGTAGATGTTGGTGAAGCATATAGAAAAGTTCTATTAGAGGAAATAGTTGCTGGCAAGTGCCCTTTCAACCTTTTATTCTTTTCCTCCACCTTACCACCTGAAATGGTGACATGTTGGCTGCAAACCCAGAAGTTTCTTGTACTAAATAGACAACTTTAATATGGAGGCTATGTGTTAGGGATAGGAAGCCCACATAAACTAGACAGGGGTAAGCAAATAACTAATCAGGGAACAAATTTGGTCCACCACCTGTTTTTGTAAATATAGGTGATTGGAGCACACAGCAATAGGTTGTTTTTGAAGGGATTTCAATACTAAATAAAGAGGCTTGGGCATTATCCTCAGGGAAATAAGATACAACAAAAGGACTACAAAAAAACCCAGAAACCTGATCACTCTTACATTTCTGAAATGTCAGTATCTTCATTGAGTTCCTTTCTCTCTCACTTGCATTGTTGTGATAGCTTCTTAACTCGCTCCCTGAGCTCTCTCCCTTTCTTAACATGGCCATTTCCCAAACCCCCTTGGTGTCCTTGGATGGTCATGAACTAGGATGATTCCTGAGGCCTGTCTGACAAATTACCAACAACAAGTTAATTAATAAGTTATAATTGTAATAATTATCTTAATTATATCTTTCCACCTGCCTACCTGCTCTGAAATTAATTAAAATCCCCCAGCTGGGCACGGTGGCTCAAGCCTGTAATCCCAGCACTTTGGGAGGCCAAGGTGGGTGGATCACTTGAGCTCAGGAGTTCTAGACCAGCCTGGGCAACATGGAGAAACCCTGTCTCTACCAAAAATACAAAAATTAGCTGGGCATGGTAGCATGTGCCTGTAGTCCCAGCTACTCAGGAGGCTGAGGTGGGAGGATTGCATGGGCCCAGGAGGTAGAGGTTGCAGTGGGCTTTGATTGCACCACTGTACTCCATCCTCAGTGACAGAGCAAGGCCCTGTGTCAAAAAAAAAAAAAAAAAAAAAAAAAAAAAAAAAGAAAGAAAGAAAAAAAGGAAGAAAAATATCCCCCAGTTCATTATGAGAAATTCAAATTTAAAATGACTGGTGAACTGCCATCCTTAGATCTGTACAGGAATGCTAACCATGTATCAAGGCTCACCTGGTTATTGAATTTAAAATTGCACACTCATACAGACCATCCCTTCATTCATTTTTTACATTTGTTTTGAATATAACATTTTAACATCAAATACTTCATTTATTTATATTATTTAACATTTGTCTCCACACACTACAATTAGGGGAAATATAAGTTGTTTTGAGCCCTGATGGAATTTCACAAAAAGGACAAAACACCTAAAAGTACTAGGTTTGCCCTTGATTTTCATCCAACCTATATATTAGATTCTGCATCACCATCCTGCGCTACACTCCACGATGTAAGCCCCATGGAGGGCAGGAATTTTTGTTCATTTGTTCACTGCTGTTTTCCCAGTGCTTAGAAGAGTGCTTGGTATATAGTCTCAGGTCAATGAATATTTCTTGAATGAATTCACTTATTTCCTTTTTGTTCATAAAGAAAAGGTTGAGTGGAAGAATTAATTAGAAGGAGGCCCTGAGGTTGAGAAAGAGAAAATAGTGCATAAAGGAGACAAGAACAGAAGTCACTCTGGGTTTCAGTTTTCCTAGGGACTACATCCATTTTCTTCAACTGAATGGGCATTAAAAAAAAAAAAAGAAGTGCACTTTCAGGTACAAAGCTTTTACAGTTGAAAATGGGTGGCATTATTTCACACATTTTGTGAATTTTTTAAGTAAAACTAACTCCATATAAATAAGCATCATTCCCAAGGGATGCCTTGTGATGTCAGCTAACCAATTTACCATAACAACACTTACACATGACCACCAAGTATATTTTTATTTATCAATATCTAACAAAAACACCACTTAACTTTCTTTGATTTAGCATGACCTGGTCAACTTAGGTCTTCACTTTTTATAACAAGGACAGCTTCTCTGGATTGATCTACCCCTATTTGCATTTTGACAAGTGATATTTACAAAATAATGGTATCTCTGAGTGGCTCAAAGTAAATTTACTTTGGCTGTTGGATTTGGTTTATTCCAATACCAAAATGCTTTGAATAAATCCTCTCTTTCTCACCTTTCTTCTAGTGTAAGCCATTGGTTTCTCATAATTCTCATAGTTCTAACCCTCATCACGTGATATGACATGTAGCTAAATAGTAAAAATAAGGGTTGGTTACAAGTGAGGAATTTTTTCTTAGTCAAATCTTTTTACTAGCTGAACTGGCATACACAAGCCTATGAAAAAAGAAATGTTTCACGTGTAATTTCAAATACAGAGGCACAGCTATATCTCATGCCTCAGAAGGTAATGAAAATGATGGCAGCACATTCTTATAGTCCCCGCCTCTTCATAAATGGGTAGAAAGAATGTGACAATATTCAGCTGAGATTCCCTGCGGTGCATTCACAAGTTTCCTGTTCCCCTGCAGAAGTCTTTCTTTAGGCACATAAAATGAGTGTCAGGAGGGATCCACTTTGCTGGCTTTTAGCAAGCAGTCTAATTCTGGCTTTCTCTTCTAGTCAGTGGATGTGCCACTTTGCTTAGTTTGTAGCAGGAAATAACTACGTTGGAAGAGTTGAAGAAAGCTCTTTGGGCCACTGTACCTGGGCTAAAGCACAATCCCTATAATTAGGCGAGAAATCAACCTACTCGTGAAGACGCCATTCGGCAATATCTAGATGAGTCAATCTATTGGGTTGGACGCATCATCTGTGAGTCACATTAAGTGTAGATTTATAAGTAATTATTAGAAGTCAGTATTTCATGACTTCAATAATTGAAGAGAAGTTAATAAACATTAAGACATACTGGGCCGGGCGCGGTGGCTCATGCCTGTAATCCCAGGACTTTGGGAGGCCGAGGCGGGCGGATCACGAGGTCAGGAGATCGAGACCATCCTGGCTAACACGGTGAAACCCCGTCTCTACTAAAAATACAAAAAAATTAACAGAGCGTGGTGGTGGGCACCTGTAGTCCCAGCTACTCGGGAGGCTGAGGCAGGAGAATGGCGTGAACCCAGGAGGCGGAGCTTGCAGTGAGCCGAGATGGCGCCACTGCACTCCAGCCTGGGCGACAGAGCGAGACTCCGTCTCAAAAAAAAAAAAAAAAAAAGACATACTGAAGAATATACGTATACTGGGTCTCAAAGGTCATAAACTCCAAACTGTAAGATTTCCAACAGAAAAAAATCCTAGGGATGGGAAAGGATGCAGAGCCAAAATAAAAACTACAGAATTGCTGAAGAAGTAGGATGAAATTACATGGAATATAAATTCTATAGGTTGGTTTATAATTGCTTGTTCATTTAACCATAAAAAGAAGTCTAAATTTGAGACCCAATGAATGAGATGCAAGGCATCATGCCAGACACTGGGGATGTAGTGTTATGCTAAACAGATATGATACGTGAGCTATTAAATTGTGTTTAGGGGGAAAGAGCTACAATAACTAAACCAACTACACCCATAAATAAATGCAAACTGTGATAAGTTATATGAAAAAAGGCAACAAAGTCTATAAAACTACAACAGGAAGTCCTGATTTCATTTAAGAGATTCAGAGAGCAATTCAGAAAGCCAGGTTTATTTAAACTAACTGACAAAAGTTAAATAATTTTAAACTTGAATGAAGATTAAAAACATCCTGAGCAGAAACTTAGAAGTAAAGAAAAAAACTACAAATATTATAAAATCTCAAAAGAAGTCAGTTATGACTGGATCCTGGTAAGCAAGAAGTAAAGGAGCACATGATTAGACTGGAAAAATTAAAAAGAGCTACATAATTGAGATTATTAGAGGCCATGTTAAGGACAGTACAATTTGTCATAAGTAAATTATGAAACCATTGAAATATTTTTGTGCAGGAGATTAACATGACTGATTTATATTTTAAGAAGTCCACTTTAATCAGTGGATATGAATAGGACAAGAATGGAAGGGGGAAGACCAATTAAGAGGCTGTTCCAATATTGTGTGAGAGCTGGTGGCTTTAGGGAATGGCAATAAAGATCAAGGTTGAAAACTGAACTCAAGACATATTTTTGAAGTAGGACTTGAAAATGAATAGGATAAGTTCTGTGCAGAAAGAGGGGATCAAGAATGACTCCTGTATTTTGGCTTGAGTGCAGGAAATGGAAAGGTAGAATTTAAACAATTTCCAAATACTAGAATAGAACCAGGATTGATGAGAACAGAAAAATCACTATGTTGTTTTGGGATGTATTAAGTTGAGATGATTATCATATATCTGAATTGAATGTACTAGTAGATTTTGAGTTAAGCTTAGAGCTAAGATAAGAGATAAGAGGTATAATATTATCAGTTTTCTATATAGATGATATTTCAAGAATTGGGAATGGCTGTTTGCCTGATGTGGTGACAAAAAGCTATTCCCCTAAGCTCTGCTTCAAAATAGAACTTGCCATTCAGGGCAAAGACTGCAATTAGCAGTCTGTACTTCTTAGAGCCTGTACTTCTTCTTGTCTTCAGAAGTCAACTTAGGTTTTGAACTGAGGTCACACTTTTCCCAGACAAGAATCAATAACAAAAAGATGATGGATGTATTAGGACCATGATATTTCTGTACAATGGAGACCCCTTAAATGGTCCATATTTGTTCCAGAGCTCCCCAATGGGCTGGTTGAGAATTTATCAGGTCTGCACTGTGGTCTGAGGCTATTTCTGACCAACCCTGCATATCCCCTTCTCTTTTCAAAAGCATCAGTTTTGTATTACAATCTGAAAGCTTTCCTTGCCCAATTCTGCTTGCTTTTTTCCCCTTTTTGTGTTTCATAGGAATAATTATCTGATATGTGTTTGCATCCCTATCTCCATATTGGTGTTTGTTTCCTAGTGAAGAATCCCACATGTCAGGATCCCAGTAGGAAACAGATGGCACACTTAAAATTGATAATTAAGAGTTTAATGAAAAGATTATTTAGGAAATGTGGACAGGTAAGGAAAGCTATTGGAGACTAATGCAGTATCCTGAACTAGCAATAGTAGGCAACTTATTGAACATCCTGAAGGGACTAAGGATGTTTTAGCTAACAAACCCCAGAGTAGCTGTATATAGAGGGTCATCTGATAGGAGTAGCTATAATTTGAATATTTGTCCCCCTCACTGCTGCTGAAATTTAATTGCCATTGTAACAATATTATCAAGTGGGACCTTTGAGGGGTATTTAGGCCAGGACGGTTTCACCCTTCTAGATGGGATTAATGCCTTTATAAAAGGGCAAGTTCAGCCTCCTTTGCCCCTTTGCCCTTCCATCTTCCACCATGTGACAATGCAGCAAGAAGGCCCTCACCAGATGCTGGCACCTAGATCTTGGATTTCCCAGCCTCCAATACTGTTATAAAATAAATTTCTCTTTATTATAAATTACCCAGTATCAGTAATTCTGTTAAGAGCAGCACAAAACGGACTGAGACAGGAGTCATTTCCTTTGATAACAGGACACATTTCTTTTTGGATGACCTAGCTGGGCATGAGGTGGAGTAATAAATTACCTAATGTTATCCTCCAAATCTCCATTCTCCTCCAGTGCCTCACACTGACCAAACCTCACCATAAGCCAGAGGACACAGACCACCACTGATCAGTCTCACCAATTTCAAACAATCTCAAGAGGCACAGAGCCTCAAGACAAGGATAAAGGGAGGATCTAAAGGGGAAAAATAGACACTATCCATCACATATGGGGCAAGAGTGTAGTGGAAGAAGGAGACACAGAACAAAGCTCTGAGGAGACGAGTTCTTATATTTAGAGATTAGAGGTGGAAAAAGCCTCCCCCACTTTATCCTACCTCAACCCATCCCCTAAAAACAAGTGAAAGAATATGGTGTCAAAAAAGACAACAGAAGAGAAAGAAAAGAATCCCTCAAGGAGAGACTAGAAGACACTTTTCAAAAGTTTCTGAGCAATTAAATGACAATTGAAGCATCCATTGGCAACATGGTGGCCACTGGTGACTTTAGCAATAGCAATTTCTTTGAAGCTGGGCAAGTTAGATAGTAAAGGTGGCATGATGAAACTGAGTACAGGAAGTGAAGACTGACTCATCAACCCTTGGAGAGTATGATTGTGAGAAGCAGAGAGACAGAAGTAGTTATCCAGAGAAAAAATATGAAATCGAGAGACTTTTTTTTTCTTGTAGAAATTACTGGAATCGATTTTAAAGTTAATGAGAAGAGTTTATTAGTGAGACTGGTTCAAACTTCAGGAGAGAGAAGCTGAGTAGTGTTTTAAACTCCTTAGAAAAGAGGGAGAGATAAGTCCCAGAAAGTCTGTGAGGGCCAAAATTAATCTTAAGGATGGATACAGATGCAAGTAGTTTTGTGGATTTAGTGTTTAGGAAATGGAGGATGTCTGGTTGATTACTTCTGTTTTCTCAATGATGTATAAGTCTTAGTGATGAACTGAGAGTTGAGTTAGGAGGAAATGATGGGGGAAGAGGGAAATAACAGTGTGAATATATGAAAAAATTACCTAAAAATGTGGTGAAGTGATCTCACTAAAGACATAGTAAAAACAGCAGAGTTAAAAGCCAATTGCATATTACTATTCATTAACTTAGAGCTACAACAATCAGCTTCCTCTTAATTATTAATTTATAGACTAAGGAATCTAAAGGACAAATAATCATATTCTTACACATTTGAGTTAGATAGACCTGCATCCTCATTCAGTTTCTGAGCTATGTGTCTTCACTGTGTAGTGAATCATTAAATCTATCTGAGCCTCACTTTCCTTTCTCATGAAAAGTAGATAATATCTCCCACTTCACAGAGCATTAGCATTTAAAGAAATAGCATGTGCACAGTACATAACAAATAAGAGACTCTCAATAATGGTTATTTTCTCTTTGCTTTTACAAGTAGAATTGCTTTTATTAGTAGAATTGAAATTGGACATATATACAGTACATATACGGGGGAAAAGATTGGAAATCTAAACTCTTTTAGAGGAGTATGTGGGTGGCTTAATATAAAATTCATAATTGTGTTATTTTTGGACTCTGCTGACACAAAAAATCTAAAAGAAAAAATTCAAGGGAAATCTTTGGTGATGCAAAAGAGGAAAATATAGCAAGCTTTGTACTGTGTATGTTTTTAAAGTTAAGATTTTGAATTTGGTTTATTATCTTATTCTTGTTAAGAAAGTTCCTTCAAGTGAATTTTCTATTCTCTTTCTTTTCACTTATGATTTTAAAATATCTTTTAGTATTGAGACTGGCAGGTTAGGTGAAAATAAAGATAGATTCTATCCATAGGGATAGAATCTTCTCAATATGAAATAATGTAAAATGCTATGATAGATCCTATTTTCCAAGAATGATGATACGATACCTTTCATCTCACATGGTCTTCAGGAACACTGTTATACTTCTTCAGCAGGTGGTGTCTATGGCTTCTCCCCTTGCACTTAATACCTTTGTGACTTTCTGAAGCTATACCTTATAGCAGAAGTGATGCTCTGCATGTACATCATAAATTGTCACACACTTCAGCCTTTCTTTCTTGGGATACTTGTTCTTGGAAGCTTGCCAACATATCCAAAGAATGCTCAAAGTAGCTCATGTGAAGAGATCACTTGAAGAAGCCATGTATAAGTGTAACAGGAAACAGCCCAGATGAAGTCACAGTCAGCAAGCCAGCTTCCACCCCCAAACATGAGTAAAGACGCCTTCAGATGATTGCAGCCCAAGCTGTCTGCCTAGTAGCCCCATTCTCCAACCTTGAAGTTTTCTCAGCTGAGCTACCAGGATACCATAGAACAGAAACAAGCCAATTCTACTATGCCCATTCTGAATTCCTGGCCTACCAAATCTATAAACACAGTAAAACGATTATTTTACAGCACTAATTATTGGTAGTTGGTTATGCAATAGTAACTACAACAAGTTACTTCAGGTAACATTTGACACATATAAAATGAAATTAAAATACTGTTACTATTCCAGTTATTATTATTATATTTTAACATATGCTGAAAGAAGTATATGTGTGTGTATGTTTAACTCTTAATTTATTAAGTTATTATTGTTACCATTTTTACATTTTAGCATATGCTGAAAGAAGTGTGTGTGTGTGTGTGTTTGTGTGTGTGTGTTTAATTTAATTTACCATTCTTACATTATATAGCCAGGTGCATATTGTTTATCAATTCTCATCTCCCTCTGAAGTGAATAATAAGGAAGGGCTTTGGTAGTTGAATATAAATATTTAATCCAAGTTTTCTTCTTGCTTTGGACTTTGCAAAGAGGAATAGCTAAAATAGTGAAAGTCAAAAAAAAAACAGAAATCAAGCATAGTACACTGGAAAAAGAAAAAGGTTCTAAGCCCAGAAAAAGAAAAGATCCATTTTGTAGGACATGTTTTGTTATTTTTGTTATATTTGTTTTTGTCTTTCATAAAAATTTTCCTAATACAAATATGAGCCCAAACGAAGAGGAGAAAAATGACTACGAATAAAGGATAACTCTTTCCTTCCCCGCCAGGATAGAATACCGATTAAAGAAGAATGCAGTTGAATGGCTTTCTCAATCTATCTGACCTGGGGCTTTTTCAACAGAAACAGATATTTCCTAGAATGTTGATTATTGCAAATTGATAAATTTATCTTTATTTTCCATCCCCAGCTTAAGAAAACAGAAACTTACCAAAAATAATTTTCCAGTGAAAAACTCCTTTCCCAAGGACACTATGATATAATACATATTCTGACTTTGTATTGAATTAGGAATTCATGTGCTAACCAATTATACAATTTTTTCTATTAATTAAAAAATTATAAATTCAGTAACGAGCACTTCCTGGAAACTGATGATTGCGGGCAAAGAACTAATATCTTTCAAACCTTTAATCCCTGGAAAATAATCTACTCTAATGCTGTTATTCAACCTCAAAACAGAGTACAAAATTGCCTAAGGAAAATCACTATTGAAGCACGCGAGGGACTTTTTTACCAAACGATATTTGATGTCTGCACTGAGAAACAAATAATGCTTGTAGTAAATTCACAGTATAAAAACAGAGAAATGGACTCAATTTACACAGCATAGATGTCACCAATAGAAAAATACATATTTTGACTGTATATGCTTTTATTTTCTTCTGAAAGCATTGCCTTATACCTTTCATGTACATACTGGCTCACCAAATATACCACTAAGAAACATTTACAATATCATTTTCTCACTTGTTTTCTGTATTGTTGCTACTACTAAAATCTATAATATTGCCTTTTTCTGCTTGATAGAATATTAAGTGTGCTTTGTTTAAAAATTATACATGACTAGGAATGTTTAAGCCATAAATTGCAAACACTTTTAGAAGTGAGTTTAAAACATTTTTGAAATATAATTATTCTTTAAAATTTATCAGGCCGGTCACAGTGGCTCACGCCTGTAATTGGGAGGCCGAGGTGGGCGGATGACGTGGTCAGGACATCGAGACCATCCTGGCCAACACGGTGAAACCACGTCTCTACTGAAAATACAACAACAACAACAAAAAATTAGCCGGGAGTGGTGGTGGGCGCCTGTAGTCCCAGCTACTCGGGAGGCTGAGGCAGGAGAATGGCGTGAACCCACGAGGCGGAGCTTGCAGTGAGCCGAGATTGGGCCACTGCACTTCAGCCTGGGCGACAGACCGAGACTCCGTCTCAAAAAAAAAAAAAAAAAAAAAAAAAATTTATCATAAAATGGTAATTGGTAGAAACCTCACATGACATTCTATTAGTAAAATATATTTTGCTTTTATCCCTCTGGTCATTGAATTACTTCACACCTTTATCACATCTTGCCTGACTCATTAGCAGTAAGCTCCCTTTATTTCATTATCTGCGGTAAGATCAACATACTGTTTCCAAAAGTCTATCTGCATATGATTTCCTCATCTGGCATCTTTTAATAATTTTATATTACCCATAGGATTATATGCGATTTGCCAAGTTAAACGTATATAATTTAGCCATACACTCTGAACTGATTAGCATGTGACATTTCAGTAAGGTAACTCTGGAGCTTAATCTGCCTAAAACTGTCACTTTGATATTTAAATTCTTTATACCTGATTCTCATGGTGAGCAAAAGGATAATATAAATGATCTCAGGAGGACTAAATCTGTTGTGTAAGACACTTAATACCTGCCACAACGTTTATTATAGTAGATCAGCAGTCCCCAACCTTTTTGGCACCAGGGACCGGTTTCGTGAAAGACAATTTTTCCATGGACGAGGGGTGGAGGCAGGTGGTTATGGAGTGGGGGAGATGGTTTTGGGATGAAACTGTTCCACCTCAGATCATCAGGCATTAGATTCTCATAAGGAGTACATAACCTAGATTCTTCACATACACAGTTCACAGTAGGGTTTGTGCTCCTATGAGAATCTAATGCGGCTGCTGATCTAACAGGAGGCGGAGCTCAGGTGGTAACACTTCCTGGCCCACTGCTCACCTCCTGCTGTGCAGCCCGGTTCCTAACATGCCACAGACAAGTACTGGTATGAGGCCTGTGGGCTGGGGACCCCTGTAGTAGATGACTGAACTGAAAGAGGGGTTGTTAGTACGAGCTATGATTTTCTTTTTAATCTATAGAAGTTTATCCACAGAATTACAAAATAACTGATTGATTAATAAAATTGGTCTACTCTGTGTTACGTGGCCTATATGAAGGGAAATAGACACGTAATAGCTCTTAAAACCAAAGAATGATTTAAAAAAATGAACAAATTCTGAACTGGAATAATTGCATGATGAGATGTAATGCATTCAAGAGAACCCAAGAGACACCCTTCAAATGAACAGAAACTCTAAAAAAACTGAACCATATTATAAAGGCTCTAATGTAGGTTTCTAAAAAAAGCTACTAGAAATAAATTACTCCTTTTTAAGACAAATTCAAGGTGTGAAATGAGGTTGTAATATTTTAAATTAGGTCTATCTCAAAAAAAGATTGGTGAACAGCAGCAGCTGTTTGGAGATCAGCAGAGAAATAGCATGCCTCAGCCTCTCCTGGTTAGAATGAACTAAATTTAGCAACACTTGGAAATCCAGGGAGAGCCTAAATCACACAGTGACATTGACTTTCAACTAACAGATTCCTTCTTCAAGGTTCCTTCAGAGACAAAATATATATCCCTTCTACTTAGGTATATAGTTTTAATCTTGAGGTATTTATTATAAATATGTGCTACATATAACATAGTAGGACATACTAGAAAAAAGATCTAGAACTGAAAATTTGATTACATAAACCTGTATTTGCATTGACCAACAGACATAGCTGACCTCCAACCCAAATAAGCACACGTGCATTCACACACAAACACACACCCACACACAATACATACATACCCCCATGCATATGCACACATTTTGTCAGATGCTGATTCAGCATTTTGCCTTCCTAGGTTATAGGTGAGTAAGTTCTTTAAGGAAAGTCTCAGTTATTGCTTTACTTACCAAAAATTCTTTTGATCATAATGTTTTTGGAAAGCCCAGATTCTTTTCATATTTAATTTCTTGTCCTCATTTTCATTCCTAAATATTAACACCTTATTTGATGTGGATTAGATAGGACTTTTGATATAATTTCAATTCTATTTCTGTAAAGAGCAACTCATATATATCTTTGAAAAATATTTATCCTGATTAACTTATCATAAATAATAGAAACATAAAACTTTAACATGAAGTATGTAGGACACACTATATTAAAATATTGCTACTTTTCTAGTAATACTAGTAGTATTTAGTGACAATATGCTAATTTAGATAATGTGTATATATATATATATACACACACACACACACACATAATTAACATACTCCTAAACCTCTACAGTGCACTTGAATTTTGAAGCACATATGCCTATCAAGTTTAATGACAGATAAAATCAGATCTAAAAGTCAGATATAAGTCTAATGGCATTAAGAATACTTTTTATAAGGAACCCATAAGTGAATCACTTTCAACTTATGAATGTTTCCTTATTAGTCTCCTGAGGCTTATTTCTAAGAGTCGTAAAATTCCAGATTAAAATTTGAAAACTACCTCAGTAGAACAGAAAACACAAAGATCCTGAACTATCCTTTGAAATAAGATTCTCATTGAAATACAAAAATAAAAGTATACAACTATGATTGATGTTTTTTCAATTGGTAAGCCTATATTTTATTCCACATTCACAGAAAACTCACCTTTTAAATTCCAGATGTTAATACCACTGTTTATTATTTCTATGCTTCTTTTATTCTTTTACTGAATGTGAAATATATATAGTATCCACACATTATAGTACCATTTTACATGTTTGAACTTTTATAAAACTTGTATCAGATGGCCTTTTAATGCAACTTGCATTTTTTACTCAAGTTTTTCAGATGTATTCATATTAGTGCACGTGGCTCTGTCTCATTGATGTCACTGCTGTAGAGTAAAAGTATTCATTGTGTGTGTGTATATATATATAAAATTTATTCATCTAGTATTCTATTAATGAAGATTTAGGCTTTATTTTTAATTTTTCATTATTAAAACCAATAATGCAAAAACATACCCACACTTCTCTTGGACACATTATTATGCATTGTATTACTGGGTTTTAGGGTATGCTTTATTATAGGCTGCCAAATTCCTCCCAAACTGGACTTACTTTAGTCAGCTTCTTAAGTATTTGCCCATAAATGAGTATGGGGAACACACCTTAGGGTAAGCACCCATGAGTCACCCCTAACCTCAGCTCCCCTCCCCTTGCATGTGGGTAAAACCTGAAACATGTTCCTGACCAATAGAACATGGCAACATGAATGGGATGTCATTCCCTACATTAGATGACATTATATGTCCAACCTCAGGTGCAATCAAAATTCCTAGTCAGTTGACTTTAAGTTCATCGAAAGAAGCTTATTCTGGGTGAACTCCATCTAGTAGATGAATTTTTAAAAATAAGGTCTAGAGGTAAGAGAATTGAAGCAGCAAGGAAGATCTCTCTCTCTCTGTCTCTCTCTCTCTCTCTCTCTCTCTTCCACCCAACCCCCTGCTGTGTGTGTTTGTGTGTGTGTGTGTGTGTGTTGCTGGCACTGAAGGAGCAAGCTTCTATGAATTCCACAGGTTCAAGGGAATACATTCTGTCAACAACCTGAAGGACCCCCAAAGTGGATCTTTCTCTAGTCAAACTTTCAGATGAGAATACAACCCACAGACACTTCGATTTCAACCTTGTGAGACGTTAAGCAGAGAATTCACCTACACCAGGCTCAGATTCCTGATCTACAGAAACTGAAATAATAAATAGCGGATGTTCGAAGCTGCAAAATTTGTGGTAATTTGTTAAAACATAAAGTAATAGAATGTTTATGAGATGGCATCTTATTTTTGTTTTATTTTCCATATTTAAAATTCTAAAACACTAAACATATTTTTATGTGCTTTTTGAAACATCAAATATTCTGTTCAATAAACTGCCTATTTATATCATTTTTCCATGTTTCTATTGGGATGCTTTCCTTTTTCTTTTTTATATATAGGGGTTTTTCATATATAGCTTCTTTGTTTAAAGCATTTTTCAGTTGGTGGTACTAGTTGGTGCCTTTTTTGTTAGGATTTTAAATTTTACTTTATTTAAATGTATCAATACATATTTTATAATTTATTATACACTTTTTTCATACCACATTCAGTTTTAACTATCTCAGTTAAGAAACATGAAGTCTAGAAAATATGTGTCCAATGTGAATGTATCTTTGGCCATATGGATAATTATTTATTTGACTGGTGAACCTTTATAATTAATGCTCAAAGGATAGTAGTTCTCAGCCATTATTAAGGCTTATATTCCAGTCACATATAACAGCATTTTTCATTGTAATGCAAATGGATATTCATGACAGGAGTGAGGAACGGGTATTTGATGGTAAAATTGTTTTCCAATATTAACAATCAGCAGTTTAAAAACATACCCTGGAACCAATTTTAGGGCTTCTCTTTTGCTTTAAATTGCCACAATACAATGCTGCTTCGCTGGAAACAGCCAGTATTTCAACGTATTTATGTTCTTGCCACAACCAAATTGTCTACAGCAGATATCTAAGTTCAAGAATGACTACAATTTAACTGTAGGCCTTTGAAAATAAATAGTAATACACATCAAAGAAAAATTATGAACATACTTTTCTCTTACTTATTTTAGGATATGAATGTATTTCTTCTGAGAAAATAAAATAGAAAATATGTACAGAAAAATATGAATATATGAAAAAGCAATGAAAGACTTTTGTGAAAGGGTACAGTAACCTCCATATTTGATTAAGATATTGCCCTGTGGAGCAGGAACAAACAAGATTTGTTAAGTGGGATGGCAGCTTCAAAGGGTTATGCAGTAATTACTGGGTCTGCAGAAGGTGGATTATCATTAGGTGGCAGAGCACCGTGAGGGATATTAAGTTGTCACGGTGTCAAATGGCAAGAGATCAAGGAGTAAAGGAAAAGAGAAAGATCAACCAGATCAGCAGAAAGCCGAGATATGAGTAGGAGCTTTAGGTAATTGACCAAAATATAGAGACAAAGTAAATCATCAAGGCAGTTGATAAAGACTAGCCAGCAAAACAGATTACAGATATTCTAACCAAACATTTATTGAGTGACAAGTGCATGTCACTGTCATAGGTTCCGGGAAAAGTAAACATGATTAAGCAGTGCCTCAGATTTCAATAATCTCAGTCTATTAGGGAAAACAGACAAACATATTCATCTTCATAGGAGACAGCTTGATAAATAACAGAATGCTTGGGAAGCATAGAGGTGAAAGTGTGATTCTAACTGGAGTCAGTAGAGAAACCAAGAAAGAGGAAGTGGAATCAAAGTCTGACCTGGGATTATGTGTTGTTCACCAGGAGCAAAAGAGAGAACAGGAGAGAAGGCAAATTCCAGGCAGCAGAAATGTCATGATCAGTAATCAAGAAATGATCGAGGCAGAGAGTATGGGGTGTGGGTGGATGTTGGAAATAGAAACTGAGGTCTGGGAAAAAAAGCAGTTTGTACCTGGACAAAAGACCTGAATATCAAGAAAAGAGGAAGGTAAAAAGGGAGGCAGAGTCAAAGTCTGAGGCTCCTTTGTCAGTCTCAGTAATGAGATTTGATTTCCCAGTTATATGTGAAAGCCACAAAATGTTATTACTTCATTAGATATATTTGTTCAGAGTCAGAAACGGACTATATAGGTGAGTCAGAAAGAAGATAAGAAAATGACTTCAAAAGGTGAAGCAGAGAGCTCAAGTACAGGGGAACACTGCACTCTATAGAATGTGCAAGAGTGACAGAGGTAACTAGTGGGTTACAATAGATATAGAAGCAATGGCATAAAAGAAAAAGCTGAGAATGGGAGAAAATACACATTTTCAGGGTTTTCGTTTTCCTTGTTGTTGGAATTCACAAATTTTCTTTTCCATTCTCTATCCAACCCTCTGAAAGTAACTACATTATCTTGATGCAACATTTACTTCGGAACTTTAATTATGAAACTTACCTGTTGTTTAATAAATATTTTCCTATCTCCCCGTACCTCCTTCCCTGACTAAATGCAAATATCTGAAATGCATAACTCTGCGTCTCACAATAGCTTGTGTTAAAGCCAATGATCCCATCTATGTTATAATGTCACTTTATAATACACAACATGGGCAGTTGATTGGACACAGCACCAACTTTCACCGAAGTTGTACCCAAAGCCCAGAAATAAAAAGTTAGGCAATATGACCCAGAAAGTTTTCTTCTTAAGAAATAAGAAGCAATTTGATGATACCTACTTACTTATTTTTCACTGTTGAAAACAAAACGACAAAAAGAAAACAGTTTCTTTAAGCACTGAAATAATGGAAAAAGCAGCTCTGTATTTTCATACTTACATGATACACTCTAACAACAATATGCCAAGTATTTTCCTTGTTCAATACTGTCTTTGACTAAAAAGGACAGCATAATATAAACTTAAAATATCTACCATTTTAGAAATTGTGAAATTTCAGAGCATAAATCACTTACTTAAAAATATTTTAGATTTCAAATCTATAAAGAAGTAAGCATTTTCTTACAAAAATTTATTTCATTCTTTCTAATTCATCACCTGCCTTGTAACATAAGTGTTTCTTAGATCAAATTTGAATTTTGATGACAATTGCATACATTCACGTCTTCCATTGTTTATTTCTTTTGTATGTGTGCTTGATGCCTAACAAATTAATATTCAGGAAATTATTTCATGAAGGGCAGACAAAACCCAAGATAAGTAGGTAAGGAAAAGAGGATTTTAAAAATGGTATTTTACTGTAATTTCCCAAAGATATATGCTCCATTCTGTTTTTGTCACCTCTTATAAATGAATAATATGTAAATCCTAAGAGACGAGTATTTCAGTGGCCGAACATTTATCTAGAGAAAAATTTTAATTAGATGATTTTTACTGTTAGTTAGTTATTGATTTTGGAGTTTCAAAGCACACAGTTATACTATGTTTAGAGGATTGTAATAAGAACCTCCTTGGCTTGAGTCTTTCCCTAGGGCATTAAGTTGTTCATGTATATTTTCAGGGGGTCTTTGAACAACCTGATTTTATGTGCAAAACTGTATAAATATGGATGCATACCTAGAAAATTTATAGATTTTGTGACATTTTCTTAGGAAAATACAATTATAAATATTAAGATAATAGATTTTTCTGAGAATTAAAGAAGACACAATGTATGTCCTTCATAAACACTGCATGCCACACTATATCCCTGGCAATTAGTTGCTATTAATAATCACTTTCTTAGCAGTGATGTAAGAGATCAATATAGGGAGAATTCAGACTCAGAATGCAAAACCTAAGTGATTTTCACACAATCTCTTTGTATTTCCAGGTATCTGGCATATGTGTGTAATAAATCCTAGACCACTGAAATTCTCTGACCACCATACTTGGTATATAATTCATACTGTTTGAGTATTTTATATTTTATATTTCATATTCTCTAAACTTGAGGCATCCAATAAGATGTACAAAACTATTTCTGCTCAGTTATATGTTCAAAAAGAAAATACCGTTACTACATAGATTTTTTGAGTATAAAAACGTATTAAAATATGACTTTCAATATAATCCATATTTAAGAAGTTTCTGATATAGCTAAAAATAAAAACCAAAAAAATTGTTAGCAATAAGCTTTCAAATATAGTAAACATAGCTGATCTTTTTTTCATTATTTAAACATTTCACTTGTGAAATACATTGTACATATAGGAAATGTATAGGATTATATAAAAAGTTGAAAGAAAAATAATAAAGTACCCTCCCTTGTACCTGCTATGCAGTTTATGAAATAGAACATTACCAGCACATTAGATGCCTGTTTGCCTGTCTCTTAAAGCACTCCCTTTCACACTGTTTCTCATTATGTTTTTATGATTATCTATATAGTTTTACCACCTATTATGGCCTGGCCTGTTTTGAACTTTACCGTGATGAAATCATACTCTATTTATTTGTCTGTGCTTGCTTCATTTCCTCAGTATTATGTTTTTTGAGATTCATCTACATTGAGGCATAGAACTGAATTCCTTCATTTTCACTGCTGTGACAATTCCATTGTCTGAATACATCTTAATTATTCTCTTCTACTGTTGAAGGGCATTTGAGCTGCTTGCAAGATTTGTTCTTATGGAAATGCTGTTAGGAATATTCTTATACCTGTAAGGTGATGCGTCACCGTTTTCCAAAGAGTGTTTCTCATTTATATGACCACCAGCACTTACCACTGATCCACATTATCATCAATACTTGATAATATCTGACTTCTTATATTTAGTCAACATGATCCATATGAAACGATACTGTGATTTTAAATTTTTGCTTCCTTAACTATTAATGAACTTGAGAATCTTATTTTCTTTCCCCCCCAGCTTCACCGAGGTAAAATTGACAAATAAAAATTGTGTATACTCAAGGCATACAAGGAGATGATTTGATATGCATACACATAGTGAAATGATGACCACAATCAAATTAATTAACACATTCATCACCAGACATAGTTACCACTGTGTGTATGTATGTGTATGTACATGATAGGGACACTAAATGTTACCCTCTTATCAAATTTCAAGTAAATAATCCAGTGTTCTTAACTATAATTACCATGCTGTACACTACAATAGCTGCTAATGATTTTTAAGTGTTCTCTATAACCTAAGTACATTTTTTAGAATTTATGTTTATTTAGTGGTTATAACAACTTTCTGGGTGAGGTATTATAATAATATTATTTTCATCTTACAGATAAGAAAACTGACATGAAGAGTTTACATTATTTGCCAAAAGTCACACCGTTAATAAGCAATGAAGCCAGAATTCAAACTCTTGGAGTTCAATAAAGGAGCCTCAACTCTTAGCCAATTGTAATTACACTATACTCTGTTGCCTCCCTTATATACGGACTAAATGTTTTTTGCTTGTACTTAAAAGTACAGAATTCAAAGCGAAAAAAGCCAAAAGAAAAGAATCAAGAACGCTTATAACTTCTCTGTACAAATTGTTCACTGTTTTTTAACATATAATGCAACTTTACAACTTCATTCAACATTCACTATTTTGGATATTTGTGTTTTATTTCAGCCACTTTAATTCTACTGTGTTAAACATATTATATAGCCACAAAATTTAGTATACTAACCTTTGATTTTTTTTCTCTGCTTTCCCTCTGAAATGATTATTTTAAATGCCTTTCGACAGAACTCATTTTATATTAGATACTGTAAGAGGTCACAATAGCAACATTTGTATAAAAAGTCAGGAAATGTAAATTTGGTCATGGTGGAGGGCTGAAATTAAATGCTTGATATCATTTTTAATAATATTATTTTTAATTTATTTTTATGTGGTAAAGTGCCAAACCATTTAAATTGTATCCCCTTAAATTTTAGAGATGTTGTGAAACTTTCCATATTTATTAAGCATTTGTAATTGTGTGTGTGTGAGTTTGTGTGTGAATTGTCTCTTCAAATTTTGAGTATTTTCTACCAATTTTCTTAATATAATAGTTTATATTAGGTACTAACCATCTGTGTCTTTTATGTTTTATAAATATGTTTCTCATTTAGATTTAAAAATTATTAGTCATATTTTTAAACTATGGTCAAGAAGGTAATAATATTTATATTAAAAATTAAATAATTTAAATTAACTATAAAACTAAAATTTCCCAATACACTATTTGGAAAATTTCATCTTTATATTAATTCTAAACCACATCACTTTAATATAGGAGAAAGTAGAAAATCACTGTAAACATAATAGAGATGGGCATATACTACATACTTACAGTGCTACCTAAATAAGAATGCTGTAATATGAATTAAAATATAGTTTAAAGTTTTAAATTTATTTGTAATTGACAAATAATAATTGTGTATATTTATGGGATATGATGAAATGTTTTGATCTACATGTACATTATAGAAAGATTCAGTTAAGCTAATTAACGCATCCATCACCACATCAACTTTTCATGTTTTTTGTGGTAAGAATGATTCTGGGGCAGTATATGTTAAATTAAAAAAAAATTAACTTAAAAATGGAGGCCGGGTGTGGTGGCTCATGTCTCTAATCCTGGCACTTTGGGAGGCCTAGGAGGGTGGATCATGTGAGGTCAGGAGTTCGAGACCAGCCTGACCAACATGGAGAAACCCCATCTCTACTAAAAATACAAAATTAGCCAGGCGTGGTGGCACATGCCTGTAATCCCAGCTACTAGGGAGGCTGAGGCAGGAGAATCACTTGAACCCAGGAGGCAGAGGTTGCGATCAGCCAAGATCATGCCATTGCACTCTCCAGTCTGGGCAACGGGAGCAAAACTCTGTTTCAAAAAAAAAAAAAAAAAGGGAACATTGACACTGGAAAATTGAAATTATTGGAAAATTTATAACCAATTGTATTTGTTATTTTATAATTATATGATTTTTATTTTACATAATAGTTTCGTACAGATAACTTTCTGTGTTTTCCTAGTTGTGTTTAAATCACTTAAATAGCAGAATCTATGTCAAATATTCACCAAAAAACAATAAAAACAAACATACACATGCACATACAAACACACCCATGTAATCAGAGTAGAGCTAACTTAGTGGATCATATGAGCACTTGAAATGCACCATCCTTCAATCAATATGTCTTTATGTAGCGTCCACAATAGGCCTAGCATGTTACCACATTCTAGTGATACAAAGGTAAATGAAACACAATATTTGCCCTTGAAAATTATACAGTCTGATTGGAAATAAATGTTATGTATGTATTTTGAATATAGAAAGAAAAATACAAATAGAGTTATGCCCAGGTATATTGAGTGATAGGAAACAATTGATTCCGGGCTTTAGAGAAGAGGTTTTGCAGAAAATAGGATATCAGAGCAGAATCCTCTAGAAGCAGCAGCGATTAGCCAGGCAGAAAGAACAATATACTTAAAGACAGAGAAATGTACAACAGTCGGGGTGTTACAAGCCATGTAATAGGACTGAGCAGAGGCTATGGACAAAGGGATAAGAGATGATGACAAAAAAAAAAAAATATGGGGCTAGAAGCCAGATCAGGTCTTAAGACTTAATCCTTTAGGGATGGGTAACTATTTTTAAAATACAAGTGGGAGAATTTCATGGTTTCATTCATTTTCCAGACAGAATTCTGCTAACATTTAAGGAAAGACTGGAGGTGGAGCTGCTAATGAGAATGCCTTGCATGGGTACTAGAAGAGACATATTAAGAGTAGACGCAAAAGTCACAGCAGCAGAGATGAGGGATGAAGAGGAAAAGGCAATTCCAGAGTTAAAATTGTAAAGAATTGATGACCTATTGGTGAACAAAATGTGATCAAGATGACCCATGTAAATGTTAATTCCATTAATGGAACTCTGGAGGAGCAACAGACTTGTGTTAGGGTTAAGAAAAAATGAGTTGAATAAAAATTATGTTGCATTTCTCTATCTGTGAATCCCAGTTCTTGCTTATTTATCCTCAGTTCCATTGCCTTTTCTCCTACTACATTTCCTGGGCGCCCTTGCCATCTGGGTTTACCAAACTATCTCATAGGAATGAAGCAAGTAGGAGTACTCAAGGTATTTCTTCTCTCTTGCCCTGCCTGCATGTGGATAGTGCTATTTCTGGCAGTTGGCTGCATCTCATTTATAATTCTAGCTCCTCACCTTATTGGCCATCCCAATGTGGACTAAGCTCCCCCAGGACAGCTTCAACATTTGGATTATTGTTAAAACTTCTCTTTACCGTCTTCAATTCTAAAGTAGTAGTGGCTTCCTGCTGTTGCTATTCTCCGTTTGGCTTCCTTTTTCCATTGTCTTTGTTACCAAATGCCTAAAATGGTTCCTGTATCTTGGCTGAACTTTGGTGGATTCTCTGTAGAATATTCAAGCCATCATATACAGTGAGAATGAGTAAATGCCAGAGTGGTAATCCAGGGTGGAGTTGAAGTCGAATTTAAAGATTTGGGAGTCATCATGTGCATAGGAGAGATAATTACTCCGAAAGCACGTGCTGAGTAAAAAGAAGACCATGAATAGAGTTAAGCTAAAATGAGAGAGGTAAGGTTGAGGGATAGAGGACTTTGTATGGCTCAGAATAACTTGAAATGTACTTGAGAAAAAGTAAAACCTAAAGAGACCACTTAAAATATAACTTTCATGAGTTAAGGTGGAAAATAAGGCATTTCACTGTATAACCAAAGACACAGAGATGAATACAAAAATACAGATCATAATAGAAGGGAGATGAGAAGTGGTAATAGAGGAAGGTTACTTCCAACACAAGAGTCCTGGCTAAGAGGAGCATAGACTTGTTTTTTAAAGACTTAATTTTTCTTAAAGAGCAATTTTAGATTCATAGCAAAACTAAGAGGAAGGTACGGCGATTTTTCTCATATCCCTGCCCATATACATCCCTAGCTTCCACTCTTTTTAAAATTCCCCACCAGAGTGGTACATTTGTTGCAACTGATGAGCTTACCATGAGACACCATAATCACCGAAAGTCCATAGTTTACATTAGGATCTCTCTTGCGCATTCTATGGGTTTGGACAAATGTATAATGACATGTTCTTCATTTTATAGAGTAGTTTTATTGCCTTAAAAATGCTTATTGTTCTACTTATTTATCCCTCCCTCCCCACAACCCTTTGCAAACACTAATCTTTTGTACTGTTCTGTAATTCTGCCTTTTTCAGAATGTTATATACACTTAGAATCATATAGTATATAGCTGTTCACTTAGTAATTTGCATTTAAGTTTCCTCTATGTCTTTTCATGGCTTGATAGCTAATTTCTTTTTAGCACTGAATAATATTCCATTGTCTGGATATATCATCATTTATTTATCTAGTCACCCTAGAAGGACATTTTGGTGGCTTTCAAGTTTTGGCAATTATTAATGAAACTGCTATAAACATTCATATGCAGATTTTTGTGGAAATAATTTTTCATATCCTTTGGGTAAATACTAAGGCACTTGATGATTGGATCATATAGAAAGAATATGATTCATTTCGTAGAAACCACCAAACTGTTTTTCAAAGTGACTACACCATTTTGCTTCCCACCAGCAATGAGTGAGAGTTCCAGTTTCTCCACATCCTTAATAGCGTTTGATGTTGTCAGTGTTCCAGACTTTGGCCATTTTAATAAGTGTGTAGTAATATCTCACTGATGTTTAATTTGCATTTCACTGATTACATATGAGGTAGAACATCTTTTCACATGCTTATTTAACATCTGTATATTTTCTTTGGTTAAGTGTCTGCTAAAGTCTTTGGCCCATTTTTAATTGAGTTATTCGTTTCCATATTGTTGAGTTTTAAGAATTCTTTGTAATTTGGATAAAAGTCCTTTATGAGATGTGTGTTTTGCAAATATTTTCTCTCAGTCTGTGCCTTGTCTTCTCAATCACTGATAATTGTCTTTCACAGAAGTTTTTCTTATAATTTTAATGAAATTCAGTTTATCAATTTTTTTCATGGACTCTGCCTTTGGTGTTGTATCTGAAAAGTCATTACCATATTCAAGGTCATCTAAGTATTCTCTTATCTTCTAAGATTTTGCTACTACTGCATTGGATATTTAGGTCTACAATTAATTTCAAGTTAATTTGTGTGAAGAATGTAAGGTCTATGTCTAGATGTCTAGATTCTGTTTTTTTTTTTAAATGTGGATGTTCACTTGTTCCACATTTTTTTAATGTGGATGTTCATTTGTTGAAAGACTATCTTTGCTCCAATGTATACTTCTTACATTTAAAAACTGATTTTGTGTTTCCTGATAGTGGAGCACAACTTTTTTCAACCTCATTTGCTGCATACTGTTTGTGAAAACTAATTATAAACCTCTAAATATGTATAAATTATTAAAATATAAATGTAATTAACTCATATAAATATCCCTAATCATATTTTCATTTTAATATATCGTAAAACTAATTTAAGCTTCTGTTTACTCCTTTGAGAGCGCTCTTTATAAATATACTAGCCGAGCAGCGAAAATACGGTTCCTTAGCATATGCATGTAAAAACAATTAGCATGGATTCCTTAACCTATGTCTAATTTTAACTGAGGTATCTGCCAAAACAATCAAATCAGCTGTCCCAGTCAAACATCATTAGCACTAATTAAGGTAGCTTCAGCGAAGAATCCTGCTGCATTCTTGAGGTGCTCCCCATTGGATTTACAGCTGATTTCAAATTGCACGAAAAGAGATACGGGAACAAAACAATTGAGATTTGAAGTCAGACCGGCGTGGATTGAATCCCAATTTTTAATCCTAATTAACACCTCTGCGTCTCCATTTCATCATCAACATATGTCCATGTAACTAGACCTTCTTCTTCTGGCTCTGATGTAACCAAGAACCCTCCTAGGGTCAGTCTTTCACTGACAATAATGTGAATTTTGTGGATGCTTTTGTGGAAAAATACAGAGGCAGCAGCTATGGTACACATTCTTCAAAGCAAAATGCCCCTTCTGTCACTGCCCCCTATGCTTGCCTCTTGCCACTTTTTTCTATAGTCAGACTTCACAGACTTTCTTTTTTCTTTCCTTTTCATTTTTTTTTTTTTAAGATGGCATCTCTCTCTGTCACCCAGGCTGGAGTGCAGTGGAGGATCTCGGCTCACTGCAATGTCCATCTCCTGGGTTCAAGCGATTCTCCTGCCCCAGCCTCCTGAGTAGCTGGGATTACAGGCGTGTGCCACAATGCCCAGCTAATTTTGTGTATCTTCAGTAGAGATGGGGTTTCACCATGTTGGCTAGGCTGGTCTCGAACTCCTAACCTCGGACTTCACAGACCTTCTATGTGGAATAGTAGCTCTAGCTCTGCCCCTCATCCCAATTTCTTCTCACTTCTTCCCTTTAACTCTCCCCATCATTTTACCTATAATGAGAAATTGCCCTTCTCCTCAATTTCTCCAATTTTCCACTTTCCATTCTTCCTCTTTAGAAATGGAAGAGAAGGTAAATTTTCCTTCTTAACTATAATGTGGGAAAATGGTGACTACCTCAAAGCTGAGGTGAAATTAAAGGCAATACTTCAGAATCTAGCAGATTCTGTTGCATATTTAAGCACTAAATCAGTGTTAGTAAACTGTTAGTTCTTTGCTTCCTTGCATGGATGCAAATTTTAAATTCCTCAGGGAAGATCAAGACATAAAACAGCTCCATGAAGACACTTGGAGAAAGAAATCCTCACCACTGTTTGTCTTAGAGGTAAAGATAGAACATTTTTTCAAATTCTAAGGACAGTCCTTCTAGGTGTTTTAATCCAAACATTGTCAGAATTCTTCATGACTAAATGTTATCATTTCTGACCTGGCATGTCAATCTATAAAATAACCAAGCCCATACAGATAAGGAATGGCATCTTGCCAAAGGGAATATTACATTAAAAAAAATTGTTCTTCATCAAAATGAGTAATGAAAACTAAAAATAATCTATTGCAGTTCTTAGAAAACAAAATTCAATTTAGATTTTAGCCTTGCCTTTTACTTCACATTGGGGTTTACCTTGGAGACTTTGAAATCCTGTCAGATTTTGACAGGATTATACACTTAAGGTTTAACTGGGTCCGTAATTTCTTGTATATTTTAAAGCTTAAAGGTTTTCTTTTATTTTTTCCTGACACATTGTATTACAACTTTACAATCGATATACACTCCTCCAATTAAGAAACATTCTTTGTATTTTTACAAAAGTGTTTAAACTCATGTGCTATCATGGTATTTTTTATTAATGCTCATTCTTGAAAAAATAAAATAATTCATATCAAACAATTACATGCTTTACTTTTAAAATGAAATATAATCAATCATACTTCAACAAAAGCTTTTCTGTCAGTTTATTCTCACTGAACTATGTGAAAATAGACCATTAATAGGGAAGAATATATTATACATAATTACTATGCATGGGCACTTCTCTATTCTATACTTAAGTTACTAATGTTTTTCAACAGTTATATACACAATATATATTCATATATTTAAATTAATTTTGTTTATATTTACATATATTTACACATATCCAGTCAGTATTGATGGGTTATGACACAGTAATAAACAAACAAGAGATGACTCGCTAATGCTCATGCTATACCAGATCTAGTTTATGATCTGGAAGACAATTTAAATAATGTTTTATAACCCACGATTTTTTTATTACACTCTCTCCTGACTTCTCCAACCTCTCTATTTTAAAATTTTTATTTAGCAGTTTTTTCTATCAACATGTTAAATATTGAGACCCAGAGTTGCATCTTGGGTGTCTTGGCTCTAGATGCTCTTCCCTGAGTGGTCTTATTCACATGTATGGATTCCATTGCCACCTGTATGAAAAACCTTTCTAAACCTAACTGCAGCCCACCATTCTCACCTAACACCCAGGCCCACAGAGCCATATACTCACTGGAGATCTTTAACTACGTAGCCTACAGATACCTCAGATAAAGTGCCCTCTCCACTCTCCTGTTTCTTCTACCTTGTAGCTTCCTGTAATCTGCATTTTATGTGCTCAAACGATATTGAATAAATGAGTAAAATGAAAAGAGTAAACACATAATTAATGAGTTAATTCTGTAGAAAATACCTTTGCCTTCTGGCTCAGAAAAATTTCCCAACCATCTCTGAAAAATTATTTTCCTGTTTTCTCTAATTATGGAAATCCTGACAAAGACTTAAGTACGAACTTTTGTTAACATTATATTTTACTTTAAATTAACAAATAATTGGCCAGGTGTGATGGCTCATGCCTGTAATCCCAGCACTTTAGGAGGCCGAGGAGGGCAGATCGCGACATCAGGCGTTTGAGATCAGCCTGACCAACATGGTGAAAGTCCGTCTCTACTAAAAATACAAAAACACCCGGGCATGGTGGCGTGTACCTGTAATCTGAGCTACTCAGGAGGTTGAGGCAGAAGAATCGCTTGAACCCAGGAGGGGGAGGTTGCAGTGAGCCGAGATAGTACCACTACACTCCAGCCTGGGTGACAGACCGAGACTTTGTCTTAAAAAAAAGAAAATTGGCCGGGCGCGGTGGCTCACGCCTGTAATCCCAGCACTTTGGGAGGCCGAGGCGGGCGGATCACGAGGTCAGGAGATCGAGACCATCCTGGCTAACACGGTGAAACCCCGTCTCTACTAAAAATACAAAAAATTAGCCGGGCGTGGTAGCGAGCGCCTGTAGTCCCAGCTACTCGGGAGGCTGAGGCAGGAGAATGGCGTGAACCCGGGAAGCGGAGCTTGCAGTGAGCCGAGATCGCGCCACTGCACTCCAGCCTGGGCGACAGAGCGAGACTCCGTCTCAAAAAAAAAAAAAAAAAAAAAAAAAAAAAAGAAAATTAACAAATAATAACTATATATTTATGGGGTAAAATGTGATGTTTTGGTACACATATACACTGTGGAATGATCACATCAGGCTAATTAGCATATCCATCACCGCATATATGTATCATTTCTTTGTATTGAGAACACTTAAAATCCATTCTTTTAGCAATTTCAAAATACATAATACATTTTTATTAACTATAGTCACCATGCTGTGCAATAGGTCACCAGAACTCATTCCTCCTATTATCAGAGGCTGGTGGGGGTTGACAAAATGTGACGGGAAAGGGGAGATGCTGGTCAAAGAGTAAATAGTCTAATCACTTTGAAAAAGATTGTCTTTAGTTACCATGATCCACCCTACTCCAATTTACTATCCACAGAGTCAATCTCGTACAGTTTATCACTTACTTATGAAGCTGTTGCTGTTCTCTGGTATGGGGATGCTAATACGCCTAGATACTTGGTATGCTATGATCACCTGGAATTTAGACTGACTGAGAAGAATTAGGCCTTCTGTTTCTTATAAAACATACGTAACACAATGCTGAGAAAATATATTAGGAACACGCAGCTCACTCATCTATCAAATCATTAATAAGCATTTGTGAGCTTTTTCTAAGTGCCTAGCACTGTTTATATTTTACAAAAATGTTAACATATTTATTAGGCAGATTGCTATATATGGGGAGGTGTGGTGATGGATGGCATCATGCAGACATTAGTGGATTATAATTAAAATGAATTTTCAATTTTACCCATTTAGTTTTCATACTTTTATTTTAAATAACCTTTAGAAGTTTGAAATACAAGTATTCTCTGAAGTTTTTTGCTAAAGCTTCTATGATTTATACGGCACTTTGCCCTAAATACAGCGATCTTCAAGACAGAACCGGGATTCTCAGGAACATTAACCTCTACAAGTTCTTTGTGAAGCAAAGGGCAAAGTGGTGATTCACTAGATCTAAAAATAAATATGAATTTTTCAAAGATGAAGGATCAAGCATCATAAGTCATCTCTAGGGTTTAATAAGAACCTGTCATATATTAATCTGTTCATATTTCTCATTGCGTAAATATGCAACTTATAAATGACACCAATTTCTCCAATGAAATGTTATTTCTAAATAAGAGCGGCAGAACAGGAATAACAAACATACGCTATACCTGCTACCACTAGCAACAATCACAAATAAATGATTAAAACATTTTGCTGATGATTCCAGAGGCAGCAGACTCAGGATCTCCGCAGAGCACACTATAGGCAAATACTACCGGTTGACTGATGTTGGCATATGTGATGAAAACTATTTGTCAACACCTGCTCTAGAATTGCAGAATTTACAGAAAGTAACTTCACAGCTAAGTTTCTGCCTTATGTTATATGCACTCTCTATGCTTAACGTAGGTCCTATTTAAGGTAGATACTGGATAAATTTTGGTTAAACGAATAATGTAGTATTTTGGTGAATGTTTATAAAGCACAGTGACACCATTATACTCACTGTTTAAAGAAACTAAGTTGTTGCAAAAATTCTGAAATCAAAGCTTGTTTCACAGACATTAGATACTGTGCGGCCTCAAGGTTTCTTTACTCAAGGACACTCTTGTAGCTTCACTCTTGGATTCTGGGAAAGGGGACCTGCTTCCTAAAATTCTAAATTTGATTGTTTATGTAACATATATGTATATAATATAATTTATATTTATAATGTATATAATATATTTCATAAAGCTTTAATATTTTCCAATTTAAAAAGATTTTCCAATTTAAAAATCAGAGCCAATACAAAAGGAGCTAAGAATTCAACATTTTATTTGATAATCAAGAGAGTAAGAACACAAATATTTAATGATAATCATAACACATTAAAATGTAATCCCTTGCCTCCGATGCCAAAGTGTAAGTTCTAAAAAGTAACCAGAAACGAAAATAATCTACAATAATTGACTTAGGTAATGGGAAATTCAAACTACCCTAAAATATTTTGTTATCAAAAGGCATCCTGGCTGAGAAATAGAATTTTCATGAATGTTCGTTAAACTTCTCAGGAATAACTTTTTATCTTTGGGAAGTTCTTGTCTGGTAATAACTTTCTTGACATAAGGTCAATGGGGCTAGCATCCCTTTCTATTACACTTTCTGTGGTCTTGCATTCAAATACTCACTTAGTTTAGCCCATTTTTACTTGTTCATGTATAAAAGACAAATAGGCATTTTCATATTTTGTTCTTAATCATGATAATAGCCTGTTTAATAGTACCATAACTGAAAACGTCTTAAAACATGGAATTTAATTTTTCTATATTCTGATCACAGAGTAAAGATATAAGGCAGGAAGATAATAAGGCTGCTATAAGTTTAGAAATTTACTCAAGTATAACAAACTATAGAAATTCAGGAACATTAGATTTTTATTTTGAACAATGTATCTATAATTTTGGTGGAAAAAGATTCAAATCAAAAGAATAAAGATAAATATTACCAACCTAATCTCCATTAACTTCTTATTATAGAAGTTTACATATACTATATATATATACACATACATATGTATGCACATTTTTCAATAATATGTACATACACAACAATTTATAGTTAACTTTGAGTCCACTGTTTCTAGCAAAGTTGCCCTTATATTCCAAAATTATAGATTCACGATTGCCAAAAGTCTGAATTAAGTGAAAATTATTTTAAAAGTATTCAGTTTCTAAAAATAAATATAATAGTTAGAATTTAGTAATGGCTGTATGTATTACATTGGTATCCTCTTTGTAAAATATTACATAAGCAGTTGGTATAAAATATGGAATAACAATCTTATTAATCAAAACATAAAAATAGAATGCTGTATTACTAACAATGAAACAAATAATATGCAGTACTAATTTTAAAACATTTTTAGTAACAGTAATCTGTCTTTAAATAAAATTCTACCAGTACACCTATGTATCAAACAAAGGTTGAGTTTCTCCAGTTGAAGATGAAGAAGGGATGTACTCAGTTATCTAGCAGCACCACTTACACATACACAAGGACAAACATTTCCTTGAGAAACTTGTTTTAAAATACGTACAAATTCAGAGCCTGATATTCTCTGGTAAGTCTCAGGCTCTTTGGCTGCCTTTCTCACTTTTCTTTAATTAGGAGTTACTAAACCACACTTGAACTGATTGATAATTTAAGCAGACATACATTTACAAAAATACGATTTTTAGAGAGACAAGTTAGTTGATAGCTTAGCATTGGAAACAGCATGCATTTTCCACATTTCAGATTAATCCACTAACATTAATGTATAGTTTTCATTCATTTGTATTAATATTATCAGATGAACATAATCTATGAGAATCCCAATTTTTGTATCTACAAAATCTTACGAGATTATAGTGAGGAAAGTCCACTACAATATTTTACAAAGCACATATCATATAATTTTCTCTCTCTCTCTTTTTCTATATATAGAAGGATATACACACACACACACATATCTATATATAAATGGGGTAGTTAATATGTTTCCTCTGTATGGAAAAACAATAATAAAAGAAGTGGGGGAATATTGCTATAAAAGATTAAAGCCATCTGAAATACTGCTTTTTACAGGAACAACTGAAAAAAGCAAGAACTGCAACAAAATTATATGCCGATCTTCTAGGCATTATTCCAAATCAATTCCCCCACACAGATTTATTAGTAGATACAATATAAAGTTTTAGATCACATAGTCCCCTGCATGTAAATATTCAAGTTGGTTTTCCAAAAGAAGTAGGAAAAAACAGCTTTACAGTATCTTCCCTTCCCAAACTCTTTTTTATTTTGCTAGCGTAACGGGGAAGTAAAAAAGAATTAAACAGCTAGATATTTTACATAATTCCACAAGGGCCTTTACATGGTAAGGAGTTTTTCTTCTGTGAGAAAAAAATACCCATTGTTTAGGGAGAAGTTTGGTGTACCACTAAATAGATGTGATGGAGCTAAGATGAATTCCCCTGAAAGCCATAGGGAGAATACCAAAATAATAATAATAATAACAATAACAATAACTGATCAGTTTGATCAATATCACAGTAAGATAAATGATTATGAAGAAATGAAGCTGTCTCTATAAACTACAAACAAAATAAGTTTCATACCTCTATATTTATTTGCCACCTGGCTGTTTCTAACATCCTCGTTGACTGCCGAATGCTATTTTGTTTAATTCAAAAACAAAATTCTGCTGCTTCTACCTGCTTGTAACTTAAAATCTGGGAGTACTTTAATCATTCACTTTTCAGGAGTCACCATGCTTTTTTAAAAAATTAAGCCACATAGGTAATTAAACACTATAATCTGAAATATACCAATTTGCAACATTGTGAAATAAGAATGCCTGTGTCAAGCATAATATAATGTCTTTTGCTTTCACCTTTGTTTATTTATTGGTAAAAGTAGATAACGCAAAACTGTTAGGACTACTGTTGATCTTCTTGCTCAGTAATTATCAGTGAAGATCATTATGAAATTCATGAAAATTAATAAGTGTGTACATGTTGAACACTTTGCGTATTTGTGTGCCTGTGACATTTTAATCCCAGTGAACAGATTAGGATAAAACAAGCTTTTCTAACCCACGTTGGGCCACATGTGGCCCAGGACAGTTTTGGTTGTGGCCCAACACAAATTTGTAAACTTTCTTAAAACATTATGAGGTTTTTTTTTTGTGATTTTTGTGTCGTTGTGGTTCATCAGCTGTCATTAGTGTTAGTTGTATTTTATGTGTGGCCCAAGACAATTCTTCTTCCAATGTGGCCCAGGGGAGCCAAAAGATTGGACACTCTTGGGATAAAAGGAAATCATCTCCTTACACGGTTGAGCATTATTCAGGTAAAAAATAAGACCTTTATCACTATCCTGTCTACATTTCTGCCTTTGAGGTAGGAGGCAGGACTCCACTCCAGAGGCAGGGTTTGGACACCGTATCAAATTGAGGACTAGCTAAAACAGGGCGGAGTGGAAGCAGCTTTCCATAAGACATGCCCACCAGTGTGCCATGTCTGTTTACCATTGCCATGGCAACACCAGGGAGTTACTGCCTTTTTCTATGGCAGTGACACAACGACCCAAAAGTTACTACCCCTTTTAAAAAAATTTCTGCATAAACAGCCTCTAATCTACATGTAATTAAAGGAGATATAAATATGACTGCAAAACTACAGTGAGCTGCTACTCTCTGCCTAAGGGGTAGCCCTGCTCTGCAGGAGCAGGCACAGAGCCGTAACAAGGCCACAAACATAACACTGCCTGTTGAGTAAAGCTGTTTTCTTCTGCCTCTGGCTTGCCTTTGAATTCTTTCCTGGGCAAGGCCAACAACACTCGCGGGCTAAGCCTCACTTTGGAGCTCGCCTTTGCAGCATCAACTTGGTTACTGATCAAGCTAGCACTCAATCAACTTTCCTAAACTTCTTAGGTTTCTTAGATTTTGTTGCTTATTTACTATGAGTTCTATGGTGTAAGTTTTATATTGTTGTTTTTACAAGTAGCATCAAATTCAGCTCATGCAACTTGGTTGCTTTCCTGGACTCGTTAGCTGTACAACTGATGTTGAGACTCAATCATCTGATGCTACATATTGTCAATCAATGACATAGACTCAAAATTCTATATACCTCCTCAACTAACTAGGCAAAGTATGTTAAAAGTATATTGTGCCTAGCAAAATTATCATACATTCAGTGTAAATATTTGTATTCAGTTGAATCAAATTATAAATAACCTATATTCCAAATTACTTTTCTTATATGTTGTTTACTAAACAAGATTAGCAATATCCTCCAAATTCTGTTTACAGAAAAGAAAAATTAGACCATGCCTGTGATTTCAATATCTTGCACATTTTATGTGCTAAAACTGTGTTTAGTGCTACGAAGAAGCACTAAATATGTGGAAAATACATAAAAGAACTCATATAACCACAGTTAATCGAGAACTTTTTTCTCATATAACAATGCTGAGATGCTAGGGAAGTTTTATAACTATATACCACATGTTGTCTCTCTTTTTAATCTCAGAGAATTCAGAATTCACATGTGGTTTACCCCCTATTATACGATTGCTGAGAGCTGGCCAAATTTTTGGTCTCATTCTTACTTAAATATCCTTTTGAAAAATTTTATGGCCGGGTGTGGTGGCTCATGCCTGTAATCCCAGCACTTTGGGAGGCTGAGGCTGGCGGATCACCTGAGGTCAGGAGTTTGAGACTAGCCTGACCAACATGGAGAAACCCCGTCTCTACTGAAAATAAAAAATTAGCCAAGTGTTGTGGCACATGCCTGTAATCCCAGCTACCCAGGAAGCTGAGGCAGGAGAATCCCTTGAACCCAGGAGGCAGAGGTTGCAGTGAGCTGAGATAGCGCCATTGCACTCCAGCCCGGGGAAAAATAGCGAAACTTTGTCTCAAAAAACAAAAAACAGAAAGAAAAGTAAAGAAAAATTTTATTTTGGGTGACCCCTCTGGCATTGCATTTCCATCACCCTGTGAGGTTTGCGTAAATAAATGGTTTATAACTTATAACCTCTGTTTTCAAATGTTCTGCAGAAAACTGAGCTTGTGATAAATGCTTGAGGAATGTTTATTTACCAAGTTGACTTCAAATTTTAACCTTTTACCAAGAAATAAATAATTCTTCACAATGCTAAGTTCCACAAACAATAATTCCTTGAAGCTTTTGAAAATATACTGACTTGCTATTAGGAAAAATCGTATATAGAAAAATTAAATCAAACTCCCAGCTTTGAGGGAGTGATTATCATGTTATAAATTTTTTATATCTTTAGTGCCAATTTTTATGTATTTGTTCAAATAAAGAATCTCTATTTGTGACAATAATTCTTATAGAAGGACAAATATAGACACTTTTAATTCATCGATCTTATGGTGACTTTAGGATTGCCCCAAAACAGAAAAAAAAAAAAGCCAACAGCATTTTATCAGTGAAATATGTACATAAACAAATAGAGCCTGTCCACAAAAATTATCTGTGTATTACCCTTGCACATATAAATCTATAAACCAAGTTGGCAAGAAAATATTCATGGCAATAATAATTCACAAGTTAACAATAGTTTTTACATCCACCTTTTGATTTTATCTGCATTCACAAATGGAAATGTAGAGTAAAATTTTTACTGACGGCTTTATCTTTCTCTTTTGCAATTGTTCTAATGTCTCTGCATCATAGCTTTAAAAGACTGTCAGCAGCCAGAGCACTTATGTGACTATACATTTCACTCCATAATTCGAAAGTAGGTGAAGAGTCACTTATAAACTATAATTTTATTTGGGTATTAAAAATATCAAAGAGTTGGCCAGGCACCGTGGCTCACACCTGTAATCCCAGCATTTTGGGAGGCTGAGGCAGGTGGATCACAAGGTCAGGAAATGGAGACCATCCTGGCTAACATGGTGAAACCCCGTCTCTACTAAGAATACAAAAACAAAATTAGCTGGGCGTAGTGGCGGGCGCCTGTAGTCCCAGCTACTCGGGAGGCTGAGGCAGGAGAATGGCGTGAACCCGGGAGGCGGAGCTTGCAGTGAGCCGAGATTGGGCCACTGCCCTCCAGCCTGGGCAACAGCGTGAGACTCCGTCTCAAAAAACAAAAAAAAAAAAACAAAAAAAAAAAACCAAAGACTTAAATATTTATTATTTATATCATGTGATTTATTAAAACATCTCACAAACTAATTTTTCTTTCCTTCTATTGAATCCATTGCAAATCTTGCATATGTTTTAGCATATAGGCTATAGGTTACAAGATCTGCCGGCCATTCTACTTCATATCAAAAGTCATCAATATCTATTTAAACATCACTACCAAAATAAATTTTATAGCTCTATAAATTGTTATATTTTGGTGCTCAAAAACACATGCTTTTATGTTATAGTAAATTAAATACTCATGGTCTTGTTACTAGACAGAGGAAAATGTCACACAGATCCTTGATATATTTGTTTTAGCAAAGAACTAATGTATATCAAGACAATGATTCACAGATTAAGGTAAAGTAGTTCTTCTCAAATAATGACAAATAAAAATAATCTACTTTAGTGTATTTCAAAATATTCATGACCTGAGGTATAGAATATTCTGTTTAGATTCCTGATTTGTCTATGTTAGGGAGCCCAGTCTATCTAAAAAAATATTTAATATGGTAAACTTCCATGCTTTGCATTCAGTAAATGAATGCGGTCAGGATCAGTTGTATCATTTGAACGACTGTTTCTATCACTTCAGATGTGAGTTTGCTCTTTAAATATAAAAAAACACTTTGCTTTTCTTTCAGGTTATTTGGCTATTTCATACGTTATCTTGTCAGGCTCTCTTAAAGTAAAACTTGCTTTCTATGTAAATATTTATGTCTTTAAAAGGTACTAACCTGAGTGGCAGAAACTTTTTTAAAATATCTGAAATGACCTAAGGCTATGAAGCCCCAAGTATCTCCCTGTGATCTTTAATATTTCTGTTAGTACACAAACTTGTAAAACCCTTTTCTTTGACCCAACAAAAACATTCGTAGTAACAGTCCCTTTAGTTGGGAAGAATAATCAACAAGCCATTCATTCTTCTCCATGGTAAAATACCTCAATGCTGAAAGAATCTTTCCTTATAAGACTTTTGTATGACAAGTTAAAATTCTCTTAAAGTGAAATAATCCAGAAACTGTGCAAAATGACTAATAAATGACAATTGTATGTCTGATTCTTGTTTTCTCTCATAATAGGAATCTAGTTTTAAAAAATTATATATAATTTCTAGTTCATCATGCCCAGCATACTCAAAATCTTCCTATTACTTAGCATTTCTCAGCCTCACAAGATGACAATTTGGTTTCTATTTAAAAAACTGTGTCCCTAAGAATCCTTATGAGAATTCATAACTGGGGGAAATAATTTCAGTTGAAGGATCAAAGTGGTAATTTCAGGAAAGTGACATTTAAAGGGAAGTAGCAGAATATGGAAAAAGTGGATCCAGCCAGAGGTAGTGAGTCAGGAAAGGGCAGGTTCTAAGGTAAGAAAGAGTTGCATTCTTTCAAAATAAAATAAAAGTTCATCAGTATTTTGGGAGGCCAAGGCAGGCGGATCACAAGCCAGGAGTTCAGGACCAGCCTGGACAACATGGTGAAACCCTGTCTCTACTAAAAATACAAAAATTAGCCAGGTATGGTGGCATACACCTGTAGTCCCAGCTACTCGGGAGGCTGAGGTAGAAGAATTGCTTGAACCTGGGAGGCGTAGGTTGCTCTGAGCCAAGACCGTGCCATTGCACTCCAGCCTTGGCAACAGAGTGAGACTCCATCTCAAATAAATAAATAAATAAAGCAAATAAAAGTTGCATATTGTTTCTAGATGAAGCAATGGATTGCTAGTTACTCAAGATCAAGTTGGAACAATAGCTAGTTGAATTGCAAGGAACTTACAAATGGAAGAGGTTTGGATTGCATCCTCATGCCATAAGAAGCCCCTCAAGACTTTGAGCAGGGAAGCTGAGATACAATAATGTATAATAACTTATAATTATTCGTAGCTATAATTGTGAAGTTTATGCTCTTTTTAACAAAATGCTTAAGTATCAAAACTAACGACGTCTCTAGGAGCCTCATACCAAGCTCGTAACTTTAATTTAATCACCATTAAAACTTAGTGTATAGATTTATATTTGCTTATACAACTACATAATATATAGGGAATAATGTTTTGCTACTAATTCAACCATATTCCTACTTATGTTTATTTGCTCGTTTCCAGTTTTATGTTACAGTAAACAAGGCTTCAATAAAAATTCCTTGTCATATGTCTTTCTATTCAAGTGTCTATTTTATTGAATAAATAAATAACAATGAGGCTGTTAGGCCAAAGATTATAGGAAATTTGAATTTTAATAAGTTATGATAAAATATATTTCTAATATTTTACAGTAATTTACAGAGTTATGACAATTTATAAGAAACCATTTCCTTACACCATTGCCAGACTAGATGCTACCAAATGTTTTAAAATTTTGCCAATCTGATGAGAGAACTTTGGCTTATAATGTTGTTGTTGGTATTGTGATCATTACTTCAGTTCAATGACTATTATTGAAGTTGAGCATCTTTTCACATATTTGGCCATTAGAGTCACCTCTATAAATTGATTGCTCTTATTCTGTTGAATTATTTCCATAGTCCTGTCACCATTTTTGAAGCAATTTTAGTACAACCTTGAACACTAGGGAAATTAACCCTTTGCCTATTATGACAACAAGTATTTTCTCTCAACAAGTCATTTGCTTTTGATTTTTATTAAGATAACTTTTCCAAGATATTTTAAATTTCTATATAACAAAATTGCCAAAAGAACATTCTTGCCATTTTCTCAAGAGTAAATTGGGAATTAAGAGTGTATGCAGAACAATTAAGTCATAAACATTTATTAACTTTAGGAAATAGGCAAAATGATTGCTAGGTATTATGTGTGTAGAATGCTAGTTGTTTTGTACCAGGAACACTGTGGTGCAGATTTCTGATTTTGTAGGGTTGTGTACCTTTCTTCAACTTCCTATTTACTATTGACCTGAATATGTTGAACTCTTTAAGAGCCGTAGTTAACCTGTAGAAGACTGAGTGAAATGCTAATGATTCTTCTTTCAGAAAAATTTAAATAACTTTTGTCCAAAAGAAAAACAAATGACTTTTATACCATAACCTAAAGGTTAGTATATATTGCCTTGTACACCATTAACCACTCTAGTAACTTTTGGCAAATTTGTTTCTGCATTCCTTTAACTGTTCAACTCTATAAATCTCACATCTCTTAATTTTTTTTAATCAGTCCTGCTATTTTACTAGTTCCTTTACTAAGGAATGAGCCAAATAACATATTTGAAATAAGCTTATTTTGTATTTTTTATGTAAGTTATATTTTTAACTTAAAAAAAAATTCTACTTCAACAGAACATTCCCAGGCAAGAGATTTTCATGGTCTCAAAAAGATTAATAGAGAGTAGGAAAATTTGGAGTTAAAAAAGTGAGAAAGTAAATATGGATATATTTGGGAGTCTGAAAGAGAAATCGAGGATAAGAGAAAAAGAAAGAGGGAGAGAATGAATACCTGAAGGATGTAGTCCACAAAAGGGCAGTCTTTGACAGTCAGAGTTTATACCAGAGTCTTGGATTTCACACAAGGACCATATCTTCTTTGCTCACAATAGTAAAAGGAGAGAGAGTAGGGATGAGGTAGGATTATAGATTAGTAGGTAGTATTGTTTTTTGTTTGTTTGTTTTAATGTTTGAACTTCTACTTTCTTTTTCTTATTTAAGTAAATTTTTGCAATACAAGTGCAATTTTGTTACATGCATAGATTGTGTAGTGGTCAAGTCAGAGCTTTTGGTGTACCAATCACCAGAACAACATATATTGACCCATTCATAATTTATCATCCTTCATCCTCTTCCCATCCCTTCTCCCTTCTGAGTCTCTATTGTCTATCATTCCACTGTTTATACCCATGTGCACAGTTTTTAGCACCCACTTATGAGTAAGAGTATGCAATATTTTCCTTTCCATGTCTGGCTTGTTTTGCTCAAGATAATAACCTTCAGTTCCATCTATGTTGCTGCAGAATACATGATTTCATTCTTTTTTGTGGCTGAATGGTACTACATTGTGTATATATGCCACATTTTCTTTATCTTATCTTATCTTATCTTACCCTATCTTATCTGCTTATTTATCTCATCTGCTGATGGACACTTAGGTTGATATCTTTGCTATTTTAAATAGTGCTGCAATAAACACAGGAGTGCAGGTATCTTTTGACATATTATTCATTTATATTTCTATATGAAATATGGAATATGGCTATCTGAGAGTAGGGTAAAAGGTAATGGCTGAAGATTTAAGAAGAATAGAAAAGTTGTGTCATTTCTGATGACATGAAAGCATGCTTTCCAGAAAAAATGTAGCATTATTACAGTGGAGTACTTGGTTGTAATCATGAATGTATAAAGATATTTTCTGGGATATATTTTCTCCTCCTCCTTTGTTGTCTTTGCCTAACTTAGATTTGTAATTTACTTATACATTTTACATATATACATATATGTATACACATATACAATATATACCTATATATTTGTTTGCAAAGTTTTAAGGGTCTATCTTCCCCTAAAGTATGAAGCCTCAATAAAATTAGGAAGCAAGCCATTTTGCTCCCCTTTGGGATGGAGCACAGTGGTAATGTTTGATTAAATGACTATCACTGAATGCCAGTGAAACACAAACAAATGCACATTGTAACACAAAATATGTAGATCTAGAATATATTGAATGAAATCAAATTTTCTAGCTTTTTAAAATAAATATTAAAGTGGGAGAATACACACATATATACATAGAGATAGAGATATAGAGATGATAGAGTTAGTTGTATGGAGATTGAGATAGCTGCAAGCTGGAGTGTACACTCAGAGCCATGTGGTTTTGTATTAACCACTGTGACTATTCATACTTTTGAACAAATTTGAGAGTCCCTTTTTCGGAACCTTTATGAAAAGAAGAAACCTGAACCTAAAGGCTTAATTGGCATTTTGCACACATAAGTGGATTCAGGAGCTCTGCAAATAATACCTAATTATGTGCCACATTTAACTAAGGTCATAACAAATGCTGTAGTGAAAGAAGCACATATACATTTTTTTCTTTTCACTTTTATCCCTGTTCTAAACCCAATGATACCCAACAAACAAGTGGATTAGTAGAATAAGACCACCAATTAATAAATAGGTGCTTCCATCACCATTCCGTCACTTATCACAGTGACAGCCAACTTTGTATTAATGTCATTATAGAAAACAAAGTGAGCCAAAAGGAATAAACATCTCTGAATCTTAAGGTGTCCTTCTAGGCCTGTGGTCAATTAACTTTTTCTTACAGTACCAGGTAGAAAATATTTTAGAGTTTGTGGGCCAATAGGTCTCTGTTGCAACTAGTGATCTCTGTTGTTGCAGTGCAAAAGCAGCCCTAAAAATATGCAAACGAAAGAATTCAGCCATGTTCCAATAAAACTTTATTTACAAATACAATCAGACCCTTGTTCTAGGCAACACTGAGAGAATTTTTAATATAATTATTTATTTCTCTTATACTATATCCATTATTGAAACGGAACCATTTAACTATCCATTTTCCCTCAGTATTACAGGAAAAAAAGAAAAGGTCCATCCTTGAATGATTGTGAATTTCAGTTCATTCTTTATTTCCAGGCAGCCTTTAGTTATAAATAAAATGGATAGGAAGCCATGGAAGATTGACCTTGTCCCTTACCTTGGAAGGTTTTCACACAGCTTTTTAAAATATCTGTACTTCTCCTGCTCTGCTTCCCAAACATGGAGATAAATATCTTCCCTGACAGCCTGACTTTTTCTGAGGCAGCACTCAATTTATCACTCTGCTCCTTGAGCACATTTTCCAAATCCTGACAAAAACATCCCTGAAACCTTCAGAGGGGAAAAATAAACCCTCATCTCAGGCTCTGTAAATTACCACCAAGTATAGCCATGAATAAAATAAGAATCAATCCTGATTCATGTTTTAGAACATCCTACAAAACGGCAACTCATGCTCCAAAGGCCATTGTCAGAATTTAGACCAGAGGAAATTAGGTAGGAAACAGAAAAGATACTAAATATTCTCTTTCATGCCACTTTTTGTTAAGAAGCCAATGATTAGATATCTCTGAGTGAAACAATATTAACCTCATGATTTCTCCTAAGCCTGCTTTCCTTAAATCACGTAAAACTCAGAGAAAATGAAAAACAACAAAAAACTAAGGACTTTAGAACGCAAAAGCAGGCCCATCACTGACAGAAGGGCTTAGTTGAAATGCTCTTAGACTTCCTGGGAGCACAGAAAAATGCATTAGCCTTGATTGGTTTAGACGATTGCTGACTTGAAAGCTCCTATTTTTAAGAAACATCTGAGCGAGGTAACTTGATGTTCCTTGAATGATGAGTAGAGCCAAAATCAGTCTGTGTAGGAAGGAAAGGAGAGAATATCTACATGTAACTGAAGGGATTGCTAACACTGCAATCACTTATTCTCAAATATTGTATAACTATGGGCACTACACAAATAAATTTCCTGCACTCAAGGACAACCATGTAGCAGAAGATCTAAGAAAGCTACAGACATATAGGAGGCAAACAAGATTAACATCAAAATACATACAAAGGTGGAATAACAGAACCTGGAGTTGTGGATGAAGAAAAGGTTGGGAGAGAAAGCAATGTTTCTTGGAGAGAGTGAGAATAGAGCTGCTCCTGGAAAGATGGAAGAAATTAGACAGGAAGAAACTCGTGAGGAGGGTCAACTGCTATGAGAGAAGAAGGAGAATGCAAGGAGTGTACAGTGGCACATAGAGATAAAATAAAAGGTGTGCTTCATTAAGCGATTAAACGTGCCTACATACATGGATGGGGCACAGTTAAAAATTATTCTATTATTAATAGAATAATAATAGGACTTGCGTCAATTGATGGTAATTTTGTACCATGGACTGTGCTAAGATAATTCCATGGATTTAGGCCTTAAAACAATCATTTAAATGAGTTGCTATTATTAATCCCATTTGAAAAACTGAACATTGTGATTAAATGATTTAATGAAAACCAGACAACTAGTAAGTGCTAAAGTCAGGATTTAAACCAAGTAGTTCTTAATCACTGTGCTAAACAATTGTAGCAAGCTAAATCTACAGAATTTTTTTTCTTTTTGCTTGAATGCCAGGCCAAGGTGAATCTACGGCTAATTTAGAAAAAAATAAAGGAAGGATCTACTGAATTATTTTGAGCAAGAACATGGGAAAATCAAAACCCTATACAAGAAAATTGATAGTGAGGAGGATGGAATACAAGTATTAAGCAAGAATGGATTGAAAATGAAAAGACCATATAGCAAGTTAAGAATACAGTTGAGTGAAATGTAAGAGTTTGTAATTGTCTAGTACGGGCAGAAATTGAAAGAAAAGGACAAATGTGAGAGGCAACAGAGACAGAAAAGATTAAAAGATAGAATTTCAATTAGCCAATATGGAAGCTGGGAGGTTACTAGAAAGAGGGACCATTTCAAGCTGACGGAGATCTGAACATGGGAAGAAGTGTTTGGAAGGATGCAGATAAGCTCAGTTTTGATACTATTCTTGAGGTGACAGCAAGATACATACACAGAAAAATCTAGTAGGAGATGAGGACGGCTCAAAAGTCCTTCATATTCAACATGTTTAAACTGAATTCATGAGACACAAAAATAACAGCAAACCAAAGACTCCTGCTCGAACTCTCTCTCTCAAATGGTACAAGGCACTGGCTCCCCTGTTGCAAATACCAGAAGGCTAAAGGCCACTCTTGACTTTTCTACATCATTTCCTCATATACTAATTTCAGACTATCACAAGTCTTGTCAATTTCACTTCATAAATATCACTACAATTTCTCTTTCTCACCGTTGACACCATTACTGCAGTAATCTGGGCTAAAATAATCACTCACCTTTATTACCACAATAGCTGGCTGGCTACCACCTTCCATCTGGCCCACCTGCAGTTCATCCAGCACATTGCAGCTAGAGTAATCCCATCGAAACATAAATTATGCTGTCCACATATCCTCACCTCCCTTAAATCCTCAATTATTTCCAATGTTCTAAGGTTAAAGATAAAACAGCCTTGCGCCATCTGACTCCTGCTTAATCTCCTATCATACCCACTCCAGCCAAAATGGACTTCTAGCTCTTAAGTCAGCCTTGCAATAAAGCCTTTTTACATGCTTTTCTGCATTCTCTTTATTATCTCGTTAATACGGACTCATCCTTCAAATCGCAATTTATAATTATTTCTTCAAAAAGCCTTTCAGATTCTCTTGACTAGGTCAGATAATAGTGTCATATTTAAAAGATTTCTGGTGTGATTTCCTGTTTATTTGTGTGGTTATTATATATGTTTTCTCTCCACTTTAACACCAACAATTCACACTTTACCTGCCTCAATCAGGCTTTTGCTCCACCACACCACTGAAATTCCCCTTTAAAAGGCCAGCAAAGATCCATCTTTCCCAATCCTGTAGTTGATCTGCAATCATCTTGCTGATCTTCTCAGCAACAATTGACACAGCTCTTTCTTCTTGAAACGTTTCCTTTCTTGGCAGCAGAGGCAGTGCGTTCTCTTGGCTTTCTCTTCCTGTTCCTTCTTAATTACTCTGCAGATTTCTCTACCTCTTCTCTATTGCAAAAAAATTGGTTTACTCCAAGGCTTAGCATTGGACCTTCTTCTCTGTGTACACTCAGTCCCTAAGGGGTCTCTTCTGGTTACAGGTCTACAAACAACTCCCAGATTTTTGTCTCCAACAACTCCCCTTAATTTCAGCCTCATATAACCACTGTCTACTTAACATCATCACTTGGAGATCTTAGAGACATTTCAAATATATTATGTCGATAGAGGAATGGAACACATTTTAAAAATAAATCTAAAATAGCACATTAATTAAAACAGCACCCACTCTCCATCACTCTTGTTCCTCTTGCCCTGACTTATTTTCTTCATGACATATATATAAAATTGTATCATATATTTAATTTTTACTCTCTATCTTCTCCAAGAAAATGAAAATTTTAAAATATGCTACTTTAAAACTGCATTTCCGATGTCTAGAACAGCACCTGGCATCAAGTAGCTGCTCAAAATATATTTGTGAAATTACGTCACAGATAATATCAATCACTGTCGCTACACTGAAAACTCAATGGAGACATAAACTTCTTATGTGTTTAATTACCATTGTTTTCCCAATACCTGTTGAATGGGAGTTATTAAATGCTTTTTGGCTGCTTGAATAAGTAGAAATAATATCAGGGTAGTGCAATCTTACCAATGACAAAGGAGGACAGAGTTGCAACAAGGTGTAAATCTAGTAAAAACAGGAAATGCAAGAAAGACAAGAACTGGTAGAAGGAAAATATATTTAATAATTAGGAAGTTATCAAATCATTTCAAAGCCAATTTAAGTATGATGCATACTGATAGCAGATGGTAATGGCTAAGGAAGTAGTGGGAGGCACAGAGACAGAGGCTCCAAAGGTAGGCATGATACAGTAGATACTATTCTAAACACACGGGTTCTTTTCATTCCATACACCAGTGTTGAAATTTCCTGCACAAACATAGCCATACCCCTCTCACACATACTTAAAAAGTCCTCTTCCTTACTGGGCATCTTAAATCCTAAAGGATTGTCCCTCTTCATTTTCCTCTTTGTGTGAATAAGGAGCCGTACATCGGAAAGTTGTGAGGATTGATCATTGCTTAGAATACATTACATTTCATGTTGCATTTCAGACTTTACAGCGAAAATATAAATGATATCCCCCTTACTTATTTGTTAGTGTAAGGAAAATAAAATGCCACTGGTAGATTTAAAAGCAAAGTGAAACTGGAATACCAATAAAAGACTGAGCAATCTAAAAGAGAATATTTGTTAATTCTTCAAAGTTTCCCTTGGTTCTATTCCTTCACTTTCATCTTTGTGTAAAGAAGGTTTTGTATATCTGAAAATTGTCAGGGTAGAACATTGTTGTGAAATTAAGTTTCAAAGTTGGCTACATTTAGGTAGTGTTTGAAGCTTCTTATTTAAATATTGAAATTGGGAAGTATAAGTACATAAGGATTTGGTAAGTGTAATATTTCCTGGCCTGTCATAATTTTCTAAGTTTAATGATTTTGAAAACTCTTAGCTGGACTTTGTAGCTTGCATCTGGGTGTTTGACTCTGGGTAAAAGAGTAACACCATGGATTGTAGCAGCCAGGAAATGTTAATTACATTATTAAAAAAGCAGCTAGAAGTGCAGGAGCCAGTCCACAAAAGACTCTACGCTGGTCAGAATAAAAAGGCTGTTCAGGTTCCAGCATTGGCAAGAATGAGGACCATGACTCAGCTATGTTTAGCATTCACTTTGATTTACTATCATATCAGCAAATTATCCTTGTGAAGAATAAACACAAGATTAAGAATGCAAGTGAATAGATGCTCCCTGAGGCTTTATTTTATTCCACACAAGGGCATATCCAAAGTTCAGCTCTACCAGCATTCCATGTAGAGGGAGCAATCCTCTCAGTCAGCAAAGTGCAGAATATGGGAATTTGATCTCTTATAATCATCTGAATGGGAGGTTGTGTCAGGACTAAAGGGCTAGCCCCTTTAGGGGAGCTTCTTGTGGCATTTCAGATAAACACCTCTGCATTTTATTTCTTAGTGCTTTCTTAGACCATCTAAACTTCCAGTGTAGTAGGCCTGGTTATGGCCCACCAAAAAACCCACTTGAAAAGGAGATGGGAGATGGGAGAGGAAGCTCATCTCACAAATCACTGCTTGGTTTGGGAAACTGAAGTTGTGTATCCAGCTAGCAAAGAATAAATAATCCTTGAATAGTAACAGACCACCAAAGTTTTTCTCATTGTAAAAGAAAAAAAAAGTTTCATAGGGATCAATAGTTTATATTCAATCTCTAAGCAATCTAAAGTAGAAATGGAAAGGAAAAGAGTCCTAAAATAAAGACATAAAATTCCACTCCAAACTGACAAAAACAAAAAGTATGGAATTGGAATCTGAACAGCATAAGATAGGGACAACTTTGACTTGATAGAAGTAGACATAATTTTTAACCCAGACCTGTCAAGGAAGTATTTCTGCAAAGTCAAAATAAGTTTTTCAATTATTTTTCTGATTGGCCTGGGATAAATATAATACAGAAATACATTAACCCCTTTGGGTGATGTATAAAAACAATGAAAAAGAGGAAAAGTAAAACATGTATGCATTAAAAAATGCATCAACTTGTCAGAATTTACCTAATCATAAAATCTAATGATATTCCTCAGTCTGAGAGTCTTTTCATTCCATACAGTTTTCATTATCTTGCAAAGTTATACCATTAAAAATCCCACAGATAAAATTAATGAGGGCACATGCTATATTGTGTTCCAGACAAAATGACTGAGTATATTTTTTAGGTCACAGCTAACCCTATTTATATAGCTTACGTAAAATTACATAGGAAAGAAATGCCAGATATTTAAAAGTTATTCCAGGGACAATCTCATTTTATGATTTCTGAAGCTAAATAGCATGATTTTTGATAGATGAGAAATGTACACTTGCAAAATAGACTAGTATACTACTATGGATAAATCCATTTGAAGCTACAGTTTGCTATAAATCATGCTTTTCCTCTAACATGCCTTCGCTTATCTCATTAGATAATATTTACTTCCATGGAAAAATGATGTGGGGATAGGGCTGTAAGAAATGAAGTCCTAGCACAAGTGACCACCCACTCCTGAACTGAACCTGGAAATCATGACAAAAATCTTTAATAAGCATTTCTCCACACTTCATATAGTAAATATGGGATGTGTCTGAGAAAAACATCTTCTTTCTGTTACTGTGGGCATATTATCCTTTAAATGAGACTCCGAGAAAATGACATAGCACTGGGGAAAATACACCGGCTAATCACCTATTCTCCTCACGTGTGTGACCTCTTAGACTTCTGTTTACTTCCTATAAGACCTCAAAGACTCCATGCTTGTTCTTGTCAGACACCGAAAATAACGTTCATCCCTCCTCTTTATATCCAGGTTCACAATCTGAATACCCATGACCAATTCACAGAATGCCACAAATGAAAAAAAAAAAAATCCCTAAATCTAACTTACGCTTCTGAAATTGATTAAAGAAAGCTCCAATGACTACACTTAGTCGAATTAAAAATAATTTCATTCTCTCAAAATAGAATAACATTATTGAGTATTATCTCCAGAACAAGAAAATATAAGTATTACTGTTAAACATAAAAGAGAGGAAAATATGGTAACGTACAGGTACTTGTTCAGCATCAGTACAAACCATACTGATAAATGGACCAAGAGGAGGTACCAGTACTCCCACCTTATCCACAGGGAATACGTTCCAAAGCACCAAGTAGATGCGCGAAACCGCTAATAGTACCAAACTCTATATATACTACAATATAGTGCATTTCAGAGAATGAAGAAGATAGTCACTTACCTCTTTAATAACGTAGACAAAACGATAAAAACACTGTTGACCCAGAGAGATGCTTTATGAGATAACTCATCATCCCTAATCAAGAAAGGGGCATTATCAGAGTTCACCTACTTATTCAGTGCTTTTTAGGTACCTGTTTTATGCCAGGCAATGTTCAAACCACTGGAAAAAAACAAAGAACCAGAGACACAATAGGAGTGCAAGTAAAGCGGAAAAGCAGCACTGAAAGAATGAATACTTTAAGCAGCTTAATGTCAAAGGAACATTAGATTGGAAGAGAACAAAGTGACAATAGGTATTGCTGAAGAGATAAAGAGGGACCATGTTATGAAGCTTTGCGTAAAAGCAAGGGATACAGAGAAGGTTGTGAGTAGAGAGAAGTAGGGTTAACGTCATTGAGGATATTAATGATTTTTAAATTAAAATCCAAATTTAATTCAAATGCCTCAATGCTAGTACCCAAAATAAAAATAAATGACACAAAGAAGAAGTCAAAATACTTATCTCTCTTTTCATAAGAAAATATGAAGTACCTGGGTGGCAGGGCTCTGTAAGAAAACTGCTGTGGACAGTGAAAAGAAAAATAAAACATGGACATTTAGAAGAATTACCAGGGTCAGACTGAGATGAGAGATCATAGACTTATTATGACACCAGTTTTCATAGTTTTGTGATTTTCAATAGCATTCAATACCCCAATTGAAAATGCAAAGCCATTGAGAAAGGGTAAGGATTTTGCCAGACAGAAAAAGGAAGGAAAAGAGTAATACAGGAAAATAAAGATTTGTGCAATAGAGCTATTTATATTGTATACTAGGTCTTCTTTGGACAGTAAGAGAAGGGAGAATGAGAAAAAAGTCATGGAAGAAAATGAGGTGGGTCAAGCTACTGGATATTGGTGGGAGGAAGAGAGAGCAATGTTATCACTTAGTGTATCTCATGATTTCAAAGTGGAGAAGTTCCAGGTAATACCAAGATCCAGAATGGAGGCAATGCCCAGTGGATAACGTGGAAAGAAGTAGAATGTCAGCGAAGGTAAGGCGATTAAGGGATTTCTGCCAAGGATAATTGACTTACCTTACCTATGTACTCTAACCAATCCTAACGATGACAAGAGGTATAAATAAAGGAAAATTGCCATACAGACCTCTAAATCAGAAAGAGTAATAAGGAAGATAATAGATGACACTGAGGGGTAGATGGTGGTAATGTAATCAAGGCAAAATGAAAAACATATACATATATATTTACATATAAATAAATGTGTATATATAAATACATATGAATAAATTTACACATTAAGGTAAATTGTTATCATTATAAATTCATGATTATCTTGTCAAATATCCATCTCCACCTGCCCCCACAATACAACCTAGATCATAGTACATGACTCTGGTCCAAAACCTGTCTAATTTTATCCATAAACTTCAAATTTTCTCCACCTTGTTCAAACTCTACAGAGAAAATTTAAAATCCAGAAATATCCCTAACTTATGACTATAAAACCTAAATACCTGTTCAAATTGTTATATTCTTTCTTTTCTCTGCTTTTTCTTTATAGGCAGTGTACATTCTGGTCAAAGTCAACTAATACCATATATATATATGTGTGTGTGTGTGTGTGTGTGTATACACATATGTATATGTATATATGTACGCATATACATATCTATGTGTATATATACACACACATATGTGTGTGTATATATACATACATATATAGATGTATGTATATATGTATATATGTGTATATACACTTTTCGTAGATATTTAAACATAATCAAAAATTCCCAATTCAGAAACATAAAAGCTGTTTCAAACTTCTATTATTCTCCAGAAACAGCTCTACCTTTCTTTAAACCTTCATAGATTAACTCTTTGAATGAGTCACTCTGTCTCCATTTCCTGAACTCCTACTCACTCAACAAGTTTTTGTCTGGGTTTCACCCCTCATCACTCCAGCAATACATGTTTAGCTATAATCACCAGTGATCTTCCAGTGTTCAAATCCAATGAGTATGTTTTAGTTCTCATCTCAATTAACCTCTCAGCAACATCCAACAGTGATGATTACTTTGTCATCCTTAAAAGACGTTTTTTCCTGGTCTTTAGAACATTCCAGGTTTCTGTTGCTGTTTTCTTCCTCTATAACAAATTGTTTTCATTCTTTGCAAACTCTTCTATTCCAATGCACTTTAAAAGTATTAGGATATGTCAAGATTTGTTCCTAAAATTACCTCCTTTTTCACTCTACGTTCTCTTCCCAGGGATTTGTAGCGATGCCAAGACTTCATTCCCCATCTATGCCACCAAATTTTTATATCTCTTTCCTAGTTCGTTGCCGTTATCTCTTTAATCATATAGCCAACTGTTCACTCTAGAATTACACTTGAATAAATGAAAGAAATACTCGTTTTCACAGGAGGATAAAAGAATAATGATTTCTAGGTATATCTTGAGAATTGCTTTTATTTTCCCCTCTTGAGTAAATTTCTATTCTTCCCTCAAGATCTAACTCAAATTCTAAATTATCTGTGATTAATTCCTGAGTCTCTTGTTCTCCCCATCTCCTATAGCAACATGTGCCTACTTCTACAACTGCACATAGCCCATGGTATTATAATTTATACATGTGTCTTCCTCCAAATCCCAGTATAGGATCTCCATAATGTCAAAATCGGGTTCTGTTCATAAGTTTTTTTTTCCAGAACCTACTACTCTGATGTATGGTAGGTGCTCAAAAATTTTAAGTGAACATTTAAATGCCAATAGACCAGTACTTCCTAAAATGTGCTCCAGGGTTTCCAAATATATATTAATAGATGCTCCCAGAAGGAGGGATTCTGTGGTTAAATAAGGCCAGGGAAGTTTATACTAAATCCTGTTTTAGAGATGCCGATTCTCATGTGAAGGACTATAAGAAGTTCCTAAAATAAAAAACTGTTCAACTTTATTTAATATTTAAATAAGGAAGATGTCTTTCTCTTTTCCTCTTTTAACATACGTATTAGCATTCCTCAAACAGTCTTTCTTTATCTCTTAACATAGTTTGAATTTTAACTCATGAGGATCAGCAAAACGCATATTAGAGAACCAGAGAGGATGGCACCTTCTCTTTGATCAGGATGCTCCATGGTGATAAGACACAGGCGCTAATTTCTTTAATGTAGCTTTGAAACTTCTTAGTGGAGAAAAATTTTTTATCAATATGGCATTGCTATATATTGACAAATACATCAAATCTAACATATTCTTCTTGTGTTTTGTTTTCTACAAAGTCACTAATTCAGGACATTGCCTAGCCATAAAGAATAGCAATATAATTACAGCCACATTCAAGCCATTGTTTTGTTTTGTTTACTGAAAGTGCTCTTTCACTTTTGATATTATCTTTTTGATAATATAGTTGCCTAAGCACCAAATGTACCACCATGCAGTTATGCAGGTACCTTGGACAAAAAAAGCATTAATAGCTCTAAAACAAAATTTCCACTTGAAGCTCAAAAGCCTTATCACTTCACTTTCAGAATATGTGGTCTAGTAGTTTGGATAGAGTACATTCAAAGCCAGACACCCAAAACAACAGTCCTCCCATAAATGGCTTTTATGCTATGTTATCTTTAATGTGTAACAAAGAAGAAATCTCTATTTGCCAAATAGAAACTTCTAATATATATCATGACAAACAACATTATATAACAATAGAGCACCCCTCCTAGTGATCAGAATTCTCATGAAGAACAACATGATAGCAAAATGACTCATCAGCTTTTTGTGCTGTTTTTCTATGTGGGACAAGTGTGAGGAAGTTACAGGTTGTTTATGTGCAGCCCAAAATGACAGGCAAGAGAAGTTACTAAGCAACATTAAGTACTTGCATTTTTCTAATCTTTAAAAGCTGTCCAAAGCAGAATAATCCTATAATATACAGGTAACAGGAAAAGCAATGTGGGAGTTATGTTTTTGACTGAATGAAAATGTTTTGTTTAATAATTCTAAAATTCTGATTCACTGTGAGTTCATCTGTTTTAGTCTTAAAAATTGCTTCAGGTGTATAAGCCTCTTCTACTCACTGCCACCTGTTATACTCACTGTCAACAAGACAGACCAGGTCTACAATGAAAAAAACATAATGGAGGTTTGCAGGTGGGGCAGGAGTGGTCCTTATGCCTCCTGAAACCAGCTTGTTCTCCTATTAATTATATTATTCCTATTATGCAAATAGGATCTTCTGCTCATCTAAACATCAGCTCTTTGTTCCTTTCACAGCACTATTACAACAGCAAATCATGGACTTGTTTCCTTGTTTAGGTCTGTTCATATCCGTCTTTCACCAAAGTGCAACCTTTAGTACTGTAGGAACTTTTCCATCCATTCCTCTTCTTTCACCGATCCTGGCAGAATGCTTGACACAGAGTAGCCCGTCAATGACTAAAGGATGAATAGGATACAGGACCGTGGTATAAGTAAGTACTTCTGTCTCCTAAGGGATAGTTTTCATATCTCTATATGAATCTTAGACTTCCCAGAACTAGCTGAGTATGACTGACAATCTCCATACACACTAGGGAAGGCAAGACAAGTGAGAATTCTCCAGCCCTTATTTCTTTTCATTAAGGAACCAACAAACAGATTCATTGGTCAAGAGCCAAACAAGAAACACTTCCTTATATTTTCTGTCTCAGCAAAACAAGTTACTGAATAAACTACAAACTCATCTTTTCTGCGTGAAGTTTTGTTTTCAGGTCAAGGATCTTGTCATGCTTTTCTATAGCACCTCTGTTTCTTCTTCCTTTCCAGTTCATATAATCCAAAGGGAGTTTGATCTAGAAACTAATAGGTTTCCTCACATCAGAGATCATATTTCCCCAACATGCTTAGGTACAAATAGCAGAGTAGCCAATATAAAGCAAAACAGAATATCCTTTTGTATATTAAAGGATGATAGCTATGACTATGTTTTCAGAAGATCAGAGGAGAAAGAATGAAAGACCTTTCCTCATCATTTTAGGTAAGGGAAAGGGAGTTAAAATTTCTGAGGATTAATTGCATGCCAGATGTTCTTCTGGGTAGTTTATGTGTGTTGTTTAACTTATCTATGTTAATAGTTACCTCTTTTTATATTTTAATAAGAATATTTGGGGCACAACGGTAAGTAATGAAATCTTACAAAGTGTTTATAATAATATTTAATAAATTTTGTAGCCTCAATAAATATTTTATTAATATAAAACTAAGGAATATTTTTAGATTTAGATTTCATTTAGAACATTTTCTTTACTACTGATACTTTTTCTCTGAGACAATATTCCAAGTAAGTTGGAAATAATAGCTAATATTTTTTAATGTTTATTATGTGTATTCTGTTTAAGCCCCTTACATTCATGATTACGTCATTTAATTTTATGAAATGGCTTGTATTTTCATTATTCCTGTTTTACAAGGAGAAGTCTAAAGCATAGAATTTAAGTTACTTGCTTAAATTCATCCAAATAGTAAGGATTTTACATCCAGACAGTTTGAACGCAGAAAGTAAGTTTCAAGTCCTATATCATCAAACCTAAGAAAATGATGAAACTCAATAAAACTTCTTTTCATATTGAGAAATTATATATAGAGTTGACTTCTCCATAACCTTATTCACAATTCCATCTCATTATGAACAATCAGAACAAAATACACAACTTGGGATTCTAAAAGAAAGTGTATTATAAAGCATGGCCCAGCTGCCTCACTGGGGGAAACTCATTCCGAGATTACTCTATTGATGGAACTCTAAAGACATTTTAAATAGCTGCGCATTTCTCATCCCATCTGTCCTTCCCCTGATTATTTGATAACTGATTCATGTGGATTAGAAAGAAGACTAAAATAGGATAGTTTGACCTAAGATGGTACTTTAAAAAAAATTGTATTTGGAAAGCCCTACGTGTTATACAGTTCACATAGATACAATATTTGAATACTAAATGAAATAAATGTATAAAAATGGAATTTGAAATTAGAATTTAAAATTAGAATTTTAATTATCACATAACCTGATAATTTGTAGGACAGGGTTTCTGGATTGAATTTCCCACCATCAACCATCACTTTACTCTTCTCTAGTGGTAGTGAAGTCTTGAATGTCTGCTTGCAGATATGATTCACTATTTATGAGCTATGATTGAATTAAAATCAGTGTGTTTTTTCTAAAGGGAAATAAGAGTTTAAGAAACAATTAAAAATCACCTTTTCACAACTTCACACTATTGTCCCACAAGAGCAAAACATCTTTGATGAACCACTTATTCTACTATTTGGGTTTTTTTCCCTCCCTAAATCTATGTTAATAACCTGAAACCAGAAAATAGGTATCAGTAAAAATTTTAATTTTGTGATATGGAAATAAATATTTTATCCATCATATTCCAAAATATTGCCCCACGTATTCTAAATATGTAACACCACAGAAGGTAATAAATGTGTTCTGAGTAATTTTATACTAATCATGACTTCTACTTATTAAAATACACACTTGCTCTCAGACATCATAGTTTTTATTTGAAAGCCAGTTCTCTAGTCTTTGGTGGGCAGGGGGCAAAGGCAAAATATTGTGGAAGTGGGACTACCTATTCCTTCAGCGGATAGAATTAGAGCCTGTAATACAGTTCATTAAAAGAAGTGTTTATTAAGCTCCAATATTATATTAGACACTGTGTTAAGCACTAAACTTCCAAAGATAAATAAGGTTGAACCCCTTCCTCAATGTAAAAAACAGATTATTTCAATTCTCTGTGGCATATTCAATAATAAAGGCAAGCACAAGTTTCAGTGGAACCATATAGAAAGACTGTTGGGCCCGTGGTAGAATCCAACTAGATACCTCAAAGTGTCATGATACTAGAGTAGGAGATTAAAGGACAAAAACACATTATCAAATGAAACACATTAGCATGGAGAGCGGGCAGAGGAGTTTGGGTGTCCAAAAGTAAATTACAGAGAGCCAAATGTAAGCAGAGACAAAGAAGGTGCAACATTGTGCGAACTGTGGAGGGTTATAATAAGCCAGTTGTGGTTAATAGTGGATTTAGATCCTTTTGGTTAGAAGAGTGGTCTCCAGAGCTAGACTGCCTGGGTTCAAACCCCGGCTCTATTCCTACCAGTTTGTAACTGTGACAAGTCACTTAACCCTGTTGTCCTTCAGTTTGCTCTTTTATAAAACGGGAATGAGGATAATAATTATCCCATAAGGGTATGATCAAGATTAAATATGCAAGATATTTATAAAGGCAAATGCCATGTAGTAAGCACTCAATGAAAGTTACTATCATTATTTTTAAACTAGAAGAGGAAGGGAGCCAATGAGCAAGAGAGCTGATTTTAGCACCACATTCAAAAATCAATCCTGAAAACTAACTCTATTCCCAACCCCAACCTGAAGTGTCACAAATGACAAGAGAATGAATCAGGGCCAACAATGTGAATGTATTTGCAAAGCTCTGTCACCACATACACATCTGACAATAGCTCAGGAGCATCCAGTTCGCTTATGGAGCGAGTCCATTTATTCTCTGATTTTGAAGGTAACAGCTTTTGTGCTCCTTGAATCTATAGTGATCGGCATATTGCCAATCAAAAATAACTGAGTTGGGGACATTGTGTTTCAAGTTTACAATGCAATACAAATTCCCTGTTAAAAGGCAAATCCTTCATTTCAAATTGTTGACTCAGAATATCCTTAAAAAAGAATTTCGGCTGTTTAAATTTAGCATGCTGAGAAAGACCAATCTTAAAATATTGTTTGGCTCTACGCCCATAACATTTTCACTTTATTCTTTGTTAGTGTTTGTCTTCTGTGATAAGACAAGTGACAGTAATCATGTTAGTCTCTGTAACACTTCACATTTTACCTAAATGAACCATTTTGTTTTTATCCTCACCAGTTAAAGATGGCTTTTGCTTCCTGGCAAATTTTCAGAAAGTGATTGTGCAAGAATCAGCGATATGTCCAACTACTCTTTTACCTCTTCAGTCAGCATCTGGCCTTTCTCCGCCACTTGTCTTTGAATCATTGTTTTTCCACTTTTAAAAAGAGTATGTAAAGGAGATTATCTGATGACTAGCATAATCTAATTTTTATAATAAGACTTTACAGCTATTTAAAGAGATGTTTTGAGTCTGCACTTTATCTGTGACTAAAGATCTCTACCCTACACACACACCCCAAAGAGTTTGTTATTTAGTGTCCCTCAGGACAAAGAGTGTGGACATATTTTTGGACCAGCCTTCCACTATATGATTCCCTTATTTTCTTTTTATACCTCTCTGTGTTTAGATCTTCCAACTTTTCTCCTCTCATATTAACTGCATTATCTTCCATTTCCTTCCTGGAAATGTCCCCATGTTCATTTTCAGAGTTTGGGTAGCCAAAGCAAAGCCTGAAATTGGAATCGTGAGTGTGCCAACTTTGGATCTGGGGTCAATGCAGGTGGATTCCAGTTTAGGTGGATCCAATTTTGGGTATCATCAGAGAAGGAAGATCTCTCAAGCACTATCCACCCACGGCATCCACAAAATAATATGCTCAACCCCACCCTGATCCATAGTAGAGTACCATTTTAATTTTTTTTAAGTAGCAAAGCAGTTAAGAATTAGAGTTAGTCACATCGAGTGGTAAATTCTAACCCAGCATTCACTAAATACGTTGCTTTCAGAAATTTGTTTATTCCCCCTGAGTTTGAGTTTTTTCTAAAGGGGAGAAAATGCCGTCTCCCTCCTGTGAGGGGCATATGTAAATGAGAGAGCATATGTAAAGCTCTTGACACAGTATGTGCAACTGCTGCACTCAAAATAACTGCCCACTACTACTCATTCGTTGTGTGACGAACAAAGCACATGAGAAAATAATCCAGGGCTATCAAGTAGTTGAACCTACTTCATAGTAAATACCCAAGATATTGACTATGGTATTGGGACATAACATATGTGACTCACTTGATCAGAATTTGCGTTGGTGTTTTACAAGAGAAAGAGAATGCTATTGCTGGAAGAGAGGCAACAGGAATAGGCTTCTTCACTATTTTTCCTGGAGTTTGCTCTGGGCAAGTGCTCCTCGGCTAGAGGTACTACTCTTTAGAGAATACTGCAACAGTATTGTGCATATATAAATACAGCTCTGTTCCTGAAGGCAGCCAGAAGAAACATCCAGGAGAGGATCATCTTGAAATGTCATTTCAAGCCTATAGATCACATCATAGTCGTTATCAGTAGGCAGAATTAGATTTCGCGATCAGCAGCTATCTTCATCTGGCTTGTCTGACTACAACTCTCCGTTCTTTCAATAGTGTGCAAGAAAAAGCATCAGTCATAGGATACTAGTTCAGACACTATCCCAGCAAAACTTACCAATGGTTTTAAATTGTTAAAACAATTTAAATAATTGTTTTATTACACAAATGATTTTTATAATCTTCCCAGTCATAACTTGAGCTTTGCTTACCAGTAGGACAAGAAAGTATGAAGCAAAGGCATTGCCACCGCTCAACTCCAACTACATAAGTTTCTAGATTTAAAAAAATTTTGTCAAATTTTTATCAGTGCTCTTAACCTAATTTTCTTCCTCTTTAGCTACATAAAGATTTCAGGTAATAATAGTTGACTCTAGAGTATTAGGGAACTGCTTGCAAATTTGCTCCAACCATATTCTTCTATTCTTCATATAGACTTTTCGTTTTCTTTCTCATTGCTGTCAAAAATTTTTAACCACCCTCATGTATGCACTATTGTAGCAAATATATTCCCTGCATTATATTTTACTCAGTGATTCACAAGGTCACATGTAGACTTTATGCACAGGGATACTATGTATGTGTGTGGCATGGATCGCCTATAACAAATTGGGCACTCCAACAATGCCAAAAAATATTAAGTAAGCCTTTATACCTGGAGATCCCCGTGATGAGTAGAAAATTAGCCAAGACTATTCCAATGACATTCTTGACGTGTTTTATTTTTGGTAAAAGCATGAAGATTTGGTGGATTAGAGAAAGAGTAGCACAATTTAAAACTGAAATTATAGGATAAGAGTAGTCCTTGGTTACCCATTTTCTAAAGACAGAGGATTTCAGAATTACTTTGTTTTTCACAATTGTTATTTCACAAATTTTGAAGCTTCTTCTCCTATGGAATATATGCTAGCCTATGGACGTATCCAGATTAAAATCTTACATTCTCTTTTAGGTAATTTCTGTTTTGTCAATAATTTTTCTTGGAGAAAAATGTACTAATACAGTGTTTTCTCCAATGATCCTCCAACTAAGTCTAACATTTTTGTGTAATATATGCTTTCTGTTTGAGGGATTTCCACCCCCCCCCACCCCCCACTGCCCCACCACCACTGTAAAAATCTGGTCAATGCAAGAGGACCTGGTTAGGTACCCCAACATTTTTAACATTAATTATTTCTGATTTATTTTCTAGAAAAGACCTTCAGTATTCTGCTTGCATTCATGTTTATTTGGTCATTTGCTTTACAATGGACTGGTCCTTGCTGACCTGTTTTTAAAAGAGTTGGTTATCTGCAATTTGAGCAACCAGTTGAAGTTGTTTTATAAAAGTTTTAAGCCTTCATTTTCTGCCAGTGAACACAATGCTGCTTGGTTTCTAAGTATAGAGCCATCTATGTAAAAATCGCCACTTTAAAATCACAAGAAAGAGACTGTTCAGCAAGTGGAGGAGATTATTGCAGCAGGAAGAAACTGAGGGGACCCTCCATGTGGCACCCACTGAAGAGTATTTGAATGTTTATCATATCATCAGTGTGGCCTAGGCTGTTGCCTAGCAGTTATCTAGAGACCTACTTCACGTTTTATTTTAATTTAATAAGGTAAATCGAAGACTTTTGTTTGCTTGCTTGCTTGTTTAGTTCACAGATTAGGAATAAATCTGGACTGGAACTTGTAACAATTAACTAGGGCATTTGAAAGTCCAAGCCAGCCTCTTTATGAATTACATTTTGAAAAGACAAGCTGCTATCTCATTGGTAACTTTCAGGAGACCACTCTTGGAATTAAATTTAGAAAACATTTATCAGTTATGTTGCCCAAAATCACAATGGACAGGGCACTTTCTGCATAGCTAATACACAAGCGGCATCCGCCTGCAAATCACAGAGCACCCCTACTATAGCATAACTAGGACAGGAGTCAGGGAGACGAACCGATTTAACATTTCATGGAGAATTCAAAGCTATGCTTCTCTAACTTTCCTCCCCATTTCTTCCCAGCTTCCCTTCCCCCGCACCACACACCCAGAAGCCACTCAATTTGCCAACCATGTCCAGTTTAACTTACTGCAGTGTGATGCAGGCGAAAGCTGAGCGCATCTCTGAAGCGAGAGCCACTGCTTTTCCGGAGAGGAACTGGGACTAGCCAGTTCTCAGGATCCTTTCCAATTCACACGCTCCCGGCACAGTAAGAAGGCTCCCACACAGCTCGGCTTCCCCAGAGGAGTGGAGCTTCAAGAACTCTGCTCACAGCATCCTCCTCCCCACTGCCACCCCCTTCCAGAACACCCGGCCCATTGGAACTAGTGTCTGAAAGATGGAAATCTACTTCCAGGCAGCAACACAGGCTGCCTGCAGTTCACCCGTCTCTGATCATTTGCAACTAAAAAACAGCGGAGGCTGAAAGACGTAGGTTTCCGGAGCCTGAAAGTCATCTTTGGCGTCCCCCTTCCCCACCTCTCACTCCTCCCACTTCATCCCCGCTCCTCTATCGCGTCCACCCCCAGTCCTCCAGACTCCCACTCAAGCTAGCTATCACAAATGATTATTTTATCATCCAAACCAGTAAGCAGCTGAAGGAAACAATTTGTCAGAGATGAAATACCTGTTGTCCATGACTAACGCTCTTCTTCAGTCTCTCTTAGTCCTTGATTTATGTCAAGACGCGTTGATATTGGAAGTCTGTGCAGTGTGTGTGTGTGTGTGTGTGTGTGTGTGTGTGTGTGTGTGTTGAGGAGGAGGCGATTTGCGCGGCTGCAAGCACCAGCCCTGCCTATCTCTGGCTGCCGCTTCTCCAGCTGCTATTGCTACTCTTGCTGATGGAGCTCAGGGGAAAATGAGACAGGGAGACAAGGCTATACAGCTGTTTAACTGCTGGTCCAGTTATAAGACAGGGGAGGAGACGGTGCAGGTGAGAGGCTGTTGAGACAGTGAGCTGGATTCACTGCAATTACTACCACTCACTATACATCTCAGGGAGGAAATATGATACCCGTCTCCCCTCTCCCTTCTACAACTGTAGTCCTTGGTGGGTCATTGTTCAGCAACCATCTGCCGAAGCCACTTCTACCAATTGTAGCAGCTGCAGACGCTCTTGCTGCATTCCGGCTTGGTAACCTCGGAGCAGGTGACTGGAGGATGGATGAAGTAGAAAGGCAGTTAAATATTGGGAGAAACTCTATGTATGTGTAACCAATCAGGGCACAGATAAAAATAACAATTTTGAGGCACGTGTGTAAAATAGTGTATTAGGGTAAGAAAAATGTAAGTAAGTCAATAATCAAGATTTTTGTGGACTGTGTACAAAACCAGACAGTTATTAAGCAGTGTGCTTACCAGCTTATACACGGGGTATCTTGACATAGAAGTCCCGTGGTTGCTCTTAACTTATCTATATAATATTCTCAATGATTTCAATGCATTAACATCTCTCTGTCAGCTACAGACTCTGGTAAAACCAACTTGATTCTGTCTTCTATTAACTTTCATTTGCTCTCCTTATTGGCTGCTCTCATTAATCTCCAACATATTCTCATAAAAAATATGACATTCGGCAGAACTTAGAAATGGAAGACGTTCTCAAATCCCCCAAAGAATAGAATACTTCTTAATTACTAGTAACATTTGCTCTAGTAATAGTCTGTCTTCACTTTCTTGTTCTGTAGATTGAGTAATCATGAACAACCCCTCCTAAATACACACACACACACACACATCACTTAATTGAATAGTACTTTTAATCCACTTTCAGCCTCCAGTTGTCTGAGCTAAAAATAAACTTAATTCCTTTTGATTTTATTTGTAATGCACGCCTTTAATTATTTCTGCCTCTGAGTACTTTTCATATTGGCCATATTTTTTCCCAGTTGTTAGGGCTTGTGTAATCAGGGTTAATCAGGGTTAAATTAAACAGAGGGGGAACACGGAAGAAAGAAAATATAAGAAAAGACCCAGAAGGAAGAAAATAACCCAAAAGGATTAAATAATACATCTTTCCCTGATGTGTTTATACTGCCTTTAGCTAAACAAAGACCAGTTAATGAGCAAAGCATTTATCAATTATCCAACAAATATCAATTTGCCAAAGCCAGCCTAACTTCAATTTTAACAGATTTTATCAGAGGCTAATATTTTGTTTTAAAAATCATATAATACCTTAAATGCGAATAGCATCCAGAATTTTTTAACGTCAAAATTCTAATTAAACATGATGCCAAATAGCTATTTTTCTCTTCATTTGTTGTCTGTCCATTAAATAATTATTGTATCACACAATTAATATTATTAACAGTCTGAAGAGTACCTTTTTTATACTTGTGTACACTGCAGTGTAAGGAAGTAGGCACAAGAAGTCTCTAGCACATAGAAATACATTTTGATACAAAAGGCCAACTTTATCCACAAATGGTATGATTTTAAACTTGCCCTGCTCAACAAATTCATCCCTTACTATAACTAGCAGGATCTTGCCATTTGTAGTTTAGCAGGGTTTTCTTTTTGATCTTTTTGGTTATTGTTTTTTGTTTTACCTTTACTCCCATTTTGAAATTAAATCATATTTAGGAAGAGCACTAACACTCTAAACATTATTGAGAGACATAATTTATTAGCTATCTTCATTATAAATAAGAAGGAGTCTAAACATCTGGTCTGGGTAGAGCTGGAAGAACTACAAGATGTTAAAATAATTGGTAATGAGTATTTAACATCCATCTTGTTAGTTTTTTTTTTTTTTTTTTTAACAGCTTATAGCATTACTAAGATTCACTTTAAGAAAAAACCACTCTCTTAAAACTACAAGGTTTGGTAATGGAGGAAGAAAATTTTCAGTTAAGGATTGGTGATTGAATCTTATTCCTGACTCATAACTCAAGATTTTCCATTTTGTGGTAAAACTTACAAATCACTCCCTTACAACACTGTGCCCATTTCTCCAAGATGCTTCTCTGCTCCCATCACTAGATTTTCAGAAACTTCATGGGAATCTGTTTATCATTCATCAATCTAAAAAATAAGAGAAAAATGAACTTGCTCTATACTCATTCCTCAACATAATCATCAATTTGTGAAAATATATAGAAACGAATCATATTAATTTTCATCTACATCTCCTTCATCATCAAAACAAGTATTCCCAAACTAAATTTTGTAATTTAATGATAGTCATTTACTGAAGAGAACCCAAAAGTTTGCAAACTGTACAACAGCAAAAGCAAGCCATGTTTGCTTAGTTCATTCATGCGTCTCTAGCATCTACCAAAGTGCTTAGAAAGTGGTATGTGCACAGTAAAATAACGTTTGAATACGTGAGTGAATGAATTAATCTGTGAGTGCAGGGCATTGGGAAGATAAGTGAGCTGGAAATAAGGGTGTTTGAATTCTTTTCGTCTTTTTTCTGCTGCTAAATAACTGGCACTTTAAGGATGTGACTCACTTCTCAGGGTCTCTAAGTGTCCTTTCATATCTATCACTCACAGGCTCCACAGAACTGCACAATAATGCCTGTCCTTAAGATTCCTCCAAAATGAATTTTCTACTATACAAACTCAATCAATAAAGTTATCTAGAATCTAATTTCCTGAGGGGGCTTTCAGGGTCCTATTTAATCCCTAAGAAATTCACAGCTCTCTCTCTACTCCCCTTTTGACTTCTAAATCCCTACCTAGTCTTGTGATTACTGGACTAGAGCCTTAAAAAAAAAACAAAAACAAAAACAGATTGCTACACATTTATGTGTGCTTGTTCCTAAAATGTTGGCCTTATATCAAGGATTACAAGCAAGACAACTTTCATTTACCTTTCATCACTCTTAATAAATTAATTCTTAAACAAACAAAATAAATGATGAGAGACAGCACTTAAACTGTGAAGTATCAGAAGTTATTGACATTAGATAGAAATCTATCTTTTTTCTTTTTTCTGTCTTTTTTTTTTTTTTTTTTTTTTTTGAGATGGAGTCTCGCTCTATTGCCCAGGCTGGAGTGCAATGATGTGATCTCGGCTCACTGCAACCTCTGCCTCCCGGGTTCTAGCGATTCTCCTGCCTCAGCCTCCCAAATAACTGGGATTACAGGCGCATGCCACCATGCCCAGCTAATTTTTGTATTTTAGTGGAGACAGGGTTTCACCATGTTGGTCAGGCTGGTCTCGAACTCCTGACCTCGTGATCCACCCACGTTGGCCTCCCAAAGTGCTGGGATTACAGGCGTGAGCCACAGTGCCCGGCCTCCAGAAATCCATCTTTAATCACAGCACTGTATGTAAACTGGTGCTTAAAAATTACTTTGTCATGTTAATGTTTTTCAACAAACATTTATTAAACATCTATTATCTGCAAAGCATTGGGAAAAGAAACAGTTCAATAGGATATAGCTTTATCTTTTAAAGAATATACAATCCCATAAATAAAGGTATTCTCACTTTAAATTTTTTATATAAGTATTTTATCTTTCAAAAAAAATAAATTGCTCAATAATTTAAATCCTTACCAACTTTGGCTTTAATCATGAGAGGATAGCTACTTCCTAAATTTAACAAAGTGCCATACGGGAGCTTTTCCACTGGTTTTAAATCAATGAATCAGTGGGACATAAGCTGGAAGGCTAGGAGAGATTCAGAAAAGACATGATATTATTGCACTCCCCTTGAAAAGAATAATGATCATAAAATATGGGATTTGATAGGCCTTCAGATCTCTTTGGGTCCAATTCTCCTCTTTTACAGGAGAGGAAACTAACAAAATAGATCACCATCACTAATTTCTGGGCAGGCCATTTACAGGCCTTTCCACTGGACTTCCTGGCTTTGTCACAAAACAGACGTGCTTCAATTCCCAGCTAGGTTAATTACTGGCTCCATGATTTTGGGAAAATAATTTTTTTCTACACCTTAGTTTTCTCACCTATGAAATGAGGATGCCATAGCACCTACCCCACAGAGTGGTTGAGAGAATCAAATAATGTGTCATGTGTGAAGCACATAGCACAGTGCCTGGCAGCATTCTGCATGTGCGCTTACATGTATACGTGCATGAACACACACACATGTGCACAGGGGTAATGGTTTCCATAACTGTGTGCCCTGTCTTCATTGAAACCATAATTTCTGAGGTTAATATTTAAGTATATGACTTTCAAATTATTCTTATTTCTTTATACATGAATATGTAACTGAATGGTGATGGCAGAATCTGAATGATTCTTAGGGGCAGCAAGCTTATTGTTGACCTAGTAGGCAATTTTAAATCAGAAAGGCAATTCTTCCTCTGCTTCGATGAAGGTACCTGGTATTATAAAGTGGTCTGAGCAATGATAAGTAATATTAATTAGGGGAGAAGATATTCAGTCAAACTTTCTGAGCCACCCACAATGTGTGAAGTCCTAAGCTGGACACATAATTAAGGAACCACAGAAAATGCAGCAAAACACGATTTAAAGCACAGCATAGAAATTCTGTGACAGAGAAATTGTAGTTGTCCAACTGAAGTTTTATGTGGAAAATTAGCAGACTGTAATATAGCCCAGCCATTTATTTGGCTGTCTCAGTGATGGATGTGGAGTAAACTATAATTGATTTAGCAATGGTCATCCACACAGTGTTCCTGAAAATGTCCACGTTTTATACTGCATGACCTCACTTTATTATTTAGACCAATTGTTTAAAAAAAGAGAAGGCATACATATTGTGATTTTATTTTATTTTTTTGAGAAACTACATAGGCCAATTTAACTAGTTCTTCTATACCCACTCTAACCCTTGAGCAATATCCCATCACTCTTTCTAACACGCTGGAGGCCATTTAGGTGTCTCTACATTAGACTTAGAGGCCAAATTATATTCATATTTACACAGAGCCCTGCACACAGAAGGCACTGAAAAGATTTTCAGTTGTATTGATATGGACTTGTATCAAATAATCATTTTAAATGTCAGTTTTGAAAGAGAACAGAAAACCTCCATCTAATAGCTAAATCTTTAAAACACCATGCTATCAACTGCAAATAAATACACTAGCTTTAAGCCATCTAAATGATTAAATCTGTTTATATTGTTTACAATTTAGAGAAGAATGCCTTAAGATAAAGCATTTTATTTTTTTTGGCTGAGTTGGGGAGGGCCTGAATAGCTTTCTATCATATCTTATATGTGACTTAACCTTAGAGCTATTTTTTATTAAATGAAATCTTACCTTTCTGTAACTTCTATAAAGACAGGTAACTTGAAAGGAAGAGTGGAAAAATTTGTAACAGTAATGATAGCCTCATGCAGTATGCATCAAAATGCATATACATATAGACTGGTTTTGGGGTGACTTTAACAAAGCACTTTGTTGAAAAAACAGATGCTATATAATTGTGGAAATGTAATAACAAAACTCATTATCATTATCTTCACTGTTGTAAATCAGCCATCTGTGTGGTATTTGTCCTTGAAGTTAGTTTGAAAAAGTAAGGATGCATTTCTTCAATTAACTTTCTCAGTCTATGACTGGCTGGAAGATAAATATGGATATTAAAATAATAAAATGTGTGGGTAAAATAGAAAGGCTCATTCTAAGCCTCAATTAAATGTCCTTAAAATTTAACTCTTATGCTTTTAGCGATGGCTTTCTATTGTACATTTCCTGCATCCAACTTGAAGAATTGAAGAAGAAAAACTTCATCATGTATGTACTGTGCAGCTCACACAGCTATGTCTGTTAAAGCCAATTCGTTTCATCCTACGGTGAATAATGTCTTATCTTTATATTATAACCATATTTTAAAATGTCAGATTCTCAAAAAAACTCAGCATAAAGAAAGATGCTGAAAGAGGGGTTGTTTTGTGCAATGTTGCCTTGTACTAATCATTCTTATATGCTTTTAATAGCCTCTTTATCCTTATGAATATCAATATTATGCACGCACTATATTACTGGGATTTAGCTTCATAGGTCTATGTAGAGTGTTGTTAAGAAGCACTTTAATAATTTGTAGAAATTGAAAAAAAAATGTTTTTCATTTAACATGTTTAAAATAGTTATACCCAGCCCAATGTTTAAAACTGAGGTTTCTTGGCTAGTATAAAAATTTAAATCTGCAAATGGCCTTTATCACATGTCAGATTGCAAAATAAGAATACATTGCATAATTAAAACAATGATTAAATATATATTTAAAAATCAGTCACTTTATTCCTCAATTGGGATGACCCGAATTCAGAAACCATATTTGTCTTGGGTGATTTATCTAAAAATGGCTTTTGAGGTGGAATAGTTTTTTTTATAAAACATTAGCACATAATGTGTACTTTTACATCAATAGAAACTGACATCAAAATTAAGAGGGGAAAATTATGTTCCATTGGGATAATCTTGGGACACTGTGATTTAATGATGCTTTAAATAATCAAAATCATGTATTAGCTGGGCACAGTGGTTCACACCTGTAATCCCAGCACCTTGAGAGGCCGAGGTGGGTGGATCACTTGAGGTCAGGAGTTCGAGACCAGCCTGGCTAACATGGTGAAACCTTGCCTCCACTAAAAATACAAAAAATTAGCCAGGCATGGTGGTTCATGCCTGTAGTCTCAACTAATTGGGACTAGTGACTAATGTAGTCCCTAGCTACTTGGGAGGCTGAGGCAGGAGAATTGCTTGAACCTGGGAGGCAGAGGTTGCAGTGATCCGAGATTGCGTCATTGCACTCCAGCCTAGGTGACAGAGCGAGACTCCATCAAAAAAAGAAAGAAAGAAAGAAAGAAAGAAAGAAAGAAAGAAAGAAAGAAAGAAAGAAAGAAAGAAAGAAAGAAAGAACCTTATATATTAGGAGAAGGCAAAAAACAAAACAAAACAAAACAAAACAAAAAACACACCTATGATAAGTAATTTATTATGCATTGAAAAGATTTCTTCCAAAACATATTAAAAGAAAAAGACTGGAAGACATAAACCTTTATGGAAACTTTTGGTTTTCTTTTTTTGGCTACCAAAATTGTTCATTTTAGTGAGAAAAAATACTTTTATGTTAGGATTTAATCTAAGATATATGATCAACAAATAACACCTTATTTAACTATTATAACTATCCTACGAAGAAGATACTCTCGTTACTTTCAATTTTCACATGAACAATCAGAAGTACAAAGAACTTAACTAATTTATCCAAAGATATACAACCTGTGGGAATGACAAAAGCACTGAATCTCTCTAATCTGGCTCCAAAGTTCCTATTCTTAACACCTCTGCTACATTGCTTCTCCACTTTAAAGAGACAAATATTATTTAAGATTTGAAATTTGAATGCTGAGGGCAATACAACAGTTAGTTGATTAATCTATGTTTAATCAGTATAGAATATCACTAATGCTTGAAATATTGATATTTTATATTAGCTTTAAATGACCTGGGGGTGATAATTTAATAACCTAATTAAACTCCAAATTCAAGCTTTCTTTCATTTTTTCATGTTGTAATCTATCTCAAGCACATGCATATTTACTGCAATGTATAGTATGTATCATATGCTTTATGCCAAAGTAAGAAATAACTGTATACAGCCATTAACTCATTAATCTTAATATATATATATTGACCTTACAATGTATACATGTAGTAAAACATGTTATTATAGTTATCAATTTTTTGTAGTGATTTCCAATTACAGTATGAACTCATTGACAGAAGGGCCATATTTTATTTGCTTATCTTTAGTTCTTTGAAAAAAATAATGGAATCAGAAGCACTACCAAAATTATCACTGTATCAATAAGTGTAGTTGTGTAAGGACCTGTCCAAATGCTGAAAATATTTTAAATAATTGATCTTAAGTTATTTCATATTCTGGTGTTGGAGTATAAGTGTTTCTATTTTCATTTTTTTATTGGGCTTAGGATAATTAATTATACAGTATATTTATTATTTTAAATATTTTTCAATGTTATTAACTTATAAGCTCTATAAGTACCAGGACTCTCAGAGTTTTTTTCCTCCCACTATGGCTCCAACACTCAGCTCAATGTCTGGTGCTTTGTCACTGAAGTTTAATGATTTATTAACTACTCAAGTGTAAATTGAATTAACAAATTCAGGAACTGTTGATAAATCTCTTCTTTTTCTGTGTTTCCCTTTAAAAAACAGACTGGCTTTTTCAAATCTATATCACCTGAGAAAGATGTATGTGTCCACCTGCGGTTTTCACAAGTACCTTAGCTATAGGAAAAGCATCTGGGTACTATGATCCAAAACTGCAAAACTGCGACAACGCTGTTTCATTTGACTTCAGATGGGAGACCAAAGATGTGAAAATAAAAATGAAGGCAATTAGTAAAATTAATGGACCATTCTCTGTTATAGAGTTTCTAACTTTGTTTACATAATAACATGTTAGAATATTATATGTCAATAAAACAGTATGCAGATGCCAGAAAAAAGGAAAGTCTGGCTAATATCTAAAATGTCTGGACTATGTTCAAAACACATCAGAGTTCTGGTTGTTTTGTACTTGTTTTAGTTTGTTTGCTTCTACTCAGTGTCCTGCGCCCTTCTTCTGGTAACAAATTCTGATTTTTCTTTGAATACAATTTTATTGGAATATAAATAGAGGCAACTTTGTTTCCAAGGCCAAGTGGACATATATTAGATGAACCGGAATCTCTCTCTAGAAATTTAAGCTTTCTAAAGTATGCAAAGCTGTTGGAGGTGATAAATTCCACAAGAAACATCCTCATATGTTTCATATCTAGATCTCCAAATAGGCCTATTTCCTAATGTTTCTAAGCCCAGTCCTATAGTGGTTTCTTTTAGTTAGTCAACTACTTCATATTTGTTGAATATTATAATTTTGCATCAGGTAAGCAGAATTCATTTTATTTTCCTGCAATAAGAACATTAACAGTTAGATCAAGCAACAATGAAACATTTAGAGTGTGCCTCAGAGGAATGAGTTCACTGGGGGACTGGTTGGGGTAATTTATCTGATAGTAATAGGTAGAATGCGCTGGAACAAAATGAGACAAGCACCTGGAGGACCACGCAGGAGGCTGTTGAATAGCTTACATGAGAAGTCAGAACTGTTTTAATGGAGTTAAAATAAAAAGTATTTAGTGTTATGTAGATTCAGCCACAAAATTCATCATTATTTCTTTCCTTAGCTGCAACAAAGTAGGACTAAGTGGACGCCAGTGTCAAGGCTAAATATTGTCGTGAAAATCTATCATCATAGGTTTTATCGCTTATGTCATTTTATGATGTTAACTGTGGCTCCAGGCTCCATTTCTCTTGTAGGGTGCAGAGTTTCCCACACATATGAGTGTCCCATACGTCTACCTCTTACCTACAGATAGACCATCTTTCATATTGTCTCGTACAGAAAGCACTTCTCTGTTCCTTTTAAGTTATCCCTCATTATTTTAAATGAATATTCCTTATTTCACTTGTCAAAGGTAATTATTCTCCACCATTTCTTTCCGATTTTGTGGTTCTCGTCAAGTGCCCCACTTTGTTCAACTTTCTTTCTCATAGAAGATGTCATTTCCTTCAGTTTCATCAAGAAAGGTGGTGCTGGTTAGCACTCTTCTTAGCTTCGCCAGCCTCACTCACAATGTTCCAGCATTGTGGATCAGTGAGTCTTCATACTACTGTCCTGTCAGTACTCAAGATGTCTTCTCTGCCCTGAAAGATTGATGGCGATGTGACCTTTTCCTTGCTTTGTTTGGCACACAGTAAACCCTTATTTCACACTCCGCTCTGTTCTCTTCTCCTCTGGAAAATATACGATTTCACCCTCTGTTGACTACCTTTGCACATGCATACTGAGCAGTTATTCTGTTTCCACCATTATGGCACTTTTTACATTTTCTAGAAAATTTCTATGAATGCTCCTGTTGCTCTCACTAAAACATGTAACTTCTTGAGGTTATGTATCCTAATCATCATAATATTTATTACCTTTGAGTAAGAAAATTGTGTCCTGCATACTAGATATTGTGCTAATCACTGTAAATACAAACACAAATGCCATATATTTCTCTGACATTAAGGACCTTTAACTAGGTGGAACCCAAGAAACAATTCTAATATTTCAGAGGAGAGTGATAATAGGAAAAGTAGGTCTGGAAGAGCAAAGAAGGAGGCAAACTAAATTGAAATGGGAAGAAAATGACACGGAAGTTTTTCCTGGGGTAGTTGACATTTGGGAAGAATTTTCAAGGATGACTTGCTAGATAAAAAATAATGGTAAAATCTTTTGACTTATAGTTTCAACTCACTCCAACATATAAAGGGCATGGAAGTCATCACTCTCATCCACACATCAAGACAAAGCTAAGCAAGCTAATCAATAACTTTTCTTAGGTTAATCAGCAAATGGAGTTCACAGAGTAAACTACTACCCACAAAATCGAAGAGACAAGCAAACATAGAGAATCACAGCCGAGATCAGCTTACCTAGGAAAAAACACTTGAGCAAGTAACTGGTATTAATAGTTAAATGTAGCCCTACTAGGTTCTCATGGTGAAGACTGGAGAAAAATTACTTTCCCTCATGCTTTAGGGAGAGGAAGGGAAAAAGTAATTGTTTTAAAATATCACAGGGGAAATTAATGATTTTGAAATAAGTCCATAGTATTTATAATGAAGAATTGCTCTCAAGAGAAATACCTTGCCAGAGCCTTCTCTGACCTGGAAAAGCATCAATTAAAAAGCTCAGCTCCATCATTCCTTCTTGTTTCACATAAGGGGAAGGAAAAGAAAGGCTGATATACCCATCTGAGGTCTCTGCCAAAGGACTCAGATCCACTAAGAAAACTGAGATTTAATCATAAGATTATAGAAAACTACACGCCCAAATACTTAGAACTTCATCAACAGGGCTTACCACTGAAAGAGCTACAAGATACAGACTCTAACTAAGAAGAAGTTCTTTGGGAAACCCAATAACAAAACGAAAGAAAATGAATCTAGGAGAAACTAAATCCTTTAGCACATACAATATAGCAAATATTAAGTACAACCCTCACTCCTAGCCACATTGACATAAATGATCACACCAAAGGCTCAGTTACCTCAGTTACCAAATACAGCATGTCTGGGTTTCAACAAAAAATTGTAAAGCATACTAGAAGCAAGAAAAAAACAAAGTCTGAAGAGACAAAGCAAGCATCAGAACTAGACTCAGATATGACACAGATTTTTAAAATTATTAAATAGGGAATTTAAAATAACTAGGATTAATATGTTAAAGGATCTAACGGAAAAAGTAGACAACATTCAAGAACAGACAATGAATGTAAACAGAGAGAAGACTGCTCTAACAAAGAATCAAAAGGAAATGCTAGAAATTAGAAAAAAAAAACAACACCAACACTGTAATAGAAATGGAGAAGATTTAAGATGGTCTCATCCGTAGACTGGACAGAACTGAGGAGAGAATCAATGAGCTTGAACACAGGAGGAAAATAAGGTCTTCTGAAATAAAATATAAAGAGCAAAAATAATTTAAAAAGTATAACAGACTAACCAAGAATTATGGGACAATTACAAACATAAGCATCATCTGAAAGAGAAGAAATAAGAAAGAATAAGAGGCCAGGCATGGTGGCTCACACCTGTGATTCCACAATTTGGGGAGGCTATGTTGAGAGAATTGTTTGAGCTGAGGAGTTTGAGACCAGCCTGGGAAATACAGCAAGACCCTGTCTTGACAAAAAATAAAATAAATAAAAATTAGCTAGGCTTGGTGACACATGTCTCTAGTCCCACCCAGCTACTTGGGAGGCTGGAATGGGAGAATCACTTGAGCCCAGGAATTCGAGGCTTCAGTGAGCTATGATCAAGCCTCCACACTCCAGCCTGGCCTGAATCACCGAATGTGACCCTAACGCCATAAGAAAAGGAAGAAAGAACAAGAAAAATTTGTTGATGTTATAACAGCTGTCTTCCAAAATTAATGGCAGACGCTAAACCACAGATCCAAGAAACTCAGAGAACACTAAGCAGGATATATTTCCAGGCATATTATATTCAAGCTGCAGAAAAGCAAAGACAAAGAGAAAATATTGACAAATGTGAGAAAATAAATGCTTTGCCTATAGAAGAACAAGAATAAGAATTACACTGTGCCTCTAATCAGAAACAATGCAAGCAAGAAGAAAGTGGAGACAAGTATTTAAAGTGTGGAAAGAAAAAAACCCACCAACCTAGGATTCTATATCCAGTAAAATTATCCTTCAAAGGGGAAGAAGAAATAAAGACTGTCTCAGAAAACAAACAAACAAACAAACAAAAGAGAAACAGGGAATTTGTTACCTGTAATACTGTCTTGCAGGAAATGTTAAAACAAGTTCCTCAGAGAGAATAAAAATATATAGTTCAGAAATTTGAATTTATCAAAGAAAGAGTATCAGAGAAGGCATGAATGAGGGTAAAATAAAATGTTTTGCTTTTCTTATTCTTAATTAATCTAATAGATAACTATTCAACATAATAAGAATAATGTATGGAGTGCTTATAGTTTATGGATAAGTAAGATGGATGACAACAATGTTATATGGAATAAAAGCGAAAAAGAAGATATATGCTGTTATTCGGTACATGCATGTACCATCTTTGAAACAGTATACTATACTGAAAAATGAACACAGATTAGCTGCCAATACATATTGCAAACTCTGAGATAACCCCTAACATTTTTGAAGAAGTATAATAATATAATAAAATAGAAGAAAATAATATAATCATATGAAATAGTTAATTAAAAGAAGTGAAAGCAGTGAAAGAGGGAACGACTTTAAAAAAAGAGCAAGTGCAATGTGTAAGAAGTTACAATCAAGCTAGACACCAATCCCATTATATAAATAGTCATTTTTAATATGATTGATCTAAATACATACAATAAAAACTTGTCAGAGGACATGTAAAAAAAGATTCAACAAATATATTAAAGGGATGGAGAAAGATAAACCATGCTAATGCTAATCAAAGTAAAGCTGGATTAACTGTATTAATTTCAGACAAAGTCTATTTTAGAGCAATAAAAATTATAAGGGATAAAATAGGCATTACATAAGGATGAAGTTGACAATTCCCTAAGAAGGCATAATTGTTCTTTATGTGTGTGCACCTAAAAACAGAGCATTAAAGAACATGAGGCAAAAAATGATAGAAAGAGAAATAGAAAATTCATTATTATAGTTGGAAAGTTCAACACCTCTATAACAGCTATTGACAGCTCCAACAGGCAGAAAATCTGTAAGGATACAATTGAACTGAATATCACCATCAATCAACTATATCTAATTGACATTTATAAAAGATTTTGTCCAATGACAGCAGAATACACATTCTTTTCACATTCCCATGGGGCACTCACCAAGATAGACCACATTCTGGGCCCTAAAACACACCTTAACAAATTTAAGAGGTTATAAGTCAAGCAAAGTATGCTCTCAAATGGAACTACGCAGAAATCAATAACAGAAAGATAGCTAGAAAATAATAAAATATTTAGAAATTAAACAGCATTTTTAAATAACATAAGTCAAATAAAATGTCTCCAAAGAAATTTTAAAATATTTTAAACTAAATGACTAAGAAAACAATACTTATGTCAAAATATGTGGAACACAACAAAAGCAGGCTGAGAGGGGAAGTTTGTAGCACTGATTGATATATTATAAAAGAAGAGAGATCTAAAAATCAACAATCAAGTCTTCCATCTTAGGACTAGAGAAAGTAAAGCTATATAAATGTAAAACAATCAGATAAAAAAATAGAAGTTAGAGCAGAGATAAACAGAATGGAAAACATGAAATCAATAGCAAAAAAATCAATGAAAGCAAAAGTTAGATCTTAGAGCAATAAAATTAGTGAACTTCTAGCCAGGCCACTAACAAGAGAGAGAAAGAGAAGATGCAAATTACTAACATCTGTAGCAAAATAGAGGTCATCACTGATCCCATTTATAATAAAAAGATAATAAAGAAATGCTATACACAACTCTATTCTCACAAATTTTATAATTTAGTTAAAAAGGACTGATTCCTTGAAAGACATGATCTATAAAAACTCACATAAGCAGGAACACACAATCCAAATAGGCTTATATTTACTAAAGAAATTAAATGAACAATGATTAACCTTTTAAAGCAGAAACACCATTCCCAGACAGTTTCATTGCTGAATTGTAACATTTAAGGAAGAAATAATACCAATTCTCTAAAATCTGTTGCAAAAAAATACAAGCAGAAAGACCACTTCCCAACTCATTCTATGAAGCTAGCATTACCCTCATATCTAAATCTGACCCTTACAAGAATGAAAAACTATAGACAATTATATATCATAAATGATCCTCAACCAAATATTAGCAAATTGAATCCAACAACGTATAGAAAGAACTATACACCACCACCAAGTGCGATTTATTCCAGGAATGCAAGGCTAGTTGAACATTTGAAAATCAATAATATAATCAATCCCATCAACAAGCTAAAGGAGAAAAAATTATACGATCATATTAATTGATACCGAAAAAGCATTTGCCAAAATTCAACACCCATTCTTCATGAAAAATCTCAATTGCTAACAGGAGAGAAATTCCCCTATTTGATAAAGAATATCTACAATAAATCTACAGGTAACATCATACTTAGTGATGAGAAAATAAGTGCTTATTTCTAAAATCCAAAACAATAAAAACATGTCTCCTCTTACCATTCTTACTCAACATTGTACTAAAAGTTCTAGGTAACTTCGTAGATAAGAAAAGAAAATAAAAGGCATTCATACTGGGAAGTAAAAAACAAAACTCTTACAGGAGACATGTTTGTGTAAAAGTACAAAAAAGAACAACAAAAATGAAACAAACAAAGGAAAAGCTTCCTGAAACTAATAAACAAATGTAGCAAGGTTGCAGGATACAAAGGTAATACATAAAATTAAATTGCCTTTCTATACACTGACAATGAACAACTGGAATTTGAATCTTAAAACACAATACCATTTACTCTAAAATCAGTGAAATAGTAAAGTCAAATTCTTAAGTATAAATTTAACAAAATATATACAGGATGTATATGATGAAATTTACAAAGTCCTAAAAAAATCAAAGGAGAGCTAAATAAATAGAAAGATGTTTCATATCCATAGTAGGAATATTCAATATTGTTTTGATGTCAATATTGATCTATATGTCAACTTGATCTATGGAATCAATGCAATCCCAATCAAAATTTCAGCAAGTTATTTTCAGATATTAACAAAATGATTCTTAAGTTTATATGGGGCTGGGCATGGTGGCTCACGTCTGTAATCCCAGCACTTTGGGAGGCCGAGGGGGGCGGATCACGAGGTCGGGAGTTTGAAACCAACTGGCCAACACGGTGAAACCCCGCCTCTACTAAAAATACAAAAAATTAGCCGGGCGTGGTGGCAGGTGCCTGTAATCCCAGCTACTCAGGAGGCTGAGGCAGGAGAATCGTTTGAACCCAGGAGGCGGAGGTTCCAGTGAGCTGTCATGCCACTGCACTCCAGCCTGGGTGACAGAGTGAGACTCCACCACACGCACACACACACACACACACACACACACACACAAACACACACACACACACACACACACACACAAAGTTTATATGGAAAGACAAAAAAGACCCAGAAATAGGTGACTCAATACTGAAGAAAAACAAAGTCGGAGGACTGACACCACCCAACTTCAATATTTACTATACAGCTACTGTAATCAGGGCAGCACGTTATTGACAAAGAATAGCCAAATTAGATATGGAATACAACAGAGAGCCAAGAAATACACCCACAGAAATATAGTCAACTGATGATATTTGAGAAAAGAGTGAAGGAAATTCAATGGAGAAAAAATAGTCTTTTCAACAAGTGCTGCTGGAAAAATTAGATATCCATATGCAAATGTATACATACATACATGTAGAAACCTATACAGAGACCTTACATGTTTCACAAAAAATAATTCAAAACAGATTATAGGAATAAATGTAGGACACAAAACTATAAATCATTGATATCCCTTGGATATTTGTCCCCTCCAATCGCAAGGTTTTAATTGCAAAAAACTGAAAGCAACCAAGGTGTTTTTCAACAGACAAAAAGATAAGTAAACTATGGTACATCTCTAAAATGAAATATTATTTGGTGATAAAGGGAAATGAGCTATTAAACGTGATCCCCAGTGTTGGAGGTGGGGCATAGTGGAAAGTGTTAGGGTCATGGGGTGTATCTCTCATGAATGGCTTGGTGCCATCCCCTTCATGATGAGTGAGTTCTCACTCCATTAGTTCACATGTGAGCTTGTTGTTTAACCTCCTCCCCTCTCTCTTGCTCCTTTCCTCTCCATGTGACATGCTTTCTCCTCCTGCACCATGATTGTAAGTTTCCTGAGGCCCTCGCCAGAAGTAGATGCCAGCACTATGCTTCTTGTACAGTCTGCAAACCATGAGCCAAAATAAACCTCGTTCCTATATAAATTACCCTGTCTCAGGTATTCATTTATAGCAATACAAAACAAACTAATGAATACAAACATGTAGAGGATGACATAGAAAATCTAGGTAACTTTGTGTTTCCTGATGAGATTTTAGATACACTGCCAAAAGTGAAATCCATACAAGAAAAGAAAAATGATAATTTGGACATTAAATTTAAAACTTATGTGCAAAAGATACTGTTAAGAGAATAAAAAGATATGCTACAGCCTCAAAGACAGTATTTGCAAATTACATATCTGATAATGCACTTTTAGTAAAAATATACAACGAATTCTTGAAACTCAATCATAAGGAAACAATTTAAAAATGGGAAAAATATATGAAAGACACCTCATGAAAGAAGGTATACAGATGGCAAATAAACACATGAAAATATATAAAACATCATATGTTATTAGGTAACTGCAAATTATAAGAACAATAAGGTGCCATGATATGCTTATTAGAATGTCTATAATCCAAAAATTCTCCAATACGCAATGCTGGTGAGGAAGTAGAACAACCAGAACTTCATTCATTGCTAGTGGGAATACAAAATGTAAATGTGACTTTGGAAGACAGTTTGGCAGTTTCTTACAAAGTTAAACATAGTCTTATCATATGATCCAGCAATCACACTCCTAAGTATATACCCAACTGAGTTGAAAACTTATGTCCACACAAAACCCTTCACAGGAATGTTTATAGCAGCTTTATACATAATTGCAAAAAACTGAAAGCAACCAAGATGTTTTTCAACAGAGGAAAAGATAAGTAAACTAGGGTACGTCTCTAAAATGAAATATTATTTGGTGATAAAGGGAAATGAGCTATGAAGCCAAGGAAAGACATAAATAAACTTACATGTATTTTTCTGAGTAAGCCTGAAAAGACTCCCATACTAAATTACATTTTCTTTTTAAATTAATTTTTTTTCATTCCCACTTTAAATTTTCCATTCCCACTCTAGGTTCAGGGACACATGTGCAGATTTGTTACATAGGTAAATTGTGTGTTGTGAAGAGTTGGTGTACAGATTATTTTGTCACCTGGGTAATGAGCATAGTACCCAATAAGTAGTTTTTCAATCCTCACCTCCTCCCATCTGACATTTCGAAAAGGCAAAACTAGAGAGATAGTAAAATAATCAGTGGTTTCCAGAGGTTTTGGAGGGAGAGGGGAAGTGGTGAGTAGGTGAGATTTTTAGGGTGTCAAAACTATTCTACATGAAACTGTAATTGTGGATGCATGAAATAACATTGTGCCAATATTCGTTCATTAATTATAAGAGATGTAGGACACGAATGCAAGATGTGTGCTGGCAAAATGGAGAAGGAGAAGGGTATATACAAATTCGGAACTACTTGCTTAATTTTTCTGCAAAGGTAATATTGTCCTAAAAACTGAAAGGTATTAATTCCTAAAAGGTGATGTCTATACCAAACCGAACATCATTAGAAAAATAACATAACCCATGTGAAAAATGTAAGTTGTTTGTGTATCACAGTGGTTCTCCACCAAGGGTTATTTTGCTCCCCAGGAAAAATTTGCAATGTCTGCAAATGTTTTTGATTGTTATGACTAGGGCACAGGCAGTGCTAGTGACATAAAATATGTAAAGGCCAAGGATTCTGTTAACCATCCTATAATACACAGGAAAGCTCCTCAAAATAATTGACCCAAAATGTCAACATGGCAGAAATTGAGAAAACTTGGGCTAATGTGTTTTGTGGGCCCAAGAGTGGAAGGCAAGACTTAAACCAGAGATTACTTTGACAACTATACTAAGGAATTTGAAACTTACCCTAAAAACTGTGGATGTCTTTCAAAGGAATTTTAGCAAGATACAATGTGATTAAATCTACATTTTAAAACAGTCATTTCAGTAGCAGTATAGAAAAGCTTTTCTTAACCTCAGTATCTTCCCAATCCACTGTGTTCTGATTAGGAGGTATGTTGCAAACTATTTGTTACTTATCATTCAATCAGAACTGTAAAAATCTTTACCAAAACCCTACAATAAGTGCATTTTTCAGAAGAGATGCTAAAATGATGACTTCGACAAAGAGCGTCTTTCCTTAATGTTATGCAACATGCTGTTTAGTAGAGGTAGAATTATGTTCATAAATATTGATGTAGAAAAAAAATGGAAAGAAAAGCAAGATGGAAGAGCAATTACAAACTGTTTCCATGACCAAAGCAGATAATTAAAAAGGCTAAACCAGAGCAACGACATTTACAAAGGGAAGGGAGAGTAGGTGATTAATTTAATAGATTCCAGGGATGGGGTGCCATGTACGTCTATACTCCCACTGTCTCTAGTATAACATGAAGACTATGTATGTATATATGTCTACATATATATGTGTATCCATCGTGTGTGTGTGTGTGTGTGTGTGTGTGTGTGTGTGTGTGTATCAGACTTATTAGGGGAGTAGTATGGCTCTTCATAAAAATAAATATTGTCATACTACATTGCTTTAGATAGTGCCGTCACTCAAAGATGGTGGGTATGGAGATTGAGAAAGAGAAGTTGGGGAATTCTTTACAAAAATGATATAGAATAACAGCAGGGTTTAGAAGACAGGAGGCAGAAGCATATATACTTGCTTCATTTCAGCATGGTGTAGCCAAGAACATCCTAAGTTGTTAGCTAGGATAGTATTGTTACCTGAATTTTTATCCTCTCTCTGCTACTAAATAGTTGTGTGATTTTAAAACTCTTATGAAATTGACCAATAATAATTGAGTATATTTATGAGATACAGTGTTATGTTTTGAGCTCTGTGTAAATTGAAGATACATTGAGTCAAGCTAAACACCATACCCATCACTTCACCAACTCATCCTTTTTTCTGATGAGAACATTGAAACATCTATTCTTTCAGCAATTTTGAAATAGACAACATATTATTACTGTGATCACTATGCAGTCAATAGAGCACTAAAATATATTCCTTCAGTCTAACTGAAACTTTGTATTCTTTGATTAACATCTCCCCTTTCTCCATCCCTCCTTTTCCACCACAGCTTCTGGTAACCATTCTTCTAGAATTGCTGGGTATCCAATTATAAACAGGTATTTTTGGTACACAGTTTGAAGTTTTATTCCACTCTCCTATGGGTTCTGATATTGCTATTGAGTCAGCTGTCTGTCAAATTGTGATTTTTTAGAAGGCAATTTATATTTTCTTTGGTATTTTCTAATTTCACTATAATATTTATTTCTGTTTTTAGTTTATGGACTTCCTGAATCTTTCCAAAGTTATAAAAAGTTCTCAGGTGTTATATCTTCAGTTATTCCCCTATTGCACTTTTGTTCTTTTTCTCCTTTTGGAGCTCCAATCAGATATCTATGAGACTCTTTCTATTTATTTTTATGAGATTGTCTTTTGTTGATTCCACATATAAATGAGATTATATGCTTTTGTGATTTTTAAACAAGTCACTTTTCCACTCAAAGCTCTGTTTCCTTATTTGTAGAATATGCAAGTTAGAAGACAAATTATCTAAAATTATTTGAAATTCATAATCTCAAATATATTCTCCTTTTCCTTTTCTGTATTGTAGTTCAAACCATCATTATTTCCTCCTTGAAACATTGTATTCATCCCTTTTGATATCTGGCATTCATTCTTGCATTTCTCCAATCCATTCTCCATGGAGCAACCATCAAAATCTTTTTAAACTCCTCTATATAAAAGCTTTGTCCTGGCCGGGCACGGTGGCACATGCCTGTGATCCCAGCACTTTTGGCGGCCAAGGCGGGCGAATCACCTGAGGTCAGGAGTTTGAGACAAGCCTGGCCAACATGAGGAAACCCTGTTTCTACTAAAAATACAAAAATTAGCCGGGTGTGGTGGTGCATGCCTGTAATCCCAGCTACTTGGGAGGCTGAGGCAGGAGAATCTCTTGAACCCGGGAGGCGGAGGTTGCAGTGAGCAACTGCACTCCAACCTGGGCAACACAGTGAAGCTCCATCTCAAAAAAAAAAAAAAAAAAAAAGCTTTGTCCTATTCTCACAATAAAGTTTCTGAATATGACCTGAAGGCAGAAGGCAGGTCTGTCTTGATTACTAACTACCTGTAACTGAGCTCTAATGACACTCTCCTCATTCTAACTGTTTAGTTTCTTGGTTTTGTGGATTTCTATTTTTGTTATAGAATTGTATTTATTTTTCTATAGTTCTTAAAAATATTTTTGCTGGGTATGCAGTTCTAAACAGGTATTTTCTCTGGGCAGTTTGAAGCTTTTATTCCACTGTCCTACGCGTTCTAATATTGCTATTGATTCAGCTGTCAGTCAAATTGTGATTTCCTAGAAGGCAAATTCTATTTTCTTTGGTATTTTCTAATTTCACTATGAAATTGGTTTCTCTTTTTAGTTTATGGAGTTCCTGAATCTTTCCAAAGTTATAAAAAGTTCTCAGGTGTTATATCTTCAGAGATTTCCTCTGTGGTACTTTTGTTCTTCTCTCCTTTTGCAGTTTTAATCAGATATATCCATTAGACTCTTTCTCACTCTACAATCCTGAAACTCATATTTTTCCTCTCCGAGCTGCATTCTTGATGACTTGGTCAGATCTATCTTAATAGTTCACTAGTGCCCTCTTCAGATAGGTTTAATCTAATAAAAATTCATCCATCAAAGGTTTCCAATTTTTTTTTATTTCTAGATTGTTTTGTTTCAATAGTAATCATTGAATTTTGTGTAATTTGGCACAGCATGATATTTTTAAAATTAAATTTTCTATTATGATTATTGTAGAGTCCCAAACAGTAATAAGATATAATACAGAAACACTGAAGTACCCTTTACCCAGCTCCTCTCATGGGAAACTTTACAATTTTATTACATTTATATATACTTACGGGGATTCCTCAGGTTGCCTTTTGATAATCACATCAACCTCCCTGCTGCACAGCTTCTCTCCTTCCCCTGTCCCCAACCTGGCAACCACAGATGTTTTCTCTATTTCTCAAATGTTGTCTTTTTAAATTTGTTATATAAATAGAATCATACAATAGGTAACTTATAATGATTGGCTTTTTTCACTCACTACAATTCTCTATAGATTCACTCAAGTTTTTTATGTATTAATAATGTTTTCATTTTGATTGCCCAGTAGTATCTGATGATATGGTTGCCCCAAAGTCTGTTCAACTATTCGTCCACTGAAGGATACCTAAGTTTTTTCCAGTTTTTGCCTATTACAAAGAAAGCTACTGTGACCATCAGTGAAAAAGTTTTTGTGTGAACATGTGCTTTACTTCTCTGGGATTAATGCTGAGGAGTAAAACCATTGAGTCACATGGCAATTGTCATCAGTATATCTCCTTTGATGAATATCTGTTCATGTATTTTGCGCATATTTTTAGGCAGATTGCCTGATTTTTACTGATGAGTTTGGAGATTTTTAAAATGTATTCCAGATGCAAGGCTTTGCTTGAATTTTTATAGGAAAGGGATTAAACTTATAGGTCAATTTATGGAGTATTGATAGATTTTATTATGTTGAGTTGTCTAATTCATGAATATGGTATGTCTTATTTAGGTCTTCTTTGATTTATTGCATCAAAAATTTTTAAGTTTCAGCATATATATTCTATACGTCTTTGGTGAGATTTGTACCTGAATATTTCATCTTCTTTAGAGCAATTGTAAATCGTATTGTGTTTTTAATTTCAGTTGTCATATGTTCATAATTAGTATATACAAATGCAAGTTATTTTATATTTTGATCTTACATCCTATAACCTTGCAAAATTCACTTATTGTTCCAAGGTATTGTTTGGTTTAGTTTTTCAGTTTCTATGTGATTTTCTATGTGGACCTTCATGTCATTTGCAAATAGGAATAATTGGGTCCCCCCCCCACTTCCAGTATGCATGTCTTTATTTCTTTTCTTCAGTTTATCACAGTGGGTAGAAAAGTTCTGATATTGTGTTGAATAAGAGTAGAGAGAACAGAAATCCTTGCCTGATCTTGAACATTCAGTTTTTCACCGTTGAGTATGAAGTTAACTGTAGGTTTCTGTAGATTTTCTTTACCAAATTGAAAGAAAAATCCTATAATCCTAGTTTGCAGGGAGTTTTTATCATGAATAGATTTTTTTCAAACACTTTTTTTGCATCTATTAATATAATCATGATTTTTCTTTAAACTGTTTCTGTGATGGATTACATTTCATACATTTTTTTCACTTGTTTTAAGAGATCTTATCACTGCTTTTTGAAGGAAATTATTATGGCTGCTTTAAAATTCTTGTCAGACAACCACACCATTTGATTCATTTTCATATTGGCATCTGTTGACTTTCTTTTCTCATTTAATTTGTGATTTCCCTTGCTTTTGATATATAATGAGTCATTTTTGATTGAATATTCGAATGTTTCATTTTTCAAGTCCTGCTGTTCCTAGACAGCTAGCCTACTTTTTTTCCACCTTTTGGAATCTTCCTATTTTTTTCTCATTGCTTTGCATTATGTTTAGTGTTTTTTGTTTTTTTTTTTAGTGGTAAGTGGGAGGATCTGTGAAGAATAAGCTTCTCTATCGTCATGGAACCAGAAGTCCCATATTTCAAGATTTTTTTTATGTTTTTGGTTTGTTTTTACAAATTTAATTGGTCAATTTTTATGTCTTGTGCTGCTGTCTCATATTCTCAACAATTATTTTTATTTCTTTAAATATATTTAACATAAGTATTTTATATTTTATTTCTGATATACCCAACATGTAATATCTCTGAAAGTGAATCTGGTATTAATTATTTCTTCTAGCTCTTGTTGGTAGTGCCTGCTTTCTTTTTTTGTGTTTTGTAAGTTTCAGCAATCTGCTCATTTTCCTTTAAAATTTACCATGGAAATCCTTTGATGCTTTGCTGAATGTGGTTCCCTACAGAAGATTCGTATTTGCTTCCATCTGGTTGGAAGGGTTCTGGTGACCCTTTCATTTGAATATAATTCTGAGCTTTCGGTTTTGAAATACCAGGTTAGTGAAAATTTGGGCTGCAGACTCTTGAAGGAGCATGTTTATTTTTACAGATTCACTGGAATGATGATGATGATGATTATTTGTCTACACCAAGCATCAACTTTCAAGACAGGCCATGTTTCTCGGAGTTTCTTGTTGGAGTGGTTGGCTGGTAGATACTTTTACTTATCTATATAAATGATGATTTAGAATTTGTGGGGTCTGATTTTATTAAGGGATAAGGAGACAGTAGTTCATTAGAATGGTCTCCTTAACTATGACTTCCTTCTTTTCCTTAGTTTGAAGTTCCTCCCTTTCCTTAGTTTGAACCACTAAGAATTAATTTTATTTCCAGTTCATTGATTTAAGTTTGAAACACTTTATTTAACTTTTTTGTTTGTTTGCTTTCTGAAAGTGGGTATGGCAAAACATCTGTTCTACCACACATTATCCTTATCTTTTAAAAAATATCCATCCTGATCTATGAGGATGCTAGGTAGGTTTTGTTTTGCTTTGCTTTATATCAGCTCTCTAATTGAAACATTTTAAAACTATACAAAAAAAAGCAAACTCCTACACAAATCTGGCAGTATTAAACACAGAAGTCATGGTCAAAAAATATTAAAATAAAGGTTGAATTATATATACTTTTAAAAAGGTGTATTGTTTTCTGCTTTTTATGAAGAAAAATATACCTTTTTCAATTACCATTTCCTCATTTTCTCCTTAAGCTACAATATCTATGTTCATAGAAAAATATCAGAGAATGAAAAACAAACTCAGGATCATCAAAAGAATATTTCAAAACATGATAACAAGTTGTACATAAAGTAGCAGCTGACTTACATTTTGCATCTTCTTTTTTCCTAAATATTTATATGCAAAATCTGCTCTAAAATTTCTGATTTTGAGATCTCAGTTAAGATTCAATTTACAAGAATTACATTATTGGCTAGTATCTTGGATGCAATTTATAGTAAATTCTGAGCAAGTCTATAAAAAGGCAAGATAGTTACTACAAATGTACCCTTCATAGTGCTACATCTAGATGACATGAGAAGTGTAACTAATGAAATAGTCTGTGAATTTGAAAAATCTAATTAAATATAAGTCTTTTCAACTTGAAAACAAAATACATTTAAAATTCTATTTATGATTTAAGATAAATATGCTAAAATATAGATTCTTTCAACAGATATTTAATGAGCAGATGTGAACAAACAGCCCTGAACTTGTAGAGCTTGCATCCTAGTGCATGAGTTTATAGAAATCTATTTAGTTGTAATCATGGAGACACAAGGAATTTTCAAATATTCAAAAAACTTTAACCATCTAAATACCTAGTTATCCTACTGATACATTGATTTTACTAAAATTTTCTCAGAATTTCACTTTAGTTTCTCAAAATAATGAACAAATATATATCTTGTTTCCTCTGTTCACTCAAAAATAATCTCTGATCACACATATTTTTATGTTACAGAATTTCTCTGTTCTTTCACAAATAAATACTTTTTCCCTAATTAGTGATATACACATGCTATATTAACTTCTCCAGTGCCTCATCCTACTGTTATCTGCAATCTGTGTGCAATTTGTCAGAGAAATTGCTTTTAAGAATGTCATCAGTGACCTCCTGTCAAAACAGAATCACACAGTTTCTTTTTGTGTGTATGTTCATTTTTTATTTATTTTATTTTAATATTTCTATTTGCATAAATTTATGGGGGACAAGTGCAATACTTTTTTACATGTGTAGATTGCATGGGGGTGAAGTTAGGGCTTTTAGGATATACATCATCAGAATAATGTATATTGTACCGATTAAGTAATTTCTCATCATCCATCCCCCTCCTACTCCCTCATCCATCTGAGTCTCCATTGTCTATTATTCCACACTTGACATCCATCTGTACATATTATCTAGCTCTAACTTACAAATGAGAACATGCAATATTTATCTTTCTGAGACTGACTTAAGATAATGGCTTGTTCCTGCAAAAGACATAATTCCATTCTTTTTTATGGCTGAAAAGTACTGCATTGTGTATACACACACACACACACACACACACACACACACACATACATATCACATTTTCTTTATACAGTCTAGTACTACATTGTGTATATACATCACATTTCTTTATACAGTCATCCATTGATAAACACTTAGGTTGATTCCATAGCTTTGCTCTTGTGAATAATGCTGTCATCAACATATGAGTGCAGATATCTTTTTGGTATAACGATATTATTTCCTTTGGGTAGATAACCAATAGTGGGATTGTTGAATAAATTGGGAGTTCAATTTTTAGTTAATTGAGAAATCTCCACACTGTTTTCATAGAGGTTGTACTAAAGTACTTTCCCATCAACAGTGTATAAATGTTCCATTATCTCCGCATCCTCACCAACATCTGTTATTTTTTGATGTGTTAATAGTAGCCATTCTGATCGGAGTAAGGTTGTGGTTTTAATTTGTATTTCTCTGATGGTTAGTGATGTTGAGCATTTTTTCATATACCTGTTGGCCATTTGTATGCCTTCTTTTGGAAAATGTCTATTCATCTTATTTGCCTACTTTTTAATAAGATTATTTGTTTCGTTGTTGTTGAGTTATTTGAGTTCTTTGTATATTCTGGATATTAGACCCTTGTAGAATGCAGTTAGCACATATTTTCCTCCATTCTGCAGGCTGTCTGTTCACTCTGTTGATTATTTCCTTTGCTGTGTAGAAGCTGTTTAATTTACTTAAGTCCCATTTATCTATTTTTGTTGTTGTTGCCTATAATTTTGAGGTCTTAGTTATGAATTCTTTGCCTAGACTAATGTCCAGAAAAATTTTCCCTAAGTTTTCTTCTAGTATTATTGTAGTTTATGGTCTTACGTTTAAGTCTTTAATCCATTTTGAGTTGATTTTTGTATATGTTGAGAGATAGGGGTTCAGTTTCATGCTTTTGCTTACAGCAATCCAATTTTTCCAGCATCGTTTATTGAAAACTGTGTCCTTTCCCCAATATGTGTTCTTGTCAGCTTCATCAAAGATCTCTTGGCTGAGAATATGTGGCTTTATTTCTGGGTTCTCTATTCTGTCCCATTGATCTGTGTGTCTATTTTTTACACCAGTACCATGCTGTTTTTGTTACTATAGCCCTATAGCATAATTTGAGGTCAGGTCATGTGATTCCTCCAGCTTTGTTCTTTTTGCTCAGGATTGATTTGGTCTTTTGGGTCTTTTTGGTTCCATATGAATTTTAGGATTTTTTTCTAATTCTATGAAAAATGAAATTTGCATTTTGATAGGGATTGCATTAAATCTGCTTTAGACAGAGTGGTCATTTGAATGACAGTATTTCTTCCAATTCATAAGCATGGGATGTTTTTCTATTTGGTTGTGTAATCCATAATTCTTTTAATCAGTGTTTTGTAGTTTTTCTTGTACAGACCTTTTATTCCTTGTTTGAATATATTCCTAAGTATTTAGTTTTTTATAGCTATTGTAAATGGGATTGCCTTTTTGAATTTGTTTTCAGCTAGGGTCATTATTATATAAAAGTGCTACTGATTTTTGTAAGTTGATTTTTATTTTGAAATTTTGCTGAATTCATTTATCAATATAAAAGTTATTTGGTGGAGTGTTTAGGTTTTTGTAGATATAATGTTATGTCATCAGTAAACAGGGATAGGTTCTCTTCCTCTTTTCCAGTTTGTATGCCTTGTATTTCTTTCTCTTGCCTAATTGTTCTGCCTAGGACTTCCAGTAGTATGTTAAATAGGAGTGGTGAGAATGGGCATCCTTGACTTGTTCCAGTTCTTAGAGGGAATGATTTCAACTTTTCCCTGTTCAGTATGATGTTGGTTGTGGGTTTGTTGTACATGACGTTCTGTATTTTGAGGGATGTTTCTTCTATGTCTGGTTTGTTGAGTATTTTTATCATGAAGGTATGTTGAATTTTATAGAATGCTTTTTCTTTGTCTATTGAGATTATCATATGATTCTGTCCTTAATTCTGTTTATGTGTTGTATCACATTTATTAATTTGTATATATGTTAAACCATCTTGCATCACTGGTATTAAACCTACTTGGTTATAGTGTATTAACGTTTTGATGTGCTGTTAGATTCAGTTTGCTAGTATTTTTTTTTTTTTTTTTGAGATGGAGTCTCATCCTGTCGCCCAGGCTAGAGTGCAGTGGTGCTATCTCAGCTCATTGCAACCTCCGCCTCCTGAGTTCAAGCGATTCTCCTGCCTCAGCCTCCTGAGTATCTGGGATTACAGGCGTGCGCCTCCAAGCCCAGCTAATTTTTGTATTTTTAGTAGAGAAAGAGTTTCACCATGTTGGCCAGGCTGGTCTCAAACTCCTGACCTCGTGATCCACCTGCCTTGGCCTCCCAAAGTGCTGGGATTACAGGCGTGAGCCACCGTGCCCAGCAGTTTGCTAGTATTTTAAAAGCATCTATGTATCTATGTTGATCTGAAATATTGGTTTGTAGGGTTTTATTTTTTGTTGTGTCCTTGTCTGGTTTTGGTATCTAGATAGGGGGAGTGGGGCAGTCCTCAGACCTTTGGTGAAAATGCTTGGGTGTGAAGTGACCATTGCTGTGCTGAGATCTTGGAATGCGGAGGGTGGAACAGTCCCCATAGCCACAGCTTTGGCTGGAGGGAGTGGAACTTGCATTCCTCTTATGACCTAGTCCCAACATGGATTCCTCTCAGACCACGGCTGTGGCAGACAGTCTGCCAACCAGTCACTTCCAGCAGTTTGTGCATCTTCTGAAGCTAAGTCCTGGATTATAAGATACACCACCTGGCTCAAGACTAAGCCTCAGGAGCAACTCTTCAACTGTTCAGGTCCCAGGGAGCGGGGTGGGTCGGGGGGTGGGGATACCTGGTTTCATTGCCAGTTTCTGGAGCCCACTCCACACTCACTTCTCAGAACTGGCTGCAGGAGTCCATTCCCTGCTCAAGCCCTGGTTTTGCAAGTACTACCTGAGTTTCTCCAACAGCTGCAATCAATGCTGCTGGTTCCCAGGACCATGGACAGACTGCCAAGAGTTAGGATTGAAAATGACACTCCAGAACAGCTGCCTAGATTGGAGAAGTTTCTTTTCACAGTCTCCCAGCTGCTACCCAAGTTAGGCTTATAGCTTGGGAGGGTCAAGGTGCTCTCCCATGTTCTGGACTGTACAAATCCCATGTGGGAAGATGGGCTGCAGAAAGGCACTCACTCTCTCTCTCCTGTGGTGGGGATTTACTCCTGATTCCCAGCCAGTCCCAGACACTCAGGCTACCTATTTTCCTTCTTCATCCCAGATTTCAAATCTTCCCTTTGCTTTTCTGTTGAACTCCCATGTTTGCTCTTTGATAATGTATTGAAAGTGTGATTGACCACACACTGTTTTGGTTCTTTTAAGTAGATGAAGCATGATGGAAATGCTTCCACTCAGCCATTTTGGAAAAAATAAAGACTGTTTATCTTTACCTAAACTACTAATAGTTCTTCGTAATGAACATCATTAGTCAGATTATTGTACATTCTGTTAATACTGCAAACCATAAAATTATACTTTTAAAAGTACATTACTTTATGCCACCCCTATGGGCAAAATATCTCAATGCTTTCCATATCAGGTAAGGCACATTCAAAACATAGACATCATGCTAGGAATTTCAAACATAAGTCACTTAATGTAAATAATTGGTTCCTCAGGTATTAATAACGCAAAACAATATAGGATCTAAAAGAAGCAGCTATAGCACCTAAGGCTTGAGAACCAAAGTATCATAAGGGTCACCAGAAACTAGGAGTTTATCAAAGCTAATCTGTTGACCACCAAAGGGCTTCCAGGCAACTGGTGTTGGTACCTAGTGGGAGGCTGGGGGAAAAAAGAGGCAGTGAGTGATAGGAACTTTATGGATGGTCTTCGTCCACCTTGGAAATTGCTATTTGGTCGGTCCAGTAATACCAAATGGCACTGGAGCTGCTACTGTCTGCTGAAGCTGAAATAACCTGGGGGCAAGAATAGTTTCCTATCTGCTCCTCTGTCCTTTCAATCTCACACTATTACCTCTTGGATGGTAAGGGAATCTTAGAGATGGGTTTGCAAACTCCCACCTTTGTTGTCACAGAGCATATTATAAAAATGATGAACCTGGCATTGAGAGGCACTAACTACCAGAATTTCCCTCCCTTACAATAAATCTTTGTTTCCCTGTTAATCTACTACTAAAACATCACTAATTATTTTCTATTCGATTATTTTCTATCAACAGAACATACTTAAACTTTTCCATAATGCTCATTACATCACAACCATTTCGTATCGCTGGTGGACATGTCCTATTCCTTCTCTGTAACTGCAAATTGGATCTATCAATCCTTCAGTTCCTCTCTTAAATCTGATGGGCCTATAAAAATTCTCCCTTTGCCCCCAATTAAATTCTTACTCTTAGCATAGTGCTTTGCATATCATATATGTGTACTCTATGTATTGAATGAATAGAATGCATTTTTCATTGACATTTGTATCTCTCTTCTGCCTCTTTCTTCAAACAATTATTGTTGTGCTAATTGCATCACTCCAAAATTTCCTTCAGGATAAAAATTATGTCTTACTCCTCTCTGCAGTCCTCAGAATTTAAATGTTTTTTAACTTATTCAATTTCCAAAACTAATGTATACAAAGATAAAAAAGCAACTAAGGTCTTATTAATACATGAATTTAAATTTTAGGAACCTGTAAAGTTTAACAAGCTTCTACAGAATACAAATTTCCTCGTTTGTCTCTTTTATGTTTTGCTGCTCTTCGATTATGATTAATATTTAAGATATTAAAAATATCTAATTTTCAACAGCCCTAGAAGTTCCTCTGTTTGGTTGATATCTGAAAATTACAAAAAATTGCTTTTTTTTAAATCAATTATAGCACATAAGCCAAGAATCATGAAAGCTTGTGCTCCTGACTATATATCCCAATATGTTCCTCTCTGAAATCCACCCATTGAGTCTGTAGAAAAATGACAATCTGTCAGTGAAAAATTTTTTCCATAGCATAGCAAAATACTATGGGCCTGAATACCCTTTTGTTGTTTTATTTCTGCAGAAGATCAATTCCCTCAGGAAAAACTGAGCATTTGAATGACTTGTCAGCTCTGGGTTCAATAAACAAGATTTCAGTGCTTAAACCTCGTGAATAATTTCACCTTCCATTTATTTGATCAGCAGAGAAATAATTTGAATTATGTTTCCCTCTTGACTTCACTAATATCCAAAATTACTTATGTAATAAATTGCTCACAGGAGAGAAATATCTCTTTTTAAAAATTTTCAACAGAAACATTATGTATTTTTGTGTTGATGGTCTAAATAAGTCTTTGTAATATGAATTACAAGTGTGATATAGAGAAAAGCAAGCAATTATGTGAAAATATGCTAGATTATCAATTCTGTGAGTGCTGGAGTACTTGACATACTATAATCTCATTGAATTAAAAATTGGTTTTCATTTATTTATTTTTAATCATTTTAGGGTTAAGCTATTACTTTCTGAATGTACAAAGTAGACTTCAAACTAGAGAAGAGACAAGCAACAAGAAATCATCAGATACTAATTTCAACAAGTAAAAGTGATCTTTATACATACATTCTACCAATCTTTGTTTGGTTTATAAACTCTAAAATAATATTCTACCTGACACAATAAAATTTATCATGTAAAATTAAAATGCAAAGAAGGGTATATTTAAGAATTAATACTGAAGCAGGTGAGAAACAAAGTCAAATGCTTACAATAAAGAATGTCTATTTCAATCAATCCCCTAACTTGATTTAAAACTCCATGTGGTTATTGATCTGTCCTTTGACATCTGTCCAAGTTTTTAAATTTAATGCATTTTTATCAGTGACTGAAACTAATGAAAGTAAACCCACATAACTGAATTTCTTTGCAGCCATAATTCTACCTACAGCCTAATGTTACATTTAGAGGCTCCTGGTTCTGAAAGCACATTATGTACTAACATTGAGAGAAGCCTTAGAGCTAATTTGAGTATTACTGTACAGGAAAGCATTCAAGTGCCTGCTTCTTTCTGAGAATATCAGCTGACAAATCGTGGTGCTGGGGCCTGTCTCTTTATGTGTTCTAATGAGACCGCAAATGGTTTTCCAATTTAAAGTGGCTTTGGCAGGCTTATCGATCTGTGAATTGTGGCTGTTTTTAAAGGGAATAACTAACAAAAAAGAGAGCATTTATTGTAAAAGAGGTAGGTGTGTCACACTGAGCTATTTATCAAGGAGAAAAACATTTATAGCAACAGCAAGATGAACTCTTTGAGTTTTGATTGAATTACAAGAGTTTCGCCAAGGCTTAATAACAGGCGTCAATGATTAGAATGCCAACCAAAATGGTTTTTGTTTTTAATTAAAATATCCCATCAGACAATTTTTGACAAAAAAAGAAGTTTATATAAAATAAATGAAACTATCACATGCATTTTCTACTGAATGCATGCAAATAAACCTTTTCATTAGTTATTTTCAGTCAGGTCATAGTAATCATAAATAGCAGCAGTAATTTTATAGAAAATGAGGAAACGAGTGAATGTAAAATAGTTACTATGTACATGATGATCTTTACAAGATCTTCAATGTATATACATGCAGAATACTACTTCTGTATGGTAAGACTTTACAGACGAATTACATTGTGGATACCCAAGAAGCAAGTAACACTTTCTCCTCTTCTCTCCTTTCCTCTCCTCTCTTTTCTCTCCCTTTATCTCTTTTCTCACTCTGTCTTTCTCCCCATTTCCTCCCAAAAACCTCATGGAACTAATATTTTGTATAAAAGTGCTTCTCAAAACAAGTCATCCTAGATCCTTGTTGAAATGTAGATTCTAATTCTAAATGTTTAGGGATTTTCATTTCCAAAAACTTCTCTGGTGATGCCCACATTGGTTGTCCATCAACTACATTTTGAGTAGCAAGACTATAGAACTCAGTTTGGGAAATGCTAATCCAGGCAGCAAGTAATGAATGGGTGGCTAATCAGAGGATGTTGACTATGAGTCTCAGAAAGAAGAAACTAAGATGCATGATTTTTCAGAGCCTTGAGTTTGAGCAATAAGGAGCCTCTGTAGGTTTTTAACATGGTTTATATAGGTAAACTCTAATGTATTTTCAGAGCAAAGTGAGGTCACTGGATAGAGATTGGACTGTACAAACAAGAACGTAGAAAAGTGATGAAGAACTTGTCTTTGTAAAAATAGACTAAATTGGATCAAAATCACACATAGAAGTATTGCATTTGAATGAAGAGAAACTCCTATTTCAGGAGCAAAATGAAAAGGAGGCTAAAATTGAGCATGAGGTCATTACTTTTTGGAAACTAACATGGGAGGTACATAATTTCCTTGTACACTGTCCCCAGTTTTAGAGAGTAATTAAAGACAGGGCTTGGAACCTTCTGAAGGGTACAGTAGGAGGAACTCATATAGCGGCAGACAAATACCTCTAAAGTACTCTTTCTATTTCTTTACCAATCCTTAAATGTCTCAAATGCCTTGCTTTGATTTGTCTATAATGATTTTTCATGTCTTCAAAAAGAAGCAGGAAAGGAAGGAAAAAGACTTAGGAATGGAGGTGGTCATAGCTCAGGATTGCAGGGAAACACAGGGCAGGCCTGTTTGCGGGCTCGGCATCCTCCACCCCCGCCTTCTTTTGGCAGCAGACTTAGACTTTCCTTTGGTAAATGATTACTCTCCCATTCCCATGTCATCCTGCTGCGTTGTTTCTCAGGCTTCCAAGTTTCCAGGCCAATAAAACTTGCCTTTCTAGGAATGTGAACCTTGAGCAGTGTTACAAAAGGGCAGAGAATACTTAAATCATTGCAGTGGTGACACTTGGAGGGGACTAGGCTTTCATTTATATCAGGGTGGTCCCTGCCCCGTCTTTGTTTCTCCCATGGTGTAAATGATTAAATATCTCCTTGTAATGACTTTCTGCTTCAGGGTTATAAAACCAGCTATTGATGTGATTATGTCCATTCACTACACACACACACACACACACACACACACACACACACACACACACACACATCTTTTGTTAAATTTATAATTTTGCTACATTTTTTTCATTTTTATTGTCCATGTAATACATGTCTTCATGGCTTTTACAATGTATATACTATCAACGTATTAATCAATTAATCTATTACTAATAGAATTTAAATAAAAACAAGTTTTCATGTTTCTAAATATAGGTTGGTTTTTTTAAGTGTATTCAAATTCTGATTTATATAAAGTTTATATGAAGACTCTCCTATAAAAAGACGCTCTCCTTTCAAAGAAAGGAGACAATCATGTATATCTATATTTACAAGAATCCAGGTACATTGCATATTTTCAGCATAATATGGGCAAATCAGCTCCAACCACTGAACAATCACATTCACAGGTACATATTAATGGAGACTCCAAGTTTATTTTTTTAAATAACATTACTATATATAGTCTGTGTGTATATGTATAATTTGCAAAATAGGAAGATGATTAATAGCAGCTTTAAAGCATCATTGCTAATATTAAAGGAAGTAATCTTAGCATCTGAAACACAATGAGAAATATGTATGTGTTTCTTGACTTTTCTTTTCCCTACTGTTTTTGTGGTTTCTCCCTCTTCCCTGCTCTAATATACAGCTGGCCCTTGAACAACACAGGTTTAAACTTTGCAGGTCCACTCATATGCAATTTTCTTCTGCCTCTGCTACCCCTGAGACAGCAAAAACAACCATATACTTCTACTTCCTCTTCCTCTTCAGCCTACTCATTGTGAAGACAACAGGATGATGACCTTTATGATGATCCACTTTCACTTAATGAATAGTAAATACACTTCCTCTTCTTTAATGATTTTCTTAATAACATTTTCTCTTCTCTAGCTTACTTTGTCGTAAATGCAGTATATAATACAACAAAACATGTGTTAGTTGACTGTTTATTAAGGCTTTGGCCAACAGTTAAGGTTTTGGGGAGTCACAAGTTATATTTAAATATTTTGTTGTGCTGCGGATGGGTCCCCCTAACCCATACATTGTTTAAGTGTCAATTGTATATGAATATGTGCATACAAATACACAAGTATTTAAGCAGGTACACATCTCTGTGTGTGCCCATATGCAAAGAGGAATCTAGAAAACTATGGATATTCTGCATCTGGTCTCCTAGTCTCAGAACACACAAAATATCAGGGTGCTTTAAAAATGTGCATATGTTGCCTACTGATGCTGAAATGGCTCTGAATATAATTTTAAAGGTGGTATCTAAGAGATTAAACAGAATACAGAGCAAGTAAGAAGAGCTGGAGAGTAAACATGTTTAGGCGTTTAAGATGGACTGATAACAGATAAGCACACAATTAGGCACTGAGTTTCCTTCTTAACTAAAATAAATAAAGAAAACTTTCAGTTGCATTATTTTTCTTATCTGATAAAATGTATAAACAAATCTGTAGAGAGACAGACAAACATATTTCTGGAATTCTCTGTAAGACACATTTGTCTGGGACCACATTTTATCAAGAACCCAAAATCACTATTCAAAATCTAACATTTCTTGTATTATTATTCTTTTCTTTCTTTCTTTTTTTTTTTAGTTTTCTCATTGCTTCTTATTTTAAAAGTAAAGGTGTATTCCAAAGGAAAAATAGTTCGCAAAAGACAGAATTGAAAACATATTGTGAGTTAAAAGTCAATGTATTAGGTTACTAGTGCTGTACTTGCTGAGAAATGTAATGTGTAACTATTTGCTTATATTTCTTCCTTTCAAAAAATTATTCTTCATTTCCAGTATAGTATCATAAAAATTAAAAGCATAGGTGTCAGCATTAAACAAATCCTGGTCCTACCATGTAATTAATACCTGTATGACCTTGGTCATGTGATCTAACCTCTTTAATTCTCTATGAAATGAGGTTAATCACAGTGACCACCTAACACATTACTATGAGAATAAAAGGAGGCAAGGCATTTAAGTACCAGATTCACACACATTGCTGTCCTATAAAGACCATAAGCCTTTCTCTATTTTTTTTCTCTTCTTAAACTGTTTTTTCTATTTCTCTTTATCTTTAATATCATGTTACCTGTGGTGCCTCTGCCTATATTACCCTAAATTAGGCTTTGCATTAGTACTTTGTACATAGTATGTACCCAATAAATATCTATTGACATACATAAAAATGAATTTCTTATTGTATATGTTTTATAAGTTCAAATTTTGATTTACAGAATTTATCTCGTGCCCAGAGTCTAGCGCATGCCAAGCCTACAATAGATGTTCAGTAAATGTTTGTTGAGTGCTGAAAAAAGTAGTGCTTATCGCATTATCAAATAGAAATACCCTTTCTCAGTGAAGTTTAACTAGAGAGTAGACAAAATCCCCTCTCCTGTTGTGATGGCTCCAACTCCATCACTTAGGTGGCATCTTGACCTGGCATTCTAACTCTTGGAAATTGAGCACTCTGACAGGTAGAATAGAGGTTCAGAGAAGTTGAAAGCATGTTCCCTGCCATTTTTAGAAGTTTAAAACATACTTGAGGAAATAGAGCACAAAGTAAATGAAACTGCTATCATGAAAATATAATACTTTTTTTTTTTTTTTTTTTTTTTTTTGAGACGGAGTCTCGTTCTGCCCAGGCTGGAGTGCAATGGCACTGCAAGTTGCGCCTCCCGGCTTCATGCCATTCTCCTGCCTCAGACTCCTGAGTAACTGGGATTACAGGTACCCACCACGACGCCCAGCTAATTTTTTGTATTTTTAGTAGAGACAGGATTTCACCGTGTTAGCCAGCATGGTCTTGATCTCCTGACCTCGTGATCCACCCGCCTCGGCCTCCCAAAGTGCTGGGATTACAGGCGTGAGCCACCACACCCAGCCAATTCATATTTATAAAATTGAAAAATTTATTTAATTTGAATGTTGACTTCTTTTTTCTTATGGTTTTACTACTGAACAGGGATGTAAAAACACTGTGTGGTGACTTGGCTTCTGCACCAGGCCAGAGTAAAATTTCCCTTTAGATTGAATTTTCTCTTATACACAGTCTCCACACTAAGCCTCAACCTGCTAAAAAATGATGGTCTTATTTGAATAAAAAATTCAAATGTGCTCATTTCAGTACTGTGTGCCTTACACACACTCAGCAAATATTTAATGAATGGCTTTATATGTAATTATGAGTTGCCAAAGTCGCTGTGTTCTCACAAGAACACAAATAGGGCATGTGACAGTTTTTTAATCTCAAAGAGGGAATGTACTTTCAGGTAAGACCTTTTTAAGATGACAGATACCTCCAGAGTCTTCAAGCCTTTTTTTTTTTTTAATTTCTACAAGTTTTTATTGACAAAATTCAAAATGTAATAATTGAGTACAATTTTTTTGTACTATAATTCTGCTGAGAAGAACAGAATTCTTTTTTTCTGGGATAACATTTCACTTAATTGGGCTGAAAGTTAATGTGCCCCATCATCAAAATTGACTGCAAAAATTTTCCTTTAATAACCATATCCAGCTTGAGGTCACACAAAAACAACTGGTGATCCAGTTTTGGCCCACAGGCCATATGCAGTTTGCCAACCTTTGTTCTATTAGTTAAATAGATCAATAAGGCCAAATTGGAAAGACTATATACTCAGATAATATAATAATTTACATGCATAAGAATGTGTATATTAGCACATGTGTATTTTTATATCAAAACCAACTATAATTTCTTTTGTTTCCTCTTTATTCTTCCTTTATTTATTTATTTTTTATTTTTTGTGTTATTATTCTATAAAAACTATTAACATTGACAAACTTTATTTCAGTTTAGATACGTAGCTTTGGACAGTGAGATGAGATTCCAAGTATTTTATTTTATGAAGACACAGCATGATATTTACTGATTTTTAATAATTTATTAGACTGTCTCTCTCAAATAGCTTAGGTCTGAAATACGACTTTGATAGGAGAGAATATAAATGTATTATTGAATTGTCAAAGTGTACAGATCATACTTCTTGTTATGGTAAGGACCATCATTTAAATACTAGATGTGAGGAAGACAGAGTTATATTTTTTCATAAAAATATATGAGATGAATTACTTATTCTTGCTGAAAACAAAGCCAGCTAACTTCAGTAGGGCATGGATAGCAGGAATGAATATAAATAGAACTGATTTTGTCATTAAAAATGACCACTTTTCAAGTGCTTGCAAAAAAAATAAATTATTAAAACAGCCTATGTGATGAAACAGGATCTTAATCTGAGGTTGTGTGGAGTCTGGTCTTACAAACTGACAGCCTTATCCACAGAAGTATTTGATATGTGATTTTTGGATAGAACTGTATCATTTTGGGATCCAGCTAATTAAAATTAGCTGAATGAATTGAATAGGAAGAAGATATGTTTTTCAAATATTAATTTACATTAAGATTGTTATCCTGAGGTCCATGGACTTTCAGCATAATTAAATGGGTTTCATACAAAGTCAGTGTTCATTCCAAAAATTGTATGCATAATTTGTAAACATATATAGTTACTTGTGAAGATGGTTTACAGTTTACCTAAAATTCTTGAAATGGCACTCAAACAATTAATGAGGGTGATTTAAATATTGGTGAATGGTACTAAATGTAAAAACCAATCGATCTACTCATTTTGAGAAACCGGGTAGCAAAAGGAGTCAGTTCCTAATCATACAATAAGATTACACAAAATTTTTTAATGGTACTAGATTTCAGGTTTGAATATAATGGAAAGAGACTGAAAGATTATGCTAAATGATTTAGATACAGATGAATAAAACGGATGATTAGAAGCAAAACAGGCATAATAAGGTATAATTTCAAAAAATATTAAATCATTACTTTTCAACTCAACCTTTAGTAACAGTTAATTTTAGAATTCAGTAAGTAATCATATATTTGGAGCCTCATTCATTTTTGCTTATTGGTTCATAAACCTATCTTTGCAACCGAATGAAAGTCTTGTCAATTTAAGTAAATTAAGTAATATAAAATGGCAGATTTATTGTTTGTCCACTCAACCACTATTTTATTCAATCCCTGCTTGTTAGCAGACCTCAGATTAAAAAAACTTTTTTTTTTTAGATTAGGCAAAACAATTTGTTTAATTAAGGTGGCCTCTCTTCCTCATTCCGGATCCTGAATCAGATTTGTGCTAAATGGTAATCTGACTATTGCTAATGACTAATTTACCACTGGAAATGAAGAGAAGTCTTCATCCCTTTTCAAAAGAAAAAGAGGGGCGAGAAAGGCATGCATTATAATTTACTTCTCTTTTAGGCTGGTTTAAAACACGATATATTCAGCAACAGGATACATCTTAATTTAATAGTAAGAACATTATTTCCATTCCTGTTCATTTACATTATTACATTATATTTATATTATTAATATTAATCGCTTAACCTTACTTTAAAGTTCTTTTATGTTTCTATGTTTTTACAAGTGGATGATTACGGTCATAGTCTCCTCATTTGTGGCTTAATAGTGAGATATATTCTAACAGTGCTGAAGTAATTACAGCTTCAGGCTGTGATTTTGCACCTGGTATCTCTTCCATCTACCACTCTTCCTCCAGTTTAAAGCGCTCCGGCTCACTTCTTTCTGTTCCCTGAACTCTCCAAACATGCTTCCCTTTCAGGTTCTTTGACTTTTCCACTTTGTCTTCTGGAATTTTCTTTCCCCAGATATTTGCATGACTCAATTCCTTATTTAATTTAGTCCTCAATAAAAATTCAATATTTTTTTCAAAAGTCTTCTCCTTATCCCCTTACCTAAAATACCTTTTGCATTTCACTTGCAATCTTCATATCATGAATTATTTTATTTTCATAGCACTTACTTAATTTGTCTCAAAGCCTGATCTAGCATTATATGTGATTTTTTTTTTCATTTGCTCATTGTCTGTTTTTATCCCTAGAATAAAATCTCTTTGAGTACAGGGATGTAGTCTATTTCATACATACGTAGAATAATTAAATGACCATGTTGTAATTGCTCATTAAATATTCGTTGTATGACTGATTGACTTACTGATAATGGTGTGCTTTATTTTCTTTCTTTTTATATTCTATATGGAAAAATGTTTTGAAAATGTCATGCTTGCATTCCTTCACTTGAGATATATTTAAACCTGTCTATCTGTTGTGTTATAACATTGTTCCTAGATACAAATATTACACATTACTAAAGTTAATGAAGTCCCAGTTTTATAATGAAAAAAATCATGTTCATATACATCAATTAATTTCTTTCTTGAATTCTAGTAGTATGCATAATATGCCATAAGAAAAAAACCTCTATAATTAAAAGTCATATTGACATAATAAAACAAACGAAGTGTACAATAGATAAAATGATTACTTCCAGACACTTATTGAATAGACACATTTTGTGTTCATGGACCACTCCACTAGATAAGCTTAAACAGACAATTCTGAGAAGAAATTGTCCTCATTATTTTTATTGTTCTAGAATAATGAATATAAGTCCTAAACTTGGGTTTTTAGATGTTTTGATAATCCAGAGACATTTTTTGGCCAGACATTTGTTATAAAGAAATTTGATTTGTAATAACCAGTTTTGAAGTGAAACACACACACACATATATATATCTCCTGTGTTTCCACAGTAGCTACTCAGAAGAGACAAGAGCCGATCATTAAATTTTCAAGAATTTTGTGATGCAGTTGTCAAACACAGCTATCATTAAAATTAAAATAACATATTAGTTATATTAAAAATAAAATGGAATGAATATTAAAAATCTATTACTTCTGAATTCTTTACTACATTTCACTATTATTAAGTCAATTAACTCCTTACCTGGTCCCCACAACTCCTTATTTTCTTTTAAGGTTTCATCTGTTTTCTCTAGCAATGGATCACTCTTAACTCACTACCCTACGAGGCTATTTCTCACCCTCTTGAAAAGTGTGTTCATTACAGGCCAATTTATTAACACAGCGGAGTTTTCTGCAAGCTGATAAATGAATTAAAGCTCATCATCGATCCCATTGTTATAATAATATTTCATTCTATTACCTAATAAATTAATTAGTGTTGTTTTGCTTATCCCAATACCTTACATACAGAATTACACTTAGCTGTCATAATTCTACCTGCTAGTGGCAAAAATGCTCTGCAGGTGGAAGAACTGAGAACTGCAGAGACTAACCAGCTCACTTTTGATCATAAAATTAGTAAACGATAGATCCAGGAATACGAATTTATTTTGTATCATTTAACACCAATAGCAAGTAATAGAATTGTCAGTATTGAAATTACCTAATGAAATAGGAATGTGTGATATTCGTGAAGAGAATAGAAGGCAGTAACAGCTGATGACAAAGGATTTTGAAATCTAGAGTAACTAAACATTGTTCTTTTGGAATTATTTTTGAAAATTAGAAGTTCATAATCACATTTGCCTTTACAATAAAAAATTTTTAGAGAACTTTTCTATGAACTTTCTTGAGAAGTAAATCACATAATTTCTCTTCTGTAATACGTAAACCGCTATTACTTATTAATTTTTCTGGAAATTTCATCCCAGTGACTCCTAATGGATGGTGATTTCTCCCCTCCTTGACCAGGTTATTTGGCATTTCTGGAGACAATTTTGATCATGACTGTGTGTGTGAGGAAGTTGCTACTCATAGGGACATCTCATAGGTAGAGGCCATGCTAACTAGCCTACAATGTACAGGACAGACCCCCACAATCAATAGATATGCTATCAAAAATGTCAATAATGCTAAGACTGATGGAAAAAAAATGAATTAAAATCTGCATTTTATTTGGTTTGTATATACCATAAGTATATCATAAGGTAATATTAGAAGCATAAATCTTAGAATCAGAATAATTTTGTCTGGCGATAATCATACCATAATCATATGATTATCACCTGAAAATAATCTAGTAGAAAAATAACAAGCATTGAAGTATGTATGTAACAGAATGAATTACATGTGTTCTCTAAAGGACATATACATGTGTTTATAACAGCATATTCATAATAACATGAAAGTGGGAATAACCTAAATATTCACATCAGAAGAACGGAAAAATAAATTGCGGTATAATTCACATAATGGATACTACACAACAAAAATGCAATCAGCTACAACTACAAGCAATGACAGGTATAAGTCTTCACAGGCATAACGCTGAGAAAGATAATAATAATGTATATATTATATAATTGTGTTTACATGAAACATAAAAGCAGGCAAAACTCATCAATAGAGTTAGAAGGTGGAGGTGTGCTTGTCTTTGGAGAGGCGGTAGTAACCAGAAGGAAGTAGGCACATTTGTCCTGTTCTAGTTCGTGAATGTGGTTCTGGTTACATGGGTGTGTTTCATTTGTAAAAATGTATTGCTCTGTACACTTACAATTTGCCCACTTTCTTTGTTTTATCAATTAAACATGTACTTACAATATTAAAAACTGATCTGGTTACAAATAAACATACACAATCAGATCTTTTATAAATATCCATTAATGTTAGCAACTGTAGTAATTGTTCTCCTGTACATTCACACACAGGCACACGCACAAGTACAAGACTGCACATATCAGAAGCAACTATATCAGAACACATGCCACTAAACAGAGGCAACTAACAGATGTTATTACAAATATTCTATTAATAGAAATATAACTTTTTAAAATGAAGATAAATGAAAAAACAAGGTAGAATCAAACATCAATATTCCAGCAATTTATGTTTATTTATTGTACTTTTGTTATTATTTAGAATTAGTAAAATTCCTATTCTTTGATTACTTATCAACATCATATGATTAGGTAAATTAAAAAATTTTATTTATAGTAGACAAGTCACAACGTTTTCCTGAAGTTTTCTACATCTATAATCTAAAAGGAAAATCTTGAATTTCAAGGGGAGAATATTTCATTACTAATATTACTGAGATGCTGCGTAATTAAATATTTTCCTTTCAGATGTCTCAAAATGAATATATATTAAACATCTAATGTATTATTTTGACATTAATAGATAAAATATTATTAATATATGGGTATTCTTGAGATCTCTTTCATTTTGATTTGTTGAGAATATATATATTGCTTAGTATTAAGGGTTTCTTGCTAAGTTTTCCATAATTTTCCCAGTTGATTTTGTAGTTTTATTCCATATAGGTTCTACAGCATTTGTGCTTTTGGTTTTTCACAATCTGCTTAACATTTCCAGTAGAATTTAATCTTGACTTTTGACAGAGTTTTAAGGAAAAAAAGAAATCATAGACCAAGGCTTGAAGAGAAAATGAATGGACCCTCCATTTCCTTAAGTACATCTATCCAAACCAAACTCCCATTTGTTTTTACACTGTCTTCTTAATATATTTCTTTGCATCGTAATCATGGCACTATTTTATTCAAACTGAATCCCCTCATCCAACATATATACACACAGCATATAGAATAAAATAAAATCTACAATAAGATATTTAATCCTACCTTTTAAGATAACATAGTTCAATAACAGCATCCTTGTCCCCACTTACAAACTACACACATACACACAAATATCAGGCCCTCATGTTTCCAAATGTCTTGCACCACAAAGGAATCTGTCATTATATGAGTGGGAAACAAGGAAGTTTTCAAACGGAATGTGACTTGTACCAAATATCCTAGCCATTGAAGAATAGAAACTGGAAAGCCTCTTCGGTCTTCTGAAAGTGTAGTTTTAAGCTCATTTCTCAATATTATTTACCACTGTATCTGTACTACTTAGTAAGATTCCTCTAACATTTGAATCAAGTTCTTCAATCTATTTTTATATTATATTTGACATTGTATAATCCAACAAATCATCAAACTCACATTTATTACCTGATATAAATAATTTTAAAACACTTCAAAATGAAATAGTTTATTTATAACAATTAAGAAATAAGTCATACTCTAAGAACATATTTTAAGAAGTGTTGTATTTTTTAAAAGATTAATTAGCATAGAGAGTTTGTTTTACTTAAGATAAGAATTAAAAAGGGAGAAAATAAAAAAAAGAAATCAATATTTATTATACACAATATCAAGGACATTTACTAGGAAAGCAAAATTCTAATTTTTGAGATGATTCACCTTCTTATTTTACTAAGTATCTTTATAATGTTTCAGTTTGTTATGTTTAAACCTAAAAAGTATAAGGTCTGTTTAGGTATCTGAGAGCCTAGCAACAAGAAGATTGTTTTAAGCCATTTGTTATTTTGCTTGTAAAACAAACTTCTTTATATAGAAATGGAAAAACAAAACTGTTCTGTTAAGGATCTTTTAATTTATGTTTCTGGCATTCCATTTGTTTCTGGTTGAATTATTGTCGACATGTAAACTTTTACTTTAAAAGATTTATTCTTCAATCCTTAATTTTTTGAAACATACATAGAAATTATACATATCTTTAACTGAAGCATTTATGTTAAAACAAAGTCATAAAAGAGTCAATTTAATGTAATTATATGGTTGTACAATAGGATATATTAAATGATACTCATAGGAGAAAAATGTTCTTCCTCATATAGATATATGAAGAGCTTTAAAAACAAACCTGAAAGTTTTTATGTGTGTCTCTGTGTGTAGGTGTCTTAATTTGTATCATGTATGTGTTAACATGTATGTTCAAATAGAAGTTGGGGAAAGAGTTGCATTAGATGAGTGGTATATACTCAGTTCCCCAGAACCTTTTTGGTCCAAGCATGTTATTCTTTCTCAGAGCAACACGTTCCATAATTCCAACATATCCGTTATCATTCGTCTACTACTTTCATTGCAGAACTTCTCCCCTTACTTATTCTTATTCTTTCCAATTAATTGACTTCCACACCAAACCAAAATATTGTGATGATTGAAAGGAAAAAAATAAACAATCCCTCCCTTCAGAGAATGGATTTCAGACATTCACTGAACCAACACACCTGAAGCAACAGTTTACGTGGTTGCTCAGAGGGAATGGTTATATTTTCACAAATTTAAAGTTAATATATTGGCGATTTTATTTTCCTTATCTGAAGGGGGCCGTATCAACAAAAGCAAACAATTTTTATGGCACACTGAGAATGAAATTCAGGAGCAAGAATGTAACAAAGCATCTGAAATAGAATAGCAAATCTTAACAGATTTCTTTTCCTAATCTGTACTAAGGGATAATTTATTTTAACTTTATTTATTATAAAAATGTTTAACAACTCTTAGCCCTTGTCTTTGCACTGAATTTTCCTTGTAAAATTTCAGATTTAGAAGTATGACATTTAAATCATGTTTTGTCAGACACAACTAAGCCTCTGCATGAACTACAACATACAGTAAGTGTCATGCACTACTGGTTTCATTAGAATGTTAAGGAAATTTCTGAAGCTTAAAACAACGGCAACGAATTGAGCAGTGATACAAGGCAAGAAAAATATAAAACATAAAATGGTCCACCTTAAGATATAAGCAATCAGAGATCTGTATACTAAAAAATAGATCTTCCAGGAATGTGAAGAAGTTGAAGTTAAATCTTTCACATTAATCTAAAGACCATGAAAAAGATAAAACTTGTCAGTAGCATCTCTGGTCATCATCAGAAACAGACTAAAATTCTGTCAGGAAGTAGATATTTCCAATCTACTACCAATTTAAGATTGTGGTGTTCTCTATTACATTTAGTAAAATATGAGCTATAATAAAAATTACTACTAAGAAGGAGAATCAACAAAAACATTAACAACATAATAAGTTAATATCAGACTTCTCAACAGCAAAAAGGGAATCTAGAAGATATGGGAGTAATATCTTCAATAAAGAGAGAACAAACTCCTTAAAAAGAGAAAAATAAAGAAATAGAAATATGCCAAAAGATTTGCATTTAAAAAATCAGAAAACAAGAAACAACTAAATGATATATTGCAAGATATAATAAAGTGAACCCAGATGAGTGATTTAAGATACAAAAAGGAATAATGAAGAAACAAAACACAAATTGAGAAAAGACATCTGCAACTCATATGAGCAACACAGAATTTATATTCAGTATACAAAGTGAAATTTTGCAAGCCAAACAACATTTTTTACAAATACGAAAAAACAGGTATTTTACAAAAGAAACATTAATAAAAAAATCTATATAGAAATATTCAATCTCATTTATAATAAGGAAATGCAAATTACATAAGCAATAAGATGCTAATTTACACTCATCGCCTAAGCAAGTGTCAGCATCACATGTTGGAGATGACTTATAGCAAAGGGTTGTATTGTAGCATATGATTGTATTAAATTGGTACGAGTATTTTGGAAAACCGCTTCTAACTGTATTTTTAATAAGTTTTATCTTAGAGATGCTTTAACAGAAAAATTACACACATCATATAGAAAATTGTAAACATAATGCAGAAACATTATAGTCAAAAAATAAAGAGGAAAAAGAAGAAATATTAACACATGCTCAGAGAAATGTGGTATCTCACTAAGGAAATCAATATATGTATAACAGAAGTAATAAGAGTGGAGGAGATTTAGAAGCAATAAAATATTCAAAGTAATAATACCTGAACACTTACTAAATTTGATGAAAAACATTGATCTACAAATTTAAGAGGTACAACAAACTCCAAATAGTATAAATGCAAAGAGATGAACACAGGCATACCATAGTAAAAATGATAGACTGGATTAAGAAAATGTGGCACATATACACCATGGAATACTATGCAGCCATATAAAAGGATGAATTCATGTCCTTCATAGGGACATGGATGAAGCTGGAAACCATCATTCTCAGCACACTATTGCAAGGACAGAAAACCAAACACTGCATGTTCTCACTCATAGGTTGGAATTGAACAATGAGAACATTTGGACACAGGAAGGGAAACATCACACACAGGAGCTTGTTGTGGGGTGGGGGGAGTGGGGAGGGATAGCATTAGGAGATATACCTAATGTAAATGATGAGTTAATGCGTGCAGCACACCAACATGGCACACGTATACATATGTAACAAACCTGCACATTGTGCACATGTACCCTAGAACTTAAAAGTATAATAATAAAAAAAAAGAAAAAAAATGTTGGAAAGACCAAGACAAAGAGAAAATCCAACATGCTGGGATTACAGGAGAATCTTGAAAGCAGATAGAAAAACATGACTCATCCCTTACTCATCTCTTACAAGGAAACCCCAATGAAATGCAGCTAATACAATGTCTAAAGTCACATTTATAGCTGTAAACTCCTACGTTAAAAAGAAGTAATAGCTCAAATTAATAACCTAAATTTTCGGCTTAGTCTCCAGTAAAAAAGAAGAGAAAAATTAAAGCTTCACCAGCCAGAAGAAAGGAAATTTTAAAGATTAGAGCAGAAATTGATGAAATGGAGAACAAAAAAGCTGTAGAGAAAATTAATGAATCCATAAACTTTTTTATTTATAATGATCAGGTATTAACAAAATTTTAGTTGGATTGATCAAGAAAAAAGGAAAAAGACACAAATTACTAAAATCAAGAATTAAGTAGAAAATCCAAATAGACCTATAATAAGGCAACAGGTTAAATCAAGTACAAAAATTACTTAAAAAGAAAAGTCCAGGCATGCATTTCTTCACTGGTGGGTTCTACCAAATATTAAAGAATAAATATTAATCCTTTCCAAAAAATAGAAGAGAAATAAACACTCTCTAACTCATTCAATTAAGACAGGATTGCATTGATAACAAAACTAGACAAAGATACCACAAGAAAAAGTAGTATAGCCCAATATATTTTATGAATATCAATACAAATATCCTCAACTAGATACTAGCAAATCAAATCCAGTAAAACAGAAAGTTGATTATACACCATGCTCAAGTGGGATCTGTTCCATGTATGTAAGCTTGGTTTACATCCAAACATCATTTAATATAATATATCATATTAATAGAATAAAAAACAGAAAGCATATAATCATGTCAATAGACACAGTAAAAACATTAGACAAAATTCTACTAATCATGCTTTCATGATTAGTGGAAAAATCACTAAAACTAGGAATAGAAGGTAACTTCCTCAGTCTGATAAAGGGCATCTATAAATTCCACAGCTAACATCCTGCTTAATAGTGATAAGACTAAATTTTTCCTTCCTGAGATGGGAACAAGACAAGGGTGTCTGCTGTTTCCACTTCTACTCCACACAAAATCCTTCACAGAAATGTTTCTGGCAGCTTTGTTCATAATTGCCAAAACTTAGCAGCAACCAAGATATCCTTTAACGGGTGAACGGATAAACACACTGGCAATAGGAATGGACAAAGCCACATAAAGACATGGAAGAACATTAAATGTAAGTTAAGTGAAAGATGCCAATCTGTGAAGACTACATACTATATTATTCAAATTATATAAGATCCCGGAAAAGGCTATGAAGACAGTAAAAACATCAGTGGGTTGCAGAGGTTTGGGGATAAGATGGAGGAAAAAGAGATGAACAATCGAGGCACAGGAAGTTGTTAGGGCAGTAAAATTATTCTATATAATACAATAATAGTGAATACATATCATTATATATTTGTCAAAACCAAAAGAATGTACAATATAGAGCAAATCCCAATGTAAACTATGTGCTTTAGTTAATAATAATTTATCAATATTAGCTCATCAATTATAAAAAAATTACCACACTAATGCAAGATGTTAATAATAGAGAAAACTGGGGAGAAGAGGCATTGAGGGGGGTATATAGAACTCTATTTTCTACTCATTTTTCCTATAAACATTAAAGTGCTCAAATAATAAAGTCTATTAAAAATAAAAACAAAACAAGTTAAAAAAATCTGTTCCCTGAAAACCATAAAACATTGTTAAAACAAATTAAAGAGGATCTAAATAAAAGGAAAGATATGCTATAGGTTAGAGTGTCCCCCTACCCCATTGATATGCTGAAGTCTTAACTCTCAGTACTTTTAATAGGTGAACTTATTTGGAAATAGGGTTTTTAAGGATATTATAGGTGTAGATGAGGTCAGACAATTGCTTGCAGTTAATCCAGTATGACTTTATCCTTACAAAAAAGGAAAATTTGGACACATACATATACAAAGAGGAATGCTATGTGAAGAATGGAGTTATACTGGTACAATTTAAGGAACTACCGGGAGAGAGACCTGGAACAGATTCTTCCTCAGCACCTTCAGAGGAGCAAGACCCTGATGATACCTTAATCTTAGACTTCTAGCCTCCAAAATTATAAGACTATAAATCTCTGTTGCCCAAGCCACCCAATTTATGGTACTTTGATATGACAGTCATAGCAAACTGATATAACATCGCACGTACATGGATCGAATGACTTAATATTGCTAATATAGCAATGCTTCCCAAATTGATCTACAGAATCACTGACATCTAAGAACTCAGAAGTTTGGCTGGATTCTCTGAAGAAATTAATATAGTGATTCTAAAATTCATATAAATATTCAAGGAAGCTGGAAGAGTTGAAATAATCCTCAAAATTAAAAAAAAAATACAGCCTGAGCAACATGGTGAAATCCCATCTCTTCTAAAAATACAAAAATTAGCCAGGCATGGTGGCGCACGTCTCTAATGCCAGCTACTCAGGAGGCTGAGACACAAAAATTGCTTGAACCTGGGAGGAAGAGGTTGCAGCAGTGAGCAGAGATCATGCCACTGCACTCCAGCCTGGGTGACAAAGCGAGACTCTGTCTCAAAATCAACAAAAATAAAATAAAATAAAGTTTGAGGACCTATAATTCCTGATTTCAAAACTTACCACAAAGCAACAGTAATTAAGAAAGTGGTTCTGGCATGAGGATATTATATAAATCAATGGAATATAATTGGAAATCTAGAAATAAACCATCACATTTACAATTTGTTTCAACAACAGTGAAAAAACAATTCAGTGGGGGAAATACGGTCATTTCAACAAATGGTGTTTTAGCAATTGAACATGCAAAAGTATGGAATTAGACCCCTACCTACCTCACACCCAACATAAAAATTTTCTAAAAATACACCATAGGCCTACATGTAAGTATAAAAACTATAAAATTATTAGAGAAAATATCAGGGTAAAATTTCTGACATTGGATTTGCCAATAGCTTCTTAGATACTTTACTAAAACATAAGCAAAAAAAGAAAATATGTAAGTGAACAGGACTTCAAAATTTTAAAGTTCTGTGCTTCAAAGAACATCATCAAAAAAACTGAAGCACAAACTACTGAATGGATAAAGTATTTGTAAATTATTTACCTGATAAAGGAATTCTATAAAGATCATGTAAAGAACCCTTACAACTCAATAATAAAAGACTGATCATTTTTAAATGGGAGAAAGCTCTTAACAGACATTTCTCCTAATAATATATACAAATGGCTGATAAGCACATAAAACAATGCTCAAAATATCTGGTCATCAGGAAAATGCAAATCAAATCCACAATGAGATATCACTTCCCACACACGAGGATGATTATAATAAAGACAGGTAATAACAGGTGTTGACATAAATGGAGATATTAGAAAACTCATACACTGCTGATGGGAACATGTAACAGTGCAGCCACACTGGAAAACATTTTGGCAGATCCTCAGAGTTAAACCTTGAGTTACCAGTTCACCTAGCAAATCTGCTCTTAGGTGTAGACCCAAGAAAAATGAGAACATATGCTCATGCATAAACTTGTGCACAAATGTTCATAGTAACATTATTCATACTAAACAAGAACTGTAAAGAATCCAAATGTTAGGGTTAAAATAAAAATCCTCCCCCAGTTGACTCTACTGCACAGCAAAGGCTAAGAAGTGTTTATGAGAGCACCACTGGTTCTTAATGTATGGGCCCCCAGACCTGCAGCTTTCAGCATCACCTGGAAACTTGTTAGAAATGCAAATTCTGAGCCTTTCCCACCAGCCCAACTGAAGAAGAAATTCTGGGACTGGGGCCCAGCAATTTGTGTTTTACTAAGCCCTCCAGGTGATTTTGGTACCGGTCTAATCACTTTATTAGGGGATCAAAGAAGGCTTTCTTGAAGATGTTTTACCTATTCTGAGGCTTACAGTAGGTGTAGAAAGGGAAGGAGGTGTGGGCCTGTTTGCCTAAGTCAATAACCTTGACATCCTCTCTGTCTTCTCTACCTTCAAACTGAATGGTTCATTCCGTGCTGAGATTCTGCATTTCTAACAAGCTGGCAACTGATGTCCATGGTGCTGACCGTTAAGAACAGTCTCTTGGTAAAGGGGATGTAGAGCATTTCAGGCAGGTGAGCACTGAAGATGAAAATGCTTGGAGAAATACATTAAGTGTCAGAGAGGTATGGGATAAGACTTTAAAAAGAAAAAAAGCAAAATCATGCAAAGCCTTGCAAGGCCTCTAATTTATCCTAAGTTAAAGCAAATCATTAATGATTTCAGCAGTATAGTGATTTGACTTGATTTGCATTTTAAAAAATTACTCCAGCCACTGAATTGAAAATAAACTCGAAAGAAACCAAATTTGAAGGTTAGAAGATTAGGAGGCTATTATAGACATCCAGGCAAGTGTGATTTTTTTGGGGGGAGGGGGTTACAAATATGGTGGCAAGATATACAAATGTGGACATATTTAAGATGCATTCTGCAGGAAGAACAAATAATTACTTATGTGTTGGATATAAGGTGAAAGAAAAGGAGATATGGAAAATAAGACATATGTGTGATAAAATATATAAAATTGTAGATACCTACTATATAGCCAAGTGGAGATAACCAGTAAATAGTTGGTTACATAGAGCTGAAATGCTCAAGAGAAGTTTAGGTTCAAGTTCAAATTTGAGAGTCTACATATCATATCCTTTTTATGTATATATTTTTTCCAAATCAATGACAAACTATAGATAGAGCATACAAAGATACACTGATCTACAACTGAGCCTGAACAAACTTCAACATTAAGAGATTTGGAAAAGGAAGAGTACAATAGAGGAGACAAGAGAATCAGCTAAGGAGTCTGGAAGAGCTCCCAGCTGACTGTAGGGTTGTGAAAGGCAAGCAAATAAAGTTTCTGGAATAATGGTGAGACCAACACTATAAAAAAATTGCTGAGAAATAGAATAAAATTAGGAGATAAATGTGGACATTTAATTTAACAAAAATCATTTGCAAGAACAAATCTAATGAAAAATTTAGGGCAGAACCAAGATTTTGTATTACCATTGTTCCAGTTTCACAGTGAATAAGAGAAGAAATAAAATGTGTGTGAACAATTCTTGCCAAAATTAGTGCTTCTTAATTTCCTTCATAAGAATCTCATTCTCTTTCAATTTCTAAAATGTTGGGATTCCTCTCTTTTTTCTCTTATCGTATACACTTTTCCTAAGCTATCTGAACTATACGCTTTCCTTTAAGCAAAACTTTGTCCTCAGAGCTATTTATATTCAACTAACTTCCTTCTGGAAGCCTCAAGTGACTGAGGATAAACATATCTCAGAGGCATCTCAGAAGAATGTAGTCATCTCAGAGAGAAATAACTAACAGCATTGATGTAAACGTTCAGTTTAAGCAAAGCCTAAAGCTCCCTGCCCAACAAGATGCTGGAAGGAAAGAAGGAAGTAGCTGAAAGAATAGAAAGAAATGCTTGAAAACTTGAACACACAAAAGAAACAGGAAAGCAATGATAAACCTAGTTAAAATATCTGGCTGAAACAATGGTGCTGCTGATAAACGAAGCTGCTCTCTTTAGAGAAAACTTCACAGATGATATGTGGAATCATAAGTATATAGGTAATCACCATGTAAGTAATTCTTGTTACAAATAATATAAACAGACAGCGTATTTGAAGGATCCTCATAACCTAATTTGATTTCAGGCCATTGGAGATTAACTACCTTGTAAGAACTACTAGAATGACATTGAAGAGGTAGGCATGAGGTATGTGTAGCCTGAATGAGAGTAGCACCTGTCATGGAGTAAATATGATCATTCTAAGACAGATATACAAATAACATTGGCAAAACTCGTGATAACAAGGTGTATCAAAATATAAAACAAATAAACAGCAATTCAAAATATGCTAAGACTCATCTCAGGGTAACTTTAAGAAAAATGATAACCGATAGATGTAAAAATTTTTCAAATAGAGATTAGGAAATTAAAGTAACTAACTGCCTTTTCCATTTATGCATAAAGGAGATTTCACACATTTTGATAATTTCAAATGCAGTGCATTTGAATAGTAGAATCCTCCCCAAACCAGAATGAATCTTGCCCCTACAATGACTCCTATGTCCACATAGTAAAGGACTCAATAAATTTGTTAAAAGTTTGAGTTCTATTACTCAGCAAAGTTCACTACCAGCACATAACTATGTGCTGCAATTTAATAAATTAAAGTTTTGGTCAATATTTGGTAAGGATTTTAGGAAGCCTTTGTTAAAAATCAAAAGGTTTTGCAAAGTAGTAAGTAATTTACTAATGGGCTCATATCTTTAGGGGATGTGAAAATGAACTGCTAATTAATTTCCTTTAACCAAGAATTCATACACATTCTATTAGTATCAAAGAGGCTACATGAATAAGACAGCTTCTTAACCTCTAGAAGCTCTTAGCTTTCAGCAAAATTTCATTGTCTATACAAGAAATATTATTGTAACATCAAAGATCAATGTGGTTGCATATAAATATACAGGCACTTGAGGAGAAGAAGATAATATAACCATGAGTGCAATGGAGCAGATGTAAAGATCCGTAGGTGTCAGCATTAAGGTGAATTTTTGTTTGTATCTGAAGTGTGATACTTCTACTAGAGGGAAAAGTCGTTTCAATTTTTTTTTTTAAGGCAAATGAGCAGTTAACATGAAGTTAAACATTCTTGTAGCCTTTCTTCCTGTCTGCTACCTCCCGGCTTCCTCCCTCCAACCCAACCTTCACATATCCATTGCAGAGGAATTGAAATTTTCACTTAAAGCCTGTCAGTCATACACAAACATTTTTCAGAGGCTATCAAATGCCCAAATAGGAATTTGCCAACCTTTTGAGCTTTCTAGTTTCATGGTTGAAAATTTTCTGTTTCAAAGTTTAGCATCTAATTAAATCGAATATCCCAGTTTTTTTAAAAAAAGGGCATAAAAAATCTTTAAAATGCTTAGCCTGATTCAATGACTAAAAAGAGGGTTCCCCAGACAGAATTTGAACATCCCTAACAATCATTTGTTTAAAAAGACTACATTACTTATGGAGTTTTCTAGTGATACACCAAGAAGAAAGACTTAGAATGCTGCTTTGGTCTATTTGAAGAGTTATTTATTGTGTGGTACCAATGGGAGTGATACAATAAATAATGTGATCTAGCATTGGAGACAGTTTCTTATGTAGCCAACTATAATACAAAGCAGAATGTGATAACTGAGGTACAAAAGAGCATGATAATATAAGAAGCTGAGAGAAAAATTTCAACTAAGAAGTTGAAGAAAGACTACAGAAGTGTGCCACAATCAGGAGGAATATATGAATATATTTCCTGAGGCTAGCTTTTGTGCACCTAACAATGATCTTGAAACTCCTTCTTTATAAGTTACATATTGCCATTTATATACTGTATCTTGCTTTGTTAACTGTTTCTATTTCATATAAGACTGCCACAATGTGTAACCATGCCTATGTCTATTTATTACTTTTTCTGTAATTACTTTTCTGTATTACCATTTGTATTTATTACTTTTTTCATGGTTTTTTCTTACTTGCCCCAAAGTATTTCATATAGTGTACCTGAAATTATTTAATTTGGCAATAAAGTAAATGGATTCATTTATAGAGTCTTAAATGAATGATACAAATAAAAAGATAGTGAAAGTTCAAAATTTAGTTGACTCTCGTAGCACTATAAAATCATAAATTTTAAAAGTATTTCTTTAAAATGTTTTTTAATAGAAATACAACCTTGTTAACAAATAACTACTTGATAAATATTGTGTTTACGTAAAATCAGTTTAGGGTAGAATCTGTTATATCTTATATGTACAATTTAAATGCATTAATTTGTAACCCTTATACAAATTCTAGATTGTTCTTATTCAAACAATTTTGGCAGCATCGGTTTATAAAAATTAAGTCAACATCCAGTCAATCCTAGTGTCCATATTACTGTATAGAGGAAACTCACACATCTAACAGGTTAGTTTTTCTAAGAGCTGCAAAGTTTTCCAGGATAGAATGAAGAAAACTTCTGAGAGGCCTGAATGGTCTCATGAGGAAGGGCTCATCCCTTGAGGGAAATCTGCATACAACGCAATGGTTTTATTTTAGACAAATAAAGGGAGTAGATGTCAGACAGTGAATGTGTTACACAGTTACTAGTTTTCCTGTTAAGCCCAAACCCCACACCAATACCTCTCCCAACACACACACACACACACACACACACACACACACACACACACACACACACCCCGTCCAGGAGATGTTAATAAAGTCAGAAAAACAAAGAAGAAGCCTAAGCTTCGGGAAATTTCTCTTTCAATATTCTTCCTTTAATTATTGGCTTTATGACCAAATGTCCCAAAAATGCCATTTCCTTTTCTTAAAGTAACCAGTATTTTCATTGCTTCAAGCCTTTTCAACTCTAGCCTGTTTGTGGCATATGACTGCGGGAGTATTATGCACATCCTTGGCCATGTTTTTATCACCTCCTTAGATGTAAATGTAACTGTTTTCATAAAGCAAGTTTCCTGACACCTGCTGGGCACAGAGCTGGATGTTGTGAGGATGTTGTCCCCACATAGCGTGCTGGAATCTCTCTCTCCTCCGTGGGAGCCTCCCTTAAGAACAAAAGCCTTTAGGTGGATTAAAATCCTATATATGAGAAAATGACTGTGTTTATTTCTGAATCAATAATCCAGATTCAGAATATCAGAATCCAAATAAAAAGCTAACCACATGATTCCAAAGTTTTATTCTGGAATTCATCTCTGTCATTTGGTTGAAGAATCATGACTGATATTGATTTGGTGTTTTATATGATATTTTGTTTGGGATTTTATTGTTGTATAGATCAACAGGAGGACAGTTGGATAAAGCGTGACATCTTTAAAAATGTGTCTTCTCATTTAGGAATATTGAATATTTTACCATTTGTTCAGTTATTTTATATTCTTCAGAAAAAAATATTATACATTTCATCATATAATTAGTACATTTATTGATAAGTTTATTTCTAGGTACTTTATAGTTTTTTTTCAGTTACATTTGCTAATGGGTTATAGCTGGTTTATGTGAAAGCTACTGATTTTGACAGACTGATTTTATACCTAGCTGACTAATTTTATACCTGCAATTTTCAGTGAAATAGAGTTTTTTTTTTTTAAATGTGTGTTTTATCCTCAGGGCATTTTAGATGGGAGGGGAGTTATATGCCTTTGTTCCTTCAATCTGACATCATAATCCAGCTTCTTGAATTTAATATTTTTAAATTTGGGTATTTACAGCCCTAGGATTCACTAAGGACAACATAACTCATTTGTAGCCTAGTAACCATGTTTGTCACCAAATTACATATTGCCATGCTTACTAAGTAACTGCTCCAGTGTGCTCTTTCAGTGTGCCTGAAAGAAGTAACTGGAAAGCTCAGTAAATTTAAGAATTTCATTTCTGGAGAGGTGAATGTATTTCCTCCACAATCATATCTGTGGGGAGAAGTGAGTGAAAAGCTCTATAACATTAGATTTTACCACTGAGATTAAAAAAAAAAAAGGCAGTTTTCTATAGTATTTATCCTTCACTTTAAATCCATTTACCTAAAAGATTTTATCCCACTTCATATGAAAATGTCTATATACCTAAAAATATCTAAATATGTACACATATACTTATTTATAAGAATTATTCATGCTTTTCCTTAAGCAAAATGATTCTGATATTCAATCATGAGGGAAAACATAACATTTTCTTTCATCACTTTTGCACAAAGCGGTCACACTGGCTGTATTTTTACAGGGAAGACAACTTCATCGTCAGTCATTTAAGAACACAGGCATGAGATACAAATTAGAAATGTACCTCAGTGTGACTTTTGGAAGACAACTGCGAAGTTACAGATATATGATAACTAAGATCAGCCTCTTAACTTTGATGTATTTATACATTTTGAAGATCAATTTGTGAAACATAAGAATCAAGCGTGAGGTGTGACGAATGCGTTTAGTTTACTTTGAAAATTTTGCTGCCACTCAAAACAGTACTTAAAGAATATATAACAGCTTGGAAAATTGTGATCTATTTAAAAAAGCAAAATCTGAATTTTTTATACTACTTGATTACAGAAATGAAGTTTTCACCTAAAAAGTTTTTTTAATGAACCAAATATATTACCAGGACTTACATTTATATACTAAAACTACAGGCAATCCTCTGACTTTATTTTTTACTGTTTTACAAGATGGACCTAAGAACTGTATTTTTTTAAATAAAATATATTTTGAAAGTATCATCAATAAAGAAATAGTGCTGTGGTAAAGGCAAATAAGAGTAGGAAGTATATAAATATAAGCTCCTGTATATTGTAATTTGAGAAAAATTTATTATACAAATATAATTTTGTATAATGAAGTTAGAGAAAATCCAGTCAAACAGTGAAACTGACAATGAAAGTGAGGGGTTTCCCTAAACTTTATTTGCTACCAACTAAGGTCAATCTGTGTTATTATTACTAATGTCACATCACAGATCATCTTTTTGCCCATTCTGACATCAATGTGAATACTGTATACTTTGTACTGTGAATACATTTATCTTATCTTCCTCCCAGATGTTATAATTTATACTAACAAATATTTCTCTTGTCAAATTAAGCCAAAGATAAGCCATTGGTAAATGTTTTATTACCCATGATCTCGGGCGTGGGCGGAGGGCTTAGGACAAACATCAGAGAACATGACATCTCAATTTAAAGATTTATTACAGGTTATTGTGAGGGCTATAGGCTCTTTTCCCTAAAGGCTCACTAAAAATCACTGACATGAGGTGGACTGACTAAGGAGAAAAAGCATACAAATCTATTTAATGTGTATACAGGAGAGCCTTCCATTCCATCCATCTTTGACATATGTTCAGTCATAATGCTTTCTATTTCTGCTTTTTCCTGAATTTTTAACATATTTTGAAAATATTTGCATTTTATTGTATTTGTTTTGAAGACTTGTGTGCATGAAGCTTAGCTTTTATTTTTTTCCACATAATAAAGTTTTTTGAACAAAACATTGATTTTATTTCCATATTCCTCCATTTTCTCTTCAGACACACCCTGCTGATAACGCCAAGACTCTTTAGTAACCAAACCTTTCTAATTTAAGCACATATAATTTAGGATTTTATTAAAGGGTTCTGTCTCAATGAATTGTGTTTAGTAAGTTGATTAAAGTGCACTCCATTTTATTAGCCTCATGTGGCTGACATGTGGCAGTCAGGGCCATGCCTATGGAGATGCAAGGGAGAACCACCTGCCCAGATCTGAAAAGTGTGGTTGGGAGCAACAGCTTCCACCTATCAGCTCCTTCTGTTTCATCACAGCTTTTGAGCTGGGGTCACTCTTCTTGAAGTGGCCACAGGAGATAATTGAGCAAACTATGACACAAATGTCGGGCCATTTTTGCTTCACACGGAACTCTCCTAACCATCAATGTTTCTTTCAGACCTCCCTGTTGGGCTGGTAGATTTTATAAAATCCAAACTGTGGTCTGAAAGTTCCTCCTACACAATCCTGCTTCTTTCTCACCCCACCCACAGCCCTTTTTTTAATAGGTGTTACTCTCCAATAAACTTTGCTAGCCCCTCTAAACTTCAGTCTCAGCCTCTGCTGCTCAGAGGATCTAAGTTTCACACAATGCAGAAATGATCTACTAGTAACACAGCCCAAAGTATTGCACACTAATTAACCATGTTATCTATCCAATGGGTAAAAACATGTCCTCTCAGCCTTGATATTAAGTGGGGCGATATATTTACGAATTCTTTAAAATTACAATATCACCAGCCATAAAACCGTTTGTCTAAAACTTTAAAAAAATTGTAACTTTGAATAGTATGTGACACAAGTGTATAATTCTCAATCATCAGTTTAATTCATTATGTATGAAATGGTTTGCATATTTTATGAGGCATTTCCAGATATTCAAAATAGAGAAAAATCTTGTATATCCATATTCTGAGTACCATTTCTTCAATTTCAGAAGTGAATAAGGTAATTTTCAGTGTGAGAATGGCTGTATCTATTTGCATTTTTTACTTCAGCAACAGAATTTTAAAAGATATCCGACCTTTCCTACTGTAGTGATTAAAGTAATAGCAACAACATAAGCATTGTGTTGCCTTTTTTAAAGATCAAAATTGCATTAATATTTTTAGATTTGGAATGAAATAATTTATTCTGAGGTATAGAGTATGTGTTCATATTTATAAATAGACGCTTTTCATCATGATCCTGATAGGTCAAATTTTGTCTCTTTCTTTTTACTCATTCAAAATGTAATGAAATATCTACCTGTGCTTTCACATAACAGATTAATATTTATGGAGTGCTTTGTAAATAGCTATAGCTGTGTGTGTGTGTGTGTTTGTGTGTGTGTGTGTGTGTGTGTGTGTGTGTGTAAGCACGTATACAGGCAAATGACCAGAAAACATGTTAGTAAAATTGGCAAGGCTAATAAAGTTTCTTACAATGATTTCAAGTGAGATACAATTTTTCCTTTTCCATTTTAATATTTTCATTAAACATACAATGTCACAGCTACTAATGTATAAGCTATTATATGATTCAGGATTCTACCAGTTGCAAGTGACAGAAACTCAACAAAAATGAGCTTAGGCAAGATATAAACTATATTGACTCATTAATTAAACTACAGATCTCAAAGCAACCAGAGCCAAAAATTTATAAGCCACTTGCTCAGTTGAGCACTTTCATTTTCTCTCTTCCGTTCTCATATTTGTTTCCCTTGCCCTGCTTGTCTTATTCTCTCAAACTGTCTTTATAAAGCTAGAAACATTGACCAGACAGTTTTCAGGCTCTCCCCTCTTAGATTTCCATTCCAAAATAAAGGATGCTTATCCCATAACCCCAGCTTTAAAAATACATGAGCAGAAACGTTTTGTTATTTTGCTTGGTGGATGCTCTCTTCTGTGGCCAAGAGGGGGGTTACTAAAAGGAGAACCTTATATAAAACTAAATAGTTGCTCTGGAAACCCTGAGCTTTGGAAGGACAAAATAAATACACAAATACACAAAATGTACTTTTCATTGTCTAACAAAAGATGGGAAGTATGGTAGCCAGGGAAAATCAGTTGATGTGCACATTTGTTCCTTTGATCTATTTCAGTGGAAGTTCCTACTAAGTATTTGATTGAAGTAATCAAATTTGCCAAAATAAAAGTTCAGTGGAACAGTCAGAATTCAATTTATTTAGTTTGTAAATGGTAAGATGAACAAATATTTGAGAATTCAAAAAAGTGTTTAACCCTTTTATGAATAATTAATCAGGTGTTTCCTTAAAAGTAAATTCACATTGGAGTGGAGGAATGGTCGTCTGCCTGTTGAGAATCAATTCACTTACTAAAATTCAGAGACAATGGTTGGACAATTGTTTGATACGCTAGGGAGTGATGGAGAAAGATTTGATTGCCAGATAGGTTTGTTGTAGCGCTCCTGGTTTTAAGTATGTGCTAAATTCCCATTTCTCAGCTAACATTTCTTGAGATTTTTTGGTCTTCCTTGTAGTAGGTGGGAGATTTGCTCTAATTTGATCAATATTAATAAAATTGACCACGTTACAGTCAAGCACTGGCAAACGTGAATAAATATAGCACAGATCTTGCTCTGTAGCTGCACATAGCACAATTAGGAAGACACAAAGGTAAAAATAAAATTATCCATACATATATATATACACAGATGTATGATATTTGTTATAATAAAGATATTCAGAAAAATTTGCAGTGGGAAAATTATTTATAAGAAAAAGTGTGGAAGTTTGGGAATAGGGAGAGGTTTTACTTTGGAGGTGATGCCCAGTGAACATTTGGAACAATCAATCTCCTTATCAGTTGAGTTATGAGTAAGAAGAAGGAATAGAGTCACATAATATGTGCTAAGGCATAGAGTCACAAAATGACATCATATTTTGAAGAGTTATAAATATTTAAGATTGCCCAGCCCAGTGGCTCACACCTGTAATCCCAGCACTTTAGGAGGCCAGACAGGCAGATGGCTTGAGCTCAGGAGTTTGAGATCAGCCTGGGCCACATGGCAAAACCTCATCTCTACAAAAAATATAAAAATTAGCTGGGTAGATTGCACCTGTGGTCCCAGCTACTTGGGAGGCTGAGGTGGGAGAATCACATGAGCCCAGAAGGCAGAGTCTGCAGTGAGCTAAGATCGCACCATTGCACTCCAGCCTAGGTGACAGAGCTAGACGTTGTCTCAAAAATAAATAAATAAGATAAATGGAAAATAAAACACATGAGTATTACAGACAGAATTTAGATGGTTAGTAAAGGCCAGTAAATCAATGATCTTGCAGGTTATGCAGAGGGCACTAGAATTTAATCTATCATAATTGGAAGTTTGTAAACAGGAGTTGGGCTAGTTAGGGGGAAGTGAGAAGATCAAGCTCTCATTTTTAAGAGATCTTGCTGGCAAGATTGAGGAGGAAATATTGAGGAGGAATTGACTGTTGGTCATTAAATGAGATAAGATGCAAAAGGGATAATTTCTTGAACCAAATCAATGACACTCAAGATTTACATTATAGGCTTTTATGGTATTCAGGGTTATATTAGTTGCAAGTGACTGAAACCCAACTAAGAATGGCTTATGTGACAGATAGTACTGGATCATAACCCAACAATGATTACAATTTGAATAGCATAAAGAAGATAAAATAAATAAGGGATATGGATTGACTAGATCTGAGTAGTGAAAAAAGCAGAGGTAGAGGGAATGGATTCACAATATTTCCTTCTTCATGATTGGTTTTATGATGTTAACACAAATTTCATTTGGGAGGATCAGAAGAATATAAGGTACAGGGCTAGTTGGAAGAGAATACATTTTATTTTGATATGTAGAATTGAATATACCCTAGATATGCAAGTAGAAAAATCCTAGAAGCAGTAGGTTATATTGGTTTATACTTGAATGGGGTTAAGTCATTTTAAAGACATAGATTTGGGAGATGGTTGTGTACACTGTACTTTGAAAATAAATATATTGCCATAAGTATATAGTTAAGAATGAGAGGAGTTATAAAAATTAGTATGGAACTAATATGCAAGTACGAGGAGGGGAATAGTTTTTAATACCCCAAGTAGAACTCAGAGCATATTTTTATATGAATAACTCATCTCAAGTAGATGGAATTTATTAAGAAGTTCTTGTGAAAATTGCTAACAGAAACTTGAGCATCATTTATAGCATGGTTTCTAAGAAAAATGTACACCAAGTTTTAGAATATTAAACAAAACAAATAAAACACTTTTTTCTTATGGATTGGTAGCAGTGTATATTCATGGTTATCAATTAATGATTACTAATCTCATATACATTCATAAGTAAAATTATAATTTGGTTTAACACACAGAAATGAAATAGAACTGAGTGATTATAATATAGCAAAACCACCCTTCATGCCTTGTTAAACTTACACTGGCCTGACATCAAAATAATATAAAACTATTAAAAAAGAAGTCTCATTAGTTCAAAAATGACATGTTTGGCCCCTCAATGCTCTCTTTCATTTGGCACTGGTCCTACATAATGAAAACCATTTTTCAATTCACACATAGGCATACTCTAAAATAGCCATTTCCATTTTGCTCTTTTCATTACATTTTTGTACATCATGATATGAATCTATACTTCTGTCAAAAAAAACTATATCCTCCCAAATCTGATACCCTGGTTGGAGATTTTTTTCTTTAAGAATAGGTTTATTGACAATAATTTTATAAATATTCTAAAACAATTTCAAAATTTCTTAAACTTAAAATGTCTAAAATCTTCTGTTTAATGGTTGAAATAAAATCTTAATATTGGTTGAAGTTTTTTCATCCATAAAAATTTTATTACAACAGTCCATGCTAACAATTTCCTTCTCCTGTTTTCTACTGGCTAAAAAGAAAAATACAATTTGACTCTTAAATTTGTCCCCCTAGTTAGACATATAGTACACTGATGAACCCAGTCTTAAGAGGCTTTTTTATACCTCACATAGCACAACATGAAAGACATAATAAAAACTTACTAAATAATTTTTAATGATTCAAGCTGGTACTATCAGAATGGATTCCCATCCTTTTCCTTATTCAAGGAAAAATTCTAATTAGATAGAAATGGTGGAAGTTTCAAGGGAATACACACATATTTGTGTGTATATATATATATATATGTACATTATTATTTTTTAATAGAGACAGGGTCTCACCATGTCGCCCAGGCTGCTGGTCTCGAACTCCTGGCCTCAAGCAATCCTCCCATTTTAGCGTCCTAACGTGCTGAGATTACAGGCTTGAGCCACCATGCCTGGCCTTTAAGGGAACATTCAATCAAAGTTGTTTACTGCCTGAGCTTGTGCTGCTTCCATTAGAACAGACTGACCAGATGAGAGATTTGTTTGGATTTTTATTTTTGGCCCCATTCCATGGAATAACCTCAGGCAATCTAATTAATTTTTAATTTTCTTTCCTTTTTTTGTCAGCTCAAATATAGAGACACTATAAAGATAAATAATTGAGAATCAGAGAAGGGGCTATATATAATTACTGAGAATATTTCATTACATACCATATAAAATCTACATTGCAGAATGTTAAATAAAAATAAAATAATGCAAGATGCTTAATATCTAAAGCTCTTTCAAATTTCATCTTAAGGAAATATTATGCATGAATTGTACATTGTACAATATATTTTGATGTATTTTATTCATTTTATATATAATGCAAACCTTTGCAATAAGCCAGTTATTTGAAATGAACCAATTTAGTGAAATGGTTTATGGTAGTTATTGGTTCACTTTAACTACTGAATTGATTTTAACTTTTATTTTTAGACTGAAACTTTAGCTGGTTAGCTGCAGAATTTTTTACTTGAAAGACGGAAAATTTTAAATGAAAACCTTAATCCATATGTGCTGGAGAAAATCTAGGAGGATTTCAAAACTCCTACATAAGAATGCAAACAAACTATTTCATTCACAGCACATCCTAAAGAACAAGTGTTTCCTGACTTGATTTATTTTTATTTTTATTTTTATTTTTATTTTTTTGAGATGCAGTCTCTGTTGCCCAGGCTGGAGCACAATGGCACTATCTCAGCTCACTGGAACTTCTGCCTCCTGAGTTCAAGCAATTCTCCTGCCTCAGCCTTCCAAGTAGCTGGGATTGTAGGCATGCACCACCACGCCTGACTAATTTTTGTATTTTTAGTAGAGACGAGGTTTCACCATGTTGGCCAGGCTGGTCTTGAGCTCCCGGCCTCAAGTGATTCATTCACCTCGGCCTCCCACAGTGCTGGGATTACAGGTGCGAGCCACCGCGCCCAGCCCGTTTTCTGACTTTACAAGCATGTGATTTATTAAAAAAAAAAAAAAAAAAAAAAAGTCTTTCATAATTAAAAACAAAACTTTATTTTTTTTGGCCTAATTTTATACATATTTTTCTGCAAAAATGTAATTATAGAGCTTAAAAAACTTGAAATATTTTTACTGAATTGTTTAAAATGCTAAAAGTAAGTAACTTATGTAAGACTAATGAATTGCAGTAGAAAATTTTAGCCAGATAAAATAATTAGAGCAAAATGTATTAGAGAGATTGAGAGAGAGAGGGAAAGCAACCTAAAGTTAGTGCAAAGCAATAACCTACTCTAATAATTACTGAGGATTAATGAGTATTTCTATTTCTGACAAACATATAGTGAGGTAAAAAGAGTGACAGCTCATTCAGCCACACTCCATATAGTAGAGAAATTCAAAACTGAAATACCTTTGTCCATTTCTCCTTAATGCTACCGGTTGCAAATAGGTAATAAATATTTATATGATCCTCTTTACATCTTTTTATCTCAAGACAAGTTTGATCTTTGTTCTTGTCTTTTTTTTCAACAAAACATTAAAGTATGGAGATTATAAAAAAAAAAGCTAGCTTTTAGGTGATAAGTAACAATTAGAACATGAACAATTTTTTAAATTAGTTTCTAACTTGAGGCTTTAGAACATTTGATTTGAATAATCTTTGATCTATTGTGTTTGTGTACATGACTACTTGAATCAAGCTAAATGTAATATTGTATTCACAGTAAAAAATCTATGGTAATAAATTACATATTTGTGGCTCCTTTAAATATAGACGGAATCAAAATTGTAAGATTTCAAGAGGGCTCTTTGTGAAAAACAATTTAATAAGTTCTTTGATGATTGGAAATATAAAAATCCCAACTGTCTTTTCCCATTCACTTTCCTGGGGTTCCTTTTTTGCCTTGAGTAATTTACCTAATAACCAAATCTCAGACTTTGAAGGAACCTGAGTGTCATCCAGCTGTTTCTATTAGCCATTGTTTGGATTCTCCTTACAAGGCCACAGGGAGAGAGTTACTCATTCTTTACCCAAAAATTCCCAGTGACTAAATTCAGGCCCTTTGCTCTGGAAAAGCAGACCCTGTCAAAATGGAAGCAAAATGTGATATTTCTCTTGAAATGTAGTACATGGCATTCTTTATTTGAGCATATACATTGATTAAATCACAGGTAATTTAATGTTTTTAGCATATTGACCATACATTTGCATCATGCAAATAATGTGATGTATTTGTTTAAAAGCTAATACTGTTATTTTGGGCTTTTTCTTACTATGTATTATCAGCTACATATTTAAAACTAAATATAAGAGAGTCCATTCACTTTTGCAGAATTCATCTTACTGGTTTTCCAGTCTGTCATTTATTTTGATGATTTATTGTCTTGACCAGCATTATGCTATTTGTAAAAGAGTTAACAAAAACAATCATAACAATTGCAGCAACAGATTATGGTGATATCAGAGAACAACCAAAGGTAGGTAGAATCTTGATATTACCGTCTGTCAGTTTTTCTTAAGATTTCTAGTATCGCAAAAAATTTAAATGAATATCAACTTCATACTTTCAGATCTTGCAAAATACTGATGCTAATCCCTGTGTAACACAAATATGCCTGGGTGATACTAAAGAAGGGTGATTGCAGATACCCTCCAGCTTAGGAAACTGAGTTACAGTCAGGCTTCAATGAACAATGGGGATACTTTCTGAGAAGCCTGTTGTTAGGTGATTTCCTCTTTGTGTAAATGTCGTAACTGTACTCATACAAACCTAGATGGCACAGACTACTACAGGGGTCCCCAACCCCAGGCCAGGGACCAGTATCAGTCTGTGGCTTGTTAGGAACCAGTTTGCACAGCAGAAGGTGAGTGGTGGGCCAATGAGCATTACTGCCTGAGTTCCACCTTCTGTCAGATCAGCAGCAGCATTAGATTCTCACAGGAGCATGAATCCTATTGTAAACTAAGCATGCGAGGGATCTACGTTGTGTGCTCGTTATGAGAGTCTAATGCCTGATGATCCCAAAACCATGCATCCCCCAACCCCCATGGAAAAACTGTCTTTCATGAAACAGGTCCTTCATGCCAAAACGGTTTGGACCATTGGTCTACTACACGACTAAGCTAAATGTTATAGCCTATTGCTCCTAGGCTGCAAAACTGTATAACACATTACTAAACTGAATGCTGTAGGCAATTATAACACAATGGTAAGTATTTGTGTATTGAAACACATCTAAACATAGAAAAGGCAATGTGTTCTACTGACACATTATGACATTATGAAGTCTAAGACATTGCTAGACTATAGAAAATTTTCATTTTCACTAGAATTTTATGGGACCTCCTTGTACATGCAGTCCATCCTTGACTGAAACATCATTATGTGGCATGTGACTGTATTTGAAAGTGAAAATTTATGGGATCAATAGATCATTAAGTGTAGTAACATGGGTTGGGCTTAATTAATCCCAATAAATTATATGACATGACTTCAATCATTCATTATTTCATTTGCTGAAAAAATATTAAAAGTTTTGTAGAGATTGGCTGCTACCAATGATGATAATGACGATGATGATGATGAACTATCACCATCACATGCCAGGCATCCTGCTACATCTGGAGAATTCAGCATTGAACAACATAGAGTTTCTTTACTCATGAAACTTAACACTTCCTAAGAGGGAACTAGACAATATAGCAAACAAATAGTATGGTTTCCAGAAGTGACAAGTGCTATAAAGAAGTAAAACAGGGTAATGTAAAACTGTAAAACCTTGAGGCAGAAACAGGTTTGGCAAATAAAGTAAAAATTAAAAAAAAAGATTTATAAAGCTATAATGTTCAATAAATGTTAGTCGATTGAATACATGAAAAAAATGAGTTGCTCATAGGAAAAATGAAGGAATAAATAAATAAATAAACCAGAGGAGAAAAAAACACATAGCATATCCTCAGAATGCTCCCGTGTCATCAATCACAAAGTGAAAGCGGGTAAAATTGCCCTCTTGTTTTCATACCCCTTCCCCTAAAGTGAATGATTGCCTTTCTGTAATTCTCCCCCTGACTCCCAAAGGCTATACTTTTATCTTGCTTTAACAGGGATGCAAATCTTGAAGCTGGGAATACACTGCGTAGTATTCTTTGAATCTCTCTTTCAAATGTTAACCCCACACTCTTCCCCAGCCATAGACACCATTTCTGAACGGCAGGCTGGAGTGCAGATGGACAGCGTACACTAGGATGGCACAGATACCAGGGAAATAAGGTCAGGAAGTGGCAGGGAAGGTGTCACAGAATTCTTGAACCATTTTTTTGTAAAGCCCTAAAGTTTCAAACGCAAATCTGAATGAAATATAATTAGCATTTACTTTCATTTTCCCAAGGAGTCAAATAAGGTAAACTTTTGTGTCACAATGAAAACAGAACTAAGTCAGAGTTCTCTTCCTGATGACTTCAATTGTTGGGATTAATTTCTCAGTTGAACAGCATCTGCAGGTGGGATTATTCTGCTGCTGCTTTTTTCAACTCAAAATATTTTCTGACAGATGGTGATAGCAAGTAAACAAGATGTGTATTTCAGAAGCTGGAGAATTCTTGGGCTCATGAAAGGAACAATAGTCATAAATAAATATATTTCGAAGTGCCCCTGTGTTGACTGAGCTCTGAGATATTAGAGGAAAAAATCTCATTCATATTGCAGGAAATCAAGTTTCCTACCTCCGTTTCCACTTCTGAATAATATTAACAAAAAGCTTGTGGTGTATTCTTGGCGGAAAACTCTAGCCACAAGATAGCTGTCTGTGTGAACATTAAATACAGTACTTTTACAAGAATTATGTGGTTCAAGATTTGTAGCTGAGTAAAAATACCTAGCCAATTTTTCATATTCTAACGGCAAGACAGTCAATTGAATTTAAAGCAACATTTCTGAAACCAACTAGGCTTATTTAGGAAAAAGAATGAAAAAAGAAATAATAAGTACATTAAAATTAAACGTATCAAATGCAACACTGTGGAAAAATTCCTGGATAGATGAAAATCTTTTATTTTTATTTTTTTCAAAAAGTCACAGCAATACCTAAACTTGCCTACAAAAGGATATTGAAAGCATTTTTTTTTTTTTTTTTGAGGTGGAGTTTCACTCTTGTTGCCCAGGCTGAATTGCAGTGGCACAATCTCGGCTCACTGCAGCCTCAGCCTCCGGGGTTCAAGTGATTCTCCTGACTCAGCATCCTGTGTAGCTGTGATTACCCGGCTAATTTCTTGTACTTTTAGTAGAGATGGGGTTTCACCACGTTGGCCAGACTGGCCTTGAACTCCTGACCTCAGGTGATCTGCCCACTTAGGCCTCCCAAAGTGCAGGGATTACAGGTGTGAGCTGCCATGCCTGACCTATTGAAGGCATTTTTAAAGAAACTCAAGATTATATTGCTACAGAAAATAATGGCAGGCCAGTTTACATTAGGTTCTAGTTGTGAAAAAAATTAGAGTCTGGAATGTCTATTTTATTCACAAGTGCCATTTTCACCATGTATTGCAAATAAACTAAAGCTTAATGTATCATCATACTATAACATAAATACTAGTAAAAATCTCCATTTTAGATTTAATATATTTCTAAATTTTAGAATTCCTCATGTACTCTAAAAGCTATTTGATGTAACTTTTGCTGGCAAACTGGACTAAATAATTTTGTGACTAACAGAGATTATGCTTCTCCTTTTATCCTAAATTTATAAGCAACAATTTTTATTCATTTCCAGATCAGTTAACTAAAATGTTTGTTTTCAAATCCACAGGAAAGGAAAAGAAAAAAATAACTTGCTATCTTCTCTTTCTGTCTTGCTATAAAATCACTGAACTTAAATAAATTTAAAACATTAGATGAAGGAGTAATCATCACATTGAAGTGATGAATTAAAGATATGACTAGTATTCCATTAGATCTGAATTCAATTTCTTAATATTTGAATGCCTCTTATAAGAAGATGATTGCTGATGTCCTCTCAAAGATTGTTGAAAAAAAAAAAAAAGACAAAATCTGCTGTTGCTTAAATCTTCAAATAAAAAATCATTCTTAGGAAATTGGATTCTAAGTTTGTTTGCCTCTTTCAAAATTTTTAACAGAGAGATTAAAATGTAGTTATAGCGAAATATATCATTTGGATTACAGAGAAGAATATGCAGATACTTATCTTTCCACTCTAAACACAAAGCATGTGAATGTGTGTTTGCGTATGTGTGTATACATACATATAGGTGGGAGCTTGCAGAAAGTGGGTTAACGTTATATATGGTCTAGGAAATCCAACTAATGCTTGTATTATATGATAAAAATAGGTTAGATGGATGGTTTGGAACAGATTTTTTTCATGATATACAATATGCTCTGCTAAAGGCTTATTTTAAAATAGAAACTATAATTTGTAGGGGAAGTATGCCTCTTGAAAATAAATCTCTTACAAGGCAATCAATTTTGAAGTTTTTTCACTAAAAATACAAGTCTGAAATCCTCCCGTCTTGAAGTTTCTACATATCCAATAGACTTCTGAATATATTTCTTCTCTACTTATCTCTATGCTTACCTCTATTTAATTTTTATTTAAAATACTATTAAGGAATATTCAAAACATTTTTAATTGAAATTAAATGTATTTTCTTCCTCATCTATATTGTGTATATTATAGCCACAGTCAGTATAAGTTAGAAAATACTGTTTAGTTAAAATTAATATAATCAAAATATGTATATCTGGACTCTAAAACAGAAATTGATACAATAACATATGGATTGAAAATTAAGTTAATCATACTATTTCTTTTTGTTGTTGTTGTTTTGTTTTTTTGTTTTGTTTTGTTTGTTTTTTGTTTTTTTGTTTTTTTTTTCTTTTTTTTTTCTTTTTTGTTTTTGTGTTAGTTAATACACTCAGAACAACACACCCTTCACCAAAGATATTTCTGTTTTTCTTTGGGTGTCTCTAGCACCAAATTATGCATTAGAAAACAAATAGCCTTTTAATCATGTTTATGCAACTAAGAAATTATAAGACATCAAAGTGACCATCTCTGAGATTACAGCCCATATTATATATGACGCATAACAGTCACATTGTCTTAATTGACCAAAATAAATAGTAAAATTTTAAATTTCAGATAGGTTGTGTATATATAAATTACATATAAAAATAAATCTAAAATATATTATTTTATAATAATAAATTTAAGATACTTAAATTTATAAATATTTAAAATAAATTTAAAACATATAAATTTAAAATTATTTAAAATAAAATTAAAACATACTATTTAAAATATATTATTTAAATTAAACAAGTGTTATCAGGAAGGAATTCCTCTTATGAGTTTCAGATTTGGCTCAGATCAAATAAAAAGGCAAACATTACTGGGAAAATTGCCATTTGTCAACTGTTCCATGTCATATCATGTGGTAATACAGTTCTTTAAACACCAAATGTCAGAATACTGACACTATACTGTACAAACTAAAACAAGTACAAAATTGAGCATAAATAACCCAAAAATACTGGCAGCTGTGCATTTGTAAACGAGTGGTGTTTGTGATGACTAATATTTTCTTTCTGTGGTTATAACACACTGCGTTTATTTTCTATAGGACACCCCTGGGGAAAGGGGGCAGAAAACACATGAGAGACAAGTTATTTTTAAAGTTGACAACAACAAAAAGATTTTAAATCTTTGCTTAATTAAAAAAGGAATAGTACAAGTAGATGACTCACTTCTATCTTTAAAAGCTGAAAATTAAAAATTATGCAATATCCTAAAAGTATAAAGACTGATTCAAATGTTACTTCACATAATAATCTTCAAATATATCTCAAAACTCACCTATCTAGACTATTTGTTCCTATAACTGAATTGTACTTTAAGTGCAAAATATAAGCAAATAAAGAGAAGGGCATTTATTCCATCAAATAGATCCTTATGTTATAATGATAAAACCATGCTTCCCTTTTAACTGATCAAAAAGTTAAAGCATACATTTTTCAAATATTCAAATCTTACCTTTAGAGAAACATTAACATGAATTGTTTCTTCATCCAACTGTGATTCAACATTCCCTAGCCAGTAAGGTACTAATTTATGTACAAAAGCAGAGGTTCTGTGTGTTACATTTTATTCAGAAATATAGATGACATTTCCTTTTACTAGGTAGCTTAGAGTGACTAGTTCTTGTCACAATGTTGTCATAGTGATAGTGACATCAATGTACTTCATGGTAATCAGTGCGGCGATTTATCTGAGAAAAATAACAGCACCGATTTCTAGTGTATTTTACATTTCAAAATGCCATCAAGTATACTATTTAATCTACTACAGGTAAATTGGTTTCTTAAGTAGAGCACCCAGGACTTTAGATGAATTGAGGGCTATATGTATCTGCGAAATGCGGACAAAAACAGTGTCTGAATGGATGATGGGGGTATTGGTGAACATAGCCAAGAGATCATAATTAACTGGTTGCTAAGGAAGATTTTGCTCTCAAGTGCCTTTGCCAAATACAAAATCTCCTCAAGTTATGAGCTCAATTTAATTATTTTGTTAAATCCTTTTTAATGTTTTTTGGACTCCAGGAGTGATAGAGTGGTGATAGTCCAGAATTCTGGATTCTGTCCTACAGAACATTGACAAAATGCTTTCAGTCATCATCTTTCATGACAAAGGACTGTTACTGAGACTTCAGATGTTATTCAGTGGTCCAATTACCTCTCGCTCTGGTGCTATGCAGGTTGCCATTACAATAAACAGTAAGAATGACATTAGCAGAGCCTCTCAGAGATAGAAAGCTCCAATTTTTAGGTCACCATCATATCAAAAATTAAAAAAAAAGTGTTATAATTTTTTTAATATTTAAATGTTTTTCTATAAACTATTCTAACACTAAACTATAATACAAAATAATTGAGCTTTTCAGACAAATGTTTTAAGATTTTTGAAATAATAATTAATAATGAACCATTGTGCTAGGCCATTATTGCATTGCTATAAAGAAATACCTGACTGGGTAATCTATAAATAAAAGAGGCTTAATTGGCTCATGGTTCTGCAGGCTTTACCGGAAGTATGGTGCCAACATCTGCCTGGCTTTGGGGGAGGCCTCAGGAAGCTTAAAATCATGGCGGAAGGTAAAGGGGGTACAGACACGTCACATGGCAAAAGCAGGAACAAGTGAGAGAGAGTATGGGAAGGAAGGGGCCACACACTTTTAAATGACCAGATCTCATGTAAACTCAGAGTAAAAGCTCCCTTATCACCAAGGGGATGGCACAAGCCATTCATGAGGCATTCGTCCTCATGATCCAACACCTCCCACCAGGCCCCACCTCCAACAGCAGGTATTACAATTCAACATGAAATTCAGGTGGGAACAAATATTCAAACTGCATCAATCATGGATTTTGGTCATATTGGTCCCATGATGACATCTGGAAGAAAGTTACTCCCTGTTCTAGTCTTGGAGGCATATCTCTGACGGCTTGTGCAGCCTCATTTTGAGAAGACCATTATGTCGTTCATGAATGTGTGAATCTGGCCAGACATCAATTCCTTATCTGTTAAGATAATTTTAACTAATTATAATTAAATAAAGGTGTATCAGAGGCTGTCTGGGCAAAGTAACATTATTTTCATAAATATTTTTTGATTTGTGTTAAAACTCTCAGTTTGTAGAAGACAAACCACGAGAATGGCAACGTGACTACTTTCAATGAACTATTTGCCTCATTTATCACTCTCACTGGTTGGACTCTGAAAAGTAGCATTGCTCCTTTGTCACCCTTGTAATTTTACTTCAAAAATAATGACTTAGATATGATCATATATAATAGTCTGCATTGAAAAGGCCATCTTTGAGATGATTAAAAAATCAATGTGTTTATTAAGGGCTCTATTAAGAAAGGTTTTCATAGAGCTGATTTTGATTCCATACTGTTAATAAAGAATTTTCTTTTTGTACAGGAAATTTTCACAAGCCACAGATTTGACATATGATGTTTTGAGTATGTATTTTATGCCACACAGTCCCAGACTGTTTTAGTGTGAGCCATTTGAGACAAAAGAGGCAGAAGATGGTGTGGCTATTTTGGCTTCTAAGCACCATCTCTTTCTTAGTTGATCTGACACTCCAGTACAGCCTGAATCCCTGCCAGTCTCTCACATTTCCTAAGAACTGATCCTCCTACCTTAATGTTTGTTGGGGCTGCCACTGAAGCAGAAAGTTGCAACTGTTTCCAATAGAGTTGAGCCAGAGATGAGGTTCATTGGCAACCATTGCTACTCTGCTATTACCTACAACTGCTATGAAATCTGAGTCCAGGTCTATTTCAGCCAGACAGGAGGGTTGCTTCCTTATGTTATCAGAGTCCAAGAAGGGACTTCTAGAGCATAACGTATAAGAACTACTTTCTCTATCTGTCCTTTATTAGGAAAAAGGACCCGACCTTCCCTGAATGCCACTAGGCCAGGGCTAGCTTTTCAAATCCTAACAACCTCAGAAACAGGTATCTGATTTTTATTTTATATGCAAGAAAACAAAGTTCTAATTGCAATGTGCCCAGCCCAATGTCATACAGAATTAGAGAAGGCTGATTAAACCATGTCTAAGTCAGTACATTATTGTAACTAAACAAAAAGTAGATGAGTAAAGCTCTGAAGTCATAAAGAAAAATCACTTTTTACTCTCCTATAATACTGTGCCATACAATGTGCAGCCATGTCTGCTTTAAACAGTACAACTTTGTGTGGCTATACTCAAGAGAGACATTTGCTATTGCCATACAGGAGGCATCAAGGAGTTAATGATTTTTGCATAGCAAAAGAGATCTTGACCTAGGATTCTCAACTCAGAGTGTGCTTTCCTTCTACTCAAACCAAAAGACCTACTAGACATCCCTCTATGAGCCTAGCAAAGGATTAAGGGTTTTTTGTTTTGTGTTTTTTGTTTTTTCCTACTATTTCCAAGTTCATACCAGATAACTAAAAACAGAGGTAGAATCCTGACTACAAATTCATGCAACTATGCTTAAAGTGAGATTGAAATGGTTATTCCTTGTTATTAAAAGATCTAATACAGAGATTTGACCATGTAGTAAAGAATATTACGTGACTTATATAATATTTTTAGCAAATTTAAAAAATTATCATGAAAGAATGGAAAGTTGAGGTCCAGACCTTAAATAAATACCTCCCAGCCCTAGTAGCTTTACTACATTGTTAGTAAGGAGGTATTGAGGGTGAAAAGCAGCACTAAATACATGTTACTAATAGCACATTATATTTTCATTTATAGAAATGTATTTATAAACATACTTATACTGTCTAATAAAATGTAATTTTTTTGCATCATTTGTGTTTAGTCATTATCACTTCTTTTACAGTCTCACTTTTAAAAGGTTACCATAGATCAGTGCTTCCCAAATACAGATTATTTTGCCCTCCTGGAGACATTTGCAATGTCCAGAGACATTTTTCATTGTCACGACTGGGTGAGGTGGAGGGGTGCTGCTGGCGTCTAGTGGCTAGAGGCCATGTTGCTGCCAAACATCTTCCAATACATAGGACATTATGACCCTGACAACAAGGAATTATACTGTCTCAAATGCCTCAAATATCAACAGTGCCAAAGCTGGAAAACACTGCTATAGACATACACACATACACACACACATACAGGATACATAAAACTGAATGATAATCAGGGCCACATTCATTAACTCTAAAGAGCAGATTGGATCATTTGCATCTTATAAGGATGTTAATGTAACAAAGCTTAATCTTAAACATGGCATGCGACGCACCATCCTAGTTTTCAGACAATGAAAACTAGGCTACCTCAAAACCAGTACCAGTGTTGAACACTGTTTCTTATAGGTTATATAAGACATATATGGGCATGTAATTTATTGAATCAAAGTGAATATGTCTGGCTGCAATGCATATATAATTGGGAAAGTAACCATCCTTCAATTCAGCAGGCCTTGCCAGAAAGTCTAATCCCAAAGGATGGACTATTTACATTATGAACAAGCCATATCTGGAGGGCTAACCGTCTTGTGATGAACACGTTTTCAGAGCCATCCAAGGAAGCCTTCTTGGCTTTGTGAAACAGCATATGCTTGATTTTTCTTTTTTTTTCTTTTTTCCAAACATGTTAAGGAAAACCGTCACCACCCAGAAGAGTAGAGGTCAAATCTAAGATAATGTGTCATTTCTGGTCTATCATAACAGACACTTTATCTCTGTTTTCTTTAGCTTAAAAAAATGAAAAAAATGTTTCTGCTGTGTTTTGTGTCTTACTTCCCATAACTTTTTCTCCCAGACTATCTGATCTTACACTTAGGTTAACATATATTCAAATAAAATATCTCTGGTATACTCCATAAAACTCTTCCTGACAAATAATGCCAGTAGTAAATGAAGGAATTAATAGGCACACATATTCTAGAGAAAACATCTCCAATCGTGCTTCCTGCTATGAAAAAAAAGGCTCTCCAGCACTGGCTAATATCATAGCAACTAGTCATATGTGCCTATTGAGGCTTTGAAATACAGCTAGTCACTAGGATATTAATTTTTAATTTTATTTACAAATTAATTTTCGGTTAATTTAAAATTTTAAATGTTTTAATTGTATTTAATTTTGACTAGTAGCTACTGTATTGAAGAACGCAATTTAGAATACCAATGATAAAAAAAAATGAGGCCAGAAGAAACAGATACAATAGATTTGAACAGAAGGAAAAAAATAAACACTGAGACAAAAAAAGAATATTTATGAAAAGTCAATATCAGTTTAATCTTCCTTTGACATTTGGGTTACATGCCCTTATTAAGGTGGAAATGTCATATTATCAATTTCTGTTTAAATGACATGACTTTTTTTTATTTGAGGACAATTCTAAGCATTTAGAAAATTTCAGATTTGGGCAGGGCATTCCTGTAATTGCTTTATAGTAAAAGAGGATAAGTTACATGTTTTATGAGATATAAAGACTTTTTTGATGGTGGGACACAGCACATTGATACTAGGATAGATAAAGGCAGAACTCTGCTATTTACTGCTCGAACCAAGATGTGAATGCCAGGTAGGGCCAGATAGGAAATTGTATGTAGGAACAGGGTAATGACAATCTATAGCTGTAGGGGCAAGTAGGATGGGTTTAGCTAGTTACATGGGCCCCCTGCAAATTTGCTGGCTAATAAGTTTGCAGGCTCTGGGCATAAGGGGGTGTATATTGGTCCCAGAGTATAAGAGCCTGATAAGTTGGGGTTGGAGTGTGGATGTCATTAACTTCTCAGAAGGGGGAACTGACTGGCCTCTAGCCAGAGACTCAAAACTAGGTTAAGATACCTAGTTGGACCCCTTGTTGTCTTGACATTAGTGACAAACTCAATTATTAGGGGTATTACAGTGGCCCAAAGAGTAATGGAGACTTTTAAACAGTAGGGTATAAGCTCCCCTAAGCAGTGTACAAAAACATTTAGTGTAAGAGTAGAAAGGAAGGAAACAAGTAGAAATATAAGGAGTCCTTGCAGGCCATCCTGTTACCAAGTTTCCCATGTATATAGCAAAAAAGTCTGAAATTTTGGGGTCTCTAACAGTATCTTGTTGGAGTTATTGTGTTTTCTTTTCACTATTATTGTATATTGAAAGCCCCTTAAGCCAGAGTAGGCTCAGAGACTTCCAATAAAGTATGTTTGAATTATGAGTTTTATTATGTTTTTGTGGTAATAATAACAGTGTATTTCTCGAATCAAGGTGGCAGGTACAGCAGTTTTGTTGTTGGAGAATATGAACTGAAAGTTTAATAAGGTGTATGTAAAGGCTAGCAGTATTTGTAACCGAGGGGAGGAGTAGTTGTGGTGGTCATGGTCAGATCAGCAAGGCAGGAAGTTGCAGTGGCAACCTGGAGGATGCAGGAGGGTAGGAGAAGTTTTCTGAGGAGTGAGAGGTCCAGTCCAAGTATGGACCAGTATGAGGCAATAACATACATTAATTTTAGAATGGCACAGAGAGTAGCAACTTCACAAGGTTTCCTTTTAGGAATGGGAGTATAGATAAAGAGCAAGGAACATGCCAGGATTCTGCGCTAAGCAAACAGTAAGCTCAGGAAATGTAGTATAAAACCTAATATCAAAAGAAAAAATTAGTAATAAATGTCCAGGGTTCCATTTGAAAGAACGTCAGGGGAGGTATCCTGGGAGTGTTGTTGACGTGGCGGTCTTGGTGTTGAGATGAAGTTGTCTTTGGCACAGGGGATGAAGCCATCGCCAATTCTGTGGTCTCAGGCTGGGTTGACATTGCCTGAGGTGATGTCATCCCCAACAGTGAACTCCTAGGACAGGTCAACGTGATCTGGTCTATGAAACTAGGGTTCCATAGTAGGTACTTTCATAAGTAGTTACCCACTTGAGTTGTTGTGGGTCTTGTTCACCATATTATGGTAAGACTGAGCCTCTTGAGAAATTTTAAGGCAACCTTGCACCTGGGAATTTGACTTATACATATCTTTTAAGACAAGGTTTTATGAGTACATAGCTAAGAATGGTGATATTGGCATTTGTGATGTTGTTGTAATTGAACCAAAGCCCTGTAACCTGGCTGGCACAATTAAGGCCTTAAGAGTGGCTGAACCAAAAATCCCCCAATAGTCCAAGGTTTTGTCTGGATGGGTGATGGGGAGGGTTTTGCTGCAAATAGGTTTTAAATGATATGGCCAGATTTGCATGCATGTGGTTAATAGGGTGTCACAATTTTGCCTATTAAAATACCTGTGGTTGAGCTTGGAGGATCAGCATTAGCCTGTAGGCAAGCCCTCCAATTTAGCCAATGGGCCTTTTGCCTCAGTTGCTGGTTTGGTTGCAGATGAGCAAACCAGGTGAGTATTTTGTTTGTAGGGCTTCTACTCACCTTGCCAAACTCAATGGAATATGGACCTAAGCATTTGCTGTGGTCAAACAATGGCTAACTTGGAGAGTTTGAGCCTCTGGGCTGCAAACCAATGGAAGTATCCAGACCTATAGTAGTGAAACCAGTGGTTAACAGAATGGTGTGTAGCTGCACCTGACAGGACTTTGTTATCTGATGCTGATTTTCCACCAGGACATATTATTGCCAGTGAGGTGTTGTCTGCTTTTGTCATTGTGAGATATGACATTGATTTCACTATTACCTTTGAAAGTTACTTTTATTTTATTCAGTAAGTGTGGTTTTCTGTCTCTTTTCTTGGTAGTCCACACTGTCTATGGGAATGGCCCTGGAAAACCAATTTTAATTTTTCTACAGAGAATCAGAGGGAGAGCCTGAAGTAATCATCCACTTCGTACAATGTAAATATTAAAGAAAGTCAATTGGATGGTGGAAATTTTGACTCAGATGCTTCCCATAGCACATGGGTAGTGTTCTGGCCTATGGGACAATCAATGGTTAATGGGTTTCAAAGGAGTTTCTGATTAGATATGGTGTATTGCCTTTATGGGGTAGAAGCAAAATAGAAAATCTAAAAAGATAGGAGGAGACATTAATAAGGGGCCACATATATAATGAGTCTTCATAATAATGGAAATGAGACATTTCCCTCCCTTTAAATATAGCAGAGGGTGATAAGAAAGCTTTTTTTATTTTTTAATTTTTTTAATTACACTTTAAGTTCTGGGATACATGTGCTGAACATGCAGGTTTGTTACATATGTATACACGTGCCATGGTGGTTTGCTGCATCCATCAACCCGTCATCTACATTAGGTATTTCTCCTAATGTTATCCATCCCCTAGCCCCCATCCCCCGACAGGCCCCAGTCTGTAGTTTCTCTCCCTATGTCCATGTGTTCTCATTGTTCAACTCCCACTTATAAGTGAGAACATGCAGTGTTTGGTTTTCTGTTCCTGTGTTAGTTTGCTGAGAATGATGGTTTCCAGCTTCATCCATGTCCCTGCAAAGGATATGAACTCATCCTTTTTTATGGCTGCATAGTATTCCATGGTGTATATGTGCCACATTTTCTTTATCCAGTCTATCATTGATGGGCATTTGGGTTGGTTCCAAGTCTTTGCTATTGTGAACAGTGCTGCAATAAACATATGTGTGCATGTGTCTTTACAGTAGAATGATTTAGAATCCTTTGGGTTTATACCCAGTAATGGGATTGCTAGGTCAAATGGCCACTGTCTTCCACAACTGTTGAACTAATTTACACTCCCACCAACAGTGTAAAAGCGTTCCTATTTCTCTGCATCCTCTCCAACATCTGTTGTTTCCTGACTTTTTAATGATTGGCATTGTAGCTGGTGTAAGATGGTATCTCATTGTGGTTTTGATTTGCATTTCTCTAATGACCAGTGATGATGAACTTTTTCTCATATGTTTTTGGCCACATAAATGTCCTTTTGAGAAGTGTCTGTTCATATCCTTTGCCCACTTTTTGATGGGGTTGTTTGTCTTTTTCTTATAAATTTGTTTAAGTTCCTTACAGATTGTGGATATTAGCCCTTTGTCAGATGGAGAGATTATAAAAATTTTCTCCCATTCTATAGGTTGCCTATTCACTCTGATGATAGCTTCTTCTGCTATGCAGAAGTTCTTTAGTTTAATTAGATCCCGGTTCCTATACACCAATAATAGACAAACAGAGAGCCAAATCATGAGTGAACTCCCATTCACAATTGCTGCAAAGAGAATAAAATGCCTAGGAAGACAACTTACAAGGGATGTGAAGGACCTCTTCAAGGAGAGCGACAAAACACTGCTCAAGGAAATAAAAGAGGACACAAACAAATGGAAAAACATTCCATGCTCATGGATAGGAAGAATCAATATCATGAAAATGGCCATACTGCCCAAAGTAATATATAGATTCAATGCTATTTCCATCAAGCTATCATTGACTTTCTTCACAGAATTAGAAAAAACTACTTTAAATCTCATATGGTACCAAAACAGAGCCTGTATAGCCAAGACAATCCTAAGCAAAAAGAACAAAGCTGGAGGCATCGTGCAACCTGACTTCAAACTATACTACAATGCTACCGTAACCAAAACAGCATGGTACTGGTACCAAAACAGATATATAGACCAGTGAAACAGAAAAGAGACCTCAGAAATAACACCACACATTGACAACCATCTGATCTTTGAAAACCTGACAAAAACAAGCAATGGGGAAAGGATCCCCTATGTAATAAATGGTGTTGGGGAAACTGGCTAGCCATATGTAGAAAACTTAAACTGGACCCCTCCCTTACACCTTATATAAAAATTAACTCAAGATGAATTAAAGACTTAGACCTAAGACCTAAAACCGTAAAAACCCTAGAAGAAAACCTAGGCAATACCATTCAGGACATAGGCATGGGCAAAGACTTCATGAGTAAAACACCAAAAGAAGGTTTGTTTAAAGTGGGTGTGAGTTGGCTGAGGGGCCTTGAGTTGAGAGATATTAATGCCTGGCGCAGGACTGAGATATCCATTTAGGGGTTAATTGGTTATTTTGCAACTTAAATACAAGTTCTTTGAGGAGCCCATTAGGCCTCACAGTTAAACCAGTTTTCTTGGACATATTTGGGATATGAAAGTTATATTGAATGCCTTCTTTGAGAGCCTGGTGTGATTCTGAGAAATGAAATGTGTGCTTTGATTACTACCACTAATGTCTGGAACTCCAAGGGGAAAAAGGAGTGTCCTAGAAAAGCTTCATATTACAGCCTTAGTATACAGAGAGATATGTGCGATTTTTATTTATATTTTGGATATCTGTGAAGCAAGGGATTCACAGAGTTCTTTATTCTGAAGGGACAACTCTTAGGCAATGACCAAATAATTTGCGAACATTTGCTTGTGAGGCAATTTGCTGACCAGGGCATCCAGTGCTAAGATGACTACCTGAAGTCCGGCCAATCATGCTGACCCTGGGGTTCTGTCCTTTTGTCAGGAAGTAAAACAACAAAATTTCAGTGAGTTCTATCACTTACAATGGTGACAGTGCCATCCATACAGCCTACAAACTCCCATTGCTGAACACTCAGTTAATCCCAAGGGGCTCTTCATATAGCCAACGGGTTTGAGGGAAAGGTGACTTCATTTAACACCATTGCATCTGTCAAGGAATTGACAGTGGAGACCACCCCTTCCAGGTTAATTATCCAGAGGGACTAGGTTCGGCTCCATATTATATTAAGGAGGCCTCAGTAGCAGTGCTGAGTTTTTGGGATGCTGCTTTTATGATCCAAGGCATAATGGGCAACTGGTTATGGAGAATCACAGGCTCAGGGTCTGCAAGGGCCTCTATTTCCAGGAGGTTCCAGTATGTGGCCAACATTTTTTGCTCTAATGCTATATATAGCACAGGGTCAGGAAGGTCAGTTTCTTGTTTTAAAAGTCCATGGGCTACCTATGGCCATCATAGGTTGTCCAGAGACTTCAGGAGGCATGAAAGGAGGTTGCTAAATCTTCTATAGTGAATCTATCAAGTGTCTGTCATTCTTTTTTTCCTAAATCAATGATTTTAATAACAAAAAATATACTTCTGAGGGAAAATAACTGAGCTCATTGGTCTGCAGTCCTTCAAACAAAGAAATTTGATTTTTAGCTGAGAGTAAGTATTAAAGCTGTCGAGATCAATACAATTCAATGACTCTCCATTTCAATGCAAAGATAAACCTCGTTCTTGTTTCCTCTTACGAGGGATATTTTACTGAGATGAGAGGCCAAATTTCATTTTTCAGAAGATAGCTTTACTTTGATCTTTATTTTCTTCCTGTCAAGCTCATACACAATAGCATGTCTTGTGAGAGTTTGTTTCATAGCCAACCTTTTGCCACAGCCAGCATGTTCACACATAAATGGGTGCTTCTCCTTATGAAAAGAAAGAAGACAGCTCTGGAGATTAAATACAGTTCTTCTGCAGTCTTCTCTTGGATGTTGACATACATCTCTTTCTGAGGCATGAGTTTTCACAGGTTATCTGAGATAATCTTCACATTTGAATGTTTTCTGGCATACATCATGTTATTTCCTTTCTATGGATTTCTCTCTGTCCATGTTTCTGCCACAAAAGAACATCCCTATTGACATATAATTTTCTGATGAACCTGCATCTGTCCTCCCAGCCTGGAGGGTGAAACAAAGTGTTTTCCACATCCTTCAAGGTTAAACTTGAATAGGGGTTTATTTTCATGCTGGCACTGATGGATTTTCAGCTGCTGATGCTTCTTAAAGGTCTTCTTACATCCTTCAAAATTGCATACATATTGCTTTTGCAGATTTTCATGTTTGCATGCAAAATGTTTCTTCCAGTTGGATTTTCTGTGGGATTCTTTTTTTTTTTTTTATCACAGCCACTAGCTGCACAAATAAAAGGCTTTTCTCCAATGTGAATCAGGATGTGGCGATTCAGAAGGTAGCTCCTGATGAAGGCTTTGACACACCCTTTATAGTCACAGGCCTCTGCAGGATCAGCTAAATTTAAGTTGGAAAGAATTTAGAGCCTTTTATTTGAGTGATCCCCAATTAAGGTGAGCTTATTTGGAAACAGCAGTATCAGAGACATTAAGTAGAATTTGTAAATGGGAATATATTGCCTCCAGAATGAAAAAAAGAACTAAAAGATGTTGAAAGTTTATGTTTATAATGAGTATGTCAAATAAAACTCCTTAGGGGAAGATGTTATCAACTTAATATCAAACCTGTGCTGCTGGAGAAAGGTGGGTGCAGTTAAGCTCTTGTCTGCAAAGATTGCATGCAATGGCAACACTGTTGAGGTGCCCTATAAGGCGAACTAGGAAAAGCATACTTTTTTCCTTGGAGATAAAGGCAAAATACAGTCAAGAGGCCATTGAAATAGCCACCAAAGTTAAATATTAGCAAAATCTATAATAGCAAAGTATTTACTGGTTATTAGTTAAATGATGTAATTTTAATAATTTAGGTATTACGCATGAGGATCACAACAGATGAAACCGCAGCATTGTAATAAACCACCCTGAGGCGTCTGTCTTTATTTATTTTTTTTGAGGTTTGCAAATATTAGTTAAATTTTATACAAATAAGTTTGAATTCCTGAAGGTCCTTTTAAAATTTACATTGGAACATCTTAACTGTTTTAGTAAGGGGGCCCACAGGGTCTTGTTTCTCAGGCTTATTTTTCAGTGCCAAAAACTTTATTTAATTTTAATGCATTGCTCATTGTATCAGAACACATATGCTCCAAATGGAATTTAGAAAACCCTATAAGTAAAGTAAAGAATACCTATTTTTTCTCTATTTAAAATTTTTTTAAGTTTTTGTTTGTTTGTTTGTTTGTTTAAGAGATGGCGGTCTCATTATGTTGCCAAGGCTGGCGTGCAGTGGCTATTCACAGGTGCAATCATAGCTCACTACAACCGTGATCCTCCTCAGCCTCCTGATTAATTGGGACTACAGGCATGTACTACTGGACCAGGCTCTATTTTATATTTAGTTACTCTCCCAAGAATATCGGAAGTATTATGTTTAAATTTAGCAAGATCCCTGAGTAAAACTCTAAGTTGAGACCCAGTCTGATTAAGTCTGTAAAGCTTTGTCGTTTGGTGTATTTTAGCAGATCTTAAAGTTAAGTTAGAACCTATCTTTTACAGACAGAAAAGCCCAATCAGTACACATTTCATATTAGTGTTATAAAAAATATTTTAGCAGATTTTTGGATTTCTAATTAGGTTAATTTATGTACAAATTTTTTTGTGTGTATACGTATATATACAGAGTTATATAAGTAAATAAATATGTGTATATATACACATACTATTTATTTTTAAATTTCTTCTCCTATATCAAAGTTTTCTCTTTATTCCATTATTTCTCCTCTGTTTTGGGCTTCTAGCCTCCTGAAGTCATGGTTTTTAGTTTCCATCTGTATCTAATAGTTCATAATTCAAACCTGGGTGGTTACAGGAAAGGAGTTGGGGAAGCGGCCCAGTGGTCTGCCTTGTAGGCAGCCATTCTTCATCCTAAGGCTTCCCAGTCTACCTGTGAAAGAATGGGATTTCACTTGAGAGCTGCAGTCACCTGTCCTTGGGACAGGCAATAAGTTCCTTTAAGTTTTTTCCCTTTGCATGTTGACCTGCAGGGGCACTTACTAAAGCCCAATCACACTGGCTAGGGGCCTTGCATCATTTAAGCAACTGGGTAACTTTTGCAGGTGTTCAGAAGGGGGTTGCTGGGGTGAGATATTTGTTTCCTTGCCACAGACAGCCTCTCTGGGTTAAACATTGAATGGCTGGTATCCAACGGGGCAGCCCATGATATTCCTGAGGATCTGGGGAACTTGAAGTTCCCTAAAAACAGCAACAAAATATGCAGCAAAGAAGGCAGGTCGACGGCTACCCGACCAGAGCAACACTGACTATGAGACAGGGGTGCCATTTCTTTACCATGGGGGACCCCAGCCAACATCTTTTTTCACAAAGGTTGCCTGAAACACATGGACAAATCATCATTCTGCCCTAATTAATGATTATACAATAAAAAGTATCCGAAACAAGTCTCAATCAATTTAGAAGTTTATTTTGCCAAGGTTAAGGGCATGCCTGTGACACAGCATCAGGAAGTCCTGACAACATATGCAGGGCAGTTGTGCTACAGCTTGGTTTTAAACATTTTAGGGAGACAGAAGAAATCAATCAATACATGTAAGATGTACATTAGTTTGGTCTGGAAAGGTGGGACAACTTGAAGTGGTGGGGGCTTCCAGGTCATAGGTAGATTCAAAGATTTTCTGATTGGCAATTGGTTGAAAGAGTTTATCTAAAGATCTGGAGTAGAAGAAAGTGACTGCATTAAGATAAGGGTTTGTTGAGATCAAGGTTCCTATTGCGCAGGTAAAGTCATCAGGTAGCAGGCTTCAGAGAGAATAGATTGAAAATGTTTCCGATCAGACTGAAAGAGTCTGTTCTATCAGTCATAGGGTCTCTGTTTTAATGTCAATGCTGGTCAGTTGTGCCTGAATTTCAAAGGGAGGAGAGTATAATGAGGCATGTCCAGCCCTTACTTCCCATCGTGGCCCTGAACTAGTGTTTCAGGTTAACTTTGGAATGCTGTTGGCCATGGAGATGGTCTGTCAGTCAGTTAGTGGGCTTAGAATTTTATTTCTGGTATATGTAATAAAAAAGGAAACAAAGAGGTAAGGGCATCTGGGGTCAGCCTCTGTTGAACACAGTGACTAGAAAGAGGATAGAATGCCCAACGCCAGAAAGTGCAGTTTTAGCGGCCCATCACTCCCATATCCATGGGGTGGGCCCCCACCAAGGCTTTTATTGAGCCTCCAGAGTTTAATCTGTTAGCACTGTTCATTAGAATATTCTGAGCGATGTGGGGATACATGGCAAACACAGACAGACACAGCAGCAGGCAACAGGGCTAAAGCACAAGCTCCAGTTCTGTCCAAGTCACTCTCATAGAGGTCTGGAACCAATTAGTAAGCCAAGAGCAGCCTCTTGAAAAGCTATCCAAGAGTCAGCAGTCACGGCCATGCTATCTGCTCACAGTGCAAATTGTTTTATAAGATTTAAGGATTATTTTGATGGAAGGATACAACACACTGTCACTCAAATACATGAAAGGCAGAATTTCTTATTACTTTCAGCTATTAATAAGAGAAGGCTGCCAGGCAGGGCCATATAGGGAATTGCACTCAGGGACAGGGTAGCAGCAAAAGAGAGCTGTAGGAGGCAGCTATTTAGGGTATCCATGGCAAGCAAGGTGGGGTTAGCTAGGTTTCTCAGACTGCCTTCTGGTTGGTTATAATGCTGTGCCTAATTGTCTGGGATTTGGCCTGGGGCAATTAGGGCTTGTGCATAATGACCCACAGTATGAGAACCTGATTAAGGAAGTGGTTGGAGTGTGGAAGAAATCAGGCTCCGAGAAAGGGCAATTGACCAGTCTCTAACCAGAACCTCAAAATTGACTAAAGATATTAAAAAATTAAAAATCCCAAACCAAAAACTATATGTCTACATTATACCACAGGTAAAACAGGATTATGAATTAATAGTGGTAATAATTTTTAATTTTTTAAATTCATTTTGAAAAGTCTTATTCTAAAATGATTGAATTAGGAAAGTTACCTACATATTTTAAATTTCCATTCCTGAGACAGGAAGAAAAAAAGTGTTTGTCTTTTCCATTTCTAAATTCCCAAGAAACTACAGACATAAATTACTAGCTAAAACAACAGCATAAGCCCAAACAAAAAGCATCTCAGAAAAAAGAACAGGTATTTATGCTTTCTTTGTTCTGTTGATGACTCTCAAAAGTTGCATATATAGCAAATATGATAAATTAATATACTTATCTATAATTTCTATCTCTTATATTGAATAAATGATAGTGACAGTTACAATAAATTCTATGCCTTTTCACAAGTATATTGCACAAATTTAAGGAAAATAAGTGGGTTTACTGAAGTACAAGTGATATAAAATAAGCTGTCTATATTTAAAGTAACAAATTTTATACTTTTTAACCAAATATATCAGTATACATCTCTACATAGTTACACATAAAAAATAGAGTAGGTAAATAGATGATAGATAGATAAATAGATAGATAAGTTTGCTAGGGTTGCCATAACAAAGTTCCACAACCTGAGTTAAACAACAGAAATTTATTTTCTCATCATTCTAGAGGTTAAAAGTTTAAGGCATTAGCAGGGTTGGTTTCTCCTGAGACATTCTCTTTAGGTTGTAAATAGCCACCTTGTTCTCCCCGTGCTCTTCCCTCTGTATTTACTGAGTCATAATCTCTTCTTCTTATAAGGACACCAGTTATATGGGATTAGGGCCTACTCATTTAATCACATTTCTAAAGACCCCATCTCCAATTACCATCCCATTCTGAAGTGGTGCTAGGGGTTAAGACTTCAACATATGAATTTTGGAGGGATGCAATTCAGCACACACACACACACACACACACACACACACACACACACACACACACGATTGACCCTGTTTGCGGATGACATGATCTTTCACCCAGGAAACCCTATCATCTTAGCCCAAATCTTCTTAAGCTGATAAGCAACTTCAGCAAAGTCTCAGGATACAAAATCAATGTGTAAAAAAATTGCTAGCATTCCTATACACCAACAGTCAAGCTAAGGGCCAAATCACCAACAAACTCACATTCACAATTACCACAAAAAGAATAAAATACCTAGGAATACAGCTAACTAGGGAGGTGAAAGATCTCTACGAGGAGAACTACAAACCACTGCTCAAATAAATGAGAGAGGACACAAACAAATGAAAACATATTACATGCTCAAGGATAAAAAGAATCCATATCGTTAAAATGACCATACTGCCCAAAGTAACTTATAGATTCAATGTTATTTCCATTATATTGACATTTTTCACAGAACTAGAAAAAACTATTTTAAAATTCATATGGAACAAAAAAGAGCCCAAATAGCCAAGGCAATCCTAAGCAAAAAGAGCAAAGCTGGAGGCATCACGTTACCTGACTTCAAACTATACTACAGGTCTACAGTAACCAAAACAGCATGGTACTCATACAAGAACAGACACATAGACCAATGGAACAGAATAGAGAACCTAGAAATATGACCATACACCTATCTGATGTTCAACAAACCTAACGAAAACAAGCAACGGGGAAAGGATTCCCTATTCAATAAATGGTGCTGGGACAACTGGCTAGCCATATGCAGAAGATTGAAACTGGACCCCTTCCTTACTCCACATACAAAAATTAACACAAGAGGGATTCAATACTTAAATGTAACCCATGACTATAAAAACCCTGGAAGAAGACAACACAGGCAATACCATTGAGGACACAGGCTTGGGCAAAGATTTCATGACAAAGAAGCCAAAAGCAATGGCAACAGAAGCAAACATTGACAAATGGGTTCTAATTAAACTAAAGAGTTTCTGCACAGCAAATGAAACTATAAATGGAGTAAATAGATGACCTACAGAATGGAGGAACATTTTTGCAAACTGTACATCTGACAAAGGTCTAATATACAGGATCTAAAAGGAACTTAAACAAATTTATAAGGAAAAATCCCAACCCCATAAAAATGTGGGCAGATGACATGAACAGACACTTTCCAAAAGAAGACATACATGAGGCCAACAACCATATAAAAAAAGCTCAACATCACTGATCATTAGAGAAATGCAAATCAAAACCACAATGAAATACCATCTAACACCAGTCAGAATGGCAACTACAGAAAAGTCAAAAAATAAAAGATGCTGGCAAGGTTGTGGAGGAAAAGGAACACTTATATCCTGTTGGTGGAAGTATGAATTAGTTCAGCCTTTGTGGAAGACAGTATGGTGATTCCTAAGAGAGAAATACCATTCAACCCAGCAATCCCATTACTAGATATATACTCAAAGGAATATAAATCATTATATTATAAAGACACAGGCATTCATATGTTCATTGCAGCACTATTTACAATAGCAAAGACATGGACTTAACCTAAATGTCCATCAATGGTAGACTGGATAAAGAAAATGTGGTACATATACTCCATGGAATACTCTGCAGCCACAAGAAAGAACAAGATCATGTCCTTTGCAGGGGCATGGATGGAGCTGGAGGCCATATCCCTAGCAAACTAATACAAGAACAGAAAACCAAATACCACATGCTCACTTATAAGTGGGAGCTAAATAATGAGAACAAATAGACACATAGAGGGGAACAACACACACTGTGGGCTAGGAGGAGGGACACAATCAAGAAAAACAACTAATGGGTACTAGGCCTAAAACCTGGGTGATGAAACAAACCCCTATGACAAAGTTAACCTATGCAACAAACCTGCACATGTACCTCTGAACTTAAAATTTTTAAAAAAAGTTTTTAATAAATGACTTCAAATTCCACTTTTTAAAACTAGAAAAATAAGAGATGCAAAGTCGAAGTAAATGAAAAAAAAATAAAGATCAGAGCACAAATTGATGAAGTACAAAGCAGAAAGGAATACACGAAATTAATAAACCTAAAATCATGTTCTGTGAGATTGTCAATATCACTGGTAAATCTCTAGCAAGACTGAAAAGAAAAAAATATACAGAAGACACAAATTCCCAATATCAAGAATGAGAAATGCTGTATCAGTAAAATTCTTGAAAAATTAAAAAATAAGAGAATATTATGAATATATATATGCCTATATATTCAATAAGTTAGGTTGCAGGATACATTAGCATACAAATATTTTATTTCATTTCTATATACTAATAATAAACAATTAGAAATTAAAATTTTCAGTAGCATCAAAAATATGAAATTCTAGACACAAATAATGAAGACGAGAAATTTTGGGAAGTGGAAACAAACAAAAAAAAACTATTTTGAAGTTCTTTCCAAGTCTTTCATGTCTCAATCAGCATTGTCTTTTTCCTATACTTAAAGGAAAGGCATTTAGTCTTTTGCTATTAAGCATAATGTTAGCTTTAGGTTTTTCAATGATGCTGTTACTTAGGTTAAGGAGCTTCCCTTATACAGGTATCCCTAGTTTTAAGAAGATTTTTATTAGTAATGGAATTTAAATTGTTTTCAAAAAAATTTTTTATTCCCATACGAGTTTGTGTTTAGTTAATATTGGTGTATTACATTAATTGGTTTCAAATACCAACCTTGCATTCCTGGGATAAACCTATTTGATCATGATGTATGATCTTCTTTATATTGTAAGATTTGATTTGTTTATAATATGTATATCTATATTCATGAAGTGATATTGTTAGATTGTTTTCTTGTGATGATTTTGTCTGGGCTTGGTTTGCATCAAAATTGTACTGCAGGTTCTTTCCAGTGCTATAAGGCAATCAATACATAATAGGCATCCAGAAGGATAAAGAATAAATAAAACTGTCTTTATCCACAGACAATATGATCCTGAAAACTTACTAACCTCACTTATTTGTCTAATAGCTTTTTTGTGGATTCTATAGGATTTTCTGCATAACAATGTGAGAATGAACTCCACATCAGGAAATTTATGCAATCATTCTTGATAAAAATATTCCATAAATGAAGAATAGATAGAAGCATCTTATATATCCTATGGATGACAATTTGATAAAATGTACAAAAGTTATAATTCAAATACCTCTAATCTAGGCATCCCACTGTGGAACATTTACTCTACAGTTATCTCTAAAGCCATGCTAAAACTATAAATGTGACAGTTTAATTATTGGTAATAGCAGTAAGTGTTACCTAAATTATGAACCATCTTTTCAACGAAATGGTAAGTACAGAAAAAACAAACTGCAAACAAAAACCCTAACAACAACAATATCTTCAAGCTATCTCATGTTAGAAGGTAAATGCCACAAAGGCAGGAGTTTTTAAACTACAGTGTTCTGTTGTATATCCAATTATTAGAACAACACCCAAAACACAGTAGGTACTCAATAATAGTTAATACACCTGAAACGCCATAGGTGTATGAATATACCATATACAGTACATGGCATAGCTATAAAAGTACATTGTGCTCTAGTAAAAACTCAACAAATATATAGTACTATTATTTTATGAAGTAATACAAAAAGCTTTATATTATTTTATGAGTACACTGTTAAGTAAAAAGTATAGGACAATGCATCTAAAAACAACCTGTATGTAAAAAAAAGGTAGAAAATAAGAATCCTATTTGTATTTGCTTGATAAGCAAAGTATGTTTGTGTGTGTGTGCGTGTATGTGTGTATATATGCTAAAAATTTGACATTAATAATTAACTATGATGGTAAATGCAAGTCACGGATAGAGGTGGGTGAATTTTATTGGAAGGCACCCACGGTAGGTTGGAAACTTTAAACTGCATGAATGTTTTGAATTGCGTGAGTATATGATCTATGAAGAATTTGCATAATTATACAAAACTTTGTGTAGTCATAATTTTGATAAGTGCTGCAAATAAAAATACAGTATCATGATATACATATAATACAGTATGGGTATACTATATATAGTATAGCTGTAAAAACACATTGTACTCTAGTAAAAATTCAACAAGTATATGGTATTTTTATGAAGGAATAAAAAACTTGATGTTAATTATTTTATGAATTCATGTGACAATATTGGGTAAAGTGTTTTGTATTATGTAATGAGATGTATGGTTTAGGTGTTTTTACCTCAAAGATATCTTGCTAGTACTGTAAATGTTATTATATTGTGTTTTAGTGTATAATTTATCATTCACTTAAGGTGAGGATGGTCTAATACAAAAGTTAACTCCAAGCATTATTCAGCCATAAATTAATAAAGATAACTGACTCAATCTATCAGGGACTATGACTCCTTGACATGAACAACTAACTTTAGAGTAAAACTCCAATAAGTGATACTTCGCTTGCTAGTAAAACTTTCTTTTCCATTTAATACAGACCACAAGTATGAAATGTTTAAAATGTTGCTGCCGATTTTATATTCCAAAGCAAAATGTAATACCAAATAATAGATCTGGGAATAAGAAAAGAGATATTAAATATTTTATTTGCATTTTTATTAGAAAATAATTTAGCATCAAAATATGAGATATTAAATATTTTGTTTGCATTTTTAATAGAAAATAATTTAGCATCAAAATATAAGGAATGTTAAATTAGAGGGAAAACTAAGGTGAAATACATCAAGACTGCAAGTACACTAATAACAAAAATAAAATAATGTGGATTTATTTGTGATTTTTTTTAAGGGAGGCAGTGACTTACCAGTCGCACTTTTGATGACCCATTCTTAGTCCCTCTCCTTCTTAATATATCAATATTAGACCTGGTTGATAATGCCCCCCTTTTTCTTTAAGGTTATCACTCTCTTCGGGGTGCTTTATCAACTTACTGGTTTCCTTTTAGTCTCTCTAAGTGGCTTTCCCTCATTTCTCCAACTTTAATCCTTAAATGTCGAAGGGCTCAGTCCTTGGCCCTAACATCATTTTTTTTTTTCAATGTACACTCATTCCCTTGATGATCTCAGCTAATAAAATCTGTCTTTAAAAAGCCATCCATTCACTGATAACTCTGAAATTTATCTCTACTGTGGTACTCTCCAATTAAGTCCAAGTTCATATATTCAATTATCTATTTTACATTTGTAATTCTAAATAATGTCAGTCTACATTAGTCATACTAACCATATCTAAAACCAAACTCCAGCCCCCACCCACCTCACTTTCACATTTTGCACTCTTGCTTATACAAATAAGTCGAAATGCTATTCTTCCAATTTCCACTAGCTGGAAGATAGGGAATAGTCATCACTGACTCTTTTCTCATACATTTTTCTCATACCCACAACCACCCATCAGCAAATTCTGCCGACTCATGTTCAAAATATACCTACTATGTTTCTAAGTATCCCACCTCTTTTTTGTCCAAGTCACCAATATATTTTACTTGGATTATTAAAATATCCTCCTAACTGGCTTCCCTGCTTTCACTCATCCCTCTGAAGAATATACTCCACAGATAAGCCATAATAATGATCCTTTTATAACTTAATCAGAGCATGTCTTTTCCCCACTCAGCTCTTACAGTGGGCCTTCACCTTAATTAGAGTAGGAGTCAAAGTCCTTACCATGGCCTATAATCCCTAATTGCCCTATCTGATGCTGCTAACCATCTGGCCATACCTGTATCACCCTCTTACTTACTCTGCTTCTGTCTCATTGGCCTTTCTGAACTTCCTTGAATGCACTCCAGTGTAATTCTTTTTCCTCAAAATGTCCTCAATTAAGTCACCTGCTCAGGTCTTTGCTCGGATGTTACCATATCAGAGATCTTCCCTGAGTGTCCTGTATAAAATAAACCCAGTGTTTTCTAGCTTTCTTGTTCTGCTTTATTTTCTTTTCCAGTTTTCATCACCAAATATATATTAATTTGTTTACTTCAAGGCTTTCTCCAGAATATCAGTTTCATGAAGGCAGAGCTCTTGTCTATTTTTTTCCTGTATGTATCCACAATCCTTATAAAATGCTTCTCAAATGATAGGAAGCTTAATAACTACTTGCTGAATGAGTAAGTGATCAGAGAAGTAATAAAAATACCAATTATTCATGAACCTAGCATTGTCAACTAAGACAGTAAGGATGTGAACCTGAAAATAGACATTTTTGCTCTCTTGTTATGCAGCAACAACTAAAATTTAGTATATAATCAATAGAGAAACCTGTTACTAAACTTTTAAATATAATTGCAAAATAATAATTGGTTACGTGGATAAATACATAATCCATCTTCACTAATGGCGAGGAATATAAAAATGAAATTAATGTGGAATGCAATTCCACAAAAATGGAATGCAATTATGCCAAATTACCATCCGCCTGTATTTCTTTCATTTTGTTTTCTTTAATGTTTTTTTGAGGGTGGGATATTTAACTTGTTGACCACAGCATTATATATGTTGAAATTATTTAAAAGTATTATTCACTTATAGAAATTAAACTATTTATCTAAATGGATAAAGAACTGATAGTTCTTCGGATTCTGTGGTCTTTCCTGGATTCCTTTATTGTAGTTGAGACAGTAAAAAACATTTTAAAAATTATACCACTTCTAGAAAGCACTGATAATTCTACAAAGTTCTTCAACATTCACAGTCAGATGAAACCAGGCTTTGCTTTGCATAAATCAAAAAACAAATCATCCAATATAAATTTGTAAAAATTATGACAATCTAATTTGATAAAGCCCATTTGTGTTCTCACATCTGCTGAAGAGGTGGGAAAATGTTCCTATAAAGGCCAACCATAAATATGTCCTCTCATGATACCCACCTTTAAAGGTAGAAACCAGGTAGAAAAAGAACTAGATACAAATCACAGAGATCTCAGGTAGCAAAGATAATTACATATGCCTTTATCAAAAATGACTCAAAGGAGACCCATGTTATTTGAAAACCTCTGTTAACCACCAACCATGATAAAATTATTTTCAAAAATAGGTTATATGCCTACTTAGAAAGATAAGCAACATGGTCCATGCAAATACAGTTTAATGGATCAAATTAAGTATTTCAATTCCTAATAAATGTTGGAAACTGTATGTGAATGTATTGACAATGAATTATCAAGATAATCTCTATATGATTTTAGAGTATTGTGCTTTGAGAGGTAGGGCATCCTGGATTACTCAACCTGTAGGTAAGTGGTGAATCTTAAGTCTCAAGCAGTAGTTAGAATCTCTGAATCTGCTCTCAGAGAATACCTAGGCTTGACTCAACTTTTCAGAGCAACATGGTGAGCTTTAGCAAAGTGCATGACACATTCAGAAGTCTAAAGAAGTCCCACTGCTAGGGTGAAAGCACAGCATTAGATAAGTGCCCAGCTCACAATCTGTAAGCACCTAGAGACTTGATTTTTGAAATAATATGTTTAATGATTGAGAAATGCATGTTGTTTTTCATCCTGGGAAAAAAACCTGAATGTTAATATGTGTACTCAATTTTCTTAATTATTTTTAATAAACAGGAAGCATTGGCTTATTTGATGAGTTTCTTTTTAGAATTTTTTGTAATTCCAATAAAAGAGAAATGATGTCATGTTATTAAAACCTCTTACAAGAGTGTTAATTTTGAAGCCTTGGGAGAGTTACTAATTTATACAGTTTGGTATTTATCATAAACCTACTGACTAAAGCATTCCTAACAATGATTAATTAAGCAGGATTAGGCAGAATAAAATTATAGTTTTTCTAATCTTGGCCAGTAAAATGTTTTATAAAACAAAAAAATTAACAGAAACTACAATAGATGTAATTTTAGGGCTTTTTGACATCCAAGTTAATATAGCAATCCACTGAACTTGAATGTGCAATTGTAATGGTTTTGTGTAGATTTGTGCAAGGTAACTTCAAATAGTTCTTTATTACTGCTCAGCAATCCATCTGTGTTACTCTATAAACTTTGTCTCAATTTTCCCAATGATTGCTTCAATTTTCTCCACATCTGTGAATGTCTCCTGACTTCCTGTTACATTCCATCATCCTTCCCATTGGTATGTTTGTGCTCCATTATACTTTCTCAGGAATAGTAGCCAACTTCTTTTTCTGGAGTATTCAACTACAATTTCTCAACTAATATTTTCCATCAAATATATTAATCTTCAGGCCCCTATCCCATATCTTCCTGTACTTACAGCCCTATCTGTCCTCCACTCTGTAGATAATCTTTTAAAAATTATTTATGGCTGGGCATGGTGGCTGACACCTGTAATCCCAGGACTTTGGGAGACCAAGGCAGGTGTTCAAGACCTTGAACACCTCCTAGGTCAGGAGTTCAAGACCAGCCTAGCCAACATGGTGAAACCCTGTCTCTACTAAAAAAAAACAAAAACAAAAAAAAACAAAAATTAGCTGGGTGTGGTGGTGGGTGCCTGTAATCCCAACTACTCGGGAGGTTGAGGCAGGAAGAATTGCTTGAACTGGAGAGGTGGAAGTTGCAGTGTGCCAAGATTGCGCCACTGCACTCCACCGTGGGTGACACAGCGAGACTCCATCTCAAAAAAAAACAAAAAATTACACTTTTTTGTCTCTGTTCTCTAATTACTAAGACACTCCATGCCAACATGGTTCTATAGCATTATTTTATGGAACATTCCTTCCTACAGTCATCAATGACCTCCATTTTGCCAAATCCAAGGCACATTTTTAGTCTCCATTTAATTGATTTCTCAGCAACATCTGACAGTGTTTCCTCTTTTTTGAACTACCCTCTGCTATACTTTGGATATTTGAGCCTCTAAACCTTATGTTGAAATTTGATATCCAATGTTGGAGGTGGGGCCTAAAGGGAAGTGTTGGGTCATAGGGGTGGATCCCTCATGAATGGCTTGGTGCCTTCCTTGTGGTAATGAGTGAGTCCTCTCTCAGTCCCCCAGGCCCCACGGCCCCTGTGCTGCTTGTGAAAAGATGTCTGCAACCTCGCTTCCCTCTCCCTTGCTTCCTCTCTCACCATGTGATCTCTGAACATGCTACTGGCTCCCTTTCACCTTTCACCAGGCATGGAAGAAGGCTGAAGCCCTCACCAGAAGCAGATACGGGCACCATGCTTCTTGTACAGCCTGTAGAAACATGAGCCAAATAAACTTCTTTAAAAAAAAAATGACCCAGTCTCAGGTATTCCTTTTTAGCAACACCAACAGACTAATAGACCTTGTTACCTCATCAGCTTACTCATCAGCTCTCTTTATGCAGTATACTTGACCAATGCCAGAATTAAAGCAAGTACCCAAATTAAAGCAAAAACAATGAGAATGTAAGAAAACAAAGAAATACAACACATGACCAGCAGACTTGATCATCCACAGATAATTATGTCATCATTGCAGAGACTATCAGCTGACTACCAAAATCCTTTCTGCTTTCTTTTACAGTAGATGGGCATGTTATTTTTAAACTCTATTACATTTTTCACCCTCCCTTGCAGGGATCTGTGACCATGTGCTGAATTTCTTATAAAGAAGCACTGTAACTGTCCTAGAAAACGTCCCACATATACTTATACTTTCCTTTTTCATGGGGGCATGTTGAAGATGACAGAGATTCAGTCAGCTTGGGTCTTTGAATGACTCTATGGAGTAGAGACAACCTCCTTCTCATCCTTGTGCACACACATTTTTCTGGATTGATTGCTCTGTGAACTTCAAACTTTGACTTACATCAGAATCACCCAGGAAGGTTTGTTTAAACACAGATTGTTGGCCTTCAGTATCAGTTTCTGACTCAACAGATAGAGGGTGGAGCTGAAGAATTTTTATTTCTAACAGCTCCCAGGTTATGGCTACAGGGATCCTACTTTGGGGAGCACTGCCTTAGACTATGGCATAGAATGAAACAAATGTCTATTTTTCTGAGCCATTACATTTTGAGTCTATTGTTAAAGAGCTTTAGTCTTCCCTATTTCATTCGGAAATGATTATGGAAACTTGATGAGAATTATTTTATTTTTATGCTGTCATGCGCACTTAATTTGGCATAAAATAGAGCAAACCCTTATAAGGTAACATTGAGTGACTGGAAAATGGGTCAAACTACTGTATCCATGTTCTCCGGTTTGTCATCTTCCTACTTTTTGTGCTGTTCTCTTAAAACTGATTCCCCAGGTCCCAGGTAGCAGTTTCCACTTCAAAGTTGTTCAAATGCATGAGTAATTAAAAGTATTAAGGATTAGAGCCACAGAAATGAGGAGGCAAAAAAAGAGGAGAAAAGGCACTTCACAAAACAACATGGTTTTGCATTTTGAAAATAGGAAATAGCAAATAATATTTTGTCCCACAATTTATCTTGTATTATTTGGGTGGGGATGGCAAATATATGTGCTGTTTGGAGCTTAGAAAGAAAAAATGCTATTCAGAGAGTGTGGATGAACTGGATAGGAGTTAACACTCAGTGGAATTGCTCACTGATTCAAGTTCTACAAGTGATTAGGTGAGAAATCTTGCACAACCGACTTCCACCATGAGGGGAGTATAATCTAGACAAGCGCTAATATGCCAACTAGATTTGACAATTTGTAACTATATAACTAACTGCTTGTTTTGTAAGAAGGGAAAGAATACGACCATTAAATACTGTAATAATACATACATAGTAGGCTGAAACATTTTTGATAGACACATATATTTTACAATGTTTAAGTAGAATAGAAGGAGCCATCCAGGCTTATACTTAATATATGTCAGTTTAAATACCATAGTGTTAAGCTTCATGGTATGAAACAGAAAATTGAGAAACGTAGAGTCTTAGCAATTTTCAAGCAGTAGGGACAAAGAAGAGAGCTTTCACTCTTCCAAAGAAAATTTGTATAATTGACAGGGGTGTACAATCTTTTGCTTCCTTGGGCCACACTGGAGGAAGAATTGTCTTGGGCCACATCATATGAAATACACTAACACTAACAATATCTGATGAGCTTAAAAAAAGAAAAAGGTCCATGCATAAATCTCATAATGTTTTGAGAAAGTTTACAAATTAGTGTTGGGCTGCATGCAAAGCTGTCCTGGGCTGCATGCGACCCACGGGCCCTGGGTTGGACAAGCTTGGCAGCTTTACTAATGTTTTGTGCTTTAATTTGTCTCAAGAGGGGCTTCATTAATTATCTCATAAATGTAATTAGGCTGTTTAATAACTGAACACAGATTTTTTTTCTCTCTCTCTCATTTTTATTTATTTGTTTTCTACTAGCAGAATTGAGTTATTCAAATTGACAGTCTCTTGATTGGTTGATATTCAAGACACCTTGAATTATTCAAGAAACCACTTAGACAAAATAATGTTCCCCAGTTTTTTGTTTTCTTGTTTATTTTTGTTTTATCTTCTTCATTCTTTTCATTTTAATCATAAATCCTAAAGGTTACACTGAAATTGTCCCCAGGTTAATAAAGGTAACCTAATCTTTTTTTTCCTGGAAACAAATCTTTTAATTCCTTATAATTTTATCTCTCTCCTTCTTGGCTACCATATAAAAAATGGGCAAATTTCCGAGGAAGAACAAAGTGTGGTAAGTTAGGCAAACCTGAAAATGAAAGGATAAGTTAGTAAGAAAAAGAGAAACATCCTACTGAGGAAGTGTAAAGTTCATATGGTTTCTTTAAGGCAGGAAGAGAAGTGATGGATGACTACTAAAATCAGTACATTGTACAATGTATTAGAAAGCCACATTCACTGGAAGTAAAATCCATAAGAGATTATATTTTAATATTAAGATGATTTCTAGGAGGAGTAGAAACCAATTATGGTGTAGAAAACTTGACAAAAATATTAGACGTCTGTTCTCAAGCCCCAGCTTCTCCATTCCATACCTTACAAGGTTAACTGGTTATTGAGTGAGCTAAACTTAAAAATGTTTTCAAGAAGCCCCTTTATTTTTCATGAACTCTTCAAAATCTTTCCACCCCCTGATAGCACATTATGAGCATCCCATAACTTTCAAGTCACTTCTATTTTCTTTTCAATCATTATGACTCACTCTCTGTTATTCAGATGTTCTTTCCAATCTAAATCAGAGCTCCAAACTCTAATTCCATTCAAAGTTTCTCTCTTCTGCACAACTCAAGATTGATCCGTGGCTCAAAGGCTTCTAGTGACAAAAGGCATATTGACATTTTTTTTCACTTTCCATCATCCTTTTCTTTATTTTTCTACCTCCTTCTAGAATGAGGTGAGAAAGGAGAGTTGGTGGAAGAGATACAAATGTCTTCCTTCCCCCTATTTTTATAGTTAGGCCTTTGTTTTTGTTGCCTGGCAGCATTCATATATGATTGCTTAGGTAAGGTATGTATGTGAATATTTAAAGAGTTCTTGTAGGGACCTCTACAATGCACACTATTGTCACATGGGTGTCAGGCCCTGGAGACTCTCCTTTTGGTAGGCTTCCCTCTTTCTTAGGGTACATTCAAAAAGACTTAAGCTGGGCTATGTTATTCTGCCTCTATTGGCCCATGCACCTTTGCCAGCTCCAATGGTGGAAGTGCAAGTCCCTTTATTCTTTTCCCTACACGTTCCTGTGCAGTAGTGGGCTGCTCAAGCCACATTCTCACCCATAGAAGATTCCATGCAGTAAAGAGGTCTAAGCTTTCATATGCATAAATGCATCCACCCTTTAGAGGACTCGGTTAAGCACTGTCTAGTGTTCTCCTCTAAGAAATGCCCCAAGATGAGACTGAGAATCTGTGGCTCATAAACATTCAACCATGGTGTGAGAAACAGTCTACATCTTTTAAAACCACTGCCAGTCTCTCTGCATGCTTTTCTAAGGTTACATTGCCTTGGGAGAGAAAAAGCTTCCATTCCCCATTACTCTCCTCTGGTCTGACAAGCCAACAATCCAAATGAATTCTCTCTATACGTAAACCCCTCTAGACCTGGCCTTACTTAGTCTGGATGGGTTGTGGGTATGAGTGTCAAAAGACTTACCCTGCAATCTTTGATTAAATACTATAAGGGTTACTTGTAACTACTTGACACTCTAAAATATAGGGGCAATTTCTGCCGAGTATTATCAGCCTTGAGTCTTTGGCTGAGAATACAGGAAAATAACATTAACTTTCTGCTACAGAGGTATTGTAATGTTGGACAAATTATTTAACCTTTACCCGAGTTCCCCATCTGGGCTGCTGTATTAATTTCTTTTGGCTGCTATAACAAATTACCACAAACTTGGTGGCTTATGACAACACAAAATTAAAATGAATCATCTTATATTTCTACAGGCCAGAAGTCAAAAATCATTTCCACTGGGCTACAGTCAAGGTGTTGACAGGGCTTTTTCCTTCTAGAGACTCTAGTCGGTTATCCATCTCCTTGCCTTTTCTAGCTTCTAGAGGCCACCTGTCTTCATTGGCTCCTGCTTCTTCCTCCCATCATGCCCATTTCTTGCTTCCAAAGTCACTTCCTTTCTGCTCTCCTGCCTCCCTCTTATAAAATTGCTGTGACTACACCAGGCCTACGTGGGCAATCCAGAACAGTCTCCTTATCTCCAGATGCTTAGCTAAATCACATCTGCACATTTTACCTATATGGTACACATTTTACTTATATGGTGGCAGTCACAGTTTCTAAGGATTGAGATGTTGATATTTAGGGGGTCATTACTCAGCTTGCTACACTTGCTTTGAGGATTAATAATATTAAGTACTTGCCATGATATCTGGCACATATGAGCACTTAACATACTTTCTGTTCTTCTTCCTAACTTCTCATCCTATTTATTAAGTTGTGTGATATTTTGGTTAAGGCACTTGATTGCCAAAGGGCCTTTGCTGCCTCATCTGTAAAACTAGATATATGTATAGTACTCTCTTTGAAGATATAATGATGAATAAGACTGATTTAACTTCTGTCATCCTTAAGCTCACATTCCAAGGGAGCAGATAATAAAATAGGTACATATATAATGAGATATTAATTAGTACCATAAAACAGTTCAGCAATCTAGTCAGGGAAGGAGAGATCATTTGATGCAGAGTCATGCATGCTTCACTCTCAGTTTATTACCATCTGCAAATGGCACCTACATAGAAAAAGACCAAGTGACCTGAAAGAGTATCCCTGCCCACTCTACCCTTTATTCTGTGTCTTTTTCTCTGACTTAACTTTTTATGACACTAATTCCTATGTTATATTATATTTAGCTATTTTGCTTTTTTTTTTTGTTTGCATCATTCAGAAAAAAATGTAAGTTTCAGAACAACGGGGATGGAGTTGGTCTCGTGCATTATTATAACCCTATAACGGTCTGACAAGAGTCGAAGTGCAATTAATGCTTATCAAGTGAATAAAGTTATAAATCTCATAAAATAATAGTTATGAAAATAGGAAATAATTTCAGGTATAGTTAGATTAAATATTTTAATCTTTCCAAATAATAAAGATAATTTATAAAACAGTTTTATTAAAAGTAAAGCCAGTGGTGATATTTAAACTTTACAAAATTATTCTAGTTGTAATTCACTGCCAATTATACAGTTTACAATGATGATTTTACTTGGTGACATGTTTACAAACCAGCAGGTCTTAATTTATGATTTTCAGGATGTCAGACATTGAAATTTATGCCCTTGTTCATGAATTGTTGATTGAAAAAAGAACACATGTATTTCACTATTAGTTTAATTAGTAATCTTAGATATATTATTTTGTTTAAATGTGCAAATTGATAATAATGAAATTCTTGCTTCGGAAATCTATTTAAGTAAATAATATTCCAAGGAAAAAAAATCTTCTTTAAAAACAAAGTCCCATTTAAGAATCCAACTTATTTTCAAACTTGAGTTTGGTGTAAGCTATGTATATAAAATTCAAATAATTTTTCTTAAATTAAAAAAAGGTGTATATATACTGATTATATGACCTAGAAAAATTAAATGCAGAGCTCATGTCCTGTCTAAACATATATCTTTGTCAGAAGTTTCTGCTAGTTCCAGCTATCTACATCATAACTAAAGTTTATTATTTTGAGAACTGGTGAACGTGAGCACTCTAAATTGTTTCCAAGCTACATTTTTCTATGATGAGGTCAAATAATATATTTTCAGCAAAAGGTACCGGAAGGGTTCAGGATGGGCGACGTTTAGTGAGTGCAGCCTTTCAAACATCCTCAGTTCCCTTACAGGTAAAGTGTGCAGAAGGCGGTGAATAGATTCTGCTTATAAGCTGAGATCAGCAAATATCCTTTGCTTATCTCAGTTTATCATTTTTAATCCACTCTGTTTTGCACAACCCTTCTTAAAGCCACTTAAGCCAAGCCCCAAGACCCTATTTAAAAAGCCTGTCCTGGCTTCCTCAGATTCAGAAGCTCCTAAAACTTGCCTGTGGAGTGTTCTTCCTTGCTGCAGCAAGCTCAGTAAATTTGACATTGTATGACTACAGATGAATCCCTGGCAGCCTTTGGCCAATGAGCTTCAAGACTACCACTAATTAAACATGTAGTCTTGCCTTGTTACTTAATAGTCATGAACCTCACTTATTTTTCCTTGTATAATACTGATAAATACATAGCATATAAATATATATCAGTTTGTTGAGAGGTCTAGCAAAGGTATATAAAAAGTACCCAGTATGATACATAGTAGATATAAACTGTCAGTAAATAATAAATCATTTTAAAATTAATAGATTTACGGGTTTTGGAGGGATTTTCTAGACCTTTATTTGCTCTGCTTTTAAGTATTATATATATTTAGCTATTAACTTTTTTATTTTTCCTGTCAAACCTTTTTTTTTTAACTTTTAAGTTCGGGGATACATGTGCAGGGTTGTTACACAGGTAAACTTGTGTCACAGGGGTGTTGTACAGATTATTTCGTCACCCAGATATTAAGCCTAGTCCCCATTAGCTATTTTTCCTGATCCTCCCCCCTGTCCCAGCCTCTAACCTCCGATAGTCCCCAGTGTGTGTTGTTCCCTTCCATGCATCCATGTGTTCTCATCATTTAGCTCCCACTTGCAAGTGAGAACATGTGGTATTTGGTTTTCTGTTCCTGTAATCGTTTGCTAAGGTTAATGGCCTCCAGCTCCATCCATGTCTTCACAAAAGACATTACCTTGTACTTTTTAATGGCTGTATAGTATTTCATGGTGTACATGTATCACATTTTCTTTATCCGGTCTATCACTCATGGTCACTTAGGTCGATTCCGTGCCTTTGCTATTGTAAATAGTGTTGCAATGAACGTATTCATGCCCATGTCTTTATAACAGAATGACTTCTATTCTTTTGGGTGTATACCCAGTAATGAGATTTCTGGGTCAAATGGTAGCTCTGTGTTTAGGTCTTTCAGGAATCACTACATTGGGTTTATTTATGTTTTTTAAAAAATATACATTGCCCCTAATAGAAATATAGCAGTGTTCTGGATATAACTTCTGGTTTATTTCTTTTAAACTTAATTTTCATAGTAGCCCAATTTCTGCAAATACAAATCTGAACTATCAGACAAGGGCGTTTTTGAATAGCAATGACTAATGCTAATTTGGAGGACTAAATAAAATGTTCAGTCTACTGGTTTTTAAAAACTATAACTAAAACTGAATTCAAAGACCTTTCAAATTTCTTTGTCCTTATTAAATTATGATTTTTATCATCTAGAAAAGAAAAAGCCAGTGTCCTGCATTCTTGATATGATCAGAATTTGATCAAGGATGTAATAGAGGAAAAAGAGGAAAGCATTATAAGGATTTTTGAGACAGATAGGAAAAATATTTTAATAAAATGATGGCAAAATAATGAGAACAGGCATAGATTTTTCAATTTCCTGTTACAGTGTGTGCAGTTTCAAAATATTATTAATTAGAAAGGAGACCAATGCCAAGGTCCAGAGGCCAACTCTGAGATTTTATATTTGCATGCATCTGTTTTATCAGGTGGAGCTCTTCAGAGCAACACCAGGAAGAGAGTGAAGAATACAGAATTGGGCAGAGAGAGAAGGTGAAGAGCGATAGAGTTGAAACAGGACTTAGCTGATCTGCAGGGGGAGCTCTGGAGTTGGTATGGCCCTTCAGAATTTTCCTAGATTGAGTCAAGAGGGCTTAGCCTTTATAGTCTTCCACTCCTGGACCAGTGCAGAGAGATCACTCCTTTCTGCGGAAAGCAGTTATTGGGGAAGGACGCTGCTGTGAGCCAGGCATCACTCCCAGCACCTGGGGAAACTAGGGCTTTGGTTCTAAAGGAGCGAATTCACTACAGCGAATTGACACATTTATTTACCGTTGTGTTTTTAGGACATGATATCTGTTGAGCTTCTATTTGACCTTTGAAAATGTAAGCAAAGTTAAATATTAATTTAAGATTTATTTAGAAAAGGAGTTTGAATGAGTCTGTATTATTAAACTTAATATTAAGACTTTCTTTAATTACTCATCCCTTTCGTGCATGTAGTTTTTACCTCACTTTTCTGATCTGTATTTACTTTTTGGAATATTAAACTAGGTTTATGTGGGGGTGAAATCAATGTCTTCAGTAATGGGTTCCTCATGCCTTTATTCTTTCACTATATTTTATTGGGTTCCTACTTATTATTTTGTCAATGGCATAACAGTTTAGTTCTAATTTTGTTCTTTTCCTTACTCAAAATTGGTGGGAAGCTGCATGAGACAAGTGGTGTACCAAGTGCAGCATAGCTATTAAATTTTCTCCATAGACCATTCTATTGCTATTGCATAGAGGAAGGGAACAGCTTCAGGGGAATTTATGTGGGACACAAATCACATGCTAATATATGATTGCAAGTGCATTTAGTTTACAAAAGAAACTGTTACAACTTGAATCGTTTATTTAAATGGTGATATAATATAAAACAATCATTTATGTTTGTAGGATTTAAAAGAAATTTTCTTTATTCAATTTCTGAATATCACATAAATGTTGATTTTTTTAAGTCTATTTCCTGCTCCAGTCCTTGGGTCCACAAAGACTATGTCTAGAACTTCATCAAGCAAACATGAAAATTAAATAAGTGATTTGTAAAATGTGGATCACAGGATTAGGCACAAAATGAGAGGGTCTTGCTCTGTTGCCCAGGCTTCAGTGCAGTTGCAGGATCATAGCTCACTGTAGCTTTGAACTTCTGGGCTCACACAATCCTCCTGCCTCAGCTTCCTGAGTTTCCCAGATTATTTTATAGTAAGAAATGCTAGTTAATAATATACATCACCACACTTAGATTTTTTTTTTCTTTTTCCAAGCATTAGTTTCTGTGATATCATCTTGGAGTCTTACAACATTTATGACAAATGCTAAGTGAATAACGATAAAATGTTACCCTGCAAATATTTAGGTATATATTTTAAAATATTTAACATCTTCTTAGCAAGGCTCTAGAACTAGGACATTCTTGGAGACATAGAGAGTAAAATATGAGGCTGACATTTGGCTGAAAATGATGGCTTGTTCTGCTTGAGATGAGTGATAGGCACTTAGTATATAACCTATGCTTCATTCCAGACAGGGCATTGCCATTATTTATATTTTGCTCATTGGAGTCTTTAAATTGATTGTGAAAGGTTAAAAGACCATTTTAACTTATCTGTAGGGATATACTTTTGGTTGGTGCTGTTCATTTTCCATTCTCTACTGAGATTCTAAATTCTCTCAGTGGGTACCTTATCTTATTATCTCATTGAGTCTAACAAATCCTGGAGAGTTAATCAATAGTACCTGTGGGATATTTTTTACACCTTTAGTAAATCTCTGAAGGGTGATATGATACTAGAGATGAGAAAAATGTTCTCTTAGGTCATGTGTATGTGCTATTTGGGTGCACAAAACTCTCATTTTAAAATGAATTATACTTGCTCGTCTTTTTTTAGATCAGCAGAGGTAAACATATTTTCTGTCACACTGTTTTGAGTGTGCTATTCTGATCTAAGTTAAAAAAATAGAAATGCATTGATACATTTTTAGGACTTATCTGGTATATTCAATAAATGAAGTGATGTGATAAAATTTAAGTTATTTAAATGCTATTTGTATTTTTATTCTTTTTAATGGGTGTGTATTATAGGTCTACAATAAATTTAGTTGTTATGGTTTTAAATAAAAATTAGTGTTTCACTTTTGCATAATATGATATGCTTTTAGAGTTTAGAATAATAGGCTATTTCATATTACTGCAGATTTAACCTTGAGAGGCACCCATTCCTAGGCTCCATTTCATGTATGAGGCCTCAGCTCAGACAAGTTAAGCAATTTGCTTGAGTCCACAGTACGTGACAGAGCTAGAGCTTAAACTTCTGATTCTAAAAACAATTTCTTCACTCCGAATCATTGTACCTGTATTTATTGAAACAAACAAGTACGCTTTTTTGTTCTAGTTGAAAAATCCTTCATCTATGAAAAGCTATTAAAAATTCCAGCTTACTTATCAGTGCCAGGCAGCACTACTAAGAGTTAAAAACTAAAAAAATTGCAAGCAATATTTAATAATTGAAGTTAAACATATGAGGCAGCAACGTTTGTTTAAGAATTATATCTCTAAATACTCAATATTGCGCCCTAGTTTCTTCTAAGTTATTCCATTTCACATGTAAAAGATAAACATGAATAAACTAAAAGTAAAGTTCTATAGGCCGAGGAACTATTTTTATAGCTCTGTCTCCAAGAAGCAAAGTAGTGCCTAGCACATAATAGGCTCTTTACATGTCTACTGAGTGAATGAAATAATTAACAGCTTTTGAACAGTCAACCTATGAGAATAATTTATACAAGAATCTCAGTTTCCCACAAAATTTGTAATAAGACCCTTTGAGAGGACTTTTTTGAAATGACTATTTGAATGGCTTTATTTTGAATGACTATTTGAAATGACTCATTGAAGGGTGATTTGGGCCATAGAATAAAGGCTTCATGCTCAACAAATTTAAATCATGGATTAATTTAAAAATAAATGTTATTGAAATAAATGGATGGATAATGCAGACTTGGGAATCTGTCAACAATCAACTTATTTGGTATGATATTTTCTGTAACTTTTACTGAGGCATACCTTTGGTTTTAATTGACGTTTCTTAAATGGTTTATAACCAAGCTACAAAGACCAATAGAAGACTCTTCTCTTGAGGGAAGGAAACGTTGCAATTCATTCAAACTTACAAAAATATACTATCTCACTTGATATTATCTTACTCGTAAACAATTATTTCCGATGCTCAAATATTTGGACCTTTAGAAATATCTATGATTTATATACTAATAATACCTTAAAATAATTCTGCCTTCATTTCTGAATTAAAATCGTTCCCAAACACATTTAGAAAGTCGTTTTGACCATCTTTCGTGTGACATTTTTACAATTATTCTCAATTACATTTGAAGAGTGAGCTGTTGGCTCTATCAGATAATAGACACAAAGAATCATAGAATGTTGAATCTGAAACGAACCTCAGATAATCTGGTGAAGGCACTTTACTTTTATAAAAGAAACAGAATGAGATCCAGAAAGATGACGTGGCTTGGCCCAAGGTGAGAAAGTGAGCTACTAACAGAGTCAGGATTGGAGGCAAGTGCTCAACCCATTTTGCCCTGGAGGACCCAATCACTATAGAAATATGACCCATAAAAAGGGTATTTTTTTCTCTTTTTCTTCTACCCATCTTAGATTCAGTGGCTGGTGCCCTAAAAATTTAGACTGACAAAAGCCAGGCCTCTTGACAACCTTGTTTCATTTTGCTGTGGCTCTTATAGGCAAAGTCTGTCCCCCAAGCCTCACTGGTCTCTTTCCTGTTACTGGGAGGCACCAGCATCCCCACACTGTGGGGCCTGTATGCGTTGTTTCTACTCCCTGGAATGCTCTTCTCACAACTACATTTGCATGGGTCACTCCCCCACCTCTTTCAAGACTTTTCTCAAATGCTATTTCGCAGTGTCATTGTTTTTGACTACCGTGTTTAAAATTGCCCACTTCCCAGTCCCCTCTGCTCCTTTCTCAGCTTTTTTTTTTTTTTTTCCCCATAGGGCTTATAACCTTTCAATGTACTAAACGATTTCCTTGTTTATTTTGTTTTTCAGTGTTTCTTTCCCCACTAACCTAACTAAAACATAAGCACCATGGACATGGACTTCTGTTTTGTTTGCTGATGTATCCCTAGTGCCTGGAACTAAGCCTGATTATATGCTAGATGTTCATATAAAATCTGTTGAATGAGCAAATGGATCCTCCAAGGAGAAAATTGGGACAGAAATATCCACTTGAGAAAGAGCAGATGGATCTCGAAGCCCCAACTCCTAGCCCCAGATTCTTTTTTCTCTTGTGGATCTACTAAGCACAGCTGCCATGACATTGAAGGTTCCAGGTTATGCCACTTTCCGCTTACCTTTCTGGCTCAGGTGTGCCACAGGCCTTTCCTGTAAGGCTCACAGCTAAATGAAAAAAGGTTGTCCAGATATCATTCAAGGTTCAAGGTTAACAGATCAGAGTTACAGCAGAGGAGATAATTTGTAATTAACTTCCTAGGTTGTCTCTGAAACATGCTCACTGGCCCTTGCCCAGACAACATTGGCTGACATTCATCTACTTCCTTGCTAATGGAACTGCTTTGGTTCCAGAGATGTGGCTATTATCTCAGGATAAGGCAGGGATGGACCTTAATTATTCTATTCCAGTCACAGTACTGGCATTCTCCTTGCCAATGACTGATTCAGAAATAGGAACATGATGCGGGCCCATGAGAGGTGAGAGGCAAGTCAATTGAAGCAGCTGCCAGGAGGGTTCCCAGGCTTTTCAAAAGTGTACAAGGAGGTCGCACTCTCCTCCCCACACACCGCCCCCTGCTCCTGCTTTGGAACATTGGATGTTTTGTTTGAGGATGCGACTCTTGGAAGTGCAAGGCCATATTGTGTTCATAAGGGGACAAAGCCAGGGGACAAAGCCAAGGATCTAAGCCAACGTTGTGAGGATGGCAGAAGGGAACGCCAGCGAGAAACTCTGTCCTTGATTACATTGTTGTTCACTCATTCATTCCACCCTTGAATCGGCTTATTGCCAAGCTCCTTACAATGTGAAATAATACATTTTCTTAATCATTTGAGACATTTTGAGTTGAAGTTTTCTTTTAGGTGAAGCCAAAATCATTCTCATGGACAGAAAACCCTCTAGCTCTACCCCATTTGGCTACCATTTTCTAATAAGTCGAGATATTATTCCCTTAGTCATGTTAATATTCACTGAAAATGCCAGCTAAAAAGATGGATTCCCAAGCGTGTGTGTGGGAGGGTCCCTTCCAGATTCAAACTTTCCTCTCCTACAATCTGTTCTCAGGAAGTTGCCAAACCCTGTGGCACCAACCAAGCAGCTGGGGCATACAACCAAATTCCCTGTCTGCACAGAAGGTCCCACTTACTTTTTTTTTTTTTTTTTTCCTGGGTGTTTAACACGTTGTTTTTGGTGTTTAACAAGTGGTAGCCTGAACATAGCTGAAGGAAAGTTTCCGATTCCTGGAGTCTGGAAGCAGGTATCCTACCCAGGAAAGCGATATGGGTCCCTTTTGGACTAATAGCTGTTTACTTCTCAAGTCCAGAGTCTGCATTGAGGACAGCAGGTTTTTCTTTGAGTTATATAAGCCATTTAAACCTCACATTCAAGGGCACCATATAAAATGAAACAGGAGTCTTCGATATATAATTTTTCCTCATAAAATAGCCTCTAGAGGAAAAAGCAGCTGAAAAATTTGAGGGGCCTGATTTGTGGCTGCGTCATCCACGTGAACTTGTCCTTATGGAAAGGCTTTGCGTTTATGTGAAGTGTGCTGCAAAGTCTCCCAGCATTTCTAAATCTCTGCATGTGCTATACATATATGACTAATTTGGAAAACTACATTTAAGTCCTAGGTAGTGGGGAGGCTAAAGCAACTCCATCTTGGATGTTAATCTGCCATGCTGACTTCTTCTTATTTTTTAATATTTTAGAGATTGGGTCTCCCTGTGTTGTCCAGGCTAGTCTCAAACTCCTGGGCTTAAGTGATCCTCCCACCTCGGCCTCCCAAGATGCTGGGATTACAGGCGTCAGCCACCTTGCCCTGCCTCACCATGTTGACTTCTGATTAACCTCAGTTCCAGGAATGCCTCTAAGATTTCTATTCTATCCCTTGTTCCTCGTGCAACAGCATGTACTACTTATTGTAATTCCTGCCCTTAGGTCAAAACAACTTTGACGTTAGTGTATGTACCATAAATTTAGCCCTTAAGCAATTGCTGTACATATCCCTTTCCCTATAGTATATAAGCCCTGAGTCTCGGGGATAGTGAGGCAGATCGTCGTATCTCACCGCTGCCCAAGTCTATGGCTGCTATTCATAAGTCTCTATTAAATGTTTATTTCTCATAAACTAGACTTGTCATTCTCTTTTTCCAGCCTCTCAGCTTCCTTTAACTTTGGGACCTGCTTACCACAGAACAAATAGAAAATGCAAATAATTAAGAGAGTACAAATCAGGGTGTAGCTGCATTAAGGATCTCATCCCCACAATATTTCATAAATAAACCATGCCTTTGGTATAAGTATTTTAACTTCTGGTTGGATCTTTTTAAATAGTGTCAATACTCTAGGGAAGGCACAATATTTCATAAATAAACCATGCCTTTGGTATAAGTATTTTTACTCCTGGTTGGATCTTTTTAACTAGTGCCAATACTCTAGAGAAGGCATTATGAAACTAAAGTATTATCTGAATGAGTTTATCAGGTCTTTCCTTCCTCATCAAAAAGAAGACAGTATCTAAAATCAGGGTGGTGGTGGGTGTGGGTGAAATGAGGTCCTAAAGGGAAGTGGGCACATGGGAAGAGAGATGCCTATTACTAGATCATTTTTCACATGTGGAAACTGAGGCTCAGATTGCAGCCTACCAAGCCTAAGGGGTCAAGCCTGGATGTGAGCTCACTTCTAGCTGACTCCAAAATCCATAAGATTATTCAGGACACCAAAGTCACATTGACATGAGGGTTTATTATGTTTAATGTTATCAAGCTGCCTACCTTTCCTCTGTAATTTCTCTCTTAAAGGAATATACAACTAATATAATGTCATGAGCAAATTGTAATATAATTTTTAATATGAGAGGCATTATGACATGGTGGTTTATACTGCTAAGAAATATTGGACAAATTATCTGTTTTTCAGCTCCCTTCTCTGGAAAAACAAATGGGATAAAAATACTTATTTCCTTTTTTTTTTTTTTTTTTTGCGACTCAAATAAGTGCTTAAATACTTCCTGGCATTCAGAAAACATTCAATAAAGGTTTCTGTAGTTATTGGAGTTATTTGCTTCATTCATATTCTATAACTTTTTTTCCCAACTGATCATAATATCTTTATTTTTAAAGGCATTTTATTTTAATTTTTGGATTAGTTTTGTGTTTTTAAAAAGCATCATGTGTTTGTTTAAAATGATAAAAAACAAAACTATTTAAATAAAAATTAAAGTACCCACTTTTGCCTTCAACAGCACCTCTCACTCAGATATTACTACTGCCCATATACAAATATACATATTATATAGATATATTCAACATTAAATATTAATATAATAAATTATATATATATTAGTGCTTTTCATTTCTTTTCTGGCTACTAGTGGCTCTGAAAATTAACTTGAAACATTGTTTCTCTGACAAAAAACTAGCTGAAATGACACACCAAAGTGTAGAATATGTACACTTAGAGCACAGAGTGAAGTGCCTCAGTGTACATCTATCCATTTGCAAACTGGATAGATGACAAGATAGGCATTTTTCAAACCAGCTGATGGTCACAAATAGTAATAAAATATTCCCAAACTGGCATGGGTTATATTCCAAAAACAGTGTAAACCAGCAAAAAATAAAAATTGCAACTGCAAAACCTAGGTCAACCCTCTCCTCACCTTTCCTTCACTCCTCCATCTTCCCCATTCTCCACCCACACACATGTTAATCCAGGTGCGACCTACTTAAAATTAACTCCAAGGGCAAAGTCAGTGAGTGAGAAGGGCGGGGAGCCTGGAGTTGCTGGAATGGAGGAGGTGGGAAAGGAGGAGGCTGCCTGGGTTGCCTTGGCAATACAAAGGAGAATGTCAAGGGGGAGGGATTTATGCGCTGATGCTAATTGCATTTGTTAATTACATTCTATTGTGCTGACCTGCCTGCTTCCCCGGTTTATCTTTCTGAGTCAATAAGCAGTTCCAAAAGCTTCCCTTAGCAGTGTGTCCCTCCTCATCTAATTTTATCCCTCTATCAGCTTCAGGCTCAGTTACCAGAGTGCTACCTTTGGCAAGGAACCGGGGAAGGCTGTGCTGAAACTGAGTGTGCGAGGTTTTAAAAATCCTGTAGAAAAATATATCCCTGTTGGAGCTTGCTGGAATATTGCTTTGCTGTTCAACCACAGCATGGATTTACAACCAAAGAAAGCTGCTGAAAAACCAGAGAAAATAAATCTGAAAGAAACTTCCCACAGTGAAAAGCAGGCTGCAAATGATTCACCAGGAAGAAAAATAAATAAATAAATACTGAGCAGTTTCGTCTGGTATCTAGCGTACCTTTGGTTGGAAAGGTGCCTGTACACAGGGCCTTGAGCTTTATTTTCTTGCCCCCCCTAGTGGGAGTTCTATTTAATTACAACAAGAGTCCCAGCTTCTGTGCACATCCGAATAAATACAATGATACCTACTGTAAATAATGCTGTCTTATAATCTCTCATCACTGACATGAAGTATTAGCTTACAGCACTGTTGCATGTGATAAAAATCAGCAAAGACATTGCGACGCATGTAGTTGTAATTGCTATGTGGATACTTTCTTAAATCTTACTATAATTTTAAGTATTTAAAAGTAATACATAGAAATTCTGTGCTAAAGTAAGTTGTTCACAGCAATGCTTTTTGTTTCCAGTTATATTCATTCTTCCCTTTGGTTCCTCTTTACAAACAAAGTCTAAGAAATGGTAAAGTCTTTCTTCAGTCTATGCTTTCCTTAACGATTTTTATTCTCCTTGAATTAAACAATTGCTCTCAGGGTGGTTCTGTATCTATTAATTTTCCTAAGAATAAGACTTTGATTTTACCAAAAAAAAAAAAAAAAAAAAAAAAACCTTTTGCATTTTAACAAAAAACCTCTTCTGAAGTTTCACCTGGTGTTTCTACATTTCTCAAGCACTGACTCATTTCATTGCTCAGAGCTCAAATTGGCTCCTTGAAGGCAATAAAAGGCAGGTCAGGCTGTCTCTAGGCTGTTCAGTGTCTATCATCCTGTTTTGCATTTGCTCATAAAGTGTGGCAGATTTATCCGGGTGGAAAATTTTTTCAATGGAAAAGTTTAGTCACTGTGCACATTGAAAGAACGTTTCCTGCAGAAATACAGACTCCTCATCATTCCTAGTCCTTAGGCTCACACTAGTGTTTTCTCCATTTATATGCATATGAAATTCCTTGGAATCATCAGTGGTGGTATGGGAAAAAGGAGAAAGAAAGAGGTTTTGGCTGGGATCCCTGATGATTTTGATGGATTTGCTATATCTGTACCCTAGGCCCCTTGCCACATCTGTGATGCAAAAACCACACTAATTGTTTTGCCTTTGTACAGTGTCACAACACACAGCAATGCCAGGTGGATCATCATGCTTGAATTGCAAAACATTTCCCATTAGACCTGAACACAGATCTGAAACTGCCTGGCTGCCATGTCTGTTTCCTTACTGAAATTTGGAGGTGTGGGAATCCTCAGTTGTGTTCCAAGTCCAGAAAACAGTTGAGAATTGTTCTCTAGATATGTATGTGTCTAAGGGATGTAAAAAGACTCTCCTTGGAGAGAGATCTGTTTTTGAACCACGTCTAAGCCTCAATTATCAGAAGGGTAGAGTAATTATGAGAAAAGCATGGAACAGTCTCTAGACTTGTATCTCATTCAGGGCCTCATGGATTTATGCCTCAATTTAAAAAAAGGTAGCCATGAATTTAAATAACATGAATAAATTATCAAACTCTTCTCTAAAAAATCTTCAGAACACTGGAATACAAGGTGTTATTATTTCATGAGGTATAATTCAGGAGAAAGGAAGGAGCCCTCCCTCTTTTTCTGTATGTTACTCAACAGAGTGAGTCTACACAAAATGTTTCACCCAACACTTCCAGAGCAGCAGTGGCATGGAGGTTGGCAGAGATTGGTGATGTTATTAAAGGGTAACAAATGGAAGTCTGTCTTGTTGAGAGTTTGGAAGACAGTGGCACGGTATCTACACATGACTGCTGGTGACAAATATTAAGAAAGCAATGGGTCAAAGAGGAGGAGACAAAACAGCCGACTTCATGATGGCTGATGAAAATGGCTCATGATCACACATGCAAATCCCTCAAGACCTCCAAAAAATAATGGAAGATAACTTTTCAGAGAATGAATATCCTGTATTAGTAAGTGAGGATAACAGCCGGTGTCATACAAATTGATTTGTGTTAATGTTAATTAATTGTACCGTGGGAGAACAGGAATGACAGATTCATGAGTTCTAAATTTGCATTTGCCTCTTGTCTGCAAACACATAATGGATACTTATTGTGATGGTTAATATTGAGTATCAACCTGATTGGACGAAAGGATGCAAAGTATTGTTCCTGGGTGTGTCTGAGGGTATTGCCAAAGGACATAACATTTGAGTCAGTGGACTGGGAAAGGCAGACTCACCCTCAATCTGGGCGGGCACAATCTGATTAGCTGCTAGTGCAGCTGTAATAAAAGCAGGCATAAGAATATAGAAGTAGTAGACTGGATGAGTCTTCTGGCCTCCATCTTCTACCAGGTTAGATGCTTCCTGCCATCAAATATCAGACTGCAAGTTCTTCAACTTTTGGACTCTTGGACTTACACCAGTGATTTGCCAGGGGCTCTCGGGCTTTAGGCCACAGACTTAAGACTTCACTGTCAGCTTCCCTACTTTTGAGGTTTTGGGAGTCGGACTGGCATCCTGGCTCCTCGGTGTCCAGACAGCCTATTGTGGTACTTCACCTTGTGACTGTGTGAGTCAATTCTCCTAATAAACTCCTCTTCATATATTGATCTATCCTATTAGTTCTGTCCCTTTAGAGAAACCTGACTAATACACTTATTTAGTCTCAATTCTGCTCTAGAAAGTTTGTAAGAAGCTGATAAGGTTGCAGTAAATTTGACAGACTTGGTCCTTAAGGATGGTAAACAAATGCTGCTATCAATAAGATAGGTTAATTATAAATTGGATAGAGATACAAATTTAAGGTACATAAAAACACATTTTGGAGGAAACCTACGCAAGACTCAGGAGGTGGGATGGAAGTCAGGCAGGGAAAGCTTCACTGACAAAATAACTTTCAGTTGAGATTTGATGGGATAACAGAATGAGGAAGACTTAGCTAAAAGGAGCGTGAGTTAAGAGATCACTAAAGGCAGAAGAAACAACATCTATGAAGACACTGAGTGAGGGAGTTACATGACTCATTCAAAAGAGAGCAGAAGGATGGTGCTGACTGACATGATGAATGTAGGCAGGTCCAGATAACATAGAACATGCTATAAATTTAAAACTCATTGCAAAATAGTGAGGTGCTCATGCTAAGTGTGTTTCCATAGATATTCAAACCATTTATTCTTGCAAATATTTATTCTGAAAGTACCACGTGCCAGGCTAGATACTATGGCTACTATAGCAAACAAGACAGAAAGATGAGATCTCTGCCTTCATAGAGTTTACACTGCAAAGGGCTGGGCTGGGAAGAGTTAATGCTGGTAAAGAAAGAAATAAAGCTGTAATATAAATACAATGTAAATATTAATTTTATCAATATTCATTAATAGAATAATGAAATAAATAGGGCGATGTTACAGAGAGAAACGGAGTGGAGGGGGTTACTTTAGATAGGATGGTCAGGAAATGCCTCGCTGCGGAAACGTTTGAGCTGAGACATGAAATAGAGCAGGAGCCAGTCACCAGGAGAGAAGCGAACACCATGATCCTGAGAGGTACAACAGCTTGACTTCTTCAATAGCAGAAGGAAGGCTTATGTGGCTCAAGAATAGTGAATGGTGGTAATAGTGAGTTACTAAGAAGTGGGCCATAGAGAAAATTATGGCATTTATTTCAACAGCAATGGAAGTCACTGATATATGGAGGAAAAATGTTGTTGCTGTTGTTTTTCTTACTATTGTCAAATATTTCTCCACTGCTGACAGAGTGTAGATCAAAAAGGAGAAAGAATCAAAGCAGAGAGACCAATCTAAAGGTTATTGTATTAATCTAGGAGTATAAAATTATAGCAAAGATTAGTGGTAGTGAAGACAGGGAAACATAGATGCATTCTAGCTATCTTTTGAGTATTAGAAGTGACATAAGTTGTTGGTGGATTGAGTTATGGGTAAGAATAGAAAAAAGTTACAATTAAGTGATTATTAAGTTGATAATGGAACCATTTCCTGAGATAGGAAAAATTAAGGAAAATAGTAAAATCTCTGATTTAGATATATTAAGCATGATCAGTTTTAGATATTTGGTGAAAATTTAGGAGCAGTTGAATGTGAATCTGGAGCTCAAGAGGAGGATAAGAGTCTAGAGTCATGAACAGATTTATAAACTAGTTGTCCGTGGGGAAAATCTGGCTCATAGATATGTCCCACTGGGCTATATAATATGTTGCTGTGTTTTTAATTTTTAAATAGTCATCAACTTTTATAAATCAGGAGAATTCATATTAAAATGAGATCTGATACTAATATAGCAGCTCTGCATTTTCACATGACCTCAAGTCACCTGGAGCTCAGTGAGGCCTGTGCCTCTTCCATAGGGCTTATATCCTTGCACTTGTTGTATTCACCACACTTCATTGTCTCCTCCACAATGAGGCTGAGTATCAGCTACTATAGATGAAATTTTTTTATAGTAGAGAAATATTTGTTTACTCATGTCGCAAGAGGGTAAACAAATAGGAGAAAAATAGGGAAAAATAGATGAAGCCTGAAGGCCCAATTTCTCTTGTGTCCAACCTGTATCATAGACATAAGTGAGAAGAGGGCTCATAATACAGTTTAAGATCCTGATGCTTATAAATGGTGTGACTCTTCCTGGGGTCTACTTCACTGTGATGAATAACCAAATCCTTTTTTTTTTTAAGTATTATGTATTTTACAGAGTCTCTCTCTGTTATCCTTGCTAGAGTGCAGTGGTGGCATCATATTCCACTGCAGCCTTGAACTCCTGGGCTCGAGCCATCCTCCTACCTTAACCTCCCAAGTAGCTGAGAGTATAGGTGCACACCATCATGCCCCGCTAATTTTTTTTATTTGCTATTTTTTGTAGAGATGGTATCTCACTATCTTGTCCAGACTGTTCTTGAACTCCTGGCCTCAAGGAATCCTCCCACCTCAGCCTCTCAAAGTACTCGGAATACAGGTGTGAGTCACCGTGCCTGGCCAAATCCTTTTAGAAAGGGAGCAAGCAGAGAATGAGAGGAGAAAGTCAGAGGAACAGATGCCAAGAAGATGATACAAAGGATAGGGGATGAAAAGTGATATTGAGATTACTCCAGAATAGATGGAAAATAATGAGGTTAAAAACAAACAAACACAGAAAGCAAACTGTCCCTCAACATCGAGTTCACAATATTGAAGAATGACCACAGTAGGATTTTTCCATGGTAACTAAGCTCCCTATAGAGGTCATGCTATTATGGCTCTAAACTCACGGCAATTTTAGAAAAACAAGTCTTCTGTTTTCTGACTTCATGAAGGAATGTGGTGGTCTAGTTAATCAACTATTCTAAGGAATAGTGGTGATATAAGTCCCATTGATATACCACATATACCTCAAATGTATTTTCACACTTCAAACTTATGGACAGCATGACTGCTCTCATGCAGAGATGGTAGTTGCCTTCATGACTTGGCCAAAATAAAGTGTAAATATTCTATCTTTCAGTATCAGACAAACAAAATTTCAGCATCTGAGAGTAATTATACAACTATCAATCTTCAGTGTAACAAGAGTGCAATTTTCAAGTGAATAGATATTTCCAGACCCTTGAACCCACATAGTCCTTATGACTGTTTTTGACCAATAGAAAGACTCCAGTGGAGATGATGCTACGAATTCTGGAAAGAACAACCCTTAACTGAGCTCGACTGCTCCTCTCTTTTGAAACCACATAAGAAGAGTGACTACTCTGAGATCACCATGCTGTGAGAAGCCACATAGAGAAGGCATAAAGGATGTGAAGCCAGGTAGAGAGAGAAAGAGAACCTAAGGGGCCCTGGGACACCACACATTGAGTCCAGAAGCGTATTAAAGCTGGAGCCTTTGGTCCCAGCTGTCTTAGCTGACACCACAAGTGTAATCTGAGTCACACCCTCCAGCAGAGACTTTCCAAATTCTTGATGCACAAAATTGTGCAAAAAGATTTAAGCCGCTAATTTGGGGGTAGTTTGTTGTTATGTGGCAATTGATAACCAAAACACTATGCAACGGGGTTGTTTTGAAAACAAACCAAAATAAAGTGTATGAAACACTACATGTTTGCTACCTCATATATCCTTCATAAATTATGCTAAACAATTAGCAGTTATTTGCATAATCCACTCACTACAAGTTTACAAAGGACTTTTTAAAAATGAATCCTCAAAATTCCTCTCTGAGGCAAAAGTATTACCTTCACTTTAAAAATGAGTAGTGAGAATCAGAGAAGCTAAATGACGGGCCCAGAATACTACATGGGTGTGCCAGAAATAACACCTGGTCTTCTAATTCTAAGCCAGATGCCTATGCACAGCTGTGATCTAGAAAAAGTAATTTTCTCATTTCAGCATTGATTAGACCATGGAACTATCCACACTAGGAGAAAAACAGCTAATGGTATCTCTTTCCTTTTTCACAGTATCCGACTTTACATTGTAGAGAAAGCATTTCTAGGAAACATTTCTGTGATCAATATGGGACAATCCTAAAGTGACATCCATTTCCACAATAAATAGAAGGCAAACTAAGGACAATTTCTTCTTTGGAGTAGAAGACTTTGGGGCATAAGAAATATGATTTAAACTGGGTTAAGTTTATAAATAAGACCAGCTATAAATTATAATAAGAGTAAATGGATTTATAAACATGTATATATTGACATGGGTATCTGTACCTATGTCAGTTTTCGAGAGCAAATTACACTTTTTCTCATTGAGCATGTACTAAATTGCAGAGTTCATCTGATTCCAAAACTGCCTTGGAAAACTGGTTTACCTGTTATTTGAGATTCAAATACTAGCGGGGCAGGCAAAGGCAGTCCCCAGCTAGACCCATCCCCTGAGGATAGTCAAATGCCCAGTCATCAGTGACAGCTGCTAATATTTTGTATAGTGGTGACTTGTGTGATACTGTCATTACTGAATAATAATAGTAACTATTTCACAGCTTTCCTCCAGTTTCACACCATTTCCCCCAACAAGCTGAGTGACATCAGCATTAAAGCCTGGCATAACCCATACTATTCATCAATGAACTTGTGCTTCTTTCTAGACAGGAAAGGCACCAAGAAAGAATCATGCAGAAATATACATATATATTCATTAAATATAAAAACTTTATAATTCCTCCATGAAAACTTTATACCTACTAGCTGAACTTTCCTAAAATATATTTCAAGAAGAGACAGCTATTACAATCATCAGAAAACTGTTTATATTTTTGTTTTAAAGGCATTTTTGTATGACTGAAAACAGTAGGTATTATTCCTTTACGGCACCAAAAGGAAACTCCACATCTGCTTAGCATGAGATACTGTACAATTAGGGAAGGGAGAAGGAAAGAGGAGAGATTTAGCAGTAATATACCCTCTAAAAATAATCTCAGTTTGAAAAAATTACAGTGCTTTGTTCTAAGGACACATGAGGTTATAGTGACTTCATGATTGATTGTATTTAACTATCAAATTATCTATTTTACAACCCCCTTGTGTTAAATAGGGCTGATACAACTTATATGCTGTGCTCTACTTATATTATTATATTTCACTCAATACTTAAAAATATTACCTTTTTAACAAAATATTTTCCTTCTTGGCGAAAGCTTGCTTAACATACACACATAAACACACACACATTTACACACATCTCTAATGGAACTGAGATATTTTATTACACTTTGACTTTCCAACTACTTTCCTATCCTTTCTTTGGTGTCTTTTCCATTCCTTAATTTTCCAATATTCTTACAACCTCAAAACCTCAGATTTGTTTGCTTAGTTTGTGAGTTCATTGTATAGAACTCCAACATAAGTATAGTTGCTTTTTTCTGTTAATTGCCTTTGTTGAAGGTATGTTTTTGTTACTATGCAGTCCATATATAATTTCCACACTAAGATTCTGATTCTCCAGGAAGGTTGAAAATTGCAAATGCTCCCAAAACTACTGACATCAGCCAATGAGTCTAATACCTCTCAGTGGATATTGGAATCATAGCTCCCCAATTGCCTGTCAGCTACAGAAGCCAGATACCACTGAGAAATCATAATTATTATGCCCCAAGTGCCCTAGCTCACATTAGTTGTTAGTAGAGCTATCCTTAAAACAAAGACAGGAGTAGTTGAAATTATTATATATGTATTTCTATTACTGAATATTTGACGTAGTAGAGTTCTAGAGACCAAAGCCACTAAAGCCAATTTAAATTTATTTATAGAAAAACGAGCCAAATTGTGGGTATATAAATGGACTGAATATATATTCTATGCTAAGGCTAACCATAAACCAAAGGAGTAATCCTCAGTCAAATAACTGGCATCAATTATTTTTCTCATATTTTTAGATATAATGATTATGAGATCTACCTTGTCATGGGTTTGCTTTGCTGTGAAATCAAGATCATAGCAAAGGTAAAGCAACTGGGTTCTACCTTAAGGTATCACTTGGCAACCAGTCTCCTACCCAGCTGGTAAACATTTCTGATTACCAATGCAATACCAGTAGGCCTTAACTTTGGCTGGAAATTAGAGTCATTTAAGGATCATGTAAGACCAGTTAAATCAAACATCTAGCGGTGGGGTCTGAGCTTCAGTAAAATGAAAAAGCTTCCCAGCTGAGTCAGGGCCAGACCTGCGGAAGCCATTCTCATTCCATTATGGAAGGGCCAGGTGTTGCCAAGGCCACACACTTTGACATTCTAGTCCCCTGGATTCAATATATAAAACTTAGTGATATGTCCCTCAGCTGCTATAGTGAATGGTATGTAGCTGTGCAAGGATTATAAACCTGAAACAAAATAATGATGCAAGACAATCCTTTTGAGCTTGTGAAACCCAACTCTAGCTTTCAGCTGGCTGAATGTGTTTCAAGCCAGGTATGGAGGTGCCAAAGGGTTAGCAGCCACAAGGAACAACTTTCCCTTCATATATTGGTTCAACACAGTAATCACAATGAATAGAACTCAAGAGTAAAATGAATTCTGTCAATCAACCAGTCCTGTTGTCAGATAAATCATCATCACCTTTGAGGACAATAGCTTGGCCTTAATGGATCTTGAAGGGAAGCCAGACCATGAATATAGAGGCCCTGGAGGACACAAAGAGCTGAAGAAGGGAACCAAGAAAGAGGAGTTTGGGGTTCCATTAGAATGACTTTCCAACATTAATTTTTTTCTGAGCTTATTATTATATGCAGGAATGACAAATACCTTGTAATCATTGGAAGTTAGCACTAAGGACCTGTGAAAGAAAAATAAATCTTGAGGTTCCCAAATCATTAAGCTAAAGGGAAAAGGCAAGCTGGGAAACGCTTAGGGCCAACCTGCCTCCCATTCTATTCAAAGTCACCCCTCTGCTCACTGAGATAAATGCATTATCTGATTGCCTCCTTTGGAGGGGCTAATCAGAAACTCAAAATAATGCAACCATTTGTCTCTTATCTACCTATGACCTGGCAGCCCCCTCCCTGCATGAGTCTTCCCACTTTTGTTTTGAGTTGTCCCGCCTTTTCAAACTGAACCAGTGTTCATCTTACATACGTTGATTGATGTTTCATGTCTCTCCAAAATGTATAAAACCGAACTGCTCTGACCACCTTGGACACATGTCATCAGGACCTCCTGAAGCTGTGCCACGGGTGCGCGTCCTCAACCTTGGCAAAATAAACTTTCTAAATTAACTAAGACCTGTCTCAGATATTCGGGGCTCACCGACCTATGATTTGATACTTAAACTGCTCAGCTTTTAAGTCTCTAAAATTCACATCTTAGCTCAGGAAGAAAAATATAACCTTACATAAAAATATAGTCAATCAAACTTAAGATACCCAATTTGCCTACCCCAAATTCTTATTCTGGCAGGCATAATTATATTTGGTTTTGTTAAGACTAAAACACACACACACAAATTGCACCTAGTTACAGATGTTCTAAATTGCATGGAACAACTTACTCTTCTATTTTTGGTTCAGCTAATGAGCTTTCTCAAAGGAAATGACTACAATGAGTTAAAAGAAATCAAGTAAAATGTGATTCCAGAATCAAATTAACCATAATATGTTGGAGTTAGAATAAGTTTGTGATAACATTAATAGCTCATATATACTAAAATCCAATAGGCAATATTCCCACTGTACTTTTCTGTGAATTTCTTACTACAGTTAAATCTTGGTAACTGTGAGTTCCATGTTCATGGATTCTACTAACCTCAGGGAAAATAAAAAGATAATTGTGTCTACTGAACATGCACAGACTTTTTTCTTGTTAATATTTCCTAAAGAATAATATATGATAACTATTTACAAAACATTTACATTGTATTAGATATTGTGAATAATCTAGAGATGATTTAAAGTATACATGCATAGGTTACATGCAAATACTATACCATTTCTTTTAAGGGATTGGAATATCCCTGGATTTTGTATCTGACGGGGGTCCTGGAATGATGGATACCAAGTGATGACTGTATTTTCTTTTTCACTGGTAATATCAATTAAGGTGTATGTCTTGATGTAGTAGAGAATGTCCTGTTTTAGAGACCAGGACACTGGGTTCCAGGCTCTAGTTATAACTGCTATAATCCATTTTATACCTTCTGGTAAATCATAAAACTGCTACTCTTTCAATTCTTTCTTCCTTTAAAACAGAGTGATACAACTTAACTCCTTCTGAAGATTTGTGAGACTAGTAAATAAATAAACTAAAAAACACAAAGCTGGGAATGGAGGAGAACATTAGGCGAGGCAGCACAGAGATAAAAATAGATAAATCCAAGAATAATGACCTTGTGTCCAAAAGTAACCATTGTAGGAGACAAAATGAGAAAGACCAACCAGCAAGGTTAAGTAAGGCTCAAAAGCCAAAGTGATTGTGGAAAGCACATGAAGGCGGCTACTAGCTACTACAATGGAACAGCTCTCCAGGTTGTTTCTGACGGCAAGGTTTCTCTTCCTCCCAACTACTGAGGACCACCTCTATGCTAATGTTTTCTTCTTTAATTAATTGTACCGGTTGCCTCATAAACAATGTCTAATGCTGTCAAATAAGCAATTACAACAGACTTGCTTCACTCAATTGAGAAGTTAAACACATTTTTAGACTCTGAACCAGATTTTTCTCCTTTGTTTGAAAACACTTAGGAAATTAAAATTTGCCAAGAGAGGCAAAATATATTCCTTTTTTTTTTTTTTTTTTTTTTGAGACAGAGTCTCTCTCTGTCACCCAGGCTGGAGTGCAGTGGTACAGTCTCGGCTCACTGCAACCTCTGCCTCCCGGGTTCAAGCAACTCTTCTGCCTCAGCCTCCCGAGTATCTGGGACTACAGGCGTGCACCACCAAGCCTGGTTAATTTTTGTATTTTTAGTAAAGATGGGGTTTCACCATATTGGCCAGTCTGGTCTTGAACTCCTGATCTCGTGATCCACCCGCCTCAACCTCCCAAAGTGTTGGAATTACAAGCGTGAACCACTGCGTCTGGCCATATATTCCTTTTTAAATGACTTTATTGGCCAGGCACAGTGGCTCATGCCTCTAATCCCAGCATTTTAGGAGGCCCTGATGGGAGAATAGCTTGAGCCCAGGAGTTTGAGACCAGCCTGGAAAACATAGTGAGACCCTGATTCTACAAACAATTTTTTAAAATTAGCCTGAGCATGGTGGTATGTGTCTGTTGTCCTACCCACTCAGGAGGCTGAGGTGGGAGGATAACTTGAGCCCAGGAGGTTGAGGCTGCAGTGAGCCGTGATCATGCCACTGCACTCCAGCCTGGGTAGCAGAGCAGGACCCTGTCTCAAAAAAAAAAAAAAAAAAAAAAAAGAAGACTATTTATTTAAGCTTTGCATCAAAATGGCATGTATAATCAAATTTTTATTTAAAAATTTCCATCGTCTCTATCTATGTATTCTTCCATTTGTGCAAGTGATCGAGTTGCCTGAGATGGTAATCTATCAATCATATTTATCTGCATATAAGATATTAGATGATCTACTACCTTTTTCTTTTGAATTTATATATATATATTTTAATTAACCATTTATTATTTTTCAAAAAATTAAATCAGTCATTCCAAAACCACTATTCAAATATTTAAATATAGTCATATTTCTTATGGTGAAAATTCTCAAGAACCTACAAAACCTATTTATTTTAGTCACAGTGAGAAAATTAAAAAATGTGGAAACTCAGATTTTATCACTGACAATAATATATGGTCTCTGTCACAGCAGTCTACACATTTGTAAGCAAATTTGTTATCTGTGACAGTGCTGGAAACCTTGCATGGAATATGTTCACCAAAAAGAATGTGATTGGGTAACAAATGCAAGACAGCAGAACAAATCCTGTAACTGCTGCTTGGAAGCTATCCTTAGCCATACTTATTTTTTTTCATTATTTCAGTTGGCATTAACAATCATATTCGGTATCCTCATTATTAAACTATCCAAATGTTAAGGCAATGTTTAATGTCTTCCAATTCATGGAAATCGCTTTGCCTGAAGGTGATGTTTAAATTGCAGAAAAAGTAAACTGTAAGGTATTGAGAGTCTGTCTCATATAACTTTATGTTTCCTCTGAACAAAGAGCTTAGGCTCTTTAAAGCATAGAATAAGATCAATTAATGTTTGAAGAATGAATAAATGGAAGAGGTGTGGGTCCTGCTTCCTTGAGTTCCTGGTGGGCTAAGAAAAACAATAATGAACTATATTCACCTCCTGTGTGATAGAGAGAGCATAGGCTTTTAAATTGGACAAATCTGGGCTTGAATCCTAATTTTGTCAGTTAGTAATATCGTTTATTATGCTAATTAGTCTTCCTGCCTACAAAGGGATCAATAACTGTCTTTGTGTGTAGGATTGTTGGGAAGATAAAATGAAATTGAGATGCAAATCCTGAATAACTCCTGGCACAGAAATTATCAAATGGAATCTTTCTATTTTTTAATAAAGCCAGAGGAAGAGAGAATGATTGTATGATTTTTGGTTTACAAAACTAGATTGATGTGGGCAATATGATCAAATACAGGGATTATAGGAGGGTTCAGGTTTGAAGGTGGAGATGGAGAAAGTAAGAAGTGATGGACAAATAGAGTCTCAACCTGTAAGAGTTGAATTTATGAGACTTGCGTATGGTCTAATTCAGGAGAAATGTCTTTATTGAAGGTACAAATTAAAGGATTATTTGCATTTTAGTGATTAATGAAGTCTTGGAAGTGGTGAACTAACCCAAGTAAAGAATTCACTTTTCTATGTTATTGGCAACTTTGATAAAATGGAAAAAGTCTCTGAAAACTTCTTAGATAAATCTTCTAAATGTGTCATATTAAATATATAGGGTCTGAAAGAAAACCATTTATTAAAATATAATTACCAAAATATTTATAAACATATTTGAGTTATGATCATACATCTGCATCTTTACTAACAACCTGAATAACAAGCTCTGTGGAAAATCAAACTACTATAACTTTAAACTAGTGATGGGTGTAAAAGGTATACTGAGTATCTATAATAACGATCACATGATATCAACATACTCAATTTCTATCAGTGACAGATATACGTACTGTAATACTATTGTGGCTTCTTGTCTATATTCAAAATTTAAGTTATAAGTTAATAAAAATATAACATATATATATATATTTTTTTTTTTCTTAGCCAAGTTTCTAGGTACCTTGAATTCGAGGAACAACTTTGAGCCTATGAACCTTCAAGTTAAGAATGTTTGACTTGGAGTAACAGACCCTGGGGAGAATGAATTCTTCAGGGTGATATACAAGAGGAGGAGCTACCAGTGAAAGTACTTGGGGAGAAATAGTAGAAAAGAAAAATATTCAAGAGAACATAATATCTTGAAGTAAAGTTAGAATACAGTTATCTATCAGTAGGTGTTTGACAATGCAATGCAATGCTTGAAGGAGATCAAATAGAATAAAGGTTGAAAAGCAAATATTAAGTTTATCAATCAGGAAGTCACTGGTGTTTCCTTGATCCAGTCTCTACACAAGTACACAAGAAGAACTCAATGCTCACTTTGAGTCCAAAATAGAATTTAAGAGATATTTAGTAAAGTAATTACTCAGGGAATTTTGACGATATACATGAGACTTAATAGATATTTTGTAATACATTAAAATTAGAACAATTCAAAAGGTAAAAAAATGGATATTTTACATTACTGTGGTCTATACTAGGTCATACCACTTCACTGTGATAGTCAATTTTTTTTTTTAGATTAATAAGATTTTGATAGGATTTTGATGACAATAAGAAATTAACTTATTTCAGAACCTCTGAAACTAAAATTATAGGCAAATTTGGCATGCAACAAATCAGAAGGTGAAACATAGAACATAGTCCTGGTGTTTTTCATGAACTAAAGACAGAATTATTAAATGATAGTTAATTAATAAACAGGTAATAATGTCAAATTTGCAACATGCTAAGCAGTGTCCTAAATATTCCTATGGCATTAGTGTCTTTAAGCTAAATGTTGATAGCATCTGGAAACATAGAGGAGAACAGTAGTCAAATTTTATATTTTTAACAATTAAAAATTAATTAAGTATGTATTACACGCAAATGAAAAAAAAACCCAGCACTGCAAAAGCGGCCCAGCATAAAGCTCTGTTTGTAAGTAACACAGTTTCTTCACAAAGACTACTTTTTTAAATGATTTATATTCTCAAGACATTTTCTATGTATAGAAAAGCATATATACATAGATATTATATACCAATACATACACATATCCTTTTTATATTAAAAGAATATATTATAAACCTTTATCTACCTTCCACTTTTTACTTGAGAATATAGAGGTGAATTACATACCTTCTAAAAGTTATTGCATAGTAATCTTTCAAACGAATGTACACAGAAGAGAGAAATGATTTATTCAATCAGTGACCTATGGGCAGTTAGGTTGCTTTTAGATTTTTATTGCAAAAAAAAATAGAAATAAAAAACAAAGAGCTACCATGCATGTCTTCACGTATGAAACATATCTACAAATCTATCCGTAGGCTAAATATTGAGCAGTAAAATTTCTGGTTAAAATCTAGATATCATATCACCCTCATCCATGGTCCTACCAAATTACTTTCCCACTTTCATTTTGTGTATGAAAATCCCTTCCTTCCCACATATTTATTCTGTGTACTATTAAACTTTGTGCTTTTGCCAAACTGATAAGGGAAAAATATCTCCTTGGTGTTTTTACTGCATTTATTTAGCCATGAATGGGGTCGAGCATCCTTTCAATATCTCACAACTCTACCCCATATCTAGATGTCCAAAATAATCCTATGAAATGCAGCTGTTCTAATTCTTCAGTTATTTCCACAAGTACAAACACACAACCCTATTAAAACGACTTCAGTAGAATGTTCAAGGCATAAAACTTCCTCAGTACAATGTTCAAGCTCAACACAATTAGAGTCGATCTTGATTTCCCTCTTTCTCTCATATCCCACATGCTTTCTACAAACATATCTTTTACCCAGCATCTCAACTCTTCTCAACATCTCTATAGATACACTTTAGTCCAAGTCATTATCAATTCTTGCCTGGATTATTGCAATAAATCCACCTAAAAGAGTTCATGTACTCACCATTTCTACCAAGCGTTGTTTTCTCAATACCCACACTGAGGGCTCCTGTTAAAATGTAAACTGTATCAAATCCTCCCAAGTAAAAGCAGGAGTCCTTATAATTGCCTCAAAACTCCACGTGATCAAGAGCTCTACAAGCCACACCTGCTGCTTTTCTACTACCATCAGGCCCAGGCTTACTTGCTGTGCTTCTGATGAGCCCATTAGGACCAGGAATTTCACATTTAAATTTTTCTTCTGAGGCAACTGAACAAATAAGGTTTGCAATGGAGGAGACTGAGAGATGTGCAGGTTGTTGATGGTGGTGGATATTTCATTCAGAACTTTTGTTTTGCAATTGGGAGTTTGAAATATTTATTAGTTCATAGTAATACCATAACAGTAAGCTGATAAAAGTGGAAACACATGCTGATTTTTAAAAATATAGTCAAAGAATAAATAAATAAATGAAAGGTTATGTTGTTTCCAGAGGTGGTACAGCTTTTCACTGAGGAATTTTAGCCATGTCGCCTGATTCCCACCTCTAGTTTGAGGAATTCTGATATAAAGACCATGTGCATAACTATTCTAAGAAGGAAGTGTTAACAAAGGACCCTGATAGATACTATACAGGGACAACCCGTTATAGGTGCACCAAAGCTTGTCAAGAGAATCCATAAACAGTTAAAATAGTTTTCTTTGATGACCCATTGAACTACCAAGAGGCAGAACACCCTGACTGGCCTCTTTGCCGGCTGCCAGCTAATATGAAAGGAAAAATAAATATTTTTATAAAAGCCATCTGTTGTGTTTTTTTCTTCTCTCTCTTATATTTCATATAAATTCTGCTATTTTTTTCCGTTGTTGCTTGAAAACAATGTATCAGTTGTTATATGTTACATACAAGTAAAAGAACTTCCTAACAACTACACATTTTAACATTATTCTTTGTGTTTATAATAATGGGAAACTTGGGCTTACTTTTCAAAAAATATCTTTATATATACTTCCTCATTTAAGTTTTTTTTGGAATATCAACTGCTCTTCTGAAAGGTCAACATGGGCCCAGATCCCTGCTGTTCATGGTGGGGCATCACATTTCCTCATTTGCTCTCTTGCAGAAGCTTTTAGTCCCATGGGAAACAGAGACCCAACAAAAATCTGTATCTAGTTTAGCTGTAGCTCAGTTTCTGGGAGCAGTGGGGCAATGCTTTATTTGTTCCTGCTCCTCTGTTATCCTACTTTGTACAGGTTTTGGGTATGGAGAATAAATGCATGCGGAAGTGATGATATGGTATACATGCTCAGCCTGTGTTTCCTTAAGATAGAAGACCAGAAACTGATAGAACTATCTCTTCATGAAAGACTTAATGAGATTTGCACCGATGAGTGGATCGAGAGCACACATAAGGCACCATTTGGGGGATGTTCAGTTACAAATGGAAGGTAATGTTAACAGACTCAATAGTGTGATAACAGATGTTAACAGCTGGCCCTGGGGGTTTGTGATGGTTAATACTGAATGTCAACTGGATTGGATTGAAAGATGCAAAGTATTGTTTATGGGTGTGTCTGCAAGAGTGTTGCCAAAGGAGATTAACATTTGCCTTTGTGGACTGGGAAAGGCAGACCCACCCTCAAGGTGGGTAGGCACAATCTAATCAGCTGCCAATGAGGCCAGAATAAAAGCAGGCAGAAGAACATGGAAAGATTAGACTGGCTTAGCCTACATCTTTCTCCCGTGCTAGATGCTTCCTGCCCTGGAACATCAGACTCCAGCTTCTTCAGATTTGGGAATCAGACTGGCTTCCTTGCTCCACAGCTTGCAGACAGCCTATTGTGGGACCTCACCTTGTGATAATGCGAATTAACACTCCTTAATAAACTCCCCTTTGTATATACATCATCCTATCAATTCTGTCCCTCTAGAGAAACCTACTACAGGGGTGTAGCTCTATTTGCATACCTAGGATCATGAGATTCTGTTTGTTTTTGAAAACTTTTAATTTGCTTGAAATTCCATGTTGGAGAATTCTGCAATTGAACTTCCAGGAGAACTTTTTCTGATATAGATGACATGGACTGGAAAAAGCACTTTGATAAATTAGCCAACAAAATGCAATCACAAATCTAAAAATCTGGATCATTTTAAAATGAACACGGTATCTAGATGCCAGTAGAAACTAGTAGTGTATATGAAGAAAAAATGGTAAGAAATAAGGAAGAAGGTAAAGAGGGACTAGGGTGGAAGAACATGGATGAGATAATTTGGAAATTGTTCACAAAAGTGTTTCATTGGGTGAAATGAAATAGAAAAACATAGAAGAGAAAAAAATGTCATATTCATCACATAATTAAGTTTGCTTTAGTATCAATACATTTGGAAGAACTGGATAATGCTATAATAAAGAAGTAGGCTGATGTTCACACTCTGCATTAAAATATATAAAAGCTTGTTAAAAGATAGTTGCAATAATTCTAAAAATAATATACTAGGGAAATTGATTAAGTCTCTTTGGACAACTAGTCAAGATTTTTTTAAACTTTTAAATGAAATGACCAAATAACCATTTACTTGGAATAAGAAAATAGTCATAAGTGATGTGTGAGTAATCACAATTTCCTGAATATATCCTCACTTTTATTTTGATTGCTCACTAGATCATTCTTTTTCCCTTTATGTTTCTTTCATAAATTGCCTTAGAATTTTTATAAAGAGTTTTGAATCTAGATTAAATCTCTCATTATCAAACAGCTCTAAGAAAATAAAGATACAATTTTAAGATACTTGCAAATATCTCTTGAAGCCCATTTTTAAAAAGTATATTCCACTTTTTTAGTTTCTATCTGAAGCTTTTTAAATAGATGGCATATTTCCAAAGCAATGAATTTTGAAATGAATTATTCAGTAGTGTATTCAGAAATTACATGCTTACTGTTTATTCTTATTTCAGTTACTGCAGGTTCTTAAATAATGTTGGCATATAAGTAACATTGAGAACCCTAAACTAAAAGATGTATATGCCATCTAGAAAAACACTCTAATAATAAATTCTAATGAATACCCAGGGGGTTATTTTCTACATAAAAGAGAAAAGTGTATCATTTGGATATTTTTACCCATGACTGACATAGCCAAGGAAACATAAAAATAAACACAATAAACAAATGAATAATGGGAAAATAATTAAGATCTTACAGAATATTATATGGAGCTCAACAATACAAGCTAAGAAACAAACAGGATAACAACAGTTGAGGGTTAAGACAGATTTACATATCCACATACGTCAGCAAGTCTTTGCTATTATACTAGAGTGTTCTGCATGTGTAGCTGACAGAACTAAATTAAGAGTTAGTGAGACATCTATGAGGATTAGAATAAATGGAAACAGGAGTATAACTACGCAGCCCAAATACAAAACATGAGATGAAAATTATTCGGAAGAATGGAGAACAAAAAAAAAAATTAGAAAAGATAGAATTTGATACAAGGATACAGTGGTAGTTTCATAATATAAAATAAAATTACATTGAAGTATTTTAGAATTACTAGGTTAAATTGATGGATTAATATATGTAGAAATCACTATAGACTTCACTTTTCCTTCTCAATTTTTACTTTATTTAAGAGGATGAAGACCAAGTAATTTAAATTCTTTTAATCTTACCTCCTCTAAATCTCTGGATATCATCATCATTCCATTCTAAGAAAGTTGTTTTTCTTCTTTCTTTTTTATCAGCCCTTTCATCTGTATATCTCACACATTTTCTGTCTTTCATAACTTCTCATCAGTTTCTGAAACTCCACCCTTTAAGGTTCTGAGGTTTTTCTTTCTTTAAAACTAGGAAACCATAAACTATAAAACTATCATTTTTTCCTCAAAAACTGCTTAATTATTATTTTTTCTCTGTATCATTGAATTTTAAATATAAGTATAAAATTCTAAAATGTCTGTAATATGAGCACACTAAATTTAACAACCTAAGAAAAAATCAATTAAAAATTTGTGCAAAAATATAGTACATTACAAAACACAGAAAGTAAATAAAATTTAAAAAATGTATTCACAATTTAAATCTGTAGTTAGTAAATCAATAAAATTATTCTGATTGCCTCTTAAAAATATAATTGATTCAAATTAATTTAAAAGATTTTTTTCTTTTTAACTATATCAGCCTTTACTGACCAGTCATTGTTCAAAAGATGTAACTTACTTCCGGTAACACTGTAAGCAGTTTTAGAAATAGAGCACTAGATGTCATCTAAAATTGATTAGAAAAACAAAACAAACCAACCACAGAACAGTTCACAGGAGAACAGTTCACAGGAGAGCTTAGAGAGCAAAGCCTTTACCAAATTATCAGAATAAATCACAAGTTAATCTTCCTGTAAAAAAGAGTTAAGTAGAGTGGTCTGAGCCATTGATGATATACCTTCTCAGTTGCTGCCCTGTATACTCCGTAATAATGTAAACTGATCCCCTTTCCCGATTGGGATAGAAAATAACTCATTTACTATATCTGTGGCTATGTACCACATACCTAAGACACATTAATCTGCTCTAGCAATAAACTACATGAGCATGGGTGCAGGTCTACTTCTTGGAGGGGTTTGGTAGTCTAGTTATACTTGAAGATCTATCTAGCTTCTGCAGAAACCATACTTACTAATGTAATGGAAATATATAATAGAGACAACTGCCACGGTATTTTTAAAAATATTTCTGCTAATATCCTCATAGAGATAATGGCTGGAGTATAATTCAGATAATTCGACTTGTTTTTTGCTACTATGATAGCCCTTAATCTACAGGCTAAGAAACCAATATAGTGGTTACTCCAGCTGTGGTATGTGTCTGTAGCAATTCTACATTCCAGAATTTTGGAAATGGCCCCTAGTTGGGTCTATAGACACAGTGGATCTACCATAAACTCAACCTCAACCAGACTCTACATATTACCTAAGCCCTTCATCCCCCAACTAGAATAACATTTCAGATTGCTAAATATGTATGTTAACTCGTTGTTCCCCCATGTGGAGTTACCCTAGTAAATTCCATAGGTCTCACTGGAAAAAATCTGGGTGTTTTATAAGATTTAATGACAATTTTGATGGTGGAACACAACACGATGACACCACAGATGCCATTGATGAAACTGTAGATGAAACTATAAATAAAACTGCAGGTGAAGGCGAACTCTTTGTTGCTTACAGCTTCATACAAAGCAAGGCTGCAGGAAGAGCCACACAGGGGGTTGCACCAGTGACATTGTAACAGCAAGCTCGGGCTCTACAGGGCAGCTTACCTACAGCAAGTGTGGTAGGGTTAGTTAGGTTTTCTGGGCTCTCTCTAGATTGGCTAATTTGAATGATTTTGCAGGCTCTGGATCATAGGTGTTGTCCCTAATTGTCTGTCATCTGGCTCTGGGACAATTAGGGACTGAATAGTGGCCCAGAGTTTAAGAGCCTAGTAAGGACAGTGGTTGGCATATGAACTTAAATCAGCTTCTCAAGAAGGGATACTGACCAGAGCTTCAAAAGTGGGTCAAGAAAGCTTTTTTTAAAACATGAAAACAAAAACCCAGAACAACAAAGCAAACACACACATTCACACACACACACACACACACACACACACACACAAACACTAACGGGAATCATTACAGTACATACTACTCACAGTTTTAGAGGGTCCTTCTTCCTGGGGAACCATTCATCTCCTCAGTCAACAGGTTGTAAGTCTGAAAAGTGGTTTGAGTCCAGGAAAATTGACAAGGGATGGTTACATTTTAGCAGTACAGTGCTTTTGTGATTTATTCTTGCTTTACTTAGATTCTATATATTAAGCAATACCTTGTTAATAGCCCCTCTGTCTTGCCCCCAGGGGCACCATATTAACTTAATTGTCTCCATAACTTTCTGAATGTCAGATACCCTAGGCTGCACTCCAACCTTGTAAATAATTATAAAATTGTGACACCTCTGCTTCCCCTCACACCCAGCTTTATTTATTAAGCACCACAACAGGATCTCTATCGTTTCACAAACTCATCATCCTCATCATTATTAAATGAGTCACACTCTGTGACAGCCTTTTTTGTAGCCCTGGAAGTGCAAAGGAGAGGCATCACTGAATTTCTTAGTAATATTAGTGTCCTTTTTACCGTTGCATTGTTGGTGGTCTTGGTGAATTGTGTGTCTGTCTTTTTCAGAAATGTCATCTTTTGGTGGAGCATCTGGCTTTACATAGAATATATCCACTCTTCTCGCTCACCTTCCTGAGCCTTTTAATCCATTTCTCCATTTCTGCCAAGGCATCTGACATTTCAGCTTGGTTCAACAAAACCATCATTTTCTTCAGGCTTTTAGTACCACTCTAGGAGGAAATTTGCTGGGGCGCTTGCTATGATATTAAATTGCGTATCCCAAGGAGGTCCAAATTCAATAAATCCTCCTTTATCTAATCTTTTTATATATCCTCTTTATCAAACTTTCTCAAAATCTAGTTTCACTGATACTCCTCCAGCTCCTGCCACTACTTGCCAGCTAATTATAGCTCTTCTGACAGAGTCCCCTACCTCTGTAGGGGTATGTAGCAGGCTCTCGGCTAAGATATGCTGCTACTTACTTCTAGCCACTGGCTTTGAAGACAGGACAGATAGTGAGGGCAGATCCCTCACCATCTAACAAGGTTAGCCCTGTTACTTTGCTTGAGAGAGGCTTCTGCAGTGTCTTCCCACACAGGGAAATCACAACTCTTAGTGGGGAAGGATGGGCCACCTATACAGTCTCTGATGATTCCGAGACATCTGGGAAGTTGATAGCTTTGGGTTCATTTACCCAGATCCCATGTGTGAGAGACCTAGGTTTTCTCAATCACAGCCATAGCTTTGGCATAATAGACCTGCTTTAGCTGAATATTCAAATGTCATTCAAGCTTGGCCATTCTATTAAATTCTGAGTTTGTCTTTAGCTTTTTATTTTCTGTCCCTGCAGAATATTAGGGGTCCTGGCTTTTACACTTAGTTTTCAAGTATTCACAGTTTTTAGCTTTTCAGTATCTTTCTGCAGGTTAGCAATGAAATTTAATAACAAATTCCATTTTTTACCTTGTATGCATTGTTTTCTCTGCATTTTTAATAACCTGAGTCATTGCACCAGTGACATGGCGAAATGTTAGCAGTTGGACTGCAAGCTTGAGCTGGGGACTATCCATAACTCACAGTTCACTCGATATGTGGTTCTCATTCCCAGTTAGGCACTAAGTGATCCAATTCAAAAACCTCAGTTCTAGTATCATTGCATCCTCCTGGAAACAGATACTGACTGAAATTAGGACTACAAAAGTTATATTGGGCAAACACACCTGGGAAAGGGAATAAGAAGAAGCAGGAGTGGGCAAGGACAGCCATCAAACCATGAACGAGTTAAAGCTGTAGGGCTACCTATAGTGCTTGCAGCTGGGTAATGAGTCTAATGCTTGAAGGAAGAAAGATCTTAGTGGTGAATCTCTATATCTGCCATAAATAGCTAACTAACCAACTAAAGAATGAATGAATTAACGAATGAATATTTCAGCAGCAATGATTTTACTAGCAAAGGAACATGTCCTGGGTAATTCCATGACATACCAATGACCAAAGATAAAATTAGATTTATCCTATAGGTCATGACATTACGACTTCGTGCAATGAAGAGAAGCAGATCTCCTGATGTTAATTAGAGAAGCATGGGTTATATGGCAAATTAGAAGCCATTTTCAGAGTGATCCTTAAGAACAGGCACACCATTGGTCTTGTTGTATATACATTATTTATATGTAATTCAATATCATAAGTGCTGTTTTTCAATGTTACAGTTCATTGAAAGTACCACATTTTGCACAATTGCCACTGTTTTTGTGGGGAGCACTTTTTGTGTTATATATATATAAACCAGACTTACAACTCCTCATGGAGACACAGGACACAGCAATTGGGGAAATGAGTAAGAAAGTTAATAAACTCATCTACAGAGGATGCACCAGGAGCATGAAAGGCCAAACAATTTTAAAGAGCCATTTACAGGCCAGGTGCGGCGGCTCATGCCTGTAATCCCAGCACTTTGGGAGGCTGAGGCAGGCAGATCACTTGAGGTCAGGAGTTCAAGACCAACCTGGCCAACATGGTGAAACCCCTTCTCTAATAAAAATACAAAAATTAGCCAGGTGCGGTGGCACACGTGTAGTCCCAGCTACTCAGGAGGCTGAATCACTTGAACACAGGAGAATCACTTGAACCTGGGAGGCGGAGGTTGCAGTGAGCTGAGATCACACCACTGCACTCCAGCCTGGGCGACAGAGCAGGAATACGTCTCAAAACAAACAAACAAATAAAAAACAGATGTTTACAGCGAGCAGACAAGGGACAGTTTAAAATAATATACTTGTGGTTGGTGGGGAAGAAGTGAGGAATATCATTAAGACTGCATAAAACGCAGCTTTAGAGAGTAACTCCAGAAACAGAGAGTGTCACAGACTGAGAGCTTACCATGTAGAAAAAAAAAGTCATTTGAGAATATCATTGTCTATTTAGAGAAAGGGAGTTATAAATTGAAATCCAGTGTTATGTTTGCTAAGACAGGTCACCTGGGAAGGAGGAAGATCATGCAATTAACAAAAGCAGAGACAAGTGTGTTTTCTGCACGTTTTTCCGTTTATTTTCCCAAGTTGGTGGATTTGAGGCAAAATCAACGGGAAGACTGGGATATAATGTTTCTAATCAGACAATCAGAGTGCTCTTTTTATAATCAGCCACAGAGAAGTATGAGCATCTCTGTTTCTCTATGGGCGGATTTTAGGGTAATATCAGAGAAGGCAAAATAATTTGAACAGAAATTTGGAGCTAGATATTTCATAGAATGCTCACATTAGCATATATGTTCAGCCTGATATTGCAAACATTTGAAACCTATTTTCAGCTCCAATGTTGTTAGTATCGTGCTCTACAAGCAATTTTCTTATTACAGTTTGGCTTTTCTCAGAAACTATTTACAGACATAAAGAAGGCATAAAGTTGTTTAGTCCCTGAATAACAGCCTTCATAGTTATCAATGTAAGCCAATAAATTAGTATTTTTGTTATAGTCACTGACGTCTGTAAACTTAGCTAATTGATTCTACCTGTGAGAGACATCCTGCCATTTGATGTGCTCAATGTCAGATTTCTTAATCTATCTGGATCAAAGCCAGTGTATGAAACACACTGATTTCTCCAAGATAAATTCCTATTTGTAGGGTCTGAGGAGCATGCCATCCTAGATTCCTTACTCCTTACATTGTGAGACATCTTTGAAATTTTCACATAACTATTAATATAAATAATTACTAGAACTTTCTAGGACATAAATTCTTTAAGTTCAGAGGACTTGACTTTATTCACTGACATATCCCAAATACTGAGAACAGTGCCATGCATAGAGTAAGCATTCAATAAATTTGTAAATGCTCACTCTCATTAAATGAAATTGTTGCTATATATAATTTTAGCATACATAGAGACAAACATATTACTATAGATAATTTAGGACTATGGGTTTATTTTCTTTGTACCCTTGAATGAGTCCCGGGGATCCCAAACGATAAAGCAAAACACCACTCTCTACTCTGGAATTTATTATGATATGCAACGTAGATTGGCAGCTCTTAAAATAACAGTTAACATTCCAACTTGGTGAGTTTACTATAAACTGTTTATTTTATTCACTTATATTTTCATCCATATTACATTTTATCGAGGATGGTGAAATATTTCCATGTTAGATGCATTATTTCCTCTTTGGAGGAATTTTCCAGGTGTTGAGGGCTTTCATGGGTGAGATCGTAATTTTCAGTATAATGGAAAAGTTAATACAATCAATTCTTACCTTATGAGTGAGTACAGAAAAAGGTTTAGCTCTTATGAAAGCTGAAACAACTGGCTTAAAATTTTCTAATTCTCTTGTGGTTATAAAATGCTTCCGAATTCTAGCATGTGATATACTTTCAAGTATTCCACTATAACAACTTTACTAATACAAAAAAAAAAGTTTACATTAGTCACATTGTAAATGGTTTCTTAGACTTCTTTAAGCTTGTCATTTTTCTAAATATTTAAAGAAGACTGAACCACCTTTCAAAGTGAAGTACTCTCAAATAAGTAAATGAGAGTAAAAAAAATTAGTGGAGGGGGCTAAAATTTGAGTGTGGTTGAGAATCGTCACAGTGATTGTTTCTTGTTGTTCAGCATGATTCTCCCCTGTGCACCTTCTGACAAAAAGCCCTGACCCTGGGTACAGTAGTGATCACAGAATCCAGGGATAGCCAACAATAATGCCCAAGCCTGTGACCCAGCAGGGTCAATCAATGCCCTTCCCTGGAATTTGCCTCTGGGGGTCGGGGAAGGAAAGAGGAGTATATTTCTGTTCTAGATGTTAATCTTTGTAAACAAGGAACTTGGAACAGCCATTATTACAAGCCACAAAGTAGATGAATGTCAATGATGGGGAGCAATACAGAAAATGAAATGGAACTACGTGACAGAGAAGATCAAGAGGAGAGCAGATTGCAAGGGATCTACTTTGCAAGGGCACTTTGTTGTCATCTGGGGTGTCTGGGAGGCCTTCCACTAGGAAGGGAAATTCAGGTCTTCACTCTTGATCTCACCCTTCCTGCTGCAGTTTCCTTCACTTTGCCTAGTCAACTGCTACTCATTCACAGGTCAGCTAATCATCCTTTCTCCCTGGAAAGTTTCTTTGTCCTCTATAGTTAGATGAAATCTCTTTATTACACTGTTAGGATATGTTTTCATACCACCACATGCTTTTCTTTTGGAACACTTTCTCAGAATTGCAAGTTAATTTGTGCAATAATTTGCTGCTTTTTGTTTGTTTGTTTGTTTTTTTGGTCCTTGGACTATAGTATTGTTGAGGGCCAGGGCGCATGTCTGAAGTTACTCCCCAGTATTATCACAGTTACCTGGCACATTGTACATGATAAATATGTTTCCTGAATGAATAAAGAATAAAATATAAATGTGAAACTAATCTGGTTGTGAAGTAAAAGACCAAGTATTTTCTAAGCAGAGGAAATAGTGTACATGTAAAGACTCCAAACACATTAGAGTCTTATCTCAATGAAGAAGCTGTTTAAAAGAAAACCACAGTGAGTGGAAGAGAGATAATGAAAAGGGTGGAAACACTGGGCAAACTTTGAAGAGTTTTAAGCAGAAAAATGACATAATTTATTTGTCCCATTATTAGGATCTCTCTGACTACTGTATGGAAAATGATTGGAATTGTGTTGGGTGGATGTAAGTAGAACAGATAGGAGGCTGTATATGGATCCAGCAAGAAAATAACTGGAGTTAAAGTGGGATAGTGACAATGGAGATAGAGAACCAAGAATATTAAAGGGTGTTTGAATGAGAACATATAACATTTATATTTAACAAGTAGGGCAGTCCAATATTTTTATTATAACTGGCTAGTGCTCTCTTTTAGCAAACAATGTCAATTTTCCATTTACGTGAAAACTACTCGATACATGCTTCTAAGCTTAGGTTATTTAGTGCCAAGAAAACAGAAATGAGGAGTAGTAGCAATAAATGAGTGGAAAGTCAATTATTTGCTATTTAAATTCTTCAGGTATTCAATTTTATGGAGGTTATGCAACCAGCTAAGAAAGCAGCCGATTCATAAAAATGCATAAATGCACTTCATAATGTTCAGGATATGCTCACTTATATTTGGCTGTATTCATAGTAAATTCCAAAGCTTAAATCAATAGGTACACAAATTAGACATACTATACTGAAAGTTTTGTTTTATAAAATATGAGATGCTTAATTCTATTAGCCATGAAAAAATGTTTAGTGTGAAGCTCATGTTAATAAAAGCTCCCAATAACCAGGGAAAGTCATTAATGTTTTTAAAGAATATAGACAGTTTCACTCTATCTTTTGTTATTCTATTGACCATTAGTCAACAGTTGAGAATCAGGAATTTTATCATGATTCTAAAATTAATTTGTGCAGCAGTCATATTTTTAGATAACAACTGTATAATAATGAAATACATAGGTCAAGATGGATGATGGAATACTTGGAATTTTCTATGATCTTTTTGAGAAAACCTATTGAAATGTCAAAAATAAATCCTAATAAAACATCTGTGTTAGTGTTAACAGCAGTGAACCCACACAGGTTTGCAGCAACTTAATTCTTGCCTCCTCAAAGGAAATAAGTTGTCTGAGGGGCATAAGGCAGAGTGAGAGACCGAAGCAAGTTTTTGAGCAGAACTGAACGTTTATGAAAAAGTTTTAGAGCAAGAATGAAATGAAGTAAAGCACAGTTGGAAGAGAGCCAATCGGGCAACTTGAGAGATCCAAGTGTGCTGTTCAGCCCTTTAGTTGGGGTTTTATATATTGGCGTGGTTCCAGAGATTTGTGTCTCTCCTCCCGGCATGGTTCTGGAGATTTGTGTCTCTCCTCCCTGGATGTTTCCTTGGGTGAGCTGTTCGCATGTGCAGTGGTCTGCCAGCACTTGGGAGGGGCTTTAAGTACACTAATTTTTGACTGTTAGCATCTGCCTGTATCCCTGAAATAAACCCAACTTGGTTTTGATGTATTATGCCTTTTTTATGTTTTGGATTTTGTTGGCAAGGATCTTAATATCTATGTTCATGAGAAGATCCACCTGCAACTTTTCTTTCTTTCACAGCCTTTGTCAGTTTTGATATCAATATTATGCTGGCCTCATAAAATATGTTTGAGTACTCTTTTTTTTTTCTATCACATGGAATATCTTGTGTAAATTTGGTACTTCTTGACTTACCAATGAAGTCCTCTAGTCTGCTGTTTTCTTTGTAGAGAGGCAGGCATCTGTTTGTTTAATATAACAACTTTATTGAGGCATAACTCACACACCATACAATTCACACATTTAAAGTACTCAATTCAATGTTTTCAGTATCCTTCTAGAGTGATATAATTATCACTACAGTCAATTTCAGAACATATTCATCATTCTACAAAGAAACCCCATATCCATTAGCGGTCACTCCCCATTTATCCTCAACTCCTCCAAACTTAAACAACCATGAATCTACTTTCCAAATGTGTGGACTTCCCTATTCTAGACATTTCGTCTAATTTAAATCATACAAATTATGATCTTTTGTGACTGGAATCTTATCATTTTAATGTCTTCAAGGTTTATCTATGTCATGGCATGTATCACTAATTATTTTCTCTTTATTACCCAATAATATCACATTGTATGGATATACCAAATTGTATTTAACTATTAATATATATATCAGCTGGTAGATAGCTGGATTGTTTCAATTTTTTGGTTAATATGAATAATGCTGCTATTAACAATCATGTATAAGTTCTTGTTTGCATATATTTTCCCCTTGCTTTTGGGTATATACCTAGGAGTAAAACTGCTTGGTTTTATGCTAACTAAGCATACCCTTTTGAGTAACTGTCAAAGTGTTTTCCAAAGTGGCTGCACTGTCTGACATCCTCACAGCAATTTATGAGTGTTCTGACTTCTCCACATCCTCTCCAAAACTTAGTACTTTTTCTTCTTGATTATAGTCACCCGAGAGTGTGTGAATTGATATCTCCTTGTGATTCTGATTGGCATTGGTGTGATTAATCAAATGTTGAACATGTCCTTATTGGCTCTTTTTGGAGTAATGTCTATTCAAACCCTTTGTTCATTTTTAAACTTGGTTATTTGTCTTTTTCTTGTTTCTTTATTCATTCTGGATACAAATCCCCTATCAAATATATGATTTTCAAATATTTATGATAAATGGATCCATGATTCAAGAAGAGGAAGTAGACATGCATGTTAATGTACCTAAGAACAGAGTTTCAAAATATATTCAGCAAAAATGGACAGAACATATATGTGGTGCAGGACCCAGATATAAGACCCAAAAAACTATTCATATGTGCCGTCATAACATTTTGGTAAAATAAAGACTTGCATGGCTTAACTGCAAGTTCCCCTTTCTATAAGTTTCCTAGTCTAGGGGACCAGGCAGAATTCCTGCTTATCTCTGAATAGGGGATTTCATTTCCCTGCCAGCCCACGGAATTATTCAAACAGGTCAATCACATCCTTTAGTGGAAACAAGGGGTCATCTCACCTTCTTGATACTACAAAGCCTGCCTCCCACAGACCCTGCCTGTTCACTCCATTCCCAAGTGTAAACCCTGTGTGGCAAGCAGGTCCTCCTCCCACAGGCTGTGAGTATACGTGACTAACAAAGTGCTGTAGATCGCATCTGTCCAGTGTCAGGTGGCATGTGTTTGGCCATCTGCTTAACCCTAGGGTGAAATCCATCCCGCACCAATGGGAAGAATTTGAGGCAATTAAAACAATTGGCATAATGAACAGGATGGCCCAACCATAACCTAGGACACCTGGTCAGCTTTAATTAACTGTTCTTTGCTAACTAACTTGTTCTGTGATACGGTGAAGCCTTTAGAGACAGAATCGCCAATTACTGGTCGGTTTATGCTTTTGTCTGTGCAGTTTGTTACCTTTTTTGAGTTTTTCCATCAATTCCCACCCTAAAACACTCTTCTCCCTAAGACCAGAATTGTTATTAATTGACTATACCTTAACATAGCCTAATGTCAGACTGAGCACATGTTTGGCAAGTCAGAAAGGCAGTGATAACACAGGGCCTTGACTAACCTGTGCTTGAGTCCCACTAAACAGAGGACAGACTGGAGCTCTTTGCTCACTGCATCTGTCCTGGTGATGGTCAGTGGCAGTTTGGGACAGCCATATCAATTGGCATTACAAACAGAATGGCCCAACAGAATGGGATGGTGGATAGGTGGGGATAGGACCAGTAATGGACCTTTGTGAGGCTTGTGTGAATGAAGGTGACCACCACTCCAGAGAGAATTAAGTGTGGCACTTCATTGCCTAATGTGAGCCATTGATGTTCAGGCAAGGGTAGTGGCTTTGCTCATCTTCGGTGCTTCTGCTTCTTTTGCTGTTGTCCTGTGTTGTTCCCTGACCTCCCAGGGTAATGAGGTGCCCAACCATGGAAACCTGTGGCGCAGACACTGATGAGAAAAGGGGAAGGAGAATGCACAACCCCTAGCCAGTGTGTCTAGGCTTTGCTTAGTAGTGCTGCTTACCAGCAGACCAAAGGAATAATCTTGCAGTCACAAGCTCGATGGCTGCCACCCCCAGCAAGACAAAATGAAATTATGACTGTGAAGCTCTTACCTGGGAAGATTGACTGGCACTCCCTGGAGAAGGAGGGAGGCACTCATGAGGGCAACTGTTGGGCTCCTGGGTTTTTCCCTGTAACCACCCACAATGCACTTTGCACCCTGAATAATCAGACAGAAATAGAAACTAAAAGTCATGATTTATGTGATTAGAAATTCAAAATACTCTGAAGGAATGTGTACAGAGAGAAAAGAGAGGAAGAAAAGGAAGCCTGCACTGCAGAAAAGGCGAGGCCATAGCAGAAGATGGTTACAGTGCATCAATATCTGGTTTATGAGCCCAGCACTCTAACTGTGCCACTCTGCTGCCTTTGTCTCTCTTGCAACAAACATCCTGATTCTCTGGGTATTAGGGAAAACACCCCAGACACCACTGAGGCACAATAAGAGTTCATTTTAGTTTGACTTAAGCTCGAGGTCCTTCATCCCTATAAAGCAACTACTGCCACCAAAGAAGTCTCTAACCACAATGATACTGATTTGAGGCTCTCTGGAGGAATACATTTATCAGTATGAGTGGAGTAGAAAGGAACCCTGCACCCCACACACACTCGTGTAAATACAGTGACAAACATGGACAACAAAAAGAGAAAGGAAGGAATGAAAGACGAGGGGAAAGGAGGAAGAAACCTCGATAAAGAAGGAGAAAACAAAAAAACTAGAAAAAATAGGTGCACACATTGACCCAACTGGAAATCCAAACTTTACTAAAATAATTTGTACAACAAAAATATAAAAGGGAGTTGATTAGCTTTTGCACCTCTACAACATAGGTTCCAAATTAACTTTACCATCTACTAAAATGCACTAATAGCATTTTGCACAAACCTTCACAGCTTTAATTAATACTAGGATTCAAATTATAGTTATAATTGAAGATTCCACTAAAGTTAAACATGACAACTCCTATAATTTTAAGAAAAAACGCTGAATATAAAATAGAGAATAAATAGGTATGCCACGATGTCCTAACTGCAAATTCTCCTCTGACCCCTCCTCCCAAAGATAAGGTCCACAGCCAAGCCACCCTTCTTTTCAGAGGAACTAGGCACAGTTCCTGTTTAGGCTTGGGTTCTCTCTTTCTCTCTCAGAGACTGCACATAAATTATGTATACAATTCCATGACTTGGACATATGCACACACCTGTGAAACTGTCACCAAAATTAAGGAAATAGACATATACATCACCTCCAAATGTTTCTTTTTGCCTTTTTTTAAAACAAGAACACTTGACATGAAATCTACTCTCTTAATAAATTAAGTGTGCAATAAAGTATTGTTAGACATAGGCACGATGTTGTACAACAGATCTCTAGAACTTACTCATCTAGCATAACAGAAACTTTTATTTATTGGCTAACTCCCCATTTCCTCCTACCCACTGTCCTTGGCATTCACCATTTGATGCTTCTGAGTTTGACTATTGTAGATACCTCGTATAAATGGAATCGTGTTGTCATGTGTCTGTCTTATTTCATTTAGCATAATGTTTTCCAGCTTCATCCATGTTGTCACCAATGACAGGATTTGCTTCTCTGTTAAGGCTAAATAATATCTTATTGTATGAACTCATCTCTGACTAGCAGGTTTTAGTTACCTGCTACCCACTCAATTCAAACAAATTAATCACATCTTCTGCCTGGGAGGAGAGGTCACTCTGTTGTCGTGATTCTATAGAGCCTACCTCTCACAGCCTACAGTTGTTCATACTCTTCTGTAGAGTCAATAAAATTATAAAAAAATTTTCCAACAGGATTTTGTGGGCAAATTAATAATTTATTATTAAAATTATATGGAAAGACAAAGGAACTCTAATAGTTGAAATAATTTTTAAAATGAAAACTAAGTTGGAGAATTCTTGCTGCCATATTTTCAGATTTAACATGAACCAATAATAGTACTCAACATCAGGTGGTCTTTGAAAAGGATGTACGTATACATAGAGAGAGAGATGCATGGAACAGAGGAGTGAGTCCAGAAACACGTTCACACGAATATATGCTCAATTGATTTTCATCATTATACATTACATATCTATATATATTTATATAGATATGTAGAAAGAGAGAATAATTTGTACTTTATCAAATAAACTTTTTCTCTGTGAAAATTACTAAGATATTGAAAACTCAATGCAAAAAATTAGAGTAAATATTTTCAAATCATATGCCTGATAAAGGACTTGTGTGCAGAATATACAAACAACTCTCGAACACTCCTAAGAAAGTAATGAAAAAGTAGGCAAAAGAGTTAAACACATCTCACCAAGGAAGACATCATATATATGACAAGAATATAAAAATGCTCAATCTCTTAGTCACTTGGCAAGTGAAAACCACATGTATATAACATATACCTATTAGAATAGCTTCTTTAAAAAGGAAAAAACCTCAAGTGCTGGCAAGAATGCAAAACTGGACAATTCATACATTGGTAGAAGAAATGCAAAATACCCAGTTTAGAAAACAATCTGGTAATGTCTAATTAACATTTATTTATGTTATGATCCAGCCTACTTGGCATTACCTTCATAAACATATATTTATAGTACCTATATTTCTAATCCCCTCAAACTGGAAACTTGCCAAATATTTTTTAAGTGATGAAGCGTTAAATTAACTGTGGTACACCTGTAAAATGGAGTACTGCTCATAATAAGAACAAAGCGCTAACACATGCAACAAATGGATAAACTCACGTAAAAGAAGTCAGACTCAAATGCTACATGCTGTTTGATTCCATTTACATGATGTTCTTACAGTAGCAATACTGTGGGAACATGGAACCCATGTATGGATGCCAGAGACCACGAGCTGGAGAGACAATTTTGAAGGAGATGGGTTTATTTTTAGAATATAAACGAACTGTTCCATATCTTGGTTGTGGTAGTGGATACGCAACTGTACACGTTTCTCAGCATCCACAGAACTATACACAGAAAGCGTGAAAGGTTTTGTGTGTAAATTCCATGTTAATATAAAATATATATTAAAAAACACCAGCCTTATTAATGATTCATATTAAGAAAACAAAATGTCATGTCGTTAAGCTACCTGGTCCTGCAAGCCATGGAAGGTGGCTCTTGGGAATACTACAGATACTTTTTTTTTGGCCATCATGCTGTGATAGAGGAGATCACTTTGTAATTACTGACTGTATACTCACTCTTAACTTTTATATTGTGTGATATATTTGACCTTAAATGTTTATAAAAGTAAAAAAAAAAAATCAAACCTGGAAACAACTGCAATCCTAAGTCTTATACTATGAAACTACATCCCAAACTTAGTACAATATAGACTAAATTAAGGGAAGAGTTCAAGAGAAACATATTTCTCTACATTTTGAGAACCCTATGGAATTCTGTAAAAATTGCAGCAACTGAAGCATGGGCTCATTACCTCTCTCCTGAAATGACAAAATCAAGGGATGTGGAAGCATTTCTGGTTTCAAAGGACTCCACAAAATCACAGGGGGTGGGGGTTAATGAAAAAACATACCATGATTATAAGAAATTGAATTTTTTGCATGGATGTGGGTTGAAAGTAAAGAGGGCTTCTGGGGGACATTAGTATGTGTGGTTATTAAGGGAGTGACCTTGTATTGCCAAAGTTTTGTCAGGAAAGCAAAATCTGCTTCTATGATCTCCTGTGACATTGTCTTAATCAATCAGGATTGTTAGGTCCCTCAGCCTGCTGCTGAAGACAGTTTCTAAGTGTCCCAAATAAGGTTGGAAATAGAATGAACATTAGAAAATCCAGCCCCGCCTCTCTTTCATCTGTCTTCTCAGATTCTAGAGGAGTCTGAATGGGGCATGTACATGTGTTTCTGTGTTTTTGTGAAGTAGTAGTTGAAGAGGAGCATTCTACTATTGCCATCTTTCTTATCGAGGCACATTCTTTACTCTCCAAATCCTCTCTCCATCCTAGGGTTTAAGATTTGCCACATAAATGGCAAGAATATTCTGGACATTTTGGATTTATCTTCCCATCATATCCACTTCCTCAGGCTTTATACTCAGTGCATAATGAAAAAGAGAAGAAAAAGGGAAAATATAGAATGAAGAAAATATGTATTAACATCTCAAAATATTAAATACTTATGATTAAGTTTAAAGGCCTACCAACAACCCTAAAAATAAATGTGAAGTTCATAGATGAGGAAAACTCTAGTATATAAATTACAGCATGAGTAAGTATTAAATGTGCTTGTCCTTAGATAGGAAGACATTAGACAAATGTCAACTCTCCTAAATTAATCTATACATTTTGTGTTTTGAGGACTGAGGTGAGAACTTGACCGAATTTTATTATAGTCATAGGAAATATTAAGCAACCAAGAGAAATGTAAAAAGAAAAAAAAAATTAAATGAGGAGCTCACTATCCTTTTGAGGTTTTAAAAACTCTATGATCACTGTTAAAAAGCAGTAGTAATAGATCTAAAACCATATGGGAATTTAATACCTGGCCAAAGTGACATGTTAACTAATTAGAGAGCACAAACTGTCTCGTTATCCTTCTCAGAAAAACTTCATAAAGATTTCAGGAAAAATGATGTTGGATTTATCATTTCTTTCTTATGCAAAGCAGAATAAGATCAAACGTTTGATGTAAAAAATTGTACCATAAATATACCAGAGAGAAACAGAAGTTTTGAAAAAAAGATTAAGAAGATTGTTTCTAAGTCAAAAATGAAGCGCAGGAGTCATGCAATCAAATTATCTTTTATTCTGGATGCATACAAATTAGAAATATTTAAACAGTAAACAATATTATAAACAGCAAAACAAAGCTTATAAAGAACAAACAAAATAAGAAACAAATGGTTGCCAACTGTATTAGTTTATTCTCACACTGCTATAATGAACTACTTGCGACTGGGTAATTTATAAAGAAAAGAGGTTTAATTGACTCACTATTCTGCATGGCTGTGGAGGCCTCAGCAAACTTGCCATTATGGCCAAAGGTGAAGGGGAAGCAAGTTATGCCTTATATGGTGGCAGGAGAGAGAAAGAGCAAAGGGAAGTGCCACACTTTCAAACCATCAGTTCTCCTGAGAACCCATTCACTATCACCAGAACTGCATGGGGGAACCACCCCCACGTGAAATTACCTCCCACCAGGTTCCTCCCTTGACACAGGGGGATTACAATTCAAGATGATTCGGGTAGGAACACAGAGCCATGCCATATCATTCCATCCCTTGCCCCTCCCAAAACTCATGTCCTTCTCACATTGCAAAATACAATTATTCCTTCTCAACAGTCCCCTGAACTCCAAATCCAAATTCCCATCTGAGACAAGAGAAGTCCCTTCTGCTTATGAACCTGTAAAATCAAAAGCAACTTAGTTACTTTTGATTGCATGCATGTGGGTTGAAAATAAAGAGGGCTTCTGGGGGACATTAGTGTCCACAGGGTACAGGCATTGGGTAAATTCTCCCATGCCAAATGGGAGAAATTGGCCCAAACCAATGGGCAATAGCCCTGTTGCAAGTCTAAATCCCAACAGAGTAGTCATTGAATCTTAAGGCTCCAAAATAATCTCCTTTGACTCCATGTCTCATATCCAGGGCATGCTCAATACAAGAGGTGGGCTTCACCCATGTGGCTCTGCAGGGTACTGCCTCCACAGCTGCTTTCTTGGGCTGGAGTTGAGTTTCTGTAGCTTTTTTTCTTTTTCTTTCTTTTCTTTTTTTTTTTTTAGACATAGTCTTACTGTATCACTCAGGCTGAAGTGCGATGGTGCACTCTCGGCTCACTGCAAACTCTGCCTCCTGGGTTCAAGTGATTCTCCTGCCTCAGCATCCCAAGTAGCTGGGATTACAAGTGTTCACCACCATGCCTGGCTAATTTTTTTATATTTTTAGTAGAGACAGGGTTTCACCATGTTGGCCAGGCTGGTCTCAAATTCCTGACCTCAGATGATCCACCTGCCTCGGCCTCCCAAAGTGCTGGGATTACAGGCACAAGCCACCATGCCCGGCCATTTCTGTGGCTTATACAGGTGCATGGTGCAAGCTGTCAGTGGATCTACCATTCTGGGGTCTGGAGGATGGTGGCCCTTGTCTAATCACTCCAGTAGTTAGTGACCCAGTTGGGACTCTGTGTGAGGGCTTCAACCCTACATTTTCCCCTCTGCATTGCCCTAGTAGAACTTCTCCATGAAGGCTTCTCTCCTGCAGCAGACTTCTGCCTGGACACCCAGGCATTTCCATACATTCTCTGAAATCTAGGTGAAGGCTTCCAAAGCTCAACTCATGTCTTCTGTGCATCCACAGGGCCAACACCCCACAGAAGCTGCCAAGGCTTGGAGCTTACATCCTCTGAAGCAATGGCCTGAGCTGTACCTTGGCCCCTTTTAGTCACAGCTGGAGCTAGAGAGTCTGGGAAACAGGGTGCCATGTCCTGAGGCTGCACAGAGCAGTGAGGCCCTGGACCTAGCCCACAAAACCATTTGTCCCTTTTAGGCCTCTGGGCCTGTGATGGGATGGGGTGCCATGAAGATCTCTGAAATGCCCTGGAGACATTTTCCACATTGTCTTGGCTATTGACATTTAGATTCTCTTTAGTTATGTAAATTTCTACAGCTAATGGCTTGAACTTCTCCCCAGAAAATGGGTTTTTCTTTTCACTGCAAGGTCAGGCTACAAATTTTCCAAACTTTTATCTTCTGCTTCCCTTTTAAACATAGGTTCCAGTTTCAGATAATCTTTTTCTGAGTGCATATGACTGTACACTTTCAGAAAAAGCCAGGTCACCCCTTGAATGCTTTGCTGCTTAGAAATTCCTTCTGCAAGATACCCTAAATCATCTCCCTCAAGCTTAAAGTTCCACAGATGTCTAGGGCAGGGGGGAAATGCCACCTGTCTCTTTGCTAAAGCATAGCAAGAGTAACCTCTGCTCCATTTCCCAATAAGTTTCTCATCTCCATCTGAGACCACCTCAGCCAGGACTTCATTGTCTACATCACTATCAGCATTTTGATCAAAACAATTTAACAACTCTCTAGGAAGTTCCAAACTTTCCCTCACCTTTTTGTCCTCTTCTTAGCCCTCCAAACTGTTCAAACCTCTGCCCATTACCCAGCTTCAAAGGCCCTTCCACATTTTATGGTTATGTTTATAGCAGCACCTCACTCCTGGTGCCAATTTTCTGTTTTAGTCTGTTTTTACACTGCTGCAGAGAACTACCTCAGACGCATAATTTATAAAGAAAACAGGTTTAATTGACTCACAGTTTCTCATGGCAGGGGTTGCCTCAGGACTCTTGATCCAATTACCTCCCACCAAGTCTCTCCCAGACACACAGGGATTACAATTCAAGACAAAATTTGGGTAGGGACACAGAGCCAAACCATATCAACAACTATTGTAATGCCCAACCTTGTTTTTACTAACCCTGTTTTTAGACTGTCCCTTTTCCTTTAATCATCTAGCCTTGTTTCCACCTGCATTGACTCTCCCTTAACTAAGAGAGCCAGACAGACTCCATCTTGGCTCCTTCACTGGCAGCCCCTTCCTCAAGGACTTAACTTGTGCAAACTGACTCCCAGCACACCCAAGAATGCAATTAACTGATAAGATACTGTGGCAAGCTATATCCGCAGTCCCCAAGAATTCGTCTGATTGATAACACCCAAAGCCCCGCGTCTATCACCTTGTAATAGTCTTAAAGCCCCTGCACCTGGAACTGTTTACTTTCCTGTAACCATTTATCCTTTTAACTTTTTGACTACTTAACTTCTGTAAAATTGTTTTAACTAGACCGCCACCCCCCCACCCCACCCGCTCCCCTTCCTAAACCAAGGTATAAAAGTTAATCAAGCCCCTTCCTCGGGGCTGAGAGAATTTTGAGCGTTAGCCGTCTCTCGGTCGCCGGCTAATAAAGGACTCTTAATTCATCTCAAAGTGTGGCGTTTTTCTAACTCGCTCAGTTACAACACTATCAACTTCCTAAACTTAATTTATAAAATTAGGAATAAATAAACACAAGTATTTACAAATTAGGCTGGGGATTTGGTTGTGTTTAATTTAGCTTCTTTGTTTTCTTGACGTGTTTAACAACAATCAACAGTTATTGAGGTAAATATTACTTTTTGTTATCACATCTCACAGCATATGGAAAAGATCTTTAATGTTTCCATTGTTTCCTGATTGGGTTCAACTTCAATTATAGTTTAAGTAAGTTAAAGTGCAATACTTATATGATCCAATTCTAGAAAGTATGATAAAATGAAATAATATGCTCTTAAGAACTATATTGAAACCATCTATATTCTGAAAACAATATTTTATCATTATTAATACATAAAAGTTCAATAGAGAAAATGCAGCATCAATTAAGTAAGAAGTTAAATCAAAAGGTGTCAATCAGAATTAATTTAAATGGATACAATATATCAGATATCTGGCTAAGTATGTGGATATTCAGGATTTAGCTGCTGGAAACCTCAGTCAAATCTGCACATCACTCTGCATCCTTGAGCTATCACATCTCACCCCTCCTACTCCTCAGGGAACCTGAAGATTCAGGAGCCGACCTGATACTCTCTGGCCACCACACTGGGCTACACGTGGAACAGTAGGTGCAAAGAGGTCACTTGGGAAAAGTTGGATTTCAAACTCTAATTCAGACAATTTTTGCATGTTGTGACCATCTTGTTTTCTTAGATCATTGCACTCTCTTGGTCATAACAACAGCTAACAAGCTTTCTTGAGCTATTTTCTCATGAGAGATGATCCACCTTTGATTAAATGAAACTGTCCAATTGTTTCTCCAAGCCTTCAGACATCTTCCCATAGGAGTCAGGGTTTTGATGTAAAAGGATGATGCTTTCATATAATTTGGGAAGTTTCTCCTCTATTTCTAAGTGATACATTTCCTCCTCCATTGATTTTCTGCAAAGTTTGATTTCACATTCTTGATTTAGTTCAAGCAGTGTCTGGAGTTTCAAAGGAAGCTTTTGAATCTCAATTTTAAATAGTGCATTTCTCACTGCACTGCTCTAATTGGGAATTCTTAAAATACTGCTTGTTTTTCTCTTTTAAGTTTTTTTTTAAAGAAAATATTTAAATTAACAGCATTAACGAGCTTCTTCAAATTGATATTTGACTGATAATCTTGGTTTCCATTTTCTGAAACCCTTTTTGTCTAATGTCAATTTGTCATCATCTGTGTAATCTTCTCTAAAAGGAGATGTCAATTTGTCATCATCTGTGTAATCTTCTCTAAAAGGAGAAGATAAGTTTATCATCTTCAGCGCAGAGTCCATTAGAGATTTTTACTGATTCTCTTTACAATTGGCCTCTTTTTCCCTTTGTGTTTTGATGTTTTCTAACACATTTTCTGTCCCTTTAGGTCCCACATTCTTTTCTTCCAGCAGCTTCTCGGACAAAGAGCTTCTTGAAGCTGAACATTTTTTATCAAAACCATTAATAACTTTTCTCTGATATTGTCCTATAGTCTTCTGAAATGACATTAATATATTTTGGCCTCAGTTCCTTGGCACTGTTGGGATTGTGATGCCTCTTTCGAATGACTGTGTCTATCTTTCACTCCGACGAGCCATTATCACTCCGGGAAATAAAATTTTGTGGAATTGGCTCTTCTGTTCTTGGTCATGAGGCTCTTCTGTATCCCCCAGTGAAAAGATGGACCTGTCTGTACCATTAGTAGGTATTGCCAAACACAGAGTTTGTAACATCAGAGGACTGACCACCACTGCAAGTGACTAGATAACTCAAAGGCTTTATTTTTTTTATTTTTATTTTTATTTTTTTTGAGGAGTCTCCCTCTGTTGTCCAGGCTGGAATGCAGTGGCACGATCTCAGCTCACTATAAGCTCCATCTCCGCGGCCCAGGTGATTCTCCTGCCTCAGCCTCCCGAGTAGCTGGGACTACAGGCGCACGCAGCCATGCCAATTTTTATTTTATTTTTGTGTTTTTAGTAGAGACGGGGTTTCACCCTGTTAGCCAGGATGGTCTCGATCTCCTGACCTCGTGATCCGCCCACCTCAGCCTCCCAAAGTGCTGGGATTACAGGCGTGAGCCACGGCACCCGGCCAACTCAAAAGCTTTATTAATGAGTCTAATATTCCCGCTGTCTTTACATTTCTCTCTTTAACTCAGTCAGCAAGTCTCTGTGCTACCTCCTTTCCCTTCATAGTCATGTTGGCTCTTCACAATAAAAACAAAGCAGCACACACCAAAATTTTCAAGGGAATCCCAAACAGACTTAGCCTTGTGTCCGTAATTCAAATGACACCACCAGCACACCATGCAGTGGCCATACGAGTAGCTGGAAAGAGCTTTTGTGGTCATTGGTAGACCTTCCATAGATCCAGTGGCCACTGCAGCTCTTCCTCTGGTGGAAACCTGCGGACTACAACTTCCTGCCCAGACTCTAGGAGCGTCCAACCGTGAAACAAAACAAGTATCTGGTAACCAGAACAGACCATCAGTAGAGCTGTGTGGGGAGGAATGCTGGCAAGTGTATAAACTTTTAACTTTACTCTGGTCACCACACAAGCAGAATGTACTACTTGCTCAAAACATTGAATCAATGATTAACAGCCTTTTAAAACAGAGATCACCAGGCCCAGACGGGGTTGCTGGTGAATTCTAGCAAGCATTTAGGGAAGAAATGGTGTAAATTTTCTACAATTTTTACAGAAAATAGAAGCAGAGGAAACATTTTGTAATCCACTCTATAAGGTAAGTATTTCTCTAATACTCAAACTAGGTGAAGAACAAAAAACTACATAGTAATGTCTGTCTTAACATAGACATGAAAATCCTCAAAAAAATATTAGCAAATCACATTCAACAATACATAAGAATAATTATACAGCATGGTCAAGTGGGATTTATTCCAGGTGTTCAAGTTTGTTTCAACATTTGAAAATATTTATGTATTTTGAGACTATTTTGCTCTGGGCATACATATCTAAAATGGCTACAAATTCTATTTTATTATTATGTAGTATTCTTTTTATGATCCACAAATGCCTTGAGGGGAAAATATGATGTAGCTTAAAATAATGAGAATATGATTTTTTTCCCTGTGTGCATTAGAAATGTATCTGATTCACGTTAAATGAATTACTCAATTTCATTCATTATTACACTAGAAGCTTTTATTGTGCATGTTTATTTATATATTTCAAGTTTTCAAGTCATTTTATAATTAATATTTTATCTTTACATTTCAGAAAACTCCATATGCTTTCCTCTATGAGGGATTAGCTAATATGTAAGACCAATTTTCTTGTCAAGAACAAGTAGCAAAGCTGAAAAAAGAGAAACAAAACTGTATGTTTGAAGGCATAAGAGAGTGACCAGGACTAGAGCACTAGAGAAGCCAACATTCTGGTAGATGAAAGAGTCAACTGATAAAAAGGACCCTCTCCTTCTCCGTCTTACACTATAATTTTTGAATTTTTAACAGCATTAATAAAATTACTTATTAGTGTTTTCTATATTTAATAATTCCAAACTATTTCAATATTATACACTTTATATTTCTAGAAATAGTTCTCAGTTTGTTTGGTTTTTTTTTGAGACGGAGTCACACTGTCGCCCAGGCTGGAGTGCAGTGGCACCATCTTGGCTTACTGCAAGCTCCACCTGCCGGGTTCACACCATTCTCCTGCTTCAGCCTCCCAAGTAGCTGGGACTATAGGTGCCTGCCACCGTGCCTGGCTAATTTTTTTTATATTTAGTGGAGACGGGGTTTCACCGTGTTAGCCAGGATGGTCTCGATCTCCTGACCTCGTGATCCACTTGCCTCGTCCCCCCAAAAGTGCTAGGATTACAGGCATGAGCCACCATGCCCAGCCAATAGTTCTCAAAATTTTTATACTTGTGTCCTTAAATGTAAGTGTTGACAGAAGTATTTACAAAGCTAAAATCTGACTGTGGCAAACACATTGCAAATATACCTCCAAGTAATAGAAATTTAAATTTGACTGAGTGGGTGTATAATCTTTTTACATACTGGCCTCATGTGAAAAATATCTGGTCAGAGATAAAGTTTCTTCGTCAGATAAATTAGAAATTTGGGCCAAGAAATCGTGTCTAAATCCTCACTGAATACAAGCTTGTACCTTTCCTCATTGGCTTCATGTAGAACTGTTCTACCGTGTAGAGAAGACAGGACTAACCGGCTGTCAAAGAGGGATGAAAACTCATTCTTGTTGATACCAAGTATCCGTTGTGAATGAAGCTGATGACACTTTTTTGATGCAATGAATTTTCCAAATGTTCCTTACCAAAATCTTGTATGTTCAAAGAAAAATATTTATGCAGACAACTTTACAGTAATGTTTTCAAAAGCCTGATAAAGCTATACTAACATGATGCCTCAATTGGTTTATGATTTGCTTTTATAATTATGGCATTTTGATTTTTCTATTTGCTGAAAAAAACGCACATAGGAAAAATGTATACAAGATGTTTTGTTCTGAGCCTTGGAAGGGTTCTTTAAAATTGTACACCTTTCTGAGTATGTTTTATTACATGATGTAACTCAATTTGACATGTAACAGTAACAGAATGTCAGGCTGAGAGTATTTTGAAAAGAACCACTCTTGTTCGAAAGGCCAACAATTCTAGAAGTTGAAAATATAAGATTTGTATTCTCAAATTTATAACAAAATAATACAACTCAATGTTTGTGGTATATTAGGTATTAGTAATAAATCATTGCCTCTTTATTGTGTGAGAAAGAGTATCCTTAGAGAAGGCTAACATTGCTTTTTAACTAATTACACATGTATTTTGAGATGATATCCAGTATACTTAAGTGTTGTGATTATAACGACTTTTTTTTTCTCCTAATAGGGTCTTCCATCCAAACTGAAGGTTTGTCATTTTATTAAGTACACACTAGACATATGTCTGCATAGTGAAACATATAGAAGTAAAGAGTTAGCTGTACTGGGCCATAATTAGAAACTCCTTCTTGACAAATAAACATCATTTTGCTACCAAGCTCGGTCTTCTAGTAGAGTAATAACCAGCTTGTAGAACAGAACAGTTGGGCTGGAATGGACTTGAGCAAATATTTAATATGATTCTTCATTTCACAGAATACTATAACCAGAGAAATTGACACTCATTCAAATTTTTAATATTAGTGTGTGAGAAAAAATGAAATCTGTATTTTGGACACCCACAAATCTATGTGCTGTACACCACACATATTCAAGCAGGTCAGTGATATTTCTACTGAAGCAAAAAGATGCCAGTGAGAGTGAAAAAGCAAATTAGTCCCACGCATCAAGGCAACAGTTTCATTTTTAGGATAAATAATGTATACCTGAAAAATGAGCTAAAGTTATAATGAGAAAAGACCTGAGCTTACAATCAAAAGTCTAAAAGGCATATTCATATGCAGCTGTTACTCCATTTTTTACTTCAAACAAGTCGCTTTATGAACCTGAATCTGTTTCTTTTCTGCCTACCTTCCTTTATAAAGTTACAATAATTAAATAAGATTATGTTTTTTGAAGCTCCTTGAAATCTGTTGAGTGCTGAAAAATGTAAGACATTGTAAATGGTATTCAGCATTCCTAAAGTCATGTATATCTGATTTGGCAAATGTGAACTCAAAATATTTATGTATTAAAAATTATATTGATGAAATTGTATTTAATACATTTTATGTGTTTCTAAAGTTTTATTTTCTTTTTCAGTCCCATTAAAAACTCTAACACTGACAGCACATAGCAGGCTTATGAAATATTTTTCTTAAATTGGATAACATATTAATAGTATATTCATATATTTAAATAAAATTAAACACTTTTATATTTATAGTATCAATTTGGGGCAGAAAAGTAAAACAAACTCTATAGCATGAAGAAAGAAGTAAAAAAGTCTGGAAAGCTCATTTTAGACTCCCAAAGGGATTAACAGTAGGTACTAGATAGATGTGAAAAATTGTGTACTGGTATTTATTTATCTCTATACAATGTATACCATCTAAAACCCAATGTGCCTACATTCTAACAGTTATACTTTTTGTCTTTGGAAAACTACTTATCATTGAAACTTAAACATATACAAATACAGTAATAATAATAAAACTTTGAAATTATAAAAGTACATGGAAAGTAGTGTCACTAAAGTTTAGAAAAATAATATGACACTTCGTTTAAAAATACACTGCTCAAATAAAAATAATTTTATTTAATGTATTTTTCTGTGGAAAATTGTTTAGTTAATTTGCTTCTGCATTCAATAAGCCTATTGATATTCATCAGATATTTAGTAATCAGCTCTATGCTCCCTGACATCCATGATTTCGGTCAGTTTTTGTGAAATGTGTCAAGCTATAAATTTACAATACATTGTGTGGAGGTTGAATTTTTCCCAAGAAATAATATGAAAACTTTTATACATTTCTGTTTTACTTATAAAATATTAAACAATAATATCTCAGAATATATCATGTAAAGTTACTAATATTAAAATTCACAAAAACTTGAATTATATTGTGTTATATGTACAAGTAGCAAAGTGCCCACTCTAGGTGAGGGTTAAAAGAGAATAAACCTGACAGGTGAACTTAAAAGTATTGAATAGTAGTGTGCGCTCATTTACATGGCAACCTCTGGGGAACTCCTTGGGGAAAATTATTTTTAACCAAATCTGTAATTGACATGAGGACATATACATATGTTTTTGACAGATTTGGAGGCCCAAATGGAAATCAAGTTGTAGGAAACTAATTAGGTGTTTGATAGAATTCATCATAAAGAAAAATATCTGGCACAGAAGTCCAACTTAGCATTAGAACATACATTTTAGATGGAATTGGTGATTTTGAGAACTAGAATCAGCCAAACCCAGTAACTCAGTGGGTATACAGATGTCTGGAGAAAAAGAGTATGATACATTTGAATGGAAAAGACTGTTCTGGTAAGCTCTGCAACATGAAAAAAAAATGTGCAAAATTTAGGAGAAGAGACTACAAAAATTCAGTGATTTAGTATCCTTCAAATATGGGGAATATTGGGAAATAAACCTTTATAAATTTTAAAGAATTGTGGCAATTCAAATTTGGACAATATTTGAAAATATAAATATGGTTTTATTTGTAAAAAAAGTTTTCATTTGTAAATTAAAGGGGTACAATAAAGGATAATTATTTTCAATATGAATTTTTTCAATATTGAAATTATTTACAGAAATTGAAAAGCAAGATAACTCTACAATGTACCTATAATATATTTATAAAATATGTATGATGTTATATATGGGGTTTTACTTCTTCATGAGGTGTTACATTTTGAAGTATCTTTTGTATTTCTTTTCTTCGTTTTCTCTTTCCATTCTCCTTCCACTCCTGTACCCCACATCCTTTTCTGACGTTCAAAACATCCTCATTCATCTCAAGAAATGTAAGTTATCAAAGCATTACTGGTAGCCTTCAGGGTTTACCTGAGGAAAACTAGATAGAATATACAGAGTCTTTGTAGAGAATAATAAAATATCACTAGACATGACCTCTCTTGCTTGGTAGAGGAAGCAATCTAAAGAAAAAGTAAGTGGATAAACATTATTGAGAAACCAGTGGGACACAAATATTCGTTAATTTTATACAAAATATAAATAAAATGAACTTGGTTCAAAGCTAATATATTAAGAAATTATTTCCTCATTGACCATTGGGAACTAAAAATAGCACAAAATCTCCCAAACACTTTACTACTAATAAATTTAGAAATGTGTTCTAAAGGTTTTTTTCTTTAATGTAAGATTAAAATACCAAGAGTTTAAAATTTACGATGTAATTTGATATAATCATTTAATATAATCAATGAAGGCATATGTTAGGATAAAAGGGGAAGAATATATCATTGGGCCATTTTAATTACTTAGGAGATCTAAAATTAATTATGCAGCTTATACTCCACCATGAAAAAAATGTGAAGCTAGTAAATTTCATACTGTAAGAGCCCATGTTAAGTTCCCAAATATAAGTATATATATAGAAAATCTGTGCAGAAAGAAAGTTATCTCTGAACACTGAAATTACAGAGTATTAGGAAATAGAATACAAACTTGCAAGTAGAAAAAAATTCCAACAGAATAAAAAGCATGCCCTTTTAAGGATATTTTATTTTTATTTTTTTATTATACTTTAAGTTCTAGGATACATGTGCACAACGTGCAGGTTTGTTACATATGTATACATGTGCCATGTTGGTGTGCTGCACCCATTAACTTGTCATTTACATTAGGTATATCTCCTAATTCTATCCCTCCCCCCTCCCCCCACCTCATGACAGGCCCTGGTGTGTGATGTTCCCCTTCCTGTGTCCAAGTGTTCTCACTGTTCAATTTCCACCTGTGAGTGAGAACATGTGGTGTTTGGTTTTTTTGTCCTTGCGATAGTTTGCTGAGAATGATGGTTTCCAGCTTCATCCATGTCCCTACAAAGGATATAAACTCATCGTTTTTCATGGCTGCATAGTATTCCGTGGTGTATATGTGCCACATATTCTTAATCCAGTCTATCATTGATGGACATTTGGGTTGGTTCCAAGTCTTTGCTATTGTGAATAGTGCCACAATAAACATACATGTGCATGTGTCTTTATAGCAGCATGATTTATAATCCTTTGGGTATATACCCAGTAATGGGATGGCTGGGTCAAATGGTATTTCTAGTTCTGGATCCTTGAGGAATTGCCACACTGTCTTCCACAATGGTTGAACTAGTTTACAGTGCCACCAACAGTGTAAAAGTGTTCCTATTTCTCCACATCCTCTCCAGCACCTGTTGTTTCCTGACTTTTTAATGATCACCATTCTAACTGGTGTGAGATGATATCTCATGGTGGTTTTGATTTGCATTTCTCTGATGGCCAGTGATGATGATGCATTTTTTCATGTGTCTGCTGGCTGCATAAATGTCTTCTTTTGAGAAGTGTCTGTTCATATCCTTGGCCACTTTTTGATGGGGTCGTTTGTTTTTTCTTGTAAATTTGTTTGAGTTCTTTGTAGATTCTGGATATTAGCCCTTTGTCAGATGAGTAGATTGCAAAAATTTGCTCCCACTCTGTAGGTTGCCTGTTCACTCTGCTGGTAGTTTCTTTTGCTGTGCAGAAGCTCTTTAGTTTAATTAGATCCCATTTGTCAATTTTGGCTTTTGTTGCCATTGCTTTTGGTGTTTCAGACATGAAGTCCTTGCCCACGCCTATGTCCTGAATGGTATTGCCCAGGCTTTCTTCTAGGGTTTTTATGGTTTTAGGTCTAACATTTAAGTCTTTAATCCATCTTGAATTAATTTTTGTATAAGGTATAAGGAAGAGATCCAGTTTCAGCTTTCTACATAAGGATAGTGAGTGTTCCCGGCACCATTTATTAAATAGGGAATCCTTTCCCCATTTCTTATTTTTGTCACGTTTGCCAAAGATCGGATGGTTGTAGATGTGTGGTATTATTTCTGAGGGCTCTGTTCTGTTCCATTCGTCCGTATCTCTGTTTTGGTACCAGTACCATGCTGTTTTGGTTACTGTAGACTTGTAGTATAGTTTGAAGTCAGGTAGCGTGATGCCTCCAGCTTTGTTCTTTTTGCTTAGGATTGTCTTGGCAATGCAGGCTCTTTTGGTTCCATATTAACTTTAAAGTAGTCTTTTCCAATTCTGTGAAGAAAGTCATTGGTAGCTTGATAGGGATGGCATTGAATCTATAAGTTACCTTGGGCAGTGTGGCCATTTTCACGATATTGATTCTTCCTATCCATGAGCATGGGGGATACATTTAAAGCAGTGTGTAGAGAGAAATTTATAGCACTAAATGCCCACAAGAGAAAGTAGGAAAGATCTAAAATTGACACCCTAACATCACAATTAAAAGAACTAGAGAAACAAGAGCAAACACATTCAAAAGCTAGCAGAAGGCAAGAAATAACTAAGATCAGAACAGAACTGAAGGAGATAGAGACACAAAAAACCTTCAAAAAATCGATAAATCCAGGAGCTGGTTTTTTGAAAAGATCAACAATATTGATAGACCGCTAGCAAGATTGATAAAGAAGAAAAGAGAGAAGACTCAATTAGACGCAGTAAAAAATGATAAAGGAGATATCACCACCAATCCCACAGAAATACAAACTACCATCAGAGAATACTATAAACACCTCTACTCAAATAAACTAGAAAATCTAGAAGAAATGGATAAATTCCTGGACACATACACCCTCCCAAGACTAAACCAGGAAGAAGCTGAATCCCTGAATAGACCAATAACAGGCTCTGAAATTGAGGCAATAATTAATAGCCTACCATTCAAAAAAAGTCCAGGACCAGATGGATTCACAGCCGAATTCTACCAGAGGTACAAGGAGGAGCTGGTACCATTCCTTCTGAAAGTATTCCAATCAAAAGAAAAAGAAGGAATCCTCCCTAACTCATTTTATGAGGCCAACATCATCCTGATACCAAAGTCTGGCAGAGACACAATAAAAAAAGAGAATTCTAGACCAATATCCCTGATGAACATCAATGCAAAAATCCTCAATAAAATACTGGCAAACCGAATCCAGCAGCACATCAAAAAGCTTATCCACCATGATCAAGTGGGCTTCATCCCTGGGATGCAAGTCTGGTTCAACATACGCAAATCAATAAGGATATTATTAAACGATTCTTTTTAAAAAAGATCACTTAATTATTTCTAGATCCTAGGGCAGTGTGTCTCTTTTCGACGTACTTACTTGTTATGTAATTTTGCCCACTGTAATGTTATATATTAATCTGTAGGTTTCTATCTGATAGATTAGCCCCAAAGATTATGGTTTTATTACCATGTAGGACATTAACCAGGATTGTAACTAATTAACAATCTTATCCTTACATCATTCTTCTATTCTCACTCTTCTTCCTTCTCCTTCTCTTTGTATACCCATAAATGCCCAGCTTCTCAAGTGCTACAGGAAATCAGCTTTATCATTTTAGTGATTTCCTCATTGATGACTTATATATATTTCTGGAACCCTAGAGTTATTCCCAAGTGATAATAGAAATTTCCCCCATCTCTCTGTTTCTCTGCCTCTCTTTCTCTCTGTCTCTCAATTCTGTTTTGGTTTCGTTTCAATTTCTTGATCAAGTTTGGTTCCGTTTCTGTTTCGTATGTGTCCAATAAGTTATTCCCCATTTGGAGATAACAGTGAGAAGGGTACTGGTTTTATGATCTGACTATTTGATGATCTCTACTGAGATGGTAAAAACTTTGTTTTTGGCAGTTAAGAGATGGAAGAAATCTGGTTATTTGGTTCCTTATTGTGTTTGTGTGCTTTTCTATTGTGGAGCTTAACTCAATGAAGAAAACATTTCTTGCACACTAGAAAGCAGAGCAGCCCTTTGAGATCTTCAACAGTAAAGTTTTTCCTCTGTGTTTAACTTGTGACTGAGGTTGTGGCAATTAAACTGCAAGCTCTTTCTATATCTGTGTGTTTATAACTGGGAAATACCTACACATCTTCTGGTGAGTTTAAAACACTTTCTTCCCTTCAGAGTATATCAATCACTTGGATTATAAAGTCTCTTAAATTGAGGGAACTTTGTTTAATTAGTTAATAGAGATCAACAAGGGTAACATAAGTTGAATTTTAGGGAAATCAAGAATTCCCAGGGAAACAAAACATCTGCAATAACAACATTTTAAATATACTAATATTTTAATAATTACTAACAACCAAACTCTATATGGTTTTGGGTACATGATCTTAAAATCATTTCCTATGTCCTTACTCAAAGACTTTTCTATTATTTAACCATGGATTAGTAAATAATATATAGATTTCTAGTGAAAAATAAGACAGGATATTGTAACTTTAATTAGCTTTAACTACATATATAGGTAATTTTATGTATATTCTCTTTAACAATTAGTATGTTACATAATGGCTGTAATTTGGCTCAAGTTAATGAACATATATATTTAGCCATTTTAAGAATGAGTGAAAGGGAGGTAGGTCTCAGTAGGTGATCAGTGATGTTCTCATGAGCCTTTGCTGTCTGCCAACATTCTTGCTATTGACGGTCAGGTATCAGTTACTACTTTGCAGTTTTCTCTGTGTAGTAGAAGTTACATTCATTAAAAGTTATAACTAACAATGATGTTTGAGATTATACTAGGAATGCTAATGTTGTAGAAAAGCAATTCTTTTCTATAACAGAAAAGGTCTTCATTTTAAGAGAAAAAAGAGGTTTTGTCTTAATGTAAACTTGTCAGGTCATTTTAGAATACACAAAAGTGAAATAAAAGAAAATGTTTAAATGTGTGTATCAAGTTTTAGAAAATTTGGCAGATGTTAATTTCATTTGCTTGGAAATAGGTTTCTTGCAAATAATGAGCCTGAAAAGAAGCAACAAAATATATTAAAATTTTGGCAAAATTTTATTTTTGATGGCTTTATCAATAATGTATTTTTAAATGAAAGTAGAATTTTTTTACTAATGCATATTATATTAATGCATAAGTAATAATTGATGTATCTAGTCTTTTCCTAACAAGGAGTATTTAAATGGTATGACCGGACAACTTCCTCATCAGACTAACTGAATCATCCTCAGTGCTTTGTTTTGCCTTTATCATGTTCTTGAGATTTAAACGATGATGAAATATTGTTCATATCTGAAGGAGCTGAGGTTCCTAACTATTGGGTTTCCTTCTCCTATGTTTACTTAAGATATTATATTGTCACATTGAGTAATTGTTCTTAGGCATCGATATTCCTATTTTAATCAAGTGACCAAATCTCCTCAGCTAATCTTTTAAATTTTGTCTTCTACCAAATCAGATGCTAAATTTAGTGAGGAAGAGCGCATGTCTTTTACAACTAAAGTCTGAGTTTCTCAGAGGGTTTCTGGGGAGTCACAAAGGTCTTTCACCTTACTCCCCAAAAAATGAAAAAAAAAAAAACCCAGATTCATTGGGAATGCTGCACATTTCTTGATTTGCTTCACACTATTTCACACTATTTTAAAAAAAGGTGCTGCATGGAAAGAGATTCCAAGCCAAATTATGATTTTATGCAAGTGAATTGTGAGTAATATAAGTATTTCCAGGATTCTACAATTTATAAAATGGATTTGAAGGCCCTCAAGAGTTGTCAATTCTCTCTCTGCCTGTAATATATTATCAGAGGCAACACTGATACAATTCTTATGAAAGTGTTATCTATTGTACTCCATTCAACAACTTCATTCCTCTCCAAACTAATATCATTCATTTCTATAACAAAATAACCACAACTATTGACTCTCATCTACAGATGTTTGCTGCTGTCATCTTATGCTTGCCTGAAGGCTCTGTTGTAAATTACAGAGTAAATTTTTGTCTTCAATAAAGAAAGCTGCACTCACAGACTCATGGAAAGCAATATACTGGGACTTTTACCTATTGATGCTTCACAGCATACATTCATGGTTATAGGCTTTGGAGCTTAAAGCTGACAATATTTAAACAAGTGTCAGATCATACCAGCAGACTGAGTCAGGACAGCTAGGTCTTTTTTAAAACTAGAAGCGGAAAACTTCATTAATAACAGACAGATGACCTATGACTCAGTAAAGGAATTAATTCCATTGGACTGAATGAATTAATGAGGGAAATTTAATTGTGGTTATTTGTTTACAGTATTGTTGATTTAATTTTACAGTTCTATTTTCTGGCTGGTATATTAAAAAGAAGCTTGTTTCTTTCTTAATTTAAGGCTAACCCTCAATTTGCCAAGTCTCATTTACTCCTCATAATTCAGAAGCAAACACCTCTACTGAGTTTCTGTACTTTTTAAGTTAATATAGTCATTTGCATAGGTTAAGTAAAAATCTGTTTTCCTTTTACTAAGATATAATTGGAAATATTAATCATAAATCCAAGATTATACCTACAGTGTCATATTGAGAATGCTTCTCATTTAGTCAAGGTACACCAAGCTCACACTTAGGAAATACGTTTGCATAGAGAGCCAATGCTCGGAGAAAACGCTCAGCGAAACTGGCCACGTTACCTGTTACATATTTCTAGCTTCATCAGTAAGGAATACCCGTCCTGACAGACCAAAGATCTTAGCAGATTTTACACATCACAAGCAAAGTAGAATTCCCCAATGTTAAGGGAAAAACTTTCTTGGGCTTGGTTTCCTGGTCTTGGTATAAAAAATTAAATAATACATACTTATACAAATTCAAACTGAGGTTCTTTATGAGAATTTGTAGACAAAGCTAATTTTCTAGTAGATGTTTAGTGTTTCATCAAAACTGTTTGCTTAATATCTTAGTCCCTTTGGGCTAGCATAACAAAATATCATAGACTGGGTGGCTTATAAACAACAAAAACTCATTTCTCACAGTCTGGAGGCTGGGATGTCCAAAATTAGGGTGCTGGCAAATTTGTTGTCTGGTGAGGACCTGCTTCCTCTTAGACAGCTTGCTTCTCACTCTAACCTTACATGGCAGAAAGGGCGAGGGGGCTTTCTTAGGCTTCCTTTATCTGGGCACTTATCCTGTTCTTGAGGGCTCTGCCCTCATAACCTAATCACCTCCCAAAGGCCCCACTTCCTAATACCATCACTTTAGGAGTGAGGATTTCAACAAATGAATTTCAAGGGGGACATAAACATTCTGCTATAAAGAACTACCTGAGACTGGGGAGTTTATAAAGAAAAGATGTTTAACTGATTCACAGTTCCACTTCGCTGGGGATGCGTCAGAAAACTTACAATCATGGCAGAAGGAGAAGGGAAAGTAAGACATGTCTTACAAGCCTTCAGGAGAGGAAGAGAAGGAGGAAGTGCCACACTTTTAAACTACCAGATCTCATGAAAACTCACTCGCTATCATGAGAATAGCATAAGAGGATCTGCCCCCATGATCCAGTCACCTCCCACCAGGTCCCTCCCTTGACATGTGGCTATTGCAGTTCCAGATGAGTTTTGGGTACGGACACAGAGCAAAACCATACCACATTCAGAGCACAGCACTCAAGAAAACATATCTGGTTAATCAATACCTTTTGCTGAAACAATACAAATAGGCGGTACAAACTTTGTGTTCAAGAATAACCTTTGGAAATTTTATATCAAAATGGGGGAACTGGTGAGAAAAACTATTAAAAAGTAGGATGAAAGACATAAGAAAGTACATGACGCTCTTTCAATATTATATTGGAGCTGTTTTCACAGGTCCAGTTAAGGGTTATTAAATCCTCTAGGATAATGTACCTGTGCTTGATGTTGTTCTTTACTACTTGATTAAAGCTCAAAAAACAAAGAAGTGATATAGTAACTTTTAGATTTCTGTCTGACAGAAAAAATAAACCCAAAGGGTTTGATTTTATTGCTCTGTGAGACATTAATGATTTTTTATATCTAAACTAGAAAACTTATTCCAACGTTTCCTTTTAAAAAATACCTTTTAATACTCAGTGTGCTGACAACTACTTTTAACATCTTCCAAGTACCTTTACTAATGAATTAAATCTTTGATACAGATTCATTCTATACATGTATATATATGTGTATAAGAGTCAAATTTTCATATTTTTGAAAAATCTACTTTAAGAAGGGGAATTTGGTCTTCTCTCTCTCTCTTTTTTTTTTTTTTTTGAGATGGAGTTTCACTCTTGTTGCCCAGGCTGGGGTGCAATGGCGCAATCTTGGCTCACCACAACCTCCACCTCCCTGGTTCAAGCTATTCTCCTGCCTCAGCCTCCTGAGTAGCTGGGATTACAGGCATGCGCCACCATGCCAGGCTAATTTTGTAGTTTCAGTAGAGATGGGGCTTCTCCATGCTGGTAAGGCTTGTCTTGAACTCCCAACCTCAGGTGATCCACCTGCCTTGGCCTTCCAAAGTGCTGGGATTACAGGTGTGAGCCTCCGCACCTGGCAAATTTGGCTGTCTAATTTCCATATTGCTTAACATGTTTACATTGATTTTATATTACCTTATCATCAGAAAAAATGTGTGACAAAGAACTAAAATAGATTATTTTGTGTCTGATCAAGCAAAGCTACTTTGTGGGGGTTTATTAAACTATCTCATGTAATAATATTTTAAGACAAATCGATTCTTTTTTTATTCTTTCATATTCCAAAATATCAATAGCCACAGGGCAGTGAACACAAAGTCCACCTGAAATATCTATGAAATATATAATGTACAGAGCTAAGATTCAGCAGTGGCATGCAGTCCCTCCAATATATGCTCAAGGGCACCACTGTTCACTTGCACTGATAAGAAGGATTTTTACCTTTACCCTCCCCAACACTATTGGCCATGCCCTTTTACTAAGTTATATGAACTGAGTCTATCAGATAATGATGCTCTGCAAGCCACTGATGAAAAACTACAGACAGGCCAATGCTATGTGCTAAACTTTCTGAAAATAGAAACCCGGCACCACTCTCCCACCCTTTTCTAGTCACACACTGAAAATTCCCTTGGAGGAAAGAGCTAGATACCCACCCTTGTCCTACATAATATCATAATATTATATCACAATGAAAGCCGAATTACATAAAGGCAATCACAATTTGCCCAGAAAATAAAACTGTGTTTATTTTGATGTTATTTTGAGTGAATTATAAAAGAAAGTAAAACTCTAAGAAAAAAAGGATGTATTAGGATTTTACATCAAGTAATGATTCACTAAACGGAAAAAGAAATCTCATTTTTTGCTACGTTTCTATTGAATTTGTGAATGGGAGACTGCAGAAAACTTTTTAATCTAAATTCCCTGTGGCGATAAATTTGTCAGTTAAAATCGGATTCGTTAAAATAAAGAAAATTTGGTTTTTAGACTAAGAGACTTGTCAAATTCAAATAAAATATGTACAGACAAATCTCTAAATTTAACATTTTATTTGGGAAGAAAGAATTGCAATTCAGGGCATACACACAGACCACACACGTTGGGTGGTCTTCTGTATGTGTGAGGCACAGAGGAGGTTAGAGGTTTTATAAAAAGGAGAATGTTAGTATCGCTATTTGAGAAAATTCATCGGCACTAGTAAAGTTCTGAGGTACCGGTAAGTTCTGATTGGTGAGTAACAGTGGCAGGTAAAACTCGTCTTAGAATTGCTGCAGGTTGTTTCATAAGACATTAGATAAAACTTGTTTTGGGTTACAGCAGGCAGTTTCAACAGTTAGTCTTGCAAAGAGTTATATTCTTGGAGCAGTGTGTGTGTGTGCCCTGAGGGCTCGTTCCCCTCAACTCTGTTTGGCTAGGTATAACAAGAATGACCCATTTTGTATAATTAACTTTTACAGAGTGTATCTCAGGTTGCTTCTGGGCTTTGACGATTTTTGCTAGTAATCTTTTTCCTTGCTGATACTTGCTATCAGTGCAACTTGTAGCAAACATTAGAGAAATGTTAAAAATTTACCCAAAAAGGGCCGGGCGCGGTGGCTCATACCTGTAATCCCAGCACTTTGGGAGGCCAAGGATGGTGGATCACGAGGTCAGGAGATCCAGACCATCCTGCCCAATGTGGTGAAACCCCGTCTCTACTAAGAATACAAAAACAAAATTAGCTGGGCATGGTGGTGGGCGCCTGTAGTCCCAGCTACTCGGGAGGCTGAGGCAGGAGAATGGCGTGAACCCGGGAGGCGTAGCTTGCAGTGAGCCGAGATCGTGCCACTGCACTCCAGCCTGGGTGACAGAGCAAGACTCCCCGTCTCAGAAAAAAAAAAAAAAAAAAAAATTTACCCAAAAAGTACTTTCAGCCCCAGTGAACTTCTATGAAATTGTCTTCATATAGCATTTAAAAGTTTGAAGAAAAACACAAGATAATTGTGTGTCCTACCTCCGAAGTATTGACTTAGGAAGGGAAAGTGGGCTGCGTTGAACAATGAGATTATAATATGTTGTTAATGCTTTGGAAGTATACGTTTGATATGATATTTCAAAGACATTAATGTCATCTACAAACTTAAACTGTTTCTATAGGGCTATACATTTCTGAAATACATCATCATACTTAGGAGTCTTTGTTTGGAACTTTAGAGAAGAAAGCTATTAAACTATGAGAAGATTAACTTAAATATGATAATCCATTAGGTGTTCGGATAAAAACACCTGTATTCGTTCTGACAGACTCATCAGAATGAAATATTCAAAAATATTTTTTGTGTGAAAAATCTAAAGACTAGTATGTCATTGGACATTTATACTTTTGCTCCCGGCAGGACACTATCACAGACATTTTTATATAGCCAAGATTAGGAAATCTCCCACCCGTAAGAGCAACAAGCACAAAGGAGCTGATTGGAAGCTCAGTCATATTCTTCTATAAAATAGAGGGGCAAGTGCCCCTCCTCAACTCCAAAAGGAGTCCTTCAGCAGAACGCGTTCACTTGTCTTTCATCATATTTCTCTGTCGTTTGCAAATGAGCCGTAAATATTTCTGTTTCTTTACTTCTCTGTCTTCCCCTTGATGAGTGCTGGCTTCATTTAGCCATTTGGCTTGAATGAGTTTGACAAAAAATAAGCTATGTATTTTCTGAAATCTACTTATTTCTAGCCAGATTTTTTAATTTTGTGAAATAAAATTTCAAGTAAAAAATCTGCCTCGTGTGGCTTATTTAGCTGATTTATATTCCTGAGTATGTGTAGATAATTTTATTTGGAAGGATGCCTTCAATGTGAAGAAGTAGCTGTAGCTTAAATGCAATGCTGTTTTATATTAACAATAAGCGTTGTTAGACAATGCTAAAAAGAAAGCTTATGTGTCAATTTTCATGACTTTATCTTATCCCTTGAGGCAAATTCAAAAACAAAAGGGAAAAGTTTCTAATGCACCAGAGAACATATTTCGAGTTAGATTAATTTTTTTTTCAATTCAAGCAAAAGAGAAAGCGAAAAAAGATGTCTTCTAAGGAATCAATTGAACCTGAGAATTAATACAAAGAAACATTTCTCTTCTTGTTCTTTAATCACCAGTCATAGAAAACAAGTCAAAGAAGAAGAAAATACACCATGCAAATTACTTCAATGCAATCTGCAGAAAACCTTAGGCTAGTTTGAACGATGGTAGGAATTTTAAAACTGGAAAATCATAATTCCATAATAATAGTGTTATTATTTCTCTGTTATATTGTGTTCTCACTCCTGCTTATGGGCAAATGATTTTGTTTAATAATGATTGTTCTTAAAGCATACTTTAAAAGAAATTAGTGCTTTAAAGTATTTAATAAGAAATAACCCCAGTTGGCCCTTCCAACATTTTCCCAACCTATTTTTTCAAGGAGAAAATAGTTACATGTATATGTATATAAGAAGTCAAAAGTTTTAATTTTACTGACTTTTCCTAGAAGAAATCCAGCATCCTTATACTTTAAGTTAATCCTGCACACTTGTTGCAAATCACAGTAATAAGTGTAGTCAAACTCTTACCTGCAACCTAAATATTCTTCAGGCCTAAAACATAATTTGCCTCTTTGCCTTTAATAAACGACTGTTTTAAATTACATATAAACTGTTATAATACGTGTATATCTTTACATGATATACACATATCCATGCATGTATTCATACATAAGAGAATTGTCAATTCATCTACTGATAAAAAGGTGTCAGGAAACCGTTAAAATATCTCCTGGAAAAAATGAATTTAATATTTAAATAATTTGTTTAAAATGTTGACATTTAGAAACAAGTTGATACAATTACTGATTACAATATCAACCGTATGGTGGTTCACTAAATATGGATGCATCTTAACTTTTCATCTATTTGGTGCAAAACAGTTTGGTATGCCAGGGGCCTTTCTTGTGCAAATCAACCTGATAATTCAGGTAGTGGAAAGCCGGCAGTAACAAAAAAAACCTTTCAATTTAAAAACTGAAAAAAAATGTTTATCCTTTAATTCATCAAAGGGTGAGTTTTTTAAAGAAATGGATAGGGCTGGGCACGGTGGCTCATGCCTGTAATCCAGCACTTTGGGAGGCTGAGGCGGGCGGATCACAAGGTCAGGAGTTCGAGACCAGCCTGACCAACACGGTGAAACCCCATCTCTACTAAAAATACAAAAATTAGCTGGGCATGGTGGCATGCGCCTGTAATCCCAGCTGCTCAGGAGGCTAAGCCAGGAGAATCATTTGAACCTGGGAGGCAGAGGTTGCAGTGAGCCAAGATTGCACCACTGCACTCCCACTTGGGCGACAGAGCAAGACTCCGTCTGAAAAAATAAAAATAAAAAAAAGAAACAGAAATGGATAGGGTAGAATGGAATACACATAAATACAATTTTTAAGGGATCCTCTTTTGACCAAGCTTTTATTACAATCTTAATATTTGTCAAAAGACACAAGTAAAAGAGTGCAAAAGCAGCCCACAGAGTGGAGAAAATATTTGCAGTATATACATCTAACAAAAATTGACTTTTACAACTAAATTTATTTATTAGAGAAAGAAACCCAAAAGAAGAATGTACAAAAGATTTGAACAGGCTGGGCACGGTGGCTCATGCCTGTAATCCCAGCACTTTGGGAGGCTGAGGCGGGTAGATCACGAGGTCAGGAGATCAAGACCATCCTGGCTAACATGGTGAAACCCTGTCTCTACTAAAAATACAAAAAATTAGCCAGGCGTGGTGGCGGGCACCTGTAATCCCAGCTACTGGGGAGGCTGAGGCAGGAGAATGGCGTGAACCTGGGAGGCAGAGCTTGCAGTGAGCGGAGATTGGGCCACTGCACTCCAACTTGGGCGACAGAGTGAGACTCTGTCTCAAAAAAAAAAAAAAAAGAAAAAGAAAAAAGAAAAAATAATGTGAACAGACAATTCACACAGGATACTATTTAATAAGCCAATAAATATTTGAAAAAGTACTGACCTTCTTTAATGTTACTTATTAAATCACTAGAATGACTAAAATGTAATATTCTTAACAATAGTATATTACTCAGCAATAAAAATAATCATATGCAACTACATGCAATAGCATAGATAAATTTCCCAAATAAAATATTGAGAAAAAGAAGGCAAACACAATCTTGTACAAAATGTATAATTCCATTTATATTAAGGACAAAAAAGACAGAACTAACCTATATATTCAAGTCACTTAGCATCCTTATGGGGGTGCTAAGTGAAATGGGGTACACAGGGTAGTTTTCTGGTGTTCTGATAATGCTCTGCCTCTTGATTGAGTGCCAGTCATGTGGTTGTGTCCAATTGTTTGAATAGTTATTGAGTTTGACACTTCAGATATGTTCTTTGCTGATAAATATTATACTTAACAAAGGGTCGAAACATGAAACCTTATCTTCTGAATGCTTCCATTTGAATTAATAAAGATAATATATTTTGGAAAGAACTGTATCTTTCAAAAATTATTTAAAATAATTTATGTATAACTCTTACTATTTCAAAGGTATCTGTATAATAAACTTTTTGAACCGTAGGGTTCTTTCCTAATAATTGCCATTCATAATTAAAGTAAGTATCAGAGTTGTATTGTACCTATATTTGGTTTTACTTATAAAATATATCAATATATAATATAGATATTAGCACTATACACACATAAAAAGATTTGAAGGATTCAGAGATCTAGGCTCCATTATTTACCCTTCAGTTCACCTGCATGGCCTCTGATAAAACCCATACAGGTCATGGTGTATAATGGTGACCTACTGTAAAGTTATTAAAGGAGTAATATCAATTGAAACTGCTGTGTCTGACATGGAATGGGTTGAATCGAATCAATACAGCCTCTGGTTTTTAGTATGCAGAAATTCATTTGGAAAGTATGTCTTCTTGGTACCCAAGATGGGAGGTCAAACAGTTTGCCTTTATATGTTAAGACCAGCAGTACAACTTAAACATAGAACTCTGATTAATTCTACTCTTTTCTGTCCATAGAGATTTTGTATCCATAATGTATCCATGTATCTAATGTAACCATAGAGACTTTGATTTTTCTTGATATGCTACAAAACAACAAACGTGATCCATACATGGCCTATAGATGATCATCCATGCTCGACTATCAATAACACCATATTGTTCCCAATGAGCAGAATGCTGCAAGTATCCTAGGTGCTCTAGTAATTCACATGTGCCAGAGTGTAAAAGACATTGTTAGGGGCTGGTTTACTATATTTTCTGAGTCTTGGGGGTACATATCTCTTCCCAAGGATACATTCAGGGGTGCCCAATTAATACTTTGAAATCAGCCGTGGTGGGAATATTTATATTTTAAAAAATAACACAGCTAAAAATCAGGACCTTTTCTTTTTACCTGGAGAGCTGGCTGTTAAACATTAATTTACCAGAACAGCACTGGAGAAATTCTACAAACATTGGGGAACTTACTGCATTAATGCAAATTAGGGGTAGAAAGTGCCAATAGTCCGGAGTGTTCTGGGACATCCTTTTTTTTTTTTTTTTTTTTTTTTTTTTTGAGACGGAGTCTCGCTCTGTCGCCCAGGCTGGAGTGCAGTGGCGGGATCTCGGCTCACTGCAAGCTCCGCCTCCCGGGTTCACGCCATTCTCCTGCCTCAGCCTCCCAAGTAGCTGGGACTACAGGCGCCCACCACTACGCCCGGCTAATTTTTTTGTATTTTTAGTAGAGACGGGGTTTCACCGTTTTTTAGCCGGGATGGTCTCGATCTCCTGACCTCGTGATCCACCCGCCTCGGCCTCCCAAAGTGCTGGGATTACAGGCGTGAGCCACTGCGCCCGGCCTGGGACATCCTTTTTAAGATGATGAGCAAGTTTTGAACCTCATTCTTTCTCAGAAATAAGCACAATAGTTTCGGGTCTTTGGGGACTTTTAAAAGCAGCATATAGTACACTTGGGAATACTATTCTGCTTCATTTATCACAAGCTGTGAAAAGCTGTTAGTTATAAGTAGGTCCCAGGGGAAGAGAGGGCTCTGAAGCAAGTTCAAACTATGGTTTAAGTTTCCATGCCAATTGAGCTATATTATCCAAAACTTCTGACAGGGCTGGAGTTTTCCTTGTGAATGGAGATGCTGAATGGGGTCTCTGATAAGACCTAACAAATGAGTTGCAATACAGATCCCTTGGAATCTGGAGCAAAAACATGTTCACCATGACAGAGAAAAAATTCTAGTTTGAGAAACATCTCTCCATCTGCTACCGGTCTTTTCTAGAGAAAGGTAATGACCATGGGACGATAAGTAACTATGAGTTTAAATGGCCGTTCATGAGCTGCATATTATTGAGTTACTAAGTCATGAGTTCATGGATGTTTCAGAAATTCATCATGAAATGGAAATTGTACAATTAGGACAGGACTCACGAAAGCTCGAGCAGCATGAGTAAAGTTCATGAACTGCCACTGTTCCGCCAAGAGACATGGGTATTAACTCTTCCAGAAAATGACTGTTCTAAAGAAGATATTCAAATACTTTCTTTCAGAAAAGTGAATTGAGAAGCACGGAGAGGGAAGTTTATCTTCTCTGCATTTCCGTTCCCTCAACGGTCAAAATTCATTCCATGGATTGTTACTATCCCTGAATTTTAGGCTGCATTATCTGACCCTTTGACAGCCATTGGGGAAGTCGGTTCCATGCCATGTGGTGCAGTATTTCATCTGGAAGTGGTGGGAGGATCACAAGACTCTGAGCATCAGTCTCAGGTAGGAAGAACATCATTGCAAATGGAATTGGTGGTCTTGGTAGAAGCCAGTATAGCAAGCAGCTAAAAGCCCAAGAGTCAGATAAGACTGAAGCAATCTAAGGATGTGCATGAGACAGCCAGTTCTCATCCTTAAGAAAATTAGTCTCACAAAAAAATTTAAAAATCTGAGTATATTTACTTGAAACAAACAAACAAAAACACTATATACTTAGTATGTTTTGGGTATTTTAAGTGATTTATATATATTAGATCATTTAATCCCCTTGAAACTCTATGAGGTAGGTACTATGACCTAGAAAGTTTAAAAATAAAAGGAGAGAAAACTATATATAAGAAAATTATGAAAAATGAAAGACAATGAACTATAAATATTGGACAATGTAGCATGCAAGGCAAAAATGAGTAAATGGGAAAATAAGTCACACAATAATTCAAACAGGTGTGTATATTACAAAGACATAAGGGCTAAAAGCATGTACCAACAATGGAGCAATAGCATGGTATACCTAGTGAACAAGAGTGCAGATTCAATGTAGGAAATTCCATTCAGTAATAATCGACTAACAACCAAACAAGAATGGAAAATTATATTCTACATAAATCTATGCCCTCAGTATAATTTGATGACAGAGAATGCTGAGATGTTAAAATAACTTAAGAAAAAAAAAAGAAAAGAATTCATCAAATGGCAGCATGTGACCTCTCACACTACCACACTACTGCCTCCCCATCAATAGGGAAAAAAAGCAGATGATGAAAGACTGCAGGGAACCCAGAAGAAGTGGCCTAAGTTATTGATTTTATACTCCCAGTCTTAAAGGAACTTGATCACTTTCCCCCATTTTCATTGCTTTGCAATGATTTTTAGAGCATTAATCTGGTTTTTGAAAATGTGGTAGAATTCCTCTGTGAAGCCATTTGAGTCTGATGCTTCTGGGGCAGTTCCTTAACAATTTTCGTTCTTAGAAAATTGGTCTGTTGAAGCCTCCTAACTCTGTGGGGTTAATTTGGTAATCTGTATTTCCTTAAGAAATTAACCGGTTCATCTAAGTTTTCAAATTAATTTTCATACAAGTCTGCAAGTAGTCCTGTTAAACATCTCATGTTTAAATATTTATTCGTCCTTATTTCTTATTTTGAATATTTATGCCTTCTGTTTTCTTTTATTAGTTTAGCTAGTGGTTAGCTTGTTTTGTACTGTAAAAGATATAAAAATACAGGAACACTAATCCTTTGCTTAAAGGAATAGACCATATGTCTATTGTAAATACATTTCTTTTCATGGTTTCCTTCTAGTGGTTTCTGTGTTCTTTATTCCAGAAACTCAGAAACATCTATTAGGAATCTATGAAGATGACTCGTTAATTACTTTTTTTGTGATTACCTTCAAATGACTTCTGTGTTATTTGTTCTAGAAACTCAAGAACATCTATTGGAAATCTATGAAGATGACTCATCACTTCCATTTCTTTTCATGATTACCTTCTAATGATCTCTATGTTCTTTATTCTAGAAACTCAAGAACATCTATTAGAAATCTATGAAGAAGATTCGTTACTTACATAGATCAAAACAGAAAAAAGAAATAAATATCAAATATGTAAACTAGAAATAACCACCATTCATTCCTGATTACAAACAAACAAAATTCTTAGCAAAATATCAGTAGAACAATATTCCTTAATGTAATATAATTTAGCATCAAATGACAAAATAGTTCTGGCTGATGAGAAGAGAGACATTTCTATTAATTTGAACACAATACAATAACTTCTGTTAGGAATACTTTTGTTTACCTGAAAGTGTTAGCTAGTATAGATTAGAGAACAAAATAAGTGCTAACATATTTTAAGCAATGTAAAAATTATTAGTCTCACAAAGTAAATCATTAATTCTGAGGCTTTTCATGAGTCAATATCCTTTGAGAATTTGATAATTATTATTCATCTCTGAGGAAAAATGTCAGATAGATTTTCAAAGTCACAAAATTTAGCATGAAATATAGTTTATCCTTTTGAAATTTAGTTATTCATTTAGTTATTTATTTATGTAGTTATTTGTTATTATTGTCATATAATATAGAAACAGTACTTCAAAGATATATTCCTTATATACCTTCCTTATTATCAGTTGATTACCATTTCAGGAAAAAGGGGAAATTAATACAAGTTGTATAATAAAGCAAAAGTATTCTCTAATTATTCTCAGAAGTGATTTTCAAAATACCTGATGCTAAAATGAAGTTTAAGCATTTGGAAATGTGGAAGTGTTTGAGAAATGACAAGGCACATGTAATTGTTACTATATAACCACTTTTTTATAGCTATACGTGCAGAAAATTCAAACTCATAGATACATGAGGGAATAAAATAAAAATCAAGGTTTTCTTAGCTCACTTCAACAAATATATCTAAACTGTGTTTCTCAAGGAACACCATAATTCACTGACAATTTTCCAGGTGAATTTATGCTGGAGTTGCTTTTGTATTTATGCCAATTAGATAACATTGACTTAGGTTTGTGTCAAAAATGCTATCGTTATCTGCAAAATAACAATCGAGAAACTACCCTCCAGTTTGAAGTAATCTGATGAGGTAACCTTCCAAAAAGTTTTGCAACGTTTGCAGGTGACTGAATATTTTATCTTTCACAGCAAATAAAAACTATTGTCATTCTTTATTCCCATCTCCTATAGCAATTCTTCAGCTTTGAGGAATTTACATGGTTGAATACTTCCAATATATGTAAAGGAGACTAAAAATATTTTAAAGCAAAACTATGTCAATTTATAAGTTAATTAACTAGAAATTATAATAAGTTAATATTTTTCTAAATATATATACAGATGAAGTTGACTCAAGAAAGGGAAAATATGAATACATAGATAATTGCAGAAAATGTAATAAAAATTCAAGAATTACATTTAAAAGTAAAGCTCTCGGATAATATAACTTACCAGAAAATGTAATAAAAATTCAATAATTACATTTAAAAGTAAAGCTCTCGGATAATATAACTTACCAGTGAGTTCCCTCAAGCTTTCAAAGAATGGATAACTCAATGCTGTATAATCTTTCAATGTTTCCCTTAGGTTGCCAAGATATCTAAAGTTTAATTCCGGACTTAGGAATTTAGCACATGGATATCTGAGGAGGCTAAAAGAAATTGAAACAGCGGAACAATCAAACCTCACGAAAGAATAAGAGCTGGAAGAATACACAGCATAAAACTATTAGTATTAGCTCAATTGGCCAATTAATTTTATCCCATCACTGGTAGACATATATTGATACGTAATCTAGAACTTCTTATCTAAAGGAACTCAACTACTTTAGGTTTTTTAAAAAATCTACTTTTGTCTTATTCTTCACTTTTTGGAAGCTATAAAGTCAATGCCTCATGGAGGGAGAAGGCAAAAAAAAAAAAAAAGGAGGACATAACTAATTTGCTAAGTCAGCATCTATTATTGCTCACTTAGATTGAATAGCATTAATGTTTTCTCATATAGGCTCATATGCACAAAGCATAGATTAAATCAGTAGTAAAAGTTTAGCCATATACATATATTTATAAAAGACTCAAAAACATTGTATAGGAACAAAAAGATAAAGACAGATGTTAAAATCCTAAATAAATGCCCAGGGAACTGAAATCAAACACCAAGATGAACTTAGATTTTTCTCTTAAAGAATACTTTATATTATAAAATCACTCCACACATCCTGGGCCACTAGGAAACAAAATGTTCACAATTACATTAACAGATATCTCTAGAGAATTCAATTAAACTGTTCTTAAGTTAAAATTACTTGGAAAATAAAAAAAAATATTAAACTAAGGGCTAACAGGATACTGAATTCATTCACATTAATATTAGAAAGCTACTGTCAATATTATTATTTAGTTTTTCATTTTGAACATCTACTGCCTCCTCCAAAAAAGAGTGTTATACAGATGAAAAGGAAGAATTTAAATTTTTTTAATTTATGCAAATAATCTATCTGAATTACTTTGCCTAAAAAGTCCAAAGTTAAAAGCTGGTAAAATAAACCCAGCCTACTACAATTCAATATACTCAATGTGAAATAAAGTCATGCTTATAAGTACAGGTCTTTAAACTCTTAACTCTTGATCTCTTAGAGAATATACTCCACCAAAACTGGAGAGTAAATACCAGAAAGGAAGATACTAGATGAAGATAAATGGGATTCAACAGAGAGGAGAGGGAAAGAAAATTCCCAAGATAATGAAGAAAATGGTAATTTTCCAAAGCCAGATGTGTAATAGACTTTTTGAATAAAAAGTTCCCATGAGAACAGAGAAACAGAGAGGTATTGAGGATAATTTTACAATTCTGTCAGTGAGTTTGTGTGCTGAGTTAATGACAGGTACATAGGAAGAAAAGCAACTGAAGAGAATGGGTAACCCCAGGATAAACAAACAAAATAATGTATCCAATAAACTGTAAGTGTCTTCAATAAAAAACCGTGAGAAAGTTCGGTCAATGGCACAACTAACAGTAGTATTTGCAAAACCATAAAATGTGAATTCTGAAATTTGACCTAACTAGAAAGTGGGATGTTAGTATTTCAGGAGGATGACAGTAGGAGAAGTGCCAAAGGGGAGAACTCTGTGAGCAATACTTTTCTTCTGTAATGTAAGTCAATAAGTAATGTCTAACATTGAAAAATAAACAAATAGCTCTATAAACTATATTAGTTAGAAATTTGGAAATATGTATTTTTTAAAAGAGGACGATGGAGTGTATAAAGGAAGTAGTAATTAATGACGGCATAGAAAGGGCATTTTATTACCAGCTTTGAGATATTATTAGATATTTTGAAACAAAATGGAATATTATTAGATATTTTAAAACAAAATGGAGTATTGCTCTTAAGCAATACTTTGTATTTAAAAGGCTTACGTTTAGCCCCCAATTTGGCCACTTACTAACTGTGGGGACTCTGCATAACTCAAGAAACCTCTATGTTTCAATCTTTTCTTCCTTATGAAAATAGGGATAATGAAGGTAACTACCTAAGGCAGGCATAAAAGTATAAATGAACTAATACATGAATGGCATTTATTTTAAATACATATATCACTTTTATAAAAAGTGGCAATTATGATTTTTATAATATGAAATATTAAATGAGAAAATCTCTTGATGACAATAATACATTTACAAATGAATAATTTATATTAATCATGTATAAAACCTGTACAAAGTATTAGCAAATTGAGAGAGATAAAAGTTTTGAAAAATTCTGAATATAAAATTATTCCATTGAAAATTGGTATTAATTCTAATAAAGATATATTTTCATGCTGCTTAATTGTATTTAGATATAAATACATATCATGAGGAACAAAATAAATGTCATAACACTTTATAGACATTTAGAAAAGCAACTGGCCATCTCTTATGGAGAAAGTGTTAAACCTGTTCTATAAATGGAAGAGGTGCTGCAAACGTCAGGATTTTTTGAAATTTTCAAACTGACCCTAAGGCATGCCTTTTTCAATTCAGCCTCTTACACAGACTTCAAAATTTCTTTCTTTGTTGAATCATTGTCTTTACCATTGCCTTTTCGCAGCCCCTTTTATTTAAGCAATCAGACATGAATCTAATTTTACCATTAATATTTGTAATTAGTGATCGGTAATTCAAATATAAATATCCTTGGATGCAATGGGGAGGGGTTCATGAAGAAGTGACTTAAAAATATACATATACACCTAAAAGCTTAGTCTAAAGATAAACACTTAAAAGTGTGTGAAAACAGTCCTGAACTTTAAAGAAAGCAAAGTAGTTCACGGACTCCCCTTTCTCCCCCTAAATGAAATACTTATAAATAGAGGCTGATCTCATAGAAACTATTAACTTTCCTTATAAACTGAGGAATTTAACCACCCACTGTGTGACATCAATGGAATTTACAGTCTCAAAGTAATTTGTCTGAACACACCCGAAAAACCATTTATGCTTATGAATATATTCTGGCAGAGTAGATAAAACGTCTGGGCAAAGATGCATTCTACTTTACTGGTTCAATCTCTCACTAATCATTGCTGTGTGCACACCAGTTAGTTTTGAACCCCTCCCTGGCTTAACCGCACGAGCATCCCACTAAGTGACCCGGTAACTTTTAAGATCTTCTGAAAAAAGAAAAAAAAGGATATAAAATTTCACCACATTTTCCTGCAGAGGTGGTCCTGTAAAAGGAACACAGTATGTATTTACTTCAATGATATTTTAAAAGAACTTTTGAATGTTTCTTTCTTTCAAAACACTTCAGCGATCAAATACAGGCCCACTGTAGAGATAATTTAGTAGTTCCCTACCAGAGAAAAGACAGAGGGTGACTGGACATAAAACAATTATTTTTTGCAAAGACTTGACAGAAATGTATAATCCAGGTAATTGCTGGGGTGGACAAGCTAAGGTAGGATGCTTGTGATTGGCAAGATAAGAATGGGGCAGCAGAGGCATCTCAGGGAAGAAGTTGCAAGCCCAGCCTGGAGCCCCAATGCATAGATTTGAATCCCAGCTCAGTCACTTACTATCTGTGTGCTGGACGATTGTTTTGACCACGTTGTGCCTCAGTTCCTCATCTGCGTGATAGAGATAATGATACTACCCACCTTGTATGACTGTGGCGAAGATTAAATTAACTCCTGCTTGTAAGTGTTTAGAACAGTTCCTGATACATAGCAAATGATAACTTGCTTTCATTATGAGAAGCATTCAGAAAGAGCTCCAACTGGGCAACCCAAACTATCAATTTCCTACTCTCCAATTTTGTCCAAGTCTGTCTCTGATTATTTTTATTACCCCAGATTTGCTGCACTGTGGCCTTTAGAGATCACTTCACATCTGTGTGAAATACTTCATGTGAAAATTCAAGCAGAGGACTGACCTCCCTCAAAGGAGGATTAACTGGTAAATGATTGCCAAGCACTCAGAACACTTGAAGAGTTCCAAAAATGTTGCTTGTTAATTCTCATCCTGTGAAGGGCCAGCTGATGACAATCCTAGCCTGAAGTGTCTCATCTCATATAAATACTCAGCCCAAAGTTGCTGTGAAATTTCCAACTTTTGAGTGGCCAGAGGGCACACTAAGAAGACATTCATTGAAGGGTGTCACAGCCTGCACCTGGCATAAGATTAGTAGCTGCTTAAGGAAAACGTTATTTCCGGCATTCAGCTTTCAGGTCATTTAATTTTTTTACATTTTCACATCTGACTAGTTAAGTGGGCTCCGCATGGCCATCTTTCTGTCATATACACAAACATCATATGGTGAAACGCAATATTATCTAAGAAAAATCTGCTAGATCAAGATTATGGAAAAAGGAGCAGTTTTTGGTGTGTTTAGTAAGGTCTTCAGATGACATCATATTCACAATTTTTGTCATATTAAAGCCCTCTAGGAAGACTATTTAATGGTCCCAAAGGCATCTTCAGCAAAAGTACAGGATGAAATGTAAAAGGAAAGATTTTGTGGAATTGTGAATTGCACAGGAGTACAATCTAGAGATAAATATTCATAAGTCATTAACAAATTCCAGATCAGTTCATGATTATTCATCATTAGAGCACATGTACTGGGTTTTATATGAATTATTCATTGGCTTTGTTTACGAACATCTTTAACTGATTAATGGCAAATCCTGATGAATATTCCCGAATTGTTCAGACTGAAGCATAGATCATAATGAATGAAGTCATGTATTGCTTCTTAGGAGTGTGAGATGAATAGCTGATACAGAAAGAAAACTAAGAAATTGCAATAGTTTTTGCAAATCCGTCTGGTTTAAAAATCTGAGAGCTTAACTTTTTATTAGTAACACATTGACAATCAACATCCAACTCTTGAAGCTATAAGACTTGGCTACAAAGTCAGAAAAGGTGATGCAAGACATAGCCAGGAAACATTCCTCAAGCATTTCAGAGGGTTTCTCTGGCCCAACTTTCTGAAACCCAGGTTGAAATCATGAAGAAGTAGACCATGCATTTAAATTGCTTCCTTCAATAAGGTATTAAATGCTAATTTTTAACCCCATAATATTCTTGATCATCAAACATAACTTTATTTTTTCACAAGAGTGAAGATTTTTTGATGAGGAATTATTTTAAAAGTCAACCAATGAAGGACATTAAAAAATAGACAAAACAAAAGAACAAGGTTGTGTGTATTTCTGTCTGACTGAAACTTAGAGTCCTGGTATGTATTGTGTCTAGTCATGAGTCAATTTTCACTTACATTCTTCTTCTTTCTCTATTTTAACCTGATTTATGGTATATCAAGATATTTATCATAAAATAACATGTTCTACAAAGGAAGTGGGAAATAATTCTCTCATATTATTAATTGTTATGAAAAGAGTGAAGGCTAAAATGATTTTTGACACAGGATTTAGTCGCAGTTTATTGCTAAGTTATTATTAGAATAGTCCATTGAATCAGAGCGAGTCACAGGATGAAGATAGATCCTTTGGGAAATCTAGATAAAGTGGAAAAACTTGATTAGAAAATGAAGTAGGTAGAAAGACCAAGTGAAAACATAAGACAGGGAATCTAAGAAGAGTTTTTTATTGAAGCTAGACATATTTCTGTGCTCGATTTTTATATACTGAAAAGCAAGAACAATGGGGCAAATCATAACATCTAAGGAAGTTTCCTTTGTATTTATAGCTTTCTTCTCCTAGAGTTTTTGTGATGGCCTGAAGCTGGTATATTTACAATTCCTAAAATAGAATAATACTCTGCTTAAGCCAATCAAATTGCCATGCCATAGCTTCTGGCATTAGTTTAGCCTAATCATTCTCAATCAGGTTATACACTTCAATCACTTCTTTTTAATCCAGAGCTTCTACAAAATGTGGAGTTCTGAGTCTAGTAACCCAGAGTATGCAGGTTACAAGTCTCTGGATTTTTGAATATATAGGCACCTTGAATGAGAAGGTTTGAGGGGCAGAGACAATGTATGTGTAGGTTAAAATATTCCACAGAAGATAATGACCCCTTATGGTAACATTCAATGTGTTTATAGCATATGTGGTACATTGATTTCTTTATTGTCCTTTATCTATTCCTCTCCCTGTATTCGTGCTCTTTGACCTAAAACCTTGTGGTATCCTCCCACTCTAACTCTGGATCTGGCTCGGTGACTTGCTTTGGTCAGTGGAGTGTCTGTTCAAAAGCAGAGGCTTAAAAAATATTTTCAAGCTTTCATTTGTGCCCTTGTATCTGTCATTGACATGAGAATAGACTAAGGCTAGCCAATTAAAGACAAGTGGAGCAGAAACAATTAAAGACATGTGGGCAGAACTAGTTGCCTCAGTCTTTCCACAGCCAGTCCGCATCAGCCTACAGCTGGCTGATAGATTCTCAGCCCTGTGAGTGAGTCCAGCCAAAACGATCTAGCCCAGTTTAAGTCACTGAACTGAGGGCTCGTGTGTTAATAAATGGCCATTGTTTAAAGCCATTGAGCTATCAGCTGTTTTGTTCTGCAGCATTACAGTGTCAAAAGAAAATTGATACACTACTTTCAGCAATAAGTTATTTAGGCTGATTCCGATTTATGGTTCCAATTACAATTCTTTAGAAAATTCCTTAGAAAACCCAAATACAATTCTTTAGAAAATCCACCACTTCCAGCAATAAGTTACGTAGGCTGATTTCGATTTATGGTTCCAATTACAATTCTTTAGAAAATCTAATGCAACACAGTAATTCCAAGTTGGTAATTTTGGTCATTTGAACCACCAAATGTAATTAGCACATCATACATATAGTAAAAAACTTTAATTCATTGTTATTTCCTCATAAATGTCACAGTAATATCCATTGAACCTAGCAAATTCTGTATCTAAAAACAAACTAAATAATAATGGAGCAAATGATGTGTACATATTTTTTTTTTTTTTTTTTGAGACGGTGTCTCGCTCTTTCGCCCAGGCCGGACTGCAGTGGCGACATCTCGACTCACTGCAAGCTCCACCTCCCAGGTTCACGCCATTCTCCTGCCTCAGTCTCCTGAGTAGCTGGGATTACAGGCGCCCGCCACCGCGCCCGGCTAATGTTTTGTATTTTTAGTAGAGACGGGGTTTCACCGTGTTAGCCAAGATGGTCTCTTTCTCCTGACCTCGTGATCCGCCCGCCTCGGCCTCCCAAAGTGCTGGGATTACAGGCGTGAGCCACAGCGCCCGGCCGATGTGTACATATCTTTTTTTTTTTTTTTTTTAGAGACGGAGTCTCGCTCTCGCCCGGGCTGGACTGCAGTGGCAAGATCTCGGCTCACTGCAAGCTCCGCCTCCCCGGTTTACGCCATTCTCCTGCCTCAGACTCCTGAGTAGCTGGGACTGCAGGCGCCCGCCACCACGCCCGGCTAATTTTTGTATTTTTTTTAGTAGAGACGGTTTCACCGCGTTAGCCAGGATGGTCTCGATCTGCTGACCTCGTGATCCGCCGGCCTCGGCCTCCCAAAGTGCTGGGATTACAGGCGTGAGCCACCGTGCCCGGCCAGATGTGTACACATCTTAAGAATTGTTTTATGCATTGACACTATCACATAAACAAACAAACATTGTTTAGGCAGCAAGATGGTTCACACCTGTATGAATTATAATATATGTTTATGCCACCTATATTATATTTACTACATACATAGTAATCAAATTAACAGTTTATATAGGAAAAATAGTTATCACATCTCTCGATTGTAAAAAAAAATACAGAGCATATCTCCATTTAATATCATGCTAATTGATCACAAATTATATTCCATGTTTTTATAATTAATATGCCATGAATCTTTTGAATATAATTAAATATTTCTTTTCTCAACAGTATTTTAATAACTGATATATTACTATATATAAAGGAGATCTCTATAGAGAGATGATATATGTAGAACATATATAGAACGAAGATATATCATGTACATAGACACATTATGACATGTATAAAAAGAGAAAAATCTAAAGTACGGCCAGACACATTCCATGTTTAGATAAGAAGGTAAAATCAGAAACAGGAATCAGCAAAAAGGAAACTGAAAAGGAAGTCAGAGAAATAAGAAAACCAGGAAAATGTTGTGTCTTGTAAATTAGAGAAGTCAGTGTTCCAAAAAAGAGACAGTGATCAACTATTAGTATGTCAGTTGCTGCTGGAAGCCATTAACCTTCATGTGAGCCATGTCCAGAAAGAGGCGGTACCCATGTCTCTACCTTGGGAAACATAAAACATGGAAGTCATGTGACGGGCTGAGGTTCCCGAGGAGAGCAAAACACTAAGCTTAGTGAGCTCAGTGGAACAGACACAAACTTGTCATGGGTAAACTGAATGATAATCACTCACATGTGGATTTCAAATGTTTTGACAGTCCAAAAAGCTAGAAAGACTGGAGATAGCAGGATGCATAGACAATGACGAAGTAAGGGAAGAAAAGACGCTAATAAATATCAAAAACCCCACTCTGTTTTCCAATTTAAAGATTTTATGTGTTCATTACATAATGTGCCATGTTATAGTCGTGGGAAGTAGGGGAGAGATTTAGGGGTGATTAAGATCTTGAAAACTTGCACAGAAGTTTTGTTTTTCTGCATAAAATTTTAAAATAAAATTTGCCTCCATAGATTTTTTTCCTCGTATAGCAAAAGCGAATATAAAATTTGAATTTAGGGAGCTAACCATGCTACTACAAAAGGTAGAGTTCTGAGTCTAGTAACCCAGAGTATGGAGGAAGTAGAATATTTCATGGAGAATATATGTGGCAGCAAGGGAAGACAGATGATGGAAATGGCGAAAACATGCTTTACAAAGAATGGAAAATTCAAGTACAGCTACCTAGAATGCACTTGACTACAGAAATTACGAACCCCTTGATGGAAACTTGGTTTCCTGAGTTTTGTATTTCATACCTTTCCAATGCACCCTTCAGTTGTATAACTTTTCTTGACAATAGTAATACTTAAACACTCTTGTATTTAAAGGCCTAAGTGATTTCAGCTTTTTCTTATAGTAATGCAAGAAATAAAAATAAAATAAAGAAAAAAAGGAGAAGAAAAGGAAAAGAAAGCAATAGGATATTTTATAATTGGGCCTAAGTGCTAGTAAAGTGTTTACTAAAATGTAATATAGATTTTTCATTTAAAAGTTTTCCTATACTAATGCACACTGTTGTAATGCTGACAGATTCTGGGAATACCATCAATGTTAGCAGATGTCAGAAAAAATAATTGAAACTTCAACTGAGGAGTTAATTATCTTAGATCAAAGAGGTCACTTTGCTATGGTACAAATAGACAGTGTCTTAGGAGATTTTTTGGGGGAGTATCTCAGAATTCTATCAGAATAATGAAGTCATTTTTCTTTTTTGGCAAGGTTAATGAAGGTTTTGTTTGTTTGTTTGTTTTGCTTTTTTAAGACCAACTGCTATTTTTATTACACTTAGACTGAAACAGCTCAAATATTAGGAATTGGATTTACTTGCAGGCATTGAGTATATCATGCTTTATTTTATTTCAGGATTGTCTCCTCAGGGCTAGACATTTTAGTCATCAACCACCTTAGCAAACAGAGGCAGGAAGGTTAAAAGGCAGCAGCAAAAGGATAATGTAGAATGAAGTGTAAAAACAAATTGCGGCAGAACAATTATACCCAAGTTAGCAGGCTCATGGTCAGAAGACCATTTGTTTTGCACATAACTGCTTATTCAAAAAACGATGTATAAGAGTAGGCAGATATGGGGAAAAAACTACTGGTAACTCTCTCTCACAGTCAATGATGATGGAATTTAGGAAAACAAGTATTGTTTTCATCTATGCATATGCTTCTCAGTAATTAATTCCTATAAAAATCCCCCCCACCACCTCTCTTATTGCGGTACCTGCCCTAGTGTCCTGATAACAGATCTTCTCTAAATTTTAAAATTCTCTTTCACTCTCCCTTTTTAATTTTGATTTCTTTTTCTTTATTCTTTTAAATGTTCATTTCAGGGTTAGTAAATTACAGTGTTTCAAATAACTATTTATATTTGTGGGCAAACAGAGTATGCAATCATGGGCTAATGTAAGTAATTTTAATAGGCAGGTTGAATTATCACAGTGCAAACTTGTCATTTTTTAATAAAATCCATTGATTCAAGGCATTTGAAGTTTCTAAACTGGCTGGGCTGCTGTCACTTTGTTCATGATATACAGAAATACTCAAAAGTTCCCATGTGACCATGAATATTTTCTTAGATCCACTGGGGTCATAGACAGACATGATTTTCATGGTTTACTTAATTTCTCTTCTAAGATTATTGGAGATTCTTGTAGTCTACTCTCTTTTATGTAATTGCTTTGTTCAAATCCTAAAGGAATAGAGCCATAGCAGAAACTAATTTAGGGTCCAGGATCAGGGTGAAATAAAAAAGTCTTTGGGACTCGAGAATGCTGGCTTAAATTCTACAGATTTTTATGATCTGGATGATAAAAATCTTACTTTTTAGTGGAAAATAATGATGTACTGCATTTTTCATATGGCTGGATAAAGATTCTTTTATCTTGAAAATAATTTAAGGGAAAGAAAAATAAGGTACATTATCTTTGAAAAGCTATAGAAAGCTCTTGAACAAAAAGCAAAAAGTAAAGGAATGCTCAACTATTACTTTTATAAATGTTCTTAAATTAATATTATGCTTTGTAGATGTTTGAACAATGTATTAATTAAAAACCTGTATTTTTCTAGCTTTATTACTCTCAAGTTAGTTGGTCTCAGAAAATTTATCTGGTCATTTTTTTTATCTTGAATGTGAGAAATATATTATTAGTCCTTGTATTAAGCTGTTTAAATGAAAAACTATACCAAAATTTAATGCCTCCGTTACATATATAATTACAAAGAGAGCTATTTTGTGCTATTGGGGTCATAAAAGCTTCTTGTGCATATATTATAAAAACATGAAAATAGTTAAGGAAGTTATGAATATGGTTCCTTGAGCCTTTTATCATATGAGCAAGTAATATCATGCTGTCAGTATTTTAACCAATTTTATTTGCTCTTTTTTTTTTTTTGCCATCTATTCTGAGAAAGTGCCACTTATACCTACACTGGAGGGAGGTAAGTCCAGTGGATATATGGGGAAAAGAGCTTTTTAGGGAGGGGGAACAATTAGAGCTAAAACTGCAAATGAGAGCATGTTGGGTCTCTTTCAGGAACATCAAGGAAGCAACTACTGTAACAAGTGGAAGAGGAAGAGATAAGCAGAAGGTGAAAGAGGCTAGGGAGGACCCGATCATATAGTGCCTCATAGGCTTTTGTAAGGACATTACTGTTTAAGAATGAGATGATATCCCCTAGTGGGGTTGGAGGAGAAGAGTGACATGGTCTGGTGTACATTTTACAGGTATCAAGTTGGCTGTTGTGTTGAAAATAGATGGTGGAGGACAAAAATACATCAGGAAGACCTGTTAAGGGTTTATAGTGACAAGTCAAGTAAGAGATGGTTGCTTGCAGGACGCTGGTCACTGGGGATGGGGTTGTCATCAACTGAGATACAGAAGGGTTGGAGGAGAAGATCATTAGTTCATCTGAAAACATGTTATGTATGTGATGATTATTAGTCATCCAAGTTAAATAGACAATATATATATAAATCATATATGCATATATTATATATAAATCTGTAGTCCAGGACAGAAATACAGGCTAGAGATACACATTTAAAGTTTCAAAAAGTATAAATTCAAAGCCACAGGAATGAACGAGGTCATAGAGTTAGTATCTGCAGGTAGAAAATAAAAATATCCAATTGCATATCCTTGGAATACTGCAACATTAAATGGTCATGGAGAATAGAAAGAACTAGAAAGCAGACTGAGAAAAAGTGGAGGGTTAGGCTGGAGGGGAGAAAGGAAGAATGCATGATTAAATATGATTAATTAGTGAAATACATACCTTTTAAAGGCAAAGATTTCTACCTGACTTTTTTCATTTTTGGCTAATGTTTTAAACAGTGCCCACATACATAAGTACTTAGTAAGTAATTGTTTAATGAAAATGTTACTAATAGGTAAAAGAAAATGAAAACTGAGAACCAGTCACTGGATTTTGCGATGTGTATGTCGTTTGTAGACTGATGAGAATGCATTAGAAGGAGAATGACAGGAAATAAATTGAGAACAGTAAGTGTAGAAAATACTTTTGGGTTTTACTGAAGAAGCTAGAGAGGGAGATGTTATCAGGAGAAGATTTTACTTAAAAAGAGAAGATATAAAAGCATGTCTGTATCTTCATGATAACAATATAACAAAAAGAGAAATCAGGAAATTGATGATTCAAGAGAGAGAAGTGAATTGTTAAATTGATGTCCTTTAGTAGATGAGAAGTTATAAGAGCTGATTCTCATGTGAAAAATCTAATGCATGTATATAATAATGCCTATAGTATCAAGGGAGAAGGCAACATTTTTCAGCTTAGGTTTACTTATGTAGGTAGGTAGCACACATACTACCTACCTACATATATGATGTGAGCATTAAGGCGTATCTATATACTGTTCCAGTTTTCTTGCAGTGGGAAGCAATCTCACCAACCAAAAGTGAGGACGGGGGAGAACATGTTAGATGTAAGAGGATGGGTGAAAGGTAACGGCATAGTCATCTAGAACAACAATCAGAAAACTTATTTTATAAAGGACCAGAGAGTAAATATGTTAAACTTTGGGAGCCATATGATCTCTGTGCAACTACTCAACTCTGTCATTATAACATGAAAGTAGCAATAGACAATATGTAAATGAATGAACATAATTGTGTTCTAACAAAACTTTACTTTGAAAAGCAAGCAGCGGGCTGAATTTGGCCTATGGGACATACCTTGTTAACCCTTGTTCTAAAGATGAGAAAGTAAACGGGCAAATAAAATACAGTATGATCACTTTGCAGCTTCTACATCTAATTTTAGCTTCATTAGTGCACATGCAAGTAAGGGCAACCAAGGTTGTGACTGTCCCAAGTAAAGAGGACAAAGTTTGAGTAGGCAAAATGAGTTAAGGGTATATGCAAGGGGGAGTATATGATGATTGGCTGAGTAATTTGAATAGAGAAAAATGTGAACATGAAGGGATGTGACAAATGGTTAAAAAGTGATAGAATCAGTGAATTGTAGATTTCAGTATATTTGTGAGATCATCAGTGGTAAGAAACTGTGAGTGGGCTACAAAGATAAGACAAGGCACTTGGATTCCTGGTGGCATGCGATTGATATCGTGGAGAGGTGGAGTTAGTGTTAAGGGCAAAATATAGAAAATGCCACCATGATGTGGCAAGGTGGAGGACAGGATCACTGGAGAATAAGATATCAGAGACAGGAGAGGCCACATTTTAAAGGATTAGCGGGCAAAAGAACAAAAGTTATCCAGGAGTCAAAATGTTCAGGAAATGAAGAGAAATGATGTAAGTAAATGTGTGGTAAGTAAATGACAGCAGTAAGGAGTATTACAGTATGTACATATGAGGAGTATTACAGTATGTACATATGAGGAGTATTACAGTATGCACATATGAGGAGTATTACAGTATGCATATATGAGATCCACAGTTTGGGTTTCTAAGTTGGAAGGAGGGAGAATATTTTGGATGTGGTAATGAGGATTAAGGAAAACAACTACCTCACTTGAATGCCCTGGCCTATGATGAGTGTATGAGACAGGATAAATACCACTGGGATGGCTGCAGGGGAAGCTGTGGAAGACAGCCATATACCAGTTAAAACAGGAAGTTAAAATAAAAACTCAATAAGAAGTGTCCGATAGGGAGGATTTTGGTAATATCCAACACAAGGAAACTGTTGGAGCTTATCAGACGTTAGTGATGGATGGGAGATAAAGGAATGAACAGATTCCTGATTTGGAGCAAGGAAATGATGTATGGACTGGAAGATTGAGCTTTTGAAACTGATTAACAAAAACAAGAAATAATAATATGATGAAATAAGAAATAATGGCTTGAAGGCAGATTAAGGTGGTAAGTGGGAAGCATTGAGGGAAGGAAAGAAAAAGAGAAGAAACATTTGTCATGAACTTGAACAAGTTATGAGGCCGATCACTTGACTCTAAGGTGAGAAAGTCAAAAGAGAGGTGGTCGTACTCCAAATACACAGTGCTCTTTGGATTCCAGCTGATTGAGATGGGAAAGACACGAGACGGGTGGTTGGTTTTGTTTTTTTTTTTTTGAGAAGGAGCCTCGTTCTTTCGCCCAGGCTGGTGTGCAGTGGTGCGATCTTGGCTCACTGCAACCTCTGCCTCCCGGGTTCAAGCGAGTCTCTGCCTCAGCCTCCCGAGCAGCTGGGATTACAGGCGCCTGCCACCACACCCGGCTGATTTTTGTATTTTTAGTAGAGACAGGGCTTCACCATCTTGGCTGTGCTGGTCTCAAACTCCTGACCTCACGATCCACCCGCCTCAGCCTCCCAAAGTGCTGGGATTACAGGCGTGAGCCACCGCGCCCGGCCTGATGGGTGGTTTTATTGTGAATGCTCAAACCATGTCTTGACCTATTCTTCTGGAAATACCGAGGCCTATGAAAGGCTTTATTCACACAAGTGAGTGAGAGTCCCACATGAGCAACTTTCATAGATGCGAGTGGAAATATAAACCAGTCAATATTTTTATAGGTGAAATCTCTGTTGCCTGATTGCAGACCATTTAGAGAAAGCACTTGTATGGAATTTCTTGTTCTCTTTGATGACCCACTAATCAGCCAACTGTGCTGAGATTCTCCGTCCTCAGAGAAAAGTGTCTGCATTATAACTTATTCTGGATAATGCTATGATATGGCACTATGAGATGGCAATATTTATCTGAAAAAAAAAGAAAAACAATGACTTTACCAGTTCTAACCCAGTGCTGTGGTCTTCTAAGAAAAGTCAACTGTTTCATTGCTATACTATCCTGTTATATTTTAAAACTCCTTTACTGCAGACCGTGCAGTATCTAATATATTAAGAACACACTTACTCAAGAGGCTGAGATGGGAGAAGGGAGAATCACTTGAACCTGGAAGGCAGAGGTTGCAGTGAGTCAAGATTGCACCACTGCACTACAACCTGGATGACAGATTGAGACCCTGTTCCCCACCCCCTCCAAAAAAAAGAAAAGAAAAGAAGAAGAAGAAGAAGAAGAAGAAGAAGAAGAAGAAGAAGAAGAAGAAGAAGAGGAAGAAGAAGAAAAAGAACATATTCATCTAAACTAAAGCCAGATTAATGAGGATATAAGGGAAATTTGAGATTCTTAATTTCCAAGACAACAGTATGTTTCTTACTTTTTAAATGGGCAATAATCAGAGGATAAATTTTACATTTGGATGATATCATGCACCTATGACTACTATCAAAAAGTAAGGGTCAAACAGTAACTGGAAAGCGCCCCCCGCCTCCACTATTATAGCACCATGGACAGTGACTCACCAACCCCCCCCCCCCCCGCCCCCCCCCGCCCCAATAGTTAAGCCCAGTTCATCAGTTAATCTGGAAAGCTCATAAACACCACAGGTTTTATAAAGATGGGTCAACTACATAACAACACTTTTCAGGTGATAATTAAAATCAGATATTGACTTAGTTTCTAGGCTTTAGGAAAAGCATAGTATAATGGAAAGAAAATTGAACTAGGAATAAAGACACATGTTTTAAATACAGCTCTAAATAAAGCTTTCGTAAATACAGAGATCTAGGCTGCCTTTAGTAAGCTAATTAATATTTCTGGAGTTCAGCGTATTGTTTGTAAAATGTTGACGGGAAAATAAAATGGGGGTAAAGTTATCAGAGGTCCTCTTTTGCTTTAAATTTCGACAATGTTGGCTAAAAGTCATCCCACAAATTTAGATGAACCCAGTCATACCAGTACCTGGGCCACTAACACATGCTCAATGCTCTGAAATTCATCTCAGATAGAAATAATATTTTATAAAATAGGCACTTCCATGCCTTAAATAACAAGTATCATCCCTTACACAAGAGAAGAGCCAAACAAAATGACTAGACAATATATAAATTTAACATTGCTTATAAAATGATCAGAGGCATTAATTTAGTGTACAAATTACATCACAATGACTCACGTTCTTTCTATGATTTTCTCTGCCTACATGTGTGTTGGCTAATTATCTTATGCTCACTCTACTTATGTTCCCAAAATGACTGCCAAAATTTCAAGTGTAAAAAAAAAATCCAACAAAGAGAAGACTTTTTGTTTTTCCTCATCTTTTACTTGTTATCAGTGAGAATAATGTAGTCTTTTCCAAAATCCCCCTGTAGATTTTTCCTCATCTTTCAGTCATTGGCATAATGACTGAAATTGCCATCATAGGTTTAGCTGAGCAAAATTATGTCTCTGGTATATAAATTTTGAAATATAATCTTTAGTATATGGGTATCCTAAGCAGGACTAATGTTCTGGCAACAAAAAAAGGAGAAATGGCTGTCAGTTCTACCTTACCTTACTTGAAATCTAGGTTCTATTCTATTCTCTCTAAGTTGACATAGACAGACACGTAAAATTGTTGGCAATGAGATATTTAGAATATTGACATTCTCCAATTGGAAGCCTTGTCTTCCTCTCCATCTATGGCTTTTTAACTAGAGTTTTATCAGAAAAGCTGTGAGCATATTTACATGATTCTAAATGAACAAATATAAATTAATAACATTAGTGCAGTGCTTTTAACTCTAATCCAACTGATAGGTTGTTGTGCATGAGTATCATCACCCAGACTATTTTATACATTAAAATTGAGTTGCCTGCACAATACTGAAGACTGATACATAGAAAACACAAAACACAGTTCTACAGCTTAAAGTGTTCAGTTTAATCTCCAGAAATAATTCTTTTCTTTTCACTTATTACCATTCTTATATAAATATTTTAAGGTTCAAAATAGTCACATAGACTTTTATCATATTAGCAATACATCTTATAGGTTGTAAAATTGTATACATTTTAACTTCTTCAATACATCAAATTTCTCCCAAAGGCTTCTAGTAAACTTCAACACTTAAAATCACTACCATTTTCAATTAGAAGCTAATTTATATTCAAAAATATTTACTGAATTATCTTTTACCAGGTACGAAGTAACATTATCTTACCTAAAACCAAATCCTTCCTTTAAAATTTCATGCTGTTATTTTTCCCCAGTAATAATATCCTTAATTCCTACGTTTTGAATTTTACTTAATGCTAATAATCCTAATTCCTATGATGTAAAAATGAGATGCAATTTACTTTCGATATTAATGTAATTATACACTTAAAATTCTCTTGAAATTATAAGAGAGTATGTCTTAGTTTTCTTTGCCAAGGAGAGCCATTAGCACCTGAATAGTACACAATTTTTCAAGTAACACAGGAAAATGTGAAATCACTTTCTAAAGCTCTGAGCCAATAAGGAAGTATTATGCATGATTATCCTTACTTTACCAATAACCCAATGTGCAGACAGATGAGCATATTTGCCACACCAAAATTGGAGACTGGGAACAAGGTCATCATGAGTCTAATAACCAGCTCTATTCTTATTTCTCTTAGTCACAAAAATATGATTAATGCAGCAAATGCAGGGTTGATATCTGATTATTTTCCCCTCTGGGTATGACATAATTCTGTCTGTCTCTTCACAAATATATTCCATGTGTGATGTTGATCCCATGCTCTGCAAAACACACCAGGAAGCCATTACAGTTTCTTTGCTCAAGAGGAGAAAATCATCAGATTTATGCAAGCACTGAAAATAGAGATTTTTGTTTTTAAATGCCACATGTCATTTTAGAGAGGACTGGTTTTTCCCCATGCCCCATCATAATTGTCCTGTGAAGGAGACGAGGAATAGGAAAAGTAGTCATTAGCTGATCCTTCAAAGAGAATGGCTCTTCAATCTGAAAATGGATTTTCTCATGGTGACATTTTGGGTTTAGTTAGTTGAACATAAATAATACGAGAGATTTTATCTATTTCCACAGATAATGAATTGAGCTTCATCTCTGGTGTCAAGATGTAAAGTAAATGAATGATGGTTGTGAGAATGCTACTCACAGTCTCTCCATCACAGAATGCATTTAATATGTTCCAGTTATAGGAAGTAGGAGAAAAGACAAAGATGGAGGTAATGAAAAAAGTCTGAAGACCCTGTAAATAAGTAGACCTGCATTCTCTTTTCATACACACCACTTAATGTATAGGAATTGGATTTTTAAGAAGCTTAACTGTGCTATAGAAGCTAAACAGGCGAAAGACAGTGACGTCCTTAATAGAACTTAGTGTTTGAAGGCAATGATAACCATGAGTGAAATATTTGCACGTTTGTGGAATGATAAGCATGAGTGAAATATTTGCATATTGAAATGTGATCAGTAGAATCATTTCTCAGAGGTTCAAGTACAGATTGTCTTGTTTTGTGAAATTAGTACTTATGGAAAAACTACCCATAAAAGTTTTCTATTTATAAGCAAATCATTTATCAGAATCCTGGAAATAATTTCCTCAGAAAAATTCTTAAATAAAGTAATACTTGATAGTGAAGAAAGCCTTTATTATTGCATAATTATATGAAAATAAATTATTTTCAGAAAAATTGAGAAAAATGTAAATATACATGTAGAGTGATTTTAATGTTCAAATGATGGATTAAGGGTCTACATGTCCACAGCCAGACTGAAAAAGCTATTCAAGTTCAAAAAATTTATGAAAATTTCACAGCAGTTGTCTTTCTGAATTTGATTTAGCTGATCACCAGGATGATACTAAAAGAATATAAAATAGATTTGTTGGTGTATAATGGCTATCTTAGAAGACATAGTTCAGGCCGGGCGTGGTGATTCATGCCTGTAATCCCAGCACTTTGGGAGGCCGAGGCAGGCAGATCACAAGGTCAGAAGATCAAGACCATCCTGGCTAACACGGAGAAACCCCATCTCTACTAAAAAATACAAAACAATTAGCCGGGCTTGGTGGCGGGTGCCTGTAGTCCCAGCTACTGGGGAGGCTGAGGCAGGAGAATGGCATGAACCCGGGAGGCGGAGCTTGCAGTGGGCCGAGATCGTGCCACTGGACTGCAGCCTGGGAGACAGAGCGAGACTCCGTCTCAAACAAAACAAAACAAAACAAAACAAAACAAAACAAAACAAAACAAAACAAAAAAAGTGGTTCAAATGAACAAATTGTACAAAACATAATTGCTGTGAACATTGAAATAATAAAATAGCTGAGATTCATTTATGGAACTTTTTTTCCTGAGGCCCCCAAAATTTTGTATAGATATTTCTCTGATTTTTAAGTGCTTTCCCTATAGAACCAGTTTTAAATTAATTTTGCTCTTGATTTAAAAAGATTTTCTCTTAATTTTTAAAATGTAGAAGTTAAAAATAAATATAAGGGAGAAAACATGACGCACACATAATCAACATATGCTTTTTCTCTGAGTATCCTGCTGGTAGGAAACTAACAAATGCACTAAAAAATGTAATGTCATTAAACATAACTTTTTTAGACACAAAACTGGCCTATTAAAACATGCTTCTTCTCAAAATTTTCTTTGATAGATGTCAATGAGTTTTAAAGAGCACAATAGACAATAGGATCCATTAATTTAATTTGCATTAACCAATCCATGTACCACCTCTTCATTTATTAAATAGCAATCTTAGATTTCTCTCCCCAAAAGAGTTATGAGAAAGTTGATTACCAAAGCAGAAAAGATGGAAAACATAGGTCTCCAGAAGACATATTTTGTTAGTGTTTTAGCTTTCTAAATTAAAATGGATATAAATTTGTTATGAGATTTTAAACTGAAGTTATTATGCCAAATGAAACAGAAAGATGACAAATTACAATCAGTAGGGAAAAAACTTTAAAAATAACTGAAAATTAAAGAATTATTGACTCTGATGTAAAATGAGATGTGCTTGATCTCATAGCTATTATATCTCAGATCTACTAAGCAAGCATACAAAAAACTTTCAACAAATATGTTTTGTTTTTGAGGAATTTTATTCTAAAATTCCTTAGGAATTTAGAAAATAATTTTTCATATCTTATTGTGTTAAGATGTAACTACAACATTTACATAGATTTATCTGTTTTTATGTTTATGACAAAGCCACAGTGTAATTGTCACTTTGTTTCTATTAAAATTGAAAAAAACACTAAAACATCAACTAATGATAATAACGCCTATTTATTGAGCACTCTGTATGCCAGACTATACTAGGCACTTCACCTACAGTTAAATTCGCAAACCCAAAGATATAGATAAGAGGGAACTCAAAGGGAGAGAGGTAAAGTGATATGCACAGAATCACTCAATTAGTAACAAAACCAGGGCTGGGTTCAAACCCATCTATTTGACTCAATTTGGAACTTTCGACAATAACTATATAATACCTTGCAAGCTAAAATTCTCTTCTCTTTCAGATTAGGCAGTGAAACTGATTATAAAAGGAAAAAATGAAGCTAGAAATCTACTTAAATTTCATTCAAAATATTTTCTTTGACAAAACCGAAGCCACATTCTCCTGCTATTGATACAGATTTACAGGGGTCACCAACTATTTAGAACTAATACTTTTGTCATTTATTATTTATATGTTACTTCCTTCCAAACTGATTTGAAGTATTTCTAGAATTGAAAAAGCTAAAACATTTATAATAGTTTCTAACATTCTGAATAAAACAGCAGAATAACGACTGGGTAACCATAGAATGTTTTGTCTCTAAAATTAAAAAAAATTAACAAAAGATAGGTAAACCCAGAAAGCATCCCACCTGCCCCTTCACACACACATATAGACATAAAAGGAATAAAATATTGTGCTACAATTTAAAATATTGAATATAGTTAGGGAGAGATAGAAGATTCTCATAACCTGCACTACTAGAAAAAGATTGGCATAGTTCTTATTCCAGTATGCACACAAAATTTTGAAATTTCTTTTAATTTGAATTAAAAGGTACGTGCTGTCTTAAGAATCCACACAGAAATACTCTTTATGCCTCAATGTGAAAGGAAGCACCAGTACAGGTTAGCATTACAGTTTTTCTTGTGGGAGGAAAACTATATGGGAAAGGCACAATGATCCTGTTTTCCTAGAGCTACTTACAGTTAAGAAATAAATTCATGACATTTTGCAAACTGGAAGACAAAAGACAGGATCATTTGACTGTTCTAGAAAAGACACATGAAGGAAAGCCTAGGGAAAATGCTACCCTATGCTCTGACAGATAAATAAAAATCATGGCTAAAATTCATTAATTATTTTTTCTAGTCTTTAAATGGTTATAAGAAGAGTATAAATAGACAGCTTTGTAGATACGGATAAAGTAGGGCATGAGGACACTTGAATTGTCATGTTTTCACGAAATGAAAGTATCCCATACAACCAGGGAAAAAATTCACAGCTGAAGATTATTCCAAAAAAGTGATCATATATATTCCAACCAGACGGTGTAGGTACTATACCCAAACTATTAGAAAAATAGCTAGTTTTCTTACTGAATAAGTCGTTCTAACTTAGCACTTTTGACTCTATCCCACTCTGACCTTTCCCCCACACCTACGCATACACACAATGCACCTCCTCAGCCTCTTAGAAAACCAGTAATAACATACAATTCACACCTCTGAAACAAAATCTTGGTTCTGGAGATAAACAAGACTTAAATTAGGTAGTGAAAGAATTATGAAGAATTTAACCAAATGAAGCAAGCAATGCTATTAACAAAAGTAATGAGTTTGAAATAAGATAATAAAAATGGTTGAAATAATTAATGTCATCGGGACAATACTTACAATAATTACTGTGAATACTAAACATGAGGAAAAATACTGATTAAGGTAACTCAACATCAAGTTAAGCAAAATAAGCCAGGCAACGAAAGGCAAATGTCGCACATTCTCACTTATGTGGGAGCCAAAAAAAAATTGATTTCATGGAAGATCTTTAATAGAATCCTGGTTATCAGAGGCTAGAAATGGTAGTGGGGAGGGAGAATAAAGTGCAGTTGGTTAGTGGGTACAAAAATACAATTAGACAGATGGAATAAGCTCTAGTGTTCAGTAGCAAATAGCGCAAATATAGTCAACAACAATTTATTGTATATTTCAAATTAAGTGGAAGAATAGATTTGGTATGTTTCCAAGACAAATAAATGATAAATATTTGACATTACATATTGTATATATGTATATACTGTTATAAGCATATAATGTATAATGTATATATAATATATATTATATACATAAATTACATTTATATACATATATATCTAGGGAGATAGATACATATAGATTATCTCTCTCTCTCTCTCTCTCTCTCTGTGTGTGTGTGTGTGTGTGTGTGTGTGTGTGCGTGTGAAGGAGACTTTTCTTGAACTCCTTATGTTTGGCTAAACATCTCTCATCTTTGTTTTTCTATAATATGATTCTGGTAAATCTCCATTCTAGTAGTACTTATGTTAAAATTTATATTGGTACTATCTCTTTAAGTGTCAATTTTTCTCTTTGAAAACCAGGGAGTGACATTTTCATATTTACCCACTTCAGTTTTTCTCAGATTCCCACTCAAAAGATATACTGAACTGGGTTCATTCCCCTCTAGGAGTGTTGATATCACTTCCTGCTCTATACTATCTTATTCAGATATCTTCTTAAACGCATAGGTTGTATAAACACATGCTTCAGTTTTAGTTTGCCTTTTTACTTATAGGATATGAAAGTAGAGAATCAATGCTATTATTGAGAAAAGTTGAGAAAAATACTGTGATCTAGTCTGGCTAAGTTGAAAATAAATTCCCTCCTCAATTGCCTAATTCTTCATTTTCTTTCTTTGTTTACACACAGCTAAATTACTTACAAATGAAATGGACAGTAATGACAATATTAAGAACATGTGGTTTTTGTTTGTTTCTTCACAGGAAATTACTGACAATCAGAATTGGATGCAATGCAAACAGCATTAGAGAAGAAAATAAATCACTAATTAAATTAGTGTTTTTTAATCAAGCAGAAGACCCTCAAATATTATTAATGGAGGCTGCTAATTTTAGTACTCCCTCTGGGGACTCTCACCAAATAAATTTTCATTATGACCTCAGTCTATATAAGACCATAGCAGTGAAAGAGATATGAATCTAAGAGATCTCTATAAACAAATCAATGAACTGGAAGCCTCAAACAAATTCGTACAGACCTATTCCAGTAACACATTTCACTGGCTGTGCTTTTAAGTATCTCATTAGCTGTCCATTTAGGATAAGACATTCTGTTTTTCCCCCCAGGGGATTCACCTCATGTACTCTATGGTGACAGAATACCATTAACAAGCTTGCAGGGATGCACAGACTTTTACCCACACTTTCAGAAAGGAACAACTCAGTGCAATGAAAGAAACCATTAAAGTAAAGCATTACAGTTGTATTTTTTCCAGTGAAAGTTTTAAATCTTTATAATTAGCAGTCTCCCTAAGTTTTATATTTTTTTACTGTGGAAGTTTTCAATCTTATAATTAGCAGTCTCCCTTAATTTCTAATCTTATATTGTCAGTCTCCTTAAGTTTTTAATCTTTATAATTATCAGTCTCCCTAAGTTTTAAACATGATGATGGAAAAATTACCTGAGAAAGTATTGATATTTTTCTTTTATAGCCTAATCACTATAAATATTAACAATACAAATAATGAAAATTTATAAATTAGTTTTATTACAAGGAATGTAACTATTTATAGGTAAGATTTATTACAAGGAATGCAGCTTTTCAAGGGGCATTCTCAGTATTTTTTATTGTTGTTTTAATGTGAAAAGTGATATCCATGAAAAAAGCAATAGAATTTTTGTAATTACCAGACAAGGTGGCTTCACACAAAAGCTAATAAAGATGTAAAATTAGAGACAGCACAATTATCATAGTGTGTCAGTACAAGAGCAGAGGTTACTACCCAAATTAGATTAGAGGGACAGGGATCTATTTTCTTCAGGTGGAACTGTAGTGTGACTAGACATTTTTGTCATACTGTAAATAATTTTCTTCAGAATACGTGTTCTTTGAAGATACATATTTCTGTGATTCTGATAATATTTTGTTTTTAACTTTGCAGCTACTCATAAATCAATGTTGAGTTAAATTTATTCAGGTTTTTAAAAATGTATGAAATGACCAACAGAATAATGAAAAAGATATGAGGCATTGACAAAAAGGAAGAACAGGAAGAACGCCAAAATACACTGTTAATACAGTAATGGTCAATTCCTGGTCCAGCTGTGCACATCTGCAGAATATTTTCCTTTACCCTACAGTATTTCTTTAGAAAATTTCCTGGTGTGGTTATCTCTCTAGGCAGATAAATTCAAATATATTTTCAGGCGAGATCTCACCATACTGTTGCTATTGCAACAACTGATAATGTTAGTGCTAGTACCTCCACTAGCACTCTCAGTCTCAATAAATGGGAATATTATTATTCTAATTACCTAAGTTAGAATGTTGAGAGAAATTCTAGATTATTCTCTAATTCAAACTCATTCCCTACCTTCCACTTGACCATTTTCATTCCTAAATATTTGCTGAGAAGGAAAATCATAAAGTGGCCCTAAAGGAGGGACTTTAGATGGCCTGGCTTAAAATCCACATACAATTTTTAGTGTCTCTATCATCTTGAACAAAATACTCAAATTTTAAAGGATGTATTTCCTCTTCTCTTAAATGAAGATAAAAATAAATTTAACCTTAGAAGGCTTCCATAAGGATTATTTGATATAATCTATGTAATAAACTTTCCACAGTACATGTAAAATAGTAAGTGCTCAAAGATATTTCCTGTAATCAGCAGCAGCAGCAACTGCAACAGCATCAACATCCTCATCAACATCAGCATCACTCCCGTTAGCACCATCATCATTATCATAATCATCATTTCAAATCTATTCCTATATCTCTATTCACACTTTGGCCTCAATTCAGATCTTCAGAGCATGACCCTTGACTTACATGATACATTTCCAATTGGTCTTCATCTTTCCAAGCTTACCACTCTTTGAAAGTACTCCTTATTTTTATTTCAATTGACACATTAATGTATGTATTTGTGGGGTACAATGTGATGTTTCAACACATATATATACATCATGTAATGATCAATTCAGAACAATTAGCATATTATCTCAAATATTTATAATATCTTTGTAGTAACAACATTCAAAATTCTCTCTTCTAGACATTTTGAAATATTCAATACATTATTAAACATAGTCACCCTAATGTGCAATAGGACACTATAACTAATTTCTCCTAATTTTAACTTTGTACCCATTGACCACTCTCCCTCCTTTTACCCCTCCCCTCTATTCTCCCTAGTTTCTGGTAATCACTGTTCTGTTCCCTGCTTCTATGAGATCAACTGTTTAGATTCCACATGAGTAAGGTCATATGGTATTTCTCTTTCTATATCTGGCTTATCTCACTTAATATAAAGCCTTCCAGATTCATCATGTTGCCACAAATGACAGAATTGCATTCTTTTTTATGGCTGAATAATATTCCATTGTGTATATGCCACATTTTTCATTCCTTCATCTGCTGATAGAAACTTACGTTGATTCCATATTTTGGCTATTGTGAATAGTGCTGAAATAAACATGGGAGTGCAGATATCTCTTAGACACACTGATTTTATTTTCTTTAGATATACATGTAGTAGTGAAATTGCTGCATCATATGGTAGTTCTATTTTTAATTTTTTGAGGAACCTCCATAGAGTAGTCTTTGAAAATAAAGAACTCATCATGTGCCTCTCCTGCTTAAAACACATATAGCAGGCTGGGCGTGGTGGCTCATGCCTGTAATCCCAGCACTTTGGGAGGCCGAGGCGGGCAGATCACGAGGTCAGCGATCGAGACCATCCTGGCTAACACGGTGAAACCCCGTCTCTACTAAAAACACACACAAAAAATTAGCCGGGCGTGGTGGTGGGCGCCTGTAGTACCAGCTACTCGGGAGGCTGAGGCAGGAGAATGGCGTGAACCCGGGAGGCGGAGCTTGCAGTGAGCCGAGATCGTGCCACTGCACTCCAGCCTGGGCAACAGAGCGAGACTCCGTCTCAAAAAAAAAAAAAAAAAAAAAAAAAACCACATATAGCAAAGCCCATATATTTAGTTAAATATACAAGTTTTGATAATTTGATTATCATTTGCCTTACCTTACTCATCTCACAGAATCTATCTGTTAAGAAACAATGCTTCAGCTCTTCCAGATGTACAACTGCTTGATGTAATTGCTTGATGTTACTAGGCACAGAATGCACAAAATTGCTTGATACAATTGCATGAAAGCTTGACACAAAATTTCGTCTGGTCACAACCTCATCTTTACCTGGAGAATAATTCTGTCATTTCCTCTGGGAAACCCTCCCTGGTCCCCTAGTCTAACTAGATACGTGCCTCTGTTCTTCCAAAGTCTTCTCTTCATACCTTCTTCATAGGCCTTGTTGCCTCGTACTTATTTGTCCATCTTCCTAAATAGATGTTATGCTTCATAAGAGCAGAGATTACACATTATACATATTTCTGTATCTCCAATGCCTGCAGAGTGTCTTTCACAAATGAAAATATATGTATATGAAAAGTGAATGCTATTTATTATTTTTTCAATATTTCTTTTGTAAAGCCTTTTCGTCCGTGATCTTACTATCTTCAACAACCTACCTGAAATTATTATAAAATCATACAGATTTAACTTTCTCAGTGACTCAAACATCCCATCTCAATTTCTTCTAACTGGCACCAACTAATATGCATTAACTTTCAATGTATTCATTCCTCTTTTTCTCTTTCACCTAGTACACCTATATATTACTTTGAAATTTGAATTGATCTTCCAAGTACAGAGGGAAACTCATCTACTCTTTCAAATTCAGACTCACCTATGGCTATTTCTCCCTTGTTTTCCTAGAATTTGCTTAAATATACATTTCTATTTGAATTTCCATTGCTCATGTGCATGCAAATACACACGCACACACACACACACACGTAATCTTCGGAACAAACTTATCCTTCACTTTTATTAACATACCTTTTTTAAATCTATACCATTTTACTCAGTTTCTTTAGCTTACAAAAATCTCATCTATCAACTTGACTGATCAAAATATAGTCAGGTGCCCAAATTGTATGGCCCCTCCCAAACAAACAAACATTTTATAATTCTTGTTCTCATGCCAATTATGCAATGTATCTTTCTTTAGGAACTTCATAGAACTTTTGTTATTCTTTTAAGACATCTAATATGGTCTTCTTTTTACATTAACTTATCAGCTTAAATGAACTGCTACTTAATCTACCTTCATTTTAAAATGAAGGCCAAAATTGTTATTGTATTTTAAGATCGTACAAAGTAGTAAAGCTCTGTATAGTTTTAAATGATGCATTTGACTGAAAGCCATGGATAGGCAACTTTGAGTGTGTGTCCACTTGGCTAGGCTCAACTCTGTTTCTCAGAATTTCCACACACCTGCATAGGCGCGTGTGTGTGTATGTGTGTGTGTGTCTCCTAATTATAGTGAGCTTCAAAAGATATTTTGCATGAGATGTAGATGGTGGAAGTGAAGCCGCAGCCATGTTTTTCATGCTCACAATGCCAGGGCTGGGGCTAATGCATGCTGTTGCTTTTCTTTTTGCTCACCTTAGCAGTGTCAGACAGCAGAGAGTCTTGCAGCTGATCCCCCTTCAGCTTGACCCAACTCCTGGGCCAAGTGTAGATCTAACTCTGTAACAAATGGCACTAACTTTTCCATGGGACACTGACATAATTGAGGTTGGTGTAAGTGAGAAGTGACACAGACTCTGTTCTGGCCTTACGGACTCTAGTTTGTGCTCATGGCTTTCCTTGCACATGCTCTCCAAACTTTACATCCATCTTTACTTCCTGACTGCCTGCCTCAGCATAAAGGCAAATCTCTGTAAAAATGTCCTTAAAAATATGTATATTTGTGTGTATATTCATTCTACTTCTTTGATTCAATTATCAAGTATGGTTTCAAAAAATGGTTTTGATGGATTTCAGGATAGGCTACTTGAGAATATGGCACTTTAGTATACTGAATATTTTAAAGTGAAGGAATTTGAGAAATGTCATGTGCAGGAAAAACTTTCTGACCTTCCCCTTATACAGGTCATGAGACCCTCATGTCAGAAGTGCCTTCCCTATACCTGGAGAAAGGAACATCCTTATCTCTGAAAATGGAAGAATGCCAAAAAGAATCTGAACAAATAACCCTTGCTAAGTTTTCCCCAGTTTACCACAATTAGCTCATACCCTTTGCCCCGTCACGTTTTTCTACAACTTTTTACTCTTCATCAAACCTAGCATGAAAATGGCCATGTTTCACTGCTTTTGTGAATCTTCATTTCTTTACTAAGGCTTCCATGTCACATAAAACTTATATTACATAAATCTGCATGCTTTTATCTTGTGTTAATCTGGTTTCATTGTTGTTGTTTCTTTATTTGTGACAGGGACCCCAGCCAAAAACTTAAAAGGGTAAAAAGAAAAAAAAAACCACATATATATATATATATTTTTTTTCTTTCTTTGAGACGGAGTCTCGCTCTGTCACCCTGGCTGGAGTGCAGTGGCATGATCTCAGCTCACTGCAAGCTCCGCCTCCCAGGTTCACGCCATTCTCCTGCCTCATCCTCCCAAGTAGCTGGGACTACAGGCGCCTGCCACCACACCCGGCTCATTTTTTGTATTTTTAATAGAGACAGGGTTTCACTGTGTTAGCCAGGATGGTCTTGATCTCCTGACCTCGTGATCCACCTGCCTCAGCCTCCCAAAGTGTTGGGATTACAGGCGTGAGCCACTGCACCAAGCCAAGAAAAAATATTTTTATATCCCCCACAGTTTATCTGAATTGGTTCTGGGTTATCTAGCACTGGTTTTCTCATGTGATTAAATGTAAAGGCAGTAATAATCCTACATACTTTAATTAAATGTCTATAGAAGACAAAGCTTTGGGTGAACAACTATTTGCTGCTGTATAACATGTTAGTGAAAATAAGGAGAATAATGAGATTCTTTCGCTACTTCTAATGGCACTGGAGAAAGCTAGGGAGAAAGTATGTACTCAGGGATTTAAATTTCCAGCACAAGGACCACATAAGAGACCTCAAAGCTTCTGTTACTTCTCTTATATTCTGTACCTATCAAGATTTCTGAAAAGCAAACTCTAAATATTAATATATAGATAACTGAATTACAACACAAATTTAATTCTTAAACCTCTCAGGATTTCTTTTGTTAAGGTTGCCATCAAGGTTTGGGAAGGAATGAGACTGTGAAAATTAGGATAGAGACCCATGGAGACATTCCACTGAAGCTGAGAACTTTGAAGCCTGAAATTCTGCCAAGATCACTCTGCCACTAGAAGTAGCCCTCTTAAATCTGCAGAGGAAGTCAGTTCCCCCTTACCTGAAGACGTTGTATTGGCTGCCCTTTAGGTACTTGCCTTACAAGGGGCTACCTATCCTTCCTAGGAACTACCACTAACCCCATCTCCTTGCTTCTAGACTTTATCACAAAATTCCAGTCACAGGAGGTCCTAAAAGATGAAATGCAAAGTTTGACCCACGAGAAGGTACAGTTCCATCATTGATGGAAATAGGACCAAAAGTAATCCCACACCAAATGAGGCTGAAATGCTTTCTTTTTCTGAGTAAACTGTAGAGGAAGTTATCCAAAGTCTTAGTGCAACTAGAATTATGTGCTGGATTTACCATGTAAGACCTGCTCAACCCTCTCATCCCTTAAATATACCCTCCAGGGTCTAAAGTACACTCTCTTTCTTATGAAAGTAGGAAAAATTTTTGAAGAAAGTCTCTCCCTCCTCTTCCCCATATTCTTAAAGAGCTCCATAGTGTCTCTTCTCTGTAGGCCAGTTATTAAAGAGGAAACTGCTATAGTTAAACAGAAATCTCTAACTACAATTAGAATCCTGGGATTGCAGGGACCAAGTAGTGTCATTTAATGTTCAAGGACCAAGTGAGCATGGTTATCGTGTTAGACACAGAGCCAGAACATTAATCAGAATAGTCTGATCCACAAAAATTTGTGTTATTGGCAACTTGATTATAGTGTCCCTAGAACTGAAATAGGTACATAACATATTGAAGCTTATTTGATTTGCATAAGTCAAAAACTCTAGATCTAGTAAATAAAGGTTGACTTGAATCACCAAAACAAAGAGGCAGGACCCTCAATCAATTTTTAAACTTGAACAAGCTTGTAGTTTAAATTCCTTAAATTCAAGAAATTTAAGTTTAAATTCAAGGAATTTAAGTTTAAACTCAAGGAATTTAAGGAATTTAAGTTTAAATTCCTTCATTTAAATTCCTTAAATGAAGAGAGGTGGGTTCCCTTAAGGAAGGACCCTTCCACTCTGCGAAAAATTTAAAGAGATGACCTTATTCTTCCTCAAAGAGACCTCTAGCCATTTACAAGAGTGACCACACATTGGAGAAGAGGAAATAGACTTCTAGGATATTACTAATTACTGAATCTGAGCCGACACTAATTTTTGCAGAACCAAAACGTTGTTTCACCAGTCCAGGTAGAAGCTTACTGAGGTCAGATGATCTGACTGAGATTCACCTCTCAATGATCTCAGTGGACCTGTTGCAGAAGTCTTGCCGCTTTTTATATAACTCAGAAAATGTATTAAAGTAATACTCAAATGAAGTATATGCTTCTGCCTACATGCAGAAAGATCCAGTTGATATTTTACCTCTTTTTAAGTGGTAGGAGGGGCCAGATGTAGCAATTTATTTTTAATCTTGGAAGAAATATCCTAACATGTCCCAGACCACCAAATTCTTAAAAAATTTTCCAAGGCAGCAGTATCCTTCATTTTTGTGTATTTTATTTTTAAACCTCTGTCACACAAGAGTCTTACCACTGTGTTTAGAGTAGTTGCTACTTCCTGCTCACTAGATCCACTGAGTATAATAACATCAATGTAATGAAAAGCAATACCATTTTTCTGGTGGCTAACTACTCTGTTTTTGAGAAGTTTGTTTAGATTCTGGTTTGCTATTAGGCTTTAGGAGAGACTGAATGCTTGACCATGACTCCCAAATTATCATGTAACTTGAGCTGCTCATCATAAATTGGATATTGTCTGACCTACCTAACCATACGTTTGTGTGTGGACAGCAAGCAGCATGCTGTCATCAAGTGAAAATGATATGTTTGAGATTGGGCTTCAGCAGGTTGTGCAGGCACTATAATTTATATGAGAAAGTTTCCTGAAAGCCCATGGTTCCTATTCTTGCAAAACTTACATTCTTTTACTCAACCTTCACCTATGGCTTCATTAGGAGTGTCTATGACTAGTTGGCTGAAAATGAATAAGTAGAGTTTGAAGTATATAAGTTCTGTTTGATAAGTAGGTGCCATCCAAATGTGACCAGTCGAAATGATATAGTTCTACTCTGTGGGGCCCTGTTGACATCAATTAAGGCAAAGCTGCCTGATCAGCAGAACTTTGAGCAATATACCCAATGTCCCTTTGTTGGAGAGAGAAATAGAGGTATGGTTTATACCAATGTATGAACTGTGGGCTAATAGTTTCACTGAATGCTGGAAAATACACAGTTAGAAAACTGGTCTCAGGGAGAAATATCTCGAGATGTATATATATATATATATATATATATATATATATATTTTTTTTTTTTTTTTTTTGAGATGGTGTCTCGCTCTGTCACCCAGGCTGGAGTGCAGTGGTGCAGTCTTGGCTCACTGCAAGCTCCACCTCCTGGGTTCACGCCATTCTCCTGCCTCAGCCTCCCGAGTAGCTGGGACTACAGGTGCCTGCCACCACTCCCGGCTAATTTTTTTGTATTTTTAGTAGAGACGGGGTTTCATCATGTTAGCTAGGATGGTCTCGATCTCCTGACCCCATGATCTGCCTGTCTCAGCCTCCCAAAGTGCTGGGATTACAGGCGTGAGCCACTGCACCCAGCCCTGGATAGATATTTCTAAGTGGACAGCAAGTTAAAGATATTTATGTTGCATGTAAATGCTCACAAATATGTGACCACAAGAGAGGAGAATTTTAATAGGTGGATAAGATGGATCATTCTATAATTCTTGTCATTATATTAAGCTTATGAAAAAATTGGCCATTGTGTCAGAAATGAGGCCATGCAACACCTACTTCTACTCACTAAGGTTAAGCTACTCACTAACGTTGAGCAACTTCTCACTGCCCAATTGCCAAATCAGATGTGAACATTTAACCTCCCATATAACATAATTTACCAGGGGAGAATTAGTCAGCTACATATTGGCAGGTTGATTACATTGAGTCATTTCCATCTTAGAAGAGGCCTTACTTTATTCTCACTGAAAGAGACACTTGCTCTGGATATAGATTTTCCTTTCCTATCCTCAATGCCTCTGCCAAAATCACCACCTTTGGACTTACAGAAAGCCTTATCCACCATCATGGTGGATACCATCACGTTATTCCACCTAACACCACTTCTGGTGAAGGACATCTTTCACAACAAATGAAGTAGAGCAATTGGTTCATGTTCGTAGAATTCATTTGTCTTACCATATTCCTTATGAACTTGAAACCACTGGCCTGTTAAAATGGTTGAATGGCCTTTGGAAGAGTCAGTTACACTATCAGTTAGATGGCACCCCCTGGCAAAACCGGAGCAATGTTTTCCAGGGTGCGGTGTATACCGTAAATCATTATTCAATATATGGTGCTGCTCTCCCATTTGCCAGTATCTAAAAATTTGTTTAAAACAAATGGAAGAAAATAACTAAGAAAAGAGCAAGAGTTATGAAATTTAAAAATAAAATCAATGTAACCAAGAGCTGATTCTTTCAAAAGATAAAGTTGATAAATATTGACCACATTGATCAAAGTAAAGAAAAAGAAAGAAAACACAAAAATTACTAATAACAAGAGCAAAAGAGAGGATGCCACAACAGATTAGACAGGCACTAAAAGATAAAAAGGAAATATTATGAATAACTTTTTTTGTAATAATTTGAATATGTAGATTAAATAAATTCCTTAACAGACATAAACTACTGAAACTCACTCAAGGACAAATAGATAACTTTAAAAGTTTTAAACTATTAAATGTATTGATTTGTGATTTAAAAGTTTCCAGAATGGAATATTTACATTCAGAAAGCTTTAATGGAAAAATTCTATCAAAATTTTAAGGTATAAATAATACTAATTCTACCCAAACTCTTGGAGAAAATAGAGGAGGATTGAACATTCTCCATCTCATTTTATAAAGTCAGCGTTACCCTGAGACCAAAGCTAGGCTAAGATGTTACAAAAAAAAAAAAAAAGAAGAAAGCTATACAACAATATACCTCATATACATAGATAGATGAATACTAAACAAATTAATAGAAAATCAAAGATAGCAACATTTCAAATATCATACCTCATAAGCAAGTCATTTTATCCCAAGAATGCAAGGTTGATTCAATTTTTGAAAATCAATTAATGTTATTTACTAAAGAAAAAACCCATAAACTTACTTTAACAGATAAAGGCATTAGACAAAATCCAAGATATATTTATGAGAAAAACTCTATAAATATTAATATAAGACCTCATAAGACATCTATGAAAAACCTGCAGCTAATATAATACTTAATGGTAAAAGACTAATTTTTCCCTCTGACAGTGGAAATAAGTCAAGGATGTCTTTTCTCACCACTATTACTAAACATCATGTTGAAGATTATAATCAATAATAAAGAAAAGAAAAAACTCAAACAACTTGGAAAACAAGAAATAGAAATGCCTTTGTTCACAGATCCCATGATGTCTATGTAGCAAATCACCAAAAAAAAAAGTAGAAGAAAAAATTACTAGAATTACTCTGTGAAGAAAGTGAATTTAGGAACTTTCCATGGTACAAAGCCAATATAAATAGTCAACTTTATTTCTACATATTAACAGTAGAAAAATTGGAAATTAAAATAGAAAATAGGGTAATTTACAATGTCATCAAAAACAGAACATCAGAACATGTAAAGATAAATTTAGTAAAACCTGAAAAAATCATATGTAAAATGTATACGCTATGAACTACAAAACTTAATGAGAAAAATCAGAGAAGATATAAACAAATAGAGATATATACCATGTTAATTGACTACAAGGAAATATTTTAAGATATCAATGCTCTTCAAATTAAACAATAGAGTCAATGCAATCTCTACCAAATCTCAGCCGGGTGTTCTGGGTAGAAATCAACAAGTTGATTTCTAAATTTACATTAAAAAGTAGAAGACTAAGAAGAGCCAAGGTATTTCATAAAAGAAGAAAGGTCCAGAAGTCACACAACCTGATTTCAAGACTTACTGTAAGTTTATAACATAGAGACATTCTATCCTTGCCTAAAGGACAAACATACAAATCACTGGAAAATAAGAAGGGTGTAGAAATAAGCCAACAAATATATGGCCAATTGATTTTTGTCAAAGACGACCACGTAATTCAGTGGAGAAAAGGGAATCTTTTCAAGAAATTATGCTGGAAAATTGGATGCCCATATGCAATAAAAATGAGCTTCAACATATGCTTCATATGACTTATAAAAATTAACTCAAAATTCATCATGGATTTTAATGTAAAACCTAAAATTATAAAACTCCTAGTAGGAATCATAGTGGAAAATCATTGTGGTTCTGGATAAGTCCATAAAAATATAACCCATGAAACAAAGTGAACAAATTGATTTCATCAAATACCAAACATCTTTTTTTTTCTAAAGTAACTATTAAGAAGCTGAGAAGATAAGTCAATGACTGGGAGAAAAATGACATATCTGATTCAAATAACCTATTTATATAAAGTACTTATATCCACAGAATTCTGACAGCTCAATTAAAGAAAAAAATGGCCCAATTTTTAAAAATCAAGAAAATATTTGAGCACATACTACATCAAAGAGGAAACATGGATGGCAAAGAAACACACTATTAGTAATAAGGGCAATGTAAATATAACTACCAAGAGATATTGCGCCTATTAGAATGTGAAAGTCAAAACGCAAATAGATGACACCAAGTGCTGATAAGGAGTACAGCAATTGCAACTCTCATACATTGCTCCTAGAAAAGCAAAATGGTACAGAAACCTTGGAAAACACTTTGGCCGTTTCTTAATATTAAAATGTATACTTACCTACATGCCAGTAATACTGTTTCTAGGCAGTTTCCCACAATAAATAAAAATACATGTCTACACCAAGACCTGTATGCAAACATTCACAGCAGCCTTATACTTTACACCAAAAATTATAAACAACCCTAATATCAGTCAGCTGGTGAGTGGGCAACTAAATTGTGACAATGGTATCACTGAGCAATAAAAAGAAGCAAACTGCTGATACATGTAATGACATAGATGGCCCTAAAAGGCATTAGGCTAAATAAAAGAGGTTACATACAAAATACTGTTACTTATAATTACCTTGATATCACATTCTAATAAAGGCAAACATACAGCCACAGAAATCAGATTAGCGGTTTCCAAGGCTTGGGGATGATAGGAGGGTAATAACTGCAAAGGAACAAGAGAGGACTTTATTAGGATCATGTAACCGATGTAATGGATACTATGTAAATGTCCATAACTGACTTGTAGGAACATTTCTAACTTTTTAGGGTAATATTCTACACCTTGATTGTTGTGATGGTTATATGACTTTGTACATTTGTCAAAATGCAAAGAATTTTAATTCTAAAAAGAATAAATTTCACTGTTTGTAAATTAGTGCTCCAATATACCTAACTTTTGAGGGAAGGAGGGGAGTGAGGGTTGAAAAAAATTACCTACTGGGTACACTGTTCAGTATTTGGGTGATGGGTACACAAGAAACCCAATCCTCACCATGACACCTATAATACCCATGTAACAAGTACATGTACTCCTTGAACGTGAAATTTTTAAAGAGAAGTAATTGAAGAAAATTATAGATAGAAATGTCCACATGGCCGCATGCTTTCTTATCTACTGTTACGTCCAATGAGAAAACTTCAGATGGGTGTTGGATTAAGCAAAAGATAGGTAAAGTGCTCAGCCACATTTAAGGGTACAGGAGAGGAGAATCTAGTATATTATGGTTTATTGATGTATTTATTATTCTCCTATCTGCTGCTCTCAGTTCTAAATCTCTTTTAGATGAGGTTTTCTTTTTTAATTGAAACTGCGAAGTTTGATGAAACCATATTTCACCCAACAATGGCATTGATTACAGACATGAAATGAATGCTTTTTAAATACCTTCAGCCAAAATACAAAAGAAATTTTCTTATTGCAAACATAATTTCCCTGTGTAATGTTGCTTGAAAAGTTGACCAACTAAATATCAATATTATAAAACAGTCAAACATGCATGAGAGTCAAGGTTAAATTGGCCGGAATTTAAAAACCACTAAAGAGAAACACACACACACACACACACACACACACACACACACATATATACAAACAGATAAATATTTCAGATAGAACATCCAAAATTCATTCAATGGAATACAATTCTATAGTCTGAACTCATTATTGGCTCAAAAATCAGATATTGACCATAATGAAACATGCAGAAGGATCTTTTAGGGGAGATTATAGTTACATGCAATTATCTGCTATTCCATTTACACTGACAGAGAAGCTATATTCTCCAGGGAGCAATTTTTACTTAGACAGAGAGTTGTCACTATTGATTATAGAAAACTGATCATGTTTTCTCAGCATAAGCTCACTTGGTCTATCACAGTTTCCCTATCTAACAAAAAACAGCTTTCCTATCTAACAAAAATCATTGACTTCCTTGTTGATTTGCCTTATGTGTTAACATTTCTAATATCTTCCGTGTAGGTATGTTACTAATGACACTTTTCATAGTTATGAAACCAGAGAAGTGATGAGTATAATTTGCCTTTGTCAACCACTGATTATCTCTGCTAAAGGAAGCTCAGCTCAATATGACTAGATAAGTAAACCTCTTTTAAAAGCTATTGGTCTTCAACCCTGGTTTTCCATTAGTACCACCTGAGGAGCTTTAAAAAATACAGAAACTTAGTGTCACATTTCCAGTTCTCTCACCCCAGATATTTCAGTGTCTTGGATAATTCCCAGACGTCAGTATTTTTTTTTTTTTTTTTTTTTTTTTTTTTTTTTTTTTTTGAGACAGAGTCTCTCTCTGTTGCCAGGCTGGAGTGCAGTGGCACGATAGAAAACACAGAATTAAGCTATTGGGGTTTTTTTTTCCTTCTTTTGACCTTTATAAGAACTAGATATGAGTGGAAAATTGATTGATATTAATTTCACTAATAGTGATTCCTCCCACCTGCTCTGAGAGCAAGACATGAACAGTGAAGGAGTTCTGGGCATCTGATATGGTTTAGATCTGTGTCCCCACCCAAATCTCATGTTGAAATGTAATCCCCAATGCTGGTCGTGGGCCCTGGTGAGAGGTGATTAGATCTCCTGCTCTGGCCATGTGAAGTGCCTCACTTCCCATTTGCCATCTGCCATGATTGAAAGCTTCCTGAGGCCTCCCCAGAAGTTGATGCTGCCATGCTTCCTGTACAGCCTGCAGAACTGTGAGCCAATTAAACCTCTTTTCTTTATAAATTACCCAGTCTTGGGTGTTTCTTTATACCAGTTTAATACTTATAATTTCTACAATCTTAAATTTTTAACCTAACAACTTTTAACTATCCTCTACTGTCTTGATGTCTCTCTTACTTCCTTACCCAGCTTAAATTCTAAGGTCAGTCATCATAAACATTTCCTTGCATACATCCTCAGCTTCCTTGCAACATCTCTGACTTTATAAAACTTGTTTGGCCAAGTATATCCAATGTATTAATCCCTTCATTCTTGCAGCTGAGTGTGGCTGGAGAAAAACACACAACCTGTTGATTGGTTTTGCTTTTAATACATGACCAGAAACCTCATATGGGCCCTTTATGCTTCCATACAATTATACTATATGCAATTATAGACATTCTTTTTCTTAACTAGACACTTTTTCCCCTAGCCTCAATCTGAGCTAATTATTTTATATCTTACAGAGAAAATGGAAACAATTAGAAAAGAACTTTTGGATATTTCCATCACGTATCTTCCAACCTCCCAGCATTAGTTTTCACACCCTCTGCCTTATAAATGTAGCACCAGAGATAAATCATGCATGCTTTTTTTTTTTTTTTCTAAATCCAGTTTCTCCTCTTCTGCACTGGTTCCTCTCCTGGATCGCCTACTTAAGAACATCTTTCCAACAATTCACACCTTGAAATCCCATTTTTGAGTGTTTACTCATTACTAGATCTTTTCCGTTGACATAGACAGTATGCTGCAATTTACCCTCTCCCTACCAAAATCAAAAACAAAAACCAAAAAAGAACAAAAAAGCTCAATTTTTTTTAGATCTTTCATTTACTGTCTCCACTTCCTTTTCTCCCATTCTCTTTGAAGTCACCCCCACTAGATTTTACCCTCACCACTCCACTAAAAATGCTTTCCCAAGGTCACCAGTGATGTTCAAACTGATAAATCCAATGGTTGATCCTAAGATCTCATTTTAATTGACATATCAGAAGCGTTTGACCCTGATGATTAGTTCTTCCTTCTTAATATATATTAATATGTTATGGACTAAATGTTTGTGTCCTCCCTGAATTCCTATGTTAAATCGCTAACCCCAATGTAAGGGTATTTGGAAATGGAGCCTTCGGGAGGTAATTAGTTATAGATAATGTCACAAGGATGGGACTCCATGATAGGATTAGTGTCCTTAGAAGAAGGAAGACTACAACTCCTTCTCTCCACCCTGTGAGGACACATCCAGAAGAAGGTCTTCAGCAAACCAGGATGTGGTACCTCACCTAGAAATAAATCAGTGTGCATCTTAAACTTGGACTCCCCACCCTCCAGAACTGTAAAAAATACATGGCTGTTGTTGAAGCCACATAGTCTACAGTATTTTAGTAAAGCGACCTGAGCTAAGATAATATATTTCTTTCTTTCTTTTTTTTCTTTTTTTGAAGTTTTCACAGTATTTCTAATGAGGTTCTTTTTTAAATTTTTATTTAGGTTTTGGGATACATGTGCTGAGAGTGCAGGTTTGTTACACAAGTATACACGTGCCACAGTGATTTGCTGCACCTATCAACCCGTCTTCCAGGTTTTAAGCCCTGCATGCATTAGGTATTTGTCCTAATGCTCTCCCTTCCCTTTCTGCCCACCCCCAGACAGGCCACCGTGTGTGATGTTCCCCTCCCTGAGTCCATGTGTTCTCATTGTTCAGTTCCCACATGTAAGTGAGAACATGCAGTGTTTTGTTTTCTGTTCCTGTGTTAGTTTGCTGAGGATGACGGCTTCCAGCTTCATCCATGTCCCTGCAAGGACACAAATTCATTCTTTTTTATGGCTGCATAGTATTCCATGCTGTATATGTGCCACATTTTCTTTATCCAGTCTATCATTGATGGGCATTTGGGTTGGTTCCAAGTCTTTGCTATTGTAAATAGTGCTGCAATAAACATACATGTGCATGTGTCTTTATAGTAGAATGATTCATAATCCTTTGGGTATATACCCAGTGATGGGATTGCTGGGTCAAATGATATTTCTTGTTCTAGATCCTTGAGGAATCACCACACTGTCTTCCACAATGGTTGAACTAATTTACACTCCCACCAACAGTGTAAAAGCGTTCCTATTTCTCCACATCCTCTCTAGCATCTGTTGTTTCCAGACTTTTTAATGAACACCCTTCTAACTGGTATGAGATGGTATCTCACTATGGTTTTGATTTGCATTTCTCTAATAACCAGTGATGATGAACTTTTTTTCATATATTTGTCAGCTGCATAAATGTAGCCAAGACAATCCTAAGCTAAAAGAACAAAGCTGGAGGCATCATGCTACCTGACTTCAAACTACGGAAGGCTACAGTAACCAAAACAGCATGACACTGGTACCAAAACTGATATATAGACCAATGGAACAGAACAGAGGCCACACATCTACAATGATCTGCTCTTCAACAAACCTGACAAAAACAAGCAACGGGGAAAGGATTCCCTACTTAATAAATGGTGCTGGAAAAACTGGCTAGCCACATGCAAAAAACTGAAACTTCCTAACACATTAAACAAAAATTAACTCAAGATGGGTTAAAGGCTTAAATGTAAAACCTAAAACCATTAAAAACCCTGGAAGAAAACCTAGGCAATACCATTCAGGACATATGCATGGACAAAGACTTCACGACTAAAACACCAAAATCAATTGCGACAAAAGCTAAAATTGACAAATGGGATATAATTAAACTAAAGAGCTTCTGCTCAGCAAAAGAAACTATCACCAAAGTGAACAGGCAACCTACAGAATGGGAGAAAAGTTTTGCAATCTATCCATTTGTCAAAGGTCTAATATCCAAAATCTCCAAGGAACTTAAACAAATTTACTAGAAAAAAACAACCCCATCAAAAAGTGGGCAAACGATATGAACAGACACTTCTCTCTTTCTTAATCTACTTTGTTCATGCCTCAATTTCTTCCCAACCCCTTAATGTCAGACTATCCATATGCTCATTCATTGTTCCTGTGTACTTCTGTATCTGCAGTCACCGTCTTTGTTCACATCAGATTTCATGGCTTTAAATAGAATCAATGCACCAATTGCTAAATTAACATTTCCAGCTCAGACTTCTCTCCCAAACTACAGATTCATACGTTCAATTGCTTATAAACATCTCTACCTGTTATTCTAATAGGGATTTCAAATCAACATTTCCAAAATGAGCTCCTAATCTGCTCACCCTCTCCCTAACCTGCTCCTCCAGAAATCTGTCTTACTCCACGTCACTCACATTTCTACCCTTTCGCTTGCTCAAGCCAAAACCATTGCATTCCACTTTGAGTCTTCTATTTCTCTAACAGTCACATCCATTCTCTAAGAAATACTGTTTTTATAAAATTTCAAAAATCTGTCCACAATGCAACCACTTCTACCTTCACAGCTTCCACCCTGGTATAAGCCACTACCATGTCTATTATGATACACTTATTTGTTTTCCTCACTTCTCTCCTGATTTCTATATTCTGCTTTAACAGAGTGGCCAGAGTGAAACATTTAAAACTTAAATATAATCATGTCACTACTCTCCTCAAAACATTCCACTCAGAGTAAAAAACAAAGTCCTCATGGTTGCCCACAGGATAGTATATAATCTGGCCCTCCTGATGCTTTCTGACATGTTTTCCTAATCCCTGTCATGCTTTCTTTTCTTGAACAACACCAGCCTCCTTACCGTTTTTAGAGCATGCTAGTTGTGCTCTTGCCCTAGGGACCTAGACTATTTTTTTCTCTTTCTGTTGTTTTCTTTTCCCAAATATCTGCATAATCAACTCCTTCACCTCCAGCAAGTCTTAGCTAGAAACTCATCTGCTCAATGATCTCTATTTTGATTTACAACTTAAATTCAACAGCTCACCCCTGAAAAGTCTATTCTTATTTACTGTCCTTTATTTTTGTTTATCTACAGAACTTCCAACATCCTAAGATAGTATACAGTTTAGCTATTAAGTATGTTGCACCTTTGTTTTGTATACTAGACTGTAAGCCATATGAGATCTGAGAAGTTATTTTTTCAATGTATCCTAAGTGCCTAGTGTTGTACTTGGCATAGAGAAGGCCCTCAATAATATTTGCGAATGAAAAAAAAATGAACAAAAAACAAAGGGATGAATGAATCATGAATGAATACTTATATTCACACAGGACTTCAAAATTTACAATGCTCTCTAACATGTTACTATACTTGACTCTCATCACAGACTTTTGATAATGTATAAATAGCTACTCCTACTTTAAAATGAGTCTTCAAGACCTGCTAATCTCTTCTCTCTCCTAGTTAGAAACATGAACATAAGATAAATTAGAAATCATAAACTAAGTTTGAGCCTGGTCATTATGCTTCACTGAAAAAAGTGGTATTAAAAAAAAGAGAAATTAGCTATTATCAATTTCTGCTGAAGTAATTTAATTGACTCAGGTTTTAAATAAAATCATTGATGAGTTTATTTAGATCACATAAAAACTGACATGAGCAGCAGTAAAATGAAGTAATTTATTCCAGTAAAGTGAGCGTACGCTTTGCTGGGACAGGTTTCTTACTCAGATAACTTTTTGTAGCACTTCTATTCAATCTGTATCAGTACCATCTCAAATATTCTTATGACGTGTCTCGCATTAGTACCTTGTAGTACAGCCAGAGTGTTTTAAAAAGCTTGTGGTTTTTATGATATTTAGAATCAAGACCTGCAGTAGAGATGGCATAACTGATTAAAAGGCAGTCCCTCACAGCCATTGTTTCCCACATAGAGTTTCACTGTGTGCCTGCACTAAAAGGCAGGCAAAACAAAACAAAACAAAACCCCAAACCGACCAACCACCCAACCAGCAAACCTGTTAACAGAATTACTCTTTGTTTCATGATGGCTGACTGGTTTTTTCCCTACCTTGCCTTTCACCTGAGCCACTTATCTCTGTGGTAGCCATGGTGCCTCCTTGGTAATGTTCTTTTTGTATGATCCAATATGCGTGGCCAGATTTTTTCCATAGTCAGTTTGGATTGCCAGTTATCACGGCAATAGAATTTTCCAACAGTCTATGTTGTGTTGTTTTGGCCTAACATGAGCCAGGATACAAGAAGAGCCCATAAAGAAATTGGGGCAATTTACAGTTTTCAATCAGGTCACTGAACTTGAATCAGATAAAGCTTCTCCTGCTTAAATTTGCTGACATATTCTCCTGTTGAAAATATTAAATTTGCTGACATACTCTCCCAGTCTTCTGATCTTTAGAAGGAAGCTAGAGATGGTGTTGTCCTCCTCTCCAACTCTTTAGAATTCAAAAGATTTCTTTTCTTTATAACTAAAGATGGACATGTTTCAACATTGGAGTGTTTACCAGATTTTACATTTGATTCAGGGATAATATCAATTAACCACTTCTCAGGATGTTATGCAAATGCTAGGATTCTTGTAACTGGATTCAGAAATTCAGCAAGTGTTCCTGAAAATAGTGCCTCCCACAAAGGCTGAAGTCATGGAAGCACTTAAGTTATAAAACTGAACAAGATACAGTGGAGCTGCTGCTAACTAGAACATAGTCTAATGGCTGAACATAGAGGGGGGACACAGAAATCAGTCACAAAAGAGAGTTTGGTAAATTTTATAACAAATTTATGAAATAATGTGAACATATAAAAAAAGGGAAGGTTAAAACAGTATTTTTGGAATGGGATGCCTTCAGAAAAGAAATGACAGTTGAGCTAGGAACCACCTACTGGGAGTATTTTTCATCGCATCCAAAACCAAGATACCTGTATGTGCAAGCTCTTGTCTGTTTTATAACCCATGCAAACAGTATTATGCAGTTTGTTCACTTTGAGAAGATATTTGATAGCTGCTTCTCCAGTTGAAATGTTGAACATTTAATCAGAAGGCAAGAGTTTGCCCTCAGAGCACAGAGGCTGGAATTGTGACTTCCTTCTTCCCTCTTCTGTGCCCTACTCACAGAATGACCAGTGAGGTTTGCAGTCTGCAGTTTGTGGCTAGAAGTGCAGTGGAGGTAGGCTTCTACTCAGACTACTACCAAGAGCCCCATAGCTTAATGCTAAGATGTGACTGATTTTGATATAAAAATCATAGAGTAATAACTTTTTAAATAACTTCCAACTTTTTGAAGTATGCCTCTGCCTCATCTACAGAATGCTTTAGCTATTATTACTCTCTTCCTGTGGCAATCCTCTCTATTTTTTTAAACACTCTTGCAATAGTGTTTATGCTTACCAGGTGTCTTCTGTTTCTCTTCCAGACAATACGTATATATGACCATCAGCTTAGAAAAAAGAGGCCTTAAGTAAACTAGCCAATCGATTGGTCCTTAAAGAATCAAGAAAGAAGATTCAACAATAGTTACATAAAAATTAGAAGGTGTTCTATCTCAAAAGGAGCAGATCCTAGAACAAGCAAAAATTAAATAGACATGGGTATGAATCCTAGCTCTGTCATCTATATGAGTTTAGACAAATTATTTAGTCTCTGTGAATCTCAATTTTCTTATGTAATAGAGAAATATCTCCTACATTTAAAAATCATTGTAAGCGTTAAAGAAAATATCTGTAAGTCACCAAATACAGCACCTGGTACTTAACAGGTACTTAATAGTATATTAATTAGTAATGAATGCTATTCAAATGCTAGGATTGCTTGTAACTAGCTTCAGGCATTTGGTGAAGTACCACAGTCTACTCCAAAATGAGCTAGGAGCTAGGCACACAGAAGCCTCCTTCAGATGAGACACACATAGCATAATAGAAACTACACTCAGTTTGAAATGAGAAGACTTGGGTTCTGATTTAGACATTACCACCTACTAGCTGTATATTTTCATAAAAAATACTTAAACTCTTTAAGTCTGTTTTTTATATAAAGCCAATGCTAACATTATCTTAGTAACATTTTAAATATAAATGAGGTGTTTGTATAATGGAGCCTACACTGTGAAGTTAAAAAATATGCAAGAAATGTAATCACATCCAAATTTATATGAATCATAGAGCATGATTATTGGCTAAAAACTATTAAGTTATTGTAGTTGCCCCTTACTGTGCTCTATTACTGCCTGTAATCATGGGAAATAAAGAATGTGTACTCCTGATAGTTACCTATGAAATAAAGTTCAAGTGATCAAATCCAAAAGTGAAAAATAAACTTGCGGACTAAGCTCTGATTTTTTTATAATCTTGCCCCAATTCCTGTCTAAGGGTCTGGGGAGTCATGCCCTACAAACCATAAATTCTCATCAGAAAGGTTTTATTTAACCGTGGATATTGTGACTTACTTTTCAATCTGACTCTGGCATACCAAGGAAGAAAATCAAAATATTTTACCCCAAAGCACGTTTCTCTGACATATCTTGAAATAACCCTGCAAAGCTGTCCCTTGTGGGAAAAATCCACATTCTATAGAGAATCCTCTTTCCCCTTGTTTTCCTTCCTTCCTTTTCAGATCCAAGGAATAATCAACTAAGAGCCAGGCACCCTTTTAGGTCTGATAAGAAACATTTTACAACCTGCTGTCTCTGAAGTCTGCTATCTGAGAGCTTCCTCTGCACAACAACACTTGGCCTCCACAATCCTTTATCTTAACCCAAACATTTCCTTTCTATTGATCCCAGGTCTTCAGATAAACTCAGCTAATTGTCAACCAGAAAATGTGTAAATTTACTTACAGCCTGGAAGCCCCCTCACCAGCTTTGAGTTGTCCCATCTTTCTGAACCAAACCAATGTATTTCTTAGATGTATTTGATTGATGTCTCATGCCTCCCTAAAATATATTAAACCAAGCCGTACCCTGACCACCTCGGGCACATGTTCTCAGGACCTCCTGAGGGCTGTGTCACAGGCCATGGTCACTCATATTTGGCTCAGAATTAATCTCTAAAATATTTTACAGAGTTTGACTCTTTTCATCAACAAACACATATAAATAAATGATTTTAAGACTCATTGTTGCCAAGGTATTCTTTTTATAATATGGCACCATTGTTGCCTTTTGTGTTGAAATAACAAAAATTTTCTCAACCTTAGAACTTAACGAGTAATACGTAAATAAATCTTCAGAAAAAAATTATCTAGTATATGTTGACAGTTCTCCAAGATCTTTTGACATTGAGAGCAAGCTTATTAAATTCACTCTAATAGAAGATACCAAGGGAAATACGTTCCAAATTAATGACTGTCTCCTTTCAAAGATCAGGTAATAATACTTCACTTAGCTAGTCTAGATAAAGAAGTCTAAATCATCCCATAACAAAATTCATAGATTAAAATTGAGGGATTACTGTAGAATTATTGCTAAGAATAGCTTTTCTAAAATTATCTGCAACTGGATTTTATATTTCTATTTAAGCAATATTCTTAAGTCAATATTTTAATGAAATCACATGTTCATTGTTCTATAAAGGCTTTTAAATATTTTATTCTGTGGTTGTAAATTTAACTTCTAATTATTTTTTGAGTTTTGGAAATGTAGTAAAAATAGCTTTTTTTAGAATCCATCTGATTTCATGTTTATTTCCCATATCTTCAGGAATTTACGGTGTTTTCTTCACCCCTTTCTCCATTAGTGACATGTTTGTTCCCTCCCTCCTTCAATTCCTGCCATCCATATTCATATAATTTCCCTAGTTCTGAGCCATTGCTTGTAGTTTGGATATACAACCACAAGGTTCATATTGAATTTTGTGTTTATTTCCTCCTCTCTGTTTAGAGCATCAGTCCTGCCTTTCTTGCCCTGAACCCTGCCAGTGCCACCCAAGTTTGCCTCTTGTTACTAGTGCTTCCTACTCTGGCAGACACCTTCAGAGGAGAAAACAGGTGGCACCAATCCAAACGAGTGTGATAATAGACGTGCTTGGTTTCCCAGGTAGACAAAGAAGCAGCAGCTGTGGTTATATCTCCATACAGCTGGAGAGAAGAAAGAAAGAAAAGGAAGAGATGAATTTAATGAAATTGAACAAACTCTTCAATTTCCCAAAGTCACCAGTACAATAGAAGATATGCTGGGTGAATTACTTTTCTAAAACAAATTTTAATTTATTTTTTTATTAGTAGTCACTTATCAGTGCCTATAAAACTGTTGTTTATATGCTTGCTATGGACTTTGTGATAATTCATTTGAATGCGTAATTTGTCTTAGTTCTTTACATAAAGCTTAGCTCTCTAATTGAAGACAAGATTATTTCTTATTGTTTATAAATAATTTTGGAATCAGTGATACTCAACTAAAATATATATAAAGTAAAAGTATATAAGTATATATATCTGTATGTGTATGTGCATATGTAGAAAAAAGAAAGTTACCCATTACATCTAATCTATGCCCCAGAAATAATCATTTGAAACAGTTTAAAATGTACCTTAAAACCAAGTGTAATCTAAAATCTTATGAATATGCTTTAAGAACATTAGCATGTAGTAGAAATAGACAATCAGCACTTAAATTAGCATGAGGAAAGCCTGTTTATTAAGAGCTTGCTGTAGCTAGGGAGTCAGCCAATGTCACTTTGCTATAGCTAGGGAGTCAGCCAATGTCGCTCACATTTGGCAGATACTCAAAGGCAGTCAGGGTTGTCAAGAGCTTTATAGTGAAAAAAGGAAAGGCTTCAGGTTTCTCCTAATTGGAGGCTGTTTGAATGCGGGTGGTGGTGGGCTTACTAGAAGTGGGGCATCCTATGTGATTAGTTGGGAAGCATGTTTGGCTTTCACTGGTTGATCCTGAGTTGTGGGCAGGTAAGAGAGGGGGAAAGGACAGGTGAGCTGAAGTCTTGGACCAAGTCAATCATCAAAGTATGATTGCTACATAAGTGTGGTTTGACTTCTGAAATTAGTTGCTGCAGAAGTTGTTGCTCGGTTTCCAGGGCTGGTTGCTACAGGGTTGTAGGTTAGTGTTCTCTTTTACTTATAGTGCCTGGCCATTGTTCAGTTGTATATCCAGCTTCTCAGTTAACACATAAATCCATTTTATTTCTACCATGTAGTTTACCAAATTATTTCAGAGAACATGTATAGGAAATCAGAAATGAATAAAATATAGGAAGATAATTCTATGTGTTTCACATCACATTTAAAGAATCTTTTTTGTGTGAAAAATAAGGAAAGGCAACTCATTCTGACCAATTTAGTATTTCCCATTGTTGTGACTTATAATCACAGAAAAATAATCAGTGTTAGAAAGGTAAAGTCCATATTACTAAAGAGTCACTTAAAAATATATTCTTTAAAGACAACAGCTCTCCTAGGAATACAAACAAAGTATTAGTGGCCCACCACCTGGGGCCAGGATGAAGTATTTTCCCTTAGGGGTAGAGAATTTCATATCCATCCAATTGCATTATGGGTGGTTTTGCCCTGCTTTGGAAGCATCTGGTGGAGACTGCTTCCCAAACAGGATATTGAACAAGAGTTCTGTTCTGGTATGACAATAACCACAGGCAGATCCTGCAAATATTCATTTAGTGATAGGGCCTGCTTAACTCAATACAGCCTTGTTGTCACTTGTCAGGTAAATCAAAGGCACATAGTGTGTATTAAATGCCTGATATTATCTAAGTGTATCAGCCATGCTCGAGTAATCCCAAGGGTTTAATTTAAAGAGAGAATTAGAAAGCCTGTATTGTATAAGAGTTGGGGGTCTAGGACATATGTTCCAGAAATAGGAAATTGCAAAGTGCTACATGCGATTCCTCCCCCTTTGCAATTTTAATATCTTAGTTTATTGGGCATATGAATCAAACTAGAAATATAGTTTTATTTTATTATAGTTAGCATAAAATATATTTAAAATTGCTCTCTGTCCACCCAGCTTTGTTTAGAGTAATGATTTTCAAATTATTATGATAATTATATTTCAGAACTCTTAATATTTATTTTCCTTTTTTTCTTTCATGTTTCAAAGTGTCATGTCTTTTAATCTCTCACTTACCCCACCTTTTTTTTTCTGACAATAGTCAAATTCTATTTTTATTATTTTTGTTATTGTTTTGCTTTTTTCTCTCCTAGAACTAAAAATAATTTTCCAGAACAAGACATTTTCTTGAATGTTAATAGCGTATTTTCAACATCTTTCTCCACTCCTCACTCTCCACTCAGGCCCCCTAAAAATGATAAGCCCTGGAAATTGTTTAAAACATTGTTCTATTACGATATTTCACAAAAAGGTTCTCTAATTGCTATAAAATGTGGCAAAGAATACTACAGCACAAGAAGTGGACAAGGAAAGGAACGATTGAAAATAGGGGAACAGATTAGGATATTAATAGTTAAATTATGTTAGCTATATAATTGTTAGAATTAATACACTTTGCTATTGGTTTTATAGTGAAGAATATTTTGTGTTTGTTAAAATATTGCTTAAAGGAATACAGAAGTGAGAAAATACAGTGTTGAAATGATGACATCACTTTAATCTCAGTGATATGTCTGGCATTTATGTGTGTGCTATGTATATATACAAAGATATTTATCAGGAGTGAGTAATACATGAGCAATGCTTTTCATTTTTTTCTTGAGCATTCCATCTGCTCTATTGTTTGAAATAATTAACTTCCTTTAACATAGAACCTTGGCTTATGAAAAAGAATTTTAAAAGATCAGAATAATTTATTAAGCTTCAAAAACTTTTGAGCTTCTAATTGCCAATAGCTATATCATTCTGTTTCAAATTTTTGCTTGTATTTCTGTGTGTGTGTGTGTGTGCATGAAACCACTTATGTAAAACAGGAGGCAACTTTGGAAACATATATCAGAAGGAGGCGTTCTTTTCATAGCCTCATAGGAGTCTCGGTTTAAACAATGATTTCATCAACATACAGAATCTTGTTGATCTGTAGAACAGTTTTCATCATTGACGAATAAAGCAGTATTTTAGGAAGGGCATAAAGTTGCTGAATTATTTGCAAAGTGGAGTTAGAGCTCCATAACTTAAAATATAACAGGATGTAATGCTAGTCATCCCTTGGACTCCAGAACTGGTTTAAATTATATTAACTCCTGGGCAGCACAGCTCCAACTTACAAACCTCAGTGCTTTTTCTCCCTCTCCTTATCTCCATTCCAATAAGGCATAAACAAATGAGTTGACTCTTGTTAGTGACAGGGAAATAATGGCGTGGACACCCCAAAGATAAGTTGAAATCATTTCTGCCTAGACTATGGCACAAGTTGTGGATGAAGATTACATAAATTGTTTGACTACTTAGCAGAATTTGTTTTTATCCTGCATTTTTCAGTGTTCCACAAATAGTACATGATATATTCAAAACAGGGCAGTTGGAGGCTAGTTCATTAAAGGGGCAATTTATAAATGTAGGGATAAGATGTAGAGAAAGACCTAGTAACAGAAAAGCTGTTATCACACTTAGGCTTAAAAAGCCAAAGAAATTAACACACACACACACACACACACACACACACACAAACAAGGTAGGAGTAATTCCTGGCACACATGGAAGCCAAAAGGAGACAGCTGGGTAGAGCAAGCTGCCATGAGAACAACTGCAATCCTGAGTTGAGGAAATGCAACCAGCCCAAGGCAACCCCACAGAGAAGGATCTAGAGTGATAAAAATTCTGAATCCACTCTCCTGTCTGCCTCCAAGCTCCTGCTGGACTCACAATTGTCCAAATCTTATCAGAAAGCGGGGAATTAGAACACTTGTAGCTGCATGCATACAGGCCAGCCTTCTGAGGCAGAGAGGAGTGGAGATGGGTGCATAAGGGATTTGAAGAGCCACACAGAAGATACCATGCAGCACTGGAATTATTACCTGGAGGACATCAAATGAAAATTACAAGAAGACAACTCTGGTGTTCGCTGATATTAGAGGAGTATAAAAAGTGTTGACTTTATTTAGGCATTCATGAATTCATTCAACAACTTATTGTTAGCATTTAAATGAAATACTTCAATATTTCAGGCACTACTCTCAGAGTTGGGATTCAGTTTTTATGAAGCTGATGGTGTGGGAAGACAAATACTAATCAAATGATATCAGCTAATAGTGCTATAAGGACAACAGAAAAATCTGATGTGACTTAGGGTTGCAAGTTTCCTTTTAGGTACAATTGTCAGTGAAGGTGTCTCTGAGGGGATGACACTAACTCCTGGGCAGCACAGCTCCAACTTACAAACCTCAGTGCTTTTTCTCCCTCTCCTTATCTCCATTCCAATAAGGCATAAACAAATGAGTTGACTCTTGTTAGTGACAGGGAAATAATGGCCTGGAAGGTGATACAAGCAAAGTGGATTTAACAACATGGAGGCAACTTGTGACATCAATTTAAAAATCTTGGGAAAGTGATCGTGGCTGAAGATCAACTGGGGTGAGCTGAAAATAGAATGTGAATCAAGGCAGTGAAGACTGTACTCAGATTTTAAGGAGGGAAAATTAAACCATAGATAAATGACAAAGACAATGTGAAGTCAAGGAAGGTTTTTCCCTTATTTGTTTTCATTTTACAACAGGGAGTTATTACAGCTTATTTGTCTGTTAAGAATGATCTGATTCAGGGACATGTGAAGAATTCAGGAGAAAAAGCTCACAATTACAAGTGCTAAGTCTTCAGAAAGGCAAGAGGGATGCAAGAGGGGAGCACGGTTATAATGGTCAACCTTTGACAGAACCATTTCACTATGAAAACAACTGAGAAGGGCAAGAATATGAGTCTAGATATGGTAAGCAATTACATTTACTGGGAAATTGAGCATTTCTTGTAACTTACTCCATTTTATCTATAAAGCTGTGTCAAATTAGCTATTTAGCTTTTTGAGAAGGTTTGAGGAGGGAAGAATAAATGTGACATAATCCTGTATGAGAGTGGGAAAGAGTATGCTAGGAAATGATTGACAAGCAGTGCAATAACCTATTTAGGAATTGCAGGCATAACTTCAGGACAGTAACTGTTCCTTTTGTGTAAGTGTCTGTAGCAATATCCAGCTACTCAGGTAAAGACAAAATGAAAGTGGACAATTGTTTTCAACAACTGAACAGGTGGAGACAATAAAGGAAGATGGCAAAAGTGCTGAAATGGTTTCAGTTGAGTAGTTATTGTACGGATCATGGACTCTAAGGAAGTAGGGAGGGAAGACAACAGGGAAGAGATAGAATGGAGAGAGAATACCATTAGCTGGAGGCTAAAATCATCAGTGAAAAAGGGATAAGGACCAAGAGGCAAGTCAGTGGCATCAATAAAAATAGGTAAGTAATAAATTCAAAGATATATGAGTCAAAGGAGCTAGGATTTTTTTTTGAAGTATAAAAGTGGACTTAAACAATTGAAGCTACGCAGAGGATGGTGATATATAGGAAAAGTGACATCATCAAGCCTATAATCCCAAAAACTAAATTAGTAACTGTTTTGCCTTTGTTACACCAGAATCCAACATTACCACAACCCAGGTGAGAGTTGGAGGTGAGAACGTCCAGCAGTGACACAAGTCAGCTGTTCTGCCAGCCAAGTGTTCACTCACACAGCTCACCAACACTTCAAATGCCGTGGATCTGAAACTGAACACCTCATCTTTGCCTCCAAACTGGCTTCTTTTCCCAAATATACTGTTTCTGACAATTGTTCCAGTTCTTAAGCACATAAACTTTTGCACACCTTTCTGTTATGGTCCCTATATCATAAATACCATCGAGAGTTTGAGAACACAATTTCTTAACTTTCATTTTAGGTTCGGAGGTACGTGTGCAGGTTTGTTACATGGGTAGACTGCATGTCACAGGGGTTTGATGTACAGATTATTTTTTCACCCAGATAATAAGTGTAGTACCTAATAGGTATTTTATTTTCTTTTTTCTTTTCTGAGACAGGTCTGGCTCTCTCACCCAGGCTGGAGTACAGTGGCATGATTTTGGCTCACTGCAACCTCCACCTACTGAGCTCAAGTGATCCTCCCACTTTAGCCTCCTGAGTAGCTGGGACCACAGGTGTGCACCATGCACCACCATGCCTGGCTAATTTTTGTAATTTTTTTTTGTAGAAATGGGTTTTCACCATGTTGTCCAGGCTGGTCTCAAACTCCTGAGCGTATGCAATACGTCACAATAGATTGTTTTCAACCCTCACTCTCCTCCCACCCTCCACCCTCAAGTAGGCCCTGGTGTTGGTTGTTCCCTTCCTTTTGCCCATGTGCACCCAAAGTTTAGCTCCCACTTAAAAGGCAGAACATGTGGAATTTGGTTTTCTCTTCCTTAATTAGTTGGCTTAGGATATTGACTGCCAGCTCCATCCATGTTGCTCCAAAGTACATGATCTCTTTCTTTTTTATGGCTATGTAGTATCCCATGGTTATATGTACCACATTTTCTTTATCTGGTCTACCTTTGATGGGCATTTACGTTGACTCCACGCCTTTGCTGTTGTGAACAGTGGAGTTGGGGTTTTTGAGGAAGGAAGGGGAAGAAAGCAGTTTGATAGTGAAATTGGGGAACATAAAAGATTTTCTGTAAAACACTTCACATACACGTAACTGAGAGCTAATGGCAATTTAACTAGGGAATTAAATCTAATAAAGTCAACAGTGGAAACTTTTAGTTTACACACGAATGACGTTCACATATTTTCAGTGAATATATCACTCCATGGTAACTCTCCTTATTTCAAGATTACAGATATTAAAAAAACTAAATTACTATCCATCTGATTCCAGGAATAAATTATTTGTAGATAAGTAAATTTTAAATTAGATATATAATATATATAACACATATAATATATAATTTCAAGTATATGCATATAAGTGGAGAACAATAACATAGCTAATCAAAATTTATTTATATGAGTTTGTGTGTGTGTGTGTGTGTGTGTGTGTGTCTGCGTGTGTGTGGCATATACGTGTGCCTATAGTTTTTTCTACCAATCTGATAGCTAAGAGAATTTTTAGCATGATAACAAAGACTCATTCTGAAAATGGAACCCGGGAAGCTATCGAAGCTGATCAGAATCTTTGAACTGCCTCTCTGTTCAAGGTATCCACCACCCTCTAAATGTGGAGAACATCACCTCTCAAATTAGCATCCAGTGACTTCTCTTCATGACTGTAACATCTGCCATGATAAATGAAACAGCCATATATTTTGACTTTATGAGTTTGTCTTCAATGTTTGGAAACAGGCTAGCTTAGAAAATGAATGAAAAGGGTTGTTTTAAATCAAAAACTGCATATTTAAATCACATAATACTGCTGTAAAATCTGTAGTTTTATAAATATTCATTAATATAGTAGTATATCAAATAATAAAAACTTAGGATAAGAAGGAATTATATCTGATACCAAAGTCCTATTCCTCAGAGGACTCTTAAATGTTTCTGTTTTAATTTCTTCTGGTATTCATCTTCATATTTCAAGATAATCTGCTTATTCCTCTATTTCTTAATATGTCAACTTTAGACAATATTCCAACTTTAAACAAATGCATTAATATTCCCATAGGAAAGATGAGGACTTTTTTTTTCCTTTTACTTTCCCTTCTTCCAGCTGTCTTTCTTCAAATACTTGCTACTTATTATTTTAAATGTTCATTTTTAAATTTTGTATTTTTTAGTCATGTAATGAAACAACTATGTTTTTCTCAACATTTAATATTATATTTTTTCTTTTCTTTTTTTTTTTTTTTTGGTTTTTTGTTTTTTGAGACGGAGTTTTGCTCTTGTTGCCCAGGCTGGAGTGCAATGGTGTGATCTCAGTTTACTGCAACCTCTGCCTCCTGGGTTCAAGCGATTCTCCTGCCTCAGCCTCCCTAGTAGCTGGGATTACAGGCATGTGCCACCACGCCAGGCTAAATTAGTATTTTTAGTAGAGACAGGGTTTCTCCATGTTGGTCAGGCTGGTTTTGAACTCCTGACCTCAGGTGATCTGCTTGCCTCGGCCTCCCAAAGTGCTGGGATTACAGGCATGAGCCACCGCGCCTGGCCTAGTATCATATCTTGATGTGTCACATTGTAAAAAAGGGCTACAAGCTCCCTTACCCTTTCTTGCACCTTTCCTCCCTGCTTTTTATCTCCTAATTACTGTCAGCTGCACTATTCCATTTATATAATCAAGGTATTTACACCCACATTCCTTTCTGCAGTTGAGTCATCATTGCTTTAGCATTGGTTGACTCTAACATCTGTATTTTTTTTTTAAAAGGAGCATTTACATTATTACTAAGATTCCATTCTTCACTAATAGTGTGTTGGTATTATGCTCCTTCTCCATTGGGTCCAAAATCTCAGTCTCTGGAGCACTTGAAAATTGAAGTTTTCTGCATGAAGGAAAAATAACGTGTTTTCTTACAGTTCATAAATTGTTTTATGCCACATTTTTTTTTGCTGTATACGGCAGCAATTAATTCCTAATAGGACCGCCTTTATTGTTGTGTGATGTGTATGTGTGTGTGTGTGTGCACGCGTGCGTATTTAAGAGTCTCTTGGTTTTATTTTCTTCCACTACCTATCTCTTGTCAAGTTTTCCCCCTCCAGAATCCTCCTGTGGGATGGTTTACCTTCTAGATGTGCTATACAGGTGTTCCACAGAGGTTTCCCTACACTGAAATTCTAGCCTAAAGACTGTTCTCTAGGTTCCATGACTTCTTCTCCCTTAGTTTAATTCTTTGGCTTGCCAAATCCTATTTTCATAAGATGCCAATAAGATATTCCAGAGATGTAAGATTCTCTGGTTTTGCATGTCTGAGAATGATTTATTTGTTTACATTCCGCAGTTGGTTGTGAATTTTCTGGTTATAGAAGCCTAGGTTCAAAATTATTTTATCTTAGAATTTGAAAGCCTTCTTCTACAGCCTTCAAGTATTCATGGTTTCTGATATTTCTTACACATTTGTCGGTAACTTGTATCTCTAGAAAGCTTTGCATATTCTTTTCATCAATGCAGTTCAGAAACTTCTGAATGATGTCTACTGGAACGATTACTTTTTTATACGTTTTCCTCAGAAACTCCTGGATACTTTTTATCTGATAATGTATTTTCTTCAGTCATGAAGATTTCTCTTTGATTTTTATTTGTTATTTTTCCCTGTCCATAATTCTTTGATTTCTGTTATTCAAATTGTTAACAGTTTAGTGTTGTACTTTCAGTACTGTAGAGAATTTTGAAGAATAAATTGTTCCTCAGGGATTTGGGGAAAGTTTTAGGGGAAGGAGGGCTTGATAGGAATCCTGAAACAGATGGCAAAGGTTGTGATGCAGTGCTGGTCGAGGTGGACATGTACAATCAAGTGCAGACCAGCATACAAACCAAAGATGGAAGATAATGGATGGGTTGATTTTTTTCATGAAAGAGTTTTATAGCAGAAGATTAGTAGGAATGATGATTCACAAGAACTATTATGATCATGTTGAGGAGGTCCTTGAGTTCAAGCCCCAGAACAAATGTCACCATAGGTAAGGGAATGTCAGTGAATGTTTTTAAGCTAGGGAGTGAAATGACTAAAAGTACATTTAAAAGAGCAGAATCATAGGTTAAGGAGGAGAGAGAGGGTGGAGATGAGGAAACAGGCAATGAAACAATGTAGAAGGCTTTAACTGAAACAAGTGCTCTCCTTGCTTTATTGTTTGCTGAGAACGGCAGTCTCCTCATCACTTCTGAGTCTACAACACTCTCTGGCCCTTTGCTTAAGCCATATCCTGGCCCTCAAAGGCTATTATCCTCGCTTTCCCCCCAAATGATACTGTACACCAACTTCAAATCTACCTCAGCTCTCATGTTCCTCCATTCACTGTCTCACCAGCCCCCCAAAAAGTTAGAATTGCTCTCCCCTCTTGGATGACATTTCCTCTTTTTAGTACATCTATTATTGGTACCTTTAGCTTGCATAACTGTTACTTATTCTGAACCCGTTCCTTTCCAAAGTCCTGGAGACAGAGCACTTTGTTTTATTCTCTTATGTTCAGAAAAACTTCGTGCAATTGAAGTTAGAAAGTAATGGCGAGGTACATTTTGTATACGTCTCACGACTTTACTCTCTCCTGGATGATTTAAGTAGAGTTAAGCACAAAGCATGTAATGTAATTAGATTCCACTGTGCCACTTGGACAGGCTAAATCATAATCCCGACATCCTAAATATTGTTTGTATTCTCAGACAATGATCTGCTGAATCAGTATTCATCAAGTTTAGTGATATAAAATAAGACTTCAATTATCTATGTGAGAAAAATATCCTGCCCAAAAATACATAAAATAACCTGAAAGCGTTTACAACTATCTGCATTTCTAGGCAATACATTGCAGCACATACAATCAAGAGTCAATTAAGCTGAGAGAAGCAGAATAAACCGTTTTCTAAACACCAATGTTTCAATACTTACCCGTTCACAAATAATGTACAGCCTGAGACGGTAACATAATGAGGTCGATCAATAGAAAATTAAATCTTTTTGAATGAAGACAAAATGCCCATGGAGCCTTTACATAATAAAATAAATGTAATGTAAGGCCTGAGTCTATAAATAAAATTCTCAAAAAATTGTAAATTGACTTTTTCATTCAGTTCTTAACAATGTTATTGGGTAGTGTTTGACACATCATAAACATTATGTGTATTTATATACATTACATATATCACATTAGTAACTTATAAAGCTTAATAATAAAATAAATATCCTCCCTGAACTAACCACCCAAATTAAGATCTAGAGCATTCCTGACACCTAAATTTCTATCTGTGTCTTCCTATCTGCTCTTCTTCCTACTCTCAACCAATTAACCACTTTCTGGAATTTTAATTTATCACCCACTTGCCATGTTATTATTCTTATCACATAAAATATGTAACTCCAGGTAACATATACTTCTAACTTTGTTTCTGAGTTCTCTAAAACGGTATTATGGTGTACACTGTTATCTTTGACTTGCTTTATCCACTCCCAATTATTTCTACGTTTCATCCACATTTGGTATATGTAGTTGTTCATTCATTTTTCACTGCTTATATAGTATTCTCCTGAAAATGGGGCTTTTAATTGATTCTGATGTTGTATTCTTTCTTTAACTTTTATCTTAGGTTCCAGGGGACATGTGCAGGTTCGTTATACAGGTAAACTCATGTCATGGAGGTTTGTTGTACAGATTATTTTGTCTCCCAGGTACTAAGCCTGGCGTTCATTAGTTATTTGTCCTACTTCTCTCCCTCCTCCCACTCTCCACCCTTAAGTAGGCCCCCGTGCCTGTAGTTCCCTTTTTTGTGTTCATGAGTTCTCATCATTTAGCTCTCAATTTTTTATTCTTGGTAGTGACATTATAGATTTTTTTTTCTCCTGATGGCCAGGTATTAGAGTTGTTTAGGGGCAAGGAGTTGGTACATATTGAAATAGAATTGCTGGGTCATTTGGTATATGCATGATTAATCTTATGAGATTGTGCCAAATTTCTTTCCAATATATTCCTTTGCACCACTGCACTCCAGCCTGGGCTACAGAGCTGCTAGACCCTATCTCAAAAGACAAAAAAAAAAAAAAAAAAGAATAATACAGTATGTAAGTTAGTGGTGATTCACTTTCCTGCCATTAGTCAGCATTTAACCCAACTATATATAAATACAATGTATAGAATAAATTAAATATATTATATGTTAGAACCTTATAATGGCAGGAAATAGAATACAAGTAGGGATTCAGGCTAAGAAGTAAAACTGGACAAAAAGAGGAGATTTGAACTTGGCAAAAATAAAGTTATAAATTATATATTAACTATAGGAAATAAAATATAAATTATAAAAATATAATATCAAAAGTAAAAAATATGCCATAAAATGTAGAAAAAGTTTCATTCAGGCTTTTGAGACTGAGCTCCAATAAATTAAAGCAATAATGAATACAAATTAATTTGGTTAAGTACACCAAACTAGGTTTATACATATTTTCTCTTAGGAGTCTGAAGGTATTGTTATAACACCTTCATCCATTACTGTTGTTGGCAAACAACTGTCAGTCAAATTAATACTTCTTTGAGGAGATTTGTCTTTTCCCTCTGGCATCTTTTAAGATATTTATTTTTTCTTCTCTGTGTTTCACTACAATGCTATTAGCATAAGTTATTTTTACCTTATCTTTCAATGGTAATAGAAAATATAGTGGTAATCTCTTGAAATGTTTCTTCTCTATCATTTTATTTATTCTGTCTTCATAGGACTCTAATTAGACATATTTCAGGACTTCCATTCTCAAAATATCTTAATCTCGCCTTTACTTTTTTTAATCTCCTTGCTTCCTTGTGCCATATTGTTAGTAATTTCTTCAGATAATATTTTCTAGTTCATCGGTTCTCTCTTCAGTCTAATCTAAACTTCAACCCATATATTAAGGTTTTGATTATTATTTCAAAAATTATGTTTTTCATTCTTAAAGTTTATTTTGGTTCTTTCAAATTTTTGGATTTTTTTACATACTTTTTTGCTAATTGTTCCTTTCTACAATTTTACATTTTTACCTAAACATTTTGCATATGTTTATTTCATATTTTATATATGATAATTCTGATATCTGTAATCCTCAGGGCCCTTAAACAAACACCTGTTTCCTGCTGGTTCTTATTCATGGGTATTTGTTTTCTTGTGTGTTTGGGGCTCTTTGACAATAGGCTTATATTTAGTTGACCTTAGTCAACGACCTTTCAGAGTAAATGTGCATTTTCTCCTCCCAGGAATCAGGGAGCTAACAAATGAGACCAATTTATCTACCTTCTAGGATTCTGGCATTAATTAAATCATCTAAGAACTTTCATCTTGTAAATGGCTCATAGTCCAGTCACCTGATCCTAGTCCTGATGGATTTGACCTGAGGAGAGCCCAACGCCTTGGGAGTGCTTGTAGGACAGGCTGCAGTTTCAGTCTCAACCTCCTTTCCTGTCTTTTTGTGGTTTATGGTTTTGTCTTCTTGGAGACTTCTGATTAATTAACTAATATTAATAGTATAAAACTATGTGTTGGCGGGGCACGGTGGCTCACGTCTGTAATCCCAACACTTTGGGAGGCCGCAGCCGGCAGATTGCCTGAGCTCAGGAGTTTGCAACCAACCTTGGCAAACGATGAAACCACGTCTCTATTAAAATATAAAAAATTAGCCGAGTGTGGTGGCGGGCGCCTGTAGTCCCCCCAGCTACTTGGGAGGCTGAGGCAGGAGAATTGCTTGAACCCGGGAGGCAGCGGTTGCAGTGAGCAGTGATCGTGCCACTGTCCTCCAGCCTGGGTGACAGAGCTAGAATCCGCCTCAAAACAAACAAACAAAACAAAACACAAAAAAACTATGTGTTATGCAAGACCTAGTTTAGTTTTATTTCTCTAAGACCATTAAAGCAACTGCCTGAAATGGAAATGCTGCAGATTTTACCTTATAGATGTTAAAACACCTGATAGGTACTTCCAAGTAAAACTGGCGAATCTATTATTTGGGCTAACTTTGATATTGTCACTAAAATACAAAATTATTTTTTAATATTAAACTTATGTTTTTGTCAAATATTATTCTTTTTTGGTAAATGCCTAGAACTGAGCTAGGATTCTCACTCTGCCAGGTAACACAGCAATTTAAAGAATATGTTTAAAAAATCTATTAAGAAAGGTCACTTCAGCCAGCATTTCTCTTCCTCCCAAAAGATGGGACACTGTGTCTTTGCCTGTAGGCTTAACCTTTTGCTAATTCTCAGAGTCAAACTGCCTGATCCATGAGGTATTCATCGAGCTCTAATACTATACAGTGGGTTTCAGTATCAAGGTCGAGATCTGTCATGTTATTCTTAATCTCTAAGCCTTTATTCACACCGCATTTTGCTAATAATGACATTGTTCCCAATCCACATATTATATAAACTATATATAAGAAATAGCCACTTTTTAATCTTAAATCATCAAATTAAAACTGATTCTAAGCCTCTATCCCACAGGCTTGGTGGGAAATCCAAAGTTAGTTATTATTAGGGCCCCATTATCTTTCAAGGTCCAAGTGAAATATGGCCTGGAGAAAGAAGCAAGACCCACCAACTTATGAACCATAACAGTCATAGCTATAAACATTACTGTACAGCTCTGAAGAGGTTCTTCAGATCTAGAAAGGTTTCTTTTCATGGTTTTCTAGTGATAAAGGAGTACTGTCCTGAGGCAGTGAATTCTGATGTTTATTATTCAGCCTCCATAATTTCTTCTTCTAAACTTTACCTTTGGTGTTGTCTCATTAGTCTTTTCTCTTAATCTTTCAATTTTATCTTTTCTCCTCTACTTATCCTCATAAGCATGTTACCTAATTCCTTTATCCTGAAGCTTTAAGACCTCAAATAGCACAAAAGGATATGTGTCCTGTAAGTGGCTTTTAGTTTTGGTCCAGCAATGCAACCTTCCCTGAAGCTGTGGAATACAAAAGAGCTAGGCTACCTTAGTGAAGTAAGGGAGAATACGAGATTGCCGACAGAAAAGACAGAAGAGATCACCTTGCCACAATCATTTCTGCTAATATATACTTAATATTTATTGAATGTCCGATATGTATTAGAAGTGAAACTAAGAAACTTGCAGTTGTTATCGCATTTAATCCTCACAACCACGTTATGGAATCTAGGTACTATTATCTCCATATTACAAATGAGATACTGAAGCAAAGAGTTTAAATCATAGCTCTTGATCTCACAGTTACTAAACTGAGGAGCCAGGATATAAACCCCAACAATCTGATGATAAATTATATTGCCTTTGTTTATTGATTAGGTTTTTGATTTATTATTTTTCCCTGGTTTCTCTTCTAGTAGCCTGCCTAAATTGCCAATCTCAATTAGCATTAAATATCTTTATTTCTTCTGACAGTTTTCTCCAAGGATTTGGAGTGCTTCTGCTATTGAACGTGAAATTGATGAGTGGAAATCACTGTCTCTTTAGTTGACAGACTTTTCTAAGTCCAACATTTAGTAACAGACAGGCCACTCCACAGAATCCCCTGACGTCATGCATTGTAAATCTGATGGACCAACACGCTGTTATTGCCCTAACATATGTGACATGCTGAGGTGGTGCTCAATTTATCTACCCAATAGATATGGCTAGATTTCTTACCTATCCCTTCTCAAATTCCTTCCCTTTACCATAAACATGGCATGACACACTGGATGCCAACATCTAACTAACTGAACATGCAGACTGTTGTAAACTCAGAGGTACTTTAACAGTAAAAGGCATTTCAGACAATAATAAGTAAATATTTACACTTTAAATATTTGGTGTTTGGTACTATGGGTATATTCAGAAATATTTAAAAACATATTTCCATTCAGTGAAACAAGATGAGCAGACGGAGTTGGCACTGAAGTTTTTGTTTTGTTTTGTTTTGTCTTTTTTTTTTTTTTTTACTTGAAACACATGTAAAACATATACAGCAATAGTTTCTGACACAATAGAACAGCTTGCTCCTTAAAACTTCATGTTTTCTTAGAATGGAAGGAATGATGGTGAGATTTTGAGAATAGCTTTGGTCATCGTGAACAATTCTATTCCAGTACTAATCATTTTGTGAATGCTCAAATAGGATAGATTGCTCAGGAATTAGAAAGCCAGCGCACTGTACATTTCAAAAACTTATAAGTAGCATGCATTGTAAATTATACATTTCAATAGGAATCTTTAAGGTATAAACAGATTATCACAACACATGTATTTGGTGGTGTTGACAATCATTGACCTATTGAACTATTTTAAATTTTTACTAGTTGGCCACTATAAAAAGATATGCATCAGTGTTAAATCTGAATATCATATTTACAAATATTTGTCTTTCAAATGCACAAACCTGTCAGACCAGAAAGGCAATTAGATTCTGTGGGTTTTTTTTCTTAAGTCTAGAAACTTAGCTAACATTGGTGTTATTAGGCAGATGAGTATGCCTAATATATTCAGTCAAATATTTTATAAGGTAATCCAAAAAAAATGCACAGGTCTGACTTTTTCAATAGCATCATACAATCTTTGATTTATACAGAACAATGATGTTTTAATTACTTAAATATTAGAATACTTTTCCCAATCTTTCTGACAGAGTAGAAACTGAAAAATTAAAAAATAGTAATTAAATACCTCAAGTGTTTGTTTACCTGTTACCCAGAAAAGTATAAGAAATGCAAATGAGAAAAATAAGTCAAAAAAGGTGTGTGAAGAGGATTTTTCAGAAATCCCTAACATCTTAATACGTGTACGTGTATAGAGAATGGTACTTAAGTATGCGCATGCACGTTTTTAGTCAGGAGCAATAAATGCTTCCAAGGTACATTATATTTACCTCTAGTTGCACTTCTTCAGTTGTAATGATATGTTACATGGCTGTCTGCCCTTGCCGCTTTACAGCAGGCTACAAAGTTTAAATTACATCACCATTTAAATGTTAAGATGTTCTGTATACATACTGGTGTTAGGAATTATGTCTGTGTCTGATTTCCAGTGGAGGCAGAACAAGTGGCGTAACTTTTCTTTTTGTTTGTTTGTTTTTGTTGTTGTTGTTGAGACGGAGTCTCGCTCTGCCGCCCAGGCTGGAGTGCAGTGGTGCGATCTCTGCTCACTGCAAGCTCCGCCTTCCGGGTTCACGCCATTCTCCTGCCTCAGCCTCCCGAGTAGCTGGGACTACAGGCGCCCGCCGCCACGCTTTGCTAATTTTTTTATTTTTAGTAGGGACGGGGTTTCACCGTGTTAGCCAGGATGGGCTCGATTTCCTGACCTTGTGATCCGCCCGCCTCGGCCCCGCAAAGTGCTGGGATTACAGGCGTGAGCCGCTGCGCCCGGCCGGCGTTAAGTTTATTTTCATCAATAGCGTCAAAATATCACCTGCCTATTGCCCTATACTTTTGAAAAAAGATGAGGTAAAATAGTAAATAAATGTATTATGTCTTACCATTTTCAACTTGCTTCCTACTAATAGTATTTGAAAAGGTACTTGCTTCCTGAATGCCTGCAAAATGAAGAATGATTATAAAAATCCTATAAAATAAAATAGCACACAGTTATTTAAAGATATTTAAAATAAATGAAAATACTCTTATAGTATGAATACAATAAAACTAAATGAAAATACTGTCTTATAGTATGAATACAATAAAAATTGACTATCTTCATAAATATGTAGATATGTAGATACATAAGCTTATATGTTCAAAGTAAATAACAGAATAGAAATATATCAAGATATTAATGATGACTATCTCAAGATGGCAGTATTATCGGTAATTGTTTTTACTGTATTTTTGGTATTTTTAACCCATTAAACCCTAGTGTTTTAAAGGAAAAATAAATTGTATTTTTACCTTATTTTAAATTACTTTTCACCTTTCACGTATTTCCTTAAACTTCACAATGTCAACCTCCATTATGCTCACAGTAGAAGATATAAAGATTATTACCCGTAGGTTTTTGAGGATATTCTGTAACAGAAATTTAATCATCATTACACAATTACGCCATACAAATTGAATAATATAACCTGTATCTACTTTCTTCCAAAGCAGAGCAAATTAGAAAACTCTAATTTCATCTTCAAATGTTTGGTATAGTATGTTTTAAAGTATTGTTTATCATTATCTCAAAGGCAAGTTTATGTTAGCAATGAAGCGGAAGGTATTTGATTGTTAAAATGTTTACGCAATTATGTTTTACTTAAGAAAATTAAACAATTTTTATTCATGGAATGAGTTGATTTATTCAGTGCATTTTAATATTAAAAACTAACGAAACAGATCTAATCCTTCACTCAAAGTGTAGCTAACAAATAAAAATCTGCTATAGCACAGTTAATAATAACCACATGGTTAATTCTATACACCTTTATAATATTTGAAATATAACCATTTAATCTTATCAAGTTATGTTATAAAATATGTATTTTCAGATTCTTGGAAATCAATTCTGAAAGGTTAATATTTTCTTATTGTAAATTTAGCTTATTCAGAAACGGGTTTCTTAAAGTAAGAATGTACATAATTTATATATGAAACACTGGGCTTAATGTATGGCTCAAATATTGTAATCCCAAATGAATTACCCAAAGAAAGAAAAATGTGATAGAATTATTAGGGTTGCATGAAAACTAGGCTTAAATATTGTGTAACTTAATCATTTCCTAGGCCTAGCTCTACAGAATACGAAGTGATTTTGTCTAGACAAAGGAAGCAATCAGCTATTTTTTTTTTTTTGGTCAAAGTACCAAAGTACTCTTTGTTAAAATGAAGTAATTATGTATGTTAGTTGTCTTAGCTGAGTCTCCATTCCAGTTTTATTAAAACTAAAACCAACAAGCATTCTCTATTTTTCTTGTTATTACTTAAAGTTACCTGTACATTGGACAGGGCACGAGAATTTAACCTTTAAAGTACATGCTTTCTTTTTGGAGGACAAATGCTTCACAGATGCAAGTATCACCATAAAACATTCCCTGCAGATTGCTCTAGTGCATTCATGATCATGGCATCATCTTCTGAAACAGTAGCATCTCAAAATCAGTGAAATATTGACAGCATAAAAAGTAGCTAACACTATATTCAGTGAAATGTAAAGATTTAAACAGTGTTTACAGTAATGAGTTTCAGTGTGCCAATAAATTAACATATGTATTTTTTATAACCACTTTATTATTTAGGATATACATTTCACGAAATGTTAAAATATATACACAAAACAAAAAACAAAAAAACCCACAATGGCTTAAAGAATAGTAAAGTGCTCTGCCATGTCTGAGGTCCCAGCTTCTCCCTTCTTGTTGCTTGGCCTTCTCTGGGGTCCCTCCTCCTCAGGGTCCAAGGTGGCTCATGGTTCAGGACCACATGCCAACCTTAGAAGAAGTGGGAGGGGCAGTCAATGGCACCCTCCTGTCTTTTATAGACACATCCTGGAAATTGTACCCTGTATTAGTCTGTTCTCACGCTGCTAATAAAGACATATCCGAGACTGGGTAATTTATAAAGGAAAGAGGTTTAATGGACTCAGTTAAGTCCACAGTTCTAGATAGCTGGAGAGGCCTCACAATCATGGCGGAAGATGAAGGATAAGCAAAGGGACATCTTACATGGTGGCAGGCGAGAGAGAGGACGTGTAGGGGAACTCCTCTTCATAAAACCATTAGATCTTGTGAGACTTATTCACTATCCCAAGAAGAGCATAAGACCCGCCTCCACGATTCAGTTACCTCCCACCCCATGACACGTGGGAATTATGGGAGCTACAATTCAAGATGAGATTTGGGTGGGGACACAGCCAAACCATACCATACCCATTATCTTTTAATGGATTTCCTTGGCCAGAACTTAAATTTCAGAGCTACAGCCAACTACCAAGGAGACTGAAAAATGTAGGCTCCATTTTGGGTGGCTGTGTGACTAGTTAAAAATAAGGAACTCTGTCTCTATCAAAGAGGGAAAAATATATACCAAGAGAAACCTAGTAGCCTCTGCCATAGTCAGACGTACACAGACTGTAAAAGGCAAGTCCCTGAAAAATTGTAATGGTAAAAAAAATACTGAAACATAAAATCATGTCTTGATTTGGAGATTATACCTGCACTAGCCTAAGCATTATTATTTTGACTATTATTCAATATAAAATATGCTTGTCATAACTTCAAATTCAGGTGTCAATTTTGGAATATTTTCCAATCACTTAAGAGGAGCGGCTCAAACTAAAGCAAAACAGTCTTGCTCAGTGGTAAAGTGTATTAGAAGGAATCAATTATTAATAGTATTAATTTTATTTTTAAAATACTTACTATTTATTTAGACTTAGTTAACATTTTCCATATTTGTTTTACTACTCCTTTTTATATTTTGGACCTTCTTGGTGGAATTATTCTCCTTCTGCCTAAAGTACATATTTTAGATTTTTCTGTTAGGGTAGATTTGTTAGTTAGTGGTAAATCTCTTATGAGTAAAATGTATTTTGCTCTTATTCTTCAAAGATAGGTTTGTGGACATAGAGTTCTAGGTTTACAGTTATTTTCTATTTTTTTCAACTTTTATTTTAGGTTCAATGAGTTCATGTTCAGGTTTGCTACATGGGTAAATTGCATGTCGCTGGGGTTTGGTGTACAAGTGATTTCATCACCCAGGTAGTGAGCATGGTACCCTGTACATAGTTTTTTGACCCTCATCCTCCTCCCATGGACCACCCTCAAGTGGGCCCTGGAATCCATTGTTCCTCTCTTTATGTTCATGTGTACTCAAGGTTTAGTTCCCACTTATAAGTGGGAATTCATGCACTATTTGGTTTTCTGTCCTTTTGTTAATTTGCTTAGGATACTGACTGCATCCATGTTGCAAAGGACATGATTCCATTTCTTATGGCTGCATAGTATTCCATGGTGTATACGTAGCATATTTTCTTTATCCAGTCCACTGTTGATGAGCAGCTAGGCTGATTCCATGTCTTTGCTATTATGAATAGTGCTAGGATTAACATAGAAGTGCATGTGTCTTTTTGGTAAAACAATGTATATTTTGGGGAGTATATACCCAGGAATTGGATTAGTGGGTCAAATGGTGGTTCTATTTCTTTGAGAAAACTCCGAACTGCTGTCCACGGTGGGTAAAATTATTAACATTCTCACTAGCATATATAAACATTCCCTTTTCTCCACAATCTCAGCTCGCTAACACCTGTTATTTTCTGACTTTTTAATCACAGCCATTCTAACCAGTGTGAGATAGTATCTTATTGTGATTTTGATTTGCATTTCCCTAATGATTAGTGATGTTGAGAATTATTTCATATGCATTTTCCATGTATATGTCTTTTTTTGAGAAATGTCTATTCATGTCCTTTGCACACTTTTTTAAATGAAGTCATTTGTTTTGGCTTGTTGATTTAACTTCTTCATATATTCTGGATAGTGGACCTTTGTTGAATGCATGGTTTGTAAATATTTTCTCCCATTCTGTAGGTTGTGTGTTTACTCTGTTGATCACTTCTTTTAGCATGCAGAAGTTCTTTAGTGTAATTAGGCCCCACTTATCTATTTTGTTTATGTTGCAATTACTTTTGGAGACTTCACCATGAAATCCTTGCCAAGGCCTACATCCACAAAAATATTTTCTAGTTTTTCTTCTAGGGTTTATATAGTTGTAGGTCTTACATTTAAGCTTTTAATCTATCATGAGTTGATTTTATTATATGGTGAAAGGAAGGGATCCAGTTTTAATCTGCATATGTTTAGCTAGTTATCACGTACCGTTTATTGACTAGGGAGTCTTTTCCCCTATTGCTTACTATTGTCCATTTTGTCAAAGATCAGATAGTTGTAAATGTGTGGCTTTATTTCTGGGTTCTCTAACCTGTTCTATTGGTCTATGTGTCTGTTTTTGTACCAGTACCATGCTGTTTTGGTTATTACAGCCTTGTAGTATAGTTTGGAGACAGGTAGTGTCATGCCTCCAGCTTTGTTCTTTTTGCTTAGGACTGCTTTGGCTATTTGGGCTCTTCTTTGGTTTTATATGTATTTTAGAATAGTTTTCCTTAATTCTGTGAAAAAAATGATGTTGGTAATTTGATAGGAATAACATTGAATCTGTAAATTGCTTCAGGCAATATGGACATTTTAACAAAATTGATTATTCCTATCTTAGAGCATGGAATGTTTTTCCATTTGTTTGTGTCATCTCTGATTTGTTTCATTAGGGTTTAGATCTTTCACCTTCCTGGTTAGCTGCATTTTTAGGTATTTTATTCTTTTTGTGGTTATTATGAATGGGATTGCATTCTTGATTTGGCCCTCAGCTTGGACATTATTGGTCCAAGTAGCATAGAAATGCTACTGATTTTTCTATATTTATTTTGTACCCTGAAGCTTTACTGAAGTTGTTTTTCAGTTGTAGGAGCCTTTGGGTAGACTATGAGGTTTCCTAGGTACAGAGTCATATCATCTGTGAAGAGAGATAGTTTTACTTCCTCTCTTCCTATTTGGATGTCTTTTATTTATCTTGCCTGATTGCTCTGGCTAGGACTTCCAGTAGTATGATAAATAGGAATGAATGCTGAGAAGGCACATTCTTGTCTTATTCCTGTTTTCTGGGGGAATGCTTCCAGCTTTTGCCCATTTAGTATGATGTTGGCTGTGGTTTTGTCATAGATGGCTCTTATTATTTTGAGGTATGTTCCTTCAATGGCTAGTTTGTTGAGGGTTTTTAACATAAAAGGATGTTGAATTTTATTGAAAGCCTTTTTGTGCATCTATCGAGATCAAGTGGTTTTTGTTTTTAGCTCTGCTTATGTGATGAAGCACATTTATTGATTTGCATACATTGAAACAACCTTGCATCTCAGGAATAAAGCCTACCTGATCATGGTGAATTAGCTTTTTAATGTACAGCTGGATTTGATTGGCTACTATTTTATTGAGGATTTTTGTGCCTATGTTCATCAGGGAAAACAGCTTGAAGTTTGCTTTTCTTTTTGTGTCTCTGCCAGGTTTTGTTAGTATCAGAATGATGCTGGCCTCATCAGAATGATTCATAGGATGAATTAGGAGATAGTCCCTCCTCCTTGATTTTTTTGGAAACATGTCAGTAGTATTGGTACCAGTTCTTCTTTATATGTCTGGTAGAATTTGGCTGTGAATTTTCTGGCCCAGTGCTTTCTCTGGTTGGTACATTTTTATTAGTGCTTCGATTTCACAATTAGTTATTGGTCTGTTCAGGATTATAATTTCTTCCCTGGTTCAGTCTTGGGAGGTTGTATATCTCTGGGAATGTATTTATTTCTTACAGGTTCTCTAGTTCGTGTGCACAGAAGTGTTCACAATAGTCTCTAAGTTTTGTTTGTTTGTTTTGTCCTGTTGGGACAGTGATAATTTCTGCATTGTCATTTATAATCATGTTTATTTGAATCTTCTCTATTTTTTCTTTATTAATCAAGCTAATGGGCAATCCATCTTATTTATTCATTCAAAGAACAAACTTTTCGTTTCAGTGATCTTTTGTATGGATTTTTGGATCTCATTTGTGTTCAGTTCATCGCTCGTTTTGGTTTTCTTTTTTTCTGCTAGCTTTGGGGTTGGTTTGCTCTTGTTTTCTAAGTTCCCCTAGGTGTGATGTTAGATTTGAGATCTTTCTAACTTCTTTCTGTAGGTGTTCAGCACAATAAACTTTCAACACTGCTTTTGCAGTATCTAAGAGATTCTGGTATATTGTACTTTGTTTTCATTAGTTTTAAAGAATTTTTTTCTGTTTTAATTTAATTGTTTATGCAAAAGTAATTCAGAAGCAGGTTGTTTAATTTCCATGTAATTGTATGGTTTTGAGAAATATTCCTGGTGTTGATTTCTATTTTCATTGTGTCGTGATGTGAGAGTGTGATTTGCAGGATTTGGGTCTTTTTAAAAATCTGTTGGGAATTGCTTTATGGCAGAACATATGGTCCACTTCAGAATATGTGGTGTGTGCACATGGGAAGAATGTGTATTCTTTTGTTGAGTTATGTATTCTGCAGATATTTGTTAGGTCCATTTGGTCAGGGTTGACTTTAGGTCCCTAACATATCTGTTAGTTTTCTGTTTCAATGATCTATCTAACACTGTTAGTGGTCTTTTAGGTCTGTGATTCTTTCTTCAGGTTAGTCTATTCTGTTTTTAGTGCTTCCAATTGCATTCTGAAATTTCTGTAGCAGGGAGCTGAAATATCCCAAATATTGTCTAGTTATTTAAGTCTCTTCGTAGGTCTATAAGAACTTCTCTAATGAATTTGGGTGCTCCAGTGTTGGGTGCATATATAGTTAAGATAGTTAAATCTTCTTTTGAATTGAACCTTTTATTATTATGTAATGCAATACCCTTCTTTGTCCTTTAGATCATGGTTGGTTTAAAGTCTGTTTTGTGTGAAATAAAAATAGCAACACTCTTTTTTTGTTTTGTTTTTGTTTTCTTTTAAAATTTTTATGTATATTTGAACAGACAGAAATTCATGAATTGGGCAGCATCAAACTGTAAGCAGTTCAGGGCGGCACTGAAGGTGTGCAATGGTAAAAGGTTTTTTGAATTTATTTTTTATTTCAATAAGTTTTTGGGGAACAAGTGATGTTTGATTACATGAATAAGTTCATGTAAGATTTTGGTGCACCCATCACCCAAGCAGTGCACATTGTACCCAGTGCGTAGTCTAGTCTTTTGTCTCTCAACCCCCTCCCACCCTTTCACCTGACTTTCCAAAGTCCATTGTTTAATTAGTATGTCTTTTCATCCTCATAGCTTAACTCCCAATTATGAGTGAGAATATATGATGTTTGACTTTTCATTCCCGAGTTACTTAACTTAAAATAATAGTCTCCAATTTCATCCAGGTTGCTGTGAATGCCATTATTTCATTCCTACTTATGGCTGAGTGGTATTCCATGATATAAATATACAACATTTTCTTTATCCACTCATTGATTAATGGGCATTTGGGCTGGTTCCGTATTTTTGCAATTGCAAACTATGCTGCTATAAAGGTGTGTATGCAAGTATCTTTTTTGTATAATGACTTCTTTTTCTCTAGGTAGATACCTAGTAGTGGGATTGCTGGATCAAATGACAGATCTACTTTTAGTACTTTAAGGAGTCTCCACACTGCTTTCCATAGTTGTTTTACTAGTTTGCATTCTCACCAACAGTGTAAAAGTGTTCCCTTTTCACCACATCCACAGCAACATCTATTATTTTTTGATTATGGCCATTCTTTCAGGAGTGAGGTAGTATCATGTTGTGGTTTTGATTTGGATTTCTCTGATAATTAGTGATGTTAAGCATTTTTCCATATGTTTGTTGGCCCCTTGTATATCTTCTTTTGAGAATTGTCTATTCATATCCTTAGCTTGGTTTTTGATAGGATTGTTTTTTTTTTTCTTTTCTTGCTGATTTGTTTAAACTCTTTGTAGATTGTGCATATTAGTCCTTTGTCAGATATACAGATTGTGAAGATTTTCTCCCAAACTGTAGTTATCTGTTAGCTCTGATGATGATTTCTTCTCCTTTGCAGGAGCATTTTAGTTTAATTAAGTTCCATATATTTATCTTTATTTTTGTTGCATTTGCTTTTGTGTTTTTAATCATGAAGCCTTTGCTTAAGCCAAAGGCTAGAAGGGTTTTTCCAATGTTATCTTCCAGAATGTTTATGATTTGGGGTCTTAGATTGAAGTCTTTGATCCATTTTGAGTTGATTTTTGTATAAGGTAAGAGATACGGATCCAGTTTCATTCTTCTGCATGTGGCTTGTCAATTATCCCAGCACCATTTGTTGAATAGGGTGTCCTTTCCCCATTTTATGTTTTTGTTTGCTTTGCTGAAGATCAGTTGACTGTAAGCATTTGTGTTTATTTCTGGGTTCTCTATTCTATTGGCATATGTGCCTATTTTTATACCAGAACCATGCTGTTTTGGTGACTATGGCCTTAAAGTATAGTTTGAAATCGGGTAATGTAATGCCTCCAGATTTACTCTTTTTGCTTAGTCTTGCTTTTGGCTATGCAAGCTATTTTTTGGTTCCATATGAATGCTACATTTTTTTTCTAGTTATGTGAAGAATAATGGTGGTATTTTGACGGTGGTATTTGATGGACACTGAATTTGTAGATTACTTTTGGCAATACAGTCATTTTCACAATATTGATTCTATCCATCCATGAGGAGGCCCACTTGCACTACTTCTATTCAACATAGAACCAGAAGTCCTAGCCAGATCAATCAAACAAGAGAAATAAATCAAAGGCATCCAAATTGGTAAAGAGGAAATCAAACTGTTACTGTTTGCTGATGATATGATCATATACCTAGAAAACCCTAAAGATTCATCCAAAAAGCTCCTAGAACTGGTAAATGAATTCAGCAAAGTTTCAAAATAGAAAATTAATGTACACAAATTAGTAGCTCTGCTATATATCAACAGTGACCAAGCTGAGAATCAAATCAAGAACTCAACCCCTTTTACAATAGCTGCAAAAAATAATAATAAAATACTTAGGAATATACCTAAGCAAAGAGGTGCAAGATTTCTACAAGGAAAACTCCAAAATACTGCTGAAAGGAATCATAGATGACACAAACAAATGAAAACACATCCCATGCTCATGGATAGCAACACTCTCTTTTGGTTTTCATTTGCTTGATAGATCTTTCTCCATCCATTTACTTTGAGCCTTTGGGTGTCCTTGCATCTGAGATAGGTCTCTTCAAGACAGCATTCAGTTGGGTCTTGCTTCTTTATCTAACTTCCACTCTGTGTCTTTTAAGTGGTACATTTAGCCAATATACATTCAAGGTTAATCTTGATATGTGAAGATTTGATCATGTGATGGTGCTGTTAGCTGGTTGTTATATAGACTTGATTATATAGTTGCTTTATAGTGTCGGTGAGCTATGTACTAGGCCACTGGAGCTGGCAGGTATTCATCTTTTGTTTGTATGTTTAGCAATTCCTTAAGGATCTCTTGTAAGGCAGGTCTGGTGGTAACAAATTTCCTTAGCATTTTCTGGTATGAAAGGATTTTATTTGTCCTTCACCTATAAAGCTTAGGTTGGCCAGATATGAAATTCTTGGTTGGAATTTCTTTTCTTTAAAGATGCTGAATATAGGCTTCTAATATCTTCTGCCTTTTAGGGGTTTTGATCAAAACTCCACTGTTACCCTGATGGGGTTCTCTTTGTATGTGATCTGCCCCTTTTCTCTAGCTGCCTTTCAGATTTTTTCTTTCACATTGACTTTGTAGAATCTGATGACTATGTGTCTTGGGGATGGTTATATTGTATTGCATATTGAAAAGGTTCCCTGAATTTCCTGAATTTGTATTCAGCCTCTCTAGAGAGACTGGGAAAATTTTCATGGACAGTATCCTCAAATATGGTTTCCAAGTTGCTCACTCTCTCTCCATGTCTTTCAGGAATACCAATGAGTCTCAGCTTTGGTCTCTTTACATAATCCTATATTTCCTGGAGGTTTTGCTGCATTAAAAAATTTTTTTCTTTATTTTTATCTGCCTATGTTGATTCGAAGAAGCAGTCTTCTAGCTCTGAGATCCTTCCTCAGGTTGGTCTATTCTATTATTAATGCTTCCAATTGCATTACAGAATTTCTTTTTTTTTTTTTTTTTTTTTTTTTTTTTTGCATTCTGAAATTCCTGTTGTGAATTTTTCACTTCCAGACATTCAGTTTGGCTCTTTATTAAAATGGCTACATCATCTTTCAACAATTATACTGTTTTACTATTTTCCTTGGATTGGGTTTCAACCTTCTTTTATATCTTGATGAGCTTCTTTGGCATCCAGATTCTGAATTCTGTGTTTGTCATTTAATCTATTTCAATCTGGTTAAAAACCATTGCCGGGGAGATAGTGCGGTCATTTGGAGGTAAAAAGACACTCTGGCTTTCAGAGTTGCCAGAGTTCTTGCACTGGTTGTTTCTCATCTGTGTGGGCCGATGTTCCTTTAATTTTTGAAGTGGCTGTCTTTTGTATGGGGCATTTTGCTTTTATATTCTTTGATGCCCTTGAGGGTTTGAGTGTGGAATAAGTTGCCTTTAGTTTATTTGCTTTGTTTCTGGATACTTTCAGGCAGCCAAGGCTCAGCCCAGCACTCCTGAGCTACATGCTCTAACCCTGAGGAGTTGTAACCAGGACTCTGTCTTTGTCCTCTAGCCCCTCAAGGTGAAGCACCTGCTGTGCTAGAGGGGTTGAGGTATTCCCAGGCTATTGGCAACTACGCTCTAATGGGGGCTGCTGGTAATAGTGCTCCAGTGAGGGGTGGGGGGTCCTTGTACATATGCACACCAGTAGAGTGGCAGGGAGTCCATGTGTGCATGCGCACCAGCAAGGTGATGGCGGGAGGCTATGGGCAAGTGCACACTGGCAGGGAAAGGCTGTTGGTGAGTATGCACTGGCAGGGGTCCATCTGCAAAAATATTGTAGTGCTTAGGCGAGATCTGCCAGTGAAAGAGCTATGGCAGTGGCTGCTGGCAAGCTGAGGCTGTGCAGCAAGCAAGTGTAATTAGGCATTAACCCTGGGAGAGGCTGGCGGATAGGGGGTGCTCAGATCAGACTGGCCCCCTCCCACGGGCAAGACACCCCTGTTCTATCCAGTTCCAGCAGCCAATACAAGCTAGAGCCTTGGGGCATGGGCACCCATGGCTGTGCTCAAACCCTCTGGGCTTAATGCAGGCTGGAGTTCTGTCTCTGCCAACTCCCCAGACAGTTCTTGCCAGATCAGATGTTCTTGGGGGCTGTGGAATCTCCTGCAGCTAGGATCCTGGAGGTCAATGATGAGAGTAAGCCACTCCACTTTTGTGTCATTTACTGCTTCTCTAGGAGCCACTCAGGGCCAGGAACAAGTCTTCATGCTCGGCAACCACATGCAGTGTTGGTAGCTTCCTCACCTTTCAGCTTGGGGTCTGTATCCTCCCTCTGTCCACTCTCAGTGCCTTCTTTCCAAAGATCTGTTTGGAGTGCACCAATCTATTTCATGGCCCAGTCTCTCTCAGTGGAAAAAGCTCTTCTTAGCTCCATCTAGTCAGCCATCTTGGCTCTCCACCTTACAAATATTTTCTTTCAGCACATTGAACATATTATTTCTTTGTTTTCTATTGGCTTTCAAAGTTTCTACTACAAAGTCAGCCATCTAATTATTGTTCCTTTTAAGTAGGCTGATTATTTTTTCTGGCCATTAAATCATTAAGACAACAAATAGCACCGTAGTTTATTGCAGATTTAGAATTATTTCTACAATTATATCACAATCATTCACTTGAATTGCGGTCTACTTTATTATTATTAATAATAACACTAGTAACAAACATTTACTATGTGCCTGACAGTCTGGCAAAAAAACACCCTACCTTATTTATCAGGTTCAGTTCTCACAGCAATCCTTTGAAGCAGGCACTCTTACTCTCTCTTTTATCAAATGAGGAAGGACCATGAGGCTTAGGAGGGTAAGATACCTTCCCAGATCACACAACTAGTAAGAAAGAGGGTAGGAGAGTAAAGAGTGGAGTGACAGGGAGTTAACACAACTGTGATCAGCCCATGAGGGCAGAGTATGTGTTATGTAAATAAAAATTATCTAACATCTGAGGGGAAGAAGAGGGCTGCATTTTGTACGTGTCAACTTGGCTAAGCTGGAGGTATCTGCAGGTACATTCAAGTTTGCCTTGCTATTTCTTACTCAGCGTCCCACTCTCTTTTTGCCAGGCTGCAGGTCCTGGTGATAAACAGTGAACCCCGATCCCACACTCCCACCCCTGTAGACACAGAGGCAACAGCCTTGAAGAGACTTATCCCAACTCATCTTCCCTTTGTTTGTCTCACCTCCAAAGGGGGACAAGCCTGGCTTTCCAGATTATCTGCAAGCTTCTAACCTCCCATCCAGGTTCAAGCTTGCTGGTGACTTCTCAAATCCTCCACATCTTATTTCTCGACCTTATTTCTCTGTACTTCTCACAATTGTGTAAGGTCTAACTCCTCTCATAAATTCCTTCTGTAATACTTGCAATAATTCCATTTCTCTGATTGAAACCTGACTGAACACAGAAAGGATGTAGCTTTTAAAAATACTGCTCGAGTGTTTCAAAAACTTACTTGTGAGTGCTAGTTGAAATGCAGATTCTGGGGCTCTTGCCTTGAATATTCTGGTTGCTAAGCAGGATCCCATTTTTATTTTCAGGGGCTCTAGGCACTATTATATTCAATAGATTCTTTTATCCGTAAAAATATTAAATATTATATTTTATGACTGTATTGATATAAAGACAAATATAATTGAGGATGGATTATATTTGTTCTTCAGATTTCAAAAGAAATTAGTGCATTTTTTTAGATCCCTAAAAGTTCCATGAACCCTAGGCACCATACCTACCGTGGCTAATGAAGAACTTGGCTCTGTTACTAGGTTTGGATTGGGGTTCAGGAATATGCATCTAGCAACCTCCCTTGGCAATTGTTCTCATTAGGCAAGTGTGAGCAGCACTGCTATAGGACACGGGTGTTTCAGGACCTCAGGAAGTCTCTGTGATCACATTCTAAAAGAGAAACTATGAAAAACAACCTTTACATTTGTGAGGAGCACAACTGCAGGGAAACACTTTTTAAAAGGTGTAACAACAACAACATATAATGTCAACAAAAACAAAACCTAGCAGCCAAAAATATTTCACCTCAACTTTGCTCATTACTCATTTGGTTTTTCAGGTTTTGTTTTTTCCCATGCATGAGTCTTACTGTGGAATCACAATAGCATTCATGCAAAGGAAATAGTTTCATGCCAATGAATATGTCTTGTGAGCCCCTGGGAATTAAGGCCCAAAGGCACAGAGAACTTACAATAAACTAGGTCCATTCATAAAGCAGAATCGTTCAGTCTGTTGTGCTTATAAAGCCCCAGCATAGAATTGATTGCCTCTTATTTGTTTCCTGTCTCTGAATTAAATTTTAATCTCCTTTCTAGAGGGAGATAAATTGTATAATGTATGTCAGGACTTAGGACAGTGTTTTAATCAGTGTGTACTCCTCAAAAAAAATAAAGATAAAAATCAAGGCTGCAAGTAAATTTTATTTTGTCCTTAAAAATAAATACAAAATGTTGAGCAAAGGCAAGTATCCAGAATTGGATTCCATGTTGCTATTTTTGGGGTTGGGGTGAGGGGTAGATAAAACTACATTCTCTTAAGCAACTAATATGTGTATATCTCTTATACACATATTAGTTTCTCATAATATATCAAGAAACAAGATAATCAAGAAACAAGATTGTTTCTTGATTATATTCTCTTTGTATTTTATTCCAAATAACACCCCATGTGTTACCACAAAAGTACAGGTCCCTCAACAATGACTGATTGTGCACAATGAAAGAAGAAAAACTTGAGATACACTGTTAAAATATATTTTTAGTTATTCAAGGGGATAGGGAAATGTAAGAAACCTATTTATGATGAGGCAAACTTTGCAGACCTTGGTTGAAATAAACTTTTCAAATATCTCAAAGTTTTAGTCGGATAAAAATCTTTAAGCTCTACAGAAGTGGTAAAAGACAGTGCAGAGATTGATTGCTTTGTTTTTAATTCTTCTGCTGAGATTTCAGTTCTTCTGTTTCTTCTCACTGCATGCTCCTAGGGCATGAGTCCAGGACTGGAAAAGAACACAGGGTTACTACTTTCTCCCTAGGCTCATTCTCATTTAGAATGTACATTTAAAAAATAATTCTGTCATTGCCTTTCCTAGGGAAAACAGGAACTAAGCAAGAAAGCTTTAAAGGAGTAAGCACAACATGAAAGAATCTGTACCAACATCAATCTGAGGCATGTGGCTGTCCCACTGTCACAATATATAGAGGGAATACTAACAGGCTGCAAATGGGACAGGATAATACTTTCAAAGATATTCCAGTTGCTTCAACTTTGCTAATTTGTGAATTCTCAGAAAAAATATTTCAAAGCATACTATAAATAAGATTTTCTACATGCGATTCTCAAGGTCCAATCGGTCCATTCATTTGCTTCTAGTGACAAAGGTCCTGCATATTGTGTGGTCTCTTCTTATGATCCCTACACCCATATTATTCCTCCAGAATTCTCAGATCCGATGTATTTCTCTGCCAGAACATGCTTAAACTTGTTTTTTGCCTACTGGGCACTGGAAGCTAAAAGTGCTGCTTCACTTTTATTTATCCAGCCACCACCTTGGTGAATGCTAATATATCACTTTTGCACTATATTGGATAATGGAGCTGAGCCAAATCCCAAAGTTCTCTTGGAAACATACAGGTAATCTCATGCTAGAAGAAGAGGACTTCTCATACATGTTGATATTTTCATAGCACCCTTAAACTTCAAGGGGATTGATCACGGAACAGCGAGAAGTAGGAATTTTAACATTAACACCTGACCTTCCGTCACTACTATTTCCTTCTTCTTCATATACCACACAAGGGGCAGAAGGATTTCTCCCTTTCTCATTGGCAGAGATTTCATTTATGACAAATTCTTAATTGTGTTCATCTAATTTTATAGTAACTTTGATAGTAAATTTTGTCAGGCCTGTGTCTGATACAAAGAAGTATTAAAAACTATAAAATGTAAATCCGTAATGACTTAATATTCCCAAAATATTATTAACGAGAACTGTATATTTGTATTATCTGGGTCTATCTGTCTATATACGATTTGTCCATCTTTTTTTTTCCATTCATCTATTTGTCTATAAATCTGATCTACCTAAATGTACACATATGAAGTAACAAAACTTAAAAGGATATAATTTAATATATCTGAAAATTAATAAACTACCATAAATTCCATATGGAAAGGAACAATAATGCAAATCTATTTATAATTATCCAGTATGGTCATTCAAAAATATTTATTAGTCACCTACTTTGATGGTTAATTTCATGTGTCAAATAGGTTAGGCCATGGAACCCAGGTATTTGGTCAAATGCTAGTATAACTATTGCTGTGAAAGTATTTTTTAGATGAGATTTATCTTAATGCACTCTGTGCTGCTATAAAAGAATGCATGAGGCTGAGTAATTTACAATGAACAAAAATTTATTTCCCACAGTTCTGGAGGAGGGAAGTACAAGATCAAAAAGCAAGCAACTGACAAGGGGCTTCATGCTACATCATCTCATGGATGAAGGCAGAAGGGCAAAAGAGTGAAAGAGAGATAGAAAACAGAATGAAACTCATCCTTTTATAGGGAACCCACTTGCACAATAATGAACCCACTCCTGTCATAATGGCATTAATCCATTAATGAGGGCAGAGCCCTCATAGCCTAATCACCTCTCATTAGGCCACACATCCTAACACTGTTGCACTGGAGATTAAGATTCCAACAAATGCTTTTGAGGGACACATCCAAATCACAAGAGATTCATATTTAAATCAGTACACTTTGAATGAAGCCAATTACCTTCCATAATGCAGATGGGCCACATCTAAGCAGTTGAAAGCTTTGCAAGAAAAAAGACAAATGTTCCCCAAGAAAGAGCAAATTCTGCCTGCAGATGGCCTTTAGACTCAAGCTGCAATTATCAACTCATCCATGGATCTTCCTTAAATCTCTCTATCTCTCTCTCTCTCTCTATATATAAATATGTATATACACAGACACACACACACATACATATACACATATAAGTATATGCTTGTATAAATACACACATATGTCATATATGTATTAATGCATATATGGATCATATATGCATTAATACATATATACACATGTGGATTTTACATATATGTGTATATATACATATATGTATCCATCTATAATCCATATATATCCCTATATTCATACATATATATATATCATATATAATCCATATATGGATTAATGCTATATGTATATGTATATATGTGTGTGTGTATACATACACACACATATGTAATCACATACATGTATACCCCTCCACACACGCACACCCTATTGGTTCTGTTTCTCTGGAGAACCCTGAGTAATACATATACCATTTGTCTGGCATCCTGTTAGTATGTGGCCTGCACAGATGAACAAGACATTGTTCTTGTCTTCATGAAGATAATTGTTTGCCTCAGAAGGTTAACTTCAGATAGGTTCTATTCAATATACAGCTTTGGATATGATTCGTCTCAGTGTCTCCACCCAAATCTCATCTCAAATTGTAATCCCCACATGTTGAGAAAGGGACCTGGTGGTAGGTGACTGGATCATGGGGACGGTTCCCCCATGCTGTTCTCATGATAGTGAGTGAGTTACCTTGAGATCTGATGGTTTTAAAAATGGAAGTTTCCCCTGTGCTTTGGCTCTCTCCTGCTGCCATGTAAGACCTGCCTTGCTTCTCCTTCACCTTCTGCCATGATTCTAAGTTTCCTGATGCCTCCCCAGCCATGCAGAACTGTGAGTCAACTAAACCACTTTCCTTTATAAGTTACCCAGTCTCAGGTAGTATATTTATAGCAGTGTGAAAATGGACTAATACACCTTTAATAATTTGCAAACAGTTTACAACTCAAGGTAGGTTTCTGTATGATCTAATCTTATCATAGGTTTGCTATGCCATTTTAGGATGGGGTGATTAGAAATAATCAAAGGTGACCAGGCATGGTAGTTCATGCCTGTAATCCCAGCATTTTGGAAGGCTGGGACAGGTGGTTTGCTTGAGCTCAGGAGTTCGAGAACAGCCTGGACAACATGGTGGAAACCCAGCTCTACAACAAAGACAAATAATTAGCTGGGTACGGTGGCATGCACCTATAGTCCCAGTAACCCAGGAGGCTGAAGTGGGAGGATCTTCAGAGCCCAGGAGGTTGAGGCTACATTGAGCTGTAATAGCACCACTGCACTCCAGCCTAGACAACAGACTAAAATGCCATCTCAAAAATAGTAATAATAAAATAAGAAATAATAAAAGGTAATCACTATCTCTTTCTCTGTTACTACAAATGTCAACATAGAAGAGCCTGAAGTCAGATAAAGTGATACCTCCAGCTTTGTTCTTTAGCTTAAGATTGCTTTGACTATTTGGGCTGTTTTTGGTCCCATATAAATTGTAAAAGATAGAATTTTATTGCATCTGTAGATCACTTTGGCCTCTATGGTCATTTTAACTATGTTGACTCTTGTAATGCATTACCATGGGATGTTTTCCCATTTATTTGTATCATCTATCTGTGATTTCTTTCATCAGTGTTTTATAGTTCTCCTTGTAGAGCTCATTTACCCCCTTGGATAAATGCATTTCTAGGTATTTGATTTTGCGGGGGCTTATTGTAATTGAAATTGAGTTCTTAATTTGGCTCTCAGCTTGAAGGTTATTGGTGTACAGAAATGCTAGTGATTTTTGTACATTGATTTTGTATCCTGAAAATTTACTGAAGTCATTTAACAAGTCTAGGAGTCTTTTGAAGGGATCTTTAGGGTTCTCTAGATTTAAGATCATTTTGTCAGCAAACAGAGATAATTTGACTTCCACTTTTCCAATTTGCATGCTTTTTATTTCCTTCTCTTGCCTTACTGCTCTGGCTGAGTTCCAGTACTATGTTCAGTAAGAGTGGTGAGAGTGGACATCTTTGTCTTGTTCCAGTTCTTAGGGGGAATACTTCCAACTCTTCTCCATCCAATATGATGTTGACTGTTGGTTTGTCATATATGGCTTTTATTATTTTGAGGTGTATTCTTCTATACCTAGTTTGTTGAGCATTTTTATCCTAAAGGGATGTTAGATTTTATAGAATGCTTTTTCTGCGTTTATTGAAATGACCTATGGTTTTTTATTTTTAATTTTGTTTATATGGTGACTCACATTTATTGATTTGCGTATGTTGAACTACCCTCATATCCTTGGGATAACAATCCCTTGATCATGATGTATTATCTTTTTCTTATATGTTGGATTCAGTTTGCTAGTATTCTGTTAAAAATTTTTGCATCTATGTTCATCTGGGATATTAGCCTACAGTTTTCTTTTTTTTTATTGTTGTGCCCTTGCCTGATTTTGATATCAGGATGATATTGCTTTCACAGAATGAGTTAGGGAGAAATCCCTCCTCTTTGATTTTCTGAAATAGTTTTAGTAAGATTGGTGCCAGCTCTTTTTTGTGTGTTTGGTAAAATTTGACTATGAATCTGTCTGGTTGTAGGCATTTTTTGTTATTGTTGTTGGGAGATTTCTTATTACTGGCTCTGTAAGGCTATGATAAGCAAAACAGCATGGTACTTGTATAAAAATAGACACATAGATGAATAAAACAGAATAGAGAACCCAGAAATAAAACCACATACTTACAACCAACTGATCTTTAACAAAGTCAACGAAAATATAGAATGGGGAAAGAACATTCTATTCAATGAATGGTGCTGGGAAAATGGGATAGTCATATGCAGAATGAGCTTGACCCCTATCTCTCACCATATACAAAAATTAACTCAGATGGGGTGGAGACTTAAATGTAAGACCTGAAACTATAAAAATCCTAGAAGAAAACCTAGGAAAAATTATCTGGACATTGGCCTAGGTAAATAATCATGACTAAAATCCCCAAATCACATGCAACAAAAAACAAAAATAGACAAATGGGACTTAATTAAACTAAAGAGCTTCGACATAGCAAAAGAAATAATCAACAGAGTATATAGACAATCCACAGAATGGGAGAAAATATTTGCAAACTATGCCTTCATATTCAGAATCTATAAATAACTCAAAAAACTCCACAAGACAAAAACACCCCATTAAAAGGTAGGAAAGGACATGAACAGACAATTCTTAAAAGACAGACAAGCAGCCAACAAACGTATGAAAAAATGCTCATCCTCACTAATTTTCAGAGAAATGCAAATTTTTTTTCAGAGAAATGCAAGTTTAAACCACAATGAGATACTCTCCCACACCAGTCAGAATGGTTATTACTAAAAAGTCAAAAAAACAACAAATATTAGCAAGGATGCAGAGAAAAGGGAATGCTTATTCACTGTTTGTGGAAATGTAAAGTACAACCTCTATGGAAAGCAGTATGTAAATTTCTTAAAGAAATAAAAATGTAACTACCATTCAACTCAGCAATCCTGAGTATCTATCCACAGAAAAAAAATTGTTATATCAAAAAGTCACCTGCACTAATATGTGTATCACAGCACTATTCACAATAGCAAAGTCATGTAATTAACCTAAGAGTTCATCAACAGATTATTGGATAGAGAAAATGTGGTACGCATACACTATGGAATACTACACAGTCATGAAAAGAATAAATCATGTCTTTCTCAGCTACATGGATGGAGCGGGAGGCCATTATTCCAAGTGAAATAATTCAAGATATAGACAAATATCACATGTTCTCACTTACGGGGGGAGCTAAACAGTGGGTACACATGGACATACCAAAGAAAATAATAGACACTAGGGATGCTAAAAGTGGGGAGGGAGGGAGAGAATAAGGGTTGAAAAATTTCCTATTGGGTACAGTGTTCACTATTCAGGTGATGGGTACACTAGAAGCCCAAACCTGATCATCCTGCAGTATATCCATGTAACATACCTGCACATGTACTCCCTGAATCTATAAACATTAAAAAATTCTGAAAGTTACCATAAAAGACAAGAGTCTGAAGGGTAATTACAACTCAGAGTTTGAGGGTAACTTAATATGGTAAAACTACACTTCAATAGAGTCTTACAGTTCCTAAAACAATAAGCCTTATGTTTTTGTATTTAACCCTATAAACAAATGACATAGATGATAAAGTGTATATTATTTTAAAAGTCGAGAAAAACAAGCTCAAGAATTTTAAATAACTTACCCAGATGTAAAGAGTAGCATATCTGAAAAGTTTTACTGTTCCTAGTCTAGTACAATTTTTTCCATTATGTTACTTAAATGAATATGACATATAATTTAATCTCTTAAAATGGGATATAACACGTGGTTAATTGGGACATTGTAAAACTACCCAAGGTACTTTTTCTATAAATGAGAATCTATAAAAATATTTACATACATGCTTGTTCATTAAAGATTAAAATAATGGGAACCTAAAGCATATTATTGCTCCATAGTAAGGAATTAATTGAAGAATTTATTGTGTACTCATACAAGATAATTTTAAGTATACCTTAAGTGATTTATAGGTATGTATATAAATATGTAAATATTCATATGAAATCTTACTTATATCATTCATTTGTTCAATAATTGTGTACCTACCATGTGTTGAGCATGATACGTTGCTAACAAAACAGACAACGACCCCAGGCCTTGTATACATTCTTATAGGAAGTGACAGATGCTAAGTAATAAACATAATAAATAAGCCTATTATATCGATTCTAGAGACGTGAGAAGAAAAAGAGATGAAGTAGAGCCAGATAAGAAGGATCGGTGGTGCTGAGTGAGAAGAGGAGAGCAGGCTGCTCTATTAAGGGGAATCACCAGAAGGATGCTTGAGCAAAGACTTGAGATGAATGAAGAGTGAGCCCTCCTGACACGTTAGGGAAGACCACACCGGTGGATGGAGCAATGAGTGCAAAGCCCCAGGGCAGCTGGGTGTGTGGTATATTCAAAGGACAGCAAATATGCTGGTGTCGGGAGACCAGAGTGGGGAGGGAGAGAGTAGTAAAGGAGGAGTCAGAGAGGAAGAAGGCATCCATCATACAATGTCCCTTTGGACAGTGTAAGAACTTTGGCTTTTATTCTCAGCAAAATGCTGAGCTGTTTGTAGGTTTTAAACAGAGTAGGAACAGGATCCATCTTACGTTTTAAGAAAAGTTATCATTCCAGGTGCTATATTAAGAAGATTACTTAAGGAAAAGGGGGAAAAGTAGAGAAACCAGTTAGAAGGCCACTGCAGTCATCCAGTAAGAAGCGGGATGGGAGTCAAAGCAGTGAAGGTGATGAGTGGTCACATTCTTCATATATTTTTACTGTAACATCAATAGGATTTCCTAATGAATTCAGTGTGGGGAGTACATGAAGTAGAGGAGTCCAGGATGATGCAAGCTTTTAGCTTGAGAAAGTAGAACTTTGGCATTTCTGACAACTGAGATAGAGAAGTCTTTGGATGGAGCAAGATTAGGGGTGTAAGTGGGAGGTCAGGTTGCTCAGTTTGAGAAATGCTGAATTCAAAAGGGCTCTTATCCATTCAGTAGAATGTCCAGTAGATACTTGGAGAAAAGATAATAGAGAGTGATTCTATTTTTATTTTTTCCCACATTGGGAAATTTCTAATAGTCTAAACTGACATTCTAAATTTCATCAATAAGTTCTAAAAAAAATCTTAGATTCTAAATAACACCATAAATCATGAAAATTTATAGCAATCAGTGTTTTATAGAAATTAAAACAATGTCCATGAATATTGAAAAGTTATTTCACTGAAATATACTAAAAAATATTCTGTGGAGAGTTTGAAAAACACTACTTAGAAATAATGATTGGTAAATTTTGGTTATATATGGTGTTGAAGGTAAACAACTCACATAATTTCAAACATTGCTTTATAAATTAAGCTAGTTATTTAATATCTCTAAAATTAAGAAATAGCTTCTTTCGGACTTTATTTGTTCAAAAGGATTATGAAGAGACTTATATTCAATAATAATAAGTAGGCACATCACAAGTAACATTCTGCAAGAGACGCTAAAGAGTAGACTGCAACAAAAAACCAGGTGACTACATTATACTGCTTTGGCAATTACAACCTCCAAACACTAAAAGGAAAGAAAAAAATATCACGGAACATTTTTAAAGACAATTTTAACACATTTTAGCCATTCACTAGGTTCTTATATCAGACTGAAAACCAAAAGTTCGCACCTATCTAAGATTGCAGGGCTAAGATTACTATTCTGAAAGCTTTTCAACCACTTTAGAAGCCTCTCTAAGGTCAACTCAAGCAAGACATTTACACCTATCAGTGCTTTGGCATCATCAACCTGTCTTTTAGCTGTATGGCAATAAACATTTAAAATTCCAAATCCTGCACTTTTGGAAGATGTTCTGGAAATGAAAGTGTGATTTAATTTTAAATGCTGTGTCCTCAAGGAACACTTCTAAACCTTAATAAATATGGGATATAGACATCATCATTCATGGCAGGACACAGTGATCTTATCTACAGGCAATGAGCTGTCTCTATAGAATAGAAATGCTAGACCTTGGTGAACACACAAGAATCAAAGCTGGTCCTAGCAATGGTGCAGAGGCTAAATATATCTCAGCAAACATGCAAGCTCACGGGCCTTAAATGACCTGTTAGCCACACAGACATTTATTGCAGATTCTGATTGCACAGGGTGTGGCCAGTTAATACCAGCTGCACTGGCCTCAGTAAAGGTACAGGTCATTAGCCAGCACAGGCAGCTTCAGGGTACATATGCTTAGTTTGATTTTAATTTTTAACTATGCCTAGTACACCTACTGAAGGGAGAGGAGATCGCCAGCATACGCTGGTGGTAGGTCTCAGGCCCTAATAAGCTAGTGCAACAGAAGTAAAGAATCAGAAAAAGCAATGAAAAAATAAATAAATAAATAAAAAGGGCGGGGCTTTATAGCCCTGTAATACATTAATAGTTAGATCAATGTTTCCTGTTTCAAAAGCATTCATGAGGCCCTAAGCTCACAAATTTTAGGGCACCACCTGGTCAGCCAGCATGTGCTGCCCAAATTATTACCATGCATCCAGAGCTAAGACGGGAATTGTGGAGAGGCTGACCTTGAATTCAAGAGCTTGTCCACAGACCTGTGTATCATCCCTACCACTTGGTCTTCTTTTGGCTCTGCATTGGCTAATAACATACGAGAAAGAAAGATTCTTTCCTTAGGAGGCAGGCTATTTTTAAGCCAAGGCATTTTCATGAGACAATAAAAATAGTTCCTTAGACTCAGAACTGAAAAGGAAGTATGCACGCTCTGTCACTAGATGGGGCCCACACTCAATGCAGTTTTTGGGGTGTCAAAACATATGACTCAAAAAACAACAGAATGAAGATGCTTTCAGTGAAACAAAGGCACTTAGAATAAAGCTGGCAATTGGTGATGCCTTCGTTGCAAATTCCTAGTGCCACTCTCATTGGAGAAATTCTGACAGGCTCTATGGATAAACACAGTTGGAAGTCATTTAGAATGAACAATGGAACTTCAGCCTTGAAGTTGGATTAATGTTTTGACCTTGTTCAGAGGCTTCTGGGAGAGTTGTCCTAGGGGCTAATCCCATTTGTCTATTATTGGTCCCAGGTGGATAACCAGATGAGCATTGGTTGATGGGGTGGAGAGACCTCAATAAAGTGACAAATGAGCAGGAGGACTGCTGACCTTCTTCACTAAGGGAGGGAGACCGAAGTCCCTGATTGACTTTAGGTCAGGGGTTGGCAAACTGTTCCTATAAAGGGCTGACCAGAACATACTTTTGGCTTTGCAAGCCAGGTGGTCCTTGTCATAACTACTGAACTCTGCCGTCGTGCAATATGAAAGCAGCCACAGACAATATGCAAACAAATGAGTGTGGATCTGCCACTGATTTACCAATTGCTGATTACACCATTAGTTCATATTCTCAATTCGACTGAATTAAGATATTGAATCATAGGTAGTTTGTGGGCAATTGGTGTCTTTTTCTTTTTTTTCTTTCTTTCTTTTTTTTTGAGACAGTCTCGCTCTGTCACCCCCAGAGTATATTGCAGTGCTGCAATCTCGGCTCACCGCAACCTCCACCTCCTGGGTTCAAGCAATTCTCCTGCCTCAGCCTCCTACATAGCTGGGATTACACGCATCCACCACCACACCTGGCTAATTTTTGTAATTTTAGTAGAGATGGGGTTTCACTATATTGGCCAGGCCAGTGTCGAACTCTTGACCTCAAGTGATCCACCTGCCTCAGCCTCCCAAAGTGCTGGGGTTACAGGCGTGAGACACCACACTGGCCAACTGGTGTCTTTTCTTACACTTTACTTGGAACAGTTGGAGTCAGTAATGTGATCACCAAGTCCCATCTGCAGACAAGTAAGAAGTCAATGAAGGAGTTTGTTTCAGTCTTCTTCAGGTCACCCATGTATCTGAGGAACGTGACTCTATTGCTGGTTCTGGGTGGATATGATTAGGCCTTACCTGTAATTCCCTATTCCATTAACAGTGACTGGTTCAGAGAATTTGGCTTAAGCCAGTGAACATTTGTAACATGTGATGGCAACTGTGACTAGTTAGGGATGGGTACAGTTACCTGAGTTGACTCAAATCTTTTAGGGAGATTGGAGTAGATGTTTTCCCCTCTTCCACGGATATAAACAAGAAAGCAGGTTGTCATGTAATTAATGCTGACATCTGTCTTCTGACCAGGGGTGAGCAAACCTGAAGACAAAGCTGTCATGCTGATGGCCAGGAGCTGAAAGGGAGAGTGAGACGTTCCCAGAGCTCTGACTTTTGCATGAGAGTATCGACCTTACCTCTGGATCTCTTGATTTGTGAGAAAATACATTTGTTTATTGCGTGCTATTTCTGTAGCTTGTATTTAATAGTTGAAATGAGATGTATAAAAGGAGACAGAAATTTTGTAGTTGTTTATTTTTATTACACAAGCAAGAAATAATTAACATAGAAAAATATAGATAAACAAAAAGAAGGTATACCCACAATCAAGGAATAACCAAGGTTAGCATATTACAATGTCATTCTAGCTGTGCTGCTGTGTATATGCATGCATACATCTATATGCACTTTCCACTAACCAAGGCTTATATTTATTTTTATTTTTTTATTTTTAAAATTTTAATTAGTTTAAATTTACAGAAAATTTGTAAAGATAGTATAGAGTATTTCCATATACTCCATTCCAATTTAATTACATTAGCAGAGTACAGTTGTCATAATTAATGAACCAATACTGATACATTTTTATTAACTAAAGTCCATACTGTATTCATATCACCTTAGTTTTTTCCTCAGGTCCTTTTCCTGTTCCAGGATCCTATTTCAGACAGATACATTCTATGTAGCTGACATGTCTCTTTAGGCCCCTCTTGGCTGTGATAGTGTCTGAGACTTTCCTTGTTTTGAAGATCGTGATGGTTTTAAAGAGTACTGGTTAGGTATTTTGTAGAATGTTACTATATTTGGATTTGACTTATTTTTTTCCTCATATTTAGACTTTGGTTGTGGTTTTTGTTGTTGTTTTTTGTATGTTTTTTTAGATGGAGTCTCGCTCTGTCACACAGGCTGGAGTGCAGTGGCGTGATCTCAGCTCACTGAAAGCTCCGTCTCCCAGGACGGAGCTCACACCATTCTCCTGCCTTAGCCTCCCGAGTAGCTGGGACTGCAGGCGCCCGCCACCACGCCTGGCTAATTTTTTGTATTTTTAGTAGAGACGGGGTTTCACCGTGTTAGCCAGGATGGTCTGGATCTCCTGACCTCGTGATCCACCTGCCTCAGCCTCCCAAAGTGATGGGATTACAGGCTTGAGCCACCACGCCCTACCTTGGGTTACGGTTTATGGCAGGAAGACCACAGAGGTAAAGAGTCATTGTCCACACATTCTATCAAGGGTACATATTGTCAACATGACTTATCACTGTTGATGTTGACCTTGATCACCCACCACAGTAGTATCTGTCAGTATAAAGTATACACTTCTTTCCCCTTTCCATACTATACTTTTTGAAAGGAAGTCACTGTGTTTGGTCTAGATTTGGGTTGTGAGGAGTTAAGCTTTATCTCCTGGAGGGCAGAATATCAACACAAATTATTTGGAATTATTCTGCATGGGGGAATTTTCTACTTTCCTCATTTAGTGATGTGTAATATATTTAATCAGCACTTTCTTTCACTAAACAATTTACTGTATCTTTCCATGTCATAAATTATAATTTGTATCATTAAATTGGCTGTCTAGTATTATACCATGTGTGTTTTATAATTTATTTCTAACAAGTTTCTTATTAACATTTAATTAACATTAACTCCATGCCTTTTATCTTTCTATTATAAACACTGCAATAAATATCAAGAAACTTGAGAAATTTGGGGGAAAGATTCATGCCACAAATGTAAGCTGACTTTAAAGAATGATAGAAATTATGAAGAAATGGACTATCTCAAAGGTGGAGAAACCCACATATCTAAGTACCTATCTCTGTGGCTCAGCACTATAGGCCACTTACAAAACAAGTATTGAGGGCCTGGGATAACCTCAGATCTAAAATTCATAACCACAACTCAATGAGACAGTGATGTGCTCTTTTTTTTTAGATTCCCACACAAAGACATGCTAGAATGTTTTGTTCACCACAGCAAGACTTAGAGCAGAAGCTCCAGATTACATATGGAAGTTAATTGTTTGTAGTTAGTCTTCATTGTAACCCTGAGGGTGTCCCATCCTCAGATATAAAAATAAAATAAGTATTCGTGGTCACCCTTTGTGTACAAGATTGCCAACATTCCAGGCAGAGGTACAGAGCTGTCCATAGAGGATACGTCCCCAGACATCAAGTGAATCTCAATAAGTACATTTAAATAAGTTGAGTGTATAGCATACCTTTCCAATTCAGCTTTCTTCCAGAGCCATCACTGGGTTCAGGTTGAAGATGGTACTTAGTTACCTCCAGTCCCACAGAGAGGGCCACAACTGGGATTGCAGCAATCATTCTGTAGACCTCCGAAGAGTGAGGCAGATTCAGTAATCATGCCTAGATTGACTAAAGCATCAACACTTAAAATAAAACCTGCCATGTGACTTAGTTATCAAGTTTCTGATATTTATTGCGATGTTCCCTAAGACTTTGGTGGTTGAGTACACTTTTTTTTTAATTGAAGTTCCAGTGAGAGAGACCCAGAAGAGTTCCTCAAACTCCAGTCCCAGTGGATTTTGAGGGCTCAGCAATTAAGCTTCTCTGATGCTCCAGAGGTGTGAGGAAGAATTATGCTTATGCTTATCTAGAATCCAGAATTGGTAAAGAAGAAGCTACAGGTGAAGTGTGAAGTAAAGAAGTTGAGCGTCGCGGAGACTTGTGTGGGGAGAGCTCATGGAAGAGGATGGCGCTGTGTTTCCCTAGCCTCATTTTCATTCATACACAAACACTACCCAGCAAATATTTTATATCTGAAAAACCTTACAATCACAAGTGATAGGCACAAATAACTTAGTTGGGAATCAAATCTCAAAGATAAGGGCTTCTCAAATAACTAGGTCTCATTACATATCCTTATGACATAAAATATTTCTTTATAGCTTCTTTTCCTCTATACTTTTTACTAAATCTGTTTTCTTTATTGAAAAGTAAATATGTTACATAAATCTATTGAATACATTTATTGAAGTAAATCTATTGAATATATTTGTTGAAGTAAATCTATTGAATATATTTATTGAAGTAAATCTACTGAATATATTTATTGAAGTAAATCTATTGAATAAATTTACTGAAGTAAATTTATTCACTTGTATCACTGCAGAAGGCCCAAAGGCATGCACATAAACTAATTCAAAGGACATTCCTATTTCTTGAAAACAAAAACAAAGCCCAAAGAAATGGCATGGTATATCTGATTTGATAGGAAGGGATAAAATGTCATTTACTTTTATGGACTAAATTGTTATTGCTTGGCATTTTATATAGTATTGATTCCTTTTAAAGCCACATTGATTTCTTAAATAGTATGAGCAAGATCTAGCCCCTGTAACACAAGTCAAAATTAAATTGTCTGTCTGGTCCCTCGATCATCACCATGAGATTCAGAATGAAACTACAAATTAACAGGGCAAAGAAATGTGAAGACAATACAATAAAAAACTACAAATGAAATATAAAATAGGTAAGGATAAAAACTACTATATTGTAATGTTATACATTATAGAATCATAACCATATACTATTAATATGGTTAATAGAAAATGGGTTAAGGAATAAAATGGAAGTTAGGAGTTTAAGTTTACAAATTTCCTTATTTTACATAGCAAAGAGCCAATAGATATAAATTTGAAAATTTAGTTTAAAGAAAGGTTTTTTTTTTGGTATTTCTTTCTTTTTTTTTTCTATTGTTTCTCTTATGTTTAGTGGGATCTAATTTTTAGGAAATATCTTTCAGGTAAAGAAACATTTAAAACTCATGATCCTTTTGATTTTATTTTTAAAATTTTACAAATTTCATGTTATCTTTAATACATTTTAAACTTTAAGATGACATGAAGAATATGACCCCATTTTATGTTTCTCTTTTATTTCTGTTTAGAGATGTGAAAAGCCTGAGATGATGTTTGTAAAATATTGGGAACACATGTTTCTTGATGGTAGCATTTGGGGACTTGGTAATTTCTTTTTTACATTTTTTGGTACTTCTATGTATTTCTTGAATGTCTGATATTAATATATCCCCCAAATATATAGATATGCAAATTAGATATAAATAGAAATAATAGATAGAAACATGCACTGTACCTTTTGTGTATATACATCCACAGATATGTAAATACATAAAATCTGGAAAACTAAAGTTAACCCTTTTACCTGAGAAGTGAGGAGTGGTGGTATTAGGGGAGGAACGATCACTTTTTGATCTGCATGTACTATTTGCATTGTAATGTAATCATATATTACTTTTGTAATTTTTAAACAGAGAATAAAAATAAATTTTAAGAAAGATACTTTTCTCCATCACATGCTTGATTTTATCACATTGGTAAAAGCTCAAAGAAAAAGATGGACTCCTTGGTAAGCTCTCCAACCCAGCTCAGTGTAGACAAAATGTGTACTTTACAGTCTGTTTTACCAGATAGGAGCGTTTCCTCAGAATTGTGTGCTCTATACTCCCATAGAAATGCATGAGAGGTCATTTAGACACAAAATACCCTGTGTAGACCAAGCACTCCCAGATCTAGTTAAAGATAGAATGGAGTAGTAATTACAAAGTAAGCATACATGCCTTACTGGGCACACCTATTTTAAATAAATGTGGAAAAAGACTAGCTAATACATTCCAAAAATATTTTTTCTATGAAAAGGACATTCAAAGATTGAATTAAATTATTTTGGAAAGCATATTTTCTTTATGTATCATCAATCCAAATGATAAAAAAAATTCAGAGAGCCTGATAGGCAAAACTTGAATATAAGCCAAACTTAATTCTTTTCTTTTATTGTTTAATGTTCAATAGTTTGAATCATGAATCCTATCTAGAATGAATGAGTTTTAAAGGATATATTTGCAATATATATCCTTTAAAACTATTGCAAATAGTTGTATTTGCAATAACAACTACTGAATTTAAAAAGGTTTACAGGATTAAAAACTTACCTAACTGTGTTTTCAAGCAGTTAGACAATGGTGCTATTAAAATGGTTAATGTACTATATATTCATAATTTTTAATTTAAATTTGGGTTTTAAATTTAATTAGCTTTTATTTGCCTTCAGAAAGCAAACATATCAATATATTCTTCCATTTTTCCAATAGATGTCAGTATCAAAAAAGAAAAGAGCTACTTTAACTATCTTCCAGTACAAAAGGGAGTATTATTTTCTCTTCTTTCCAGTTTCACTTACTCAGAATCGCCATAGTTAGTGTAAGCAGCAGTCTGACAAAGAAGAGTAGTTTTAACACACACTAGTTATGATTTTGGGGGGAAAATTCATGTAATTAATTTAGATAGGGATTATGGTGTTTACAGTGGAAGAAAACAATAAACATCTGAATGTTTTCCATGTAATCCCTATTTCTATATACTTATTTATTTTTGGCTCTTTTATTCTCTCTCTCCTATCTGTGTAAGGTCTAATCCCTCTTCTTTTGTTTACATCTCTCAATGATAATTCAACAGATGATTTTATGTCCAAAAAAAAGGAGGTTACATATTTCACATGGCATTTTAATCTTTAAAACACAATTTTTAAATGATAATAACATTAGTAGTCCTTGTCATCCATTCTATTTTCACTGTTATATAACTTTAATTTACTTTAAGGAAAGCATAGTATATAGATTAAATATTATTTTCAAATTAATTCATCAACAAATATGGAATTCAAGGCTGAAGAAAATTGAAAATTGAGAATTCTGTTAAAAATGGGAAAGGTATTTACTATGAAATTTGTATTATACATCATCAGTATCCATTGAGTTTTACTAAACTTTAATATGTTATATACATCACCGAGCAGATTTATTACTGATACATGGAACCAAGATCACAAGGAAGGAATGATATCTTCGTATACAAAGAGTAGCGATGTAATGTTGTTGGGAGCAATAGGTAACGACATTTATGTCATGTCTGCCACTTTTTAAAATTGCTATCATTACACTAGTCTAAATTTACGTTTTCCTATTTTTATGCTTCAAGATTTATACTTAATTTATCAAAAGCAAAATGAAAAGCAAACACATACAGTCATTATTTACATTTCCTTTTATGTGATTGCAGCATCAAAAAAGTTTTTTATCCTGTTTCTTCGGGCTTTGTTCCTCTTTCCTCCTCTGCATGATGAAGACTGGAATATAGATGGACTAAGACAGAAGCCATGTTCAAGTTTCCGATCTACAACTGACTCAGTTTTTCCCTTGAGCACGTAAATATGCCAAATTTTTAGGATTCAAACTGAATATTTAAAGAAATGTTTCTTCTTTGCAATCAGAAAGGATATTTTATACAATGTATGGGTGCAGACAGGAAGTTTTATTATTCACTTTCTCTTGTATCAAGAGAAACCACAACATGAGAATAGTTTTTCCCCCTGCTTTATTGAGGTTATTTGACAAATAAAAATTATATATATTCAAATGTACAATGTGATGACTGGATATACTTATGCATTGTATAATGATTACCAAAATCAAATTAATTAACACATCCTTCACTAGACTTAATTTATGTACTAGTTGGGTCAGGGGCACTTAAGCAAATTTGTGTTAGCAAATTTCAAGTAAACAATACAGACTTATTAGCTATAGTCAACAGGTTGTACATTAGATCCCCAGAGCTTATTTGTCTTAAAACTGAATATTTGTAACATTTGAGAGAGAAGTTTTGGTGTTACTGAAATCATAGGCTTCTGACAGAATTTGCAGGATGCTATACACAACTAAACAGAAGTATAAACAATAGTTTCTGGGACCAAGAGTCAAAAAGACATGGGTTATTATGACTTACCACTGCTTAATCACATGACCAAGACATGTCATTTAATCTTTCACAACTAGATGTCTCATTCTTGCCTAGCAAATAAATGTCTTGTGAAGATATTTTTTAAAGAATTTCATAAACATAAAAAGGTAATGCAAATCTGATGCTTTTAAAATAAGGGGAGGAAAAAACATGATTTAAAAACATTTTTTTTGGATCTGAGAATACAACTGCTCCATCCAAATTGTTAGAAATTAAAGGGCATAGCTACATTGCTTTTAATGAGATGAAGTCTTTGCATTTGAAACATACCAAAAATTTTTAAAAATGAAAAAGTATATTAGGTAATGAAAAGAATGAAAAAGATGTTTCTTTGTTTGTTTGCACAAACAAACTTCTCTCTGGCCTTTATTTCTCTTTAAACTAGTTGCTTTTATTTTTATCAAAGATACACTGTTTCATTTAAAAACAGTCTTTCTGCCCATCAACACTTCTGTTCTTCCTGAAGCAAATGCTCTTGCTGTTTTCTGGTTTTAGTTCCAGTGGTTTGTACCTCAATCTCTAATTTTTTAAAAACACTTTTTCTTGATTCACAAAATGTAGATATTGTCTGCTGATTTCTTCTTCTGGTAGGAAAGTAACAGGATCACATTTGTTACCCAGTACACCTCTCTTTTTCCTCTACTTCAGAAGACTTTATTCAACCTCTGTTTTTTAGCCATTTGCCATGAATAGCATGTCTTAACTCTTACTCGGTAGAATAGAAGATATTTGATCTTCCATAATTCTCTTTACTTTTTTAATCCCCTTCCACTCCCCTGCTTATCTTCTAAACCTCCAGTTTTATAATTCTAAGGTAAAAATATATACTCTCCCTTCAATAGACACAATTACATTGTCTACTATTTCTATTGGGGGATTGTTAAAAGTAAAAATCAATAAAGAGTGTTTACTACATAATGATATTGCTTTCTTTTATGACTCCGATGTCCACCATATGTCTCTCAATAAAAAATGTTTGGGACACAAATTAAAATCGATTTTCATTATATATCCCAATAAATAGTCAATTATTCCCAATGTCTTAATTATATTGTTCGTTTTATGTACTCCACTCTTCTTACCCCTCCTCAGCCTGCAGAACTCCTTCCTGGTTCAATCCTTATTAGTAGTAGTTAGCGTTATCCTGGGACATCCTGGTACTGCCCTTTTGGGGGAGTGGAATATACTGTTCCTGCCTTACCATCTCCTCTTTTTATTCAATATTTGGCCAGAATATGTTCTCAAATAACTCTCTAAGAAGGGAATTTTCCAGAGAAATATTCTGAGTCATTGCATGACTAAAACATCTTGATTCTAACTACTGACTTCATTGATAGATTGGCTGATACAGAATTCTAGGTTAAACTTTCTTGTCTCTCAGGCCTTTGAAGGCATTATTGCACTGCTTTCCTGCAGAGTAATCCTTTTGAGAAGTCTGAAACTCATTTACTGCATAATCTGTCTTTCTCTCTGGAAACACTTGGTTCCTTAGTTCATGGGAATCTAGTGGTGATGTGTCTGGTTGTAGACCTTTTTTTGTTGTTTTGTTGTCCTGCTTGTATAAATCAGTGTTTATCTTTTGTTTTGCTGCTTTTTTTCCTCTATCTGGTGTTTCTTCATGCCTCTTTCCATCTGAGAAAGAGGCTTTATTAAAAATGGCTGTATGTACTTGGTACATAAGTGCAGCTTCTTGACTCCGACATTTAGATTTTAGGTGGACAAGAAGGACTGTTATGTAACATTTTGCAAGTAGTAAATACCAGAAGGAAGGAGGCTTTCTTCTAGGGTATTGTTTTAGTCCATTTTCTGCTGCTATCACAGAATACTACAGTCTGGTAATTTATTTATTTACTTTTTAAGTTTATTTGGCTTATGGTTCTGGAGGCTGGGGAGTTCAAGACCATGGCATGAACATCTGGCAAAGGTCATCATACGGCAGGAAATGGCAGGCAGAGGGACAGAAGGGCACTCAAGAATGTGAGGCAGAGGAAATCAGACAGAATTTGTCCTTTTATAAGGAGCCCATTCCTGTAATAATGGCATTAATTTATTCATAAGGGCAGAGCCCTCATGACCTAATCACCTTTTAATAGTCTCATTTCTTAATGCTGTTACAATGACAAATTTCAACATCACTTTTGGTGGGGACATTTGAACCACAGCATTCCTTCCGAAACTCATGTCCTTCTCACCTATAAAACACATTCATCCATCACAATAGGGGCCATAACATCAGTCGGGAGCCATCACAATAGCCCAAAAATCTCAACTTGCTATAGCATCAACCCCAAAGTCCATAGTCCAGAGTCTCATCTGAATCAAATATGAGTGACACTAAAGGCACCCTTTATCCTGAGGCAAATTTCCTCCAGCTGTGAGCCTGTGAAATCAAACAAATTATCTACTTTCAGAATATAATGGTGGGACAGTCATAGAATAGACATTCCCATTCTGAAAGTGAGAGCTATGCAAGAAGAAAGGGATGACTTGTCTCAAGTAAGTAAAAAACCTAAAACGGAAAGCAATATTAAGTCTTAGAGCTCCATTTCCTAAATTCTGGGAACACACTAGGGCAGGGGTAGAACTCCTGAGGTCTCAGGCAGCCCTACCCCTTTAGTTTCACTGGGCTCAGCTCACAATTTCTGTCTCTTGGGTTGAAGTTGCACACTTGTAACTCTACATTTCTGGGGTCTCAGAGAAAACCCTACTCTCATGACTCCTCTAGGCACTGCCCTAGTGGAGATTCTGTGTGTCTCTGCTCCTGCAGCAGGTTTCTGCCTGAATCCCCAGGCTATATGTGACATCATTTGAAATCCAGGTGGAGGCAGCTATACCACAGAGCCTTTCCATTCTGTAAGCTTGCAGAATTATCAACCGGTAGACACTGCCATGGCTTTTACCTTCCAGAGCAGGAGATAAAGCCACACTCAAGTTCACTTCAACCATGGCTGGATTGCCACAGGGGTACTGTGCTAGAACGAGGGGATGAGAATCCCAAGATGGCTCTGAGTGGCAAACCTATGGGGCATTCTCTGGGGGCATATCCCAAAACCATTTTGCCCTCCTAGAGCTCTGGGTTTGTGATGGGAGGAAAACCTCCAAGATCTTTGAAATGCCTTTGGGGTCTTTATTATGTTGATGACTAACACCTGGCCCCCTTCTATCCACAGTAATCTCTTTAGCAAAAGGCTGCTTTGCTACACCTTTGGCGTTCTTTCTTGAATGTGCATTTTTATGTCATCAGGCTACAAATTTTTCAAATCTTTCTACTTTGCTTCCCTTTTAATTAGAAGTACAATCTTTAAGTTATTGCTTTGCTCTAGCATCTCACTGTATGCAGTTAAAAGTCACCCTATAGAAGCCTGAATACTTTGCTATTTAGATATTTTTTTTCATATTCCAGTTCATCACTCTAGAGTTCTGAATTTCATAAAGTCCTAGAACATGAACACAATTCTGCCAAGGTCTTTCCTATTTTGTAATAATAATAGTCTTTACTGTAATTTTTAATACTTTGTTCATTTCTGGTGAGGTGTGAGACCTCACCAGAACGCCTTTTACTATCCATTTCTACCACCATTTTGGCCATGACCACTTAAGTGATCTCTAAGAAGATTTAGACTTTCCCTACTCTGCTCTTCTGAGCCTTCACTATAATTTCACTTAATGCTTCATTCACAGCAATCTAGGCCTTGTCTAGTCTGTTCTTCCAAATTCTTCCAGTCTCTATTCATTACCCATTTCCAAAGCTGTTTCCACATTTGCAGGTGTTTGTAACAGCAGCAGCCCTACTTCTCAGTATTTATTTTCTGTTTTAGTTCATTTTCTGTTGCTATCGCAGAATATCACAGACTGGGTAATTTATAAAGAAAAGTTTGTTTGGCTCACAGTTCTGGAGGCTACGAAGCCCAAGAGCAGGGCACCAGCATCTGGCAAAGGTCATCCCATGATGGAAGGCAGCAAATGAAAGGGTGAAAAGGCTCACAAGCAAGGGATACATAGATAAAACTGGGATGAATTTATGAATTCAGCTCATTTTATGTAAAGCCCCTCTCCTGTGATAATGAACCCACTCCCTCAATAATAGCATTAATCTATTCATGAGGGCAGATCCCTCATGACCTAATCACCTCTTAAAGGTTCCACCTCTTAATATTGTTACAAAGACAATTAAATTTCAACATGAGTTTTGGAGAAGACATTCAAACCATAGTAGGTACCAATTCCTAAATTATTCACAGTTCATTAGAGAAGAATTCTCACTTTTCCTTTCTAAGGAGGTATCATCTGGCTATTATCACTTCATGCTAAGTGTAGAGAGGTCTTTCACATAAAATTTCAATTGACTGTTATTTTAATGCCCACATTTTATTCCTACTTCCTATTTCTATCAACTGAGACTCTTTAGGGACAAAACTACTTCCTCCTGAGCTAGAGCCCCTTCTACTCTCATTCTTCACTGGACCCAAACGAAACTATTTTATCAGTCACTACCCATATATGAATTGGCTTTCTAACTTCCAAAAAGCTTCTATCTTTCTAATCATTTCCCTCTTATTCTACTCCTATTCTATTTTTGTTCTAGATACATACCTTTTATTCCATTGCTCTTAATGCAATAGGTTTTCAGAAAGGAGATAAGCTTGTAGGTTCAATATATTATATATATTATCTAAAACTGAAGCCCTCCATTATTCCTTCTTTAACTTTAATATTCACTATAACGGAAAAATTCTAGACATTTTGGAAATATTATTTTTGATGGTAGTGTTTTGTTCTGATTTGCTTTATATAGTTTTAGTATGTACAGCTCCTGAGAAAGCAAACAAGAAATACTTTTACTGCATTGATTGATAGTGGGTGACATAGAACTCAGGGATTTCCAAAGGTTTTTAAGGGTGGTGCAGATAAAATCTGTAATCTATTATTATATATGAAACATATATTGTGCACTCATACTGATAGCAGCATTATTCACAATAGCCAAAATGTGGAAGCAACCCAAGTGTCCATCCACAGATGAAAGGACAAACAGAATTTGGTATATACATCAGGAATATCATTCAGACTTGAAAACGAAGGGAATTCTGATACATCAGTAAATCTTAAAAAATTATGCTAAGTGAAATAAGCCAGTCAAAAAAAGGAAAAATATTACATAATTCCACTTGTATGAGGTGCATAGAGTCATCAAATTTATTAGACAGAAAGTAGAATGGTGTTTTCTTAGGTTTGGGGGAAGAGGGAAGTGGGGAGTTAGTGTTTAATGGGTACAGGATTTCAGTTTAGGAAAATGGGAAAGTTCTGCAGATAGACAGTGCTAATGGTTACACAACAACGTAAATACATTTAATGCCACAGAACTGTGTACTTACAAATGGTTCGAATGATAAATTTTGTTATATATTGTACCACGATAAAAAATTAGGAAAAAAATCAATAATACACTGTTTTTATTTATTTATTATTTTATTTGAGACAGATGTCACTCTGTTGCCCAGGCTGGAGTGCAGTGGCACATTCTCAGCTCATTGCAACCTCTGCCTCCTGGGCTCAAGCGATCCTCCCACCTCTGCCTCCCGAGTAGCCGGGACTGCATGTGTGCACCACCATACCTGGCTAATTTTTTGTATTTCTGGTAGAGACGGGGTTTCACCATGTTTCCCAGGCTGGTCTTGAACGCCTGAGCTCAAGTGACCCACCTGTCTTTGCCTCCCAAAGTGCTGCGATTATAGGAATGAGCCACTGTGCCTAGCCTCAACAATACACTTTGTCTTAATGGGTTCCGACATTGCTATAAATAAATACCTGAAACTGGGTAATTTATAAGGAAAACAGGTTTAATTGGTTCATGGTTCTGCAGGCTGTAGGGAGCATAGTGGCTTCTGGGGAGGCCTCAGGAAACTTTCAATCGTGGTGGAAGATGAAGGGGCACATCTTATAAGGCCATACAGGAGGAAGAGAGAGAGTGGAGGGAGGTGCTACATATTTTTAAACAACCGTATCTCATGAGAACTCTATCATGAGAACACCAACAGGGGATATCCACCCCCATGATTCAATCACCTCCCACCAGGTCTCACCTTCAACATTGGGGATTACAATTTGACATGAGATTTGGGAGGGGACACAATTCCAAACCATATTGCACTTCTTTTGTTCAAGTATACTTTTTTTTTTTATAATGATGGCATATATGAGCAACTGAAGAGGGGTCTGCCTTTATATGTCTATTCTATCCTCTTGATATATTTTTCTTGCACCATTTTGACTTTAAAGAAAATAAAATTTTCTCATTTCCAAAGCCCACAAAACTGGAAGAAGATTCAAGTAAATGGATCTTAACTAACATTCACCATGCCCCATCCTTTCTGCAGGGTGAAAGAACAATAGACAAGGTGTGTGAAGTTTGCAAGTATTCATGTTCTTATTACCTATCATAATATTCTGATACAATTTACAATAGACAAAATGTTAATTTTATGCTTAATATGAACCACTGTTCTTGAAAAATGCAGGCAATATTATCAACCGCATCCTCACTTAAACAGAGTTGTTTGCCTATTGTCCTTGGCTTTCAGTTCAGTAATCTAAGATTCTAGAGTCAACACTTTTGGTTCTTCTTCAGATTCTTACATTTAATGACCACTTGACTTGTAGAAAGTTGCTTACACTCTGTAAGTCTCAGTTTCCTCAACTGTAAGATGGAAGTCATTGCTACTTAAGAGAGTCAATGTGAGGATTCAATGAGTTAAGACACATGATGAATTGGTAATCTGTAGCATCTATCACCTTTTAAGGTCAAACTGCAATTAGAGAAAATTAAACCTTTAAGCATCAAATAGTTGTATTCAAATAAAAAATATATAAACAAATTATTTTTAATGTCACAAGGGGCTAAACAAAGACAACATAAGAATTTTAATAATTGTGGTTTGTTAAACACATAAAATTTGATAATTGTCCCTTCCCAAGCACAGTTTTCTATAAAGTGATTGTTATTGTTAAGCAAATTTTAATTAGGCAGAAATACTCAGCATGTTTTAATAAATTGTTAAAAACAATATCTCCTGGGAAAGCACCCTTTTATTTAATTTAATCTCTTCATCTGCATCAATCTGAATATTTTAACAGATACCATATACTCAATATATATCAAAAGTCTCAATGTAAATTCTCAAAAACCGGAGTGCTCATTTGAACTTGAATTTTTAAAGCTTTAAAAGAAATTAAAATGTCATATTTCTTTGGAAAAAAGAAAAGTAAAAAATGTAAGGAAGGAAGGAAAGAAGGGAGGGAGGGAGAAAGGGAGGAAAGAAAAGGAAGGAAGGAAGGGAGGCAGGCAGGGAGGGAGGGAAGGAGGGAAGGAGGAAGGAAGGAAGGAAAGAAGGGAGGGAGGGAAGGAAGGGAAGGAAGGAAGGAAGGAAAGAAGAGAGGGAGGAAGAAAGGGAAGGAAGGAAGGAAAAGAAGGAAGGAAGGGAGGGAGGGAAGGAAGGGAGGTAAGAAGGAAGGAAGGAAAAGGAGGGAGGGAAGGAAGGAAGGAATAGAAGGAAGGAAGGGAGGGAGGGAAGGAAGGGAGGTAAAAAGGAAGGAAGGAAAAGGAGGGAGGGAGGGAAGGAAGGAAGGTAGTAAGGAAGGGAAGGAAAGAAGGAAGAGAGGGAGGGAGGGAAGGAAGGAAGGGAAAGGAGGAAGGGAGGGAAGGAAGGAAAAGGAGGGAGGGAGGGAAGGAAGGAAGGGAAAGGAGGAAGGGAGGGAAGGAAGGAAAAGGAGGGAGGGAGGGAAGGAAGGAAAGTATTAAGGAAGGAAAAGAATGGAGGGAAGGATGGAAGGAAGGGAGGAAGAGAGGGAGGGAGGAAGGGAAGGAAGGAAGGAATGAAGGAAAGAAGGGAAAGAAGGAAGGAAGGGAGGGAGGGAAGGAAGGAAGGAATGAAGGAAAGAAGGGAAAGAAGGAAGGAAGGGAGGGAGGGAAGGAAGGAAGGAGAAATGAAAGAAGGAGAGAAGGAAGTATAAGGGAGTCGTGAAAGCTACAATTGAATTGTTTTGTTGTGCAAGTACATTTTCTACTATATAATGGTGGCACCGATAATAAAATAAAAATCTATTCTTTCAATGTTTTTCAGAATATAAAGAAAAAATATTCATATAAGGTTAAAATTTAGGGAAGTTTTTTTATATTCACATTCTAATACGGCCTACTTAATTTTTCTTAAATGCCTCCAAAAATACCATCATCTTATTCTTCAATGTTCCATTTCAGTTAAATATTGATTTTAACTAATTTGATCATACTGTCTTTCAGAAAATAAATATAAACTAAAAGATATAATATATTTGAATTAGAGAATCTAAGGTACTTGTTTTACTGGCCTTTCCACTTGCCTGCCTGGTTTTGACAGTAAAGTACATTAGGTTTCAATTTTGTTCTAACTTTAGAACAAATACTTGTTGAAAAAACTACCTATGAACATATTTCTGTTTCTGGTAGGTAATGAATGAGGTCTAAAATCCCTGAACGTGCTTGACATCTCCTAAACCACGCACTTTGGTACTAGGTGATCTATGGCCCTAGGATAAGTGGTTCTTTCATGAAAAACTACGGGGCTTCTGTCTCATGACTGCCAGTCGGCATCCCAAGGAGGCAGTCCTGCTCACGGAGGCCAGGTGTCAACCAGAAGGAGAGAAGGCAGATGATTTGTCTGAAACTTAATCATAGCCTTAGAACTTTTCATTTGAAGATTGGAGTCCAAAACCCTGGCTGAGGCACTGAACCACAGGTGAGCAGTGAAAATCACAATCTATAAAGAATATGTGCCTTGTTTTCTAACAGAATGAGGTTAATGGATTTTCAGTACCACTGTATTTGAGACTTATTAAATTGGCCTAGAATCAAAATTAATTAAGCAGTTTCCAAAAGTTCGAGGTATGCTTTCTTCTCATCCAGTCTTCTAAGTATAGCTCTGCCTCATAATGATTTTCAAAACTCTGTATACAGAATTTTAATTATCTTCTTACAAAAGCTATTTTGTGGGCAAGATGTCTAGTTACAAGTGCTGTAGACTAAAACAAATCGACCCACAAAGCTCATCTGTGAGCATTTGATAGGTACATAAATATTCTTGTCACTCTCAATACCTTGGCCATTGCAGTCGGAGACTCTCCCCCTTATTGGAAAAGTCAACTCTAAGGCTGGTTATTGCTTCAGTAATATTCTGTTGGTAATAAGCCACTTTGTAAAGCTTTGTTCATGAGTTCCAGAGAGCATTTGGCTTCCAACAATACAAAGGACCACTGCAAGCATTTTTGGTCAGTTTTGATTGAATGCAGATTGCAGGATTGTTTTGCTAGACCACATTACTCTTTCAAATGTTTCTTCAGTAGTTGCATATTACTTTCTAATGATAATCATTTGCTTTTCCAGAGCCCTTTGGCTCCTGATGTTTTACAGTGAATTTCCTCAGAATCCATCTCTGTCTTCACTGTGCTTCCCTCTGGGTTAAGAGGAGGCCTGTAGCTCCTAGTCTTTCACATGGCCACATGAACAAATGGCTGCAAAGAATGAGTAGGAAGAAACCCATGAAAACCACCCAACTTAGGCTCTATAGAGGGTGATGTGCAAAGTAGAATGTTTCTTATAGTTGCAGAAGGAAAGAATTCTAAGAGCGTGCTATGAATTCTATTTCATGACATTTAAAAATTGTTTTTAATATAAATTTTATAGCTCTTAGAGTTCTTATATAACCCAAAAGGTAAACTAAAGGTTAGGCAATTCAGTTGGATGTTTGGGCCTAACCAGATCCCAGTTTTCTTTCATTGTCTGCCGCCACCGCCCCCACATGCTTCCTTCTCATTCCACTTCTGGTGGTCCCGGCGCACTTTGCAGATGTTTCTCCCACACAGTGGAAACATTCCCTAATGTGTCCGTAGACTTCCAGGCTTGGCTCATATGGGAAAAGGAAAAATTGGAGAGAAAGAATACGTTTCTGGATTGGTGTTATTTCCTTTCGGGCCTTTCAAAAGTGCTGAAATAGAGAAGAAATTTAATTTAGACCTATTCATCTTTCCCACGCTGCTAGCCATGTAAATGGTTTATAAAGTAATTTTCTTTTTAATTTAAAAATGTAAATAAACAAATAAGTGAACCTTGTCATTCAGTCTTTCAGACGTCTCAAGATAGCTATCTGATGTTAGAAAATTTTATAGAATTGTGTCTATGTTTCTTGCTTTTAAAATAAGAGTTGCTATCAATGCATCAGTTACTTGGAAAATTAGAGTATCTATGGTTTATTCTACATAAAGCTTAAATACTGCATCCTGTAATTTTCAAATAATTTTCATTAAGAGATATTTCTTCCCTGTTTGCACATTGCATATGGGACACCAGTATGCTGAAAAAACAGGACTCATAGATAAAAAAGGAAAATAACGATTTGCATTTCCTCCATTGCCTCTCCAGCCTCTCTGTAGAGCTACTTTTTGTCCTTGGATGACATCTTGGGCAGCATCTGTATTTCACACGTCCTTTCATAAAAATCCTTTCATCACGTTAGTCATAAAAAATATTCTCCATTCAGAAATTAGCATGCCAGTGTCCATATTTGAAAAGCAAACTTCATTAGAGTTTTTCCCTCTCCGGTACCACCCCTTCCTCAATTTGCCCTGCTGCCAGTGGGAAGTGTGCAATTAATATGTGTATGTGTGAGTGTGTGTGGGTCTGTGTTGTGTATTGGGAGTTTGGTCTTGGTTTTTCTTTACTCTGTTACATCTTCTATCTCTCCTGAAGCCCAGAGCTCATTCACCATGCAAGTAGAGGGGAGGAGAAGAGTCAAGAAAGGGCTTTCCTTGCTACCATTCATTTTCAGACTGTTTTCCTCTTGTCTTGTTGGTGTTTAAAGTTACTCCCCATTAGGATCTCTCGGGTAAATTCGTGACAAGGATTAACTCCCCCCCGACTGCCCATGCATCTGGCTCCAACCTCACACCAGCATCTAGCTTTAAATCTTAACAGTGCTCAACTGACATTATGTCTTTCCAGACACCTTATGTCTGTTCTCACACTCACTATTCTCCTTTTAGTTCACGGCAAGCTTGCAAATGAGACCCGCTGCCATGAACGAGGCTACTTCCCAAATGGAGACACTGGCCACTTGGGTAGACTGGTATGGGTCAAACAGAGGTTCACGAAGAAGGGCGCAAACTTCAATGGATGAATACTATGGACTTTATTGACCTTTCTGAAGCCCCAGTTGCCAGGAGGTCCAGGTTTGAATTTGGCAGTCCTATCACTAGTTGTATGATTTTGAGTAAACTGCTTAAGTCTCACTCAGTTTTCTCAGCCAAGAAAAGAGTATATTACTATTTACCTCATAAGGTTATTGTGAGGATCACATGAGTTAGTGAATGTAAGATACTAAGAAGAATAGCTGGTACATGGGAAGTACTATGTAAGATTTCATGTCCATTATTATACTTACAATAGTATAGTAATATGTCCATTACCATACTTGTACTAAACATAAGTATACTGTCAATAAGGACATGAGTCTGTAGTTAAAGAGAGATTTATGAGCCAGATACATACTTTTGGTGTCTTCAAACTGTAGATGTGGTTAGTATAATGAGACTGGGTGATAACAGCTAAGGAGTGAGTATAGACAATTAAGAATTTTCAAGCACTGGGCTCTACATCCTGAGCACTGAAAGGATTAGAGTATGTGGAAACGAGAAAATTGCATCCCAAAAGGCTCATGAGTTCATAGAAAAGCAGATAAATATAACGTCTGAACTGAGGTAATACAGTCTTTCAAAGACAGTGTGGTTAGTGTCAGATGCTACTGAGAAGACAAAACAAGTAATGGCCATGAACTGATCGTTGGAGTTAACATCAGCATTGTTCTGATTTTGATAAGAGCATTTTTAAAGAATAGTGGAACAGTGAGGGTGAAAGCAAAACCAGTTGTGTCCAAGAGAGAATCGGAGGAGATAAATTAGAAACAATAATTACAGACAACTTTTTGAATGAAATTTGAGGTAAAATGATGGAGATAAACATGGCTAGCTGGAAGTAGAAGTGAGATGAAGAAATAGTCTTTTAAAAAGTTGGGGAAAATAGCATTTTTAAAATATTTTGAAGGATCCTAGAAAGAGCATTTATGTGGTATTAAATTCCTCAGAATTATGAGAAGAGGGGCATTGGGGAAAATGAGAGTGGGCCACCATCAAAAGGCTTTAAGAAAAACCCAAGACAATTAGGGGAGAAATCCAGGGAGGAGTAAGAACTGCCATGAGGGAAATGGCCTTATTATTAATGAAATTTACAAATAGGGCCTTGCAAGACTTCCTAAAAGAGAGAAGATTCTAACTGATTTTAAGTTTTTTTTTTCTTTTCCAGTGAATTAGGAAAATAGACTCATTTTATAAACATTTTACAGCCTCTCTTCCATTAAAGAGCTGGAAAGAAACTCAACTTTGTGCTATCATAGCTGATTTTCCATTTGGAGCAACGAATGCTAGTGAGATAGAACTGGTATCTTTTAACTGAATGCAAGGTCCTCCAGCTTTGGAGCCAGCACATTAATAGCTAATGCTTCACTTTTTGTTTTTTGAAGTGAAGTCAGCCAATAAAATGTTAAGGAACAGCATCTTCTTTCCTATCAGCAACATTCACAGCGCATCGCACCTTCCATACCACTCCAGGATCTCATCAAGACACAAAGTTGTATATTGAATTTCAGTTATGAAAATATCTAAAGAAAGTCAAGTTTTAGATTTGATCTTGTCTTCTCATGTCTTCGAGCGCTGAGATGTAACAATAGAAAAAGCTATTTCTTGTTGAATTTTTAAGCTGATAGTTTACAGTTTTCAGAAATGTAAACTATCAGCTTAAAAATTCAACAAGAATTTTTTATACTAGTTGCTTAAATGTATGTTGTTTACCATTTATATTTCATAATAAAGTTAAAATCTAAATTATTCTTAAGACTCAGAGTAAGCAGTTTCCTTTTGTGTTTTGGGACCTTCCCTGCTGTTCCAAGGAGCTACCCATATCCATATGTACCAAATGACCTGAATTTCCTGAGGTGTTTGTGTAGTCCATGTACTCAAGATTTTTAAGTGCCATATATATATATATATATATTTATATATATATATATATATATATATATATATTTATATATATATATATATATATATATATATATTTATATATATATATATATATATATTTATATATATATATATATTTATATATATATATATATATATATATATATTTATATATATATATATATATGCAGCAAACAGCTGTTTGCTTTTTAATATCAGAAGAAATGCACATTAAGGAACTACCTGAGATTCTTTACTCTTCCAAAAGAATAAAAGGAAGGCCAAAGAAGCAGGTTATCAACTAGTAAGTCAAAATGTGGTGGCCTTTATAAGCACACAGAGAGTAAAGTAGATCATACTTCATATAAAACTTTGATTTCTCCATAGTGGAAAGAATAAGGGAGGTAGAAGAAATGGAAGTAACAGAATAAAATATACAGCAGAGAAAGGACAATAGGCATTAGAAAGGGCAGGATGTCTGAAAAAATAAGAATTAGAATTTGTAAAATTCTTCTAAGATTCTTTTCCATTTTTTGCATTAGAATTGTCTGGCTCCCTTCTAAGGTTGTCCCCATTGACTTGATTCTAATGAACATACTATGAAATAAAACCTTATTAATTCATTACCAACGAAATACAAATTATTGAGTAGTCCATATCTGATCAAAACAGAAAGAGTTTTATTACTTTAAAATATAGAAGTAATTTGGATTAACTGATACAGGAAAGTCAGAGTTGCAAAGGAACACAGACTTGATCTGGACCATTGCTCTCATTTTTTTTTTTCACTGAAGAACCAAAGGAAAGAATAACCAGACTGGGTTTTGAGGCTTGTTTTCTAAAGACCTCTTATTCACTTCCCATGTCTGTTCAGGGTCACACATCTAGTAAGTGGCTAAATTGGCATGAGAGTCTAAACACAATTCTTACCTTAGGTTTCTGCAACCAAGCAAAATTCATCTTCAAGAAACTCAATTAATGGATTACTTACTATATGTGTGCTGACAATTAAGGCATTTCTTTGGGAACAAAGTTATTTTAAGGAGCTTAAAGGTGACCTCAGGAATTTCCATGGAAATATTACATAAAATTTCTATTTTAAATAAATAGAAAAAGGACAGTTTCTTTATAGAGTGGGAAAGAAAATTTTAGACCATTCAAGGATCAGCAATCACAAGCATGAAAAGAAGTAGAAACGCTACCAAGTAACACGATATCTTGCTAAATGTGGGAAAATATATGAACCCTCTTTTCCTCTAGAACAGGGATTCTTATATTTTAGGTTGCACATAATCCCCCTAGGAACCCAGGTACTTGTGTACATACCAGAACGTATCTCTGAGGTCTGGATTACTTCAGTCTAAGATGGGCCTTGGGAGTAACAGGTGTTTTGATGCAGATAAACCACAGCCCACAAATTTGGAATCAATGACCCAGTCAGATGACATAGTTGAGACTAAACACCAAACTACTGAACATGAACTTTTGTCAGATATTTTTTATGTATTATAATTGAATCTCTTATAATTAAGGGCAACGAAGTAAGTCTTCGTCAAATTGAATGGATTCTTGAAACTGTTCAGTGATGAAAATCATTGTTCTTCAAGGGTCTCAATAAATTAGCTTAAATTTTTAAAATCACTTTACTATTAAAAGTTTTTTTAAGGCACTAAGTCATTCATTCTTTTATTTGCCAAGTTAGTATATTTAGAATGTAAGATATTGAAAGTGCTTAACTCCACTTCTGACTCTTCAGCCTAGACACATCAAGCAGTGTTAAATAATGTAAAAGAATTTTCCTCTCTCTAGCATATTTATGAATGGCTTACATAGGTTTTACTGGTAGAGTGATTGTCTAAATCATTGATCGAATAAAATCTCTCACTCTCACTCTCCCTCTGTCTCTCTCTCACACACACACACACACACACACACACACACACAGAGAACTATTCATCAAAAATCTGTTTTAATATGTTGGCAAATTTATACAATAGTATATTCAAAACTGTTTCCAAAATAAATGTTTTTCAAAACAAGAAATAACAAAACCATGTTAATATGGAGAAGAGGCAGAAGTGTGGGATTCCCGACCAAAGGCCCCACCTTCGAGCCTGGAAACCGTGACCCTAAATGAGAAGTTATCCCTGTTTTCCTGCCCAAAATGTTGCTTTATCCAAAATCACCCTGGCCCGCCATGCCCCCCACATCCTGTACCCATAAAAACCCCAAACCCCAGGCTCCACAAGCAAAAGAGTGGAAGAGTGACAGAGCAGCATGGCAGAGAAGGAGAGAAGAGAAGGAGCATCTGAACACTGAGAGGAGTTCGGCTGGGGATGGTTGGAGAGATCAGCCACAGGACAGCCAAACTCCAGGGAAGGTCATCTTCCCACTCTATCTCCTTTCTAGCTCCTTTCTAGCTCCCCATCCATCCCACTGAGAGCCACCTCCATCACTCAGTAAAATCCTTGCATTCACCATCCTTCAAGTCTGTGTGACCTGATTCTTCCCGGACACTGGACAAAGGTCCAGGTACCAAGAGCGCAGGGTGTAAAAAGCTGTCACCCTGACTCTCCACTGAGCTGATTAACACTTAGCCATCCCTAGACAGCAACTGCTAATAGAGCATTAATTGTAACACACCCTTAGACGCTACTGTGGTTCCAGCGCCCAAAAGTGCCCGCCCTGGCTCCTGCACCTGTCCATTTGAGTGTTCCCCCTCCCATAAGGAGTTTGAGCACCAGGAGCCAAGCAAACTAGCCACACCCCTGTCGTAAGTCCCATAAGGGGGTCAAGGAACTTTCCTGTTTCAATGTCACCAAAGCAAATTTTTAAAAAACCTTCACACTAATCATCTAGGTTATAGAATATTAAAAATGACATAAACAGAATAATTATTCTTAATATATACTCTAATCAGTTTTCTTAGTCACTTCTATCTTTAATAGCATGCCAGTGGCATTTTTTGAAGATATTGTTTCTAATATGGTGTTATTATTTTGAATTTTTAAAATAAAATTATCCGTATTCTTATTCAAAGTTTCATCTTATGGTTAATACATTCAAAAGTGTTGACACTTGCAATTGACTTTTCTCTGCATAACACTTATATTCTGAAAATACTATCCATACAGGTACTGAAGTATCTAACAAGCTATAAAATACAGCAAATGTATGATATTTTCTAATTTTTCTCTTATTAAGTGATATAATTAACTCCAACATATGTCATAGCTCTTGTATTTTTGCCTACATTCAGAATAACGTTTCAAAAATATTTTACAAAACAAAATTTATCAAGTAATTTGTCTTATTTATTACTTGTTAATTGTTTTACCAAATTTACAAGCTGTGAAATTATGGCTTTTTAAATTCTGTTCCTTCTTGGTACATAATATAAGTTTATCTCTTTTGAAACAGAAGTTTCATCAATACTCTCAAGCTTCAACTTTGGGTGTCAGAGTTAAATCTCACTTGAAGTTGGAACTCTTATTATATAATTTGTTCAGTCCTTTCCTAGTTTAATAGGGATCAATTTCAATATCTCCCTGTTTGCAAGCTTCGTTTTCAATAAGTGAAATTCACTAATAACTTCAGGAACAAAAGTTTTGTCAATCTTTACTGATATTTGTCTAAAGATCTCCAACTAGTTCTAAACAAATGCAACCAAGTTTGACAGAGTCTACCATAAAGTTCAGTAACATGAGAGGACACAGGTTTGATTTAGAAAATTTTTTTCAAAGTCTTACTCACTTCTAAAATCTGATGTCTGGCAGCAAAACATACTTTTATTTTGATGTATTCTTTTGTATTTAACATCAATTGTACAACAAATAAATTTCTAGGCAATTTGCAACTTTGTATACATAAAATATTTTTAAATTTTCACAATATACCTCTCTAAATACTATTATTTTTATGTCCAACACAAATAATTTCAAGAAATTTTTCTGCTAACAATCAATCTCTTAATTTAGAAAGAACACTGCTTTGTATTACTACACTTATCCACCAAAATTTCTGTTCATACTATCTCTACAAAACAAATATAATTTTATTTTCAGTATTAAACTTTTTAATTTGTAATGATCAAGTGTTTCACATTTGATGGGATAGGCTGTTAAAAATTACTTCAGTTACATTAATTGAATGAAAATATTGATCCGTTTGGAAAATCAGATGGCAGTGAGATGAAACTGGTATCTTTTAACTGATTGCAAAGTCCTTCAGCTATGGAGCCAGCACATGAATAGCTACTGCTTTATTTTTTGTTTGTGCACAAGGTAATTTTAATGGTTAAATAAGTAAAATTAAAAAAAAAGAAAAATATATATAAGTAAAATAACTTAAAAGTCTTTTAATCTGAATAATGATGCATTTCAGAGAGTGCATATGCCCTCTGCAGTTGCATGTGTTAGATCTCCCCTTTGAGCATGAATATCTTAAAATGAGTACAAACTTTCGAAATAGATGCTGATACTTCTTCAGCACACTTATTCCTTCTGGTTTTTGTGCAATCAGTAATATCACTGATCTTCCCCCACCCTGTGAATAATATAAGTTGATAAACATTTTATGCAAATTATATGTTTAGCATAAGTTTTATTCAAAAGCAAATCAGTACTTAGCTTACTAAATATGGAGTTATTAATTTGGTGGGGAGGGGCTCATGGCATCCTGATGATTTTATGCATCTTGCAGCCTATTACGTAGGCCAAGCCAAGGTTTCCTAGTGTGCCGTGTGGCTGCCAGGTTCCATTTTTAGATGATCTCCAATACCCCCTGTCTAGAGAGAATTAGCCCCCTTTAGGCTCCGATTGTCTCAGCAGACATCATTTTACCAGCAAGTTAAAATGCATGCTGTGTACTGCCTCAGAAGGGGATGTGTTAGTTGCATTTGTCTAATGTCTCTGAAAGGGATGTGTTGGTTGGATTTGCCTGAATAGGATAAGGGGAGGAGAGAAACCATTATGTATGGACATCTTTTACATTTAACTTTGTGTTACAGGGAGAGCTCCCTTCAGTGAGCACACATACCTCACACTACTACAAGAGACCCTGGAAGAAGCCAGAAGTGTAAAATAGGGATCTACCAAACCTAACCCCCTGTATATTTTAACACTAAAGCAGTCATTGTCTGGGATAGATACCTGAGGTTCCTTGCCTCATGCCAGGGAAATTAAGGACATGGAAACACAAAAGAAGTGAGTTGAAGAGCAGAGGTTTAATAGGAGCAAGAAAGAGAAAAGAGAATAGCTTTTTTCCTTGCAGGGAGAGATGGGTGCCCCAGTGGGTCTTCCGTGCCCCTGGTAAAGTGCACAGGGTTGTACAGATTGGCTTGAGGAGGTAGTGCCTGATTTACATAGGGCCCAAAGATTGGTTGGACCAGGTGTGACGCTTACATAGTACTGCGAAGAAGCTTGTCACTCCACCCTAATCTTTTTATTATGCAAATGGGTTTTGTACTTGGCTGGCGCCATGTTGTCTGCTCCTTACCGTACACGTGGTTAGCAAAGAAAAGGGAACATGGAACCACCGTTTTGAACATGCCTAGTCCCCAGGTAGCCCCTTTCCTATTGGCACAACTGCTGGCATTTACCTGTGCAAGCTTCTAGCTTGCCTTTCCATGACTGCAGCTTGATTTTACAGACTGCTTTTTGTTAGAAAAGAAAATGATTTAGGAGCTGCTTTTCTTTAAAAGGAAAACCTTACCGAGGACTTCCTTATCCTCATAATCTGCCCAAATAATGCCTTGTTAACTCCTGTATCATTACCATTATTAATAATCTTCCATTAAAAATGAAAAATCAGACAAATGCAAACAGGACCTATGGTGACAATATTTTTCGACCACATCTCCATTCCCCACTCTACCTCCATTCACTCTCCAGCTTGCTGATGCTTACATAGTATTTACATTTTCTGGCTCAGTTCCTCCCCTTCCCTCCTCTCTTTTCTTTTCTTTCCCCCTCCTCTCCCCTCCCCTCTCCTCTCCTTTTTGACAGAGTCTCGCTCTGTCACCGGGCTGGAATGCAGTGGTGTGATCTCGGCTCACTGCAACCTCTGCCTCCCGGGTTCGAGCGATTCTTCTGTCTCAGCCTCCAGAGTAGCTGGTATTACAGGCACCACCACCACATCTGGATAATTTTTATACTTTTTTTTTTTAGTAGAGAAGGGGTTTCACCATATTGATCAGGCTGGTCTCGAACTCCTGACCTCATGTGATCCACCCAACTTGGCCTCCCAAAGTGTTGGGATTACAGGTGTGAGCCACCACGCCCGGCTGGCTCCGTTTCTTTTAAAATGTATGCAAAATGATCTCATGTGAAACAGAAAACTTTGGTGGCATGTCTAAATATCCATGCTTACTTAATCAGTATTACCTCTCTTAATTAACATCTTTGCTATAGAAACAATATTCTCTCACACTGCACAACTTTTCTGCTTATTTCTAAAACTTGACAGGAGGGACAAGAGAAGTTCTCCTTCATTCTAGTTTGGCTGTAGCTTCTGCAGCTTATCATTGCCAGAGGTTTGAAAAATATAGAACCTTTGGCACGTCCTCAGTCTTACTAAATTCAGTGTTCCCAACAGTCATTTCCGTTTCTAAAAAGATCCACAGGTAATCCTGATGCATAAAGCAAAGACTGTGTCTTCCTGGTTTCTGTAATGTAAATCAAGACAAGTTGTAATTTGGGGCTTACTGCTGTTAAAATGAAGAAAGAACATGCCCAAGAAATGAAGTTATTATGATTCATGGATATTGGGGTGCCTGGGTGGTTGAAAATGTTTACATAAATAGTGCTAGAGTTGTAGAATGTCAAAAAGAAGGCACAATCTGCAAGAGATAAACATCAATGCTTAATTTGCTAATTTTTTCTAATTGTGTCTTGGGGAGGAAGGAATGTAAGTTGTTAGGAAGAACGGATGGCAGAACTGGAGTGAGATTTGAAAAAAATGTTCTAATAATGAATAGAACGTTTTTTGTTGTTGTTTTTTTTTTCCACTGAGGCAGGCTTAAGATAGAGCCAAGCTGCTTCCATCATGTTGCTGAAAATTATAACATAAAAAATGTTTTAAGATTCTGAAAGTCAAACTAGTCTGTTTTTTGCTATTTTATCTTGGGTTTCTGGAGTCTATGACTATGAGAACATGGGCGAGACATTAAAAAGGAAGCTTATTTTCTATTGTTCTCCCGAATAAATCCTATTACTGTACACTATAATGTATACCATATGTTAAAGAATTCCAGTCAATGATTCTATTGCAGATTCCACACTGAGGGATTAAATTATATAATCACTAGTAAAAATGAAATTTGAAAATATTTAATAAACTATCATGTAAGCTGTTAATGTTAAATACAAGGGTTTATATACTTTAGCAACTAATTGAACATCTGATTCATGATTAGGAATGCACATATTGCTAAATATCAGGACTCTGAGACGATTAGATTCAGTTTAACAAAAATAATTTGATGGAATGAGATGATATGGAAGTAAATGGCATAACTAATAGAGCTAAGGTAATGAGCAAGTCTGGAGGAAACTGACAAGTCCTGTAGCCTCTTTCAGACATATGGCAATCCTATAAGTAAACTTACGATGTTGCCATTCTTAGAAGGTTTAGAAGTTCTGGACTCATTCACCCTGTCAATTAATCTTATGACTAAAATACTTATCCTGAGAACTTTTTTTGTATCTTGGAGCATCAAATTGAATTGAAAATACTCTGAACTTAAACTCCTCAGCTTATACTTTTAAAGGCTTGCCTTATTCAGATGTCTGACATCGTGGAATGGGGAAACATCATGGACTTCAATGTTCGACTTCAGAGAGTTTAAATTTTATTTTGGTCACTTATTACATTTCATGGGCCTGTACAAGTTATTTAACCTCAGACTCAAAATTATCTGCTATAAAGTAGTGTTAACAGCTCCTAACAGGATTGTAGAGACTAAATAAAATAATACTAATAGAGGACTACTCATTAAACAAATGCTCCTTTCCTCTATCTTTTCTTATGGTAGATTAGGAAAAGTAAATATCTTCATATGATTTGCAAAGTCAGTTTGCATCTCTCCGATAGAAGTGGTGAGTAATTGACGAGTCCTATTTTTAGGGCTTTCCCGAGAGAGAGAGAGAGAGAGAGAGAGAGAGAGAGAGAGAGAGAGAGAGAGAGAGAGAGAGACAGAGACAGAGAGAGAGTGTGTTAAAGTCCTTCCAGTAAGCATACATTACATGGTATCACTCAAGATCAATTTACAACATTAATAATAGCTGTATGTTCTGTCATCATGTATTAGTGCTCTGCAAAAGAAAACTGGACTGGAAAATTAGCAGGGTTAAAGAATAAAGTGAAGAATAAAGTGCCTTGGTTAATAATGCACAGAGGCCCTAGAAATGTAATCGCCCAATGGGTTCATTGCCTGCTGCCAGGACAGAGCCGATTTATCAAGACAGGGAAATTGTAATAGAGAAAGAGTTCAATTCATGCAGAGCCAGCTGAATAGGAGACTGGAGTTTTATTATTACTCAAATCAGTCTCCCTGAAAATTCGGAGACTGGGTTTTTTAAGGATAATTTGGTGGGTAGGGGGCCAGGGAATGGAGAGTGCTCACTGATCAGGTCAGAGATAAAAATCAAAGAGCCTTGAAGCTATTCTTGGCTGAGTCAGTTCTTGGGTGGGGGCCACAAGACCAGATGAGTCAGTTTATCCATCTGGGTGGTGCCAGCTGATCCATGGAGTGCAGGAGCTGAAAAATATCTCCAACACCAATCTGAGGTTTCACAATAATGATGTTATCCCTAGGAGCAACTGGGGAGAGTTCGAATCTTGTAGCCTCTAGCTGTATGACTCCTAAGCCTATTTTCTAATCTTGTGGCTAATTTGTTAGTCCCACAAAGGCAGCCTTGTCCCCAGGCAAGAAGGGGGTTTGTTTTAAGAAAGTGCCGTTATCATTTTTGTTTCAAAGGCAAACTATAAACTAAGTTCCTACCAAAGTTAGCTCAGCCTGTGCCCAGGAATAAACAAGGACACCTTGGAGGTTAGAAGCAAGATGGAGTCTGTTAGGTCAGATTTCTCATTGTCTTAATTTTTTCACTGTTATAATTTTTGTATAGGAGGTGTCTGGAACATTACCTGTCTGGTAACCACTCCCACTTTCATTGGCACAAATTTGTATCTTGAAAATATCTGTATTTCTAATAGAAAACCATTCACAATCACAGTGAGGTAAACCCAAGAGAGAAGAGAGAGAATAGACAGAATTCAATTTACTCAAAGAAAACTGAACTTCACCACAAAAGGATCTTTTCTCATTTGGGGGAATTATTTATTAACATTTCTATTATTAAACTCATTTTTAGGCTAATCCTATAAATTCACATATATTAAAGCATATACACATATTTATGTATCATTCCTTGGGGAATCATTAAGCTCTTCTGACATACTAAACAACTATGTAAAGATTAGCAAAAAGTCTCTTTTCTTTGCCATTACTGAAGAATGTGTTTTACCCACTGAAAAGTCTCTAGAATGTAGAATCAGGGTCTTGAGAATGTTTATGCCTTAAATTTCCTAATTTCAAGCCAGCAGAGGGCTCCCTACTGTAACATGATTCTGTATATGTATACAAAATTCTGTGAAAATTGTTGTTAAGGGACAAAAGCAGGATTCAATATATGTTATAGGCTTACGTATTGTCTATAACTATGTGTTAAATTAAGAAGTATAAAAAGAATGAAGCAAAGCCAAACCCACTTCTGATACTTGAGATAGAATGTGTTGCTTTTTCATCATGCAAAATTTAATCTTCCTCTGCTGTTCCAGTTTGAAAACTAAATATGCTTCAATTCTGTATCCTCAGTTCACATAGACACCTGCAGTCTGATTCTCTTAATACTCTATATTTTTGTCCATTCAAAGATTAAATAATGTATTGCTAATATGAGATTATCTAAGTCAGGCTCCTTAACCCAGTGATACATAGGCAAAGCTCAATGAAGAACAGCATTAGTTTTTTTTAGTACATGTGTCTTTGATTATTTAAATTATTAAATTTTATTATTAAATTATTAAATTTTAACTTGATTTCAAGAAATATTGGATAAATGAAAAATAAAGATTTTTTTTTTAACTTTTTCCAGTTCTCATTCTTTGGACTTCATCCTGCTTATCCCTGTCAGTTCCCTCCTAACGAAACACTTGGTGGATTTTTACAATCCCAATGAACAATGTACACACAACACCTTGGGTAATTTTATTTAGAGAATTAACATTGTTCTGATAACTTTAAATAATGCAGAATTGCTGCATGCTGCCCAGTCTGCCAAAACAAATTGACCAAGCATATTAGAGAAATGTATGACAAAGTAACCTGTTGAAAAAACTAATTCTGACAAATTCTGTTCATTTTTCTTTCAGTGATGTCTTTTTTCTTTGAGACGGAGTCTCGCTCTGTCGCCCAGGCTGGAGTGCAGTGGTGCAATCTCCACTCACTCCAACTTCTGCCTCCCAGGTTCAAGCGATTCTCCTGCCTCAGCCTCCAGAGTAGCTGGGACTACAGGCGCACACCACCATGTCCAGCTAAATTTTTATATTTTTAGTAGAGACAGGACTTCACCATGTTGGCCAGGATGGTCTCTATCTCTGGACCTCATGATCCGCCCACCTCAGCCCCACAAAGTGCTGGGATTACAGGGGTGAGCCACCGCGCCTGGCCTCAGTGATGTCTTTTTCTGGAATGCAGCTTCTTAGGTTATATGGATTGCAAAGGTAACTGTGGCCTTAGGAAGACAACCAATGTAATACATTTTTATGACTACAAACATGTATCTATGCATAATTTTAGCAAACATCAAAGGAAACATTGTTTTCAAATTGATGTAAAGGCAATATTCCTTCTTGTTTTTACTGTTTTTAAGTTTCATCCCTTCTTTTTATACTTGTCATATAAGGCTATCAGTTAATATAACATCATTATATTTGAAATCTTTTTTTAATTGTAGTAAAGGGGGGAAGTAACCAAAACTGACTTTAATTTTTAATAGAAAATAACAAATGTGAAAGGCAAACAATAGTAAATAAGTAATTTTACTTTTCATTGAAGAAATAGTTCATATAAGCATTACATAAAATAATTACATTTTAATATGCAGTCATAATATGCGTGTGGACAACTCATTAAAAGAAGAGAATTATGTACAAATTCAGGTTATTTCCAAGGGTGAGAGGTGAGTTGTTTCATGCTTCTAACTCCCCAGAAAGCAATGCAAATGGAAAAAACAATCTGAAGAAATAAAACACAAAGAGAAAAAAAAATTAGAAGTGAATCAATACTATTGCTCAACTGAATTAAAAATATTTCCCTAGAGGAAAATGAACATGGACATTTTAGGGAGTCAAGTTATTAAATTAAATCTAGCAATTGTTCACTGATAGAACTTAGCCAATTTAACTTAAAACATGGTGTGTGAAGACAGGAGCAGGAGTTAAGAAGTTTTATTTCTGTGGCTTGTTTCTTATATTCACAAATCTGGGTCATTTCAAGGAATGAGGCTAGACAAGTTAGATATTCAGACATTTCTTCTGACATTTGGAGATACAGCATGCTGTATGCATTATACTAGATGATCTAATTGCTTATATAGGTTAAGAAACCTTTGGAATAGGAGAAGTAAAAACACTGTTAAAGAATCCCTCCAAGTCAGTATGATCTAGCTTACTATGAATTTCGCCCAACGTGAATTAAATTCTAAACACTGCTGATGATTTACCTCCTCAGTCTTTTGATTTTATCAGGTGTAAAAATGTAACTGCAAATTTCTTTCACACTGAAGACTTAACTGAATCATATTAAGCAGCCTGAAAATTTCATTGAGTTTGTTCAATCCAGGCTCTGGTCATGGTCTTTGCACCATCAGATTTCCCAAAAGTAAACACTTCCCTATGCTCTTACCTAGGCACCGACAATTAAAACTATAGGATTGCTTTCCTGATCACCATTTTAGGTGGTTGGGTAACTGGAATGATGATGAAAGCAAACAATGCCAAAACAACCAGAGTTATTGGGATAGCTGTGCAGGAGTTTCTCTATATTTTTCATGTATGTGTATACTTCCCCTCCATACTATTAAAATAGGACCAGATGCCTCTCCCCAAGAAGAATATCACTATACCTGGAAGATTCACTGAAATATACAAAGAGAGAACATTTAATTAAGAAGATGAAGGCATGGGAGCATTCTGGTGTGGGGAACTCCGGTGAAGTCAAGACTGTTAACTGAGGACAGCTGTTAACTCACAGAAAATACCTTGAACTATGCTGATTTTGCTATTAAAGCATGAATGAGGAAAAAACATCACCAACAACCAAAATACAAATGAGCAAAAAAAAAAAAAAAAAAAAAAAAAAAAAAACCCTCCCAAACAAGGATGTTTCCATTTATGAGTGGGTTGTTCAGTTTCATATGAACCTCCTGGATCTTTCTAGAGAACCATCATCCTTCACATTAGTCAGGTTGATGGACTTCTTCAAATTCATGCATTCCTTTTAGCCTATAACACCCACAATATGAAAAAATACTAAAAATAAAATCAGCAGTTATATTGAAGGAGAAGTCAAGAATAATATTAACGTCTTGGAGTTGCCTCAGAAGTCAAATACAATATATTTAAAGGCTGGTTTTGATTTTGTTTCTTTTGACTGTAATTCAAGAGAAATGACCTCATGGCACTTCTTCTGATGGTGCCAGGTAAAATAATACTGCGCTGGGGGGAGTATTTTTGAAAGCTCTTAGACTTGTGCAATGAGTTGCATTTGTCCATGAAAATGGGTTAATGCTGAGAGGGGCGCTGAGAAGATAGCTTTTCAAGTGAGACAGAGATGATAAATCTATAATATCAGAGTAAATAATTTACTTTAGATCCAGAATATTCAGCAAGCAACTAATACATACCTTGTGTTGTGCAGGGTGCTGGAATCTAAGCTATATTTGGCACTAGAAGTCTTTATTGGTTACAAGGATGATCTCCCTGAGGGAAGGCTGAGTACAATTACTTCAGTGAAACCTCATAAGTTGTATATAAAGTTTTCGGAGTATTCTCATAAATCTCATAATTCTCCTCTTTTCCATTCTCAATTCCCCTAGACTATCCATACTTTCATCTCGACTTCCAGTACTATTAAAAATTTTTACCTAAATAGGAAGTGGAAAAGATTACAAGTCTAGTTATGCCTTGTTATTAATCCACCACTTTCCACTAAATCTTTCCACCTTTGAAACTGTGATTCACATCCTTTATCCTCTAGGACCTACCTCTAAGTAAATCACAAAAATCTTCCCTTTTCCAATTATCTGAAATGCTTTCAAATTCCTACCGAAAATGCAGTACTGAAGTTAGCAGTCTTATTTTTTTTTTCTTTTCTTTTTTTTTGTTTTTTTTTTTGCTTGCTTGCTTGTTTCAGGCTCCTATGTGTTATCCCTTCAAAGAGATGTACAACTGGTTAAGCCTAGGAGTCAGGATCAGATTATATTAATGTGCAATGAAGACCTTTGCTTAGGCCAGCACTGTCCCACATGCCTTTATTAGATTATGTCATCTAATTCTCATGACAAACTTTGGTGTACTGGTATCCAATTTGGCAGTGAGACAGTAGGAACTCAAAATTCATGTGGTTATACCAAGGAATCACAAAACTACTAAATATCAGAGCTAGAATAAAGTTTTACATTTACCCCAAGAAAATCTAACTGCAAAACCTAGGAAATCATTTCAAAGAATATGAACATCCATAGTGAATTCATTTCCTTTTCTGTAGTCATCACCTAGATTTTCCTAGTTATTTTTCTTCTTGTGTCAGTAACCGCTAGGCTTCTGAGACCTTTTCACTATCAATATTTTAAGAACAAATTTGGAATTTTTATATATAATAAAATCCAGATTGGCAAAGGATCATAGAAATAAAATAACATAAATGTGCCCTTCTAAAAATATGTGACTCTGAAATATTCACCATTCCATTAGAAAATATTTCAGTAGAAGAAAACAGAGTTAATTTTACACTTTAGAATATATGTGTTTATATATAAATATTACATACAATGTATAGATTCAAATATATATTGCACTATAATTTTAAGCCAGAAAATTATTTAACATAGAGTCAATATAACCACCTGATTACCGTAGTCACTCCATTTAAAATTTTCCTTGTCCAACTGTTCTCTTGATTTTTGTATTACGCCATTTATTTTAGGTCTCCTTAGTTGATTAGATTAAATATGTCACTTTACTTGATAGTTCATTAACACATTTCTCAAATATTTGTTAAATAAATACAGAATTCCTACTTAGGCTAGTGAAAGAATAGATGAAAACTGTAGACTTCTTATTTTGCAATATTTGTCTCTAATCTACATATATGATGTTTCCGGATACATACAAACTCAATGCACACTTATTGTATCCTAGTTCTAGGCAAGTCCCATGATTTTAACAGCTGGATTCTAAATATAAAGCAGAGGAAGTTCATTCTTAGTGTCAAGCCGTCCTTGTGCTAACACATCATTAGTGGTCCTTGTCTTCAGGCTATTTCCTTGACTTCCCAGGAACCTCAACTCTGATGCCTGAACTTTTGGCCTGTACAGATGCTGTCATGTTTCCACCATGCCTTTCCAAAAAGTTCATCAATTGGCAGGTGGCTAATCTGTCAGTAATCCATATTAAAATTTTAATGGGGACTGGTGTTTTATTCTGCTGCTCCTCTCAGTTATGTGTGTGTGTGTTTGTTGCTTTTGTTTTAAGAGACAAGGTCTTGCTATGTTGCCCAAACTGGACTCGAACTCCTGGGCTCAAGCACTCCTCCCATCTCAGCCTCCCTAGTTGGGCCTATAGGGACATATCATCTCACCCAGGTTTATGTCTGTGTTTTGAGAGGCCTTATTCAAAATGGCTCTAATGAAGAGGAAATCAAGCATCTAATCTTAAAGGAGAGAGAATAGTGTGCTTGTTGCATGCTCTCAAATTGCAAACCCTCAAATTACAAAGAAATGTGGTGGATTTGACTTATACCTATGTACATATCTGTCTCTTCTGGTTTTAATACACTTACTATATTTATCAATAAGCAACCAGAAGAGAAAAGAAAAACAAATATCACTTTGTGCAGTGGAAAGTTCCAATTACAACTAGCTAGGGATCTTCCACAGCCTTTGTGGTAGTGATGAAATAAGACTTTTCAAATAATTCAGCCTTCAGATAAGCTTACAAATAAAATGAAAGCTTTAATGTACTTGAATAATTATTCACAAGAGAAAAAAAATCTCTGAAATTGCTAATTTTTTTGGTCTCCCAAACATGTATTTATGTCACAAAGATTAAAATAGAAAACATTCATTGAGATATATCTTATTTAATTTTATATGGATTGCCAGCAGTGGTATGAATATGTATATCCCTGAATCACTAATAAGATGAATAAACATGTTAAATGAGCTAAGTCATTTTGCTGAATGATAAAGTCACTTACTCTACTTTGTAAAGGAAGAAATTTGAGTTACTTTAAGTATAAAATGGCATTTTCGTGAAGATGTCAGACTTAGTCATTTTACAACAAATTGAAGGGTTATTACTATTTAGTGAATTATATGTTTTCAGCCAAATATAGGTTTATATACTTATTTCCTAAAATTTCCCTAAAATTTTTAAGAATTAGAATATTAGAATAACTATTTTGTATTCTAAACAAATGTATACCCTGGCCCTAAATGGAAGAGTACATTTTTCTGAAAAATTGTTTCTGTAGTATCAGTGAGGTTTATAAAATACCAGTTAACTATTTAATAGAACTAAAACAATCGCAACAGTAAGAATTGATTTAAAGGAAACACATTAAATATGGAGTACTTTTTTCCTAAATTATTTAAAGAAAACTAAAGGTAATCCTTTGTTAAATACACTTTTTAACACAATGTTTTGGTTTTTTTTGAGATGACCATTGTCAGCTGTACAGATAAGAACCCAAAGAGAGATTAAGCCTGAACTGCTCCAAAATATCTCTATTTCCTATGAGCGCAAGAGGACAAATAAGCACAATGGAACTAGAATATAAATTAGAGCCAAATGTACCATAGCTCTTTAGGAACTGGAAACATCAGAAATACATTAGATAATTATAGATTTTTTTTCTAGAATTTTGCAAGAACCCAGTTTCACAAATGCCAACTTACAAGAAATTGAGAATTGTTTTCACTTTGAAAATATTCTATATATACAAACATATTTATTCATATTCAGAAAAAGGGAAAGAAAATGTTGAAGAAATAAATTACAAATACTGCATCTATGACTTTGAAATCTTGCATTATCTCTTTGTGCTTATTTCTATACCCCATTCAAGAGAGAACACAATCACAGCTATGTTTAATATGAGGCCTTTTAAGGTTTTTTCCTATCTAAATTTTAAATCAAACAGTATTACATTAGTTTATAAATATATATCACAGTTCTTAGCTGATGAAAAACAATGTAAAAAGAAAGTTCATGTGAATGACCATGTGATAACATCACCTTATTGAAAAGAATATCAATAGTATCAGAAGAGGTTTTTGTGTGCTTGTTGCACACCTTATTGAAAAGAATATCCTTCAATCAATAAGTATCTACTGATACTCATTTTCTAACAGGAGAAAATACTAAACATAACGCAATCAAGTTTTAAAAAGATAAATACAAAATACACATTAAAACAGAGTTTTCACTGCTCCAGCTGAACTCCGAAAATGGAAACATCAGATTTTCACTATTTTACTATTTAATGGGGGCAAAAGACACTTATAATTAGAGTAACAAAAAGTACTAGCTTAATTTACACAACAAATGCAGAATCTTTCATTTCACGCATTATTTCAGTTCCCTAATTTTATACAATTATTTACTCACTTCTAAAGGTCTAAACTGCCTAAGAAAGTGTGCATCCTTTTGGACACTACTACAGAAGAGAAGCCTATGGTTCATCCAGACCGCATTTCAACTATCACGATAACATTTGAAAACCATAAATATTAGCCACAAGATTAGAGATCATTTAGAGGTCTCCAGAGCCTACCCATAATTCAGAGAATATACTTTAATACGGTTGGCATGAATTAGCTACTGCACATGTAAACCCATCTGGTTAAAATTGTATAAACCATAGTTAGCATAAAGTGAAAATAGATGCTACCTTTCTCAAAAACATCTGTGAATTTTTAATCTTTGATTTGGAAGTTATGAATAAAGTGTTTTTAAAAGATGGCCCTAAAAATTCCAATATTACCAACCCTTGTTCTAAGAGAATGACAACTCAATAATGTGGATTTTTAAATTGTCTTTGAATAACTACTAGATTCTTGCCTTTCCTTATAAACACCGACACACTTCTATTTACATTGTTTTCCTGGAGAATTTCTAAATATTTTGATACACATACTCTTGATGTTCTGACCTAACTTCTCAATTTTTACCAGCTTAGATTGTTATATTTTTAGTTTAACTTTGTCAAAAGGTCAGGTACATAGACACTAGCATAAAGTGAAAATAGGCCGGGCGTGGTGGCTCACGCCTGTAATCCCAACACTTTGGGAGACCAAGGTGGGCAGATCACGAGGTCAGGAGATCGAGACCATCCTGGCTAACATGGTGAAACCACGTCTCTGCTAAAAATACAAAAAATTAGCCGGGCTTGGTGGCGGGCACCTGTAGTCCCAGCTACTCGGGAAGCTGAGACAGGAGATTGGCATGAAGCCAGGAGGCGGAGCTTGCAGTGAGCCGAGATGGTGCCACTGCACTCCAGCCTGGGTGACAGTGCGAGACTCTGTCTCAAAAAAATAAAGTAAAATAAAATAAGGAAATAAATAAAGTGAAAATAGATTTACCACAACTAACACACAGAGAAAACTTAGAGACAACCAAACTTGATTATGTCTGCGATTTATAAATCATGAATCACAAATTATGCCTGTGATTTATAAATAATGAATATATTCATGGGGTGTCCAGAAAATGTGCCTTGTTTAAATTGAAGCTTGAATTTGTAGTTTTCTAATCATCCAAGTTCTTAATGCTACAGAAGAGTGACTTTTTGGACTTTTTCTTAAACACTACAGGGCAGAAACAGTAAGGATACATAGAGAGAGGGTTGCAATAAGGTCAAATTAATAAAGGACCAAATATCATTTGTGAGAAGAAACATTTGGAAGAACACTGACCATCATGTTGGCATAAGTATCTTAGTAAAGGTGTACTTTAGAGAAATAATCTTTTTCCACCAATAATCTTCCTCTGGTGCTCACCATGGAACCTCATGTTCTTTACTTTTTATGGATATGAGAAGAAAATTTTTTAAAAATCAGGGCTATAAAAAACTTTTAAGAATGGTCTGTTTTAGTTTTTATAAAGTTGGGAATAAAACAAGAGCAGAAAAATAACAAGGCATTTGGTGAACATTATACCTAGCTTGACTCTCTGCTGAGATTTTTTATGCATTAAAATTAGTGATGGGCAAACCATTCAAAATAACCTGCACCCATGCTCTGAAAACTATGATAGCACTATTTTTTGAAGTATAAGATAGTTCTGTGAATTTAAAAATTCTTTAACTTTCTTATTTTACTCATATTTCTGTAAATAAGTTCTAGCTACAAGTAGAAACAATTTCATTTAATTTTTCTGCATACGCCTAACATTGGCACAAAATTGTTTGCCTCATATCCAGCATGTTTTGAAACAGAAGATTTTTGAATAAGATGTTGCTGGATTCATCATAGACCTTAAGTGTCCTAACAGAACTCTCTTGAATGATGAGAAACACGACATTTAATCTAAATTCAAAGTACTACACTTTTCTAATACCTTTTATTACTGACCACTAAAATTTAAAGCATTTACATTTTAAAACCAGAGGTTTGTTTCCATAAAAAATTATCAAGAAAATAATTCAGTCCTAATCTTCTACCAAAAGGTCATTTTTGTGCTAAATGACTGGCAGTGTCGCCCATTTCCTCCCCAATCCTGTTATCACAGCCCACCGATTTTCAGTGTATTCCAAAGAGCAAAATGTACTTCTGGCATTTCTCTGACATAAATAAAGAGTCTAAGGCATCTCACATGGATAACAGTTTTCAATACTTGATGTACAAAAACTTCAATCTGGAAGAGCATGTGTTTACAAATGCAGAATAGCATGCAATACTGCTTATCCAGGATTTTTAGTGTGCTGTTAAACAAATTATTTGACTTTCTCTACCATGTAGGAAACAAAAAAAAGTCTCAAAAAATGAGGTTTTTTTTTAGGGAAAAAATGCCATGTTTACAGAAATCACAGAGATGTCTGGTTTTAAAAATAAGACAGCCTATCTTGAAAAGATATGTTTTGAAAAGATTCTTTCGTATTGTTTTTGTTTATGTCAAAGGGATGATTAGAGCCCCAGTAAATGGGAACCTCCCAGCATACGCTAATAGAAGGCCAGCAGCCCACATACGGCTTGCAGCTTGGGGGATTTCTCTCAGTGTTCTGCCAGAGATGGGACTGCACAAATGGTTTCTCGCCTAAGTCTCAAGTCATAAACTGCAGGACCAGCCATGCCAGAACTGGACCCAAGGGTATACAGAGTCTTGACTGATGGGAAACAATGACTGGTTCCTAAGAAAGCCACAGCTGCTTTCCTGAGAGACACCTCAGATGCCTGAATTTTCCCTTACTTTCCATTTTTGACTACCTGTTCTGGCAACAATTCCAACAAAGGGAGAGGCAGGCAGCAGGCACCCAGCTGTTTTCAATAAGACTTGGCAATATAGGTACTGATTACATAAACACTACAAACATTCAAAGAATATATTTTCTCCTTTCAAGCTATGAAAAAAGGTGTGAGCCTGTATCAACACCTCACATCTCTTCTACTCCAAATGATGATGATATGATGATAATAATAACTTTTATTATTAAAACAAAGATTGTGAAAAAAACCTATCAACTGCTGGGAAGGAGCTCAAATGATACAGAGTATTGGAAAGATGTGAAATCTCCACATTTCAGGGACAATAATTTTTCTTTTTCCTTATGAAATAAGATTAAAGTGTGCACTTAATTTGATTGATTTCTCATTTTTCCCATGACCCAGGCAAAAAGCAATCAGATATTGCATTACCATTTGCATTACATTTTCTTTTTCATATGTTCAAAAATATAATTTAAAAACCTTAACATATGCTACAATCTCCAGGTAAGTATATCAATGAAATAGTACATAAGATCCTCTGCTAATATTAATCTGGAAGATGTTGATTTACTTTTTAAGTCAGATGGACAGAATTTCCTGGCTTTTAAAAAATATGTATTCACTTTCTGGATTTGTTATTTGGAAACTGAAATTTTAAATAACTCATTCATGCTTATAGGTAGCAGATGCAGAGTATTTTAAAAAATGATTCCTATATTTGACATACTAGAATAAGAATTTACCTAAAGGAATTGGAGCTTCAGTAATCTATATTACTAGGTAACTAACTGTTCAATTTCCTGTATAACGGAGTGATATTCCTATAACAGAGAACAGAATTGCATTTAATTTTCTGTCTTAAGATTCTTATTATTTTTATCCCAATAATTCAAAATAAATCTTTGGCTAGGCCTCTTCTCCTTAATATGTCTATTGTTTCTGTGATAATTTTCTTTCCTCCAAGGTGGTAGAATATATTATTTGATCTGGGTTTTAAATTAGACCCTTTCAAATAAAAATAAGTACTGAATAAAAGCAGCAGAGAAAATATTTTTCAAGTTGTTTATGAAAACCAGCTTTGGATAAAGTGATACTGTTAATTCAAAAACTTAAAGCTATTTTACAGAAAATAACAGTGTCATAAGTAAATTAGTGAATAGACTAAGAAAGATATACTGCATACACATTGCAATTACCATAACTTGGGACATAAAGGGACTGGTAAAACAAAAGAAAAAAAAACTCTGAAAAAGGAGTAAGCAAACTAGGATGTCCCAGTTCAACACAAACTATTTTGCCTCAAGAGGTCAATTTGATTTTGTTTCTGTATTTATAAAATGGGAGTATTAGCTTCCCTGATTTTTCACAGGATTTTATTGAGTATTGACTTACTTTTTTAAATTATAAAGTATTATAAGAATATAAGAGAGACTATTATGCTACTATTCTTGCTTAAAAGACTCAAATTAAAAGTGAAAACAAAGTGACAGATGTGACATAAATTGTAAGTAGATTTTGGAACATGAGAGATTTTAGTCAACTCTTTCTCGTTGGTGGTCATAAGTTAAAATGATGCCTTTAAAGCTGCGGCTATATGATAATTGCTGGGAAAATAGAATTCTGCAAAGTGGCATAAAACTTTAGTGGGTAACTATTACAATTATGGATTGATCATTTGTTTGGAGTATTTCTATTATGGACCCTGTCCTTTTACAACATGGTGTTCCATGTTTTTTTTTGAGTTTTTATACAAGCCTTTTGAAACACATTTTAGTGTCTTAACATAATTTTTATTTTAATTCCTTACTTATGACAAAAATATGGAATAATTTCTAAAGATCCTCCCACTCACTATTACCAAACTACTGTTTTGTTCTTTCATATTTCATTAAATTCCCCACTCATATATAAAACTATGTCCAAAATAATTATTTTTATACAGATCTTTTTCAGGGGGATCTTGAGCAACACAATGGAAATACATGCATAAACATTTTCTACAAAAAACAATTTTTTAGTTATAGTGTTTCTTGAAGTATTTTTTGACAAACATAAAAAGAATAACATTCAACAAAGCTGAGTCAATTTTGAGCAGAACCACAATAATGCCATGATACATTTTTGGACTAGCGAATTGACAGCAGAACTGCAAAGGAAAGGGCCAAACTTGAAGGACACAATGGAGGAAGAAAGGTCAGAAAAATGCCTTGGAGAATTATTGTTCCATATCTTTGCTGTATTCTAAACAATGCTCTGCTAGACAATCAAAACTCTTGAAAACCTATTAAAATGTTCAGTCCAGACTCAATGTAGGAAAACCTAACATATTAAAGTCACAAAATAGTAACCCTTCAAATTTCTCTAAAATAAATACATTATTCTATCCATTCACTATTTATTTAGTGTTAGGTGTGGAGTACACACACACACACACACACACACACACACACACACACACAAATAGCATGGGACCTACTTCAAAGGTGAATGGTTGTATAAAAAGAATTACATCGAATCAGTCTCTATTAGGTTGTATTCATTCACAAATATTTATCTCACTCTTTTTTTATGCCAGGCCTTTCACTCTTGGCAGAGATGTTACTGGTGAGTAATACGGCCCTGAGTTTTTCATGAACATATATTAGATTTGTACAGACCTTATTTCTAAATCTTCAGGTAGAATTATCTTTATAATGTTGTCATTCAATGAAAAAAGAAAAATATTTTACTAAAATGAGATCAATCCCAGGACTATATTACATTTTCTACTGACTTAGCTTACTTGTAAAATGAATCATATCTAGCACAGCTATCTTAACAAGGTTCTTACAAGGGTAAGCGATGAATCATCTTCATCTAGCAGGTAGAGTATTCCCTGAAGTAACCATGATTCAGTGCTTTGAGTAGCATTTTGGGGATACAAACGAAGTCAATTTTACAGTTCCACCTTAGGCAAGTTATTTAATCCTGCTATGCCTCAGTATCTTCAGCTGAAAAAGATACTGAGCTTACAAAGAACAGCTTACAAAGTTGTTGCAATGTTCAATTTAAATAAGGTACATGAAAACTTACTACAGACTTTCATACGTGCAAACATCAACAAACGTCAGTAGTTTCAATTGATTATATTGTGTTATTATTGTCAGCATTTACATTAGATCAGCATTTACAGCAATGTTTTCCAAACTTGGCATTGAAAATGTATCATCGAAGTTCTTCCCCTCATTGGATTTAACTTATTTTGTTCAATTATTATTGATATGACACACATAAAAATAGATCTTTTTTAAAATTCATGAGATAAAACAAGTATAAATAAAAATTCTATTTTTTTTTCCAACTCAATGGATCCTCTCACCCATCACTTTTGAAAACCACAATCAAAAATATAAAGAAGTCTTCTATGTTCCAAAGTTTGATATCCTAGAAAAAACATTGGCTGAGCACCACGAAATGTGGACTCTCATCCTTTGGGTCACAAATAGCTGAATTGTTTTATTTTCTCAGGACAAGCAGTTTATTTGTTCAATGCGAGGGTAGAAATAGAAAATCTCCAAGATCTATTATCAGTTCTATTATGTGAAAAAAATAATAAAAATGACCAACACAATATTAAAAAAATATAAATTTCCCCAGATAGCCTCCAGGAAAATTTAAATTTATAATAAAAAGGATACATCAGAAATATTGGTTCTTGTCCCAGTTTTTTGCACAATAATGTAATTGAACAGTAAAAAAACCCTGAAAAATCCTTTTATAAAAGCATCCTCCACACATTTGAAGTATGTATAGAGGATGGCAAAGAATGGAAGAGACAGATTCCAAAATCGTCAATTCCTAGATATCAAGATTCCTGATCTCCTCGATGGAGATAAGCTAGCTTCCTGGCACTCTGCTTCCCAAAATTTTACAAAGTTAGGATAGACAAAAGTATATCCTAATAACTTAGTGGATATTGCCAAAGGTATGGTAGATAAAGCATCAGCAGTAGCAATAACTCTTATGAAAATTTTGCAAAGGCAAGTACTCAAGTAAAAACATGTAAAATGAACAATTTTGATGGTTACTGGTAAATGATGGAGTGCTTCAAGGACAACAGAAATTTCACAGGTAAAAACATTTTGCTTGTTTGTGTTTATAGTTCAACAAACACAGATTGGCCATTAATGTATTGTATATATCCAGTAACAAAATTAAACCTTTAAAATATTTAGTTTTTACATGATCCATAATTTGTTGCTGTTTATTTCTCTCTTCAATGAGACATAAAGGAGGGAGAGAGACAGAGAGGAAGAAATTACTAGAATTTCTAAAAATAATTATGTTATGAAAAATCTGTAAAAACAAATCCACGGGGAATTTGTAACCAATATTAAATATTGAATAAGAGAAAAATCACACTTTGGGACACTACGAATTTTCAGAAAGTATCTTTGTAGCTGAAAATGTGTTTCTGATTATGTCAAAGGTATATTTTATGGATTCTGGAGAAATGTGTTAATAATTCTCATGGCTAAGTAAAAGCAAAAGAGACCTCTTTGGTTAGCTTCTGAAGTTAGCACATGCAGCAAAAGTTATGCAGAGTTAAAATTACCCTAGAAAATCCCTTCAATAACCCCTAAAGTATAATACACATGGTTTTGTATATACAAACGCTTTATGACAATTTTCTCACACCCTCAAATTTGAGAACCATTGTGCAAGGCTGAGGAAAGTAACCAAAGGAAAGTCTATATGCAGGTTTCTCACAATTCAAACCAATCCTACCTTTGGGTCAAAGGGAAAAGAGCAGAGGAAAAAAATGGATGAGGAGCTCTAACATGTTTCTACTTATCTGTAGGGCTTGCTACTTTTTATTTTTAATATTGAACCTTATTACTCGAATACATTTTTAAAGGATGTGGTTGCTTTTGCGAGGGTCAAAAAAAGAGTGGAATACACCTTGCAATTGGTGGTAAGTCGTAAATCCTGATAATAGCTTAAATGCACAAATGATGTCATTCTACTTTATCTTAATACACAGAAGAATATTTAGTTTGCCTTCTCGGACATAAAAAGCTTATTTTAAAGCAATGCTTTAACTGCCTACATCTTTTTGTATCTCTTGCTATTTCTAAGTGCATCTTTGACAGCAGTGATCCTATAAGAGCCTATGCCAACAGAAATTTTATTTCAAACTTTCAAATGAATGAGTCCAGTATAAATTCTGTCACAACACATGTAATATATCAAGACCTTCTGTTATAAGTAGAGTAAGCTAATTTTAAATCGAATACTAGCATTTTCTTTCCCCAGTGATGATCCTCTGCAATAAATCAGTCCACCACAGAGTATTTACTACAAGGGTTCTCCTTGTTATGAAGCAAGACTCGTAGAGAAACTTACACAATCCTGAAATGAGAAGACTGTTGTGGCCCTTGGCAATTTCACAAGGAGGAATATTAACTAAATTCATTATAATTGGCTAAATTTCTCCACAATTTGATCAAAAGAAAGCACATGTATGTGGAAATTTTATTTTTCTTTTTTTTCCTCTCTTTTTTTTCTTTACTGTGATGAAGTGAGTTACCAGGTCCCCCAAAGACCTGAAGACTCAACACAGCTTGAGTTGTACACCGGAATTCTCCCCCATGAGTTTGGCGGCTGGGTCAGTAGGAATGATATTAGTACATTTAATTTTCAAAACACACACAGTGGAACAGATGTGTTTTATAGAGACTGCAAAATGAAGGGGGTCTGCATATTGTTTTGGTACTATATGGTTAGAGATCGCTGTATGAATCTAATTCCTGCTGATAATCATAACTTGTCTTTGTGAAAACTAGTTTATAATATTTGTGTATAGCACTATGGAGAATATCAAAGCTACCAAGATTTGAAACAGTGCAGCAGGAGCTCCAAGACTTTATGTAAATTAACCCCACAACATGGAACACATTAACTTGAGGGTTTTAGGAATTTGGAACTCAGAATGCCTAGGATGTGGGCTTAATTGAAATGCAGTATTATGACAATCAGTTTTTCTCTAGAGACAGGATTTTTTAAGGTGCATGCGAATGTATAATTGAGCACTGACGTATTACATCATGGTGATACATTTTTAAAAACCCGTATCGGCTTCACAGTATTTATTTCACTGAAATACCACTGGTCATTCAAAGATTCCTCCTTTAGTAACAAGCCATCTGAATAAATGAACAGTACACTGAGGTGAGCCAGTCAGCTCTCAGATGGGACCAGACCTCAAAGGCTCACACATACACAAAGCTCTTCTTCTGGAAAAAATGTTCCTGGGTTTTCAACATAAATCAGGGTCAACACATAATACAATCACACTCTAGTGTATTTAAAAGCTGGAAAACAGTCTAACTAGGACTGTGATGCTTTTAGCAAACTTTCAGGCCAAACAGCAATCAGAAAGAGTATTAATGGCTTTGGCTTTGTGATCAAACCCTGTCTCTGTTCTTGTCCACAGAGGGGTTGCCTGCTTTCCTGGGGAATTGTTAATGGGCGTTAGAAAACTACACTTTCTGCACTGCTATAATTTTATAGGGTTCCTTTTTCTATGTTTTTTTTGTAAACTGTAGACACAAATGAACATAGTGGTAAGTAACACTAAAATCCAAGAGCCTTGATTTTCACACTGTAACAGTTAATTTATTAAACTTTCACGGTCAAAGAATAAGCCAAATCTTTCTACTGGAATTCTATAGGCATCATTCATTTGTAGTAGTAATGAAAAGATTAAAGAATAATGATAAAAAATAATGAAGTGTCACTAAAATTCAATATAATAACAAAACTCATTTGGTCCAATTGCATACTGAATTCAAGTGTATGTCAAATAAAATCAAGTTTTTTTAAGATATAAAATATAAAGTATGAAACTAAAAGTTGCTTACTGCATGGGAGATTTAAGAACTCTAGGATCAATAGATCAACACATATCAATTGAGCATGCATTACGTTCCTATATAAGTGCAAGAAACAAAGTGAAAGAAAAAGTGTGTGTGTGTGTGTGTGTGTGTGTGTGTGTACACATGCACACATGCCCAATCCCTTTGACAATGTTTGGCAATGTGAAATATAGATGTACATATCTCACACCCTCAAAGGGGCTGGGACTTCCATAAAGTGTCCTAATTCACAGACACAAAACTCTCTTTTACTATAAATAAATACATCATTTGAATACCTAATATATAGCTTACCTTAAAAGAAAAGAAATACTAGAGTCTATGGAAAACGAGAAGGTGAGGAAGGAAATACAGTTGAAGTTGTGATGTTGCAATTGAGCCATGAAATGTGACCTTGAATCTATGAGGGCTGTGGTAGATGGAAATGATAATTTTCTTTCTACAATTTGTCATATGAAATTGTTGGGGCCCCCAAAGAAAGAAATGTTAAATACTGTAAAGATGTTCCCATATCCCAAGGAACATGGGAAGCCCAGGGATATTGACAATCTCAACTGAGGAGGAGTTCATAATAAAAATTTAAATGCATGAACACATACATAATCTCTCTCTCTCTCTGTGTGTGTCTCTCTCTCTCACATGCACACACACAAGAAAAACAAAGACATCTTGAGAGAGACTTTAATATGTGCAAGAAATGGAGAATTTACACCACAAATATAAAAAGTAATGAAGAAGCAGGAAAGATATTATAAAGTAAGTTTTAAGTTTAAAGGGATTAAAAATAGAAATAATGAGAAACAAATAAGGGACTAAAAATAAATAGCAGGTAAATTTAAACATACATCAAATAGAAACATCTTAAATTAAAATATAAGATATTGAAATTAAAAATCCAATGAACTGGCAAATAAAACTAATCACTCAGAAGAAAATAATGCAAGATGAAAATAAATACTTGGAGATATGGAAGTTAAAATGAAAAATACAGTGTGTCTAACTGAAATTCAAGAAAGTAAATGAGAAGAATGGTGGAGAGGAAATAACAATAGAAAGCAAAATAGAATTACTAAAGACCAAATACTGGTATATAAATGGCACACTGTTAATTTATTGTTCGCCATAATTTATGAGAAATATTATTATTTATTTATTTAACTTTATTTTCGATTCAGGGGTACATATGAAGAATTGTTATGTAGGTAAACTGTGTGTCCTGGGGGTTTGGTGCTATTAAATAAAACTAAATGACAACGAATATACTGCATATCAAAATTGAGGGATACAAGTAAAATTGTAGAAAGAAAATTATTAAATTTATCAATAAGAAAAAAGACGTATAAACGGTAATATATCCAAACAATTAAATGCTGTAGATGATAAAAATGAAAATGAAGTTTCATATTCCAATGTGGAGAAATTTCAAGAACAAATTTGAGTGAAAATGTAACAGTGTGAAATTATTTATGTAATTTTTTAAAAAGCAGAAGGCTGCTATATTAAGGATATATAGTGAATAGAACTATATCTTCCTTCAGAGGAATGAGAGACATTAATACTATATTGACTATGGTGTGTGTATGTGTGTGTGTGTGTGTGTGTGTGTGTGTGTGTGTATTTTGTGAATTTTTGTTTTACGATTTTGGGCCATATGTTTTAGTTCTTTTAATGATGACTCTTTCAACAGTTCTTTCAGTTCTTTTAGTGGTTAGTTCACATAGTGATTGCAATGGACAGGAAGGAAAAGAATGTGGTTGAAGGGAGTGGGCTTCCAATGTTCAGATAAAAAATTCATTTCCTTTAAAAAAAATCTTAAAATATATTAACTCTCTGTAAGCTTGGCTAATATACAATTTTGGATATTTTATTTTTTCTGTATTTTTGAAAAAATATATAGTTTAAAAATACTTATTAATTTAAAAAAAGAGTTCAACAAGACCTGTGAATGGTCAGGAAAGCTTCAGAATACAGGTGATATTCCTGCTGGCCTGAGAGACAGATCAGACCCGAGGTGGCAAGAAGAAAGACTAACTCAGTTGAAGCATGGTGCACACAGTCCACAATCAACCTTTTGGTAGAAAAGACAGGCCTGACTCTTTTTCAACATATTTGGAATTAACAGAAAAATTGAAAGAGAAGTCCATCTATGGGGCTATTCAGTGCTAGACTGAATAAGGTGAATCTTATTCAATGACTTTGAAGGATAATGCCATAATAAAAGTTAAAATATGTAATATGAATTAAATAGGAGAACAAGTCAGGTAAAGCTGTCAGAATCATGTTAGATAAGAGAAAGTATTGTAGCTTCATACATTTACTGATCAAATTTGTATTAAGTACCTCCATGCACTAATTATCTACACAATGTTCATTAGCATAAAGGTGAAGATTAAAATACTTATTCAGGAAATAATTATTTATAAAATTACAATAATCACCCAGGCCATTTCTACTCTTACGGGGTTTGAATTAGTGCAGATAATACAGATCTTTGCACAATTACAATGCAGTGTGCTGTGTGCAGTAGAGACATCTAATATAATCTAGACAATCAAGGAAAGTGGCAGAATGAAGTGCTGGAGCACAGTAGTTGTTCAATTAAGTATTTATGAATGGATGATTGCATGATTACATTAACTAATATTTAAAGTGAGACAAGAAAGATGAAGAGGAGTTTGCTAGCTGAACACAGGAGGAAGGAAAGTTTTGGGGCCAGAAACAACAATCCAGGAAGGAAAAAAAGACAATTTTTTTTTTTAAAAGAAATTAAGAGACATTCTGAGAGGTCTGATCCTGAGAAGCACAAGTAAAGAGTAAAGAAGGATAAGGCTTGTGTAAGACAAGATAGGTGATTGAAGCGTTCTCATCCTGGAGCTATGTGATTCGATTTACTCTTCAGCACCCAGGCTGTGGTGTGGAGAATGAAGACTGGCTAAGTGGGTAAGTGGATGAGAGTCCTGTTAGGACACCATCTCAGTAAGCTGATGATGACAGTGGCCAGAGGGAAAGTAGTATTGGCTATGGGGATGGAGAGAAGAAGATGGATTTAAAGGATTTGAGGGGATTACACTGTGAAAGTGAATGAGTTCTCCAAGGAGTATATACCTAAGAAAATATATCTATGCTCTCCTGATAATCCCCTAACATCTTTCCAGACAAGCCAGATGGCTTATTACATGTTTCCTGCACACACCCCAGATCTTTCCTGTTGTACAGCTCCCTTCATACTCACTTCCTCTAATTCTTTTCTTCAATCCCACTTCTTAAAATCCCACCCGTCCTTGAAGGCAGGCCTCAATGATACCTTGCTCATGGAATCTTCTATGATGTCCATTCTTTTATACAATATATAATCTCTGCTTCCTCTAAGTCCTTAGAATTTTTGCCTTATTTCTTTTATTGCATTACATACTGACTGCTATAATGGCAACTGAACATCTTATGTGTCCACCTGACTGTGCCTTTTTTTTTTTTTTTTTTTTTTTCCTGGAGATGGAGTCTGGATCTGTTGCCCCAGGCTGGAGTGCAGTGGCTTGGATCTGGGCTCACTGCAACCTCTGCCTCCTGGGTTCAAACGATTCTCCTGCCTCAGCCTCCCAAGTGGCTGGGATTACAGGGGCCCGCCTATCATTCCTGGCTAATTTTTTTTTTTAGTAGAGACTGGGTTTCAATGTGTTTCCCAGGTTGATCTCGAACTCTGAGCTCAGGCAATCCGCCCACCTCGGCCTCCCAAACTGCTAGGATTACAGGGGTGAGCCATCATGCCCGGCCCTGACTGTGCTTTAAGGCCTGGAAAAATATCAAATATGAATTGTTCCTATTTAAAGTGCTTGGCATACTGTCTTGTGCATGTTAAGGACACAGTGATAATAATATTTATTCAGAAATAATATAAATCCAGTAATATTTTATTAATATGAATATATAAATTATCTTATTAGAAAATTAACCTTATTTCAAAACCATTTAAATTTAGAACCGATTGTAAAACCAAGCCCAGAACTGGAAATTGGCTAATAACAACATATGCTATTATTATTACCATAAATAGCATATATTTTCAGGACACAGATCTAAAAATCTGTCCCCTGAAATTAATCTAATTATGTCCCCTGAAATTAATCTAATTTTAAATAAAGTGGGTGTTCAAAGAGATATGTAGGCTGAAAATGATGATGCTATTTTCTGTGATGATATTCGTAAATCTTATAAAATAATGAAAATCATAAAAACATTCAAGAAAGTTGGAAGACTAGGAAAATACAATGAGGATGTCAGAATGATGAATAACTTGGTGTTGTTTTACACCTCCAAGAAAAGAAGGAGAAAGAGGCAAATCATGTAAATATTTTCTGTTGTTGTTTTCTCAATCAGTATGCCTCCTTGGTAGTGGGCTCACCGAAAATGTAGGAGAATCATTTGGCCCCTTTTACCTTCTGGATATTGAGGACATGTGTGTCGGATCAGAGTTACAGGGTGACTTCCATGAATCTATTCCAGCCCCTCTGGAAGTAAAGGCCATCTGTCAGTTCCTTGAGCCAGGGCTGAGCTCTTGTAAGTCATCTAGCAAAACTTTGGAATCTGGCTGATAATGCTGATAGCTAGAAAGCTGCCTTTTGTGAAATAACAACTTTACCTACATCATAATCACAGAAAGAGAGAAAAAAAATGACACGGCTAAAAAAAAAATTCCTCCTTGTTTTTCACTTTAAATTCTTTATTTCCCTTGCTGAGACAAAGGGCAATAGTGGTGACTATAGACGTAATCCCCTTTCCTCCTAAAAAATTCAAGTACAGGGTTTTGGTTTCACAGCAGTCAACTCTGATATTTCTTCTCCTTGGTGAGAAGCAGGATATGCTACGTGGCTTTTGTTTGTAGGCACACTGGAAATTGTAGAATCCCTTTTAAAGAGAAAATGAGCATATGGAAGCTCTTTTTTGTAAAACTATTGTTCAAATGAATGTTAAACATACCATCCACAAAATTAAATTTAAGCATCTGCTTCCTTCAAGGAATAGCCACTTGCCCTTCCCCTAGAGAAAAATCCAACAAAGGAAACATAGTTATTCTTCTATTGCAGTATCCGTGAACTAGAAGATAATTGTTAGATATATGTTGTGCAATTTCACCAATTTCATAACAATTTCTGTATGTAAAAGGCAAATATTTTTAATATTTATATAGCATTACGTTTTCACTTTCCAATTATTTCAAACTTCACAACAAAACATATAGAGTGTTTACATAATTTTCTTATGATTAGTTATTCAGTTTGGAGAGTAAAACTTTAATATAATCGTGCAGTTTTCCTTTGAAATCTTTTCGTCTAAAATGCTATTATTGGAGGATAAAGCAAGATGTAAGCTTCAAATTAGTCCAACTTGCTACTTTTTAGTCACTTTATTAAAGCATTTTGGGAAGAAGAGTTAATATTTCTGAATCCAAAATGTTTAACAAGTTATCTAATAACAGATTTTTTTTGGTCTAGGTATTAGAATCCTGACATTACTCAATAATTGGTGATTTATTTAATTAATTAGTTCACAGATACCTGAAATGTAGCCTCAACTTTTGATTTTGGAAGTCAGAATGAACTTAGAGCCTGATGAACAGCAAACATAGACAAAAAGCTCAAAATATTTTGAAAATAAAACTGATAGAAAAAGAAAGACAGTGAGTGGCTAGAGCGATTGAGATTTCGTGATCTTTAGCATTCACTCAAATATTCCCTTAAAGCAAAAACATGTTTTTCAATGTTAGTCATCTTGCTTTTTGGCTAGTCATTAGAAATGGTCAGTAGTTATTAGCAACCATACCTGTATATTTCTTTATAGAAGAAACTGTTATGTCTATTAACCTATCCTCTTCATTTGTTAAATAAATTATTTTCCCCATTTCTTTATAATGAACATTTTCAAACTTACAGAAAAATGGAAAGTTTGGCACTACAAATACTTCAGCCTCTTTCAATTTTCCACATATATTTTTCCATATGTGGTTTCCCCTATCTTTCTCTCTCTGTCTCACTCAAAACATTTCTGAATATTTGAAGTTGCAAATACCTAGAAATTTACCCCATATACTTTAGTGTTCATTTCTTAAGAACAAGGATTTTCCCCAACATGCGTAACAAAAATATCATCAATGAAACGTAGTTAACATTAATATAATTATCTAATATGCAGTTAATATACAATTTTTCCAAAATGTCTCAAAATATGCCCTACTGATTTGTGAATACAGATGCATGAGTGTGCATGTCTATGATTGTGTGTAATGTGTATATACTCAACAATGAAGCATTTCATGTAGTTTAGTTTTATATTTAATTCAAACACCACTTCAAGATTTATGTGTAGATAAATCATAACAATTAGAATACAATAATTTCACAATAATTTTAAGTGAGTGCTCAAAAGGCTATTTAAATAAAATACTGAAATTCTTCAAGACCTACAGTAAGAAGTGTTATAGTAACTGTTACTTCTGACTTGATCATTATTGCTGTTCAATTTAGTATTAACACTATAGGTTACTAGAAATACCATCATTATTGATATCTAAGAGACAACTAGCAGGTACAATTTTTGATAAAATTGTAGCTTCAGTGATATCATTGCATTATATTGAAATGCTCCTTTATCCTTATAAAAATACAATTTTCAGAACAAAGTGATTTTCATATAGATATAAGAATGAACATTTGTTAAAGATTCTATTCAATGAGGAAACTAGGTAGATGCTATAACTTTTTAAAAAGAAAATGTAAAGAACAGACACATTTATAGAATATTAAATGTCCAATAAGGGAGAAATATTTTTTCCACAGGGATTGGGGTTAAGGCTAGACAGGACAGAATTTACATGTTTACATATAAGAATTATTGGAGTTATAAAAAACTCCCATAGAATAAGACTCTGCTACATGAAGAAGTCTTCTCTAGCACCTAGACAATGCATAGTCTCTGAAGTACATAATTTTTCCTATATCTTTATTAATACCTGCCCCATCCATTTAAAATTTATTATACACTTAATATCAGAAAAATATTCTTGTTATGAAATTTGAATTATCTTGATCTATACAATTAATTAATCCTTGACAAAATTTAAAATAAATTATGAATATGTCAATGTCACAAATGTTTTCATCAACAGCTTCATTGGGAAATGTTCCAAAAATATGTACTTGAAACAAACTTGGCTGGAGGCTATCAAGTAAAAACTTTATTATTTAAAATTCTATTATGATGAACCTCTGGCATGTAACATTTATTTATGCTGATGTGTCAGAATTATTATATGTGGGTAAAAAGAATAAAGAGAGATCTAAATTAAATGAAGAAGTCAGAGAGCATCTCCTTCTAAGAAGGTATGGTGAGTCTCTCTATGCACAGGTTTCCAGAGTTCTGGAATCAGATTATGAGTAAAAGAAAAAAAAAATACGATTCACAGAACTACACTCTTGTCAGCAACCATATACTCTAGCCAAATCTTTCACCTCTGTTGCAGAATGAATATTTGTGTCCACCCTCACAAATACAGATGTTGAAATCCTAACACCAAACTGATGGTATTATGAGGAGGTAATTAGGTCATGAGGGTAGAAAGCTCGTGAATGGGATGAATGTACTTATAGAAAGAGATAAGAGAAAGCTTGCTTCCCCCACCCCTTTTTGTCTCTCTGTCCTCTCTTTCTCTCTCTCTCTCTCCTCTCATCAATGTGAGGATACAAGAAGAAGGCTATCACCAGAAACTGGATGTGCTGGCACCTGGGTCTTGGACTTTCCAGCCCCCAGAACCATGAGAAATAAATTTCTGTTGTTTAAGCCATCTCATCTATGGTATCCTATTATAGCACTCAAACTGACTAAGGCAAGCACTGAATGTCTTATACCCCTCCCTTATTGCCTCATGTCCCTGAAACTCTCTATGCTTGAAAAATCTTTTGTATTGTTTGAGCACCAACCACTTTCCTTTCCTAACTCAATTAATTAAATAGAGCTGTCCCAAGGAAATATAAAATTATGGTTTGGGCCATGAATAGGAGCAAAGCAATTAGCAAATTTGGCAGTATAGGCAACAAGGTCTAATTATATTTACAAATTTTAAAAAAAATGCTTCATATTGCACATCTAGTGATATTGGCACAATTTCAAATTTTTAATTTTTTAACTTGTGATAAAAATACGCATTTTGATTGTGGAAATTTCGGACAGTAGGAATATTATATATAAAAAATAAATGTCCTAATTCACAGGTAGAAGGAAGAGTTTGGGGAGACATCATTAACATTTGGTATACTTCTTTCAGTCTTTTTTTTCTTTTTTCTTTCACTTTCTTTTTAAAATTTAGTTCATGTTAAAATTATACTAAATATATTGTTTGATACAGATTTTTATTTACCATCAGACGAACATTTTTCCATGTGATTGCATAATCTTCAAAAATAAGATTCTTAACAATTGTGTAGTGTTCGACTGCATGAATGCTCACAACTTTTATCCGTTCCCCTGAAGTTGCATTCCAAATGCTCCTAAAAATTTGCCTTTATAATTAGATGATGGTAATCTCTGTAAAAATATCCTTCAGTTAATCTTTGTATTTTCTTATGATATGTTTTTGTGGTTTTAATTACTATGTCAAAGATTACAAATGTTTTAACTTTCTCAATATGTTTTGCTCCAAATCCCTTTAAAATTATAGTATAATTTTAATTATTATTTCACATGATTATAAAATTGTGTGAAAATTTACCATCCTACCAGAAGTATAAATGTATAAAAGTGTGTACATCTCATTACACCTACATCAATCTTGGTAATATCCTTTTTTAAAACTTACATTAATATGAGAGATAAAAAGACAGACTAATAACTTAAGTTGAATATTTTTTTATAGCTGTTAATATTATTGAGCTTCTATTATGATTGTTACTCATGGCAGAATAAAAACTTAGCATATTCATGTAAAAGGTCATTTCTTGCTCATAAGATTAAATAAATATATCTTTGTTCATAAAATATTTAGGAAAAACAAGCTCAGACATAGTAAACACATTTTCTTAAATATTTAAGAGTTGATTAATCTGATAGATTCAAATTCTTATATTCAGTCTGTGGCTGTTTTTGACATTTTTTTCATAATTCTCTTCTTACCCTGGCAACTTGGCATCTAATCCACTATCTATCTGACACACAGTACATTTTAAAATAAATATTCATTGAAAAAATAAAAGAGATAAATCAGCTTCTATGATGATGTGTGGTTTCTCATTTCATGTTTCAGATGTGTAAATGTGGCCAAAGTTTATCGTTGCTTTCTTTGCCCCAGTCCTGTTCATCACCTTCCCTAAGAAAAACTAGCCTTTCTCACCTTAGATTTTACTGGCTAAAATCTTATCAAACCTGAGCTTGGAGGATTTCCAAAAAGCAGAACTTTGAACTCTATGTTACCTTTTCATGGCATCTGATAACAAACTCTGTATTTTAAATATCACTGAACTAGCTCCATATCTAAATCAGACCAATGCAACAAGAAAATTATGTATGAGAATAAAACCAATTAGGTTCTGAATTACAAGGACTCTGATGTTTAGCCATGTCAGACATGACCTTAGAAAAGTCAGTTAAGCTTTAAGATGACAATATTTTTCTGACACCAGTTCTGAAAAGGACATTCTGTGTTGATTTCTAATGAGAAAATAGTAGATACAAAATCAGTTACAACAGAATTTTCTATGGACCCCACATTAACAAATAATCCTTGATTTTCCAGTCCATGACTAAGCATATGAAGCCATGCTAAATTTTTAAAGAGTAGAAATATGGGGTTAGAAGTACTGTTTAGGCAGATATGGAGCTTAAAGAGAAATACTCTCTCTGCATAAGACCTTTATTATTAACCCTGAAGAAAACAGTCCTGAAGAATGTCAACTAGCTCACTGACCCACAGCAAATCATTTTGGCACCCAACAGTACATTCAATTATTGTCAAACCTTGATTTCTAACTATTTCATGGGGACAACACTGGATCTTGAAAATTACAGATATAACTCACTATTAAAGTCACTGTCTGAAGAATTTTTATATTCATGAAAAATAGTCTGGCAGAAAACGTCATTATAAAATCAGTAAAAAGAAAATGCAAGAAATGTATCTCTCAAAGTCAGTATTTCCAACAAAATACCACCTATAAGAGAAAAGAAGAGAAAGACTCTTAATTATGGTTAGGGAAGAATGTTGCGTTATTTCCTGAGTAATTACTTGAAAAATCCAGACAAACGCAAAAGTCTCTTCCTTAACTTCATCTTTTTCCTAGAACCAGCTTACCTCGATTTTATTGTTTTTTTCTTGCTTAATTGAATTAAATTGGACATAAAGCCACCTTTAACTTTGAACTCCTGCATACCAAACTGCAACTTAACTTAGTACGTAACCAAATTGCAGTCTAACATAAGAGTATATTCTCAGTAACAAATAGCTGAGTATCAGCCAATCACATCAAGCAAACTTCAGCCAATCACATCAAGCAAACTTCAGCCAATCACAAGCTGCCTACTGATCAACCATGTCCATGTAAGGCAACGCTGTAACCAATCAAGCTGTGTATATGGTTATTTCCAGTTTCTACCTATAAATACTGAAACTGTGCCCCAAAGAGTTAAACAAACAAATATATCAACAATGACAACAACAACAACAACAAAATGGTGAAAACGGTGACAAATATAAATTCTTGAGTTTATAGGATGGCAGATTAAAAAAAAAAAAAAGAAGCAACTTACAAAAACACTAAAACTCCCTCAGCTTATAAAATACAACTGGCTAAAATCACTTGGGACCAATATGGCCAACTGGAGTCTGCACAAAATAAGGATGCTGACATTATGGCTGGAATTTCCACTGCATGTTTCACGGTAACGCCTCCTGAATTTACACGTATCATCCATGAGGTAGCATGAACAGTAAGTACACATGCCCAAGGACTTTGACTTTCCAGACTTTTCCTTTCCTTCTACTAATCAACTACTAGTTCCAGAATCCACCCTCTAAACCTTTTCTAATAAAGTTAATGACTTAAAATCAGCACAAGGTGACAGATTTGAACTGGACTTCTGCCTCTTTGTAGGTCAACTTAGAATACAAAGCTTTTCTTTCCTCAAAAGCTTGGTATTAGAGTATTGGCTTCTCGTGTGTTGGGCAGCGATCCCCTTTTACACAGTAAGAATACTGACTGCCCATGTTGCTGGGTGGAGCTCTCTGAACTTCTACTGGGACAGGGTGCTGCCTGATTCATGAATTCTTATTCATGCATATAAACTCTGCTTATTTTAATTTCTTTAAAGTTTTTCTTTTAACACTCCTATTGTTTGGAATAAAACTCCATTTTCTTTCCATAGTATTTCTCTCCACAGGAAATTAAAGTCTACACTTTTCCAACAGATAATAGTAGAAGTCTACTTTGGTGGGCAAGTGATTAAAAAAAATCCATCTTAAATTAACAGGTAGTTTGAGTGACACGTGGTCAAAACCTGAGTTGAAGGCTTTCCAAACGATAAAAATACTCCACATAGGGCATAGAACATCTACAAGATTCATAGAGCTCAAGGAAATGTAATTTAAAACAATCTTGCTAGCTATAGAGCTTAAAGGAGCTTGAAGGAAGGCAGAATATGAAGAAAGAGAGATGTATGGAAGGAGAAGTAAGGGAAGGTTGAACAAAATGGGCTGGAGAAATAGTTGTGAAGGAGTCAACTGAAACAGCCAGAGTACACAAGGAGAAAATAAAATATGAAGGGTTAGGCAGAATCACATATTGCAAATGCAGGACAGAAAAGTGAAAGAGCAAGTCATTAAGAGAAAAGGAGGAAGGAAACAAAATAACTAAAGTAAAATAAGTAAAATATACCAAGAGATATAAATGATCACTTAAAAAATGATCTGGCATTTATTCATGTTTTGCCATAGTAGTTATCTGCCAAAGCTGAAATTATAGTATTCCTCTGTGATTTGTTTTGATAGATTCAGCCAGGTGCATTATCTGTAGGCATTCTCATCCAGGAGAAAAATTAGCCAATCATGGATCTGGATGTAAATTTAAGGGACAAGAATAAGTAAAAGCTCTCCAAATGATATTTACGCAGTGGTCCAATCAAAATTGCATAAATTACTGAGTTCGACTGCCAGGAAAAGGGGTTAAATTTAATACAGCTAGACAGCTGAGCAGCTGCTTTCAGGATTTAAATAAAAACAAGCTGAAACTCCTGCTGTCAGACCAGTGATATATGACTTGTAATGGGATGTTTCCAACCTTTACTTCCATATGGCTGCCTACACTTTAGGTAATGCTCCCTGCCTCCAGTTCAACCAACTTTTCAGAAAACATCTGGGTCCCATTCCTGCTCCATTAGCTACAATGTTGCCTCCGACAAACACAAATGATTCATTGGACAACAACTCTTCACTTTGGGATCAAATTAGGGAATTTCATTGATAATTTTATCATGTCTATAACCAGAGGGAGTATATACGAACATGGCACATGTTCAATTTATGAAATTTCTTCACACAGTGTTCATACTACTAGGGATAATATATTTAAGATGAAAGGTGGATTCTAAGGGTTCGAATACAAAAATAAGATAAAATAAAATAAAATAAATAAAAGCTATCCTCACAAGGTGGGGTTTTTGTCTCGCTACTTTCTTACTACTTCAACTAGAAACTTCTCCCCATCTACACATCCCCTCATCCTTCCAAAAAAAAAAAAGAAAGAAGAAATAAAAAATGCCAAATAACCCTTTGAAAAGTGAGTTCAGTACAGGGGAAAAACGTGAGAACTTTTTGCCAACTTCACAAAACTTTCACCCATTTCAAGTTCAAATTAAAAATGGATTCCTTTATAAGAATTATGGGAAAATGCGAAGTATACACATATATATAACTAATTATTTATATATATATTATATTATATATAAATTATATATTATAATATATATAAATAATTAGTTATATATATAATTATTAGATCAAAGTATTTGTGTGCTCTGCAAATCAAACCAAGTGGGAGGCTCACATCTCCTAATAAGATATTTGATACTGTAGAATTCAAAATGTACTAGATGTTATTCTGTAAAAGGAATTAGAAACATTATCTAATACTTTGTGATTGTGCCTCCGATTGTCATCTTGTAACTCCCAACAATACTTAATACAAGCCATATTTCTCATTTTAATTCATTGAAACAAAATTAAAATTATAATTTATACAATTTACATTAATTTCTTATTTTAAAACAATAAATGTCTACACATAGGCACATACAAAATTTCAAGCCAAATTTTCTTAAATTATTGCTTTCCCCATTAAAGGACTTACAACAAAGGAAAAGAAAAGAGGAGGAGGAAAATAAGAAGAAACAGTAATACCAGCAGCAGCATATTGGTGGCTGGATACAGAAGTTTTGAAAATTTTGTGACAGAAATGGAGGAAACCAGACAAAAGCCCTTTTTCTTAGCAAGAGTATAAAAGTGCTTACATTTTTTCCCCTTACAGTTACAAGTTTATTGGTTGTCTGCAAAATTTAAGGTAAAAAAAAAATTACCCATAAATACAATCGAGGAGTTCATCTCCTGGGAAAATCCTACTTGAATCTAGGCAATTACAAAGGCCTGACAGGTCCCACATGGGACCTATGTCAGGGACCTGTCCTATGGCAAGTCCTACAGGGGAAGCTCCCCTCCTCACACCAGACTTGGTGCACAGAGAGTGTATCACAGATTCTGAAGATATTTTCAGTAAAAGACTCAGGCCCTCTGTTGGGTCATGCTCTTTGACATATTTACATTTCTAGTACAGGCAATTTCATTCCTAGGTCTCTTTATCTGAGGCCTTGTGCAGAAGTCTTTTTCAGGTGGCTCTGCAGAAACCTCCTTATAAGGGAAAGAGAGAGAAATCTCAAAGACACTTTTCCCCACTCTGACTCGGTCCACAGTACTTCTCACTCCTCGCTCTTCCCCTTTGCTCTCTCCCCACCGCAGAATCCATGAAACTCCTAGAGCCTTTTGTTTGGGACTCCCTCAATATTGAGAAGACTGCAGTACCTCTGCTCATCCCATTGGCCCTCAAACTGTGTGTCCTTCCATGGGGGAAATGGAACGAGGGAAGTCATCACTTTCTCTGGTGTTAAACTCTTGCTTATTCCACTGCACCATTAATGCTTAACTCTTTCATTTTTGGCTTGTTGCTTTAATCAGCTATTTTAATTCAGGGTGGCTCAGTTCTCTTTCTCAGCTTATTGAGTCCTAGATCATGATAGTGAACCAAGTTCAAGTTCATTTTCAATTTAGAGCTTCATCAGAAGAGTTTTCTGGAGTGTAACAAAATATAGACTGCCACCACTCCCCTGCTTAATTTCTCCGTAATTCCTAAATATATCAGTGTGATGGTTCTAGTAGGGCAAATGGAAGTTGCAGTAGGACAGGGATGTGGTCCTATTTCATTGGGAAGCTTGCTCCACTTCCAATGTCTTTTTGTCCTTTTTGTTTGACAATCAAAACTTATGAATACGATAGTTTGATGGACTCTGCTTCTATACTTATCTCTCACTTCCCCAGCAGTGAGTCAATGTATTCTTCCATGGGCCCCAACATTCTCTCCCTATCTCAAAGCATAGATCAAATTGGCATCCCTCATATCATGAGCTTTCTTTGAAATTCCCTTTTGTATTTAACACAATGCAAATTTTGCGTTATATTTTATAATGTCAGTTTAAAATCAAATAATGTGTTACACATCACACCATTTGAGAAAGCATGTGACAGTGTTTATTCAATAGCTTTGCATAATGAATGATCATAATCAATTGATATGAATGTTCCATTTTGCAAAGCAAATTCTAGTGGAGCTAGTCAGACCTGGGTTAAGATTATAGATCTTCTAGGCATTACTAAATTATTTGTAAGGATAATGTTACTTGTCTTGCAGCGTTCTGTGAGGGTAAAATGATATAATGTGATTTTCAACACCTATTTCTTCCCTTTCTTTTGCACCTGTTTTCATATGTGGCTGGTACAAAGCTGTGCAGCTTTGTGGCTCAGGTATAACAGGAGTGGTCAAAGTAACACAAATCTGACAATAAAAAATAATAAAGTAGTTACTTATATATTTATCACAGATTGTTAGAAAAATGCCAAAGGTGGGTTATGCACAGAAAACAAAATGCTCTTAAAATGCTCTTTAAAATTGCTAATTTTCCATATTTCTCCCCAAAGTCATATTTGTCATATAATTGTATCTGTTTTCAATCTCTCTCACAAAATCATAAGCGATTTTTTATTTCTCATCCTCCCACCTGCTGAAGATTTTCTTCTCGTTTCCTCAACTATTAAAGAGATCTTTTCAATGCAAGAAATCTTCCCTTGCCTACGCTCTACATTATCCATTTGCTCACTCTGTACAACAGTATCCCAAGACTCTGGCTAGAAATTTCAATCTCCTTCTTACAAGACATGGGAAGTGGAGGTGCCACAAGTATCCACAATATTTTAGGAAACAGGGCTTGTGAAGCTAAGTGACTTGCACAAGGTCATAGCTTTCAGAAGTAAAAGATAGCTTTTCCCTTTTCCCCCTTCTTCCTTCTCTCCTTCTCCCCACTGTTCTTGTGCCAACGTTCTTTCTTAGTAAACCAAACTGCCTTAATCTTATATCAATATATCAGAATACATGCGGCATAAAAATGTGAGCCTTGCACCACTGCTAATTTGATGGACAAGAGGATTGGAGAAGAGCTGGTAGTGATCAGTTAATGAATGTCAAAGTACATTATGAAGAAAAGAGTTCTGCCTTTATAAATTGGAATGTCTATGCTAAAATTTAAAGAATGTGTGCTACACAGCCATGAATAAAACATCTGCCAATGAGTAGAATACGAATCAAAGGAAGTTTTACCCAACAAAATTGCCTCAATTACAATTCAACACTTCAGTACTCTATAAAAATACAGCAATTACACCAATATTTAACTTTAAACATGGAAACCACACACACACGCACACACACACACACACACACACACAAAAACTAAAGAAAAAACTCCATCTGGTTTAAGCTATCACAAAAGTAGATAGTCCTAGCAACAGCAAGTAGGAGGAAAGGAATTTAGGGTAAAAGAGGGAGAAAAAGAATGAAGAAGTTCTAAGAGAAAACTGAACAAAGCATTTTAAAGAGTAAACAGAGGCTATAAAATATAAAATGATTGCATAGATGGAATTTTATGCCATGCATCCCATTATAAAATCATACTATTATTCTAAGAAATAGCCATGTAGGTTTGATTCATATTAACTGTCCGCAAAAAAAGGCAAGAATTCTAAGAGATAAATTGGAGACACCAGGGAAGGAGAAAGGGAATTAGTAGCCTTAAAAATCTATAAATTTCCACATGAGGACATTACTTTTTTAATTTGGACTACTGTTAAGAAGATTTATGAAAAGCATGTTAAAATCTGTAAGGTATCGTGAATCCATCTAAATTACCAGCCACAGGTTGATAGTGTAAACACTTGGCTGGATTGGGTATTAGGAACCACACTCACTTCCTGGAGTCACAGGAAGTGATTCCTTGAACATATGTGTATCATCCAAGATCCAGGCAGAAAAACACAGCCCTCTCCAGGGAGACTGAGGGAGGGATTCGAATACGGAGAAGCAGTTACAAAAATGATGTCAGAGAGTAGAGGGTACCAGGGAATGGGGAGAGGTGGACTAGGGAGCTATTGCTTAATGGTTACAGAGAGTTGTTTTTTTTTTTCCCCCCTTTGGATGATGGAAAAGTTTCGGAAATAGTGGTGATGATTACACAGCATTGTCCATGTACTTAAGCATGAAAAAGTCAGGAAACGGATTTAGGAGCAAAGCGATTAAAGCCCACATAACACACATTGCTGCAGTATGTAGTTGGGCACATCACAAATGATTCTGGTGAAACGTAAGAATTTAAGATACTATAGAACATATTAGGCCAGGTGCAGTGGCTCACACCTGTAATCCCAGCATTTTGGGAGGCTGAGGCGCGTGGATCACGAGGTCAGTTCGAGACCAGCCTGACCAACGTGGTGAAACCCTGTCTCTACTAAAAATACAAAAATTAGCTGGGCGTGGTGGTGCGCCCCTGTAATCCCAGCTACTTGGGAGGCTGAGGCAGGAGAATCACTTGAACCTCGGAGGTGGAGGTTGCAGTGAGCCGAGATGGCGCCACACTGCACTCCAGCCTGTGAGACAGAGCAAGACTTCGTCTCAACACAAACAAACAATAACAAAAAATATTAGAGAAGAACAGGTCGAAATAAATCTTCACCTGAAACTTCACTACTGACTACAACTTCCGAAAATGAGATTAAATATAGTCCTTCCATCCACTTGCTTTCTGACCACAAGTAAATTTATGTTTGTCAGATAAATAATAACTTGAATCTTCCAAATTGAGGTTCATGATTACCTTTCTCAAAGGGGACTTAGCTATTTCCTTGCCATTCCTAAGACCCTTATTCTGTGTAAATGTCTATCTCTCCCAAGGTTAGTGTCACATTTTTCTCTATATCTTCCTCACTTTCCCCCACACAGCAAAAGTCCAAAAATATCTTGACTCCTTTATCTGCTGATGGCTTAGTTCACTTGGATACCGGTCTTGCCTACATGCAAACTAGTTTCAAGATACGCTAAGAGAACAAGTTTACAAAACAACTCTTAATGACACACCCACGTTTAAAACCCAATCTCTTTTTGGTTTTGTTTTGTTTTTGTGTTTTTCTTATAGCATAAAATCTTAAAGTTGTTGATCTATAGCTGGGGTCAGCAACATTTTTCTGAAAAGGAACAGCTAGTAAATATTTCAGGCTTAGCAGGCCATATGGTCTTGGTCACAACTACTCAACTATGCCATGATAGTGCAAAAGTAACCATAGACAGTCTGTAAACAAAGAGGAGTTGCTATGTTTCAATAAAATTTTATGATCACTGAAATTTGAATTTTACATCATTTCATATGTCACTGAATATTATTCTTCTTTTGACTTTTATTCTACAATTTTAACATGTAAAAAGTGTTCTTGGCTTGTGTGCAGTACAAAAACAAAAGACATGCTACAGACCCTTGATTTACAACATAAATTTATAAAGATCTGGTCTCTCCCTACTTTTTCCGTTTTAGCTTTTCCTAATCTTCTCCTACCCTATGGTTTTGCTATGCTAAGATACTTGCAGTTCTCTGAGCATATCATACCATTTGCTGAAAACTTCATCTGCCTTGAATGACTCCCTCTTCTTTCTATAGATTCTGCAAATCTATAGAAAAAGAGATCCTCCTCTGCTCAAAAAGATCCTCCTCTGAGACTCTCCCCCGGGTCCTTTGAGTTGTGTTTTATCCAACATTTCTTTTATAATCTCTCTTAATCTATAATATATATATATCTAAACATGACTCTCACTGTATTGAAATTATGTACACACACTGTCTTCCCCATTGGCGCTTTCCTTAATGAAGACAAAGACCTTGTTTGTGTTTTTGTCCCTAGAATTTTGCAAAATTTTGAGAGAATGGCGAATGTGTAGTAAGTGTCCACTGAATGACTAGAGTGTTAATTACTTAAAATGGAATTCAACTATTTGCTTTATCAAGTAAGGTTGAAATTTAAGGTTTCTTCATTTATCCACTAGTGAGTAAGTTTGATTCAGAGTATTATAATTAAAAATTCTCTTCAAATTGGATGCTGTTCATAGACGACTAACACAAAGACGGAAAGTACTGGTTCTTGTTTGTATAGTTATGATCAGAAATAGGCCGTTCTGATTCATTTTGTATTTTAGAGACTAAATTAACTACTGTTTCAGAAAATAGATCCTAAAGAAAGAAAATAGAGATAGGGATTGTTATAGCCACTAATAGCTGTAGACCTTTGGGGGCATGCAGTCGAAATGCCCAGAAACCACACTGGTGACTTTTTCTCAATTTAACTCTCTTTGGATAGAAGAAGGAAGCAATTCACTTTGGAAAGTAATTCAAAACATTACTTTTATGGAACAAATGTAAGCAAGCTAATGTTGTGATTCAGACTGCAAAATTTGCATCATTTTCTTTTTAAGAATAAATCAGGAAATTCTACAGAAATTCCCCACCAAGCGTGGCTTATTCTTCTCTGCCCTTTGGTTTACTTTACAGACAGATTCTTAAAAACATTATTATTAGTGGATGGGACCTCAAGAGCAAGTTTAAAATACACTTCAAATGCTATAAAGAAATATTAAATAAAGGAAAATGATATACTGTTCTCTATTTCCTGAGCAAGAGGGGAAAGCACAAGGAATTCAGGTTACACACTGGAAAATATTGTTCATGTATAAAGATTTAAAGACATTGCAATGATTCTGTAACTGAAGGCAATAATTCTTAAGGAAAAGGTAAATTTCTATCAGTTTGGGGTGGTTGAATAATACTCTGTCTAGAAATAATTAACAAGATTTTATATAGTAAGATACCATTTTATAGATCTTGTAAAAACTACATTTACATTAAACTACATAAAAACTACATTATAATTTATAAGCATGACTCCTTTTTTAATGAATTTGAAGGAGGACATATAATGATTATGTGTTTATTAACAAATATGTCAGTAACAAAAGGGAAGTAGTTTTGCTAGGTAAGTGTGGCAAAGGAAGATAAAGAACTCTGTCTTGAATTATCTACATCAGATGTTAGATGTGACAATGCTGTTTCAAGATCCCTGCTTCGACATGGACATAAGAAATATACAGAGACAATAATCAGTTATAAGGCTGAAATGTGTAAATTAATAGCTTAAACAGGCCAGTCATCGATGATATTATTGAAAGATCTGATCAACTGAAAGATGAGTAAGATATATGTTGAGGATATATGATTTAAAGATGCAGATTAGGGTGACTTCTCATTGCTATCTACTGGAAGTTGCCTAATTTAAAACAAACAAACAAACCACAAGAACAAAAAAAAATGGAGTCTAGTTACTAGTTAGTGATTAAAAAGCTCACCTGATACTATGATTATATGACAACCAAACTGAAGGGCATGACAAGCACACCTCTGACCTAAAACCTGATCAACTAAGAAACGGCCATCTAAGAAACTGGTAAATAAAAGTGTTGGTAAAACAAAAGAAATTGGTAAAAAAAATAAAAATAAAAAATAGTACTCAAACAAACATAAAAAATGTAAAAAGTGATGAAACCTTTATTATTGAGGCAAAGAAAGATCCTTTGAATACCTTTTTAAAGTAAGCATTGTGAAATCAGTCTCAAATGTGCTTTGTAACTCTTGGAACTTCCCTAAAGATTATTTTGCTGTGCAGCTCCGTATGTGCATATATTCACACCAGACAGTAGACAGAGAACAAGAGGAAGCAGATTCCAGAAGCAGCAGCTGAGATCCAGTAAGTGTGCGTGGAGAAATTGTGTTTACCATGTTATATGTTCTTTCTTCTTTGGAGGGTCAGGCTTGTGTCAGTGTTTTCAGAAACATTTTCACTAGAACAGATGAAAGTAGCACAAAGGAAGGTAAGAAGCTCATGCAGGCTTTCTTTTCTTTATATTTCCTGTGTTTGTCATTTATGGAATAAGAAAGGTCTAGTGACCCTTTAAGATTTTGCCCACAGTTCTGTTACAATGTCTACAGAATATACTTCGGTTAGACCTAGAGAGTGTTTTTTTTTTCTTGGCCAATAGAATAATTTACATGTGGAATCTCACCACATGAAACTACAGAATTTAAAGTCTGTTTCAGAAGGTAGAATATGAGAGAGCAGGGAAACTAAAAGATATCCTTCTATAATAAATCAAGATAAAAGTTAGAATGAACATTTCCCTTGTGGGTTTAAAATACCTATAATTGCCCTTTAAATGATAGCAATACACACACACAAATACACAAATACTGACCAACACAGTCTTAACGTTCACCTCAGCTTGACCAAAGTGTAGACAGGCTTTCTTCTTGACTGTAGGCTTCAACCTCCCTCCTAACCTTTCTCTTCTTATGTTAGAAAACAGAATTGTAAATTATTTCTCTGCCCCTTTGAATATAAACCTTCTTTCAACTTCTTGACAATTTTACAACTCCATATAGTCTTTCTCAGAGATCCGTACCTCAGGAAAGACAGGGCTCTTATTTATCCCAGTTTCTGTGGGAAGGTAGAAGCCTAACTTTGATTAGTCCCACATCAGCAAACATAGATGGCCTAATCACATTGACCAGCCTCTCCCTTAATGACCTACAGTGCATTTCTATTAATTTTCCCCAGCATTTAAACCCACTTGCTTTTTGTTCCATTGGAGCTGAGGTCAATTTCTCTCTTTTTTTCAGTAGTATTGACCCTTATATCAATAGTTTGAATAACTTTTTCATAGGCATTTAAAACAAGTGTCTGTGGCAATTTTTCTTTTTCAATACACACACGTGTGTGTATTTTTAAAGAAAATAATATTTCCAATTATTTATATTAGGAATTTCTTAAGGCATACAAAAATACAGTTAAACAGAAGGAATAAGTTATAGTATTCAAAAGTTCCAGGTGAAAATTATAGTTAACAATAATTTATTGAATATTTTGAAATAGCTAGAAGAAAAAATTGTGTTTAATATTCCCAACACGAAGAAAATAAATATTTGAGTTGATAGATATCCCAAATATCCTGATTTGATCATTATACATTATACACAGGTATCAAAATATCACATGTGCTCCCAAAATATGTACAACTATAATATTAATATAGCAATTAAAATAATTTTAAAAATTTTAATTTTTCATTTTATTAATAATTTAAAGGCTATAGAAATAGGTTAAAACACAAAGGCAAAAAGGATTATATAAATTAAAATTATTATATGTGGAAAATGAAGGAAATTCTAAGGCCAATGTTCAGAGAAATGGAGAAAGTACAAATTGCACCAATTAAGGGAAAACTTCCAATTTTACATTCTATTACAATAAATAAAATGCATCCCTTTTATGCAATAAAATGTCATAGAAAGTCATAAGTATAGTCAGATTTGAAATATAAAAAATACATGTACTAGGAAAACATAACTTTTAATAATATGTACCCCCATTACTATACACCAGGCGCAGGCGCTATTTAAAGTTGTTTGCATATGTAAACTTTTTATTGCACATAATGACTTTTTGAAGTATTATCCGCCATTTTACAGATGAGGAAACAGAAGCACAGAAAGAATAAATAACCTTTCCAAGGTCATGAAGGTAGTACCTGGCAAACCTAAAACTTAAATTCAGGAAGTCTGGTTCTAGATCTGTGCCCTCAATGTTATTGAATGCCTGCTCTCCAAGCACCATCAACACAACTTGTTGATGAGAAAAGGCTGAGATTGTTGCTTACTGTTCAAAGGGAAAATATCACAATGAGAGGTTTTGCAGTAGTGACTTGGCTAGGATCAGGTAAACATCAAGATACAAACAGTATAGGATCCATAGGAACGTTTAGATAATGATATTTGATGCAAAGGATTTAAAACTTAGGGTACAAAGTGTCTGCTAATGAGTTCCATTGCAGATGGATTGATTGGGAAGTTCCTGTTATGAAATATTAAGCAAGTTGCTTGGGTTAGAGTCTCCAGGGATAGTAAAATCATGCTGAAGAAAACAATGGAATAATTAAGTCATGTTACCATATATAGCAATCTCTATGAAGGTTAGGTAATTCTGTCTTCAATGTCCAACAGTGTATATGGGTATGTGGTTCTCTACATTACTTAAAAGAACCCTATAGCAATTCGTGTTGTTATTTGAAAGCAGTGTGCCTGTATAATTTATCTTTCCAAGGTTGACATTTCAGTATGAGTTTAAAGCCCCATTTATGTTAGTAAGCCAATGAGGATAATTTGTAAATCAATCAGGGCGTTTTACAATTTCATTTGCTATCAATCAACTCTATGTAGGTGTTTCTTATTATGTACACTTATTAAGTACACTTACATATTAAAAATATGTAGGTGAACATATTTTGAACACACTTGAACTGAATAACACTGTTTAATGAGCCTCACCGGTTTTCAGCCTTAAATGCAGACCTTATGATTTTGTCTAGGACATGTAAGGACACGCTGTTTCCACATGTGTATTTCCTTATCCATGCATTTTGAAATTAGCATTTTCCCTTGCAAATACCTTGTTGCTTTATCTTTTGTCATTGTTTTAACTCATTATGAAACAACAACTTCTGCTGCAACTCATTACGAAACAGTAACTTCTGCTGCCAATAGAAACGTCAAAAAGAGAAACATGCTTTTTCCTAACAATCAAGCTACATCAAAGGGGTAATATAATGAAATAAACATCTATTTATTCAATACATGCTAACTACCTGGTGTGTTAGGTCTCTTCATATTAGGCTTGCCATATTTAAAAAATAAAAATACAGGACGACAAGTTAAGTTTGA